>NC_000013.11:19658106-20908106 GCF_000001405.40 Homo sapiens
GCTGTGCTGTTTCTCTGCTGTCAGCTCTCAGAGTTAGCAGAAGTGTTAGTTTGAGTTGAGGGCTTTGGAAAAGTTCTTCATTTATTGCATATGTTTTACAAACTTTTTTTCTGTGGCCAGGCCATCTGCCTAACATCATCTATATAGTTTGAGGAACTGGTTTCAGGTGAAAATCCTTTAACTCTACCATCAAGTAGTTCTGTTTTTCACTTGTAAAAAAAGCACAAAACCATTGTGAATTACTCCCAAATGACCTGCACTGAAGTCTGTGTGATTGATTGCAGTGGTGATAAAGGCTGAACACATGCGTCCTCAGTGTTCCCGTGCCTGTAGGTCCTGTCGGGGAAGACTCTAGCAATACCTCACGGGGGTGGGTGTGGGCCAGGGCACTGGGAGCAGGAGGCTTCCAGATGTAGGGGCCTGTGGGAGTCTGGAAGGATCCATAAGCAGTGCCTTTGACTCACATGCTGGGATAGCTCACATGCTGAGAATGGCTTTATCTGTACATGGTTGGAAGCAGTGTATGTCCAAGAAGAATGGTGTAAGGGAGAAGAGTCACATTAGAATTGCATTTCCTCTTACCAGATCCCCGATCCCTCCTTCCTTTGAGCTACTTAGTCTTAAAATTCCTCCTTTGCTATTTTACAATGACAGCTTACCTATTTATCTTTATGCCTTCAGAGTACCATGGCTTCTAAATGTGGATCGTTCATATTACTTCCCAAAGAAAATTGGGGATTTTATCAATTAAAAGACCCCATTATACAATGACTTGTGTTAAAAGTGTACATAAAGCTTTGGTTAAGACACCACAAATTTCATAAACAACATTGTGGGTTTTTTATACTTCAGACAAATGTATGTTAACAAGGCTATTGTGTGTTCCAGATGGCAGGCAGCAGATTCTGAGTTTGGGCATGGACCTGCAGTTGGAATGGATGAAGTTGGAAGATTTCCAAAAGCACCTTGATGGGAAAGATGAGAATTTTGCTGCAACAGATGCAATTCCAAGTAGTGAGTAGTTTTGGAAATATTGAAATCCCTTTCACAAATCTAGATTTATAAAATCTAACTTATTTTTTCTTTCATTTTAGATGTGTTAAGGGATGCTGTGAAAAATGGGGATTATATTACTGTAAAAGTTGCACTTAATTCAAATGAAGAATATAACCTGGACCAAGAGGTAATATGTCGTTGAAAAATCTCATGAAAGGAAAATGGAAAGTAACACTTGAAAGAATTCAGTTTAACTTTTCATTTATTTTAATTACAAAAGGCTGGGCGTGGTGGTGCACACCTGTAATCCCAGCACTTTGGGAGGCCGAGGCAGGAGGATTGCTTGAGCCCAGGAATTCAAGACCAGCCTGGGCTCCATGGTGAAACCCCAACTCTACAAAAAATACAAAAATTAGCTGGACATGGTGGTGTACACCTTTGGTCCCAGTTACTTGGGTGGCTGAGGTGACAGGATCACCTGAGCCTGGGAGGTCAAGGCTGTGGTAAGTGGAGATCACACCACTGCACCCCAGCCTGGGCAACAGAGCAAGACTCCCATCTCAAAAAAAAAAAAAATAATGCACGTTCACTTTGTAAAATAAAAAAATTGTAGAACCCTATAAATGTACAATTATAGTCCCTTTAATTCCAACCCCCTCCCCTCTAAAAGTGATGGTTTGGTTTGGTTATGGTCTACCTGTTTTGTATGTGGTTTACCCTCTGCCACTCTTGAGAGCGTAGAGTGAGACCATTTTCCTGTGGTCATTTGTGTTTCTTTGATGGTTGTCCCATTTACAACAATGGTCCATCTCTCCTGTTGTAGCTGGGGATTTTTCATACTGATATGTATGGATTTTTTTTTTTTTTTTTTTTTTTTGAGACAGTGTCTCGCTCTGTTGCCCAGGCTGGAGTGCAGTGGTGTGATCTCAGCTCACTGCAAGCTCCGCCTCCCGGGTTCACGCCATTCTCCTGCCTCAGCCTCCCGAGTAGCTGGACTACAGTTGCCTGCCACCTCGCCCGGCTAATTTTTTGTATTTTTTTTTTTTTAGTAGAGACGGGGTTTCACCATGTTAGCCAGGATGGTCTCGATCTCCTGACCTTGTGATCTGCCTGCCTCCGCCTCCCAAAGTGCTGGGATTACAGGCGTGAGCCACCGCGCCTGGCCACGTATGGATTTTTTTAATGGAAGCATATTGACCCTTTCTCCCTAGATTTTAGGTTTGTGTTTGAGTCTTGTATTGCTTGAAGATTTTTAGTTTTAGGCAATCATATCTGTTGATCTTTTACATTTATGGCTTTTGGGTATCTTGTCTTGCTTAGAAAATATTTTTATATTCTTTAGTTTTTTAGCTTAGCTGTGGATTTTTTAGGTTTAATCCTTTGGGATTACAATTCACAAAATTATTGGGCTTTTGATTAAAATTGCATGAAATAATATAGATTGAGAATTGACATTTACTTTTTGCATCTTCTGTCTAGGAACATGGTAATTCTACATTCACTCAGCTCTTCATTTATATCCTTAAGCAAAGTTCTATGGGTTTTTTCATTCATATAGACGTTGCACATTTCCTATAGATGTATGCCTATATGTTTTATAATGGTCATTAGAGTCTTTTTTCATTTACATTTTGTTTTCTAACTGGTTATTGCTTGTCGATGGTAAAGCTGTGGATGTCTTTGTACACATAAGTGTGTGTAACTCCAGTCATTTAATGAAATTCTTATAGTTTTTAAGTTACTTGTTTTGGATTTTCTAGGTAGAAAATTTGATCGTATGCCCCCCAAAAATTCACTGTTCATTTTGTATGGTGCAAACTTTTCATGTGCCTTTAGGATTTAATACACAAAACAAAAAGAAGATACAAAAATGAGAGCTGGGCGTGGTGGCATGCACCTGTAATCCCATCTACTTGAGGCTGTGGCAGGAGGAATGCTTGAGCCCAGGAGTTTGAGACCAGCCTGGGCTGACATAGCAACACCGTCTCAATAAAAAAGAAAGAAAGAAAAACAACACCAACAAAAAAAATTGAAGCATTCCTTGGAGATATTGTGGGTTTGGTTCCAGACTGTTGGAATAAAGCGAGTCACACAAATTTGTTGGTTTCCTGGTGCATATAAAATTTAGGTTTACACTATACTGTAGTCTAAATGTGAATAGCATTACATCTTTTAAAAAACCTATATATCTTAATTTACAACACTTTATTGCTAAAAAATGCTGACACAACAACACAAAATGAGCACATGCTGTGGGGTAATGATGTGAATAAACGTGCTTGTGGCAGGGTTACCACAAACCTTCCCTTTGTAAAAAACACAGTCCCTGTGAAGTGCAGTAAAGCAAAGCTCAGTGAAACAAGGTAGGCCTATAGAGGAAAGTTGTAAAATTTTATGCAAACATTCATATGTGAAAAGATACTCTAAAAGCTAGTAGCTTCTGATGGTTGGGATATTTTAGTGAAAATCCTAAGTAGATGCCTAAATCAGTGCCTATTAGTGATTTCACATTGAAACATCTCGAGTGAGAAGACTTGGTTCTGAAATTGTTCTGACTAAAGATTAACACGTTTTTTATTTAACAAACCAACACAGGATTCCAGTGGAATGACACTGGTGATGCTTGCCGCCGCCGGAGGGCAGGACGACCTCCTGCGACTCCTCATCACAAAAGGCGCGAAAGTGAACGGTCGGCAGAAGAACGGGACCACCGCCCTCATTCATGCTGCAGAGAAGGTTTGTGGCTTCTTATGCATCAGTTTCAGAGCTTTCATGGTATTCCTGCCGATGGACTGAGAGGATCTCTTTGGTAGTGAAATATAGCAGTCACATGGTCACATCGCTTTTTTTTTTTTTTTAGACGGAGTCTCGCTCTGTCGCCGAGGCTGGAGTGCAGTGGCACGATCTCAGCTCACTGCAAGCTCCACCTCCCGGGTTCACTCCTGCCTCAGCCTCCTGAGTAGCTGGGACTACAGGCAGGTACCTGCCACCACACCCGGCTAATTTCTTTGTATTTTTAGTAGAGATGGGGTTTCACCATGTTAGCCAGGATGGTCTCGATCTCCTGACCTCGTGATCTGCCTGCCTTGGCCTCCCAAAGTGCTGGTATTACAGGCGTGAGCCACCGCGCCTGGCTGTCACACGGTCCCATAGCTTTTTAAAAATTTATTTTTAGAAATAAGGTCTCACTCTGTCACACAGGTTGGAGTGCAGGTGGCACCATCATAACTCACTGTAGCTTCAAACTCCTGGACTCAAGCAATCCTCTCGCCTCAGCCTCCCAAGTAGCTGGGACTAAGTGTGTACCACCACACCTGGCTAATTTTAAAAATTTTTGTAAAGACATGGTCTCACTGTGTTGCCCAGCCTGGGCTCAAGTGATCCTCCTGCCTCAGTTAAAGTGCTGGGATTACAGGCATGAGCCACCGCACCCAGCTGGAGTAACTTTTTAATTTTGTTTCAGTTGATCTGTGACATGTAATGAATGGATTTATCATCAGTAGTACATTGTAATCACATTTCAAAATGTGATTTATCTCGTTGGAAGTAATTTATATTAAAATACTCTGATTAAAGTACTAATATTTTAATCTTAGATAATTTAATTTTTTTGAATAAATGGTATTTGTATTCCTTTTGGTTAATAATTTAATTGAAATGTTTCCATATATTATCTTTTTAAAGGATTTATATGCAGAGGTTCTTAGGTTGGAGCTAGCGGTTCCATTCGCAGTTGCTGGCAGCACAGTGAGTGGCCACGTTTGGGCCTCTGTGGGGCGGGGTGCACCCCCGTGGCCCCACGGGAATGCTGCAGCCCGCAACCACTTGTGATAGAACCTGCTGGGTATTTTTCCTGATGACTAAAAATTTCAAAATATCTGAAAACTGTCTTTTAAATAATTTGGGAAATTAAATTTGCCTTTTTTTCTTTTCATAGAACTTTTTAACAACAGTGGCTATTCTTTTGGAAGCAGGAGCTTTTGTAAATGTCCAGCAAAGCAATGGTGAGACTGCACTGATGAAGGTAAATCCCTCCTGCAGGTCATCCCTTTCTTCACTACGTTGGCAGGTGCTCGTGTTGGCATCTGCCACTGCCAGGCACTGTGCTGGGGACTGAGAACAGAGTGGGTACCAAGACAGTCCTAGAGTCAGCCGCTTGCAGGGGAGAAGGAGAAGCGGGCTGGCAGGGTAGCAGTGAGAGCTCAGTATGGGCAGTGGTGTGATCAGAACAGGCACAGAGAGCCATGAGGTCACAGGGAAGTGCTCCGAGCTGGGCCCTGGGGACCCTGACAATCCTTAGGGTGGATGAGGCAGGTGCCACACTGTGTCCTAAATGGCAGTCAAGTCAGCCGGGAGGGAGCACTCCGGCCGCAGCTGGAGCAGCAGGGAGGCTGCTGGCCTCGAAAGTGCAGGCCTAGGGGTGGGACGGAGTTCCTCGTGCACTCTGTGTGTTCGTCATTTTATGTTGGTGAATTTGTTGCCTCGGGCTTGTTCCTGTGTTCTGGAACGTGGTTTGCAGACAGGTTTTGAGAGAAAGGTCAGCAGTTTGGCATTTGTCTTAGGGGGCCCTGCCAGGTCTGGTTGGTTCCTCTGTGGCAGTTGTGGGTTCCTGGCCCAGGATGCTGTTAGGATATAGCAGGTCCAGACACCCAGCCAGTGGTGGCCGGCTCAGCTCCCTGTGGGGACCTGTCCTCTTTCCTTCCTGGGATGCTTGGCTCCATGTAAGCCATTGAGCCAAGCGGGGGCCTGCCCACAGCGCCCATTCCAGCCGCTGTCCCCAGTAAGCAAAAGAGCACAGCCAGGCCCTGGGTCTGCAGGGCACCTGGCATCAAGTCTCACTGTGAACCCTCTTCTGATGGCCTGGACCACCTGTCCCTTGTCCTCCTGCTGCATGAGGCCCATAAACAGTCTCCTTCTGTCGCCCGGGCTGGAGTGCAGTGGCACCATCATGACTCACTGATGCCTTGGCTTCCAGAGCTCAAGTGCCTCCCTCAGCCTCCCGAGTAGCTGGGACTACAGGTGCGAGCCACCACACCCAGCCATTTTTTTTCTTATTAGAGACAAGGTCTCACTGTGTTGCCCAGGCTTGTCTTGAACTCCTGGCCTCAAGCACTTTCCTTTTGGTTCATGGAAATGTTCATTTTGTTTGGGAGCCTGAGGTTTGTCTTTGTTTCCCTTCATTTGTTTCTGTGGTTGTCTTGTGTGGAGCAGAGGTGGCCTCTGCAAGCATCATCTTAGTGACAGATGACCAGGTGTACCCTGAACTGCAGCCACGCAGGTGCATTTAGAGCATGAGAGAGGTGGGTGGGCACAGAAGCCCCCTTCATGCCAAGCCTTAGGGAGTTCGTCCTGAGGGCACTGGGGAGCCACAGCAAGGTTGAAGCTGAAGAAGGGTAGAATCGGATTAGAGGGTTTTCATTTGTGTATTTTAATGCTGCTTAGTACAGAAGGGGCATAGATTGAGAAGAAGATAGTTTGCAAACTTGTCAGGAGGGTCTCCAGATTATGTGAAATAACAGAAGTCTGTACCTCGGGAGTGGCAGGAGGGATGGAGTGGGTGAGGTGCCCACTTGGTAAGAGCTTGGTAACTGGAGGTGACGCCTGGGCATCCCATTTCCTAAGTTGGGGCACGGCTGGCAGAGCTGGGGGAGTTGGGCGTTGGGTCGTGTAGATGTCACCTCTGTACATTTCACAGGGGCATCTAGGCTCAGGAGAGAGGTGTGGGCTGGAGATTCAGGTTTGTTGCTGTCCAGCTCTGCAACAGTGACCGTAGCCATAGGTTGAGAGTGGGGTCATCCATGGGGAATTGGAAAGGAGAAAAGGGCCATAGATGGAAAGAGCCTGCGTGGGGAGAAGCAGAGGAGGAGGAGGAAGTGGTCCACGGGCTGGCAGCACCTCCCCCACACAGCAGGCAGAAGGCAGGCGGGAGTGCCCCAGGTCAGCACCTCAGGGCTGTGTGCCTTGCTGAGGTACGTGTGTTGAGTTGGGGAGTGGGGTGCAGAGGGGAGATGGCTCTGGAAGTGGGTTGGGGAGGGCGTGGCGTTTCTTCCCTGAGCGGACATGTAGCACTTATTTATTTTACTGGGTCTGAATTCAGTAGACTGCCTTTATCTGCCATGAGGTTTATTTAAGTGTTTGTTCCTGAAAAGCTGTATTTTAATTGCTTTCAGGATTTAGCATGTTGAAGTTTGAGTTTTAGAATGAGAAGATGTAAACATAGTGATTTTCAGAAATTAAAAACCTTTTTATCTGAGGAGAAAGTGTGTAACATTGGTCCTTACCAGAGTGGGCAGGTGCAGAGGGACTGCCCTCGCCTGTCACTGCAGGCTCTGTTGGTCCCAGAAGGGCCTCTCACCCTCCCCGTGGCTGTAATGTGGGCCACTCGCTCTGTCCCGAGCCTGTCCTGGACGGCGTCCCTAACCTCTGCACTGGATGCCCAGGGTAACAACCAGAAAGGTCTCAGGCATTGCCCAGGCTCCCCTGATGGCAGAGTTCCCCCTGCCAGAAGCACTGGATGACACCGTTGTCGGGGTAGTGTGGCGGCTCCTCCTAGGGCTGCGGGAGTGCCACCGCTCCTGGAGGCTGCTCTGCAAAGTGACGCTGCTGCCCCAGCATCTGCCTCACAGGGTAGGGAGGCACAGGCACCCTTATCCTCTTTTCGCAAATGGAAACGTGCCACTCAGAAGAATTAAGGGACTTATCTGAAGTCACGTGGCTAATAAGTGACAGAGACAAGGAGACAGTCTGTCAGCTGTGCCACAGCTCCATCGTACATTTGCAGGTTCAGATTCGGATCTGTGCTTGGGTTGTCTCCTTTAAAGCGGCAGCTGGGGACATTTCGAGGGTGTTTTGTGGTCCTGAGAGGTGTTTTTGAGATTCCTGAGACAAAGTTGTCTACAGTGAAGGCCAGGCTTACGTATCTCTGCGCCTCGCTGAGGGGCTGGCTCACGGGGGACAGCGTGGCATGGACAGAGGGCAGCAGCAGGGGACTGCTTAGCAAGGCCTGGTGTCTGTTCTGTCTTGGGACTGAAGCATCCTTTTTGAAGTTGCCCATTTCCTGAAAACTCAGTGCTAAGATATTAACTGAATGTAGCACACAGATTTTTATGTTGGCCCCTGAGTCAAAGATACTCCCCACTTGCATTTAAGCAATGCTGTGTGACTCCTAACGCTGTGGCCTGACGGGCCCCAAAAGTTCTCTATCCTTCTTCCATGGCCTGTGCCCTCTCTTCACAGAACCGCTAAGCATGTATGGAGAAGGGACCAGCACCCATGCCACAGTTTACAGCTAAGTAATTGTTACTCCTTTTTACCTGACGTAGGCCTGTAAAAGAGGAAATTCAGACATCGTACGACTCGTAATTGAATGTGGAGCTGACTGCAATATTTTGTCAAAGCACCAGAATAGTGCCCTGCACTTTGCGAAGCAGTCTAACAATGTGCTTGTGTACGACTTGCTGAAGAACCATTTAGAGACGTAAGTGAGAAGCGACTGTGCCATAGTTAAGTCACATATCATACATCTGTTTATGTAGACATATTATAATTGGAGTGGCCTGTGTGTAACTGCTCAGAAAAACATCCAGCACAAGTCCTGATGGTTTTGTTTCCAGTAGATCACAGATTTAATAAATGGCATATGAATTATTTTTCTGCAAGTTATTTAACTCTCAGAAAATTTCAAACTTAACACTGGCCTATCTGGGAGTATTTTCCTTAAATATTAAGTATGCTCTTAATTTGGTTAGCAAAGGTTTTCTTAAAAACATTTAAACTTGGCCGGGCGCAGTGGCTCACGCTTGTAATCCTAGTACTTTGGGAGGCCGAGGCGGGTGGATCACTTAAGGTCAGGAGTTTGAGACCATCCTGGCCAACATGATGAAACCCTGGCTCTACTAAAAATACAAAAATTAGCCGGGCGTGGTGGTGGGTACCTGTAACCCCAGCTACTCAGGATGCTGAGGCAGGAGAATCGCTTGAACCCGGGAGGCGGAGGTTGCAGTGACCTGAGATCACACCACTGCACTCCAGCCTGGGCGACAGAGCAACACTCTGTTTCCGCCCCCCACCACCAAAAAAAGAAAGAAACTTTAAACATTTGTCTTTCTTTTTAATAGACTTTATTTTTTGCAACACTTTTAAGCACAGCAAAGTTGAGCGGAGGGTACAGATTTCCAAGCCTCCCCACCGCCATCCTCCCCGACTGTCGAGATCCCAGTCACCCACAGTGGGACATACAGCTGGGGAACCTACAGGGACATGGCATAATCCCCTGGAGCGCAGCATTGACATTAGGGCTCACTCGTAGTGTTACCCATTCTATGAATTTGGACAAATACATAATGACATCCATCCCTCATCACAGTGTCATACAGAATAGTTTCACTGCCTTAAAAAGCCTGTGTTTTCCACCTTTTCATCCCTCCCTCCCCCAGCCCCTGACAACCACCAGTAATTTAATTCCTTCATATTTTGCCCTTTCCAGAACAGGTGGAATCACACATTATTTGGTCTTTGCAGGTTGGCCTCTTTCATTTAGCAATAGGCATTCAAGATTCCTTCCATGTCTTGATAGTGCATTTCTGTTTAGCACTGACTAATATTCTGTTGTTGGTTGTCAAGATTTACTAGTTTATTCAAGTTCATTCTTTTTCAAATAAATTCTCAATCATATTTTATTTTATTGCAGGTTCATACTTATAACACAATTTAGTATTTCTATCACTTAAGAACTCTTGGCAACACATATCAGAAACTTGCATGTATCAGACAGTAGCGAACTCAAGGCGGTGTTTATGTAGCAGGTCTCGGGTGGGCCTCTGGGACCGCGCCTGTTGAACTCAGTGCTGCTGATGGCTGCAGTCCCAACTCCTCTGGTCACACGGGGGGTTTGCATAGATCCAGCAAGTAGAGTGACCCACTTTCCTGATTTGCCCAGTACTGAGGGGTTCCCCTTTCTGATTTTCCACTGATTCATTAGACAACTATGTATTAAGCATAGACTTTGTGCCAGGCACTGTTCTAAAGGCTGGGGAGATGGAAATGGCAGTGGAGGGAAGAGACTTGCCTTCTTAGAACTTCAATTCCACTGAGATGGACAACAAGACAGACACATGGGTGTCAGGTGCTTGGTGGAAGTAGAGCTGGAAAGCGGAGGCAGGCAGAGCTGCAGGTCTTTGTTTGGAAGGTTGGCCTGGGAAGCCCTCACTGGTATTCGACAGGCTTGTGGTTCTTTTCTACATTAACGTTAACACGTACTATTTTTTTTTCTTAGACTTTCAAGAGTAGCAGAAGAGACAATAAAGGATTACTTTGAAGCTCGCCTTGCTCTGCTAGAACCAGTTTTTCCAATCGCATGTCATCGACTCTGTGAGGGTCCAGATTTTTCAACAGATTTCAATTACAAACCCCCACAGAACATACCAGAAGGTAAGCCGATGCCTCCCTTCACACTTTTCTATGTGAAGTGTGACACTATATTAACAGATTTTTAGACAGAATCCTTTCTTGGAACAAAACTTTAAGGAAATTCCATTACGTGTAATAATTCTGCAGACCGGTTAACAGTAGAGCCACTCTGGTGGAAGAGACATCCAGCTGACACCCCATCCCTGTTTTAACACCCATATAGAGCATGGAAGTTAGGTCTTAATAATCACACTAGTTCTCAATGAGTTTTATTAAAATTCAGCGTCAAGATTCTAAGCCTAGAATGTTTTTTCCCTGAATTTTGTTGTTTGTAATAGTCTTTGCCCTTTGAAAAAGAAAAAAATAGTCTTGCTCCATAGTAAAGCTGAGTGGAAAGAGATGGAGAAGCCACTTTCCTCTCTAGCCTCTGCTCGACAGACCCTCTCCAGGCAGGGCTGCGGCTGGCCCTCTCTACACGTGGCGCCAGGTAGACGTGGAGGCAGTGCAGTCTGCCGAGGGGAGGAAGCCGGGCTCTGGCTTTTTTTGCTTAGAAACTCCTGTTCCCCATTTTGTAAATGGTTTGTATTCATTCCTGGAAAATGTATTTAAGAACATATAGCCCTGCCCCTGAAAGAGCCGTTTGTAATATCTTAGTGTTGAGAGAACTTATCAGGTGGTTGCTGTTGTTTTGAGATGGAGTCTCCCTGTGTCACCCAGGCTGCAGTGCATGGCATGATCTTGGCTCACTGCAACCTCTGCCTTCTGGCTTCAAGTGATCCGCCTGCCTCAGCCTCCCAAAGTGCTGGGATTACAGGCGTGAGCCACCGTGCGCGTTCAGTAATTTATAGTTTTGATTATTCGGGTGGACCATCTGCATTGCCAGGTATGAGTACCAGAGAACGATGCCCTGAGCTGGCCCTGGTGAACCTGAGCCCCCACTGACACCTACAACTGCTGGGCCTGCAGTTTTCTCAGCATGTGTACAATGTCTGCATCCACCAACTTTTTTTTTTTTTTTTCAGGAGTCTCACACTGTTCCCCAGGCTGGAGTGCAGTGGTGCGATCTCGGCTCACTGCAACCTCCGCCTCCTGGGTTCAAGCAATTCTCCTGCCTCAACCTCCCGAGTAGCTGGAATTACAGGTGCCCACCATGATACCCAGCTAAATTTTGTGTTCTTAGTAGAGATGGGGGTTTCACCATATTGGCCAGGCTGATCTTGAACTCCTGGCCTCAAGTGATCTGCCTGCCTCTGCCTCCCAAAGTGCTGGGATTACAGACATGAGCCACCATGCCTGGCCAATTTTTGGTTATGTATTAATCAGAAAAATTGGAAGGGGCAAAAGGGTATGTGGAAGAAAATGGAAAACCACTCAGACCCACACCCAAAGATGCCCACCACAGGAATGTCCCTGGGACGTGTGCACATTCAGCAGCAGTGTTTAAATACCAGTTAAATAACTTCAGTGTAGAAAATCATACGTAAGTCTTTTCCAGGAACTGTCAGCAGAGATTACTTGGGCAAAAGGTAAAAAGAGTTCTGTGGTTGAAAAATGCCAGGTGACACGAGCTTTGAGAGGGCCAGCCTCCTCTGAGCCTCCAGGCAGAGTGGGTGATGCCTGTCTGACCAGGCCCAGCTCAGGGGCCTGCTTCCATCTGGTGTTGAGTGTTCCTCTGGGGACTGAAGGTTGCCTTTGAAGTAATTCACACACATCTCCCATTTTCAGGCTCTGGCATCCTGCTGTTTATCTTCCATGCAAACTTTTTGGGTAAAGAAGTTATTGCTCGGCTCTGTGGACCGTGTAGTGTACAAGCTGTAGTTCTGAATGATAAATTTCAGCTTCCTGTTTTTCTGGTAAGATACTCTGTATTTCACTACTGAAAAGTACATTCTTCTAATCAAAAGCACAGATGACTTAATTTTAAATTCCTGTGTCTTAATAAAATATAAGCATTCAGAAAACGATCCAGTAATAGTGGTTGGGAATGAGGCAATACCCATAAAGTAAAATTATCCTAAGTTTTGTCAGTAGGAATTTTTCCTGCTTATTTTTTGCCTTAAATTGTGCTCACCATACTGTCTTAGGGCCAGCATTGTTCTGAATATAAATACTTAATGATCTCAAAGATTCTTTGTACATAATTACTTTGCCACTGTTAGAATTATTTCCTTGGACTGAATTAAGCAAAATTTGCTAGATATAGACATTTTAACACTTGTACTGTATATTGCTGGGGGCATTCTAATCCAGTTTCCCAGATTGATTCTGTCATTTGTATATTTTTAATAAATCAAGGGAAAAATAAATCACTTTTTTTTTTTTTTTGAAGACAGGGTCTCGCTCTGTTGTCCAGGCTGGAGTGCAGTGGCGCGGATTACAGCTCACTGGAGTCTTGACTTCCCAGGCACAAGCAATCCTCCCACCTCAGCCTCCTAACTACCTGGGACTAAAAATGCACGCCACCACATCCGGCTAATTTTTTGTATTTTTTGTAGAGATGGGGTTTCACCATGTTGGCCAGGCTGGTCTCAAACTTCTGGGCTCAAGCGATTGTCCGCCTTGGCCTCCTCCACAACATCTTGACTTATGAAATAAAAAATAAAACTTATTTATGATTCTTTTACATCATTGGTGTTTTAAGGGCTTCTGGTGTAAGTTTGAAAACACTGACTTTTTTTTTCTCTTTCCATTGTAGGACAGTCATTTTGTTTACTCATTCAGCCCTGTTGCAGGTCCCAATAAACTCTTCATAAGGTTGACAGAAGCACCCTCTGCCAAGGTGACAGTCCTTTCTTCACATTTAGTGTCACTACTCAAGTTGTTGCTCCAGATTACTTTATCAACATTAGAAAAAAAATTCCAAGAATCCTGGTGTACCTGTCCTAGAGACAGGCACTCCCTGGGGTAGTGATGCTAGGTGCACCCTCTCTCAGTTTACAATGTGTTAGACATAATAATGCGGCAGGAAAAGAACTAGGTTGCAGCTGAGAAAGATGCCTCTCTAGAGGATGGAGCCATCTGAATCATGATCTAGGCCTTGGTATGGAGTTGCCAAATGTATGTCTTTAGGCCGGTCCCTAACCTCTCTTGTATGAAAGGAAGCTGGACAAAATAGTCTCTCTAATAAAACAGTAATATAAAATTATAAGCACTTGGAATTATTTCTTGAATTAAAATGGCAATGATCTAACAATGTAAATTGATAAGCAACTTGAAAATATTGCCAAATAATAGAAGCAAATCTTGGCCATTTGTGGGTTTTTTCTTGTAAGAAAGGGGAAATCTGGATCTGTACTGACACCTGCGTTCTTTTCTTTCAACAGGTTAAGTTGCTAATAGGTGCATACAGAGTGCAGCTGCAGTGACCAAACAGAAGGGACTGGGCGGAGTTCTCTTCAGACCGATTCCTATACTCTCTTTGACAGCAGTTTGGAATTCTTCTAGCACATCTATGTAAAGTTTTGTCTGTAAACCTCTTGCAGTTAAGCCTGTTGTCTGTTGTAGTCTGTAAGATGCGACATAGCTGTGTCTGTGCCAGTATGCCGGAATCTCAGTGCAGTGTCCAGACTGCGTATTTCAGTTTTTCCACAATGTGGATAGTACATATGAGGATTATTTAAGAAAATTAAAGACTTCACTTTCTTTTTTCTGGAGACGGAGTTTCGCTCTTGTTGCCCAGGCTGGAGTGCAATGGTGCGATCTCGGCTCACTGCAAGCTCTGCCTCCTGGGTTCAAGTGATTCTCCTGCCTCAGCCTCCTGAGTAGCTGGGATTACAGACACCCGCCATGGCACCCAGCTAATTTTGTATTTTTAGTAGAGATGGGGTTTATCCATGTTGGTCAGGCTGGTCTTGAACTCCTGACCTCAGGTGATCCGCCCGCCTCGGCCTCCCAAAGTGCTTGGATTACAGGCATGAGCCACCGCACCCAGCAAGAGTTATTTTCTTAACTTGAAATTTTCTACTAGCCCTGGTGAACTTCTGTGCTTAAAAAAAAAAAAAAAAAAAGGAAAAATTCAGCTCTAAAACATTTGCTTACAGCAAGGGAGCCATGTTATATTCAAGTTACCCAAGCACCAAATAAAGTGTGGGTTTGCTGCCCTTGAAAGGGTTGGGAGGCCTGATCTTTTTCTAGTAGACAGTTGCCACACATTCCCCAAGCACAAAAGGTGGAGATGGCAGTCACTTTGTAAATATGCTGTAGTCACTTATCATCTTTTCAAAGGGTAACAAGAGAATCTAAGATGTAGTAAGAATGTAAACCAGTACACTATGAGACCTAAAAGAGAGTATTAAATGTGAACTTTTAGCAGAGCGTGGTGGCTCACACCTATAATCCCAGCGCTTTGGAGGCTGAGGTTGGAGGATTGCTTAAGTCCAGGAGTTCAAGACCAGCCTGGGTAACATGGGGTGGAACAAGCCTGTAGTCCCAGATACTCAGGAGGCTGAGGTGAAAGGATTGCTTGAGCCAGGGAGGTCAAGGCTGCAGTGAGCCGTGAAAGGCCACTGCACTCCAGCCTGAGTGACAGAATGAGACCTTGTCTCAAAAAAAAAAAAAAGTTTCTTGGAACCTATACGGTTTTTTTTTGTTTTTTTTTTTTGAAAAGCCAGACCTTGTGCCCTTGTTTTGAACACCGACTGGGAAGATGGGGCTTAGGTAACAGCCAAACCTGGCTGTCAGCTGTGTGGGAGCCACCACCCTCTCTGGGAAGAGTTCCTGCTTCTGTATGGCAAGCATAAATCAAGCTCAGTCTGGGTTATGGAGAAGTTGAAAATTGTTTTGTTCCTCATTAGTTTATAATTGTATGAAATACGATTTTAATGAAAACTTTTCAGAATTCACGTTTGTGTAGATATTTCAGAGAACCATTTTTACTTTACATCCTAAAACTGCCTTTTCCTATGGTTTTGTCAATAAAACACTATGATGTTGGTCTGTTTCCTTTTATATCTCAAGTCTCAAAACTTTAAAAGACAGTAGATATTTGTGGTTTTCTAGCTAAATGAGGGCCAAGATTGGACTTTTTCAACTAAATTGAATCATGTAGTATATCTGATTTCATAGCTTTCTGGGGGAAAAGGGAGGATTTGAATTAGCAGCAGTGCAGGTCAGGAGCAGTAAAGAAGACAGTAGGAGGAGTCCAACTATAGATGTGAATGAACAGCCTCAGAGGAACACATGAGAAGGTGACCTGCTGTTTATCAGGAAGGCGGGGCTTTCTCTCTAAGATACAAACCAAATAGGAATCGTCAAATAGTTCAAATTATCCGGGGGAAAAAGCCTGAGCAATGATCCCTCTGGAAAACAAAGCAGTTCTCAGGCAGCACCTTACCAAAAGGTTTATTATAACATTTAGAAGTACAGGTCAAGGCCCAGGGCAATGTTGTGTAGTGCAGTTCAAGTGTACGCAGCACAGCTTATGTGACTGAGGACACAGACCTAGTCATGTCCGGATCTCCTAGTCTTTTCCCCTGGAAAGCTACGAAGTCAGATGATATGGTACTAGTACATGATTCAGTTCGTGGCCTAGGACATAGGTGATCTCAGGACTAAGATCACCACAGATGGGATGCATGGCTGTGGCCAGACTCGCATCATGGCCTCTGCCATTATTCCTTTCCACTGTCTACTTGGGTAAGGACAACATAACTTGGCTATTCAATTAACTTACCAGCGGCAGCACTCAAATCTAGTTGACTGTAATGGCTGTAGCAGAAAGTACATTCCACGTCCTTTTGTCTGTTCTGCCAAAATAAATAGGGATTCTGATAATGTTGAATAACTACAATTAGATATGAGGAGTTTGGTTTCAGTCCAGAAATAGAAAAACTATTCCATTTTTATACACTATCCTCGCAAGTAAATCCTGTATTGATTCTTAAATGTGGAGAATCTTACTCAGTAGAATGATCAGGAGAGTCTATTTGAAGCTCAGGTGCTACTTCTGAGTGAGTTCCGCTTGTACTGCATTGTATGCATTATACTGGGTAGCTTTGAAAGTGAAGCACCCTCCCAAACGAAGCTGACTGTTTGTTTGTTAATGAGAATATACTAGTGCTGGCCAGGCTTATAAGGCACTCAGCATGTGAACCAGGGGCCTGATGAAGCACACACCATGAAAGGCTGGATTGGATGCCCAGAATGAAAACAGTGGAGCTCAAGGAGGATGATTAGCAAAACAAGGAAAAGCAGGAGACATAGAGCAGACTATGAAAAACCTGGGTCACAAAATGACAAAGGCTAAAGAAGTTCGAAATGTTTAATATTTCATGCAGTTAACATGCTTCAAAGCTTTAAGTCTGAAGTTTTAGACTTATCCCAAATCCTTGCTAAGAAGTCAAGACCACTATGGAATTCACACTGCTTTCTATAGACTTCCACTGACTTGCAGCTAATGGTCCTTACACAGCAAAGTTGGGATTTCTAGACGTCTCCTTCCAGGTTCGGAAAAGCCTCACTAGGCAAGTGGCAAGACTGTGAAGACAATGAAGGTTCAGAATTCAGTCAAATGGAAACAAGATCAGGAAACAAGATCAAGGACTCATCTGTCCGCCTGGCACCACTTTAGTTTTGAAGGTGACGCCACCACGCATCCCCGCAGCACACACTCCTTCCTGTGCCGACTCCCGCTATTTGCTTGCCTGAGCCAGTTCATGTTTCAGTAAGAACGATTTTTCTCCCAACAGTGCCAGTTTTCTTATTCCCAATTTTGAGAGTTGACCCAAAATTGTGGGCTATGAGGGATGGTTTTTAAAACTCCTCTAATGGTTCCCAGGCACAGAGCGTTGAAAAGGAGGGATTTCTTGGCTATTCTGAATTTGTGCATTGCTGCCATACTACTTCCCAACACGAACCAGCAAGACCACCACACCAAGGAGTGGGTAACATCTTGATTTAATTTACAAATAAAAAGCCAAAACCCTCAATGCAAAGGAAAACTGCAGTTTACACTTATTCTGGAGATCATTTTTAACCACAGAAAATGTGCCCCTGTAGCATGTTTTTAAATGGCAAGTGCTATGATTGCCCAGACATCCATAAACTGCTTGTATGGAGTAAGAAATTCATAAATGAAGAAAGATTTGTTTTCTGTCTTGTTTCTCCTAGGTCACGAACAGGATATTTCCCACAAAATGTTTTGACCTGGAAAAGAGACAGAGTCTTCACTAGTAAACAGGATCTAATCTCCATAGTATATTTTTCTAAAGAAACAAGAGCTTTCAGTCCTAAAGTAATTTGCTAGACTAGAATCACTGACCAGCAGACCTAAATTCAAGCTTCAATATTAAGATTGTTGATGGAGGAAACTGTCATGGAAATGGCAATTTCTTAACTCTTTATAATAAAAGCAGATTCAATGTCACAAGAATTAAATATTTGGCCTTTTAATAATTTTACTTTCTTTACATGTTTCTGGAGTGAACCTCGGTTACTTTTCACTGACTTTGTTAGAAAGCAAAATCTATAAAAGGAGTTACTTTAACTGAAGTAACAGTATTCACATATTTTAACCAAAATTTTAAAATCCTAAAGTTCCAATGACAAATCTACCTGATAAGCTTATAGAATCTCTCTCCCCTTCTCTCTTTGAAGGCCACAGAATGCCACAGGCTTGATCTATGCCACAGACAGCTTATGTACACAATTTTTTTTCCTTTCCCATATATTTCCTTACCCATATATGAGATTCGTTCTTTGGATTTTCAGATACCTACATAATACAGCAATTTAAAAGTTTAACTTCAATAAAATCTCCATAGACTAGAAAATTATTCTCTAGTTTCCATCCTCAAAATTTCTGTTGCATAGGCTGAGGGTGTGGCTTGAGAATGTGCATTCTGAAGCTCCCAGATGGCGATGCTGCTGGTCTAGGCCTGAGAACCAAAGCCTGAGATTTAACTTTCTAGAGCTGGGTACAGTATGCAAAACAGCTGTCACATTTTTGTGCTGCATGAGGTGTCAGATACTTTGAAAAGGTATAATTTCTCAAAACTACAGAATACATCAGTGCATCTCAAACCAAGTGCACACAAATCCTAGAAAGAAACGTCTTCATTAGTACACAGGACCTAATCTTCACAGTTAAAACGGACTTTTTGACTTGCAGGACTCTGTGTCCTGTGTGGGAGACACTTCATTTCCAAGAAGCTCTCAGGCAACACTGTCACTCCTAGTCCCCAGAACCACTTGTAGCAGCAAGAATAAGACACAATAATGTTTAGTATCACCAGACAAAAGCTAGAAAAGACATACACTTAATACTTTCTGGATCTATTAGGATGACAATGTACCCATGGGAATTTTGTCATAAAGACTGCATTAATGTTTCAATAATATTTTAAGAGTGACATAACAAAAGAACCGAAAAATTGTGACCCCTCTCCGAAAAAGTAAAAAGCAGAGGAGGAGGAATGGATCCATTTTTAAGATTACATATTTTCTGGCCGGGCACAGTGGCTCACGCCTCTAATCCCAGCACTTTGGGAGGCCGAGGCGGGTGGATCACAAAGTCAGGAGATCGAGACCATCCTGGCTAACACAGTGAAACCCCGTCTCTACTAAAAATACAAAAATTAGCCGGGCATGGTGGCAGGCGCCTGTGGTCCCAGCTACTCGGGAGGCTGAGGCAGGAGAATGGCATGAACCCGGGAGGCAGAGCTTGCAGTGAGCCAAGATCGTGCCACTGCACTCCAGCCTGGGCGACAGAGCAAGACTCCGTCTCAAAAAAAAAAAAAAAAAAGAGATTACATATTTTCCAAAGGAACACAAGTTTAAAATTCTAGGTTTGGAGGTCATTAAAAATCAACAGGAAATTTTTTTACAAAGACCTTTTTTTTCTCTCTCCTCACTCCAAGACCTCTATGTCATTTCCCCTCTTAGTCATTTCCCCTCTTAGTCCAGTTTTACCTGAAGACAAATTAATATACGCATTACACCAGTGAGGAAAGAGGAGGGCAAGGCGAAGCTGAGAGTCCCCTCTAGCCTTGCTGAGATATGATGCCAGGGTTTCCTACGAAGACAGGCCAAGCTATAGAGGCTTCAGCTTCACCTATAAACTGTTCATAAATATTCTACTGACTCAAAACACTGGGACCATTACATATCTTCATTACAGTCCACAGAATCAGAATCAGGAAGAATTGACTAGAAAAAACTAGGAAGAAACGAATACTCAAGGATCTGTTAGAAAATAATGAGCAGATACGGACTGACCTGAAAGGAAGTATGATTCCAGTACTTCTGGTCTTAACTCTTCTGAATTACACTGCAAGCTGAACTTCGGGTAACTTCAGCCACATTTTCTTTTATCACCCTAGAAATACAATGAAATCAGATTCAGCCTTTTTAAGAACTGATTTCAATAAACAATGAGAAAAATCAGAGTTAACTCATTTAGTAAATTCATAACAGTAATTGAGGTTTCGATACCATGTAGTGCTGCGTGCTGATTATTTCCATTCAGTAAGGATTTTCTTTTTAATTCAAAATACTCTCCATTTCCTCAAAGAACATCAACTGAATTAAAATCAGCTTCATTTTATCTTCTACAGTAAACAGTATTAAGTCCTAAATACCAAATAATTTTCAGATCTGCTAATAATTTATTAAGAATTTAATTGGCTAAGTCCCTCCTTATTTCCACAGGCCCTCTTGTACAGATTGTTGATACCTCAGCACAACACAGCTTGAAACCTTGTATTGCAAAATCCCACAAAGGATCCTCACTCCCACTGTGTCTGCAAAACCGTATTCCACTTGTACCAAGGCAGGGAATACCAATGTGTGTGTCGTGCTCCATCAGAAAAAGACTCTTACCCTAGTAAGACCTTGATCAATGTTCTTCAAAGAGCACATACCCAAAACATTTCAATAGAGGACAGGTTTATGTGTACAGTTATCCTTATATATGTTTTATAATATGCCTGAAATATTCATACAGTCATACACAATTGCATTTTGGGACACATAAACATACAGCTGTGTGCTCAATTTTCAACTGTTGGGGGTCCATGATCCAAAAATATTGGAAATCATTACCCTAGATCAGTGTTGTTAAAACCCATTTGGGACTCAATTTGCCTGAGAATTGGATGAAGCCCAAAACTGTCCCCCCAGAAAGTATATGTGAAATATGTATGCAGAAACTGTAGACAAGACTGCCTGCAAGTAAAGGGGATCCACAGATACCCTAATGCACCCCAGTAACCCAAGAGGACCCATGGGGTCCCTATAATCAAATCTTTGGAGTTTTTGTTTTTGTTTTGAGAGAGGGTCTCACTTTGTCACCCAGGCTAGAGTGCAGTGGCGTGAATACAGATCACTGCAGCCTCATCTTCCCAGGCTCAAGCAATCCTCCTGTCTCAGTCTCCCAGGTAGCTGAGACTACAGGTGCGCACCACCACACCCAGCTAGTTGTATTTTTTGTAGAGATGTGATTTTGCCATGTTGTCCAAGCTCGTATGGAACTCCTGAGCGCAGGCAATCCTCCAGCCTTGGCTTCCCAAAGTGCTAGGAATACAGGTGTGAGCCAACATGCCTGTCCTGTAAGTATTTTTTAAAACAAGGCATGGCATAAATGAACAAAAAATTATTTTTTATATATTTCCACCAGCAATTGGCATTCTATCTACTCTTGTATGCAAGCTCTGAATTTATAGACTCTGTATCCTTATATTCACCATGGATTGAAAATGCAGTTAGAAGCCAGGTGCAGTGGCTCACGCCTGTAATCCCAGCACTTTGAGAGGCTGAGGTGGGCAGATCACTTTAGTCCAGGAGTTTGAGAAGAGCCTAGACAACATGGCAAAGTCCCGTCTCTACAAAAAAATACAAAAATTAGCCACACGTGGTGGTACATGCCTGTAGTCCCAACTAATTGGCAGGCTGAAGCAGAAGGATCGTTTGAGCCCACGATGTGGAGGTTGAAGTGAGCTGAGATCACACCACTGTGCTCCAGCCTGGGCTACAGAGCAAGACCCTTTCTCAAAAAAAAAGGAAGAAAAGAAAATGTAGTTAGGCCCCGAGTGGTTGTGTCTATACTGAACATGTATAGACTTTTTTCCTTGTCATTATTCCCTAAACAATATAGCTCCATAGCATTTACACTGTATGAGGTATTATAAGCAACATATAATTTAAAGTATACAGGAGGATGTACATGGGATATGTGAAATACTACAGCATTTTATATCAGGAACTTCAGGATCTGCAGATTTTGATATTCATGGGGGCAGAAGCAACCTCCCAGGAAATGGAGGAACAACTGTTTATGCCTTTGGTACAGTAAAGGCTGACAATAAAAATAAACAGAACCATAAACCAAACTGGACAACAGTGTCACTTAATCCTTCTCAATAACATCAGGATTACTAAAAACTTTAAGCATTCTCAGCTTCTCAAATATGTGAATACTCAATTTATAAACCATTACTAAAACCTAGAAAAGTAATTTCCAGAATTTAGCCAAGTTTTAGTTGTCAATATTTAATTTCAATTTTTAAATTTTTATGTATTTATTTATTGAGGTGGAGTCTCACTCTGTCACCCAGGCTACAATACAGTGGGGTGTTCTCGACTCACTGCAACCTTCACCTCCCAGGTTCAAATGATCCTCCTGCCTCAGCTGCCCAAGTAGCCGGGACTACAGGCGCACACTACCGCGCCCAGCTAATTTTTGTATTTTTAGTAGAGATAGGGTTTCACCATGTTGGCCAGGCTGCTCTCGAACTCCTGACCCCAGGTGATCCACCAGCCTCAGCCTCCCAAAGTGCTGGGATTATAGGTGTGAGCCACCATGCCCGGCCCAATATTTAATTTTTAAAAGGGTCATTTTTTCTTATTACTTCTATTCAATATTTGAAAAATTACTAGAGTTCTGTTTAAACTGGTCTTACAAAAAAAGTGACAAGGCTGATTGTACATTGCATTGTAATCAACCCTAATAAAACCATCACAATGAGCTACTACACATCTATTCAATGATACTCATAATTTGGATTTCAAAATATGCGAAGTCCTAGAAAGCTAAGACAAAGACAGCACTTAATACTTCCTCATTCTGAAGAACAGCATCTCCATCAAAGTGATACTGCCTAATATGAAAAAAAAACCAATAATCAAATTAAAAGAAAAGGTCTCCCTTAAGTGAAATCCTAAAAGTATAACTGTAACAACTATATGACACCATCTTGAACACAGGTGGTCTGTCTTTAATTTCAGAATAAAATTGGGTCACTAAGAACTACCCACACATTAACGGGGGATTTTATCCTCATGCCAAAACATTTAAACAAAAGCGAGTGAAAAAGGCCCCTCTAACCACCCCCTAAGATTGAATGGAGACATTTTTCACATAGTCAGAAATGTAAACAGTCAATACCACACATACTTTTCTATGACTTAAAGAATAAAACATTAAAATACAAGGCCGGGCACGGTGGCTCATGCCTGTAATCCCAGCACTTTGGGAAGCTGACACAGGAGGACTGCTTGAGGTCAAGAGTTTGAGACCAGCGTGGGCAACATAGCAAGATGACTCTACAAAAAATGTAAAAATTAGCTGAGTGCGGTGGCACACACAGGTCGTCCTGGCTACTTGGGAGGCTGAGATGGGAGAATCACTTGAGCCCAGGAGCTCAAGGCTGCAGTGAGCTATGATCAAGCCACTGCACTCCAGCCTGGGTGACAGAGTGACACTCTATCTCTAAAAAAGAATAAAATAAAATGTAAAGATATTTTTAAATACAGAAGCCCCATTCTTTTGAGAATGGTAAACTATGTGATAATGGATGTAACATTCTCCCAGCCTTTGAGTAAAAGAAGATACTCTTTTCCCTGAAGACACAAGATCTACTATTATTCATGTATTACATGTTATATATTATGTAATATATAAATTATATATAATAGAAGTAAGTCCTAAGGAATGAATGTATAAAATACACATAATATATGATCTAATGAGCATGGAAGCTGAGCTGTTCAAATTACAACATACGAATTGTAAAACTTGAAGAAACAGGATTTTAACAATGGCATATGTTGAAAGATGCCTAAAAGGCAAGGATTTCCTGTGAGGCAGACACCTGTTGTGCTGAGCCACAGGGACCAGCATTCTTTTAACCAGATGTTCACTGTTCAACAGCAGGGTTTCCTTTCGGAGAAAGGTATGCTCTGAAGTCTGCAGATTTTGGTGGGGTAGGGATTTCCATGTTATCTAACATAACCACCAGAGAAATCTTATACCGAGGAGTGTTTACAACTGAATATGATCCTTTGCCTTCATGACAAAGGCACAGACCACAACACTGGCTGCTACAGCAATAAAGAAACTAAATGCTATTACAAGCAATTCATAGCTGTCAAAATATACAGGATTACCTTTCACCAAAGCTGCTCTATTCTACTGTTAACTGTAAGATTCTCTTTAAGCAACAAAGAATGTATTTTCAACAGACAGTATAAAGAAATAGTGAAGACTCAGTGAATGATATAGCAAAAGAATAAGGCAAAAAATTCAAAAGCCAACATTTTCCAAGAAAACTTGAGAAAATGACTATGAAAGCAACAAACATGAAAGAACTTGACAACAGATCCACAAGGTCAAACTAATTTTGATGTAATATAACCTCAATAGATGAACAAATTATTTAACATATTAAAATATAATTTCAGTTAATTGGACAACTAGATGATGTTTTAATAAAAAAGTTGTATCTTTCAGCTGATATTTTGTAAGAAGCAAAAATCTGTAATATGAACATTCAATTCTGGATTCCCAATATCATCTGGCTTTTCAGAATTCTAATAAAGCTATCTATGTTTAAACTCATTTTTACATTCACAGATTATACATAGGTCAATGAGTTTTAACATCAAATGGCAATGAAACCACAGAAGCTAGTTAAATAGCAATATGGGTGTACGGTGATCAAAGAAAAAGCAGGAGTACTTTACAAAGCAGGTGGCTGAATGGCAAAAAAAAAAAAAAAAAAAAGCAGTATATAAAGGGTACTCAACATCAGAAGTTATCGGAAAATGTTCACAACGTCAGGCTCACTAAAAAAAGTTATGAGGAAAAGCAAATTAAAACCACAATGAGATATATTCACTAAAATGGCTAAAATTAACATGACTGACAGTATGGAGTGTTGTCAAGGATGCGGAGGAACGGAAATCTTATACATTGTTCATGGGAAAAGAAAACAGGACAGGCACTTTAGAAAATTACTTGGCAGTTTCTAAGAAACATATTAATAGAACCTGCCCTAGACTGACAGTATGGCTCACAGGTATAATCCCAGCATTCTGGAAGGCCGAGGTGGGAGAATCACTTGAGCCCAGGAGTTCAAGACCAACCTGGGTAACATAGTGAGAGACCCTGTCTCTCACTAAAAAAAAAAAATAAATTAGCCAGATGCAGTGGCACATGCCTGTATTCCCAGCTACTCGGGAGGCTGAGACTGGAGGATGGTTTATGCCCAGAAGCTCAAGGCTGCAGTGAGCTATGATCGCACTACTATACTCCAGCCTGGGTGACAGAGTGAGATCCTGTCTCAAAAGAAAAAAAGAAAAAGAAAGAAAGAAAGAAACTGCCCTATACTCTAAGAGTTTCTAAGAAACATAAGCTACTCTATACTTAGCAATACTGATCCTAGGAATTTTCCCCAAGAGGAATGAATGCATAATGACTTGTACAAGAGTGTTCATAGTAGCTTTATTCACAATAGCCCCAAAAATAAAAACTGCCCCAAGAGCATATCAATAGAAAACTAGACAGACAAAATGTGACATATTCATTTAAAGATATGTCATTGAGCAGAATGAGAACCACGTACTGATAAATGCAGCAACACAGATGAATTTCAAAAACATTATGTGAAGTGGAAGAAGCCGGAGAGAAAAAAGAGTACATATTGTACCATTCCATTTCTATGAAATTCAAAAACAGATTTATCAACGGTGATCAATACACAACAGTGACGTCCTCTGACGCAGGATGGACTGACTACAAAGGAGCTCATAAGACCTTACGTTTATGAAAACAGTCAAACTGAACAAAATCCAAAACGTTTGAATAACTGACAGGGTAACCCTAAATTCTAAAACGCAAAATTTTACATTTTCTTAAAGAAGGGAAAATTATTTGTAAGTTCATGTAGCAACTCAACGTTGAGAAATAAATACCTAAAATAAAACCATGTTCAGATATAGGAATCATTTATAAATATTAAAAATAACACTGAAGTTTAGATAAATATTAAAGAAATATTAAACATTCCAGTTAGAATCTTAACTTTTTCAGGAAAAAAATATATATGTATATATGCCATCTTTTCCTCTTAAGATTATATGGTAACGTTTCCTGTAAGTTATCAAAGAAATGTGAAGTTCAGCAAAGACTCATAGTTGAATAAAGTACAATATGATGACTTTATCAAACATAATTAATGACCTCAAAGGAAAAATTAACTCCATTTCAAGTGCCCAGACCTGAAAAATACCAAATTCTAGAGAAAAGCTTGGAATGGATCTTAGAATATCTGTCTGCTTTATCTGCAAGGCAACTGTAGTGAGGCAAGCGCTCGTTAGGAAGTGAGACATGTCACTGAAAATTTTCAACCTTAATTTTGTCCCCAAATCCCTACAAAGGCATCTCGAAAACAAAATCCAGAATTATCTTCTTGTGATCACATGAATTTCTCAAACATAATAGAAAAAACAAAACAAAAACAGTCAAGAAAAAAACTACCATTGATCACTGCATAATCAAGGTAAGTTTTTTAAACCATGATGGACTACGGTAACAATAAATTGCATTTTTTAGTTCAAGAAATTATTATGAACTTACCTGAACAGCCTCCACTATTTTCTTTAAAAGTTCAATATTTCAAGTAAATTACTGCCACAGCCAAGAATCCCACTGTTACTTATTTAATGTATCAATCATGTTCATATATCATGAAAAGCCACTGGAAACAAATTGTCAAATAATATTCAATAGTTTATTTTACACCACACACGTAAAACCATTTAAAAAATAGCACCTTACTGTTACTTATTTTGAAGATAACATGTAAATCAAATTAGGAAAAATATTTCTTGCAGAATCCATTACATATTCATGTGCATTAAATAATACCAAAATGTTGTACTGGGGGTAATTACTCAAATATCACTGCAGTGTTATGTGCTGATCATCTGTTTAAATGCAGGGGGAAAACAGGTGCTAAGCCGAATCAGTGATGAGGTCTGATGACCAACCTCAGTCAGGATCCTTTCTTCTGCTGCCCCATTTGGCATGAACTCCTCACTGGGGAACACTACTTCTGAATTAGAAGTGTATCCAGTAACTGTATTTACATGAAAATACATTAGGATCATTACATGTTTTAATGGTTTGCTTTAACATAGAATGACAACACATCTTCTAAAAAGAGACTAAAGTCTAAAAACAGAAGACAAGTTTAAAAGATATCTGTCACATTTTGTAAATGTACAAAACTTCATTTATTGGTTGCCACAAAGTTTGAGAAATTTAGACTATATAGACCAGGTTAATAGGTAACAGAAAAACAAAGTATAAGGAAAGCCGTAACATGTAGTTGTAAATCTACCATCTCAAACTTTTCCTGCCTCCACATCATTTGTAAATGCAGAAGCTTCCCATCAGCAAAGCTGCATGGCACTGCGCCACATCAGAGCCCAGCCCAACCTTTGGCCCTTGGTAAGGCATTAACAGCATATCCGTAAGTGCCATGTGAACCTCAGAATTCCCGGCAGTCCCTTTGTTAGAACACATACTATTTCCCACTTTCAGTCATAATCAGGGCTCATTAAAAGCACTCCCAATAATTTTGCAGTGATTATTTCAGGAAAAACTATGTGGTATAAAGAAATCCTATTTTGATTCGGCTAATAACTTGTTTATCTTAGACAAATGGCCTGTTCACTAATTCAACAAAAGCACAGGAAGCACCTCTATGAGGGTATTCACAACTTAAGAAGGTCTCCCTTAACATCTCAGAAGGTCTGAAGATTGTGTATTAGGTAAGAATAATTCAGTCTGACAGAAAGAGCACTGAAATTCAACTCCAGATGTTCATATGCTAGTGCACAATCACCACTAGTGCAGCAGCAAGAGTAGAGCAAGCAGGCAATGAGCAGATTCTCCAATCAAGAGGAGACTGGAATAAGAGGGTGAAATAAATATGGAATTTTGACCATTCTAGTTTCCTTTTGTGATCATCTATTTATATACCCAAATCCCTAACAAAAAAAACTTACAATGACCTCAAGGTTAAAAATCAGACTTGAGTTTCTCATTTCCCAAAGTTTCCTTTACTACAGCTGTGGGTTCCACAGACAACCTCCCTTTACATGTCTTCAGAGGCATTGTATCCAGAGCTTTTGTCATTAATATACATAGACATGCTTTATTTTTGGCCATTACTGCTATATGCATCTTATTGTCTCTCCTCTTACATATTTATCTGCCAACAGTGATCTTTGCAGACCAAGCCACCATCACCTCTCTCAACTCTCCTGACTGATCTAAGTGCTTTGATTCTCGCTCTCCTCCACTCAATTCTCTATTAAGTAGCTAACGTAATTCCTTTCTAAAAAATAAGCTACATCCTATCATGACCTAGGCAAAGTCTCTCCGCTGAATTCCCATTTTATTCAGGGAAAAAAAATTCCCAACTACTGACCACGGCATTGCTCCACATCTTGCATTCTCAACAGAGCAATCTCCGTCCCAAGGGGGAGAAAATTACCTGGGGGAGGGAGAGGACAAAAATCGTACTCTTTCTATGTATGCAGCACAGATTTAACAGATAGACTTACAACCATCCACAGTTATCCAGGTTGTCAACATTTCAGTAGCAGGGGGTCAATTAGGAAAAGAAGGTCTAAAAGGCCTTCTGTGGAGGAAGTGATCACAAAAAAAAATTGAGAAATGCGGATGTATTAAGAATATATACATCTATGAATACAGAAACTTCTGGAAGGATACACCAGAAATTAGTAACAGCGGCTGCCCCTGGATAGAGAAGTTGGATGGCTGTTAGATGATACTGAGAAATTTACTATCACTCTGCATCACTTTGTATCTTGATTTCTGTGTACCAGGTACACATTATTGTTCATAAAATTCAAAAATATAGTTTATGTATAAATAGTATTTGAAGGCTGTTGATTTTTATTAGGTATTCTTTCTAAAGTGCAACAGTGTAATAAAGATTATTTCTAGATCTCAAGGAGGATCTGAATGATGGCTATAATGAAGGGCCTATTTAGGTAACTTTTAAGTTTGAGGAATAAGAGAATGGGGTTAGTCCACTTAGGGTTTCCGTATTTCCTCATGTTGGCCACTGACCAAGTATGAATATAGCCATCTTTAGGGGTGGGCGCGGTGGCTCATGCCTGTAATCCCTGCACTTTGGGAGGCCAAGGTGGGCGGATCATCTGAGGTCGGGAGTTCGAGACCAGCCTGGCTAACATGGTGAAACCCCATCTCTACTAAAAATAAAAATAAAAAATTAGCTGGGCATAGTGGTGCATGCCTGTAATCCAGCTACTCAGGAAACTGAGACAGGAGAATCACTTGAATCCGGGAGGCGGAGGTTGTGGTGAGCTGAAATCGCGCCACTGCACTCCAGCCTGGGCAACAGAGTAAGACTCCATCTCAAAAAATTAAAATTAATATTAAAAAATAAAGCCATCTTTAGTATATGTTCATTTCTTTGGGATGTGCATTTCTGTAACTCATCAATGCAACTGCAGTGTTCTATGGAGCTTCAATGGTTTCCACGTATTCCAGTACAAGACTCAAACTCACCAAGCCCTGCAGGGGACACCCAAATCACTCTGTGGATGTACAGAGGGTATCTCAGCCCCCTAACCTATATACATTTGACACTGGCAAACTTTTGTGTCTCATATTTTCATTTGTCAATTGTTGCTTACTCTACTGACAATTCTCTAGCCAAGATCTTTTCCCCGAGCATCAGGATTTCCTGTGCTGAACCCACTTTCTAGATGGCACAGGGCCCCAACCCTTCCATCTGCCCTTTCTCCTCTTTTTAGCAGCACCAAAATACCTATCATTTGGTTTTTTAAAACCTGTCACCCTTGCCTTCTTTCTTCCACATAAATCCCAGTCGTGACCATATCATAATCACTCCACGTCTTGATTTCTGCCCTTCTTCTCCATCCCACTATCCCACATATCAAGTGCTCTCACTTCCTGCAGTTAAGGCCATTCAAATGCATCCCACTGCCAATCCCTAGGTATATAGTGACTGCAATCTGACTACTGTCATTCTCTTGCCAAAAATCTCCTAACGATTTTTGGAGATTTTTTCAATGGGTCTTTATCACAGAATAAGATTTTAGATTTGTTTTCCAGTCTTGTTTTGGGTTCCTACCAGCTTTCTACACAGTATCAACTGTCAGCCTTTGCTCACGGTGGGCCCACTCTGATCGTATCTACTCCCCGAAACAGATATAGCTCATTTGAAGTTGATACCTAGGTATTTCTACCTCCCCAAATCTCTGGACACACTCACTAAGATAGATACTACTTCCCCTTTTGTTCTGAATGGTCGTCTAATGCTCCCACCTCCAAACAAGAGCATTCTATGAAAATCCTTCCCAACTATTGTATCTTATATGCATTTCTCTTTGCCGAACTCCCTGTAACACACTTATGTTGGGCAACAGGTTTCATGTGTAATCCGTCAAGGTACCAAAGTATACCTAGCACTACTACTGAACTGTACACATAGCAGGTGATTCTTACAGATAATACTAGATAACCTCCTGTCACACGATGCTCCCAAAACTGATAACAAGATGTATGCTTTATTGAGAACAAGATTCCAACACTTATTTTGTATTGTGTATTCTTGAATTTTTCCTTCCGTCTGCCTCTCAATTCATGCATATGTAAGTAAAGTCCAAGTTGACTGCTGAAAGGTGCTCCTACCATTATTGATGTTTGTCATCCTTTCTTTCTCCCTTAAGATCTTTTCTGCATTGTTTCATAATTAATGTGCTGTCTTCTAACATGTATCAGTTGTCTGGAGTTGCTGGAAGACAGGAGCACCTCATATCTACCCCACGCTGGCTGCGTTTATCTTCGATGGAGCAAATCCTTGCTGGACGGAGCTTATATTCCATGCCACCCAGACCTACTGTAGAATCAATTATTCCTAATCTATGACTCGAGCGTCTACTAACTCAGCTCAAGCAATCTAGGCCCTTCACAAATATAACAATGACATAATCTCTTGCAATTAATTTATGGACCCTATAGATTGTTTAGAAACCATTCATTTTGTTGACCAAATACAGTGTTCGCTTATTAGTTTATATGGCATCAAAGACACATTCACATTAAATTAGCATTTTAATACATAAGTTACTTTTAATGGTGTGATAAACTCTTAAAAAAAAAAAAAAAGGAAACTCATTGTAGTATTCCTACACTAGCACCCAGGCTATTTTATGTGTCAGTGTGTGCACTAGCCAAAGGAAAATAACTATTAAAGGACAAACAGAAAACTTATAGTCAACTGTCGACATGAGCTGTCAGGTGTTCAATTAATGATAATCCAGCCAAGAGCACATCCAACCCAGAGAAGCACTGAGGTCTGAAGGGTACAGTTCTGCTCCGGCTGCTCTAGACAGCAGCCAGTTCAGACTAGAGCAGGAAAAGGCAGGCCTCCAGAGGGAAGCCTAGAGTGAAGACAAAAGCAAAATAAAAACAGGATGATAACGAGGATGCAAAATTAAGGAAATGGCAAAGACACTGAACACTGGGAAAACACACATGAAAATTTTATGTAACCAAATACATATTTCATACTATAGATTAGCTATATAGAAAAAAATGAGTTTTGGCAAACTAGAGTTGATTCCATTTATTTATGCTCCAAAAGTACTTAAGACTATATATACTACTATAATGTGATTATTAACCAAAATTATATCATAATGTCAACTTGAACATTTTAAAAACCCTTTGCATACGCTGAATTATACATTTAATCCCAAGTTTTCATCATCTCTTGTCAAGAAGAGAAGAAAAAAACAATGCTTCTTGCAGAGGTCAGGTCCCCAGACTTGGTGGCATTCCCATTCTTCCTAACTTGTACTTACTATAAAACAGAGAGCCCAGGATGCTGAAAAGAATATAACTGACATATTTCACAAACGGAGACTAAAACCAAAATGCAGGAACTGAGTAATGTCTACCATATAACTAAGAAAAATGTTAATCTGGTCTATTCTTAGAAAACATTTGAAATCACCATTTGTAAAAGCAATCCAAAAAAGCAATGTCGATTTTACAGGTAATGTTTTAAATTCCTATAACCCATCCAACTGAACAGTAATATATATGAGGTCAAGGACCATGATAAAAGAAGCAAGCAACTGAAAAAAAGGATAGGGCAGAGGGAAACTGGTAACTCTTAAGAACTCCTCAGAGTATCTGAGTAACTATCCACTCATAAACAGGGACTCTTAACATGAAAGACCAAGTCTCAAACTATTAATTACATGCTTTTTCTCCTCCCAGTATTTGTAAAAGAGTTTTTCAATCTATGTCAGTACAATATATCCAATGTATCAAAACCTGAGAGGATTAGGTAGTCCCCTTCATCACATATAATTTTTACTGAATTATTTCTCCTGCAAATCTTAGCCACACTGTCATCTTAAAGTTCAATTACTGGAAGAATTAACTGGACCATCAATGTCTGAAGAAGTATATATAGTGATCACCTATAGAAACTATATATGGATAATCACATCAACAATGAGTTCTAGTTGCTACATTTTGCTAGAAGACCCTTCTGAGCATTTCCTGACGAGTTGCTCCTAGCAGTGAACCTCTCCCATTTGTGTTGGTTCTGGTTTTCTCTTCAATGTATAACAAAGGAAGAAAAGGTGTGAGAGAAAAACAAATACAGAAACTTATAAAACCAGTAGCCTTCATTTAAAACTCAATTAGAAAAAGCCTACTTTCCTGGAGAAACCTCAGGTAGGCGTTTTAAACTTACTTCCACGTCCTCTGGTCTTCTTACTGCTTGGGGTTCCACCAAGACCAAACGCCATTGTATTTGGTATAGCCAATCAATACAAAGAACATACACCGTGATTTTAGTTCTAAATTTTATATTGATCGTTGAACCAAGTCTTCTCCCATTCCGCCAACCTCATTCCACTCTCTGGTCCCACACAGCAGGATATCTTAACTCCTATCTATCCATTCCAACTTTCTTCTCTTTCCTCTTTAGACAGGGTACATATTCTACCAACGTCTATTAAGAGCTGGACTATTTACTCGTCCTCCCTGCTGGCTATTCTTACTCTGACCCTTTAGTGTAATGGAGTTGTCTAAGAATTTCTTTATGCACTTTCTTTTCCCAATTTTTCTTTTGCCACTTACTAGACTTCAAACTCAAAGAAGGTAGGGACAGTGTCTATTTTCTTCACTATTATATGCACAGACTGAGACAAAAATGTTCAATAAAAATTTATTGAATGAATAAACAATCTGCAATACTCATCCAAACACTTTAATTGGTACTAAAAACTCTACTCCTAAATCCATACCATGACTCCATTTTTCCTCCTGAAAATTTTCTCAGATCAGTTCAATACCAAATGTCAAACACTGTGTGAACATTGATAAAGATGGGGAAAAAAAGTAGGCATTGCTGGGCACAGTGGCTCACACGTGTGATCCCAGCACTTTGGGAGGCCAAGGCGGGAGGATCATTTGAGACAAGGAGTTTGAGACCAGCCTGGGAGCCTGGGCAACACAGTGAGACCCTGTTTCTATAACTTTTTTTTTAAAAAGTAGCTAGGCATGGTGGCATGCACCTGTGGTCCCTACTACTGAGGTGGGATGATCACTTGGGCCTAGGAGTTTGAGGCTGCGGTGAGCTATGATACACCACTGCACTCCAGCCTGAGTGACAGAGTGAGACCTTGTCTCGAAAAAAGACAAAGTAGGCACAACGAGCAAATAAATATACTGATAAAATTGACATGAATGAAAAGACTTGATGGGAAACTGTTCTGAAAAAGGCACTTATAAGAGATTTACAAAGGCCGGGCGTGGTGAGTCATTGCCTGTAATCCTAGCACTTTGGGAGGCCGAGGTAGGCGGATCACTTGAGGTCAGGAGTTCAAGACCAGCCTGGCCAACATGGTGAAACCTCATCCCTACAAAAACACAAATATCAGCCGGGGATGGTGGCAGGTGCCTGTAGTTCCAGCTTCTCAGAAGGCTGAGGCAGGACAATCACTTGAACCTGGGAGGTGGATGTTGCAGTGAGCAGAGATTGCACCACTGTACCCTAGACTGAGTGACAGAGCGAGACCCCATCTCAAAAAAGAGAGACCTACAAAAATATCTGGGAGACGGAGGAACCACCTTAGAGTTTAGTGAGCAAGCGGGGAGGGATGGAGGTAGATGAGGTTGGAAAGGCGGACCAAATCAGATAAAGTCCTGTGGTCTACCATGTAGTTGTGATTTAATTCAGATGGGAAACTACTGTTTGAAAAGAAAAGGAAGCAGAATCTGAGTCATGTTTTGTGTATTTATTTATTTTTGAGACAAAGTCTCACTCTATTGCCCAGGCTGGAGTGCAGTGGTGTGATCTCAGCTCGCTGCAACCTCCGCCTCCCAGGTTCAAGCGATTCTCCTGCCTCAGCCTCCCGAGTAGCTGGAACCACAGGTTTGCGTCACCATGCCCGGCTACTCTTTTAGTAGAGATGGGGTTTTGCCATCTTGCCCAGGCTAGTCTCAACTTGTGAGCTCAAGTGATCCACCCACCTTGACCTCCCAAAGTGCTCAGATTACAGCATGTCACTGCGCCCACCCGGCCAAGTCTTGTTTTAGAATGATGCATTTTGTGGAGAATAAGTTGCAAGAGCAAAAGTAAAAACAGGACGAGTTAGGAATGTATCATAGTCATCTTTGGTGACAGATGGTAGGTCCTGTGAGATAATATATTTACCAGGCGGATTTTCCAAAGTTTTAAAAATCCCAACCAACCACCTAAAAGCACTCAAAACCAAAACATTCAAAAATCAAATGGATTATGCCCTCCTCTCCCTCTAGCAGCTACATCAATCACCTCACCATCGACCCTGAACACACTTACCTTTGGCGTCTCTGTTCATAGTATCCTCAACCCATCATTCAAACCAGAAACCCCTAGGACACTTTGCATCTCCCTCCTCCGCCCTCCCAATACATTAGAAACAGCTGAATTCACTATACCTCTGAATTACTCTTATCTGGAATCTGAACAATCCTGACACTAAAGATCCTTTCAAATTCAATGTAGGGAGGCTGGGGCTGGATCCCTGATCTATGTGGTCTCTCTGCTCCAGAACATTGTTTCCAGTCCAGTCACTCTTACATTTAACATAATTATTTTAAGTTGTAATAATGGGGCTTATCCTTACTCGCAGTCACCTAAAAGGTAAATAAAGGTCTAAACTCCTTAACAGTGATCAATTATAATCTTATCTCAACTTTACTTCTCTTCTCTGCTACCAACCAGTCTTAGCGTCCTCCCCTTAGACGGCTTAGTGCCTCACCAGGCCTGTGACCACATCATGTTGCCACCCCACAATGCTCCTTACCCTCTCGTGCAAAAAGCCTACAACTATCAAGTATCTACTCACCTTCAGGACCTGCTCAAACGCTATCATCTTAGTGAAATCTTCCCAGTCTCCGCAAAGTAAATGAACTATTTGCGTCTGGGTTTTCAAAGAACTTTCTATGCCCTTTATTACAACAACTTGGTCAGTTTCCTTACAACTCTACATATACCCATTAAACTACAAAAGGACCATATTTTGTTCATTTTGGTATCCTCATTTGTAAACACTGTGTCTGTTCTACAGTTGGTGTCATTCATTCACCAAGCAAATATCTAACAAGGACTTGCTAGGAAATTAAGATGAATTACTAAATGACGGATATTCTAGAAGGAATAAAATAAATAAATAAATAAACAAGATAACCTCACACAAATGTTTTAAGAGAAATCTTGTATGTACGACCAAACCTTTTCAGGACTTAAAACATATGCTTAAAAATGTTATGGATAGTATCAAGGTGATAGCAAACACAAAAGGAAAGTAACAAAGTGAAAGGGGTGTAAAACTTGATGTGTACGATTTCTTTCCTGAGAACTTCGTGCTCCAACTCCTTCCCTGCAGGACAGCAAACACCAAGTAATTAAGCTCAGGAAATTAATCTCACACTGACACTTAACTATGAATATATACTTAAACTTGGCCAGGCGCGGTGGCTCACGCCTGTAATCCAAGCACTTTGGGAGGCCGAGATGGGCGGATCACGAGGTCAGGAGATCGAGACCATGCTGGCTAACACGGTGAAACCCCATCTCTACTAAAAATACAAAAAATTAGCCGGGTGTGGTGGCGGGCGCCTGTAGTCCCAGCTACTTGGGAGGCTGAGGCAGGAGAATGGCGTGAACCCGGGAGGCGGAGCCTGCAGTGAGCCGAGATCGCACCACTGCACTCCAGCCTGGGTGACAGAGCGAGACTCCATCTCAAAAAAAAAAAAAAAAAAAAAAAAAAAACCATATATATATATATACATACACACATACACACACACACACACTAAAACTTTAAATTTCAACCTTATTCATTTTAAAAGGAACAATAAATTACATAATTATAGCCTATGTAATGGGATTCAGAGATTACAATCATTGAAAGGAAAAAATTAAAATGTGACTAAATTATTCTTCTAAGATCAGGGCCAAGAAAAATATTTCAAACCACATGTGAAATATTAAACTTCCTAGAAGCCACATTAAAGGAGGGAAAAAAGCAACAGGTGAAATTAGCTTAATTATATATATTTTATTGAACCCAATGTAGTCAAAATATTATCACTTCGGCATATGCCACATTTAAAAGTTGAGAAATTTTACATTCTTTTCTTCGTAAGTCTGCAAATCTAATTCAGATGCAAAATTTTCCTCAAAAATACTTAACTGTATTTAGATTACATAAAATCAAAGATACAAAAGTAGATTAATATAATCAAGTCGTTCCAAGTATGCTTAATATTCTATCAATAACTGAATTTAAGTCAATTACAATAAAAACTTTAGTTCCTCATCTCACTAGTCCCATTCCAAGGACTCAACAGCCAAATGCCACTACTACTAGGATGGTTCAGCTTCAGGCAGAACTGTGGCCGCTTACTTCAGCACAACTCAATTCAATGAGCACAAACTAAATAAAAATCATTTTCTTTCCCCTTTGTCTCCTAAGATAGCTATTTTCTAGGCCCCTTAACTAAAAGAGTAGCTGTCATTTTCTCTACTGCCTTTATCGCTACATGGTAAGATATTATTTGTCACTCTATTACACAAATGCTATCAGGGCAAAGGATGGGTCCACTGTGTTCACACTTCAAACTGCAAGAAACTACAGTCTACATAGCAAACTGTAGGAAGTCAGTATGTAACTAAGAGGGTTTCAAGCACTGCTAAATTATTTAACATGTGTATCTATGCTGTGTTTATGACCTACAGAAAAGAAATAGAAACTGGCTGTGATAGGTTAGTCTTCTATATCATTCAAGTAATTCCAAAATAATTCAAACTATGAGATCTATATTTTCAGCCAACCTAGGGAATATTTCATCCATTCATATGTCAAAAAGTTCATGACATGAACCCCTAGACTTTAGTTGACTTTAAGGCCTGTAGCACAAACAGCAGAACATAAGTTAAGTACATTCTATTGCAAAGCAGAATCTAAGAATGTAAACACACTTTTCTACATTGTACTTCCCAGCCCTAAAACTTGGAGCATGTTATTTTCCACAAACTGCCCATCTTCCACTAATTTTTTAAAAAAATTTAATGGCTTCAGATAAAGGGCAATGTAGCACAATACACAGCCAAGAAACAAAAGAAGTAGTCTTATTTTTCCCAATTAATCATCATGCATAAATCTACATATTAGCAACAGATCAAATATAAAGTTCTATGGCTGCCCAGTAAGGTAATGCTAGAGCCGTTAAATATGCATGCTGGTGGGGGAGGGAACCACATTCCAATCAGAAGACTTCAGTAATGTATAAGATGACACAAAGTAAAAACTCAAGGCAGGTCCCTTTTTAAATTTTTATCATTTTTTTTTCTGTATTCATGTACCAAGAATAAAAGTTAAACACTGATTTTTGTAGAGATGTAACTCATTTTGGTGTCACAGGAGTTAAAAATAATCATTTCTTGACTGAAGACAATTAGTAATACATAACAGGAAAAACTGTGAAAAAGTCTGGTATCAACATATTTTTTTTAGAAGAGATAAAAAAAAAAAGTCTTACTCTCATTAGGCTGCCTGAGAATTCCTCAGTTGGAAAATAGGTTAATAAGCCACCATGGGGTAGAAGCAGCCTAATGTCGTAGACCTGGGCCTCCACGAAGCGAGGAATCTGACTCTGAACAGAAGAAATGGGGGAGGGGTGTGGTTGGTGCAATGTTAAAAGATAACACTGATTGCACCTTCTCCAAACCAAACCCATTTATGTTCACAAAAATCTCAAAATGGCTGATTCATGTGGAAAACTGAGAAGATACCAAATTCTATTTTAGGGTAGTTTTTGGGAAGCAGAGTCAGAGAGTCCCCAGGTGATATCCGGATTACAATTAAGAAACAAATCTCTATACTTATTTCCTACATATAGATATTCTTAACATACACACATCAAAGTCAATGTTATAGAATCTACTTTCTGGGATATTAAAGGACTGAAATCAGGTGACTGTTTCTTTGCACTGGTACAGTCACAATTTTTTGGAACAAACAACTGTCAATACAGCAAATAGATGCTCTCATTATGAACCAATTTAATTTTTTATTGTGCTGCATAATTTTGAGTAGGCCTTTATCACACACACACGCACACACACACACACATACGCACACACACACACATATCTGACGCTACAAAGAAAATATTTTAATATATATACTTATGGTCTTGGGAAATACACTTATCAAATCTTTTATCTTCAAGCTAGAAAAGCAAAACAAGCTTACACCAAAGAGAAAGTCAGGCCATCATTTTAATCCACCAAACTATCATTCTATTCATATTCACCATGAGGGTAAGTAAAGACAGGACAGTTTTCTAGCACCTTCATCCAGCAGCCAGAAGCATGTCCAAACATACCGATACAAAAACAGTTACATTATTTCATCTCATACTGGTATGCTGAGAATCTGCTAAGAGGAAACTTGTTTCACAAAATCTTCAAAGTACACTTCTCCACATACCCTCTTCATTTGAATTAACTAGGTTTTAAAATCCTAGTTCAAAAATGTATGATAAATGAATTTATGCATTAAATAACACTCAATAGCTAATATGTTTCCTAGTCAGAAATAATGGACTTTTGCAGTGCTTATCAACTGGCAATAGCTGTAAATGTCTGAGGGTGTTTTGATTGTCAGGGATCTTATCCAATCTACAGTGTACTGGGACAGTCAACTACAGCAACAACAAAAATCACAATCAGAATAGCCTCTTTTGAGGCACAATATCTGAAAACAGATGCTCAAAGGGGTTCTTACCAACAGTAGCAGCGTCATCACATAGGAACTTACTAGAAATGAACGTTCTTTGGCTCCACCTGAGGCCTACAGACCACTCTGGAATAAAGTCCAGAGATCTGTGTTTTAATGAGCCTCCCAGGTGATTCTAATGCATGCTCAAGTGTGAGAACCACTAACTTCAGAAGGATGTCTGTGGCTGCTGTCCCTTAATTTAGAGGACAAGTTTTTTTCCACTGTTGTATCTTAAGCCCTAGAAAACTAACCAATACACAGTAGGTCCCCTTGATACATGCTGTTACAATGAATTAATGGATATAGTGAAATTCTGAATGACATGGCACCTCATAAAATCTTATATGACTAAGAAAAGTTTTTGTAGACAATTACTCCCATTACCATTTTCAGTTATCTGAACTTCTCACTCCAAAGTTATCCTAATGTGTAAAGCATTCAAGTCTGGGAACATATTTTCTAATCAACTCAAAGAATTAACATACAGTGATTAACAACTAAGCAACTTACTATTATTGCCTCTAACACCAAAAAGGTCAGAAATTACTAAAAGTCATACAGAATGACTATGTAGAATTTAGTTTACTTTTTCTCAATACATAAAAACACCAGGCAACATATTTAAATCTAAAGAATGTCTGAAACTTAATACTGATTTACATTATCTAATAATGTAAAAATATCCTGAGGAAAAGTTAACCACGAAAGGTACACTAAGATGTTTTCTCAATTTTCACGTAATAAATAATACAAATAACTTGCAAAAAGTAAATTATTTAAATAACCATAAAGATAATAATGTAAATAACTTGTATTCCAAACATGGCAAAGTGAACAGGCACAGGATTATATATTTACATAATTCTTCTAAACAGTCACAGAAGCCTGGTTGATTGACAAACATATAATGCCCTTTTGCATAAAAGCAGCTAGAACAGGAAAGAATGTATCAGAGATCCAGTCAGAGAGAAAACATAAAACATACTGAATGAATGTGGCTACTTAAGTTATGACACTAGCTTATATACGGTAATTCCTTACATGAGATGTACAATATATAAATAAAAATGTGAAGCTGTCTTGGTGTAATAAAGAGCTAGAAAAAATTTTAGATAAAAATTTAGACAATGAAATAAAAATAAAAATTAAGATAAAATTTAGATTAAGGTATCTATTTCAAAGTCTTCAACACCATCAACAAAACACTTAAACAAAGCATTTAAAAAATATAAGGTCCACTTATATTACTATCAACACAATGTAGGACCTCGTATTTAATGAATAATTTGTCTTATTGACTAAATTTATATTAAAATATGAAGAAAATCTAAAATGAAATGTGTTCAAACTAAGTACATTTCCACTTGAACCTACTTAATTCTAATTCTATTCTTAATTTTGAGACTGAACTACCTCATGTGAAATTTGAGTGATTTATATTCCACAAGACAGAACTGAAATTTTATTTATGTGTACAAGCAGAATACCATCTCTTTTAAAGTTCATCTGATTAAATGAGAAAGGCACATTTAAAAAGAACAATTCTGACAAACTTCTTTTAAAAATACAGGATCTTTCGCAGAGGAGGGAACTGATAGTGACAATGGTAACTGAAGCCATAAAATTTTCTTGAAAAAGATTTTGTTTAATGTGTATGTATAAACTCTGGCTATATAACATTAAGAATTTCAGTATCTTCAATCTGGAAATAACAGACTTCTGTTATTCAAAAGGAAAAAATGTCATAAAATAGAAAAAACACATACACTGTTAATTTCATCAGGTAAAAAAAAGTGTAATCAAATAGTAAGTTTCAACAAAGAGGAACCCTTAGAGGTATTTATATTCTAAACGGTTTTACAGAAAAAAAGGTCAAATAAAATCAGAAAACAAGTTTTGTGGTAAGCCTTTAAACACTGTCTTACAAGCTTCAAATTTCAATCATTAATATTGTTATTCCATAATCAAGGAAACAAAAACAAATTCAAAATATTCTCACAACACATAGAAGACACTACTTTTGATATTTATTTTTAAAATTTTTTTATTTTTTGTAGAGACGAGGTCTCACTACAACTGCCCAGGCTCATCTCAGCTTTTGGTATTTAAAAAACTCCAGATTTTAAACATTAGACACTATAAATTTTTTTCTGCATTTTTTTTTCATTATTTCCCCAGAGTAACAGTCCATAAATTAACTGATGGATACTCACTTAGGAAATGGCAGACATACTTCATTTTACACCACCAGAAAAACATGTAAAGTGAACAGAGAAAAATGATTTTAATTTTTAAACTTCAGTAATGAAAGCTGCTGGAAACAAAATGATCTTGTAAAGTATAAGACTACTCCCAATTCATTGAATTATATGATTTGCTTAGAATGAAATGTTTCCATGCTGGGCTACATAAGAGGTGGACTCTTCGATTTCAAGAAATGAATCTTCATCAGTATGAAATTAACCTAAAAATGTTGTTTTTGGAGGCATGTGTTGAAATATTTAAGGGACAAGTAACATCAAGCCTGCTACTTACTTTAAAGTAGTTTGCCATCCCCCCAAAAAGTCCATGCCTAAAAACATCTATGAACACAGGAAAACATGAATAACTGTTGAATTAGAAGATATGTATATGGATATTTACTGCCTTATTCTTGAAAATAAGAAGTCTGACTTTTTATATCACTGCTATCCTCTGACACCTCAGAAATATATTTTAACACATTAGATGTTGTAACAAAACTCTGAACACCTACAGAAAACACTTAAATAATACCTTACTCCCCAGGAACTTCCTTCATTTTTTCAAAATGATGTGGCCCATTTATTTTTCACTAATACCATCTGACACTAAATCTCAACCCTTTTTAAAGCTTTTACCATAATATGATCACATCCTTTCACAAAACTTACTTGATTTCAATCATATATGTCCTTTTTCTCATTCAGAATCTATGTTGTAATGATCAACCTAATCCCCATTTACTAATTAATGACTACTAATCATTCACATTGCTATTTAGCAATTATTAGAGACTCTACATATAAGTAGCAAGTTACTGAAATATTCAACAAGTATGTTTCTCAACAAACTGTAAAGGTATTATTTCAAATAGTGTTTGAAAAACAAGAGCCAAAGTTTCAGTCACTGTCCTTGTTTACAATTCCTATTTTTATTAAATGGCAATTCCAGCTAAAACAGATATTGTTCCCCTAATATTATTGATATTTCAGGGTTAAAAATATTCAATCTCTTTCACTAAGTGCTCAGCACTGATTTCACACAGAAAAATAAAAAAAACCTCAAGAAAGAATAGCAAATTGAATTTTGCAAAAACACAAGTGAATCAGTTTTTTAAAATCTGCATCTGTCAAGAAAAAAAATATGCATTTATTTACAAAATATACAAAAATGGGGGAAATTCCAACAACATAGAGTACTAGAATAAAACTATTAGGAAAACAGGTGTTCCTTTATTTTATACACACTAATTACAAGTAGCACATGAAACATTAAGTCCTGAAGACTTTAAACTCAGTACTTCAAATCATCACACAAACTATCATAATATTGTTATATATTAAAATTGTTTCATATTACTTTTTATAAAAAAAAGATAGCATATATGACAACTTCACACTTACTTAGAAAGCTAACACTACTGAATTTCCTCTTTATTTTTGTATCTACCACTTTTAAGCAGATGATATTCAAAAATCTTCCTTGGTATACTAATCCACAAGAAAAAAAAATTGACTGAACCAGCCACAAAGTTTAACTATACAAAAACACTAAAAACACGGAATAACTGGGAGTTCAGAGATGCTCCACTTGACTGTCACTCAGAAGCTGACTGCTCCCAGCGTAAACTTGGTAAAGCCGGAACAAGGATTTTCTTGATGCTGGGAAAAAGTTGTGTAGAACTCTGTTCTTGGTGCCAGAGTTGAGCCTGGACACTAGGATGTTCAGGAGATTAAGACATCTTTTTGTGCACTGGCCTTCGAGTGTTCTTGAATGAATCATACAGAATTTCACAGCCTTGGCCAAAGGTACCTTGGTTTAACATCAAAGGATCAAGTTTCTCCCAATCATATTTCAGCTTTGAAGTGAAATACAATGCTAAAAATTACCTGAGAATTATATGAATAAAATATAGATGACGGGAAAGGTAGATTTAAGTGCAATAGATATCACTGAAAAACTGTAATCAATGTTAAAACTCCCCATACCCCAATTAATGTCACAAATTAAAGCAAATCCCACTCTCCATCACCTCATACTTATGAGAAACATGAGAATAGTCTTTGACTATTATTTTACAATCTCCAAATCATGTTTTCAAAGAACTGTCAAAAACAAAAGCCTATGAATACCACAAATTTTGGAAAATAGTTCCATCCACACTGTGTATCAAAAAAATAGCAGAACATGAAAGAGTACGTATGAAAATTTTAATTAGTATAAAAGAATGCATCAATTATGCTTTACAACCAACTGCTTTTATGCAAAATTTAAATTGTTTCTTTCCAAACTACACCTTCCAGCAAAACAGACACCACTATTTACATAGTGTTTATTTTAAAATAGCATATTATCTTTCAGAAAGGTGCTGAAAGCATGATATAGCAAACCATAATGATGTTTTATGAGAAACAGCTATGCTATGATCAGTGTCTGATGAATTACATTTGTGGTATGAGTCATATATGATTCCTTAAATGTAATTTTAAATAAACATGACCAACATACACATTTTTAAAGAGTTATGACTTTGTTTTGCAATAAACATTATAATGTGATAAAATCAGTTTCTCCCTAGTATTGAAAATCAAAATAGGTATTTGATAGTGAAAGGAGCTAATCAGATTCCAATGACTCTAGCCATTCTCAAGTAATTATCTGCTTTTTAAAATCACCTCTTGAACTGTACTCCTTGGATGTCTCTCAGCATTATCTTGAAAAACACAAACAAACAATTAAAAAGAAAACCACTGCCATTCCTTGGAGACAAATGGTCCTAACCCATCAGACACGTTTTACTGGAGAAATGTCCAAATTTTAGGGAAATATTTACAACACTGCAGAGTCAAGCCATCTTTTAATACTTCTAGAAACCTACATTCTCAAGAAATGCCTAATTCACCACAAATCACACAGCAAATCCTCACTTCACAGCCAACCCAACAGTATTGTTTTATTTTAAAGAATGTTTAACACTAACTGTACGATAATAATCGGGTAAGGTCTAGATATTAAAACCAAATAAATAATGGCAGATATGTTTAAAACTAGACATTATTTTTTATAAGCAAAAGAGATTTGCCTTCAAACAGTTTTTTTCAAGATGAAAAAGATTTATTTGGAAAAATCAGCACAGGACAAAGATATCCTTAATAATCTGTCTCAGAATACCTGAATATTCAGAAGCTATATGAAATGTAGCTGGAAATTCCGATTTCACAGAACATCAGTGGTTTATACAAATTAAACTCCCATACCCTCCCACCCCCACATATACTACTCTATCTACCCCTTATTGACATTAGCTTTCATTAATTAAGCTTCTATCTTTAGTGCTACTTGCGCAAATTAAAAAGCAAAATCATTTTCATTTTTAATGATAGGATTAGTTAAAGCAACCAAAGCATTACTGTTACAGCAAAGTTTAGTAAGACCGTAAGAGAATACCACTAATAACAGTTTTAAATTATCCAAAATGATTTCTTTATTGAGATTAACTACATAGATTTCACAGTACTATGGAATACTTATATTTAGCTAAAGTCACAAACACATTTCAACATTCAAAATGATGAGCATCATTACCATTCTAATCTACAAAGCTCATGAATAAAGAAAAATACAAAAACCTCAAGTTTTACAAAAAAAAAAAAACTTTTAAGTCTACATACATTAACAATAAAACCATTTCTTCCAGATAACAGGTAAAAGTATAAAGGCATACCACTGACTTTTTTTTTTCTAGATAGCCAGGAATGAACGAATGTTTAATATCTACGACGCTTATTAGGGCCTTCAAAGTTGCCCCCTTGACTTCCTCTACCAAAGCCACCAGGACCACCACTCACAGGACCTACACCACTCATTGGTGCTTGAGGGGTTTCAGAACCTGTTCTACTCCCCATAGGTGAACCCATCTGAGATGGTGGTCCTTGAGGAAATCTGTCATTGTGCTATGATACCACACAATAAGGAATAGAATATGAAGTCCATTTGGAACACGCCAAATATAAGTGACAAGAAAAATTGGCAAAATCCCAAGTGGTGGTGTCATGAAGTTCGGCAGAAAGTCCAGCAGAATCAGGATCACACATAGAAGGAAGAAAGGAGCAATTTAATTAGTTACTATGTTTTTTTTAAAAAAATGCAGCATCTGAAGATTTACATATTGCTAATGCTATGCCCCAATTTAAAGAACAAAGAACTGATTTCGTGACAGAAGCAAATGTAATCTTAAGCCTAAACAATATTATAATAAATCTCTGATTCCTTTTTTCAAAAGTTTATATTGCATGAAACTACGCTATGTAAGAAAAATACGTTCTTAAAAAAATCAGAGAAATAAAACTGGGGAGCAGCATCAATTCGGTTTTTTAAAAGTAAACATTCTAAAAAAAAATCTTCACATCAATTCCTTGAAGATAGAAAGCACTAATACAAACATACACAAAGAATTATGATTTCAGTATGGAAACTTCTGAGAGTGTTTTCCTTGAAAGATTATCATGGGAAAATAGTTTTAAAAATTAATGTAATAACATGCACTAATAAGCACATTTAAACATCTGAATTAAGTATTTTGAAAAACTTCACAATAATCATACATATTAATCTGAAAGGTTGGATAGAACTCCCTGAAGTGTAGCAGTAAAATGTCAGTGCAAAACAGACCAAGGGTGATATTTAAATAAAGTTTACAATTTCAGGGAGACAATAAAAAAATGGGACAGTTAATGTTACTTCTATGTTTCTATTGATGATTATATGCCACACAAAAACTTAACCAAAGTAGTATAAGTTTTTACTAGCTTTCAAACATATCACTATAAAATAAAGCCTCTACTGAAGGAAATAAATGCAATCACTGTGTTAAGCGCCATCTGTTCATAGTAGCCGTGCACTGCCTCATCTCCCTGTATAAACTATCATTTTAAAAAATCCAACTGCCAGCATGTCCAATTTCTCCAAATTCTTGAAGCAAATAAAATAATGATAAATGCTGCATTCAACTCTAAGACATACAATGCATTGCTTTTAACGTCTCTGATCACGGTGGATTTACAACTGATGACAGGTCTGAGTCTAACAGGCAGTGCTTTCTTTCTTTCTTAGCAGCATTGGCGCCTCAAGATTTCATACAGTAGTTTCAAAACTAAACTGCCTTTTCAAAATAGATAACCAAACAATTTCCCTTTCAAAATGTTATTTACAACAAGCATTAACAAACACTAAATGAGAAAACGGTTTGCCTAAAGTCCGATTTATATAGTGACAGACTTTAATAGAAATGATAAAAGGTATCATTCTTGCTACTAATATATTTAAATATAATAAAAATTACAACTGAAAAACCTTGTTTTCATAGTATTTAATCCACACAAAGATATCTTCACACTCTCAGATCAAGACAAAAAACTGTCTACTTTAAATTTACTAAATATAATTTAAAATTCTGTGAAAAGAATGCCACAATGGTGGTTTGGAAATACACAAAAACTTTAATGTTAATTTACAGCCAAATTCTTTGCAATAAATCATGACAGGTAATATTTTTATCAAAAATATTTACTGAAAACTGTGTGTTCATACATATTGGACTTTTGTCCCCATCAAATATAAGGAGTCCACACAGGAAAAGAACACTATCATAAAATGCTTGAACGTTAGAATGCTGGTAAAAGATGGAAACAAATTAAAAAGCACAGAAAAATATCTGTAATTAACATATGCATTTGCTATATACTGAGGTACCACAGCATGCCACAGACAGTAATCCTAATTCTTGGACTACTTAAAAACTATCTCAGCTGGACGCGGTGGCTCACGCCTGTAATCCCAGCACTTTGGGAGGCCGAGGCGGGCGGATCACGAGGTCAGGAGTTTGAGACCAGCCTGGCCAACATAGTGAAACCCTGTCTCTACTAAAAATACAAAAATTAGCCTGGCGTGGTGGCGCACGCCTGTAGCCCCAACTACTCGGGAGGCTGAGGCAGGAGAATTGCTTGAACCTAGAAGGTGGAGGTTGCAGCAAGCCAAGATCGTGCCATGCACACCAGCCTCGGCAATAGTGCGAGACTCTCTGTCTCAAAAAAAAAAAAAACTATCTGTAACACATCAACATATGATGTCACAAAATTTTCTTCTTCATTGGCTGCCAAAACAAATGATACCAAATTATATTAAGTGTGAAGTTATCCTTGATGCAGAAGTGTACATTACTGAATATAATCAAAATAATGTTTATGATACATTACCACTGCTCCATTATCTGGCATCATTGGAGTTCCCATATTTGCGGCTCCTTCTGGTCCCATGGCAGGACCAGGACCCATTGGTGGGCCAGGTATAGTTGCTCTGTTGTTCATATTCATACCCATCATTGGAGGAGGACCTTGGTTACCAGCAGGGGCTGGGCTAAACGCATCTATGTAAAACAATCTATACTTAGAGCTGTCCTATCTTAGTTTAGTAAACATTAACAATTTAACAATATTTATGCAATCTATATACCAAGACCATTATCAAAATTATTTTCGCTCCTTAAGAATGCGATATGCGTTATCTACTCTGTAATAGGGTATTACCTACACTCTAGAATTAGAATTTTCATCCCCAAGCCAAACGTACATAAAATCAAGGAGGAAACTATCAATCATTTTAGGGCATTTGAGACTAACAGTTTGCAAGCTTTGAGACATCACTATTATTTTGTAATAGCAGGCTTTTAAACCAAAGAATCCCTAACAATGGGGACTACATTTTACCAGTTTAAATGAGTAACAAAGGATTAGCACTTACAAAACCACTTAATTTTTTTCAACCCATGGCTAAAAATATTAGCAGTAAATTATGCTAAGTTGTGAGAGAGGAAATCATTTCCTGCAATATATAAATAAAGATCATTATAACTAGCCTCTCATCTTAGTTTTTTTTTTTTCCTCCCTGAGTTTATGGAATACCTTGCTAAATTACATAAGGTACTCTTTTTTTAACTTTTTATTTTGAAATATGGACTCTAAACCAAAAAATTGAAATGACTTATAAGAAAACTTATTTTTAAAAGCAACCGCAACCAAATACAGATAAAATATTAATATAGCTATCTGGATCTTTCTGACAAGCTTAAATTCCATAAATGGGGACAACCTGATAATATTTCAAGTTTTTTCATTAAAAAAATCCACCTACCTCATTAACATTAATAGTGTTTGCACTGTAATACTACATATATGATGATCTCAGATACAACACATTTTTAGGCATTTTCTTTGAAAAATTTTTTCCCTTTTAAGTGTTAGTACTTATCATTAAAAATTCATAACAAAGCCATTCTAATTTAGAGTTTTCTTCTAGTATTTCATTACATAGGTCAATTTTCTGATAATAAGAACTCAATTTCTCAAATATACATTATAATGCAGCTGAAATCTCTATATGGCTGAGTCCTTACCAGCCCCTGGCATCATACTTCTGCTCTTTGAATCCAATCCCCAGAAACCTAGCAAATTCATAGGAAGGAATTATTTCCTTCATCCCCAAATGCTCTTGCCGATAAACAGACTTTAACCAAGAATATTTCCGCTCCCTCAGTATAGCCCTAAATAGCTATTTTTAATAATTTCTACAATCTAGACATGAAGAGAATATAAGAACAGTATCTAAGAGGCGTCTTACCTCAACAATCCCCCAGAAAACAAACTAAGTTTCTTTTTCCTCTCTTTCTCTTTAATGGAATGTAATTTTACAATGGTGGGTTCGGAAGTTTTCTTTTTCCTCTCTTTCTCTTTAATAGAATGTAATTTAACAATGGTGGGTTCAGAATATAACTATACAACTATGGGTATAAAAAATCAAAAATAATATTTCCAACTAACAGCAGTTAACTTAGAGCCTTACTTTTAGTATTCACATCTTCCACCACATAGCTATAAATAAATTTAAAGATATAAAAAATGTTAGCATTATCTGATTACTAGAAAGGTAGCATTATAATGTAGGTTTCGTTTGGTTATACACACTAGTGATACACCAGAAAATCTGCTGCCACTTTCCATCAATGTAACTTGATGAGTTATGACAGTTTTAACTTCTCAACAACCCAACTGGATGATAATGATTAATAGCTCTACAAAACCATTATGATGAAGTCTCACATTGAATGAAGACTGAAGAGAAAATTAGATAAACTGGGCTTTAGGAGAGTTAAGTGCTAAAATGTAAGTAAGTCCTCTGGTGAATAAAATGTCACAAAAATTTTAAGTTATCTTCAATTCCTAACTAAATAAGGACTCTAAAGGCATATTCTGATATTTCTTCTGATAAAATTGCAGAGTATCTCTGCACCATCAGAAATGGTTTTAAGTTTTATACTATTTTAAAGTTTAGCTCTGATGTTAATGTCATTCTAATAATGATAACAGCCTTTTAAACTGCCTATAATCTACAATAACCTTATTCCTAAAATCCTTAAAATTACATGGATTATATTAAATAGCACCCCAGCATTTACTCTTAAAAAAAGACATAAATATTGGACCACTTGGACATCATTATACTCAATTATGCTTCATAATTTAGAACACTCTTGGTTCATTAATTATTTCACGTATCCACTGCAGTAATTTCACAATTAAGTTCTTTATGGGCGAGGGCCATGTTTCTTGCTTCCTGCATATATCAGAGATATTCACTAACTACTTGTTGGTAAAAAGTGACCAAGTAAAACAGCAATATATGACTCTACATTATCTGATTAGTAGTATTGAAAAACTGGCAACAGAAGTTTAAGAAAAAAAAGCTGATCATGGAAAATGTTCATTCCACACATGACTTAAGTTTCATTTGATAGACTATATATGCTGAGAACACACTTGATTTTGTAAATGGGTGTGCATGTTAAGTACATTGTTTGCCATGGTAGTGTAATCTTTGAAACTATGTACTTTTAAGTTATATAAAGATTTTTAGCTTCATAACACCTTTTGTGGGACAATTTAATGTGGGACAGCTTTTGTGGGACAATTAATTTAATAAAATTTAATTCCTTATCCAACTTTTAAATGTATGACATTTCAAATTTCAAATTTAGTAAGGCCTACGATATGCCACACTTGCTTTTCCTTCAGGTTATTTACTTGGCATTATTTCCCTTGCAACTTGGCTATACGAGCAAATCCATACTAAAGTTGCTAATATGCTTTCTTAAAAGCTTAGTCAACTCTAAAACATGCATTGGCGACACACATAATTCCCTTGATGAGTTATAGACTACAAACACTGAGTGCACTTCTGTGCACAACACTGTAGGTTAAAGGAAAAAAGTTCAATATTCATTAAAGTGAAGGAAAACAGCTTCAAAGTTACACAAAAAGCTAGTTTAAGATAGAAATGTATAAAACGCTCTCCACCTAAAAACACAACTCAGAAACTATCAATTTCCAACTCGGAAACTATCAATTTCCAGTGTTCAATTAGGACAGGCGAGGTGGCTCATGCCTGGAATATCAGCACTTTGGGAAGCTGATGGGGGTAAACTGCTTGAGCCCAGGAGTTCGAGACCATCCTGGGCAACAAAGCGAAATCCTGTCTCTACTAAAAATACAAAAAATAAGCCAGGCGTGGTGGCACATGCCTGTAGTCCCAGCTACTTGGTAAGATGGAAGGACCACTTGAGCCCAGGAAGTCGAGGTTTCAGCAAGCCAAGTTTGTGCCACTGTACTCCAGCCTGGGCAACAGAGTGAGGTCCTGCCTCAAAAAAAAAAAAAAAAAAAAAGCCAAATAGAAGGCATAAAATTTGATTTTAAAACTGCAAAGACAGAGCTGTATTACACAATGCAATGACTAAACTACCTTCAGGCTGTATTGCAACCTGGTTTATATGTTTCTTTCATTAAGCCTATGAATGTATAACACATCTTTTAGCCTTCAAACAAAAACAAAATGAGAATTTTCTTCCCAGACATATATTTTTAATATAATTGTATTGTATTCCAGTTTAATGGATGTAAGAGATTTCACCTTTAGAAATGTTGGTTCTGTATTTTAGTTTCTTACTGATATGTAGATACCACAAACAGCATAAACAGTCCCCCCAAAAATGATAAATTACAAAAGCCTTTTGCTTCAAATCCCTACCTCCCATGTTTATTGCTCCACGGGGACCCATATCACCCATTCTCATTTCCTGTTCTCTCTGTAAGTAAACATAGTTGTCACAGTCAACCTATCGATCTTATGACTTTACATTTCCCATCTAAAATCAAAAAGAAAAGAGTGAATTGGGACATCATTTTTCATTAAAAATTTTGAAAAGTTTCCATCATCATAAACTTAATAAGAATGCTGAAAAGAAACTTCAGTCTCCCAGGCTTAATATACTACAAATGCTTAATGCATCCAGTTTATATTGCAAGATTAGATTACTAATGAATCAGATTATATAAAATATATCACAAATTATTTTTAATGTTTTTATTCCAACAGATGAAAGACACATGCCTAGATTCCAAGCAAAGGAAAATCTAGTAATGATAACCACCAGAGCCAATTATTTTCTCCTCCCAGGTCACTGAAGTCTTAAAATAGAAATGACTGTTACCAAGTTCATGTTGAAATGTATTTGAACATATAACACAAATAGCTTTAGGGAATTATGCTAAAAATAAGGTTACAATCTTCATTGTCTAAATATTATAATTCATTCATGTATTTGTATTCATCTACTCAAGCATTATTCCATCCAGGGACTATAGATAGCCCACACAAGCAATTACTGAAAGCTCGACATAACATTGCTTTCCTTTAACTGCGCAGTAATTTTATTTGAAAACCTGAATGAAAGTATTACACAGTTAACTATAAAACAGAAATATTCAGAACATTTGAAATTTCATTACAGAAACTGCTTCCTAAAAGCTGTTCATTTACCAACAATAGTGACATAGAATTAACTTCAATGAAATCTCTAAGTGAAATTTCTCAAGATAACATAGGAAAATTGCAATTTTCACTTTGACTTGATGACCATTTCCAATCACAGAAAACTGTTAAATGTAGCAATCATGAAAAACATTCCATTATGAGACAAATGCAGCAATGTTTAAAGAAAGCATAATTACTGTACTTTTGAAAAGCAATCTTATTAAAATCTAAATGTTCATTTAAAGTTCCATTTTATAATACGAAAGACTGTTGAAAAGCACCTATAAAGCTGGAAATAAAATAAAAGCCTATGATGGAAACGTAATTGCCATTAAGCCACAAGTGGCTCCTTAAAAAAACTGCCTAACTTAAATGGAGATGTCCAAAGGTAATCCTAATGAAGCTACGGTACAATGAATGAAGCTACGGTACAACAAAAACACCATCATGAAGAGATAAAATGCTTTCTCACATTATTTAGAAGATTTAAATACCAATCTTTCTAAAAAGCTTAATTTTTTTTTTTTTCCCAGAGATCCTCGCTCTGTTGCCCTGGCTGCAGTGCAGTGGCGTCATGATAGCTCACTGCAGCCTCGAACTCCTGGGCTCAAGTGATCCTCCTGCCTCAGCTTCCCGAATAGATGGGATGACAAGCATGCACCATCATGCCTGGTGAATTTTTGAATTTTTTTTTGTAGAGATAGGGTCTCGCTATGTCAACCAGGCTGGTATCTAACTCCTGGGCTCAAGCAATCCTCCTGCCTCACGCTCGCAATGTGCTGGGATTACAAACGTGAACCGCAATGCCCAGCCCTAAAAGCCATGTTTTAACTTTCCTAAAAATTTCTCATCATAAAATTTGTGACCATTAATGGATACTATTGCTGACCTGCAAAAAAAGCTAGACTGAGGCGGGGTGCAGTGGCTCACGCCAGTAATCCCAACACTTTGGGAGGCTGAGGCAGGCAGATCATCTGAGGTCAGGAGTTCAAGACCAGCCTGGCAAACATGGTGAAACCTGTCTCTAGGTTGGGCGCGGTGGCTCACGCCTGTAATCCCAGCACTTTGGGAGGCCGAGATGGGCGGATCATGAGGTCAGGAGATTGAGACCATCCTGGCTAACACGGTGAAACCCCGTTTCTACTAAAAATACAAAAAAAATTAGCCAGGTGTGGTGGCAGGCGCCCGTAGTCCCAACTATTCGGGAGGCTGAGGCAGGAGAATTGCGGGAACCCAGGAGGCAGAGGTTGCAGTGAGCCGAGATCGCACCACTGTACTCCAGCCTGGGCAACAAAGAGAGACTCCGTCTCATAAAAAAAAAAAAAAAAAAAAAAGAAACCCCATCTCTACTAATAATACAAAAAAATTAGCTGGGCAGTAGTGGCACATGCCTGTAATCCTACCTCCTCAGGAGGCTGCGGTAGGAGAATCGCTTGAACCCAGGAGGCGGGGGTTGCAATGAACCAAGATTGCACTATTGCACTCCAGCCTGGGTAACAAGAGCAAAACTCTGTCTCAAAAAAAAAAAAAGCTAGACTGTAATATAAAATTGCTACTCATCAAGCATTATATTTAGAAAACTATTTTAAAATAAAGCTTCTGTTATCACTACTTTCAATAAACCAAACCAAATTGCCATTTCCTTATCACTACTTAGAAACTACTGATAGGTTCTTAGAACCTACTGATAAAACTTAAGAATGCTTCAAAACACCCAAAATCTTCTAGCTATAAAAATAATATCTATAGTATCTAGATAAGTATCTGTAACAAGCAAATATAGTAGACATTTCGTTGTTCAGAAGCTGGTTACACACCAGCACCATCGAGTAAAATACATGGATTTCATAGTCATGACTTTTGGGGAGGACAGGATTTCAATTTATATTTTTACTTTTGAATTTGTCTTCACTATGAAAGGTTAGGAATTCAATATCTAACCACTAATATAGGGTAATTGTTTACAGTCTCACTGCTTGAGATTTCAATTTTCAACTACCCCTTATATACCCTAATACCTTAACTATTGGCCTATGATTCACTGGCAGGAAAAAAGGGCATAAACAATCTTTTTTATTGTCTCTTTGTATTTTCAGCTCTATGTATCACTTTCTAGAATAACTTTCTAGAATAGTGCAAGCTTTATTATTCACAAAGTACCTTCTTTTATTATTAAATCCATTGTCATTAAGAAAATTTCACGGGAAATGTATCAATGTACCAAAAATATCTATGGTTTTAAGTTAACTATTAAACATGAACATTCCCCTTCTGGTGGTATATTATAAATTGGTACAAGTTCTAAAATACCTTTCTCTAAATGAGATAATCAGAATATCTTAGAATACTCCATGCTACCATAGCATATTACTGTATTAAAATACCAATTCATGAGGCACATTACAGCATTTTTCACTAAATATATATATATATACTTGTACTTAGTAATGTTGACAATATCTTAAAGATGATTACTGAATACTATTTTACACAGCTTTGCTCTTAAGAAAAAAGAGTATAATTTGATGGCATCATTTTGTAACTATCTTAGAAGGGGCAAAAGAAATTTTCAGCTTCCTAGTCATGTCTTCAGGCTGTTACTTTCTAGAAAACCACCGCTACAAACTTCTAGTAAAATGCAAAAGAGGTAGAGATTAGGATGATTTTGTAAAATGAAATACAGCATTCTTCACTAACACTAAATCTATCAAATATTAATAAGAATCACTTGAGGAAATTCACAACTGTGTGCCCACCCAACAAGCAATACACAAAACCCTTACTTCCCTCTATGAATGACTTTTAATAACACTTCAAATTAGAATTTAAGTTAGAACCAGTGCGTATACGTGATATTTTTACAAATTTTAATAATGCTTTATTACATTACAAAAAATTAAGAGTTGTTGTTTAAGCCAAAACAACTTATTTGTAACCAACATCTCAAAAGACTGCAGTGCGCTAAAATAAACCTATGATGAAAACTCAGTTTTACATTATTGATTCAACTCTATGAAGTAGGCCTACTGTTACCTCATTTTAGACATAATGAAACTGAGGCACAAAGCTGTTGAATAACTTAGTCAAGGTCATATGGATAGTAAGTGGCTGAGCTAACCTATACGATTCTACTGAAATGGAGTTCACAAAATTTTTGACGTTCACGAGATACTTTCATTCTTCAAAAATTCCAACATATCTCCATGTCCCAGACAGCCAAAAAAAAAAAAAAAAAAAAGAATTCCAACAGTCGAAGCCTAACAAAAGGCAAGATTTTAACTTATCTTTGCGGTATTTATAAGATTGTATGCCTTTCCATGGAAAGAATTATACATATGTATTCCTGAAAGCTTCGAATTCAAGTGTACTTAAATTAACAGATGACCAAAAAAGGAGGCAAAGTATGACTAATTCCCAGAACCACATGTCAAAAGAGCATTCCATCATTGCAGCGGTTCTTAACGTGTAGGTCATGGAGTACACTAAGAGTCCCCAAAACTCAGGAAGTGCACAGTCACAACTATTTCATGTTTTCCCAGCACTAAGATACAGTTAGTTATAGTACTATCATCAGACTTTTCTCTGTATCAACATTCACTACATTTAATGGTGCGAAAGTAATGGCTAGGAAAAGTCCCAGCACTATAGCACAAGCCAAGAGACTTGGGCCCAATTTTTACTAGTAACCACTGCATTTGTCACATGGATAAAACTGTAGTTTAAAATTTTAAACTATGAATACCTGGAGGAAGCAGTCAAAGTTAATTTTATTAAATCTCTATCCATGGGTACATGCTTTTTTCATGTTCTTCACAATAAAACAGGATTTGTCCACAAAGTACATCTGCTGCATTCTGAAGTAGGATGGTTATTTTAAGAAAAAGCATTCATAATTGAGGTGCATGTTGAATGAAATACTTTTTTCACAGAACAAGGTTTTTATAAGAGACACTATAATTATTGGCTTGAGTATTTGGCGGATATTTTCTATGAGATCAATATGAAGACATGTAACTTCTTTTTAATTTTGTAAAATAAATACATTAGCATTTTGGATAATCTGCTTAGGCCAATGCATCAGTATTTTTCTTCTGATTGGTACATAACACTAAAAAATCATGCATGGGTAAAAAATCCATTCAAAATTCAAAGCAGCCCAGCGGATTTCTTTTTTTTTTTTTTTTTCCTTTGTCAGTCTCACTCTGTTGCCCAGGCTGGGGTGCAATGGCGTGATCTCAACTCATGCAGCCTCTGACTCCCAGATTCAAGCAATCCTCCTGCCTCAGCCTCAAGGGTAGCTGGAACTATAGGCAGATACCATCACGCCCAGATAATTTTTGTGTTTTTTGTAGAAATGGGGTTTTACCATGTTACTTGGGATGGTCTTGAACTCCTGAGCTCAAGTGATCCACCTGCCTCAACCCCCCAAAGTGCTGTGATTACAGGTGTGAGCCACCATGCCCAGCCAACCCAATTAATTTCGATGTAAGAGTACTTTTAAGTTTTACAGTAGTATCAAAAAAATCCACAATTATCTTTAAAGGTTATTAACATACTCCTCCCTTATCACTTCTCCGTATAAAGTCAGGTCTTCTTTGATGCGTTTTAATTAAAAAGCTTTCTGCAATAGATGGACTGCAAAAGCAAACGTGGGAAGCCAACCATTTTTTATAGAGCAAAACAAATTTACAAAACATAAAACAACACCATTCTTCCCACTACACTAAAGGGAACATTAAAAGACATTTGCAAAAATGTACAAGAAAGCGACTCTTAACTCTGTAACGTTTTCTTTAAAACCTCGCTTTGGCTTATAATATGGTAAATATTGATATAATCCTTTAGCAGGACTTTGGCACCCTCAATAATTTTTAATAGTGATATGGAAAATTAAAGAAATATGGAAGCCAAAAGGTTTGAGAAGCAATATTTTTAAAATCGCAGTCAGTTTTCTTTCATGAAAATATAGAACAGGAAGCTTGCACTAAGTAAGGTAAATTAACCTAACAAATATTTTCCAAAGTGGCATGGTAAACATGCCACTACTGGCACATGGCACTTTTTGTGCAGAACATGGATATTTTTCCTTTAATATTTAGTACTTGGGCTATCATGAAACAAGGTTAGCATAACCATCCAAAACCCCAAGTGCTCCAAAATCCAAAACTTTTTAAACACCAACACGATGCCCAAAGTGGAAGATTCCATACTTGACCTCATGTGATGGGTCTAAGTCAAAATGTAGGCAAAACTTTCACGCACAAAATTACTTAAAATATTCTACTGAGCCAGGCATAGTGGTTCATGCCTATAATCCCAGCACTTTGGGAGGCTGAGATGCCAATTGCTCGAGCCCAGGAATTCAAGACAAGCCTGTGTCACACAGTGAGACACTGTCTCTTAAAAAAAATTTTTTTTGGACAGACACATAATCCCAGCACTTTGGGAGGCTGAGGCGGATGGATCACGAGGTCAAGAGATCAAGACCATCCTAGCTAACACGGTGAAACCCCGTCTCTACTAAAAATACAAAAAAATTAGCTGGGCATGGTGGAGGGCACCTGTAGTCCCAGCTACTCGGGAGGCTGAGGCAGGAGAATGGCATGAACCCGGGAGGCGGAGCTTGCAGTGAGCCAAGATCACGCCACTGCACTCCAGACTGGGCGATACAGCAAGACTCCGTCTCAAAAAAATAAAAAATAAAAAATAAAAAAATTAAATTCTATGAAGTTACCTTCAGGCTATGTATATAAGACATATATGAAACATAAGTGAATTTCATATTTGGATCTGGGTCCCATCCCCAAGATATCTCATTACATAATACACAAATGTTTCAAAATTCAAAAAAATCCAAATTCCAATACACTTCTAGTCCCAAACATTTTAGATAAGGGATACTCAACACGTATATTTTGTGGGTGTATATGTGTGTGTGTATTACCAATAACCTAATTTAAAGGAATGACTTAACACAGTACTCAGGTAAAGCTAAAGTGTAGTATGACCACCTAAACTTGGGGATACACTCACTGAACTAAATAAAAACTGCTTTAACTGTGTCAACTGGAACACCATTTAATGATCAATGACGAGAGGTATTCATCTAACACTTTATCAATATAACTCTTGTTTGAGTGAATGCAATCTTAATGGGCACAATCAATACTCTTTTTTAGGTCACAGTCAAAATTCTTTATTGATAAAGACCTCTCATGTTTATCTCAAAAAAAGCTTTAAGAATTGTCCAGGAATCACCACATGCTATTTAGGTTCTATGTCTCAAAAAACGAAAATGCTAAAATAATGTAGAACATTTAAATCCACTAAAAAATATATAATTCTAGAGAAAAATATAGTAAGTTCTGACAACAGGATTCAGCCTTTTTAATCAATTAGGAATATCTAAATATTCCTAAAAATAAATTCCCTAAAAAAAACTATATTTAGCAATTGAAAATATTTTAGTGTGAGCAAACTATATTCTATTACCTTTTCCTTCACTAAAGAAGGTTACATAACAGAACAATAAGGTTATAACCAATTAAACTTTCATGAGAAAGATTAAATAAGAACTGTTGGCCAGGCGCGGTGGCTCACTCCTGTAACCTCAGCACTTTGGGGGGCTGAGGCAGGCAGATCACCTGAGGTCAGGGGATCGAGACCAGCCTGGCCATGATGGTGAAACCCCATCTCTATGAAAAGCTTGGCGACACAGCAAGACTGCATCTCAAAAAAAACAAAAAAGAAAATCGTTAGGAGCCAGAAATATTAGATAACAAATTGTAGACACAAAGAATGAAGCAAAAATCACTTACATGAAATATTCATGGGTATTTTTAAAAACCTCAAGATATTAGGCCTCTTTGCCAAGAAAGTATTAACTCATGAAAAAAGTATTAAGATACTGAACAATATACATCAGCAAATGAATCTTTTCTAATAAAAGTAAACTGGGCCGGACATGGTGGCTCACACTTGTAATCCCAGCACTATGGGAGGCTGAGGCAGGCAGATCACTTGAGGTCAGGAGTTAGGGACCAGCCTGGCCAACATGGTGAAACCCCATAAATACTAAAAATACAAAAGAAATTAAGGCCAAGCACGGTGGCTCAAGCCTGTAATCCAAGCAGTTTGGGAGGCCGAAGCGGGCAGATCACCTGAGGTCAGGAGTTTGAGACCAGCCTGGTCAACATGGTGAAACCCATCTCTATTAAAAACACAAAAAATCAGCCAGGTGTGGTGGTGGGCACCTGTAGTCCCAGCTACTCGGGAGGCTGAGGCAGGAAAATCGCTTGAAACCAGAAGGTGGAGGCTGCAATGAGCCATGATAACACCACTGCTCTCTAGCCTGGGCAACAGAGAAAGACTCTGTCTCAAAAAAAAAAAAAAAAAAAAAAAGTTAGCCGGGCATGGTGGTGCACCCCTGTATCCCAGCTACTTAGAAGGCTGAGACAGGAGAATCACTTGATCAGGAGACAGAGTTTGCAGTGAGCTGAGATCGTGCCACTGCACTCCAGCGTGGGCGACAGAGGGAGACTCCACTTTAAAAAAAAAAAAGTAAATAAGGGTCAGGCATGGTGTCCAGTGCCTGTAATCTCAGGGTTTTGGGGGACCAACGCAGGAGGATCCCTTGAGGTCAGGAATTAGAGGTATGGTGACCTATGATTGCGTCACTGCACTCCAGCCTGGGTGACAGAATGAGACCTCACTCCAAAAAAATTTTTAAACGTTTTAAAATGAAAAGGAAAAAAATATACGTTTCTATTGATACAACTCAATAGCATGTAAACTTTCCAACCTAATCAATAGTGAATGCTTGGAAAACTTAACATTTGAAATTCAGGCAATTAAAAACAACAATTTCCAATATATGTTATTCGCTGCTAGTTAGTGAGGGGTAGTTTAAAAAATATAAGACAATCTCTTTATATATATATACCCAAGTTTTCTCCCCTCAATACATGCATTCCTAAATATCTTCACCCATGAATATCTGGGAAAATATTCTTCAGATATATGATTGTTAAAATGAAACTTTACATCGTATGCCATTGATAGAATTGCAAATTACATTGACGGAACTGCAAATTAAAATGAGACAGCACTACAAAACCTACTAGAATGGTGACAATCCGAAACACTGACAAAAACAAATGCTGGCCAAGATGCGATGCAACAAGAACTTCAACGTATTGCTGAAGGGAATACAAACAGGTGTAACCATTTTGCAAGACAGTCTGGCAGTTTCTGATAAAATTAAACATACTCTTACCATCTGATACAGCAATATCACTCTTTGCATTTTACCCCAAGGAGGTGCAAACTTATGTCTACACAAAAACCTACACATGAATGTTTATAGCAGCTTGATTCATAATTGCTAAAACCTGGAAGCAACTAAGATGTCCTTTAGTATATGAATGGGTGAACTGTGGTACAACCAAAATATTATTCAGTGCTAAAAAGAAATGAGCTATCAACCCATGAAAAGACATAGAGGAAATTTAAATGCACATTGCCAGGTGACTAGAAGCCAATCTGAAGAGGCTGTATACTGTATGATTCCAACTATATGACATTCTGGAAAAAACTAAACTATGGAGACGATAGAAGGATCAGTGGTTGCCAAGGGTTAGGTGGAAGGGATAGAGAAGCAGAGCACAGATTTTTAAGGAGGTGAAAATACTCTGTATGATGCTATAATCATAGGTTCATGTCATAGATTTGTCAAAACCCTCAGAATGTACACCCAGAGCAAATCTAAAGGTAAACGATAGACTTTGGTTGATAAGCACGTGTCAATGTAGCTTCAGCAATTGTTATAAGTGTATCATTCTGGTAAAACACTTTGATAGCAGGAGAAGCTGTAGGCATGTGGCACGGGGTAGACGGGAAATCTCTGTACCTTCCACATAATCTTGCTGTGGACCTAAAGCTCTTTTGAAAAAGGCTACTAAAATATTGAAACTTTAAAATGAATCCTTTTGAATAATCAATTACATTAAAAATAATAATAATAAATCAAGATGAGTCTCACTATGTTGCCCAGGCTGGACTTATACTCACTGGGCTCAACGGATCCTCCTGCCTCAGGCTCCCTAGTAGCTGGAACTACAGTCATGCCACCGCACCCAGCTAATTACATCTTAATTTATACTGCAAGGTTTAGTCACGAAACAAAAAGTAGTTGTTACTTGTTAAATACTAAATCAGAAATGGAGGCAACGACAAATAGAAGTAGGGAAACTTACTGTGTTCATTAACTTGACATGTGCCTCTTAAACCAAATACATTCAACAATGTATTTTGAAAGCCTCGGTCAGGTAATTGAGTGAATAGATTGCTCTGATATTACTGTCAAATTCAACTGAATGTGTAGCAAAATTAATGGCTGTTTTTTAATACATAGGGTGGCTTTCTAACCGAAGATCAATTAAATGTAAACACAATCTAGCACACATCAAGGGACAGAAGGAAATAAGTATTTTACATAAATTAATTGTTAAAGAAGCTTCTATTTGGCTGAGATTTTAAGAGACGGGCCTCTCACTATGTTGCCCGAGCTGGCCTTGAATTCCTGAGCTCAATTGATCCTCCCACCTCAGCCTCCCAAGTAGCTGGGACTACAAGGCACACAACACTGCTCCTAAGAATTTTATTTGTAATGCATACACCTGAGAGCATTTTCAAGATTACCAGTTTCAATTGTCAGGTGTAAACTCACTCTGAAGAGGTGCTTTTAAAACCTAAAATTGATTAATAGTATTTAATTATTCTTCAAATTTAGTTATTTTACCCAGAACTCCTAAAAAAAACAATGAGCAAGGATACCAGCTGTAAGACAAACAATACTAGCAATAAAATCTTACCAAAGTTCACATAATACTGGTGACTGGTTTGCACTTCTTGATCCAAAACCTCTTTCTTATCCAGTGCATTTCCTTACCAAAGTAAAACCATCATAACTGGCCAGGTCAAGGTATGAAAGGTGAAAGAAAAGAACAAATATAAACTGCACAAGCAGCAGTTCCAAATTGGTCCCGTCAACAGAAAAAAGCAGAAAAGAGGAAAACAAGGCATAGATGGCCAACGTATGAGTTAAGTACACATTTTATACAGGAGAGTATCCATTTCTGTTTGTGATAGTCGGCATTAGATAAATCATCTTAATAATTTACCAGAGGCCTTGAAATTGTGATGTTAGTACATATTTTCTTCTAAGTAACTAACTCAAAGCTACAGGTTTAAATACATAGTCATTTTTTACACATTTAAGTGGTACCAAAATAAAAATCAAAGTTATTTAAAATTTGCCATTATAAAACAAACTACTGTAACAATCATATCAATTGGTTAAAATCATATATAGAAAAAACAAGAATAAATCAAATGAAGAAGTTATCTTAAGAAAACTATGGTAAAACAACCAGAAAAGCCAGGGTTTGACACATAGTGCACAATATAGTATAAGATACCATTAAGAAAAGAAACAAACTTACCCATAAACTTTCAGTTACTTTGAATTGTAAAAGTCTTTGAAAGTTTGTAATTATAATTATCAATCTAACTCAAATAAGTAAAAGCCTTTGAAAGTTTATAATTATAATAATTACCAATCTAACTCATAACTGCATCTCATCAGATGCTTACAAACCAGAGTTCCTACAGCCTACATCTCACTAGTTGTTACTTAATACTGAACATAGACATTATAATTTTTTAGTTTTAGTACAAAATTCTAACATTTTAGATGATACTACAGAGATACTATCCTCAATATGAAGTATAGAAGATCTTAGATACTGACTAGCCTAAAATATAATTTACCGTCACTATGTAGAACAAGCACTGTAAGGTGGCTCCAAATACATTAAACAAGTCACAAAGCAGAAGTAACAAGTTAAATTTTTATGCCTTCTGAGGATCTTCTGTTACTAATTCAAACTAATAATTAAAATTATTATTAGTTATATTATACACTAGACAATGCACAAGATATGTTTACATTAGTTAACCATGTCTATTTGCCGGTCTTGACTCTCCTCTTCTCCGATTGCTCAAAAAAGAGTTAACATTAGCTAAAAAATCTTACCATTCTGAACCAAAAATTATTAGAACTTACCATTTCAAATGAAAAGACATGAGGTATACCTACAACACAGCAGGAATAATAAACAAATCACATCATTTTATAAACACAGACATATACACACACAAAAGTACCAAGACTATTTAATGACACTCTCAGTAGAGAATTTCATTTTCTAAATTCTCAGAACGTTTGAGCTGTTTCTTTTAACATTACTCTGTATAAGTACTCAGCACCTAAAGTCCTCTAACATCCTCTGTATCCTCCACAGTGCTCAGCACTATGTTTTGAATACAGGAAACAGTGAACAAATTTTTCTTCCAAAATGGAAACCTCCCAGACGACCTGTAAGTCTAATACTCTGAAGTAAAAAGTTAGGTGTGTTGAAAACCAAGCAAAAAAAAATTGTTTCTTTGGCTGCTTTTAAAAATACTCTTCATTACTTAATCACGTATGAAGTCTATAAAAATGTATCAGCAGTTGTACCTCAATGCCACCTATGTTTTCCAAAGTGCCAAATGTGTAATATCTGAGGCATTAATATTCAATAAATGCCAAGGTCTAGTGATCCATACAGACTGAAAACCATAACTGAGCTGCATTGGCATTTGAAAAACAAGACTTCAAACAGCTACTTAATTCTCTCAGTTTACATCTAAGTAACTATAATATGACAAACATAAAATTCGTGACCTCGAAAAATTCAGAGAACACAATTAGTAGACAACAAAGTCAGAAAAAAATTAGAATACAACTTGGTAAATATAAAGAATAAACTATATTGAACATAAAAAGGACCAGGTGCAGTGGCTCACACCTGTAATCCCAGCACTTTGGGAGGCAGAGGCAGGAGGATTGCTTTAGCCCAGGAGTTTGAGATCAACCTAGGGAACACAGTGAGACTCCAACTCTACAAAAAAAATGTTTTTAATTAGGAGGGGCTGGTGTCACACACCTGCAGTCCCAACTACATGGGAGGCTGAGGCAGGAGGATCACTTAAGCTGAGGAGTTCAAGGTCACAGGGCGCTATGATCGTGCCACTGAACTCCAGTCTGGGTGACACAGCGAGAGCCTGTCTTAAAAAAATTTTCGGCCAGGTGTAGTGGCTCACTCCTGTAATCCCAACACTTTGGGAGGCTGAGGTAGGTGGATCACCTGAGGACAGGGGTTCGAGACCAGCCTGGCCAACACGGTGAAACCCCGTCTCTACCAAAAATACAAAAATTAGCTGGGCATGGTGGCGGGTGCCTGTCATCCCAGCTACTCGGGAGGGTGAAGCAGAAGAATCACTTGAACCTGGGAGGCGGAGGTTGCCATGAGCTGAGATCGCGCCACTGTACTCCAGCCTGGATGACAAGAGCAAAACACCGCCTCAAGAAAACAAAAACAAAAACAAAAAAATTTTCTGGCCAGGCACAGTGACTCATGCCTGTAATCCCAGCACTTTGGGAGGCCAAGGCAGGTGGATCACTTGAGGTAAAGAGTTCAAGAGCAGCCTGGCCAACATGGTGAAACCCCATCTCTACTAAAAAATACAAAAATTAGCCGGATGTAGTGGCGAGCACCTGTAATCTCAGCTACTTGGAAGGCTGAGGCACAAGAATCACTTGAACCCAGGAGGCAGAGGTTGCAGTGAGTCAAGATCACGCCACTGCACTCCAGCCTGGGCAACAGAGCAAGACTCCCTCCTTAAAACCAATTTTTAATTTTAAATTATTTTAATGAAAAAGATGACAGCTGGGGTGAGGAATCAGAAGAAACACATGACCTGAGTCTGAACAGATATTCTCCAAAAGGAAAAAAGAAAACATGATAATTTTTCTGGATTATGAACCTCTCTGAAACTCTAACAGAAGGTAAGATCAAAAAAATGTTAATCAATACAATTAAGTGTCCTCTGATGAAGTGTGTACACAGTATGAGATTCAGTCATCATTTCCAAGTAGTCATTCAAAAAAGATTTACAAATATGAATGATAAAACACAGAAAACCATTACTAATAATCATAGCATATGATTAGGCTAACTATACCTCCTGGTTCACCTAAGAAAGCCCATTTTATGCCTATTGTAGGAAGTATTTTAATAGTATGCATGTTCATTTGTCCCAGTTTGTATGAAAAATTCTACGGTTTCCCACACATCATTAGATATTATTGAAACTATTAAATAATCTTTGGAGGAGTGATCAAATAACTCAACACCTGGTTAAAACTGACACATACCTTCAACCAATTATCCCAAATCAGCAAAATCCTACAAATCAATTCTAAGAATATGTGTAAACATTACAAACTTATATATATGTTTGTTTTTATTTGATCACAAAAGTCTAAGTTAAGTTACAATTATGTACCGTGCCAAATATTGAGAAAAATCCTTGGCTTGTAATAAATTATTTTAATGAATAAGTAAAAACATTAACAACCGAAACTAGTCACAACTAGAACATTACATATGAGACCATTGCAATGTCTGTTATTATCCATTTTGATTTTCACCAACATGTCCAAACCACTGGGACTAGGCCATCATTATACCATAAATAAGCCTACCAGTCCAGCAGGTCACACTTAAATCTGACATCAAATCCTTCAGCAAATAATTCTTTAGTTATTTCCATAACTTAATGAAGAGGCCATAAAAATCCCTTGTAAAATGTGTCTTTTGTTTGAATGCTTCAGAAGTTTAGACTTCAAAAAACAAATCTTCTTAAGCAACATAAATTCCTCATTAGAGCTTTAAAAACTGTAGAAAAAGAGGGACAGCCATGTGGAAACCACAAAACTGTAACTTCTGCTCTGGAATCTTCACAAACCATTTCAGAAAATAAATTTGTATCTATTCATTAGTAAATAACAACAGGATCACTCTTCTCTGACAGCATAAATTAATGGAATTTTTTTTTTTACCAGATAGAGTTTCTGTTTTTCAGTTTTACACGTGCCACATCAGGGAAAGTTAGGTTATGATTAAAGCAAGAGATGATAGATGAACAAACAAAGAAACAACAACAAAAAGCCCATGCAAGAGGCAGGAAAAGAGGCTGACTGGTTAAAGAACAGGCCAGATTGGACAATACTGATCAAGAGGGGTTCACATTTGAAAGAACAGTGCTTTATTCCTCTACTGACTAGAACTAAAGGGATTTTGGCCGGGTACGGTGGCTCACACCTGTAATCCCAACACTCTGGGAAGCCAAGGTGGGCGGGTCACGAGGTCAGGAGTTCGAGACCAGCCTGACCAACATGGTGAAACCCCATCTCTACCAAAAATACAAAAACTTTGCCGAGCGTGGGCCGGGCGTGGTGGCTCATACATGTAATCCCACCACTTTGGGAGGCCGAGCGGGCGGATCACCTGAGGTCAAGAGATCGAGACCATCCTGGCCAACATGGTGAAACCACATCTCTACTAAAAATACAAAAATTACCCAGGCGTGGTGGCGCACGCCTGTAGTCCCAGCTATTTGGGAGGCTGAGGCAGGAGAATCACTTGAACCTGGGAGGCGGGGGTTGGAGTGGGCCGAAATCATGTCACTGCACTCCAGCCTGGCGAGACAGCAAGACTCCGTCTCAAAAATAAAAATAAAAATAAAAATAAAAAATTAGCCAATCGTGGTGGCGCGTGCCTGTAATCCCAGATACTCGGAAGGCTGAGGCAGGAGAAACACTTGCACCTGGGAGGCAGAGGTTGCAGTGAGCCAAGATCACGCCACTGAACTCCAGCCTAAGCGACAGAGCAAGACTCCATCTCAAAAACGAAAAAAAGATTTTAAAATCCCAGGTGTCAGCTGCAATGCAGTGACTCTTTACCATTTCTTCCCATTAACTTTTGCTCTGGTTTATAACCATGACTACCAATGAACCTTCTGGATACTAATTTGGATTCCTCAGGAATCCTTGGATCTGGAATATGAGGTACTGTGCTCAGTGAGCCTTCTAAAAACACTGGAAAAGAATATATAAATGAATAGATTTGCATTATTCTTCACAAGCTCTACGAGTTTGGTAATATGAGCCACTTTTATAGATTCCCTTCAACTCTCGGATTCAGAGGTCAGCAAACATTTCAGGTAAAGGGTCAGGTGTAAATATTTTTTAGGCTTGGCAGGCCATGTAGTCTCAATACAGTCTCACATAGTTGTGTCACAACTACTCAAATCAGTTTTTGTAGGGCAAAATAAACAAAACAAAACAAAACAAACAAAAAAAAGTGTTACAAAAATAGGCAGCATGTGAACTGAGCCTGGTCTGTTCTAGTCTGTCAACCCCTCGACTGGATGAGACAATTAAAATTATTAGAACTATGCACGCAAAATTAATGCATAGTTTGAGATAATATGTCCTGCACATATAGTCTGAAAGCCCAAATCAAGGTTGCCACACCCAAATTCTGCAGGGTACTATTCACGTAGAATGTCATACTGTTTGAACCGTGTTCTAAAGATGGATATATAACCATATGCAGTGGTAGGCAACTGTAGTCCCACTATTCAGGAGACTGAGACAGGAGGATAGCTTCAGGAGGTCAAGACCAGCCTGGGTAACACAGGGAGACCCAATCAAAAGAAAGAAAAAAATGAAGAAAGATGGGTACAGCAGCATGCCTACTCTCCCAGCTACTTGGGAGGCTGAGGCAGGAAGATTCACTTAAGCCCAGGAGTTTGAGGCTGTAGTGTGCTATAATCACACTTGTCAATAGCCACTGCACTCCAGCCTGGGCAACACAGCAAGATACCATCAATAAATAAATAAATTGCATCCTATATAAATCTTACACCATGTTGAACCACATCAAGCATGCCTTCCACTAACACTCCCAGGATCCATGAAAAATTCAACTATTTTCATTTCAGTATGTCTCATTTCAATACAAGGCCAGTAGTTTTGAATCTTCGCTACCAAAAAGAAATAAGCAAGGTGTAGAGTTTTCTTTAACACGTATATCTCCTGGTACCAACCTAGACACACTGAATCAAAATACTTGGAGGACTGAATCTCAGGCATTTTTCCTTAAGTTCCACAAATATATTGCAAGGTTGAAAACTACTGGATTTAGCAAAAAAATGTGATCAAAGATCAATGTATTACAATCTACCTGGATCACAAAACAAATCAATTATTAGTAGTATGATCTAAGAACCCACATTTTTTAAAAGCTCCTTGAGTGTTTATTACGTACATTGGAAAAACACTGTTCTGCTGGGCACAGTGGCATGTGCTTGTTGTCTCAGCCACTCAGGAGGATGAGGAAAGAGGACTGCTTGAGCCCAGCCTGGGCAACATATCAAGACCCCATCTCTAAAAGAAAAAAAATGTTTTACATTGTCCTTGGAAGAAGCACTACACTGCTAGCCTCTGCCAACATTCCCTTAATCATTCTGGCCTCACAGTCCCTCGGGTGCTACAATGGAATGCCTCTGACAAGCAAAGAAATACAACTGAGTCAAACTGTTGCCTTAGCATACAACATACCTTTATTCTCAAGTTTATTATGTGTGTTGAATAAACTGTGTTGAAACACCTAGGGCTATTCCCAACTACTCAAATGGGACTAATAAGCTTTAATAGTAAGTCAGGTATATATTTAGTTCAATGCAGGAAACCTGAAAAGGGTATGAAGAATTATTCTTTTCTTTATTGAAAAGGCAAACATTAATATGTACCATACAAGAAAAAGAAACTTCTCAGCTGGGTGTGGTGGCTCATGCCTGTAATCCCAGCATTTTGGGAAGCCAAGGCGGGCAGATCACCTGAGGTCAGGAGTTCGAGACTATCCTGGCCAACATGGTGAAACCCCATCTCTACCAAAAATACAAAAATTAGCTGGGCATGGTGGCAGGCACCTGTAATCCCAGCTACTCGGGAGGCTAAGGCAGGAGAGTCGCTTGAACCCAGGAGGCAGAGGTTGCAGTGAGCTGAGATCATCCCATTGCACTCCAGCCTGAACGACAAGAGTGAAACTCTGCCTCAATAAATAAATAAAAAAAAAAAGAAACTTCTCAAATTTTAAAACCAAGTAACATACAATTTAAACATCACCCCAATTTTCCTAACCCAAATATTTCATAACTACATGATACAATAACTAAAGCTAAAATAAGATGGACGTTTGGATATTTTTATGACATTAACATTTTCCCAAGAAGCAATGTTTACTCCAAGAAACTGCATCAACCAAATGCTAGAACTAAAATCTGTCATTTAGTCCAATGCAGATTTTTCCCATAAAGACTGGTAAGTACTGAAGTGTTTAAACTACTTAATCTACAGTTGGTGGAGTAACCTAATATGAAAACAATCACAAGACAATTATAAAAAACAATCTCATAAAATTCTCATTGCTTCCAGAATAATAGCTTTTAATGTGTCCAAAAATTGTGATAAGTAGAAAATTTCCACTTAGTAAATACTGCCTGGAAAAAAATTGAATACACTCTATATTATGGTAAAGACAAACCTAAATGCAATTAAGACATATTATTAAAATGTATACATTCTTAAGGCAGTTGAATGTTATCCTAAATGAGTAAAAAATGTTGTTTAATTTATAGTTACAACAGTAATTATCAAAAAGTTTGTCTTCTAAGGAAAAATCAAGTATTAAATAAAACTGACAACTGATATTGATGAAGTACTGGCTTACATCCTTGAAACTCTTAAAAATATATTCCCATGTGTCATAAAATTATGATCAAGTTGAAGGCTGACAAACAAAAAGATGACCAGATATGACAAGTGTTTTCACTCTTTCTTTGTTACATGAAATTATTATTTAAAATGTGAAATATGTAAATCAATATTTATTTTATACTTAAAAGTCCCATAACTCTTAGTTTTGTTGGAATATTTCTATTAGGAAGGCAAGAAGAGAGAGGTGGCATCTTAAAATTAACAAAGAAAATCAACTTTACTCATTACTTGGACAAGTTGAACACTTACCATTTGATTCCTCCCTTTAAACTGAACAGTGAAATAAAGAGAAAGCACATAAGAGGGCCTAATTTCAAAGCTTAAACACACACACACACACACACACACACACACACACACACACACACACAGCATTAAAATTGTTTAACAATTTTCTCCAAAGACAGTTTTCAAAGTAAATGAAGAACAACTGCCAGAATGGCCTCAATGCATTCTTAATACAATGCTTTCCTATTAATATACTCCCATTAACACAAAATATTTGAGATAGGTAGAGCTTTCATTCATATTGCTTTTAGTGCTTAAGTTTGCAGTAGTAAGAGGCACTGTGAAGCTTGGAACCAAATAAAACTGACACCAAAATAATGAAAAACTTGTGTAGATTCATATCACTTCTAATCACAAATAAACTTATAGAACACTAGTCAGTGTTACACAATTATCATACCTCATTTACATACTATTTGAAATACGGATATCCCAAAAAGTTAAGAGCATAGTAACTTTGTGGTCTATCTACCATAAATACTAATTTTAAAATTTTTTAAAAAACATAAATATTCCAGCCCAGGTTTCCACAGACACTATAAAAAGGTCAGAAAAAAATATTTTAAGTTATTGCGAGTCACAAATCATTTCTAATATTCTTCTTTCTTTTGCAATAACCCTTTAAAAACAGAAGCACCATCAGTATCTCTGTGGTGGAGTAATAAAAACCAGGCAGTAGTCCCAGGCTAGAGCTTGCCAACTTACACTCTAGCCAAATTAATTTTATCATGATGCTTCAAGTATGCGATACATACTTTAAGTAACTACTAGAAAAGAAGGTATATTGTCACCTAATGCTTTTCTATAAGCATAATCTTATGAAACAATAGATGATCTATTTTAGAAATGTCGGCTGGGCATGGTGGCTGACACCTGTAATCCCAGCACTTTTGGAGGCTGAGGTGGGCAGATCACTTGAGGTAAAGAGTTCGACACCAGCCTGGCCAATATAGTGAAACCCCGTCTCTACTAAAAATACAAAAATTAGCCAGGTGTGGTGGTGCGCACCTGTAATCCCAGCTACTTGGGAGACTGAGGCAGGAGAATCGCTTGAACCTGGGAGGCAGAGGTTGCAGTGAGCTGAGATTGTGCCACTGCACTCCAGCCTGGTTGACAGAGCAAGATTCCGTCTCAAAAAAAAAAAAAAGGTTACTAAAATATTAAAGACAGGAAGAGAAAACCTATAGACTAAAAGAGGCTGGATATAACAGTCAATTCAAAGAAACCAAATGTTTAAAAAAAAAAAAATTAAGACCTGTGCAAATCTGGGCTTTAATTAGTTAAGATGAAAGAGCTGACCATTTTTAAAATATGATAAAGATTTTTTTAAAAAGTCCTCATCTTTTAGAGATACATACTGAAAATAAAATTATATGAAATCAGGTATTTCAAATAACATAAATTGGGAAATAAAGTGGTTATACTTAAAGATGTAAAAGATTGGCCATATGTTTATAAGTGTTCACTACAATTCTTCTGTACATGTCTGAAATCTTCCAAAATAGAGATGTTTCAATATTAGTATGTGGTGAAAATCAGTCAAGTGGAAATGATGTATATATCAAGATTTCTAACTTAATAGCATATGTTTTTTTAAAGATCAACCAAAATAATAGGAAAAAATATAACATCCACTTCATAAAACATAGATATCTTCAGAAACTAATTTTACTTTACCACCTATGAGAGGTTAAGAAAATCACTAATTTATCAAACATGATGAATTTAGAAAGATTAGAAAAGACTACTGTATAAACCAAAATCTAAAGCATTCTAAATATGCATCATAAACCTGAAAATATAAAATCATTTTAGTTAACTAGTAGTTTACTTACATTTTCCATGTAGTTTGGCTTAAAGCCCTCTTGCTGTCGCCTCAGTTCCTCCTGTTCTCTGTGTCGGATCATTTCTTCCTCACGCCGCCGATGCTCCTCTTCATGTCTGAAAATTTTTCAAATAAAAATTTCAGCATCATAACATGTGGGCTGCCATTGGACATTTTACTTCATGTAAAATGAAATCATTTATGCAATCATATTATGCCAAACCTGTAATCACGACTGACCACGGCATCCTAAATTTACCTTCCTTCTATGTCACTCCAAGCCTTTAATAAATCAAAAAAGCCAAAGAAATAAAGTAACTTAGCTAAGGTAAACCAGAAAAACAAAGTAAAATCATAACTAGGATAGTTATTTGCGTATATTCAAGAAATTGAGAGTCAAAAAAAGCTGAAACATGTACTCTCTTACTATAGAAAGGAAAAAATCTCAGCCAGCCATGGTGGCTCACACCTGTAATCCCAGCACTTTGGGAGGTTGAGGCGAGTACATCACCTGAGGTCGGGAATTCAAGACCTGCCTGGCCAACATGGTGAAACCCTATCTCTACTAAAAATACAAAAATTAGCCAGGTGTGTTATAATCCCAGCTACTCGAGAGGCTGAGGCACCAGAATAGGTTGAACTCAGGAGGCAGAGGTTGCAGTGAGCGGAGATCGCGCCCCTGCACTCCAGACTGGGCAACAGTGAGACCCTGTCTCAGAAAAAAAAAACAAAAAAACAAAAAAAAAAAAAACAGAAAAAGTCTGAGATCTACTGATCTATCACTGGCACTGCACAGTTCTTAAAGCCACTCAGAACATATCCAGAGATAAGCCACCTCAAAAAACCACAATGCCTAGACAAAAATCCTATTTCCAAAAGGAAGCCTTACCAACTCCTCCCTCCCCATATTCATCAACCCACTGAAAGAAATCCCCTGAAGCAGGTGTCAGTCCACAATCTGCTTTTAGAAATTACGTGTTATAGCATAAACATTTACATTACTGTCTATGGTTACTTTTAAGAGGAAAAATCTATATAGTAATATTGAAGTAACAGACTCACATTATATTGGCATTTAAACCAATGCAAATTCAAATATACACAGGTTGAGTTTCCCTAAACCAAAAATCTGAAAGCATTCTTGAATCTTTCTAAACCTGAAATGCTCCAAAATCTGGATTTGTTGTTGTTGTTGTTGTTGTTGAGACAGGGTCTTACTCTGTCACCCATGCTGGAGTGTCCCAATCTCAGCTCAGCTCACTGCAGCCTTGACCTCCCAGGCTCAAGCAATCCTCCAATCTTAGCCTCCCAAGTAGCTGGGACTACGGGCACGTGCCACTATGTCCAGATAATGTTTTGTACTTTTGTAGAGACAGGGTCTTGCCATGTTGCCCAGACTGGTCTTAAACTCCTGGGCTCAAGTGGTCTGCCTGCCTCAATCTCCCAAAGTGCTGGGATTACAGGCGTGAGCCCCAACACCCCGGCTGGAACTTCCTGATAGCCAACATGATGTTTAAAAAAATGCTCACTGGGGCATTTCAGATTTAGGATGCTCACCTGGTAAACACAATGCAAATACTGAAAATGTGAAAAAATCCAAAATACTTATTCTGGTGTTAAACATGTCCCATAATGGATACTCAAGGTGTATGCCCTCCACCAATAAAACTGCAAAAGTAATTTATATAGTGAAGGCTATATAAAGCTGATGCCCCATTATTAGGTCTCGTTTTCCAGATTACTCTTATAACGTACTTTTCCTACATTTAGAATTGCAAATCCTCAAATTTCAAGATACCTTGTTCTTGTTTGTTGCACAACACTCCCGCTAAATCTGAGTCCACTAATTCAAAGATATGGTGATTTCTTCTATTACCAGAGAAAAAACTCAGAACTTCATGTCAGACAACATGAACAAAAATGTTCCTAAGGGATTTCACGCAAAATCTGGACTATTTTAAGATTGTTGTCTTACTCTCTATACAACTCTTAGTATAATCCTTAAAAATAATCTTTAAGTAAACTGGTTAATCCATTTCCTGGATATTAACACATTTCATATATTTTACTGTGAAGAAAGTACTTCACATTCATGGGTGTGGGTGGCGATGGGAAGATCCAATAAAGGTCAAATGTGTTGAAATTCAGTTTTTCTCATTTAAAAAAGGGTCAATATACTCATAATATACCAATACTACTTATAAAAAGAGTCAATATACTAATAATATACTTATATGCTCAGTGGGATCTGGGGCAGCACCCCATAATCAACCACATTAATATTTCTGCAGTAAGATAAAACATTCACACTCTGGAGGTAATAAAGGTTTCACATAACAGGAGTTCAGATCAACTTTTGCCATCAAATGGATTCACGTCAGATTGCCACCTGAATGAGGATACATAGAAAAACTTTTGGCAGGGCGCGGTGGCTCACGCCTGTAATCCCACACTTTGGGAGCCTGAGGCAGGTGAATCACCTGAGGTCAGGAGTTCAAGACTAGCCTGGGCAACATGGTAAAACCCTGTCTCTACTAAAAATACAAAAATTTGCTGGACGCGGTGGCACGTGCATGTAATCCCAGCTACTCGGGAGGCTGACGCAGGAGAATCGCTTGAGCCCAGGAGGCGGAGGTTGCAGAGAGCTGAGACTGCGCCACTGCACTCCAGCTTGCACAATACAGCGAGACTCCATCTCAAAAAAAAAAGAAAAAGAAAAAGAAAAAAAAAACACCAACTTTTTAGTCTCAAAGCTTCCGAATTACAAAGACAATACAGTAGACACAGTGACCTTGTTGGGGGCCCACTTCTACCACATAATTTTAAATGAACAAGCCTATTTCCAGTAAACAGAAATGTACGCACAAATGTGCAGGGACATATGTATACACAGATATATATTGTGGCATTATTTATAAAAGCAAAAGATCAAGGACACATTAATCAGTTATAAATGGGAGACAAGGTTCACTGACACCTTGGGAGACAAGAAACACATCTGTTACAGAGGTGGATTACTATCTACTGGCATGAAAGAATGTCTGCGATGCAAATGTCAGGAAAAAGGGCAAGTAAAAGAATGGTATTGCTATTACTGCTTTTAAAAACCATTTTTATGGCCGAATTTGGTGGCTCACACCTGTAATCCCAGGATTACTGGGATTACTTTGGGAGGTGGAGGCAGAAGCGAAGGTGGGAGGATCACTTGAGTGACAGCCTCTCTCCACGAAAAATAGAAAATATTAGCCACGGCCATGCACAGTGACTCATGTCTGTAATCCTAGCACTCTGGGAGGCCGAGACGGGCAGATCACTTGAGGTCAGCAGTTCAAGACCAGCCTGGTCCACATGGTAAAACCCCATCTCTACTAAAAATACAAAAAAATTACCCAGGTGTGTTGGCGCACACCTGTAATCCCAGCTACTCAGGAGGATGAGGCAGGAGAATCGCTGGAACCTGGGAGGCGGAGGTTGCAGTGAGCTGAGATCATGCCACTGCACTGCAGCCTGGGTGACAGAGCAAGGCTCCATTTCAAAAACAAGAAAAAAGAAAAAAAAATATATATATATATATATTAGGCAGGTATGGTGGCACACGCTTGTAGTCCCTGCTACTAGGGAGGCTAAGGTGGGAAGATCACTTGAACCCCATAAGGTGAGACTGCGGGGAGCCGTGATCACACCACTGCACTCCATTCTGGGTGACAGAGTGAGATTCTGTCTAAAAAATAAAATAAAAATGATTTTTAAAACCATAGAAGAGGGTATGAAAAAGTTTATATACCACATTGGAAATGATTAGGGGAACAGGAGCATTGCCCTTACGATTATACCACACAGAAGATTCTATAATCTAAATTTAATGACAGCATACAGAAACATTCCTGTTGTCCATATATGTTTGCTTTCAATTATTTCTACTCCACAAATGCTTTAATGACCACCTTTATAATTATACAAATTACCTCTTCAGGTCAAGGATTGCTTTCTAGGTTATATTCACAAATGGAACTACTAAGGAGAGGAGAACTAGTAATTATGACAAATTTTAAACCTTCACGTTACATTTAATTGAAAACTAATAAAATTTCAATTTTACAATTTGTTTTATTTTGAGGCCCATTAATTATTTACAGGTCTCAAATATTCTTGCAGGATTCTGAAAGACGCCTACTGGATGAAACCTCCTTGCTGTTATTGTTCAGCACTATGGCTCCACATCCAACACAGAGCCCAAGACAGAAGAAGGGCTTTATAATAATTCGCTAAATGACTTAAGAAAGGAAGTGGGGGCCAGGCGCACTGGCTCACGCCTGTAATCCCAGCACTTTGGGAGGCCAAGGCCGGCAGATCACCTGAGGTCAGGAGTTCGAGACGAGCCTGGCCAACATGGTGAAACCCTGTCTCTACTACAACTACAAAAACTAGCCTGGCGTGGTGGCAGGTGCCTGTAATCCCAGTTACTTGGGAGGCTAAGGCAGCAGAATCTCTTGAACCCGGGAGGCAGAGGTTACAGTGAGTCAAGATTGCACCACTGTACTCCAGCCTGGGCGAAAGAGCAAGATTCCTTCTCAAAAAAAAAATAATAAGAATATAAAAATTAGCCGGGCGTGGTGGCGTGCACTTTTAATTCCAGCTACTCAGGAGGCCGAGGCAGGAGAATCACTTGAACCTGGGAAGTGGAGGTTGCCGTGAGCCGAGATCACACCACTGCATTACAGCCTGAGCGACAGAGCGAGACTCCGTCTCAAAAAATCAAACAAACAAACAAACAAAAAAAACAAAGAAAGGAAGGAAGTGGGGCCGGGTGCGGTGGCTCATGCTTGTAATCCCAGCGCTTTGGGAGGACAAGGTGGGCTGATCATCTGAGGTCAAGGGTTTGCGACCAGCTTGGCCAACATGGTAAAACCACGTCTCGACTAAAAATACAAAAATTAGCCAGGCAGGGTGGTGGGCGCCTATAATCCCAGCTACTCGGGAGGCTGAGGCAGGAGAATCACTTGAACCGAAGAGGCAGAGGTTGCAGCGACCGAGATCGCGCCACCGCACTCCAGCCTGGGCGACAAGAACGAAACTCTGTCTCAAAAAACAAACCAAAGAAACGAAGTGGGTAGGTGAGTAAATGGGTGGAAAGAGAAGGAATGAAGGAATAAGTGAACAAACAAAACAAAGGAATAACTACTAAGTGGTCAAGTCACAGACTGAACCAGTTCATGTAAGCCCCTCATCCTGGTCTTCCTTTGGTACCTGCCACAACCTCTGAAGAATTAAGTTACCTATGAAAAACTAAATAATTTATTTATAGCATTGAAAGTAAAACCAGAAACTTGTGTACTCCAAATACATTTCTCCCAAAATGTACTGTCCTAGGCCAGTTTTTCTATCTTCCAACTAAAGTAAAGCACAAAGGCAGAATTCAGACTATTTGGCTTGTTAACAAATAAAGCTATCTTACTTGGCAGCAGCCTCAGCCAGATAAATCTCTTCAATTTAATTGTGACAATTTTCTTCATTTGCTCCATCTTGCAAATATATATGAGTTCCCAGACATAATCTTTTTTTCTTTCCTTTATACATACTGCAAAACTACTCAAAAAAAAAATTTTTTTTTTGAGACGCAGTCCCCTCTGTCACCCAGGCTGGAGTGCAGTGGCGCCATCTCTGCTCACTGCAAGCTACGCCTCCTGGGTTCAAGCCATTCTCCTGCCTCAGACTCTGAGTAGCTGGGACTACAGGCGCCCGCCACCACGTCCGGCTAATTTTTTGTATTTTTAGTAAAGACAGGGTTTCACCGTGTTAGCTAGGATGGTCTCGATCTCCTGACCTTGTGATCCGCCTGCCTCGGCCTCCCAAAGTGCTGGGATTACAGGCATGAGCCACCGCGCCCGGCCAAAAACTACTCAATTTTAAGGCAAGTTGTTCACACTTCTTAAATCAAGATTCTTACAGCTAATTTCAAAAGAAACTCCCCAGCCACCAGGAAAAACTAAGATTGTAACAGATTTATTACTGCCTGTATTTACTAGAATTTGGTCAAACATAAAGGTTACCCGTCAAATTATCACCTTATATTGAGATATTTTCAGTTAATTGAATTTTAGATTAAATCTGATGCCCCTGTATACTGAGATTACATAATAAAAAAAATCACGCAATAAAAAATTACATCTTCAGGCCACGCACAGTGGCTCAAGCCTGTAATCCCAGCACTTTGGGAGGCCGAGGCGGGCGGATCACAAGGTCAGCAGATCGAGACCATCCTGGCTAACACAGTGAAACCCCATCTCTACTAAAAATACAAAAAATTAGCCAGGTGTGGTGACAGGCGCCTGTAATCCTAGCTACTCCGGAGGCTGAGGCAGGAGAATGGCATGAACCTGGGAGGCAGAGCTTGCAGTGAGCCGAGATCGCGCCACTGCACTCCAGCCTGGGCGACAGAGTGAGACTCCGTCTCGAAAAAATAAATAAAATAAAATAAAAAATTACATCTGCAACAAGTATTCCACATCTCAGCCTATGATTAAATCAGCAACGTATCCTCTATGTGCCTCACGAGCTTCCCCTAATATTAACCCCTTGTATAACCATAGTACAAAATTATGAAAACCAGGAATGAATACTGGCACAATATTATAATTAACTATAGACATTACTAAAATTTCACCAGTTTCCTCACTAATCTTTTTTTAAAGAGATAGGGTCTTCCTATGTTTTTTGTTTGTTTGCTTGCTTGTTTATTTGTTTTAAGAGACAGGGTCTTGCTATGTTTCTGAGGCTGGAGTGCAGTGGCTATTCACAGGCGCTATCCCACTACTAATCAGCACGGGAGTTTTTACCTACTCCATTTCTGACTTGGGCCAGTTCACCCCTCCTTAGGTAACCTGGTAGTCCCCTGCTCCCAGAAGGTCACCATATTGATGCCAAACTTAATGCGGACATCCAATCGACATAGTGCATTACAGCCCAGAACTCCTGGGTTCAAGCAATCCGCCCACCTCAGCCTCCTAAGTAGCTGGGACCACAGGCCCACTAACACCTTTCTTCTGTTCCAATACCTTATCCAGAATCCCACATTGCATTTAGTCGTTATTTCTCCTTAGTCTCCAACAGTCTGTAACAGTTCAGTCTTTCTATCTTTCATGAACCTGACACTATTAAAGAGAACTGATTATTTTGTAGAATGTCCTTGAATTTGGGTTTGTTTTTTCTCATAACTGGAATGATTATGCATATCTGGTAAGAATATCACAGAAATAATGTTATATCCCATTCAGTGAATCATATCAAGGGGCTCCTGATGTTAACTGTCTTATTACAGGTGATATGAAATTTAGTGTTTGGTTATGGTGGTGTCTACTGGGTTTCTCCCTTTAAATTTAATATTTTTTCCTTTTGTATACAAATTTGAGACTATGCAAAAACCCTGTTTCTCAAGTTTTGCCCACCAACTTTGGTATCCATCAAAAAAGCTTGTCTGTAGCAATTATTATTAAAGATCGAGGCACCAGTTATGTTCATTGTTACTGAAGCTTCTAGGGCCTCTCAGTAGAAAAAGCCATAAAATACAGCATATGGGGCAGGCATGGTGGCACATGCCTGTAATATCAGCGCTTTCGGAGGCTGAGGCAGGAAAGATCACTTGAGGCCAGGAGTTTGATACCAGCCTAAGCAACATAGCATAATCCCATCTCTATAAAAAAATAAAAATTAAAAAATTAGCTGGGTGTGGTGGTAAACACCTATAGTCCCAGCTACTTGGGAGGCTAAGGCAGGATTGTTTGAGCTCAGGAGTTCGAGGTTACAGTCAGCTATGATTGAGACACTGCACTTCAGCCTGAGTGACAGGGCAAGACCTTGTCTCTTAAATAATTTTTTTAAATTAAAAATAAAATACAGTATATGTATACATATTAACCCATACATAAACACACATCTATATTTCTGCATGTATTTGTCAATATTAAACACCACAGAGTTCATACCTCTGATTCAAATCACACTCACACAGGATTTTAAGTTTAGCCGTTCATCTTTCTCTAATGATGAGAAATTTGAGTCTCATTATCCACAATATACAGTCATACCTTGGTATGTGCAGGGGATTGGTTCCAGAACCTCCCCCAGATACCAGAATCCACTGATGCTCAACTCCCTGACATATGGTGTAGTATTCGCATATAACCTATGCACATCCTCCTACACACTTAAAAGCATCTCTACTTATAATACCTAATACAATGTAAAGACTATGTAAACAGCACTGTTTACAGAGAACGACAAGTAACAAAAAGTCCTCCTACACACTTAAAAGCATCTCTAGATTACTTATAATACCTAACACAATATAAAGGCTATGTAAATAGTTGTTATACTGCACGGTTTAGAGAATGACAAGTTAGCCGGGTGCAGTGGCTCACGCCTGTAATCCCAGCACTTTGGGAGGCTGAGGCGGGAGGATCACAAGGTCACGAGTTCGAGACCATCCTGGCTAACACGGTGAAACCCCGTCTCTACTAAAAATACAAAAAAATAGCCAGGCATGGTGGCACGCGTCTATAGTCCCAGCTACTTGGGAGGCTGAGGCAGGAGAATGGCGTGAACTCGGAGGCGAAGCTTGCAGTGAGCCGAGATTGCGCCACTGCACTCCAGCCTGGGCGACAGAGCGAGACTCCATCTCAAAAAAAAAAAAAAAAGAGAATGACAAGTTTAAAAAGTCTGTTAATGTTAGTATATACACAATTTTTCCCCAGATATTATCAATCCACAGTTGGCTGAATCCATAGATGTAGAACCCACAGATACAAAAGACTGTAGGTACTAATCTGTTCATGTAACGTATACACACAAAGTGGTTTCAGAACTACTAGCCCATATGCCTAACTAGCTTACAGAATTTATGTATGGTTCTTATCATTAGTATTATGATATCCAGTCAACACACTATTTTCCAGTTATTTAGGTTCCTTGTTTTCTTCCCTACCCCCTTTCAATGTGATGATGTTATTCATTTGTAAGACAATTAGGTTAATTTCTTGTATTTTTGTATCCTATTTTGGAATCCACCCCTCATATTGTTTGGTTTTAATGATTTATTTTTTGCTTACATGAGGGGTAGGTATAATTTCAAAAAGCCTAGCTGTCATCTCTAAGTTTTAAGAGGAAAAAGCTAGATTCAGGTAAGCCTTTATGTTAGGGGAGAGGAGGTTTCGTTGTCTTTGTTAAAAATAGAAAAGATCTGGCCGGGCGTGGTGGCTCACACCTGTAATCCCAGCACTTTGGGAGGCCGAGGCAGGTAGATCACCTGAGGACGGGAGTTCAAGACCAGCCTGGCCAACATGGTGAAGCCCCATCTCTACTAAAAATACAAAATAAGGTGGGCATGGTGGCGCAAGCCTGTAATCCCAGCTAGGAAGCTGAGGCAGGAGAATCACTGGGACCTGGGAGGCAGAGGTTACAGTGAGCCAAGATCGCACCATTGCATTCAAGCCTGGGCAGCAAGAGCGAAACTCCGTCTCCAAAATAAAATTTAAAAAAAAAGTAGAAGAGATTTGAACATGTCTATATAAAAAGGAAAAAAGAAAAGTTTTAAAAAAGGTTCCTGAGGAAGGCACATTCATGATGTTGAGAGTTGTTTAAAAAAAAAAAAAAAAAAACAGTAGTTCTCAAGCTTTCAGATCTATCTGAATGCTGGAGGATTCCAGGTGGCTGGGCCTCACCACTATTGTTTCTCATTCAGTAGTTCTGCAGGGAGGCTTGAGACTACATTCCTAACAGTTCCCTAGGTGAAATGTTAATGCTGTCTGTCCAGGGAATATGATTTAAGAATGAATTGGGGCCGGGCACGGTGGCTCACGCCTGTAATCCCAGCACTTTGGGAGGCCGAGGCAGGCGGATCACCTGAGGTCCGGAGTTCGAGACCAGCCTGACCAACATGGAGAAACCCCGTCTCTACTAAAAGTACAAAATTAGCCGAGCATGGTGGCACATGCCTGTAATCCCAGCTACTCGGGAGGCTGAGGCAGGAGAATGGCTTGAACCCGGGAGGCGGAGGTTGCTGTGAGCCGAGATCGCGCCATTGCACTCCAGCCTGGGCAACAAGAGCGAAACTCCCTCTCAAAAAAAAAAAAGAATGAATTGGGTAGAGTAAAATCACATAGAAATATTTATAAATTGATAAACTCAGGTACAAAGTTTGAAGAAATACATCAAAATATACAGAATATCACCTATCTGTAGACCAGAGAAGCTTCAAATTTGTTCACGGTTTTTCACTTTTTTCTTTACTTTTACTTCCCCATGAACACCTTATTTTCTTATCACAAGCACCTTACATTTTTAAAGCAAATACTATTTTCAAAAACAGATTTCTACATTTGCTTTAACTATCATAGCTTTGTTTATAATATTTCCTAACTAGTATGATTTTTGAACCTTTGAAGAGTAATGTTTATACCATTATATTTTGCAATTAAACACCACAGGCACAAGGTGAGCTATCAATGTGGGTTTATATATCTTGAATTAACCACTCTCTCAAACATCCTTACTTAAACCTAAAAGATTTCAAGCTGACCATCACGATTGTCTATTATGTACTGAGATTTTAAGTCCCCATAACCCCTTTTAACACGGAGTCAACTTCCAGAAATCTTTTTTTTTTTTTTGAGATGGAGTCTCACTGTGTAGCCCAGGCTGGAGTGCAGTGGCAAGATCTCAGATCACTGCAACCTCCGCCTCCTGGATTCAAGCGATTCTCCTGCCTCAACGCCCTGAGTAGCTGGGATTACAGGCGCGTGCCACCACAGCCAGCTAATTTTTTAGTTTTAGTAGAGACAGGGTTTCACCATGTTGGCCAAGCTGGTCTCGAACTCCTGACCTCATGTGATCTGCCCACCTCAGCCTCCCAAAGTGCTGGAATTACAGGCATGAGCTACTGCCCCCAGCCTCAGAAATCTTGTTTAAAGATTATCAGAAGCACAAAGTTACATAAAGATATTCATAGTAGAGTTTTACACATAACAAAATAAATAAGAGCAACGCAAATATATCCATCTCTGGAAAAATGGATATTCACAGCATATTCTTATAATAAATTACATATAATAATACCTAAAACCCTTGTTTAACTTCAAAGTTTAGCATTCAAAGTGCCCTTAACCAGCTAAAAACCAGCAAAGAATTATGCTACATTATGAAGTAATTCACTGTATGTGGTTAAAATGGGCAATTTTTCTATTTTTCCTGTGATACTCAACTTATACAACTTGTAACAGGTTGTGGGGAGTTTTTATTAATAAGACATACAATTCATGTTTCTTAAAATGATCTTCTTTTACCTTAGTTGTATTTGCTTCCGTTTTTGCAACTCTTGGTTTCTGAGTTCTTCCAAGCGTCTGAGTTCTTCTTGACGCCTCATTAGATCTATAAAATAATGACTGCACATTAATATTTTTAGTTTCCCTTTCCATATTTTTATACCAATAAGCATAGAAGTTCTCTATCACTGGCAATATATTGGTATATTACTCATTTTATAATAATGTAAGCTGGGTAATTAAATAAATATCCTTTCTGAGCACGTTTCTTCACGTATATAAAAAAGAGTATTCAAGTTCATTCTTGGCCAGGTGCGGTGGCCCACGCCTACAATCCCAGTAATTTGGGAGGCCAAGGCAGGCGTATCACTCGAGGCCAGGAGTTTGAGACCAGCCTGGCCAACAAGGCAAAACCCCAACTCTACCAAAACTACAAAAATTAGCTGGGCATGGTGGCGCGCGCCTGTAGTCCCAGCTACTCAGAAGGCTGAGGCAGGAGAATCACTTGAACCCGGGAGGTGGAGGATGCAATGAGTTGAGATTGTGCCACTGCACTCCAGCCTGAATGACAGAGCAAGACTCCATCTCAAAAACAAGTTCATTGTTAGGGGAAAAACACGTAATAAACTCATCTTGGCTGGGCGCGGTGGCTCACGCCTTATAATCCCAACACTTTGGGAAGCCCAGGTGGGCAACAGAGTGAGATGACTCAATCTCAAAAAAAAAAAAAAAACAAACAAATAAATAAATAAAAATTCATCTTTACGTCAAGAAATTAAAATAGGTAGGCTGGCTTGTGCCTGTAATCCCAGCACTTTGGGAGGCCGAGGCAGGCGGATCACTTCGGCCGAGGAGTTCGAGACCAGCCTGAGTAACACAGTGAAACCCTGTCTACAAAAAATACAAAAATCAGGGCCAGGTGTGGTGCCTCACAGGTGGAATCTCAACACTTTGGGAGGCCAAGGCAGGCGGATCACCTGAGGTTGGGAGTTCGAGACCAGCATGGCCAACATGGCGCAACCCCATCTCTACTAAAAATACAAAAATTAGCTGGGTATGGAGGTGCACGCCTGTAATTCCAGCTACTCGGGAGATTGAGACAGGAGAATCACTTGAATATGGGAGGCGGAGGTTGCAGTGAGCCAAAATTGCGCCACTGCACTCCAGCCTGGGTTGCACAGCAGAACTGTCTCTAAAATAAAATAACAAATTGTAATTGTTTTCAGCAGCAAATGCAAAGCCCCAACACATGCCTTCAGAGACACCAGCAGAGAGCACTTAAGAACCAGACCAAACAGGAATCATGACATAAAACCCAAGGAACCTCCCTCGCAACACGATTAGCATGAAATTCCTCCCTAACTAAGCCAATGTCTTACGAAGAAGAGTGAGGAGACAATTCTTCAAAGAAGAAAGCAAAGATAAATGCTGATATAAACAAGACTTTTCAACAACAAAAAAGCATTTCCACTATCACCAATCCCTGCCATATCAAGAATGGGGGGGTTCCAGAGTAAGATAATGAAAAGTACATTTGTATTGCACATCTAAGAAGTAGTGTATAAACTTTCCACGTTAAAAATCTCCAAAGCTAAAAATCTTTGTGTGTGATTTTGTATAAAATTATGTATGTATATATGCATATATTTTAAAATAATAAAATGTTAAAATACTCTGGATGGCACAATTGCTGGTTGCTTTTATTTTCCTTTTCTCTTTATATCTGAAATGTCTAAAGTGAACAAATTACCTCAACTGAATGTTTCTTAATAAACACCTGTACTCAAGAGTTGACTCATATAATACTACAGCTAAAGTTAATCTAAGGTACCAATAACCCAAACTTCATAACAATAGCAAGACAGGCATCATAACCATAACAAGGTAAATATTGTTCTCCCCATTTTACAGATTAAAAACAGACATTTATAAATTATGCAAAAAAAAAGGATTCAGACAGATTATAAAGTTGCTCCAGCTATTACATGATTCAACTGGGATGCCAGGCCAAACCTCTCCTTATTCCAAAGCTCTTTCAAAAAAGTATGCCAAACCTAGTTGATCAGACTCAATTGGAAAACTTAAAAATATGCATTTGGGGATGTTGCTAAGAAAAGTCTGTTTTGGTATATGAGACAGGGCCCAGGTAGTTCTCATAATAGGCCCATAGAGAAAACACTTGATTATCTGAAAAATGTTAAACATGACCGCAATTATTTCGAACCTTTATAACATAATTCTCAACCTTAAATACTCATTAGAATTACTTAAATACCTGACCAGTATTTAAGTAATGGCTCACACCTGTAATCCCAGCACTTTGGGAGGCTGAGGCAGGCGGATCACCTGAGGTCGGGAGTTGGAGGCCAGCCTGACCAACATGGAGAAACCCCGTCTCTACTAAAAACACAAAAATTAGCCAGGCGTGGTGGCGCATGCCTGTAATCAGAGCTACTCAGGAGGCTTAGGCAGGAGAATCACTTGAACCCGGGAGGCGGAGGCTGCAGTGGGCTGAGGTCACACCATTGCACTCCAGCCTGGGCAACAAGAGCGAAACTCCATCTCAAAAACAAAAAAATTACTTAAATACCTTTTTTGTTTTTTCTCTCAGAGACAGGGTCTCACTCTGGCACCCAGGCTGGAGTAGAGTGGCATGATGGTAGCTCACTACAGCCTCAAAAACCTGGGCTCAAGAGATCTTCCCACCTCAGTCTCCCCAACAGCCAGGACTGACAGGCTTTTAACCTCTCAGATCTTATCACCTTACTTGTAACACTGGTATAATTAGCTCAAAGGCTCCAACAATGAAATTATCAAATAAGCACAATTACCTAATACTTAAAAGAACTATAAACTTAAAACTACCATTTTATGTTGACTAAATTATATATTTTTTAAAGTTCCTAATACCCAAAGTTCCTGATATTTCACTAAAGCTTATACATCTGTACACTGCCATGATAATATCTTTCTAGGGGAAAAAACTGTAAAAAGTACATAACTAGAGATGTCTTTTTTTTTCTTTTTTTTCTTTTTTTTGAGACAGAGTCTCGCTTTGTTGCCCAGGCTGGAATGCAATGGCGAGGTCTCGGCTCACTGCAACCTCTGCCTACCAGGTTCAAGCAATTCTCCTGCCTCAGCCTCCCAAGTAGCTGGGATTATAGGCGCCCACAACCGCGCCCAGCTAATTTTTGTATTTTTAGTAGAGATGAGGTTTCACCATCTTGGCCAGGCTGGTCTTGAACTCGTAACCTTGTGATCCACCCGCCTTGGCCTTCCAAAGTGCTGGGATTAAAGGCGTGAGCCACCGCGCCCGGCCCAACTAGAGATGTCTTTATCTTTTGATCCAGGAAATTACACTCAGGAATTTTTCTTAATAAAATAAAGCCATCTACAGTCATGAAGGCATCATCTACCGTATTACTTATTACTTACTAAACCAAATAACACTTTGAAATGCTTTCCTGGCTGGGCACAGTGGCTTACCAAAGTGGGAGGCTGCCTCGGCCTCCGAAAGTAATCCCAGCACTTTGGGAGGCTGAGGCGGGTGGATCACTTGAGGTCAGGAGTTTGAGACCTGCCTGGCCAACATGGCAAAATACTGTCTCTATTAAAACTACAAAAATAAGCCGGGCATGGTGGCACACGCCTGTAGTCCCAGCTACTCAAGGAGGATGAGGCAGAAGAATCACTTGAACCTGGGAGGCACAGGTTGCAGTGAGCAGAGATTATGCCAACGCAGTCCAGCCTGGGTGACACAGCAAGACTGTCTCAAATTAATTAATTAATTAAAATGCTGTCCTAACAAATTTAATGATAAAATTACATGAAATTATATGCTATAATTTCAATGTATCATAAATACAGGTACAGAAAAAAGGAATATAAACAAACTAAAATTTTGATTTGCTAGACTGTAAGACAGTGTTTTCTCAATTTAAAATTGCACAAGTCATGAAAACTGAATGTATAACTTCTGATCTAACAATTTTATTTTCTAAAAATACTAGTCTCTTTATTTTTCTTTCAGTTTTTATTTTACCGCTGATCTGTCCAGATTTATGACACTGAATTAATTTTTTTTTTTTTTTTTGAGATGGGAGTCTCGCTCTGTCGCCCTGGCTGGAGTGCAGTGGCGTGATCTCGGCTCACTGCAACCTCCACCTCCTGGGTTCAAGCAATTCTCCCGCCTCAGCCTCCCAAGTAGCTGGGACTACAGGCGCATGCCACCAGGCCTGGCTAATTTTTCGTATTTCCAATAGAGATGGGGTTTCACCATGTTAGCCAGGATGGTCTCGATCTCCTGTCGGCATTAATGTTCTTTAATCATAAACCTCACATGTATTTAAATCCTAATATCTCAAGTAGGTTCAGGCATGACTGTTCTGTTCTTCACTTATGTGATGTTTATCCTCTGTTGATTTCTTTAAGAAGGGCTCACAGCAACATATTTGTTTTGTTTTTTGTTTTTTTTTTTTTTTGAGACGGAGTCTCGCTCTGTCGCCAGGCTGGAGTGCGGTGGTGCGATCTTGGCTCACTGCAACCTCCGACTCCCTAGTTCAAGCAATTCTCCTGCCTCAGCTACCCGAGCAGCTCACACCTATAATCCTAGCACTTTGGGAGGCTGAGGTGGGCGGATCACGAGGTCAGGAGTTCAAGATCAGCCTGACCAACATGGTGAAACCCCATCTCTACTACTAATACAAAAATTAGCCGACTGTGGTGGCATGCACCTGTAATCCAGGCTACTCAAGAGGCTGAGGCAGGAGAATCACTTGAAACACAGAGGCAGAGGTTGCAGCAAGCCGAGATTGCGCCACTGCACTCCAGCCTGGGCAACAGAGCGAGACTCCGTCTCTAAATAAATAAATAAATGTTAAAAAAAAATAAATGTAATGGAGCCAGGCGCAGTGGCTCACGCCTGTAATCCTGACACTTTGGGAGGCTGAGGCGGGCAGATCACTTGAGGCCAGGAGTTTGAGGCCAGCCTGGCCAACATGGCAAAGCCCTGTCTCTACCAAAAATACAAAAATTAGCCGGGTATGGTGGCTCATGCCTGAGGGAGGAGAATCACTTGAACCCGGGAACCGGAGGTTGTAGTGAGCTGAGATTGTGCCACTGAACACCAGCCTGGGCAACAGAGTGAGACTCCATCTCAAAAAAAAATTTTTTTTTAATGTAATGGGAGTTGAATCTAGAAAGGACTAAATAATTATCAGTAAAGTATAAATCAAACAATTATTATTGTAAGGTACCCATGTGTTCAATAAGAATCAACATTTACGGCTGGGTGTGGTGGCTCACGCCTGTAACCCCAACACCTTGGGAGGCTGAGGCGGATGGATCACTTGAGGTCAGGAGTTCGAGACCAGCCTGACCAACATGGAGAAACCCCATCTCTACTAAAATACAAAATTAGCCAGGCGTGGTGGCGCATGCCTGTAATCCCAGCTACTCAAGAGGCTGAGGCAGGAGACTCGCTTGAACCCAGGAGGTGGAGGTTGCAGTATGCCGAGATGGCGCCATTTCACTCCAGCCTGGGCAACAAGAGTGAAACTCCGTCTCAAAAAAATAAAAAAAAATCAACATTTACAAAAATTTTCTGATACATGCATATATATTCTTTGCAGCACTGCTTTTAAAAACAAACTGAAAAGAGAAATTGTTATCGAAAGAGGATGAACTAAACTAATTGTACCCATATAAAAGAATATCATACAACCATTAAAAATATAAGGCGGATATTTACATATATATTCATGTAGAAAGTAAAAAAGGTACAGAAAAGGTAAACAGCTTTTTTTTAGAGACAGAGTCTCGTTCTGTCATCCAGGCTGGAGTACAGTGGCATAATTACAGCTCACTACAGCCTCAAGCTCCCAGGCTCAAGTGATCCTCCCACCTAAGCCTTCCCAAGTAGCTGCAACTACAGACACATGCCACCATGCCCAGCTAATTTCTGTACTTTTGGTAGAGACGGGGTCTCACTGTGTTACTGAGGTTAGTCTTGAACTGCTGGACTCAAGCAATCCTCCCACCTCAGCTTCCCAGTGCTAGAATTACAGGCATGAGCCACTACACCCAGCCAGTTTGTTTTGTTGTTACGATTTTTGGGTTTTTTGCTTACAAATACACAAAAACATCTAATGACATATGCAAATTTTTTTTCATTAAAGAATACAAAAGAGACTTAAAATACAAAAAGTGATTCCTACAAAAAAGCAGAAGGTAGTAAATAGGGGGACAATTTTTCTGTATTGTTTGAGATTTCTCCTTCCATGATATGTCATGATACATGTTTCTGCGGAACCACACAACTAAGATTAATTACAGTCTCTCCTCAACCTGAATACATCCTTAGAAATGCTGGATGAAATACAAAATTGTAGGCCGGGTACAGTGGCTTATGCCTGTAATCCCAGCACTGTGGGAGGTCAAGGCAGGTAGATCACTTGAGGTCAGGAGTTCGAAACCAGCTTGACCAACATGATGAAACCCCATCTCTACTAAAAATACAAAATTAGCTGGGCGTGGTGGTGTACACCTGTAATCCTAGCTACTTGGGATGCTGAGGCAGGAGAATCGCTTGAACTCAGAAGGCAAGAGGTAGGTCTACAATGAGCTGAAGTTGCACCACTGCACTCCAGCTTGGGCGAAGAGCAAGAGTCTGTCTCAAAAAAAGAAAAAAAAAAAGAAATACAAAATTGTAGAACAAATGGGAGAAAGTTGTAACTTTTTAAATTTTTAAACAAACTACAACTGAAATTTACCAATTGCAGACTTTGGATCAAATAAGTACAAGTACTTCGGCACAAGTGAACCCAGAAGCAGGGAGTAGGATTCAACAAGCAATGTGATTTTCTAATATTATAAACTAAGATATTGTTAACAGAGGCTTTAAATGAACACACACGATAAACAACAAAAAAACTCATGGGAAATAACTGCAAAATTACTCTACTTCAAACATCAAAATACCTTCAGGCAAAGTTTTCTAAGAGCTCAAGAAAAAACTGAAGTCTAAGGAAATGTTCTTTGCCATCAATATATCCTCAGTACCTCAGACATGTCTCCCATAACTGACATTAAAGATGTGCTAAATTAGTGAATGTTATACCACTGTTCGTAGCATCAACACAAATCTTTAGTACAGATGCTTCCACATCTAATCAACATTGTTATCTAACTAGGGCACAACTGTAGGTAGGTGGGAAACAAAATGGCAGAGAAGTGCCTAGCAGGCTAAGAGAAAACAATTCATATTGAACAGAAGGGCTAGGGTAACCACAGAGCCCAGGAAACGAAATTTCAAAAATTTCCAAGATGATTCTAATGGGTAATAAAATTTCAAAACCACTGGACTGGACAAACTTTAAGATCTCTTGGCTGGGCACGGTGGCTCATATCTGTAATCCCAGCACTATGGGAGGCCAAGGTGGGTAGATCACTCGAGGCTAGGAGTTCAAGACCAGCTTGGCCAACATGGAGAAATCCCATCTCTACTAAAAATACAAAAAAACTGGCCAGGCACAGTGGCTCATGCCTGCAATCCCAGCACTTTGGGAGGCCGAGGCGGGCGGATCACCTGAGGTCAGGAGTTCAAGAGCAGCCTGGCCAACATGGTAAAACCCCATCTCTACTAAAAATACAAAAAATTAGCCGAGTGTAGAGGCATACACTTGTAATCCCAGCCACTTAGGAGGCGGAGGCAGGAGGATTACTTGAACCCCCGAGGTGGAGGTTGCAGTGAGCTAAGATCACACCAATGCACTCCAGCCTGGGCGACAACAGTGAGACTCCATCTCAAATTTTAAAAAAGCAAAAAAATTAGCTGGGCGTGGTAGCACGCACCTGTAGTCCCAGGGAGGGTGTACTAGGGAGGGTGAGGCACGAGAATTGCCTCAACATGGGAGGCGGAAGTTGCAGTGTGCCGAGATCATGCCACTGCACTCCAGGCTGGGCGACAGAGTGAGATTCTGTCTCAAAAAAAAAAAAAAAAATCTCTCTTCCAGATCTAACAGCTAATGAATGATTCAGTACCTTTATCTCAAATAACAACTTGCACATTTTCCACAAAATAAAAGACAGTTTATCTTTTTTTTTTTTTTTGAAATGGAGTCTCGCTCTGTCTGTCGCCCAGGCTGGAGTGCAGTGGCGTGATCTCGGCTTACCGCAACCTCCACCTCCTGGGTTCAAGTAATTCCCTGCCTCCCAAGTAGCTGGGATTACAGGCGCCCGCCACCACATCTGGCTAATGACAGTTTACCTTTAAATCTACTCTAAGATATAAATGAATTCAATTTTGTTAGAAAAGTGAACTTATAGAACTACCAAGCTTAGGGTCCAAATTAAACCAAAACACCTAACTAGTTTCTATGGTTTGCTGGGCTCGATTTTGTTTTAACGTATGTGGCATCAGCACAGTTACTCAATGACTTCATCATAAGTGCTCAATAAACATTTACTGAATAGTGATGTACGAAATACTAGAACACACATAACAAAAAAACCTACACTTCATTCTAAAGCAAGTGAGAATTTACCCAAAAGGATTTAGAGAAGAATGATCAAAATTTCACCTGCTAAGAAAAATACTGAATCTAGTACACAGAACGGTTTAAAGAAAGCCAAGATTAGATGGCAGAAACGTTCAGCAGGAATGCTACTGCAGAAATTCAGACAGGCAGCTGTGGTACCTTGATCTCTGGGGACAGCCAAGAGAAGGTAAATACAAAAAAACTAGCCGGACATTGTGGTGTGTGCCTGTAATCCCAGCTACTCGGGAGGCTGAGGCAGGAGAATTGCTTGAACCCAGGTGGTGGAGGCTGCAGGGAGACAATATGGCGCCACTGCACTCCAGCCTGGGCAACAGAGCAAGACTCCATCTCAAAAAAAACAAAAAACAAACAAACAAAAATATATATATATATATACACTTACCAATTACTAACTTTTCCTAAATCCCCATATCAATGTGTACAAATGAATCTTTTTCATCTCTACCAGATTATCCATCTGTACTCTTTCAAACATGTAATAATAATCTTAAATAGCCAGCATTTGTCCAAATTCTTCTCATCAAACAAAAAATCCTGTATGTGCCATGTCTACCTACCAAAATTTGCCTGCTATGTTTCTGTTTGCCAAGAGAATCATGTATTTGATACTGGCACAATTTAATACCCGCAAATTACCTCCAACACTACTGCTTGCATAAGTAAAACTAACTTTTTAATTTTTTTTTTGAGACAGTTTTGCTCTTGTTGCCCAGGCTGGAGCACAATGATGCGATCTCAGCTCACAGCAACCTCTACCTCCCGGGTTCAAGCAATTCTCCTGCCTCAGCCTCCCAACTAGCTGGGATTACAGGTGCGCACCACCACGGCTGGCTAATTTTGTATTTTTAGTAGAGATGGGGTTTCTCCAGGTTGGTCAGGCAGGTCTCGAACTCCCGACCTCAGGTGATCCATCTGCCTTGGCCCCCCAAAGTGCTGGGATTACAGGCGTGAGCCACCGCGCCCGTCAAGTAAAACTAACTTTTAGTAAGTTGTGTTCTTTTTTTTAAGGGAAGTTATCTGGGAAAAGGGAGATTTTCACACCTAATATGTTGAGTTCCAACTTTACCTCTAAACTCCTAAATGGCACTTTACACAGTAGTACATGAATGGTACACACACTTAAGGGAAAAAAAAAATCATACCACATGTACATGAAAATCCATATTTACCTTGCCTCATTAGCATTAATTGGTGTTCATGCCTAGCTGCTTCCATTTCTGCCTCCAGTTTCTCTTTGGCTTCTCTGATGTTTCTATCAACCTGCTCACGCTGCTGCTTTTCCATTTCATCAAGAGCCTTCCATCGAGATGCATACTCAAATTCAAATGTCCCAGGTTGAGCAAAACGTGGTGGTTGTTCTCTTTCCCTAAATTAACATTAAAACATACAGAAATGTATGCTTAAAAGGTAAAACAACAACAAATGAGAACAACAAGCACTTACAATGTCCAAGACACCGTGTGAGACACCGTGTCTACATGAATTACCTCGTGACAATATTGTGATTACAGGCCTGAGTTTAAGAACTGCCCAAGAATGTTCAACTAATAATGGAACAATAATTCAAACTTACACAATCTGATGCCACAACCTGCATTCTCCTAATTATTACCTGCAAAATTTCTGCTTTTGGAGGTTTCATTTTCTGGTTTTCAGTCAACAAAATACTTTACAGGCCGGGCGCAGTGGCTCATGCCTGTAATCCCAGCGCTTCGGGAGGCCGAGGCGGGCAGATCACGAGGTCAGGATATCAAGACCATCCTGGCTAACGTTGTGAAATCCCGTCTCTACTAAAAATACAAAAAAATTAGCCGGGCGTGGTGGCAGGCACCTGTAGTCCCAGCTACTCGGGAGGCTGAGGCAGGAGAATGGCATGAACCCAGGAGGCAGAGCTTATAGTGAGCTGAGATCCTGCCACTGCACTCCTGCCTGGGTGACAGAGCGAGACTCCGTCCCAAAAAAAAGAAATATTTTACAAAGGAAAGTCTGGAACACATGAATATGAATTAACTGTCTGGATCAGATGTTTTTCTAGTAAAACCAGCTAGATTTTACTGAGCGTTATGTGCCAATTAATTGGGTAGGCCCCAAAAATCAAGGCCTAACTTACTACCATTGTAGTTAATTATTTATTACCTCTTTCTCTTGATAGACTTTAAACTCAATTGACGACATCAAATGTGGCTGTTAAATGCTGTACCACCACCTCAAGTACCTAGAGTGCAGTATATACATTTAATATACATTTCTTGAATAAATTAACGAATTACCAAATAAAGGGCTATGAATATATTTGAAAGTCTTCATTTTTTTCATATATACATATATATGTAAATATTTATTTTAGAGACATATAAAAAATATGACTGATCTCAAACTCCTGGCCTCAAGTAATACTCATTCCTCAGCCTCCAAAAGTGCAAAATTACAGGTACAAGACACCACACCTGGTCCCCAGTCAATTTTTTTTTCACTTTTTTATTTATTTATTTATTTATTTTTGAGACACAGTCTCACAGTATTGCCCAGGCTGGAGTGCAATGGTATAATCTCAGCTCACTGCAACCTTCGCCTCCCGGGTTCGCACCATTCTCCCGCCTCAGCTTCCCGAGTAGCTCGGATTACAGGCGTCCGCCACCATGCTTGGCTTATTTTTTGTAATTTTTAGTAGAGACGGGGTTTCACTATGTTGGCCAGGCTGGTCTTGAACTCCTGACCCTGTGATCCACCCATCTCGGTCTCCCAAAGTTCTGGGATTACAGGCGTGAGCCACCGTGCCCAGCCTTTCTTTTCACTTTTAAGAATTTTTGTTGTTGGAGGTGTTGCTTTGGGTTTTTCTGAGATAGGGTCTTGCTCAGTTTCACAGGAGTGTAGTGGCACAATTAAGACTCACTGCCGAGACTGGGCACGGTAGGTCACACTTGTAATCCCAGCCCTTTGGGAGGCTGAGACAGGCGGATCACAACACCAGGAGTTCAAGACCAGCCTGGCCAACATGGCGAAACCGCCCCTCTCTACTAAAATTACAAAAATCAGCCAGGCGTGGTGGCGGGTGCCTGCGATCCCAGCTACTCAGGAGGCTAAGGCAGGAGAATCGCTTGAACTCGGGAGACGGAGGTTACAGTGAGCCGAGATTGTGCCACTGCACTCCAGCCTGGGCAACAAGAGCAAGACTCCATCTCAAAAAAAAAAAAAAAAAAAAGGCTCACTTGCCAAATCAACCTCCCAGGCTCAAGCAGTCCTCCCACCTGAGGCTACAGAGCACCTAGAACTACAGAGGCATGCCACCATGACCAGCTAATTTTTGTATTTTTTGTAGAGATGAGGTACCACTACGTTTGTTGCCCAGGCTGGTCTCAAACTCCTGGAAGCAATGCTTCTGCCTCCCAAAGTGCTGGGATTACAGGTGGGAGCCACCACACCCAGCCAACTTTCAAGAAATTTCTGCATAAATATCTTCAATTAGTCTCGCCTATAACAGCCTGTATTTAAAAGTACTCATGGGAAAACAATTCCCACTCCATGAATAAAAGCATAGATACCTTGCTATAAATGTAAATTTTAACTTTTATTTTGGGGTAGGGAGGTGAGGAGGGGTGGGTATGACAAATCTAGGAGAGAAGAAGGCTGTCACAGAGGGAAAGATGTAATAACAAGAGAGGGAAAGATATTCAGAAGCATGTGAAGAAAAATCAAAGACAGCCATGATCCTAGGGACTCTATATCTGAAAACCCTACTTGGATTTTTTTCTTTTTAAAGCACTGACTGGAAAGTGGGAAAGATTGGGAGAATCTACCAACCACTAATTTTTCTAAAAGAATTGTTTACTGGTCAGCAGTTCCAAAGTCAAAGACTGACTATATTTTTAAATTATTTATTTTCTTTCAAAGGAAAAAAAAACCACTGAAATAACATGATTTTTTGAAGGTGCAAGTGAATTTGAATTTTGGCTTTTTTGCTTTGTGAGCATTTTCTTTTTCTTTCTTTCTTTTTTTTTTCCTGAAACAGTTTCATTCTTGTAGCCCAGGCTGGAATGCAATGGCGCCATCTTGGCTCACTGCAACCTCCGCCTCCTGGGTTCAAGCGATTCTCCTGCCTCAGCCTCCCAAATAGCTGGGATTACAGGCTCCTGCCACCACACCCAGCTAATTTTTTGTAGTTTTAGTAGAGACGGGGTTTCACCATGTTGGCCAGGCTGGTCTCCAACTCCTGATCTCAGGTGATCCACCCACTTTGGCCTCCCAAAGTGCAGGGATTACAGGTGTGAGGCACTGCGCCCAGCCTTGTGAGCATTTTCTTCTGTGAATAAATCTAAATCTTTAGTAATAAAAGTGGGAATATAACTAACTCCTTTTTTTTTTTTTTTTTGAGACAGTCTCGCTCTGTCACCCAGGCTGGAGTGCAGTGGCACAATCTCCACTCCACCTCCCGGATTCAAGCGATTCTCCTGCCTCAGCCTCCCGAATAGCTGGGATTACAGGTGCACGCCACCACGTCTGGCTAATTTTTGTATTTTTAGTAGAGACAGGGTTTCACCATGTTGGCCAGGCTGGTCTCGAACTCCTGACCTCAGGTGATCCACCCACCTCGGCCTCCCAAAGTGCTGGGATTACAGGCGTGAGCCACCACGCCCAGCCATAACTAGCTCTTAAGTTTTGCTGATATCATTAACTATATAAACAAATATTGCCTATAAAGTCTATTCTTGTTAACAACCTTGTACTTCTAGTTCTCTAACTCCCAAATCCAAACGTATGCTTTATTTCAAATTTGTAATGGTGACCTATAACAAGGAAAAAGTTAAGTGAAGAGGAAATCACAGGAACCCTTTAAAAAAAATGGCATTGTGGCCAGGTGCAGTGCCTCACACCTGTAAACCCAACACTTTGAGAGGCCAATGCAGGCAGATCGCTTGAGCCCAGGAGTTCGAGACCACGCTGAGCAACATGACAAAACTCTGTCTTTACAAAATAATTAAAAAATGAGACGGGCATGGTGGCCCACATCTGTAGTCCCAGCTACTTGGGGGGTGCTGAGGTGGAAGGATCACTTGAGACCAGGAGGTAGAGGCTGCAGTGAGCCATGACCATGCCATTGCACTGCAGTCTGGGCAACAGGGCCAGACCCTGTCTCAAAAAAAAAAAGAAAAGAAAAGAAAAGAAAGAGAAATAGCATTGCAAAGGAAATAAGAATAGATATTAATTAGGCTGGGCATGGTGGCTCACGCCTGTAATCCCAGCACTTTGGGAGGCTGACGCAGGCAGATCACAAGGTCGGGAGTTCGAGACCAACCTGGCCAACATAGTGAAACTCCATCTCTACTAAAAATACAACAATTAGCTGAGCATGGTTATGTGCGCCTGTAGTCTCAGCTACTTGGGAGGCTGAGGCAGGAGAATCACTTGAACCTGGGAGGCGGAGGTTGTGGTGAGCCAAGATCGCGCCACTGCACTCCAGCCTAGGCAATAAGAGAGAAACTCCATCTCAAAAAAAAAAAAAACAATAGATATGAATTATAATCAACGCTAATGCTAATGCTTCCTCCCTGAAATACTCTCCTCCCTTGCTTCCAGGACACAGTCTGATGGTTCTTCCCCCTATTCCAATGAATGAATGCTCCCTTCTCAGTCGTTATTGATTCCTTCTGATCTTCCCAATCTCTACACACTGAAGAACTCCAAGGTTCAAGGTTTGGTCCTTTGACTTTAAAATATCATGTTCATAAATCCAGCCAGGACAGTTGCTCTAAATCCTAGTTATAAATCCAACTACCTGCTTGACTACACTGCTAGCACCTAGAACAGTGGCTAACACAAAGGCACTCCAAGTTTTATTTATCTAATAAACAAGTGGGCCGGGCGCAGTGGCTCACATCTGTAATCCCAGCACCTTGGGAGGCCAAGGTGGGTGGATCACCCAAGGTCAGGAGTTCGAGTCCAGCCTGGCCATTATGGTAAAACCCCGTCTCTACTAAAAATACAAAAATTAGCTGGGTGTGGTGGTGCACGCCTGTAATCCCAGCTACTCAGGGAGGGTGAGGGACAAGAATCACTTGAACTCGGGAGGTGGAGGTTGCAGTGAGCTGAGACTGCACCACTGCACTCCAGCCTGGATGACAAAGTGAGACTGTCTCAAAAAATAAATAAGTAGGCCTTTGAGCCCCTATGCTCAGGCCCACTCCCAGACTGTGGAGTGGTACTTTCATTTTCAATAAAACCCTTCGCTCCTTCCTTGCTTTGAGCATTTTGTCCAATTCTTTGTTCAAGACGCCAAGAACTTGGATACTCTCCACCGTTAACATATTTTGGTGAGCCAGCCAGGAGGAAGAGTCAAGCAGGTTCACTACGGCCACTCAGGGAGCGAGAACTCAGAAGCCTGGCATGCTGGCAAAAGGGTAAAGAAAACCTTTTTTTTTTTGAGACGGAGTCTCACTGTCATCCAGGCTGGAGTGTGGTGGCGCGATCTTGGCTCACCACAACCTCCGCCTCCTGGGTTCAAGCAATTCTCCCGCCTCAGCCTCCTGAGTAGCTAGAATTACAGATGCGTGCCACCACACCCGGCTGATTTTTGTAATTTTAGTAGAGACGGGGGTTTCACCATGTTAGGCTGGTCTCAAACTCCTGACCTCGTGATCTGCCCGCCTCGGCCTCCCAAAGTGCTAGGATTACACGTGTAAGCCACTGTGCCCGGCCCTAAGAAAGCGTTTTATGGTTTGAATCTTCTGGAAACGTCAAAGACAGTCAGTCGCCGGGCATGGTGGCTCACGCCTGTAATCCCAGCACTCTGGGAGGCCAAGGCAGGCGGATCACAAGGTCAGGAAATCGAGACCATCCTGGCTAACACGGTGAAACCCCGTCTCTACTAAAAATACAAAAAAATTAGCCGGGCATGGTGGCACGTGCCTACAGTCCCAGCTACTTGGGATGCTGAGGCAGGCGAATTGCTTGAACCTGGGAGGCGGGGGTTGCAGTGAGCTGAGATCGTGCCACTGCACTCCAGCCTGGGCAATGGAGTGAGACTCCGTCTCAAAAAAAAAAAAAAAAAAGAAAGAAAGACTGTCCTTGCCATCCACACCACAACAAAGCTTTGGGACCTTGAACTTTGGGTTCATGGTCTCACAACTGAGAAGGGTCCCTCCACACTTTTGGAACTGTGCACCCACTGGAACCCTTGACAGACCATCAAGCTTCAGATGACCATGCAACAAAGGCTCCAGCCAGTTCCAGGCAAAGACACCACCCCTAGCCATCAAGAAACTACCCTGCCTCCATTAGATAGAGCAGGGCGAGAGTTCCGTGATCCCCAATAGGTAGAGACTATGCCCCAAGTCAGCATGAAGCAGTTACAGAAAAAAAGACCATCGGTCCCTCTGCCTCCCATAAAGATTTATGAGGATCACATCTCTAAGTGGAGAGATGAGGCAGGAAAATACAGTCTGGAAGCAGGGAACAGAAGACCAATTCACAATTCAGCTATAACAGGAAATATCCTCTCCATAGGACATACACCGAGTAAATGACTTGTAACTTTACCTCATCCTCTTCATTTACATAAGGCATACCCCAAGTAGAGGGTATTTAAACTCACAAAAACTCTGTAACAGGGCCTTTGAGCCCCTATGCTCAGGCCCACACTGCAGAGTGTACTTTCATTTTCAATAAAACCCTTCATTCCTCCCCTGCAAAAAAATAAATAAGTAAGTGACTGGTTTTTAAAAATATAATAAGCTCTGCAAAAGTAATTGGAGAGGAAAGGGAGGTGGGACAGGCAGAGAACAGAACTGGAGGCAGTCCATCTAGGGAATGGGACTGTGAGGCCATACTTGTGAAACATCTGGACTGCTATTCTAGGACTTTTATTTGATGTGTTCGTTGCACAGCTGTTTGAAATGTTTAATAAAGCTTTATAAACTTAAAAAAAAAATGCACTCGGCTGGGTGCGGTGGCTCACGCCTGTAATCCCAGCACTTTGGGAGGCCGAGGTGGGTGGATCACGAGGTCAGGAGATCGAGACCATCCTGGCTAACATGGTGAAACCCCGTCTCTACTAAAATACAAAAAACTAGCCAGGCATGGTGGTGGGCGCCTGTGGTCCCAGCTACTCGGGAGGCTGAGGCAGGAGAATGGTGTGAACCCGGGAGATGGAGCTTGCAGTGAGCCGAGATCGTGCCACTGCACTCCAGCCTGGGCAACAGAGTGAGACTCCGTCTCAAAAAAAAAAAAGTGCACTCATATAGGCAATTTATGTAAATATACTTGTATTATTCTAAGTGAAAAGGGAAAATAAACATACATTTTGAAAATGAGCTATTTTTTGCAACCTCTAAGAGTTTTTCCGCTGTGCCAGGTTATTTAACTAGGAATACCCTGCTCTACCCTGGCACACCAAAAATCTCCTTTTAACCTACAATAGACTTGAAGCACAAAATAAAACTTAAGAAGTATTTCCAGCTGGGCGTGGTGGCTCACACCTGTAATCCTAGCACTTTGGGAGGCCTAGGCGGGTAGATCACCTGAGATCAGGAGTTTGAGACCAGCCTGGCCAACATGGCGAAACCCCATCTCTACTGAAAACACAAAAAAATTAGTCGGGCGTGGTGGCGCACACCTGTAATCCCAGCTACTCGGGAGGCTGAGGAAGGAGAATTGCTTGAACCTGGGAGGTGGAGGTTGCAGTGAGCCGAGTTCACGCCACTGCACTCCAGCCTGTGCTACAGGAGTAAGACTCCATCTCAAAAACAAAAAAAAAAAAAGTATTTTCATGTTATCTAGATTTCATCGTTTTTCTGGCATGAATATTATTGACAGTGTCCTCCTAGTACCCTCCCTGCCCCAGTTATAAAAGTAGACATTTCTAAAAAAAATTAGTATGTTTTACCCATATAAAAAAAGAAAACTATTAGCTGGGCATGGTGGTGCGTGCCTGTAATCCCAGCTACTCAGGAGTCTGAGGCACGAGAATCACTTGAACGTGGGAGGTAGAGATTACAGGGAGCCAAGATCACACCACTGCACTCCAGCCTGGGCGACAGAGCAAGATACTATCTCAAAAAAAACAAAAAGAAAGAAAGAAAAGAAAACTAGCATTCCATGTAGACTAGACCACTCTATTACCCAGATTATATAAATAAACAGAACACCTCATAATCCAATATTTGAAAACAAATGTAATGAACACCCTTAATAGTACAGACACAAATTATCTATTAATAAAATCTTACTTATGATATTGTTGAGTTTTCTGCATCAGCTTCTCTGGCAAGCCATCTTCATCATCAAACTGCTCCATGGGTTCCACAATGACTGGACGAGGGGTCCTGGATAGGTATAAAAGCATTCATAAAAATTAACACAGTGCCAAGAATTAATACCGTCTTAAAAGAAATGTTTTATAATAATAAAGATATATACTTAGAAAATGTCTCACTTGAGAAAAATGTCTCAGAAGTATCATTTGTACTCATAAAAATCAGTCAACAGCCGAAGCAGTGGCTCACGCCTGTAATCCCAGTACTTTGGGAGGCCAAGGAGGGCACATCATTTGAGGTCAGGAGTTCAAGACCATCCAGGCCAACATGGTGAAATTCCATCTCTAGTAAAAATACAAAAAATTAGCCGGGCATTGTGGTGTGTGCCTGTAATCCCAGCTACTGAGGACGCTGAGGCAGGAGAACTGCTTGAACCCCAGAGGCAGAGGTTGAAGTGAGTCAAGATCGCATCACTGCACTCCAGCCTGGGCAACACAGCAAGACTCCATCACAAAAAAAAAAAAAAATCAGTCAATAAACATTTACTGAGTCAGAGAGAGGTGAATGTCAAAAGCCACAAAAAGATGAGTAAATAAAGCAACAATTATGAACCAGCATAACGGTTATAGTTAACATTTAGAAAGTATAATGAAAACGAATTTGTACCTAACCCATGTTTTATATGTGTGGTCATCATCACAGCCACTGCTTCAGCTATTGATTGATTTTTATGAGTACAAATGATACTTCTGAGACATTTTTCTCAAGTGAGACATTTTCTAAATATATATCTTTATCATCAACATGTCCCACCACCTCAACCCACCCATCTGTACCCACCACCCAGTTTCCCTGTATCTATCAGTATTGTTCAGAAAGTTCTTAAAAATGTTGGCCAGCAGGAACAGTGGCTCACACCTGTAATCCCAGCACTTTGGAAGGCCAAGGCAGGCGGACTACCTCAGGTCAAGAGTTTGAGACCAACATGGCCAACGTGGTGAAACCCCGTTTCTACTAAAACTACAAAATTTAGCCAGGCGTGGTGGCACACGCCTGTAGTCCCAGCTACTCAGGAGGCTGAGGTATGAGAATCGCCTGAACTCAGGAGGCAGAGGTTGCAGTGAGTGGCGATCGCACCACTGTACTCCAGCCTGGGCGACAGAGTGAGACTCTGTCACCAAAAAAAAAAAAAAAGTTAAAGCTGAAAATCCGACCTAAAACATTTCGGCGAAGTGGCTCAAACCTGTAATTCTAGAGCTTTGGGAAGCAGAGGCGGGGAAGATGGCTTGAGCCCAGAAATTCAAGATCAGCCTGGGAAAGATGACGAGATCCTGTCTCTATAAAAAATTTTAAAATTAGCCGGGCACAGTGGCTCACGCCTGTAATCCCAGCACTTTGGTAGGCTGAGGCGGGTGGATCACAAGATCAGGAGTTTGAGACCAGCCTGACCAACATGGTGAAACCTCGTCTCTACTAAAAATACAAAAAATTAGCCGGGCGTGGTGGTGCACGCCTGTAATCCCAGCTACTTAGGAGGCTGAGGCAGGAGAATCGCTTGAATCCGGGAGACGGAGGTTGCAGTGAGCCAAGATCACGCCACTGCACTCCAGCCCAGGCGACAGAGTGAAACTCCGTCTCAAATTAAAAAAAAAAAAAATTTAAAATTAGCCAGGTAGCATACACTACTCAGGAGGCTGAGGTGGGAAGATCACTTGAGCCCAGGAATTTGAGGCTGCAGTGAGCTATGATAGAGCCACTGCACTCTAACCTGGGCAATAAGGCAAGATGTCATCTCTAAATAAAAATAAAAATAAAAGATGTTAGCCAGACAAAAAGGGAAAAAGGGAAGGCAGAAGACACCAGACATTCAAGGAGAAAAGCTGGGATAAGGAAATGACAAGAGTGGGTAATGAAAGATATGACTAGAGGCCCTCCTTCTTTACTGTTTTCTTCAGTAAAATAGGAGAAAAGGAGAGTTCATGGAGGGGAAGAGGAATAAGCAGAATGGATGGCACACTGATATTAAAATTTCCTTTGAGATCGGCTCTTCACCATGCAAGGGGCATTAAAATCTATTTATACTACCTTCAAAACAGTGATGCTTCAGAGAGAAAAAACTAAGCTAGAGAGATGAAGGGTTTTTGGACTCCAAAAGCTTCTCTTACACATAATACCAGAGATTAACACAGACTTTAGATCCTAAATGTAAGAAAAGATACAAAATAACTTTTCAAAATTATTACTGAGTTAGTGAAGACATTTTAAGGAAACAGTTAAAGCAGGTATGGAATATCATGGAGTGGTGGAATGAGATTATAGAAACCTCAGATAAACTGAATAGGAACCCAAAGGTAAAGAGACTTAAGATGTGGTACTTCTAAAAGTACCCAAAAAGGCCCAGGGCCAAAATGAAGATGATGCATTTTATGGACCATTCATCCGCTGGAAGCTATGGCAGGGCCACAAACATAGAACAGTAACAGAATCAGATAAAAGGTGCACCTGAGCAGAGGCCAACAAAGAAACAAGCAAACCCCTCCAGTAACACAAGACCATCCCCCTTCAGAGAAACTTCAGAAACAGAATTAAGAGGGAAAAATGAACTAAGCAGATGATATGTCATTCATCAGAAATGACAAAAGTATATGAAGCCAAGGGAAACCGTAATCAGAATTAAGGGAAAACTCTGACATCTCTGTACTCTCAAATATGTTAGAGATTTTAACAAATTGTAAACTTTTCACATGTAAGTTTGGACCACTAGACAACTCTTACACAGTGCGGGAGAGGAGAAGTACAGATTTCTAAGAGGGAACTTAATCGATACAAACAAGTTTATAAAGTCTCCCTCTACCACTCTATATATCATCTTGCTCCTACAATTCCACTTCTGAAGAAACATAAACCAGTGAGCAAAGATCAATCAGGCTGGGCGTGGTGGCTCACGCCTGTAACCCCAGCACTTTGGGAGGCCGAGGTGCGTGGATCACGAGGTCAGGAGTTTGAGACCAGTCTGGCCAATATAGTGAAATGCCATCTCTACTAAAAAAAATAACAAAAATTAGCCAGGCGTGGTGGCACACGCCTGTAGTCCCAGCTACTCGGGAGGCTGAGGCAGTAGAATCGCTGGAACCTGGGAGGCAGAGGTTGCAGTGAGCCGAGATCGTGCCATTGCACTCCAGCCAGGATGATACAACGAGACTCCGTCTCAGAAAAAAAGATCAATCACAACCACATTCATCTAATTACACAACATAAAAAGACCAAGGAACATGGGTACGTATTGTGTACAAGGGAATTACTTAAGGGACTGTGTCTTATTTTTATTTATTGGAACACATGCTAAAATGTGTTTCTATCTATGGTTTCATTGTACATACACCACTCCCTATAGAAGCTCCCTTTGTCCATTTTCTGACTCATCTTGTTTATTTCACTTTCATCTTTAGGTATAACCAAAATTTGTTAAACTCAACCTAAGGCCGGGCACGGTGGCTCACAGCTGTAATCCCAGCACTTTGGGAGGCCAAGGCAGGTGGATCACTCAGGAGTTTGAGACCAGCCTGACCAACATGGTGAAACCCCGTCTCTACTAAATACAAAAAATTAGCTGGGTATGGTGGTACATGCCTGTAGTCCCAGCTACTTGGGAGGCTGAGGCAGGATAATCACTTGAACCCAGGAAGCAGAGGTTGCAGTGAGCTGAGACCGCGGCATTGCACTCTAGCCTAGGCAACAAGAGCAAAACTGTTTCCAAAAAAAAAAAAACTCAACTTAAATTCTGTTTACCATAGGTATAATAACTACATTTATTCTTTTTTCTTGAGACAGTGTCTCACTCTGTTGTCTAGGCTGGAGTGCAGTGGGGCGATCACAGCTCACTGCAGCCTCAACCTCCTGGGCTCAAGATATCCTCTCGCTTCAGCCTCCCAAAGTGCTGGGATTATAGGCATGAGTGACTACGTCTGTCCAGGTTACTCTTTTTGCAAATATAAGTATATAATAAGTACAAAACAGATCAAAAAGAAACAAATCAAAGTGTTCAACCATAATGTTAAATCTGAAGTTACTGCTTGGGTTTTTGTTTTTCTCCCCATTTTACCACCAAGTCAATCATTAGTTTGGTTATAAACTTGAAGGACTGAGAGAGAGAGGCTTCGGGACTGAGGCCCTGGGGTTTACAGCAGGTTATGAGCTGCATAGCCTTTGGCTAGGAGGTTCCTGCGCTAGCTGAAGTTTTCTCTGAAGTTTTCTCATCGGTAAAATGGGATATCAGTGCATCATAGGGTTGTTATGATAACGAAAGAAGAAAGGTAGGGCACTTAGCACAGTTCTTGGTAAAGAGAGTTCATTAAATCAAAGTGAACTCGGCCAGGCGTGGTGGCTCACGTTGGTAATCTCAACGCCTTGGGAGGCCAAGGCAAGTGTATCACCTGAAGTTAGGAGTTTGAGACCAGCCTGGCCAACATGGTAAAACCCCATCTCTACTAATACAAAAAATTGGCCGGGCATGGTGGCCGGGCAGCGGCTGTGGTCCCAACTACTCAGGAGACTGAGGAACGAGAATTGCTTGAATCCAGGAGGTGGAAGTTGCAGTGAGCAGAGATCACACCACTGCACTCCAGCCTGGGCAGCAGACTGAAACCCTGTCTCGGAAAAAAAGAAACTGAAGGTTTTTTTCAGGGGGTAAGAGAGAGAAAAAGTATTTCAGTGTTCTTTCAGGCTTGAAAATACTAAAATTTAAAGTGTTAATTTATTTACAAAAAAACTTGAAAAATGTTTCATTGTGAAAAAACTTAAATAGCAAGTATTGCAGAAGAAACAAGGCCCCTGAAATCCTAACATATGGAGAGGAGCTCTGATCACATTTTTGTGAAAACCACTTAAGACTTGCCTTTCTGTTGGATATATGCATAAGTTTACATAAAATGAATTACCTATACATGCTTTTTTTCAGATATCCAATGTACTCAATGTAAAATGGCACCATTTTACGCACTGCATGCATGCACAATAATTTTTTTAACCATACCAACTGGTATACATCTGGGGTTTTCATGTTTTCTGTAATTATATATAACATCAACTACGTATTTGTGACTGATCTTTCCTCATTGTGGCTGATCTTTTCTTAGAACTGTGGAAACAAGGTAAAATATACAGTACTAAAAAAAACATGGTGACTTAAGGGCTGGGCAAGGTGGCTTTTGCCTGTAATCCCAGCACTCTGGCAGACTGAAGTGGGAGGATCATTTGAGGCCAGGAATTCCAGGTTACAATGAGCTATGATCGTGCCACTGCACTCCAACCTGGGTAAGAGCAGAACTTGCCTTAAAAAAAAAAAAAAAAAAAGGTGGCTTAAAAGATAATGCAATATTTTGCACATGTAATTTCTTTTTTTTGAGACAGGGTCTTGTTCTATTGCCCAGGCTGCCATGCAGTGGCATGATCACTGCTCATTGCAGCCTCGACCTACAAGGCTCAAGTGATCCTCCCACCTCAGCCTCCCACGTACCTGGGACTACAAGTGTGCACCACCATGCTTAGCTAATTTTTTTATTTTTCTTTTGTAGAGATAGGGTTTTGCCATGTTGCCCAAGCTACACATAATTTTTAAAACGAAGAATGTGTAATGATGATGACAATTTATTTCTGCACTGAATCACCCTTATAGACATGTACCATTTTGTGATGGTTTTTCATTTTAGCTCAGTTGCATATTTATAAGCATGGTTGAGAATAGTTGAATAGTAATGATAAAATAATTATCAGGATGCAGCCACGACAAACATGGTGAAACCCTGTCTCCAGTAAAAATTCAAAAGTTAGCTGGGTGTGGTGGTGCGCACCTGTAATCACAGCTACTCAGGAGGTTGAGGCACAGGAATCACTTGAACCCAGAAGGCAGAGGTTGCAGTGAGCCAAGATCATGCCATGCACTCCACCCTGGGTGACAGAATGAGAGCCCATCTCAAAAATAATAATAATAATAATAATTATTATTATTATTATTATTACCAGGATGACGATATTAATAAAATATTTTATGATGGAGAAAAAATAAAATCACTAGGATCTGATAATGATATCTTAGATTTACAAAATGACACAATAGATCCATGTGGTAATTTTAAGAAAAGGGATCTAATTTTTTTTTTTTTTTTTTTGAGAGACGGGTCTCACGACGTTGCTCAGGCTAGTCTCGAACTCCCGGGCTCAAGCAAACCTCAGCCTTCAGAGTAGCTGGGACTACAGGTGCCTACTACTACACTCAGCTTGTTTTAATTTTTTTAATTTTTCTTTTTGTTCTTTTGAAGACCTCTAAGAAATAAGGAAGTATCAGTCTTTACAAATAACTACAAATAACAAATAAGGAAATATCAATCTTTACAAAAAAAAGAAAGCAAAAAACTAAAACTGGATCCAATTAGCACTGATAGTATATCAAGGGTTAATGTTGCTTTCCTAAAAAGTTAAGTAGCAATTTATACTTATCAGCAGGTTTTCCTAGATAACTCATTATTTTCAACAGGCAATGGAAATATTATAATGTTTTTCTTAAAGAATTTTTTTTGTCTAAAAGTAATCTCATTTAATGGAAAGATATGATAAAGCAAATAAAATGTTGGAAAAAGTAATCCCTTTCAAATATAAATATAAAATAGGAAAAGTACAAAATTATTTTTGTACTCTTCTGCACAGGAAAAGTGTGCAGAAAAGAGTTTTAAAAAGCAAGCCTGCAGCTGGGCGCAGTGGCTCACGCCTGTAATCCCAGGACTTTGGGAGGCTGAGGCAGGCGGATGACTTATGGTCAGGAGTTCGAGACCAGCCTGGTCAACATAGTGAAACCCCGTCTCTACTAAAAATACAAAAATTAGCCAGGTGTGGTGGTGAACATCTGTAATCCCAGCTATTCAGGCAGCTGAGGCACATGAATCGCTTGAATCCAAGAGGCAGAGGTTGCAGTGAGCCAAGAACATGCCACAGAACTGCACCCTGAGTGACAGAGTGAGACCCTGTCTCAAATCAATCTATCAATCAATCAATCAATCAATCCTACCAGCCAAGAGCGGTGGCTTGTGTCTGTAATCCTAGCACTTTGGGAGGCCAAAACGAGCAGATCACTTGAGCCCAAGAGTTCAAGGCCAGCCTGGGCCACATGGCGAAAATACAAAAAGTAAAAAAATTAGCCAAGTCTGGTGGCACATGCCTGTGGTCCCAGCTACTCGGAAGGCTGAGGTGGGAGGATCATGTGAGCCTGAGGAGGCTGAGGGCATAGTGACCTATGATCGCATTCAGCCTGGGTGAGAGTAAGACCTTATCTCCAAAAAAAAGCTATCAATAAGAAATCGTTAGTTAACTGGGTGTGGTGGTGCATGCCTATAGTCCCAGCAGCTTGGGAGCCTGAGGTGGGAGGATGACTTGAGCCTAGCAGGTTGAGGCTGCAACGAGCTGTGATAATGCCACTGCGCTCCAGCCTGGGAGGCACACTGAGACATTGCCTCGAGGAAAAAAAAAGAAAAAAAAAAAGGACAAGAACAATGGCTCACACACTTGTAATCCCAGCACTCTGGGAGGCTGAGGCCAGCTGAGACAGGTGGATTGCTTGAGCTCAGGAGTTGAAGACCAGCCTGGACAAAATGACAAAATCCACCTCTACAAAAAATACAAAAAGTAGGCCTGGAGTAGTGGCTCATGTCTGTAATCCCAGCACTCTAGGAGGCTGAGGCAGGCACATCACCTAAGGCCAAGAGTTCAAGACCAGCCTAGCCAACATGGTGAAACCCCAGCTCTATTAAAAATACGAAAAAAAATAAAAAATTAAAAAATAAAAATAAAATGGAAAAGCAAGATCTATGACAATCTGAAGAAAGAGCATTCTCTAAGGAAAGAGAATAAGAGCACAATCTCTGACAAGATTGTGTTGTAAAACAGCAGATATAGCACGAATTTCAGTTTTAGTATCAATGCTTAATAGTCGAAAGTAAGTTTTAAAATGCTTACAAATCAGCAACTAAGTTCCATAGAGCCAGGAAACAAAATTTTTTAAATTTTAGGGATCAATTCCCTAAACCCTAAATTCCCTAAACCCTAAAACATCTGAATGATCCCAACCAATAGCTGACAGCACCATACAATAAGCAAATACAAAGAACCTAAATAGCCAAAAAAATTTTTGAAAAAATAAAATTGGATGATTATACTACCTGATTTCAAAGCTTAGGGTAAATATGGTAATTAAGCAAGTACAATTTTGGAACTGACAAACTGGTCAATGAAACAAAAAAGTACAGATTTTTTTTTTCCTGGTAACAAAGGGGAAATCATAAATTTTTTCAATTAATGGTGCTGGAACAACTGGAGACCTGCACGGTAACAAGGATTTTTACGTCACACTCAAAATGTATAAATGTAAAAGCTATAAAATTTCTCAAGAAAACATGAGAAAAGCTCTGCAATCTTAAGCAAAGATCATACAAGGACACAAAAAGAACAAACCATACAAGAAAAAAATTGATGAAATTTGGACTTCATAAAATATAAAAACATCTGCTCTTTGAGGGTCACTGTTAAAGTTAAAAAACTTTACAGATGCAATGGCTCACACCTGTAATTCCAGCACTTTGGGAGGCCAAGACAGGAGGATAGTTTAAGCTCAGGAGTTAGGGACCAGCCTGGGTGACATAGCAAGACCTCATATCTACTTTAAAAAAAAATTCAAAAAATTAGCCAGGCATGGTGGCACATGCCTGTAGTCCTAGCTACTCAGCAGGCTGAGGAAGGAGAATCATTTGAGCCCAGGAGGTCAAGGCTGCAGTGAGCCGAGATCACTCCACTGCACTTTGGCCTGAGTGACAGAGCAAGACCGTGTCCCCCCCCAAAAAAATAAATAAATAAAAATAAAAGAAAATTTAAAAACAAGCCACAGACTGGCAGGAAGATTTATAATACAGACTTATCTAGATTTCATAATTCAGTAAGAAGACAATCTGCCCAATTAAAAATAACAAGCAGGGGACGGGCGTGGTGGCTCACGCCTGTAATCCCAGCACTTTGGGAGGCTGAGGCGGGCGGATCACAAGGTCAGGATATCGAGACCATCCTGGCTAACATGTGAAACCCTGTCTCTACTAAAAATACAAAAAAAATTAGCCGGACATGGTGGCTGGCGCCTGTAGTCTCAGCTACTCAGGAGGTTGAGGCAGGAGAATGGCGTGAACCCGGGAGGCAGAGCTTGCAGTGAGCCGAGATCACGCCACTGCACTCCAGGCTGGGCAACAGAGCAAGACTCTGTCTCAAATAAAAGAAAAGAAAAAAAAATGAATAAGGGGGACATCTAAAAAAATGGACAAAAAATTTTAGATATTTCAGGAAAGATATATAATTGGCCAAAAAGCACATGAAAAGATGCTCATCATTAGTCATCAGGAAAATAAAATTTAAATCACAATGAGATTGCGCTAAACTAACTAGAATATCTAAGTCTAAAAACACCAAGTGGCAACTGGGCACAGTGGCTCACACCTGTAATCCCAGCGCTTAGGGAAACCGAAGCAGGTGGATCACTTGAGGCCAGGAGTTCCTGACCAGCCTAGCCAACGTGGCGAAACCCCATCTCTACTGCAAAAAAAAAAAAAAAATTAGCCAGGCATAGTGGTGCATGCCTGTAGTCCCAGCTACTCAGGAGGCTGAGGCACAATAATCACTTGAACTCGGGAGGCAGAGGTTGTAGCAGCCGACATGGAACCACTGCACTCCAGCCTGGGTGACACATTAAGACTCTGCCTCAAAAAGCAAATTAACAAAAAATTAATAATAGGCTGGGCGCGGTGGCTCACGCCTGTAATCTCAGCACTTTGGGAGGCCAAACTGAGGTCTGGAGTTAGAGACCACCCTCACCAACACGTAGAAACCCCGTCTAACGGCCGGGCGCAGTGGCTCACGCCTGTAATCCCAGCACTTTGGGAGGCCGAGGCAGGTGGATCACGAGGTCAGGAGATCAAGACCATCCTGGCTAACACAGTGAAACCCCGTCTCTACTAAAAATACAAAAAATTAGCCGGGCGTGGCGGCATGAGCCTGTAGTCCCAGCTACTCGGGAGGCTGAGGCAGGAGAATGGTGAACCCAGGAGGCGGAGCTTGAAGTGAGCTGAGATCGCGCCACTGCACTCCGGCCTGGGGGACAGAGCGAGACTCCGTCTCAAAAAAAAACCCCGTCTTACTAAAAACACAAAATTAGCTGGGCATGGTGGCGCATGCCTGTAATCCCAGCTATCTGGGAGGCTGAGCCAGGAGAATCGCTTGAACCCGGGAGGCAGACGTTGCAGCGAGCTGAGATCGCGCCATTGCACTCCAGCCTGGGCAACAAGAGCGAAAACTCCGTCTCAAAAAATAATAATAAAATAAAATAAAAATAATAAAAATAAAAAATAAAAACACCAAGTGTGGGTAAAATGTGGAGTAACTAGAAGTCACTCACTCATTGCTGGTAGGAATGTAAAATGATACAACCACCACGGAAAAGAACTTGGCAGTTTCTTATACAATTAAACATACAGCAATTTACCCCTAAATATTTACCTAAGCCACATGAAAGCCTAATATTCACAAGAAGCCTTGTAAACAAATACTCATAGTAGCTTTATTCACAATGGCCAGTAGTTGTAAGCAACTCAAATATCCATCCATATGTCACGGACAAAACATAGTTATGTCCATACCATGGAATATGACTCAGCCATAAAAAGGAACAAAATACTATACACACAAAGATATGAATGAAATCTCATAAACATATGCTGAGCAAGAGAAGCCAGACACAGAAGAATACATACTATATGATTTCACTTAATATTAGAAAACACAAAACTTATTTATAAATAAGAAATAGCTATCTAAGGCAGGTAGAGTGCAGAATAACTGTAAAAGGGCACAAGGGAACTTCTGTGGGGTAACGGAAGTGTTCTGTATTTTTATTATGGCAGTGTGTTACATGAGTACATATGTTTGTTAAAACTCACTGAGCTCAGCCGGGTGAAGTGGCTCACACCTGTAATCCCAGCACTTTGGGAGGCTCAGGCAGGTGGATTACTTGAGGTCAGGAGTTCGAGACCAGCCTGGCCAACATGGTGAAACCCCGTCTCTACAAAAATACGGGCCAGGCATGGTGGCTCATGCATGTAATCCCAGCACTTTGGGAGGCCAAGGTGGGTGGATCACCTGAGGTCAGCAGTTCCAGACCAGCCTGCCCAACATGGTGAAACCCCATCTCTACTAAAAATATAAAAATTAGCCGGACACAGTGGTTCACGCTTGTAATCCCAACTACTCGGGAGGCTGAGGCAGGAGAATCACTTGAACCCAGCAAGACTCCATCTCAAAAGAAAAAAATACAAAAGATTAGCCAGGCATGGTGGTGCACACCTGTAATCCCAGCTGCTCAAGTGGCTGAGGAAGGAGAATTGCTTGAACCTGGGAGGCAGAGGTTACAGTGAGTCAAGATCGCCACTGCACTGCAGCCTGGGCGACAGAGTGAGACTCGTCTCCAAAAAAAAAAACAAACAAAAAAAACACCTCATTGAGCTCTACAACAGAATGTCTTTTATTATTTTATTATTATTTTTAATTTTCTTTTTAAATAGAGACAGGGTCTCACTGCAACTTTGACCTCCTGAGCTCAAGTGATCCTCCCATCTCAGCCTCCTGAGTAGCTGGGACTACAGCGCAAATAGCTGAGACTACTGTGCACTCCACCACGCTGCCCCCAAGATGTTTTTATGTTGTTGTTGTTTTTGGTTTTGTTTTTTAGGCAGAGTCTCGCTCTGTCGCCCAGTCTGGAGTGCAGTGGCACAATCTGGACTCACTGCAACCTCCGCCCCCCGGGTTCAACCGATTCTGGTGACTCACCCTCCCAAGTAGCTGGGATTACAGGCACGCAGCACCAAGCCCGGCTAATTCCTCATATTTTTAGTAGAGACAGGGTTTCGCCATTTGCCCAGGCTGGTCTCGAACTCCTGAGCTCAGGCAATCCACCCGCCTGGGCCTCCCAGAGTGCTGGGATTACAGGCATAAGCCACCGCGCCTGGCCCAAGGTACTATTTTTTTTGAGACAAGGTCACTCGGTCACCTAGGCTGGAGTAGAGTGGCATGATCTGGGATCACTGCAACCTCTGCCTCCAGGGTTCAAGCAATTATCATGCCTCAGCCTCCTGAGTAGGTGGGATTACAGGGATGTGTCACCACGCCCAATTAATTTTTGTATTTTTAGAAGAGATGAGGTTTTGTTTTTTTTTTTGAGACAGAGTCTGTCACCCAGGCTGGAGTGCAGTGGCATGATCTCGGCTCACTGCAACCTCCGACTCCCGGAGTCAAGTGATTCTTGAGCCTCAGCCTCCCCAGTAGCTGGGACTACAGGCATGCACCACCACGCCCGGCTAATTTTTGTATTTTTAGTAGAGATGGGGTTTCATGCCATGTTGGCCAGGCTGGTCATGAACTCCTGACCTGAGGTGATCCGCGCACTGAAAGTCTGGGGCTTGAGCCACTGCACCCCTGAGGTGCTTTTTATTAATGTAAATTAGGTGTCAATAAAGCTGATTACAATTTCTGAAAGGATTACCTTAAGTTTATAGATTTTACTTTGTATATATGTTCATTAAGTTAAATGAAATAATACAAAACACTGCAGAGATTTAAACTCTGAAGTTTGAAGAAAGTACATGACTCTTGACTCCTACCAGTACACGAAAATTTCTTATTTATATTCACTGAATATTTACTCAACACCTACTTACCATATGCTAGTATGAACTGCAATGAAAGACAGAATTCCAAAACAGAGAGAAGCCCATATGTAACTGGATAGAAGAAGGACAAGATATTTAAAACTTACGTTGTTAGCAAGAATGCCCCATCACCACATCTTTCCAGAGCCTTTCGTGCAGGAGGTTTTGCTGCAAACTCTACAAAACCTTTTCCTGTAGCTCTACCGCGATCATCCACAACCACAACAGCTTTCTCTACTGGACCAAACTGAGAAAATGCTTGCTCTAGCAGCTCATTGGAAACAACTGGAGAAAGGTTCTTGACAGTCAAGGCTGCTCCATGTGTAGCGAAGCGAATCCGTAGAGGTCTGCTCTTGAGAATGGTGCCGTCCAGCTCTGCTTTTGCAATTTCAGCCAGGGTTCTGGATTCCTTTTTAGGAAGAAAAAACATTTTTAAAAGATGACAGTAACAGAAAAAATTCAAAACAGTGTTTGGCTTCTAGGGAGAACTAGGTATCTTTAGCAAATGGCTGACAGGGTCAATTTGATTTTGTATCTTTTAACTTTGGTATCACATGGTTTTTAACTATTCAATGATCATTTTAAACATTTTAATTAAAAGGTCCCAACTCCATTGTTTTGTTAAAAGTAATCATTTAAAGATTAGCTCTTCATAAGGCCAGTTACCAACTATTAAATATTCAAAGCAATATAGTTTTAAAATCTCCTACATATATTAAGAACACATATTAACAACTTGACTAGAGGCTGGGCACAGTGGTTCACCCCTGTAATCCCAGCACTTTGAGAGGCTGAGGCGGGCGGATCACCTGAGGTCAGGAGTTTGAGACCAGCCTGGCCAACAGGGTGAAATCCCACCTCTACTAAAAATACAAAAATTAGCTGGGCGTGGTGGCGGGTGCCTTAATCCCAACTACCTGGGAGGCTTAGGCAAGAGATCTCTTGAACCTAGGAGGCAGAGGTTGCAGTGAGCTGAGATGGCGCTACTGCACTCCAGCCTGGTGAACAGAGCAAGACTCTGTCTCGGAAAAAATAAAAATAAAAAAACAATAATAACTTGACTAGAAACTATCAACAAAGGAATAATTCTCCATACCCTTTATGTTTTTATCTCATTTTTTTTTTTTTTTTTTGAGACAGAATCTGGCACTGTCACCCGGGCTAGAGTACAATGGCGTAATCTCGGCTCACTGTAACCTCTGCCTCCTGGGTTCAAGAGATTCTCCTGCCTTGGCTTCCCAAGTAGCTGGGATTACAGGTGCCCGCTACCACGCCCAGCTAATTTTTTGTATTTTTAGTAGAGACGGGGTTTCACCATGTTGGCCTGAACTCCTGACTCCAGATTTGCCCACCTCAGCTTCCCAAAGTGCTGGGATTACAGGCGTGAGCCACCGCACCCGGCCTGTTTTTTATATCTTAACAAAACATCCCACCTCTCTACAGCCAGACAAATCACCTTTTCTTTTTATTTTCATTTCTCTTCAATTTTATATGTAAAAACTGTTAGTTCTTGGGTTTTTTTTTCAGGGGAGGGAGGTGTCTGAGACAGGGTCTTACTCTGGTGCCCAGGCTGGAGTACAGTGGCACAATCATAGCTTACTGCAGCCTCAAACTTTGGGGCTCAAGGGATCTTCCTGCCTCCCGAGTAGCTGGGTTTCCGGGTGCATGCCACCAAGCATGGCTAATTTTTTAATTTTCTGTAGAGATGGGGGGGTCTCACTATATTCCCCATGCTGGTCTCTCGAACTCCTGGCCTCAAACAGTCCTCTCGCCTTAGCCTCCCAAAGTGTAAGATTACAGGTGTGAGCCATCTTGCCCTAGCCAATGTCTTCTTAATGACTTCTCCTGAAATACTGGCATGGGTTACACATTTCTCACTATTACATGAAGAGAAACAAAGGCAACATTCACGAGCTATAATAGTTCTCGCCATTATATAAAGTGTACATATACACTTACTATAAACTAAAAAATATGCTCATTGCTGAAACTACAAGGTAAGAGAACTTCCTTCTACTGGGAGAATTCAAAGTTGGTGTAGAATATGGGCAGCACCTAAAACAATAAATAAGGAACTGGTAAATTTAACAGAAGTATGTCTTTTTCATTGTGTTATGGGAACTCTCCAAGGACAACTGAAGAGGCTTTATATGTATATGTAAGAAGAATACAAACATACTGTCTTATGAAAATTGTCTTAAGGTCACAAGAGCTCTTTATTCAATCCCTAAAATGTTCATGACAGCTTGAAATTATTGCCCTTTATTGCAAAAATCTACCTATAGAATTATTTTTACAAAAACAAATGAAGTTACCCTTTTTAGAGATATAGTCATCCCTCTGTATCCATGGATTCAACCAAAAGTGGATCAAAAATATTTGGGGCCAGGCCCAATGGCTCACACCTGTAATCCCAGCACTTTGGGAGGCTGAGGCAGGTAGATCACTTGAGGTCAGGAGTTCAAGACCGGCCTCCTGGCCAACATGGCAAAACCTAGTCTCTATCAAAAAATACAAAAATTAGCCGGGGCATGGTGGTAAGCGCCTGTAGTCCCAGCTACTTGGGGGACTGAGGTGGGAGAATCTCTTGAACCCAGAAGGCAGAGGTTGCAGTGAGCCAAGATCACACCACTGCACTCCAGCCTGGGTGTCAGGGACAGACTCTGTGTCCAAAAAAAAAAAAACAAAAAAAAAAAAGAAAAAGAAAAAGAAAGAAAGAAAAGCAAACATTTGGGAAAGAAACAATTTAAAATTGACAGGCAGGGTAAGGGGGCTCACACCTGTAATCCCAGCACTTTGGGAAGCCAAAACAGGAAGAATCCTTGAGGCCAGGAGTTTAAGACCAGCCTAGGCAACATAGCAAGACCTCTTCTTTATTCCTTTAAAATAAAAAAATAAAATTTAAATAAAAGAAACTAAATAGGCTGGGCGCAGTGGCTCATGCCTGTAATCCCAGCACTTTAGGAGGCCGAGGCGGGCAGATCACGAGGTCAGGAGTTCGAGACCAGCCTAGCCAGCATAGTGAAACCCCGTCTCTACTAAAAATACAAAAAAAAACAAAAACAAAAATTAGCCAGGCATGTGGCACGGGCCTGTAGTCCCAGCTACTCAGGAGGCTGAGGCAGGAGAATTGCTTGAACCCGTGAGGCAGAGGTTGCAGTGGGCTGAGACAGTGCCACTACACTCACGCCTGGGTGACAGAGCGAGACTCCGTCTCAAAAAAATAAATAGACAAAAAAAAAAAATAAACCAAATAATACAGCATAACAGCTATTCATACAGCATTTACATTGTACTAGGTATTACAAGTAATCTAGAGATGATTTAAAGTATACAGGAGGATTGCATGGGTAACATGGAAAAACAATGCCATTTTTACACAGTATAAGGATTTGAGCATCTACGAATTTTAGTACTGGAGGAGGTCCTAGAATCAATCCCCCACAGATACTGAGGGATAATTGCATTCTAAACAGTCGTTTTGTTTATTGCTTTTAACTCACTAGTAACAGTAGTAGCAGCAAGCACTTAATAAACACCTAAAAAGAGATGGGTACTTTCTTACCTAATACATCATATAATCCAACAACTCTTAAGAGGTAGACTTTAGAAACAGTTTTGAAAGTGAGAATAGGGCTGGGCACAGTGGCTCACGCCTGTAATCCCAACACTTTGGGAGGCCGAGGCAGGAGAATCACGAGGTCAGGAGATTGAGACCATCCTGGCTAACACAGTGAAACCCCGTCTCTACTAAAAGTACAAAAAAATTAGCCGGACGTGGCAGTGTGCGCCTGTAGTCCCAGCTGCTGGGGAGGCTGAGGCAGGAGAATGGTGTGAACACGGGAGGCGGAACTTGCAGTGAGCCGCGATCGCACCACTGCACTCCAGCATGGGTGACAGAGCAAGACTCCATCTCAAAAAAAAAATAAAATAAAATGAGAATAGGAAGAAATATGAAGACATTTAATGGGGTGATAATATGTATATTTTGATAGGGGTTTGAGTTAAACAGACATATACATTTGTCAAAATTCACAAACCAGTGGCTAGGCATGGTGGCTCACACTTGTCATCCTAACACTTTGGGAAGCTGAGGAGGAGGGATCATGTAAGCCCAGGAGTTTGAGACCTGCCTGGGCAACATAATGAGAGAGACCTTGTCTCTACAAAAAATAAACAAAATTAGCTGGGTGTGGTGGTGTGTGCCTGCGGTCCCAGCAACCTGAGGGGCTGAGGTGTGAGGATCACTTCAGCCCCGGAAGTGGAGGCTAGAGTGAGCCATGATCATGCCACTGCACTCTAGTCTGGGCACTCTGTCTCAAGAGAAAAAACAAAAATCACCAACCAGTACACTTAAAATGTGTACCCTTTACTATATGCAAATTTTTTTTTTTTTGAGATGGAGTCTCACTCTGTCACCCAGGCTGGAGTGCAGCTGCGCAATCTCACTGCAAGCTCCGCCTCCTGGGTTCACGCCATTCTCCTGCCTCAGCCTCCCGGGTAGCTGGGACTACAGGTGCCTGCAACCACAATTGGCTAATTTTTTGTATTTTTAGTAGAGACGAGGTTTCACTGTGTTAGCCAGGATGGTCTCGATCTCCTGACCTCATGATACGCCTGCCTCGGCCTCCCAAAGTTCTGGGATTACAGGCGTGAGCCACCGCGCCCGGCCTACTATATGTAAATTTTTAAAACCCTAAAAAATAATATGCCGGGCATGGTGGCTCATGCCTGTAATCCCAGCACTTTGGGAGGCCGAGACAGGTGGATCACCTGAGGTCAGGAGTTCAAGACCAGCCTGGCCAACATGGTGAAACCCTATCTCTACTAAAAATACAAAAATCAGCCTGGGCTGGTGTCATGCCTGTAATTCCAGCTATTCAGGAGGCTGAGGAGTGAGAATCGCTTGAACCTGGGGAGGCAAGGCTGCAGTGAGCCCAGTGTGCCACTGCACTCCAGCCTGGGTGACAGCGAGGCTCCATCTAAAAAAAAAAAAAAAAAAAGAGGCCAGGCACAGTGGCTCACACCTGTACACCTGTAATCCCAGCACTTTGGGAGGCTGAGGCGGGTGGATCACCTGAGGTCAGGAGTTCGAGACCAGCCTGGCCAACATGGTGAAACCCCATCTCTACTAAAAATACAAAAATTAGCCGGGCATGAAGGCGGGCGCCTGTAATTCCAGCTACTCCAGAGGCTGAGGTAGGAGAATCGCTTTAGTCCAGGAGGCGGGGGTTGCAGTGAGCCAAGATCACACCGCTGCACTCCAGCCTGGGCGACACAGCAAGACCTCAGCTCAAAAAAAAAAAAAAAAAAAAAAGATAACTTTTACATAAAAATTTTCACCAAATGGCGAGCTGTCTCTGATGTCCAAAAAATAAATAAATGCATTTATAATGTTCAAAATGTAATGATTATTTAACCTGAATTTTAAGGAAATTTCCATATTTCATTATTATTAATAGTTTGCGAATATTTACCCTTCTCTTGAAGCCACTTACATGTTGAAGTGTTTGCCCTAAAAAATACAGTCTCACCAGGCACAGTGGCTCACACCTGTAATCCCAGCACTTTGGGAGGCCAAGGCAGGCGGATCACAAGGTGAGGAGTTTCAGACCAGCCTGACCAGCATGATGAAACCCCATCTCTACTAAAAATACAAAAATTAGCCAGGCCTGGTGGCACACACCTGTAGTCCCAGCTACTCAGGAGGCTGAGGCAGGAGAATCGCTTGAACCAGGGAGGCAGAGGTTGCAGTGAGTCGAGATCGCGCTACTGCACTCCAGCCTGGGCGACAGAGTGAGACTCCCTCTCAAAAAAACAGTCCCTTGGCTGGGCGCCGTGGCTCACCCCTGAAATCCAAGAACTTTGGGAGGCCAAGGCGGGCGGATCACGAGGTCAATAGGTCAAGACCATCCTGGCCAACATGGTGAAACCCCGTCTCTACTAAAAATACAAAAATTAGCTGGGCGTGGTTGCATGCGCCTGTAGTCCCAGCTACTCCAGAGGCTGAGGCAGGAGAATCGCTTGAACCCAGGAGGTGGAGGTTGCAGTGAACCAAGATCCCGCCACTGCACTCCAACGTGGTGACAGAGCAAGATTCCGTCTCAAAAAAAAAAAATTACACTATCTTAAAGGTTTTAGAAGATTAATTTTTTAAAAAAGAAAAAAATTAATAAAAATACCGTACCATGTAATTACAATTTTCTCTACATATTAAGACCTCTCCCTCTCCCCCTCCCCCTCCCCCTCCCCCTCCCCCTCCCTCTCCCTCTCCCCACGGTCTCCCTCTCATGCGGAGCCGAAGCTGGACTGTACTGCTGCCATCTCGGCTCACTGCAACCTCCCTGCCTGATTCTCCTGCCTCAGTCTGCCGAATGCCTGCAATTGCAGGCACGCGCCGCCACGCCTGACTGGTTTTGGTGGAGACGGGGTTTCGCTGTGTTGGCCGGGCCGGTCTCCAGCCCCTAACCGCGAGTGATCCGCCAACCTCGGCCTCCCGAGGTGCCGGGATTGCAGACGGAGTCTCGTTCACTCAGTGCTCAATGGTGCCCAGGCTGGAGTGCAGTGGCGTGATCTCGGCTCGCTACAACCTACACCTCCCAGCCGCCTGCCTTGGCCTCCCAAAGTGCCGAGATTGCAGCCTCTGCCCGGCCGCCACCCCGTCTGGGAAGTGAGGAGTGTCTCTGCCTGGCCGCCCATCGTCTGGGATGTGAGGAGCCCCTCTGCCTGGCTGCCCAGTCTGGAAAGTGAGGAGCATCTCCGCCCGGCCGCCATCCCATCTAGGAAGTGAGGAGCGCCTCTTCCCAGCCGCCATCACATTTAGGAAGTGAGGAGCGTCTCTGCCCGGCCGCCCATCGTCTGAGATGTGGGGAGCGCCTCTGCCCCGCTGCCCCATCTGGGATGTGAGGAGCGCCTCTGCCCGGCCGAGACCCCGTCTGGGAGGTGAGGAGCGTCTCTGCCCGGCCGCCCCGTCTGAGAAGTGAGGAGACCCTCTGCCTGGCAACCGCCCCGTCTGAGAAGTGAGGAGCCCCTCCGCCCGGCAGCTGCCCCGTCTGAGAAGTGAGGAGCCTCTCCGCCCGGCAGCCACCCCATCTGGGAAGTGAGGAGCGTCTCCGCCCGGCAGCCACCCCGTCCGGGAGGGAGGTGGGGGGGGTCAGCCCCCCGCCCGGCCAGCCGCCCCATCCGGGAGGGACGTGGGGGGTCAGCCCCCCCGCCCGGCCAGCCGTGCCGTCCGGGAGGGAGGTGGGGGGGTCAGCCCCCCGCCCGGCCAGCCGCCCCGTCCGGGAGGTGAGGGGCGCCTCTGCCCGGCCGCCCCTACTGGGAAGTGAGGAGCCCCTCAGCCCGGCCAGCCACCCCGTCCGGGAGGGAGATGGGGGGGTCAGCCCCCCCACCCGGCCAGCCGCCCCGTCCCGGAGGGAGGTGGGGGGGTCAGCCCTCCGCCCGGCCAGCCGCCCCGTCTGGGAGGTGAGGGGCGCCTCTGCCCGGCCGCCCCTACTGGGAAGTGAGGAGCCCCTCTGCCCGGCCAGCCGCCCCGTCCGGGAGGGAGGTGGGGGGGTCAGCCCCCCGCCCGGCCAGCCACCCTGTCTGGGAGGGAGGTGGGGGGGGGTCAGCCCTCCGCCCAGCCAGCCGGCCCGTCTGGGAGGTGAGGGGCGCCTCTGCCCGGCCGCCCCTACTGGGAAGTGAGGAGCCCCTCTGCCCGGCCAGCCGCCCCATCCGGGAGGGAGGTGGGGGGGTCGGCCCCCCGCCCGGCCAGCCGCCCCGTCCGGGAGGGAGGTGGGGGTGTCGGCCCCCCGCCCGGCCAGCCGCCCCGTCCGGGAGGGAGGTGGGGGGGTCGGCCCCCCGCCCGGCCAGCCGCCCCGTCCGGGAGGGAGGTGGGGGGGGTCAGCCCCCCTGCCCGGCCAGCCGCCCCGTCCGGGAGGTGAGGGGCGCCTCTGCCCGGCCGCCCCTACTGGGAAGTGAGGAGCCCCTCTGCCCGGCCAGCCGCCCCGTCCGGGAGGGAGGTGGGGGGATCAGCCCCCCGCCCGGCCAGCCGCCCCGTCCGGGAGGGAGGTGGGGGGGGTCAGCCCCCCCGCCCGGCCAGCCACCCCGTCCGGGAGGTGAGGGGCGCCTCTGCCCGGCCGCCCCTACTGGGAAGTGAGGAGCCCCTCTGCCTGGCCACCACCCCGTCTGGGAGGTGTGCCCAACAGCTCATTGAGAACGGGCCAGGATGACAATGGCGGCTTTGTGGAATAGAAAGGCGGGAAAGGTGGGGAAAAGATTGAGAAATCGGATGGTTGCCGTGTCTGTGTAGAAAGAAGTAGACATGGGAGACTTTTCATTTTGTTCTGCACTAAGAAAAATTCCTCTGCCTTGGGAATCCTGTTGATCTGACCTTACCCCCAACCCTGTGCTCTCTGAAACATGTGCTGTGTCCACTCAGGGTTAAATGGATTAAGGGCGGTGCAAGATGTGCTTTGTTAAACAGATGCTTGAAGGCAGCATGCTCGTTAAGAGTCATCACCAATCCCTAATCTCAAGTAATCAGGGACACAAACACTGCGGAAGGCCGCAGGGTCCTCTGCCTAGGAAAACCAGAGACCTTTGTTCACTTGTTTATCTGCTGACCTTCCCTCCACTATTGTCCCATGACCCTGCCAAATCCCCCTCTGTGAGAAACACCCAAGAATTATCAATAAAAAAATAAATTAAAAAGATTTTGTATCGTCCAGACAGAGAACCCAATTTTGAAAATCAAAGTTCCAGGCCGGACACAGTGGCTCACCCTGTAATCCCAGCACTTTGGGAGGCCAAGGCGGGAGGATCGTTTGAGCCCAGGAATTCGAAAGCAACCTGGACAACATGGCGAAACACCGCCTCTACAAAAAATACAAAAATTAGGCAGGCTTGGGGGTGCGTGACTGTAGTCCCCGTCCCAGCTACTCGGGAGGCTGAGGTGGGAGAACTTCTTGAGCCCAGGAACTGAGATCGCGCCACTGCACTCTAGCCTGGGTGATAGAGCGAGACCCAGTCTCAAAAAAAAAAAAAAAAAAGGCGTAAACCTTAGCAATTTTTGTTTTGTTTTGAGACGGGATCTCGCTCTGTCGCCCAGGCTGGAGTGCAGTGACGTGATCTCAGCTCACTGCAGCCTCTGCCTCAGCCTCCCAAGTAACTGGGACTACAGGCGCGCACCACCACGCCCAGCTAATTTTTGTATTTTTAGTAGAGATGGAGTTTCGCCATGTTGGCCAGGCTTGTTCAAATTTTTTTTAAATATAAAGGAATCATAATTTTTGCATAAATTATTGGAAAACTTTTCAAAGTTTAGATTAAAAGAGAGTAAGCTATATTACTCTGATACTGGGATATGTATCAGTAATTTATGAAGTAGTACTGTGTATCAACTATTCTCCCCCCTATAAAAACGTGAAACTCTCCAGGATGTTTGGTAGAAAAACACTATATTAGATACATACAATTAAACACTGTCTCATTACTGCAGATTAAACGGTGTTACTTGAGTACAGAGTTTGGGCACCTAAGCAGTTTGAGGTAAATAGCAGGCTGCACTGAGGTGAGAAATAAAGTGGCAGGCCAAGGCAGGAGGATCGCTCGTGCTCAGGAGTTCGAGACCAGCCTGGGCAACATAGCGAGACCCCATTTCTATTAAAATAAATAAATTTAATTTAAAAAGAAATAAAGTGGTCTACCCTTAAACGCATATAGGTGTGGTTGAAGCCAAGGATGGGATGTTAATAATTGTTTAAGAAGCAAGTCTCCTGGACAGACCCTCACGACCAGTGATACGTCTGGTCCGACTTAAGCTTCCTTTCCAAATGTACATCCAATTCGTTTTTTATGGCACGATTTTTGCCTTGAAGAATTCTCACCCCAAAACGCTGCCCGCCCCTGTCCCCGGACCCTTTCGGTACCCGGGGCAACGGGGAACCCGGGAGCGCTCGCTACCTGGACAGGGTGCACCATGCCCGATCCAGCGCAGGGCAGCAGGCCTGCAGCCACCGCAAAGCACGATCGGCGCACGGCAGAAAACGGCGGCCACTGTGAGCGCAGGAAATCCCGGGACCGTGAACTCGAAACCAAAGGCGCCGAGCTGGGGAAGCGGCCAACCCCGCACAGAGGAATCGATGAGGCCGAGCGGCGCCACGGTTGCCACAGGTTGAGACAGCGTCCTAGGACGAGGCTGGCCTCAGCCCCACGACCCCGCGGCCACCCCGACAGTCCTTTTGTTCCCTCGCGCGGGCGCCTGACACTCACCAAGCGGATGAAGCCGAAGCCACGGTCCCGGTTGATGAAGACTTCGCTGGGCTCGCCATAGCGTTCGAAGAGCCTCTTGAAGTCCTCCTCCGTGATGTCGGTGGGCAGATTTCCCACGAAGAGGCGGCAGCGCTGCGTGTACGTCTTCTCGCCCGGCTTGAGGAAACTCTTGATGTCGATAGTGAACCCCATCTCCTCGTCCGGGTGGTCCTCTGGAGGCGCGGGCGCGGGCGGTGCCGGCTCCCCGGCAAGAGCGAGCGCCATGGCTGCCGCGGCCGCCGGCTCGCTCTCGCCCACCGCGGACTCCAGGGCGCGAAGGCGGGCCGGGTTTTTCTCAATGCGCACTTGCTTCAGGTTTCCTCTTAACATCATCTTACTGAGTTCGCCTCGGACACCGGATACAGGCCTAGATTTATAGACAGTGTGTCTATATATATGTATACGTCTCTACATAAACCTATGCCAACAAAATATCGACAATCAAGAGACCGCTAGGTAGGCGAGTCGGCAACCCGTCCTCCCCCAACTCACGCCCGCTGCAGCTGCACATTCAAAATGGCGCTGCCACAAACTGCAGTTAGAAGAAGAGACGCCGGTGCAAGTCCCACCCCTCCGCCAAAGCCGGCGCCGGAACGACGCGCCTGCGCACTCGCGGCACCAACGGACCGTTGACTGACCGCGCATGCGCATAACGCTGCGCGTGCAATCGACAAATCTCCTAGGAGGGTGAAGACGTCCTTTCCCATCCTGCTAAAATATCAAAACTGTTGTTGGCTGTACTCTTGGGACAAATTATGTGATGTGTGCAGCAGTGTGTGAAAATACAATGACTTGAGTAAACATCCTTACCCTTTTAGATATCAAGCTCAATTTTGTTTTGTTTTGTTTTGTTTTGTTTTGTTTTGTTTTGTTTTTTGAGACGGAGTCTCCCTCTGTCGCCCAGACTGGAGTGCAATGGCGCGATCTCGGCTCACTGCAACCTCCGCCTTCTGGGTTCAAGCAATTCTCCTGCCTCAGCCTCCTGAGTAGCTGAGATTACAGGTGCGCACCACCACGCCTGGCTAATTTTTTTGTATTTTTAGTAGAGACGGGTTCACCATGTTGGTAAGGCTGGTCTCAAACTCCTGACCTTGTGATCCACCCGCCTCGGACTCCCAAAGTGTTGGGATTACAGGCGTGAGCCGCCGCGCCCGGCCATATCAAGCTCAATTTTCAATGATTGTGGAAAAATAAAAACTTGCATATTTTGGATGTAGCATTCAATAACAAGATACCTCCCAGTAATTTTTAAAAATCTTTATTTCTGTTTCAAGAGCAAGGTTTTTATATTTCCTAGTTAAACAATACAATTCTATAAAATAACTGTGCTGTTGATTATTGGCCTCAGAGGACTCCGTGAAATTGCTTATAAAATTAGTATAATCAGGCCATGAGCTCTTATGGGCCATAGTCTTATGACAAGGGTCAACAAACTTTTTCTGTAAAGGGCCAGATAGCCAGTATTTCAGATTTGGAGGCCACATTCTCTAACAACTACTCAACTCTATGCTCCTGGCACATGGTGACTCCTTAATGAATGTTGAAAAGAAATGAACTCAGTCACTATGCAAAACAGTTCAGCAGTATCTCATGAAGCTTGACATTTGCTTACTTTACAATAGCAATCCCATTTCTAAGTATTTACCCAAGTGAAATGAAAACTTGTGTTCCCACAAAAATCTGTATGCAAATGTTTACAGGGGCTTTATTTGTCCTCAAAACAAAAACAAAAGAAACAATTCAAATGTCCTTCCACTGGTGAATGGATAAACAGTGGTACGTCCACATAACAGGATACTACTCAGCAATAAAAAGGAATAAACTACTGATACAAGCAACACCATGAACTGATACAAGCAATGCCCTGACTCAAAAGGTTACAAACTGTGTATATAACATTCTGGAAAAGGCAAAACTATTGCTGCAGAACACAGATTGGTGGTTGCCAGGGACTGGGATGTGGAGGGCAGTTAACCACATGGTAACACTCGGAAGCTTTTGGAATGATGGAACTAAATCTTGATTGTGGTGATGACTACACAATTGTATGCGTTTGTCAAAACTAAGTCTAACTGTGCACTAAAAGGGTGAATGTTGGCCGGGCTCAGTGACTCACACCTGTAATCCCACCACTTTGGAGGCCAAGGCAGGCGGACCAACTGAGGTCAGGAGTTGGAGACCAGCCTGGCTAACATGGTGAAACCCCGTTTCTCCTAAAATTACAAAAAATTAACCAGGCATGTTGGTGCAAGCCTGTAGTCCCAGCTATTCAGGAGGCAGAGGCAGGAGAATCGCTTGAACTCGGAAGGCGGAGGTTGCAGTGAGCTGAATGGTGCCATTTCACTCCAGCTTGGGCAACAAGAGACAAAAAAAAAGGGTGAATGTTACTGTACTTAAGTTATACTTTGAACAAACATTTTTTTAACTACCCAAAAGAATAAAAATAAAACACAATCAACACTAATCTCTATTTACCATAGTCCTCAGTCACCACCCAAATCCTTTTTTTTTTTTTTTTTGAGACGGAGTTTCATTCTTGCCCAGGCTGGAGTGTAGTGGCACAATCTCGGCTCACTGCAACCTCTGCCTCCCGGGTTCAAGTGATTCTCCTGCCTCAGCCTCCCAAGTAGCTGGGATTACAGGCGCCTGCCACCACGCCCAGCTAATTTTTTATATCTTTAGTAGAGACAGGATTTCGACATGTTGGGCAAGCTGGTCTGGAACTCCTAACCTCAGGTGATCCGCCCGCCTTGGCCTCCGAAAGTGCTGAGATTACAGGCGTGAGCAACCGTGCCCAGCCGTCACCACCCAAATTTGAATCCCCCAGATTCTAATACACATCCAACTCTGTACAGTCCACAATCTGACCCAGTTTCCCCCATCCCTCCCAGGTGCTCCAAAACCTTCTATTGTACTGAGTCCTTGGAAATTCACTCTCTGTCATCAGCAAAATCATCTGTCCTTAACTTTTTCTCTGATCACTTTCCTGCTTTAACTGGAACATGGTCTTCCTCTGAGGACTGCTTCCCCTGCAGCCCTCTCCAGAAGTGGGTGTGTTCTTATCCTACATCTCATGTGTCATAGGACATAGAATAGAAGCTTCTTGATCCCTTTCAACTTCAAGTCCATTTCCCCTCCTTTCTTTGACAAAAATCCCAACTCCAACAAGGTCATCCCAACTCAAACTCTCACTCTCATGCTCACTAGTCCCTCCCTAGACCACATGTCTCTCCCTGCTCTCCCTGTAATACTATTCTGAACTCTCTTTAAATGCATTACCACAAATAGGCTGGGCACGCTGGCTCATGCCTGTAATCCCAGCACTTTGGGAGGCTGAGGCAGGTGGATAACCTGAGGTCAGGAGTTGGAGACCAGCCTGGCCAACATAGTGAAACCCCGTCTCTACTAAAAATACAAAAAAGGCCGGGTGTGGTGGCTCACGCCTGTAATCCCAGCACTTTGGGAAGCCGAGGCTGGCAGATCACGAGGTCAGGATATTGAGACCATCCCAGCTAACAAGGTGAAAGCCCGTCTCTACTAAAAATACAAAAATTAGCTGGGCGTGGCGGGCACCTGTAATCCCAGCTACTGGGGAGACTGAGGCAGGACAATGGTGTGAACCCAGGAAGTGGAGCTTGCAGTGAGCCGAGATTGCGCCACTGCACTCCAGCCTGGGCGACAGAGCGGGATTCCATCTCAAAAAAAAAAAAAAAAAAAAAAAAAAAAGAGTTTTGGCTGGACTCAGTGGCTCACGCCTGTAATCCCAGCACTTTGGGAGGCCGAGGCAGGTGGGTCACCTGACATTAGAAGTTTGAGACCAGCCTGGCCAACATGGTGAAACCCCGTCTATACTAAAGTTACCAAAAATTAGCCTGGCGTGGTGTCGGGTGCCTGTAATCCCAGCTACTCGAGAGGCTGAGGCATGGGAATCTCCTGAACCCGGGAGGCGGAGGTTGCAGTGAGCTGAGATCATGCCACTGCACTCCAGCCTGGGCAACAGAGCAAGACTCCGTTTAAAAAAAAAAAAAGAGTTTCTGCATTATATGTCTCCAATTGTTCATCATTTATTTTCTTCTCTAGCCACAGTAATGAGTCTTCTGCCCCCACCATTTCATTCTTCTGAACCCTTCTTTGTCATAGTCAGCAACATCCTCCACTTTGCCAAACCCCATATTCAAATCTCAGCTCTTCCTCCAGTCAACCTTTTAGCAGCATTTGACATTTATAGATCTTTGCCTTGGCTTATTCAACTATAAAATGGGCATAATACCTACTTCACAGAGGTATTGTGCATATTAAATGCTTAACTAAGGCTGGGCTCAGTGGGTCATGCCTGTAATTTCAGCACTTTGGGAGGCCAAGGCAGGCAGATCACTTGAGGTCAGGAGTTCAAGACCAGCCTGGCCAATATGGCGAAACCCCATCTCTACTAAAGATACAAAAATTAGCCAGGTGTGGTGGCGGGAGCCTGTAATCCCAGCTGCTCGGGAGGGTGAGGCAGGAGAATCGCTTGAACACTGGAGGTGGAGGTTGCAGTAAGCCAATATCGCACCACTGCCCTCTAGCCTGGGCTTTGCAGTAGCACTCTGTCTCAAATAAATAAATAAATAAACAAACAAATAAATAAATAAATAAATAAATAAATAAATGCTTAATTAAAGTACTTGGCTGGGTGCGGTGGCTCACGCCTGTAATCCCAGCACTTTGGGAGGCCAAGGCAGGCGGACCACAAGATCAGATCGAGACCATCCTAGCTAACACGGTGAAACCCTGTCTCCACTAAAAACATAAAAAATTAGCCGGGCATGGTGACAGGCGCCTGTAGTTCCAGCTACTCGGGAGGCTAAGGCAGGAGAATGGTGTGAACCCAGGAGGCAGAGCTTGCAGTAAGCCGAGATCACGCCACTGCACTCCAGCCTGGGCGACAGAGCAAGACTCTGTCTCAAAAAAAAAAAAAAAGAAAAAGAAAATATTCTGCCATCATAAATATTAGTCAGTGTAGCTGGGCACGGTGGTTCACGCCTGTAATCCCAGCACTTTGGGAGTGGGAGGCGGGTGGATCACTTGAGGTCAGGAGTTCCAGAGCAGCCTGGCCAACATAGTGACACTTCGTCTCTACTAAAAATACAAAAATTAGCCGGGAGTGGTGGTAGGCATCTGTAATCCCAGCTAGTCAGGAGGCTGAGGCACAAGAATCCCTCGAACCAGGGAGGCGGAGGATGCAGTGAGCCAAGATCATGCCACTGTATTCCAGCCTGGGTGACAGAGTGAGACTCCGTCTCAAAATAAATAAATAAATAAATATTAGTCAGTGTTATCATTGATCGCTTTCCTGCCCCCTTCTTGAAACTGTTCTGTCATTACTCCTGTCACACTCTTCTGTGTTATTCCTGCCTCACTGGCTACTTCTCAGTCCCTCTGCCTCTCTCAAGAAACTTGACTCCTGAGAGAGCCAAGAGAACCACAGGCCTCAGCTCTCCTCTCCTCTTCAGCTACACTGATTTCCCAGGTCAGACCTGCACACTAGTGTGCCTCAGATGCATTAGAATTGGTTTTCTAAATCTTGACACTATAGAAATTTTGACCAAGTGATTATTTATTGTAAGGGAATGTTGAGCAGCATCCCTGGCTTCTACCCACTGGATGCCAGTAGCACCCATTCCCAGTGACAACCCAAAATGTGCCAGGCATTATTATTATGATTTTTTCTGAGACGGAGTCTCACTCTGTTGCCCAGGCTGGAGTCCAGTGGCACGATCTCAGTTCACTGCAACTCTGTCTCCCAGGTTCAAGTGATTCTCTTGCCTCAGCCTCCTGAATAGCTGGGATTACAGGCACATGACACCACAGCTGGCTAATTTTTGTATTTTTAGTAGAGACAGGGTTTCACCATGCTGGCCAGGCTGGTCTCAAACTCCTGACCTCAGGTGATCTGCCTGCCTCGGCCTCCCAAAGTGCTGAGATTACAGGTGTGAGCCACCATACCTGTCCTACTACCACCTTTTACAGATGAAAAAACCTAGGACAGGCTGGGTGCGGTGGCTCATGCTTGTAATCCCAGCACTTTGGGAGACCGAGGCAGGTGGACCACGAGGTCAGGAGATCGGGACCATCCTGGCTAACATGGTGAAACCCTGTCTCTACTAAAAATACAAAAAAATTAGCTGGGCGTGGTGGCGGGCGCCCATAGTCTCAGCTACCCCGGAGGCTGAGGCAGGAGAATGGCACGAGTGAACCCGGGAGGCAGAGCTTGCAGTGAGCTGAGCCAGCACCACTGCACTCCAGCCTGGGCGACAGAGCAAGACTCTGTCTCAAAAAAAAAAAAGAAAAAAGAAAAAACCTAGGACAAAGAGATGCTAAGTAACTTGCCAAAGATCACACAATTAATACGAAGTTGAAGGCTGGGTGAGGTGGCTCAAGGCCAGGCGCCTTGGCTCACTCCTGTAATCTCAAAACTTTGGGAGGCTAAGGCTGGGATCATTTGAAGTCAGGAGTTCAAGACCAGCCTGACCAACATGGTGAAACCCCGTCTCTACTAAAAATACAAAAAATTAGCCAGGCAGTAATGGTGTGTGCCTGTAATCCCAGCTACTCGGGAGGCTGAGGCAGGAGAATTGCTTGAGCCTGGGAGGCCAAGGTTGCAGTAAGCTGAGATCACACCAATGCACTCCAGTCTGGGCGACAGAGTGAGACCCTGTCTCATCAAAAAAAAAACACAAAAAAACAAAACAAAAAAAACAGTTGAGCTAGGATGTGAATTGGTGAATTGTTAAACAAAATGTATGGGAAGCAGCCAGGCATGGTGGCTCATGCCTGTAGTCCCAGCACTTTGGGAAGCCAAGACAGGTGGATCACTTGAGGCCAGGAGTTCAAGACCAGCTGGCCAACGTGGTGAAACTCCGTCTCTACTAAAATACAAAAAACAGCTGGGCATGGTGGCAGGCACCTGTAATCCCAGCTACTGGGGAGGCTGAAGCAGGAGAATCGCCTGAAGCCAGGAGGTGGAGGTTGCAGTCAGCCAAGGTCGTGCCACTGCACTCCAGCCTGAGCAACAGAGTGAGACTCAAAAAATAATAATAATAAAAACAAAACAAACGACCCCCCCAAAAAAAACAAAATTAATAATAATAATAAATAATTAAAATAATAAAAACAGAAGCCAGGAAATGTGGCTCTAAAATCACTAGTCTCACCTCTGTTATGAGGCTATAGAAAATAAAATAGGCCAGGCACAGTGGCTCATGCCTGTAATCCCAGCACTTTGGGAGGCTGAGATGGGTGGATCATCTGAGGTCGGGAGTTTGAGACCAGCCTGACCAACATGGAGAAACCCCGTCTCTACTAATAAACTACAAAATAAGCCGGGCATGGTGTCGGGCACCTGTAATCCCAGCCAAGGCAGGAGAATTGCCTGGACCTGAAAGGCAGAGATTGCGGGGAGCCAAGATCGTGCCATTGCACTCCAGCCTGGGCAACAAAAGCAAAACTCCGTCTCAAAAAATAATAATAATAAATAAATAAAATAAAATCAGTAGTCAAAGTTGCCCCCTAGTTACTTTACATGTATACCTGGATGCCGAGCATCTCAAATGTAAAGTGTCCAGACCAAGACTGTGGGTGATCTCTTCACAGACCTTTCTGGACCCAGTCCTTACCATTTCATGAATGGCACTGCTATTCATCCACATCTTCAAACCATCAAACTAGAGGTCTTACTTTACTCCTTTTTTTTTTTTTTTTTTTTTTTTTGAGACAGAGTCTCGCTCTGTCGCCCAGGCTGGAGTGCAGTGGTGCGATCTCAGCTCACTGTAAGCTCCGCCTCCCAGGTTCATGCCATTCTCCTGCCTCAGCCTCCTGAGCAGCTGGGACTACAGGCGCCCGCCACCACACCCGGCTAATTTTTTTTTTATATTTTTAGTAGAGACGGGGTTTCACCGTGTTAGCCAGGATGGTCTCAATCTCCTGACCTTGTGATCCGCCTGCCTCGGCCTCCCAAAGTGCTGGGATTACAGGCTTGAACCACCGCGCCCAGCCTACTCCTTTTCTTACTACAGCAACAATATCCAATCAGCAAATCCTGTTGGCTCTACTTTCAAAATATATCCTGAACACATTCTAAGCCAACTCATCATCATCTAATAACTACTAGCCATTAACTGATAACTACTGAAGTACTCTCCTAATTATCTTCTTGCTTCCCCTCCTGCTCTGCTAACGTCCTTTCTCTTTCTTTTTTATTTTGATTATTTTTATTAATTTTCCCCAGAGAAGTACTAACATCTATTCTCTAGAGAGCAGTGATGTATTTTATCATATTATTATTATCTTTTTAGACAATATCTCCCTGTGTCATTCCAGGCTGGAGTGCAGTGGTACCATCACAGCTCACTGTGCCTCAACTCCCCCAGGCTCAAATGATCCTCCTGCCTCAGCCTCCCAAGTTCCTGGGACTACAAGCATGTGCCACCACATCTGTTTTTTTTTTTTTTTTGAGACGGGGTTTCACTCTTGTTGCCCAAGTTGGAGTGCAATGGCGCAATCTCAGCTCACTGCAACCTCTGCCTCCCAGGTTCAAGCGATTATCCTGCCTCAGCCTCTGGAGTAGCTGGGATTACAGGCATGTGCCACCATGCCTGGCTAATTTTGTATTTTTAGTAGAGATGGGGTTTCTCCATGTCTATCAGGCTGGTCTCGAATTCCCGACCTCAGGTGATCTGCCTACCTCGGCCTCCAAAGTGCTGAGATTACAGGCGTGAGCCACTTTGCCCAGTCCATCTGGCTTATTTTTAATTTTTTTAGTGGTGTGTTTTTTTGTTTTGTTTTGTTTTTTGAGATGGTGTCTTGCTCTTTTGCCCAAGCTGGAGTGCAGTGGCTTGATACCAGCTCACTGCAACATCCACCTCCCGGGTTCAAGTGATTTTCCTGCCTCAGCTTCCAAAGTAGCTGGGATTACAGGCCCGCACCAATATGCCTGGCTAATTTTTTTATATTTTTCGTAGAGATGTGGTTTCACCAGTTGGCCAGGCTGGTCTCAAACTCCTGACATCGTGATCCAACCACCTTGGCCTCCCAAAGTGCTGGAATTACAGGCTTGAGCCACTGCGCCCGGCCTTGTGATGTTGTCTTTACATGTTGCCCAGGCTGGTCTCAAACTCCTAGGCTCAAGCAATCCTCCCACCTCGGCCTCCCAAAAGTGCTGGAATTGCAGGCACAAGCCACTGCACCCAGCTCAGAGATGTATTTTAAATTTAAGTCACACTTTTGCTTTCGGGAAGATCTTGTCAAGACATAATGAGAAAACTGCTTGCTAAAACTACCAAAAAATGCTGGAAAAACTAGAAAAATAAATCCTTTACATGCAGAGCTAAATTCCCAAAAGAATAAGAGAAATACACCCTGGTATAATATGAAATATACTTGGGCTTTGTCCCCACTTCCTGTCATGGAGCTTTATTTTAATTTAATTTAATTTAATGTTATTTATCTATTTATTTTGAGTCTCAGGCTGGAGTGCACTGGCAGGATCATAGTCCACTGCATCCTCAAACTCCTCGTCTCAAAGGGTCCTCCTAGCTCAACCTCACCAAGTGCTGGGATTACAGGCTTGGGTCATGGTACCCTGGCATCACAAAGCCTTTAAAACCTTTGGAACTTCCTGAGGATGGGAGGGTCTTTTGTTATTAATAATGAGCCCCTTTGATAACACCTGAGTTTATGCTAATGCAGAAACTTGAAATAGGGAGCGGGGTACCTTAGGCAGCACTGGCTGGGGCTGGGCTCCAGAAAGATCAAGTGATTAGAGGATTAGGGGGTTGGAACTCTCAGCCCCAGCCAGTGAGAAAAGATAACTTTTATCTGAGGAATGCAAATCCTTTAAATTACGAACCCTGTGAACCCAGTGGCTCCTGCCTGTAATCCCAGCACTTTGGGAGGCCAAAGAGAGAGGATCCCTAGAGCCCAGGCGTTCAAGACAAGCCTGGGCAACACAGCAAGACCTTGTCTTTTTTTTTTTTCTTTTGAGACGGAGTCTTGCTGTGTCGCCCAGGCTGGAGTGCAATGGCGTGATCTCAGCTCACTGCAACCTCTGCCTCCCAGGTTCAAGCAATTCTCCTATCTTAGCCTCCCGAGTAGCTGGGACTACAGGCGCCCGCCACCACGCCCAGCTAATTTTTCGTAATTTTAGCAGAGACAGGGTTTCACTGTGTTAGCCAGGCTGGTCTCGATCTCCTGACCTCATGATCTGCCCGCCTCGGCCTCCCAAAGTGCTGGGATTACAAGCTTGAGCCACCGCACCCGGCCAAGACCTTGTCTTTACAAAAATAAAAAAAATTACAAAATTATCCAGGAATGGTTGCAAATGCCTGTAGTGTCAGCCACTCGACCACTTGGGAGGCTGAGGTGGGAGCTCACTTGAACCCAGGGGTTTAAGCATGCAGTGAGCTATGATAGCATCACTGCACTTCAGCCTGGGCAACAGAGCAAGACATTATCTCCAAAAATTAAAAATTTAAAAAAAATTAAAAAGTAAAAATAAATTATTAGCCCCCAAGGAGACATTAAAATGAGACAGCAGTCATAACCTACTCCTTCCTTTCAGCTATGTATTCATCGTTTAAACTGCTTGCTATCTGAGCAAGGTGGCTCACCCCTGTAATCCCAGCACTTTGGGAAGCTGAGGTGGGCAGATCACTTGAGTCCCAGAGTTCAAGACCAGCCTGGGCAACACAGGGAGACCCTATCTCTACAAAAAAAATTTTCTTTTTTTTTTTTTTTTTTTTTTTTGAGACAGAGTCTTACTCTGTCCCCCAGGCTGGAGTGCAGTGGTGCAATCTCGGCTTACTGCAACCTCCACCTCCCTGGCTCAAATGATTCTCCTGCCTCAGCCTCCCGAGTAGCTAGAACTACAGACATGTGCCACCACACCTGGCTAACTTTCCTGTATTTTTACTAGAGACAGGGTTTCACCATGTTGGCCAGGCTGGTCTAGAACTCCTAACCTCAAGAGATCCACCCGCCTTGGCCTCCCAAAGTGCTGGGATTACAGGTGTAAATCACTGCACCTAGGCTTTACAAACAACTTTGTATAAGCCCACTCCCTGTCCCCCTTTTTTGTGTTTAAAAATATACTTGCAACTGCTTCTCATCAGAGTGTATATTCAGGGCAACTTGAATCTGTGCTCCTAGGTTGCAAGCTTTAAGCTTGGCCCAAATAAACTCTCTACTTATATTAATTTTGCCTCAGCTTCTTCCTTTAGGTCAACACCAGGAACATCCAGAAAGGAGTGGTGGGGAAAGCTACAGATTAAGCCCTATAAAAACTCCTCAAAGGGCTGGGCGCGGTGGCTTGTGCTTGTAATCCCAGCACTTTGGGAGGCCAAGGTGGGTGGATCACCTGAGGTCAGGAGTTCCAGACCAGCCTGACATGGTGAAACCCTGTCTCTACTAAAAAAATACAAAATTAGCTGGGCATGTTGGCAGATGCCTGTAATCCCAGCTACTTGGGAGGCTGAGGCAGGAGAATCACTTGAACCTGGGAGGTGGAGGTCTCAGTGAACCAAGATCACGCCACTCACTGCACTCCAGCCTGGGCGACAGAGCGAGACTCCATCTCAAAAAACAAAAAACAAAAACCTCCTGAACTATGAGATTTGATGAACATCCAAGTTGCTGAACACAGAGGTGCTAGGAGAATGGCATGCTCAGAGACAGCATGGCAGCTTCCCACCCATTCCCCGGTACTTTGCCGTATGTATTTTATCTGGCTGTTCATCTGTATCCTTCAAAATGTTCTTTATAAATAAAATACCTATTTATAATAAATGTGTTCCCCTGAGTTGTTGTTTTTTTTTTCTTCAGAGTCTTGCTCTGTCATCCAGGCTAGAGTGCAGTGGCACAATCTCAACTCACTGCAACTTCTGCCTCCTGGGTTTAAGTAAGTCTCTGACTCAGCTTCCTGAGTAGCTGGGACTACAGGCATGAGCCACCATGCTTGGCTAATTTTTGTATTTTTAGTAGAGACAGGGTTTCTCCATGTTGGTCAGGTTGGTCTCAAACTCCTGACCTTGGGTGATCTGCCTGCCTCGGCCTCCCAAAGTGCTGGGATTACAGGTGTGAGCCACTGCACCTGGCCAATTTTTTTTTTTTTTTTTTTTTTTAATTAGCAGGCACAGTGGCATGTACCTGTAGTCCTAGCTACTAAGGAGGCTGAGGTGGGAGGATAGCTTGAGCCCAGGAGGTCCAGGCTGCAGTCAACTAGGATTGCGTGACAGCACTCTGGCTTGAATGACAGAGAAAGACCCAGGGAAAAATGTGTGTTTGCTTGGGGGAACTCAGCATAACCCGTTTGTCCAGATTCTTTGTGTCTTTGTGTAGCATTCCCTCAGGCAGGACCCATGTCACATAAGGGTCTATGACCTACTTTCAGAAGAAGTAAGTCAGAGAGTAATCTTTCTCAATTTCATGGCTTGCTTTAGGGGAGAAGTAGTGGGGTCGGGCAGTGGGGAGGTAGGCAAGTGGGAGGATAGAGAGGGCGGGAGAAGGTCAGAGAGAGAGAGAGACCATCTGGCTTCTGAGGCACTCCTGCCTCCTTCAGCTAAAAAACAACCAGAATGCCAATGTGCCATACTTAGGGGTATTGTGTTATGAGCCCCAGTAACTGCTTTTGTCTCTGGCAAAACAAAACAAAATACTCTATAGGGAAATGCAGCAGATTCCTTCCAAGTTTAAGATATGTATTCTGTGAAAGAAAAAATTATGACTGGTGATTAAAAAATGAATGCAGAGGCTGGGCGCGGTGGTTCACTCCTGTAATCCCAGCACTTTGGGAGGCCGAGGCGAGCAGATCACAAGGTCAGGAGTTCGAGACCAGCTGGACCAACATGGAGAAACTCCATCTCTACTAAAAATACAAAATTAGCTGGGCGTGGTGGCGCATGCCTGCAATCCCAGCTACTCAGGAGGCTGAAGCAGGAGAATCGCTTGAACCCAGGAGATGGAGGTTGAGGTGAGCCGAGATCATGCCATTGCACACCAGCCTGGGCAACAAGAGTGAAACTCCATCTCAAAAAAAAAAAAAAAAAAAAAAAAAAAAAAAAAAAAAAAAAAAAAAAAAAGAATGCAGACAGACTACCCCACTGGCAGGAAAGAAAAATGTTTCAGTGATATTTGTTAAAGTACATCAGATGGCCTGGCGCAGTGGCTCACGCCTGTAATCCCAGCACTTTGGGAGGTCCAGGTGGGCGGATCACTTGAGGTCAGGAGTTCAAGACCAGCCTGGCCAACATGGCAAAACCCTGTCTCTACTAAAAATACAAAAAATTAGCCAGGCATGGTGGCGGGCACCTGTAGTCCCAGCTACTCGGGAGGCTGAGGCAGGAGAATCGCATGAACCTGGGAGGCGGAGGTTACAGTGAGCCGGATTGCGCCACTGCACTCCAGCCTGGGGCGACAGAGCAAGACTCTGTCAAAAAAAATAAAAATAAAAATAAATTTAAAAAAGCACATCAGGAAGACTTTACTCAGGACCCTCAGGACTACGGAGATCAGTACAGGAACTACTGTAGTGGGGTCCAACTACTGGAGTTGGAAAGATTGGGCTAAATTCTGAATACAGCACAGGCAAGCGGGAATTTAGAACCAAAGAGCAAGGCAGGAGTTAGTGAACGAAAAATCACTAAGAGGAAACATCGGGATGAGGGAGATTCTGTCTAGACCAACCTACCGGAATTCTTGCAGAAGACAGGCCAGGGTGACCAGACCCCTGGGGGAGGGTGAAGGATGAGGATCTTAAGTGCGGGAAATTCTTGCTAAATTGACTCAGCAAGGTTCTTTGCTAAAACTGGATCTTACGAGGAAGCACACAGATGGGCCTAAGAGGTGGTTTAGGAGCCTGACCAAAGTTTCACCAAGCAAAGAATCTTTCTCAATTTTCATAATTTAAGACCAGTCAAACAAAAGTTACAAAATATATAAAGAAATAATCCGTCATGAGGAAGAGTCAATAGGAAAAAAGAGGGTGAGTTGGATGTCAGGCACTTGAATGATTATATAGCATGCAAAATAATATTACTTAAAGTGCTTACACAAATAAAAGATGGAACAGTAAGAACAAAAAATAAAAGAGCATAAAAAGAATGAGGTACAGTATCAAGACAAGACAACCTACAGAATGTAAGAAAATATTTGCAAATCATATATCTGGTAAGGGACTAATAGCTCTTTTTTTTTGAGATGGAGTTTCCATCTTGTTGTCCAACGCTGGAGTACAGTGACATGATCTCGGCTCACTGCAACCTCTGCCTCCCAAATTCAAGCAATTCTCCCTGCCTCAGCCTCCCAAGTTGCTGGGATCACAGGCATGCACCACCACACCCGGCTAATTTTGTATTTTTAGTAGAGACGGGGTTTCACCGGGTTGTCCAGGCTGGTCTCGAACTTCTGTCCTCTGGTGATTCACCCGCCTCGGCCTCCCAAAATGCTGGGATTACAGGCATGAGCCACTGCGCTTGGCCGTATCATTTTTTTTTTTTTTAAGAGACAGGGTCTTGCTTAATATCGAGTATATAAAGAACTCTTACAACTCAAAAACTTGACAAAAACAAAGGCCGGGCACAGTGGTTCATACCTGTAATCCCAGCACTTTGGGAGACTGAGATGGGAGGATCACTTGAGGCCAGGAGTTCAACGCCAGCTTGGTCAACATAGTGAGATCCCCATCTCTAAAAAAGAAAAATAATAAAATAAAAAAATGGTCAGGTGACGTGGCTCATGCCTGTAATCCTAGAACTTTGGAAGGCCAAGTCAGGAGGATCACTTGAGGCCAGGAGTTTGGGACCAACCTGGGCAACATAGCAAGACCTGCCCCCATCTCTATAAAAATGTACAAAATTAGCCAGGCATGCTGATACGCACCTGTAATCCAAGCTACTTGGGAAGCTGAGGCAGGAGAATCCCTTGAACAGAGGAGGCCGGTGGTTGCAGTGGGCTGAGATTGGGCCACTGCACTCCAGCCTGAGGAACAGAGCAAGACTCCGTATCAAAAAATAAAAAACAAAAAAGAAGAGAAAAACATTTGTTTTCAAAAGACAACCCTAAGGCTGGGCGCGGTGGATCACATCCGTAATCCCAGCACTTTGGGAGGTCCAGGCAGGCAGATCACCTGAGGTCAGGAGTTCAAGTTCGAGACCAGCCTGGCCAACATGGTGAAACCCCGTCTCTATTAAAAATACAAAAAATTAGCTGGGCGTGGTGGCACACGCCTGTAATCCCAGCTACACTTGGGAGGCTGAGGCAGAAGAATTGCTTGAACTAGGGAGGTGGAGGTTGCAGTGGGCCGAGATCACATCACTGCACTCCAGCCTGGGCAATAGAGCAAAACTCCATCTCAAAAAAAAAAAAAAAAATACACTTGACAAAAAAGGCAAAAAAAAAAAAAAGACTTGCACACTGTTAACTACAAAACATTGCTGAAAGATAAAAAAAAATTGTTTTTTTTTTTTTTAATTTTTTGAGATGGGGTCTCACTCTGTCACCCAGGCTGGAGTGCACTGACATGATCTCAGCTCACTGCAACCTCCCACTCCCAGACTCAAGCAATCCTCCTGTCTCAGCTTCCCAAGTAGCTGGGACTTCAGATGTGCACCACCACACTCGGGGAATTTTTGTATTTTGGTAGAGACAAGTTTCGCCATGTTGCCCAGGTGGGTCTTGAACTCCTGGACTCAGGCAATCTGCACCTTGGCCTCCCAAAGTGCTGGGGGAAAAAAAGTGAGACCTGGCCCCCAATCTCTACAAAAACTAGAAAAAAATTAGCCGGGCATGGTGGCATGCGCCTGAAGTCCCAGTACTCAGGAGGCTGCAGTAGGAGGATCTCTTGAACCCAGGAGGTTAAGGCTGCAGTGAGCTGTGATCAGGCCACTGCACTCTAGCCTGGTGAGACAGCAAGATCCTGACTCAGAAATAAAAATAAAAATAAATAAAGGGAAAGACATTCCATGTTCATAGATTGGAAGGTTTAAGGGCACAATGGCTCACACCTGTAATCCCAGTACTTTGGGAGCCTGAGGCAGGCAGATCATCTGAGGTCAGGAGTTGGTCGAGACCAGCCTGACCAACATGGAGAAACCCTATCTCTACTAAAAATACAAAAACTAGCTGGGCATGGTGGCACATGCCTGTAATCCCAGCTACTCAGGAGGCTGAGACAGGAAAATCGCTTGAATCCAGGAGGTGGAGGTTGTGGTGAGCTGAGATCACTCCATTGCACTCCAGCCTGGGCAACAAGAGTGAAATTCCCGTTACCCACACACACAAAAAAAGTATATGGAATTTCAGGAAACCCTAAAAAGTCAAAACAATCTTGAAAAATAACAAAGTTGGAGGTCTCACAACTCCTGATTTCAAAATATACTACAAACCTACAGAAATCAAAATAGTGTGATATGAGCATAAAAGCAGATGTACAGACAATGGAATAGAATCAAGATCCCAGAAATAAACCCTCATATATATACGGTCAACCAATTTTTTTTTTTTTTTTTTTTTGGGACGGAATCTGGCTCTGTCACCCAGGTGGGAGTGCAGTGGCTTGATCTTGAATCACTGCAACCTCCATCTCCTGGGTTCAAGCAATTCTCTTACCTCAGCATCCCAAATAGCTGGGATTACAGGCATGGGCCACCATGCCCAACCAATTTTTGCATTTTTAGTAGAGACGGGGTTTTACCACATTGGCCAGGCTGGTCTCGAACTTCTGACCTTAGGTGATCCGCCCACCTCAGCCTCCCAAAGTGCTGGGATTACAGGTGTGAGCCACTGTGCCTGGCCCCATCAATGATTTTTAACAAGGATGTCAAGACCGTTCATTAGGGAAAGACCAGTTTTTTCAGCAAATGGTGCTGGCAAAACTGGAAATACATGTTCAAAAGAATGAAGTTGGGCCCTTATCATACACCATATACACAATTAACTCAAAAGGTGTCAAATGCCTAAATGTAAGAGCTAAAACTATAAAACTCTGAAGAAAACTAGGGCAAAATCTTCATGACTTGGATTTGGCAATGATTTGGCTATGACACCAAAAACAAGGGCAACAAAAGGAAAAATAGACAATCTGGACTTCCTCAAAATTGAAACCTTGAAGTGGATGTAACAGTTCACACCTGTAATCCCAGGTACTCAAGAGGCTGAAGTGGGAGAATTGCTTGAGCCTGGGAGGTCAAGGCTGCAGTGAGCTATGATGGCACCACTGCACTCCAGCTGGTGCAACAGAGTGAGACCCTGTCTCTTACACAATAAATAAAATTTGGTTGGGCGCAGTGGCTCATACCTGTAATCCCAGCACTTTGGGAGTCCAAGGTGGGCAGATCACTTGAGGTCAGAAGTTTGAGACCAGTCTGGCCAACATGGTGAAACCTCGTCTCTACTAAAAATACAAAAATTAGCTCGGCGTGGTGGCACATGCCTGTAAACCCAGCTACTCTGGAGGCTGAGGCAGGAGAATTGCAACACGGGAGGCGTGTCGGTGCACTCCAGCCTGGGTGACAGAGGGAGACTCCCTCTCCAAAAAAATTAAAATTAATTAATAAAATTACATAGGATTATTTTTGCTTACTTTGCTAAAATGTACATTACACAAAATTTACCAACTTTTTTTTTTTTTTGAGACGGACTCTTGCTCTGTCACGAGGCTGCACCAGGAGTGCAATGGCACGATCTCTGCTCACTGCAACCTCTGCCTCCCGGGTTCAAGCGATTCTCCTGCCTCAGCCTCCCGAGTAGCTGAGACTACAGGCAAGCACCACCACGCCCAGCTAATTTCTGTATTTTTAGTAGAGACGGGGTTTCACCATGTTGGCCAGGACGGTCTCGATTTCTTGACCTCGTGATCTGCCCGCCTCAGCCTCCCAAAGTGCTGGGATTACAGGCGTGAGCCACCACGCCCAGCCCATCTTAACTATTTTTAAGCGTACAATTCAGTGGCAACAAGTACATTCACACTGTTGTGCAACTATTACCACCATCCATCTCCAGAACTTTTTAATTCAACCCAAACTGAAACTCTACCCACTAAACAAAAACTTCACAATACCGCCTCCCTCCAGCCCCTGGTAACCACTATTTTACTTTCTGTCTAGGCATTTGACTATTTGAGATACCTCATATAAGTGGAATTATATAATTGTCCTTTTGTGTGTCTTAATACAGTTACCATATTTTCAAGGTGCATCCGTGTTGTAGCATGTACCTTATTTTTGTTTTTGTTTTTGTTTTTGAGACAGCATCTCACCCTGTCACCCAGGCTGGAGTGCAGTGGTGTGATAATGGCTCACTGTAGTTTTGACCTCCTGCGCTCAAGCCATCCTCCCAGTTTAGCCTCCTAAGTAGTTTTGGATTACAGGCATGAACCACTGTACCTAGCTCCATGTAATTTTAGTAAAAATACCTTTTAAATTTGTTTGCCTGATTTCTATTGAAAATCACACAACTAAGACTAATTTCAAAGACAAAACTGCATTTTACATATTTGCTATGGTTTGAATGAGGATCCTCCAAAATTTAGGTATTGCCAATGTGATAGTATTAAGAGGTGGGCCTTTAAAAAGGGGCAGGAGGGTTCCTTCCTCATTGATGGGATTAGGTTCCCTTATAAAGGGGCTTGACAGCGAAGTTGGTCCTCTCTTGCCCTTCTGCCTTGTGCATATGAAGACAGAGTGTTCCTCCTCCCCACAGCATGCAGCCTTCACTGGACACTAAATGTCAGGGCCTTGATCTTGGACTTCTCAGTCTTAAGAAATCTGAGAACTAGATTTCTGCTCATTATAAATTATCCAGTCTCAGTTATTATGTTATAGCAGCACAAAATGGATTAAGACAATATTATTACTAATTAATCTTTAATAGACTGGGCACAGTGGCTCTCGTCTATAATACCAACACTTTGGGAGGTCAAGGCAGGTGAATCACTTGAGGTCAAGAGAATCACTTAAACCCGGGAGGAAGAGGTTGCAGTGAGCCAGGATTGAGCCACTACACTCCAGCCTAGGTGACAGACTGAGAGTCTGTCTCAAAAAACAAATAAAAAATTTTCTTTATCGAAGACATTATGGGCTGGGCATGGTGGCTCACGCCTATTATCCCAGCACTTTGGGAGGCCAAGGCAGACGGATCACTTGAGGTCAGGAGTTCAAGACCAGCCTGGCCAACATGGTGAAACCCCGTCTCTCCTAAAAATACAAAAATTAGCCAGGTGTGGATGCTCACACCTGTAATCCCAGCTACTCGGGAGGCTGAGGCAAGAGAATCGCTTGAACCTGGAGGTGGAGGTTGCAGTGAGCCCAGATCATGCCACTGCACTCCAGCCTGGGCAACAAAGCAAGACTCCACCTCAAAAAAAACAAGAAATGATGTCGAAAATCTATTTGTAAATCATTTGTATATTTGCAGATTATTTGTAGAGACATGTGAAATACACCAAACACTATTGTCATATAGCACCAAACTGAAATAATTCAACATGAGGCCTATTTTGTTAGCACCAATGGAATGTTTTGACTAAATCTCAAATATTTCTTTTTTTCTTTTTCTTTTTCTTTTTCTTTTTTTTTTTTTTTTTGAGACAGAATTTCACTCTTGGTGCCCAGGCTGGAGTCCAATGGTGCAATCTCAGCTCACTGCAACCTCCACCTCCTGGGTTCAAGCAATTCTCTTGCCTCAGCCTCCCAACTAGCTGGGATTACAGCTACCTGCCACTACATCCAGCTGATTTTTTTGTTTTTGTTTTTTGAGACAGAGTTTCACTCTTTTGCCCAGGCTGGAGCGAAGTGGCACGATCTTGGTTCACGGCAACCTCTGCCCCCTGGGTTCAAGCAATTCTCCTGCTTCAGCCTCCTGAGTAGCTGGGATTATAGGCGCCTGCTACCACGCCTGGCTAATTTTTGTATTTTTAGTAGAGACGGGGTTTCGCCATGTTGGCCAGGTTGGTCTCGAACTCCTTACCTCAGGTGATCCACCCACCTCGGCCTCCCAAAGTGCTAGGATTACAGATGTGCGGCCTCCCAAAGTGCTAGGATTACAGATGTGCGGCCTCCCAAAGTGCTAGGATTACAGGCGTGAGCCACTGCGCCTGGCTTTTTTTTTTTTTTTTTTTTTTTTTTTTGTATTTTTAGTAGAGATGGGGTTTCACCATGCTGGCCAGGCCGGTCTTGAACTCCTGACCTCAGGTGATCTGCCTGCCTTGGCCTCCCAAAGTGCTGGGATTACAAGCGTGAGCCACCACATCTGGCCCTCAAATATTTCAAAATATCTATTGGCTGGGTGTGGCAGCTCACACCTACAATCCTGGCACTGAGAGGCTGAGGCAGGCAGATCGCTTAAGCCCAGGAGTTCGAGACCAGCCTGAGCAACATAGCAAAACCCCATCTCCGCCAAAAAAAAATACAAAAATTAGCCAAGCATGATGGACACCTGTAGTCCTAGCTACTCAGGAGGCTGAGGTCAGAGATTGCTTGACCCTGAGAGGCGGAGGTTGCAGTGAGCTGAGATTGCACCACTGCACTCAAGCCTGGGTGACAGAACTAGACAATGTTTAAAAAAAAAAAAAAAAAAAAAAAATATATATATATATATATATATATATATGTATGTGTGTGTATATATATATATACATGTACATATAAATATTTGAAAAATGCTTATTCTACTTGTTAGAAGAAACAAACTAGGATAAAACCAAAACCACCTGTAATTTCACTATCAAGGGGTAACTGCTATTTAATAATTTTGATAATGATTGACAAACTGCCTTCCACAGAGCGTGTACAATTTAATTCCTACTAGCAATAGTTTCAGAGTGCTCATTTCAGTATGTTAACCATTTTCATCCTTTGACCATCTGATAAGTGACAAATTTGTCATCACTTTACAAATGAGGAAAATGAAGCCTATTATGGCCATGGTCAAATAGAGGTAATTGGAAAGCAGAGTGGAATTCAGGTCTTCTGACTCCAAGGACTGTACTCCTTTCACTATACCTCCCACAAAGTAAAACCAGAGTTTGTTTTTGTTCTTGGTTTTGAGACGGAGTCTCGCTCTGTTGCCAGGTCGGAGTACAGTGGCATGATCTCAGCTCACTGCTACCTCCACCTCCCGGTTCAAGAGATTCTCCTGCCTCAGCCTCCCGAGTAGCTGGGACTACAGCCGTGTGCCACCACGCCCGGCTAATTTTTTGTATTTTTAGTAGAGACGGAGTTACCCCATGTTGGCCACGATGGTCTCGATCTCTTGTCCTCGTGATTCGCCCACCTCGGCCTCCCAAAGTACTGGGATTACAGGCCTGAGCCACTGTATCCAGCAAAAGCAGGGTTTTTAAAGCCAGTCCATGCATAATACCTCCCCACCATTTGTTTGTTTTGAGATGGAGTCTCACTCTTGTTGCCCAGGCTGGAGTGCAGTGGTGCAATCTCGGCTCACTGCAACCTCTGCCTCCTGGGTTCTAGCAATTCTCCTGCCTCAGCCTCCCAAGCAGCTGGGACTACAGGCATAAGCCACTGCGCCTGGCAAGTTTTTTGTTTTGTTTTGTTTTTTTGAGACAGAGTCTCGCTCTGTCGCCCAGGCTGGAGTGCAATGGCGTGATCTCGGCTCACCACAACCTCTGCCTCCCAGGTTCAAGCGATTCTCCTGCATCAGCCTCCCAAATAGCTGGGATTACAGGCATACGCCACCACGCCCCACCATAGTTTTTGTATTTTTAGTAGAGATGGGGTTTCACCATGTTGGCCAGGATGGTCTCGACCTTATGACCTTGTGATCCACCTGCCTCGGCCTCCCAAAGTGCTGGGATTACAGGCGTGAGCCACTGTGTCTGGCCCCAGTTTTGTTTTTTTAAACAGCAACTTTTAATGAATTGGCAGTGTAGAGCACCCAGAGAAGGACTGCTGCTTGTGGAGCAGGCTCCCCTATAGGCAGTGTGCCCAGCATAGCCTAAAGATTTTTTTTTTTTTGAGACGGAGTCTTGCTCTGTCCCCCAGGCTGGAATGCAATGGCGGGATCTCAGCTCACTGCAACCTCCGCCTCCTGGGTTCATGCCATTCTCCTGCCTCAGCCGCCCGAGTAGCTGGGACTACAGGTGCCCGCCACCACCCCTGGCTAATTTTTTAAAATATTTTTAGTAGAGATGGGGTTTCACTGTGTTAGCCAGGATGGTCTCGATCTCCTGACCTCGTGATCCACCCGCCTCGGCCTCCCAAAGTGCTGGGATTACAGGCTTGAGCCACCGCGCCCGGCCAAAATTTTTTAATTATTATGTAATCAAATCTATCAATCTTTTCCTTTATGATGTGATGAGGAAGTACACAGCACACATCATTTCTTACTCCTGTGCCATGATTAAGTCATTGTTAAAATTCAGTTAGGTTTATCTTTTTTAAAGATAAAAATAAAACCGGGCATGGTGGCTCATGCCTGTAATCCCAGCACTTTGGGAGGCCCAGGTGGGCAGATCACCTAAGGTCAGGAGTTCGAGACCAGCCTGGCCAATATGGTGAAACCCCATCTCTACTAAAAATACAAAAATTAGCCAGGCACACGCCCGAAATTCCAGGTTCTCGGGAGGCTGAGGCAGGAGAAGTGCTTGAACCCGGGAGGCAAAAGATGCACAAAGCTGAGGTCGCACCACTGCACTCCAGCCTGGGTGACAGAGCGAGACTCCATCTCAACAACAACAAAAGTAAATAAAAAATAAAAATAAAAGAGTCGTGGGGAGGTCTTGCTATGTTGCCCAGGCTGGTCTTGAACTCCTGGGCTCAAGCTATCCTCCCACCTTGGCCCCACAAAGTACTGGGATTTCAAGTGTGAGCCACTGCCCCCAGCCAAATTTTAGTCAGGTTGAGATGCGACTTACAGATCTTCTTCTGCTTTTTTTTTTTTTTTTTTGAGACAGGGTCTCACTCTGTCACCGAGGTCGGAGTACAGTGGTGCAATCTCAGCTCACTGCAACCTCCACCTCTTGAGTTCAAGCAATTCTCCTGCTTCAGCCTCCTGAGTACCTGAGATTACAGGCATGTGCCACTACACCTGGCTAATTTTGTGTGTGTGTGTGTGTGTGTTTTGAGACAGAGTCTCATTCTGTCACCCAGGCTGGAATGCAGTGGCATGATCACGGCTCACTGCAACCTCTGCCTCCCAGGTTCAAGGGATTCTCCTGACTCGGCCTCCCGAGTAGCTAGGTTTATAGGTGCGCATCACCATGCCTGGCTAATGTTTGTATTTTCAGTAGAGATGGGGTTTCACCATGTTGGCCAGGCTGGTCTCGAACTCCTGACGCAGGTGATCTGCCCGCCTCGGCCTCCCAAAGTGCTAGGATTACACGAGTGAGCCACCGTGCCTGGCCTGTGAGAATCTCTTGAACCCAGGAGGTGGAGGTTGCAGTGAGCCGAGAATGTGCCACTGCACTCCAGCCTGGGCGATGGAGCCAGACTCTGAGAGAGAAAAGAGAGAAGAGAGAGAGGAGAGAGAGGAGAGAGAGGAGAGAGAGAGAGAGAAGAGAGAAAAGAAAAAAGAAAAGAAAAGAAAAGGGAAAGGAAAGGAAAGGAAAGAAAGAAAGGAGGGAGGGAGGAAAAGAGGGAGGGAGGGAAAGATAAGAAAAGAAATGAAGGAAGGAAGGGATTCAATGATAAATGGGTGTCACCTTGCATCTTTTTTGTAAAAAACAATCACATTTTCCAAAACAAAATTTAGTAAACCATATTTAACTGTTTTACATTTTGCAAATTCTTTTAAATGCCTGGCCTACTAGAAAACTACTGGATTGTCATACCTGCTTGTGTTCAAACTGCAGCAAAATGTTATGGGTGAACTATATGAAGAAAATCTAGCCTTATACATATGTGGATACATACATATATACTTCTTTTTTTTGAGACAGGGTTCCTCAGGCTGGAGTACAGTGGCACGATCTCGGCTCACTGCGGCCTTTACCTCCCAGGCTCAAGTGTTCCTCTCACTTCAGCCCCAGTAGCTGGGACTATAGGTGTGCACCACCACACCTGTTTAATGTTTGAATGTTTTGTAGAGACGGATTTTTGCCATATTGCCCAGGCTTGCCCTCCCAAAGTGATGTGACCTTGCATGGATCTTTTACTCTTGCATGATTTTGTAATATTTGAAAATATTGGCCAGGCACAGTGGCTCATGCCTGTAATCCCAGCACTTTGGGAGGCCAAGGTGGGCAGATCACCTGAGGTTGAGAGTTCGAGACCAGCCTGACCAACATGGAGAAACCCTGTCTCTACTAAAAATACAAAAATTAGCCAGGCGTGGTGGTGCATGCCTGTAATCTCAGCTACTCGGGAGGCTGAGGCAGGAGAATCGCTTGGACCCAGGGGGCAGAGGTTGCAGTGAGCCGAGATCACACCACTGCACTCCAGCCTGGGCGACAGAGCAAGATGCCATCTAAAAAAAAAAAACCAACAACAACAAACAAAACAAACAAAAAACCCCACCACACCACTAAAAAAATTAAAAATAAGCCAGATGGGCTGGGCAAGGTGGCTCACACCTGTAATCCCAGCAGTTTGAAGGCTAAGGCGGGCATATCACCTGAGGTCAGGAATTTGAGACCAGCCTGATCAACATGGAGAAACTCTGTCTCTACTAAAAATACAAAATGAGCCAGGCGTGGTGGCGCATGCATGTAATCCCAGCTACTCCAGAGGCTGAGGCAGGATCATCACTTGAACCCAGGAGGCACAGGTTTCCATGAGCCGAGATCACACCATTGCACTCCAACCTGAGCAACAAGAGTGAAACTCTGTCTCAAAAAAAAAAAAAACAGTTTATATTGGTTCACTGAGTGATGTGGATCTTCCAAAATGTTGACACTGCATTATACAAATGCTCCTTGATTGCATTAGGATGCAGCTACACTCCCATAAACCCATTATAAACGGAAACTATTGTAAATTTGGTGAGGTGTGGTGGCTCATGCCTGAAATATAAAATATATATGAAAATACTGTAAGTCAAAAATGCATTTAATACACCTAACCTAGAAAACACATAGCTTGATTAGCCTACATTAAACATGTTCAAAACACTTACCTTAGCCTACACTTGGGCAAAATCATCTAACACAAAACTTATTTTACAATAAAGTGTTGAATGTCTCATGTGATTTATAGAATACTGTAATGAAAGTGGAAACAGAATGGTTGTATGGGTATTTAAATTAGGGTTTCTACTGAATGAGCATTGTTTTCACACCATTATAAAGTGGAAAAATCTTAAGTTGAACCATCATAAGTTCAGGACCATCTGCCCAATAAGAACAAATAAAACCACATTATAGGCTGGGTGCAGTGGCTCACTCCTGTAATCCCAGCACTCTGGAAGGCCGAGGCAGGTGGATCACCTGAGGTCTGGAGTTCAAGACCAGCCTGGCTAACATGGCAAAACCCTGTCTCTACTAAAATTAGCCAGGTGCAGTGTCATGTGCCTGTAGTCCAAGCTACCCGGGAGGCTGAGGCAGAAGAATCACTTAAACTTGGGAGGAGGAGGTTGCAGTGAGCCGAGATCGCACCACTGCACTCCAGCCTGGGCAACAGAGCAAGACTCTGTCTCAAAAAATATATACATATATAAAACCACATTATATAATAACAACAAATAATTCACATGTTAATATCACCATTGATCTCATCAGAATTTTTTTTTAGTTTTTAGTACAGCATAATTTTTTTTTAAATTTAGACATAGGGTCTTGCTCTGTCCCCCAGGATGGAGTGCAGTGGCACTATCATAGCTCACTGCAGCCTCCAATACCATGGATCAAGTGATCCTTCCACCTCAGCCTCTTGTCTCAGCGTTGCCTATAGCTGAAACTACAGGCGCACAGCACTGTGCTCAGCTTATTTTGTTATTTTTTGTAGAGATGGGGTCTCACTTTGTTGCCTAGGCTGGACTTGAACTCTTGGTCTCAAGCCATCCTCTCACATTGGCCTCTTAAAGTGCTAGGATTATAGGCGTAAGCCACCGTGCCCAGCCCAGAAAATTCTTGAAATATTGGAAAACTGTCAAGCTCAAAGTAGCAAACACAAGTTTTCCAAAATTCCAATTTTTGCTTGAAAGTTAAAATTTTTATAATTGGCAACAAATACTGTCAATAGTTTTTCTTGAAGTGACAAGATTCTCCTGGTTAAAGAATGTATCTACCAAACACCCAATTCTATTTAACCATAGTTTGTCTGTCAGCCACTCTTTCAAGTAAAAATGGTGTTTCATGAAGAAAGCAGTTAGTTCAGCTTGCAATTCAAATAATTACGTAAGTAATTTCCTCAAGACAACTATCTAACTTTTTTTTTTTTTTTTTTTTTTTTTTGAGACTGAGTCTTGCTCTGTCCCCCAGGCTGGAGTGCAGTGGTGCGATCTCGGCTTACTGCAACCTCTCCCTCCCAGGTTCAAGTGATTCTCCTGCCTCAGCCTCTGGAGTAGCTGGGACTACAGTGCATACAACTTATTTTGTTCAGTAGAGACGGGGTTTCACCATGTTGGCTAGGCTAGTCTTGAACTCCTGATCTCAAGTGATCTGCCTGCCTCAGCCTCCCAAAGTGCTGAGATTACAGGCGTGAGCCACTGCGCCCGACTGACAACTATCTACTTTGGTATGCAGCAAAAATGCTTCATATCTACTTCTCATTTCATTACACTATACATATACATATATATATATACACACACACACACACACGTGTGTGTGTGTGTGCATACTCAATGTTACAAAGTTGTAACATTGGAAATTACCAAGTTTTATTATTACTATTTTTTTTTGAGGCGGAGTTTCACTCTTGTTGCCCAGGCTGGAGTCCAGTGGCATGATCTCAGCTCACCGCAGCCTCTGCCTTCCGGGTTCAAGTGATTCTCCTGCTTCAGCCTCCCTGAGTAGCTGGGACTACAGGCATGCGCCACCATGCCTGGTTAATTTTGTACTTTTAGTAGAGACGGGGTTTCTCCATGTTGGTCAGGCTGGTCTCGAGCTCCTGACCTCAGGTGATCCACCCATCTTGGCCTGCCAAAGTGCTGGGATTACAGGCGTGAGCCACCACACCCAGCCTTGTTTTTTTTTTTTGAGACGGAGTCTCACTCTGTCGCCCAGGCTGGAGTGCAGTGGCGCAATCTTGGCTCGCCGCAACCTCCACCTCCCAGGTTCAAGTGGTGATTCTCCTGCCTCAGCCTCCTGAGTAGATAGGACTACAGGCAGGCACCACCACACCTGGCTAATTTTTGTATTTTTAGTAGACATGGGGTTTCACCATGTTGGCCAGGATGGTCTCAATCTCCTGACCTCATGATCCACCCACCTCAGCCTCCCAAAGTGCTAGGATTACAGGTGTGAGCCACCACGCCTGGCCCAAGTTTTATTATTTCATCACAGGACTCTCTTAATTCAAACTAAAAACTGTGATCATGTGTTGGTGAAGAATACAATGGAGACTTGCATTCACTTCTTTGATTCTTGATTAATACCAAGGAACTGGCAGTTTCAATTTCTTTTCTTTTTTTTTTTTTTTGAGACAAGGTCTTTCTCTGTTCATCAGGCTAGAGTACAATGGCACGTTCTCAGCTCACTGCAGCCTCTGCTTCCAGGTTCAAGCAATTCTCCTGCGTCAGCTTCCCGAGTAGCTGGGATTACAGGCACGCGCCACCAAGCCCAGCTAATTTTTGCATTTTTAGTAGAGATGGGGTTTCACCATATTGGCCAGGCTAGGCTCAAACTCCTGACCTCAGGTGATCCGCCCGCCCTCAGCCTCCCAAAAGGCTGGGATTACAGGCTGAGCCACCATGCTCAGCCTCCTTAATTTCTTTTGTACCTGTCAGAGCAGATGTCAACCACTGAAAAGGCAAATTCCATCCCGATTTTGTGAAAGTTGATCATACTAATTGAGACATTCTTGTCATATTCAACAAAACAGAGTGAAGAGACCAGAGGGAAAAAGCACTCAGGGGCACATAACATTGCTCCAAAAATGTAGTTCTCTGTACGTCCAGCTGCTGAATAAACTGCCTGTTGTAACTTGAGGCCACTCTTATCTCATAGCTGCTAAAACAACCTGCTGCCTCTCTAAGACTAATTTTCCCACCACATTTTCTCACTAATTGGATCTTGTCAGCTCCCTGAAACTTTATTAATATCAATGATTTTTTTTTTTTGAGACGGAGTCTCACTCTGTCACCCACGCTGGAGTGCAGTGGCATGATCTCGGCTCAATGCAAGCTCCGCCTCCGAGGTTCACGCCATTCTCCTGCCTCAGCATCCCAAGTAGCTGGGACTACAGGCGCCCACCATCACACCTGGCTAATTTTTTGTATTTTTAGTGGAAATGGGGTTTCACCATGTTAGCCAGGATGGTCTCGATCTCCTGGCCTCGTGATCCACCCGCCTCAGCCTCCCAAAGTGCTGGGATTACAGGTGTGAGCCACCGTGCCCAGCGTAATGAAATTTCTTTAAAATCAACACATAACATTTATCTTGTTTATAAAACCCCCAAACCTCTCTGTGTTTTTTGGACATACTGAAAACCACCCAGCCTGTATGTGCCCCAAATTGCAATTCTTGCTTCCCAAATAAGATGTTAAATTTAAGAGATTCGTTTCTTCATCTTTATTGTGACTTTGACAGTACGATTATAAAATTACTTTTGATTTTGAAGACCTCCTGGAAATGTTCTGTGAACCCACGGGGTCATGTGAGTCACACTCTCAGAAGCACTGCTCTAGGGCTCTACCCTGTTATTGGGGTATGACACTTCTGGGATCTCTACTGGATGCTTTGGTTACTTATAGAGTCTCTCCACTGCTGGCTAATGTGAGCTCTGGGAACTTTTCAGTTTACAACTAGAATAGCTTGCAGGGTTTTTGTTTTTTTGTTCGTTTTTTTTCCTGGTATTACTGAATTTCACCCTACAGTTTTATAGCTTAGTATTCAGCCTCTTAAAAGAAAAACTTCAGGCAAATTAAACTTAACAGACTTTATTTGAGCAAAGAACAATTCATAAATTGGGCAGCACTCCAAAGCAGAAGAGGTTCAGAGAGCTCCCCTCTGCAACATGGGTAGTGAGTATAGACAGAAAATAGAAGTAAACTACAGAAGTAACCTAAGGGTTTGCCTTATATGGACATGGTCTCATCAGTTGGCTGCCTGTGATTGACTGAAGCTTGGCTGCTTATGATTGGCTGAAACGTGATTATCTGTTACAAAATATATACTCCTAAATTAGGTTTAAATTCCTTTATGGACTAAGTTAGGTCACAGTTCAATATGTAGGAATTTGAAGTATGGAGACAGCAGCAGGCCAGTGGCCTCTTGCTTATTTAATTTAATAAGCCAGGCCAGGCGTGGTGGCTCACGCCCCTAATCCCAGCACTTTGGGAGGCCAAGGCAAGTGGATTGCTTGAGGCCAGGAGTTCAAGACCAGCCTGGCCAACATGGGGAAACCCAGTCTCTAATAAAAACACAAAAATTAAGGCAGGGCACAGTGGCTTATGCCTGTAATCCCAGCACTTTGAAAGGCCGAGGTGGGCGGATCACTTGAGGTCAGGAGTTCCAGACCAGCCTGGCAAACATGATAAAACCCCCTCTCTACTTAAAAATACAAAAATTAGCTGGGCACGGTGGTGTGCGCCTATAGTCCCAACTACTTGGGAGGCTGAGGCAGGAGAATCACTTGAACCCAGGAAGCGGAGGTTGCAGTGAGCCAAGATCATGCCAATGCACTCCAGTTTGGGTGACAGAGAGAGAGAGACTCAGTCTCAAAACAAACAAACAAACAAATAACAACACAAAAATTAGCCAGGCGTGGTGGTACACGCCTGTAAGCCCAGCTACTCAGGAGGCTGAGGCAAGAAAATCGCTTGAACCCAGGAAGCAGAGGTTACAGCGAGCGGAGATCCTGCCACTGCACTCCAGCCTTGGCAACAGAGTGAAACTCTATCTCAAAAAAAAAAAAAAAAAATTAATAAGCCAAAGACTCAAGGGGGTCCCTATCTGGATTTCTGCAGCTCTTTCATTGTGTAGCTCCCTACTCTCTTGTATTCTGCCCCAGACATTCTAGCTCCCTCAGTTCCCCTGAATCCTTTTTCTGTCCCCTCAAGTCAGCAAGTTTGCTGTGGTCTCATCGACACCATCTTCGTATGCCACGGCCTGGAAAGGCTCTCCAGGCAAAAGGCCTGTTTCTCTTGTCCCCAGGATCCAGGTCCTGTGCTGCTTATTGCCTCCTGTCTAAAAACAGCCATTTCAGATATTTATCCAGTTTTCTATTTTTTATTTTTTGTTTGTTTGTTTTTTCGAGACAGAGTCTTGCTCTGTCACTCAGGCTAGAGTATAGTGGCGCAATCTGGGCTCACTGCAACCTCTGCCTCCCGGGTTCAAGTGATTCTCCTGTCTCAGTCTCCCGAGTAGCTGGGACTACAGGTGCACACCACCACATTTGGCTAATTTTTTTTTTTTTTTTTTTTTTTTTTTTTTTGAGACGGAGTCTCGCTCTTTCGCCCAGGCCGGACTGCAGTTGTGCAATCTCGGCTCATTGCAAGCTCCTCCTCCCAGGTTCACGCCATTCTCCTGCCTCAGCCTCCCGAGTAGCTGGGACTACAGGTGCCCACCACCGCGCCCGGCTAATTTTTTGTATTTTTAGTAGAGATGGGGTTTCACCATGTTAGCCAGGATGGTTTCGATCTCCTAACCTCGTGATCCACCCGCCTCGGCCTCCCAAAGTGCTGGGATTACAGGCATGAGCCACCACGCCTGGCTAATTTTTGTATTTATTTTATTTATTTTTTTGAGATGGAGTCTCGCTCTGTCGCCCAGGCTGGAGTGCAATGGCGTGATCTTGGCTCACTGCAACCTCCGCCTCTCGGGTTCAAGCGATTCTGCTGCCTCAGCCTCCCGAGTAGCTGGGACTATAGGCGCCTGTCACCATGCCTGGATAATTTTTGTATTTTTTAGTAAAGACGGGGTTTCACCATATTGGCCAGGCTGATCTCGAACTCCTGACCTTGTGATCCGCCCGCCTCGGCTTCCTGAAGTGCTGGGATTACAGGCATGAGTCACCACGCCCGGCTATTATTTTTGTATTTTTACTAGAGACGGGGTTTCATCATGTTGGTCAGGCTGGTCTCAAACTTCTGACCTCAGGTAATCCACCCACCTCGGCCTCCCAAAGTGCTGGGATTACAGGTGTGAGTCACCGCAGCCAGCCCCAGTTTTCTACTTGTTTATAGGGGGAGGAAAGCCCAATACCAGTTACTCTGACATAGCTGGTACATGTGTCTATTTTTTTTGTGTGTGTTTTAATTTTTATCCCAATCTTATGAAAATTTCAAACATTCAAAAAAGCTATATCAGAGATAAAGCCAGATACTAAAGAGGTAAGGGCAGATTTTAATCAGTAACATACTATTGCAATATGCAAAAGAGTCCAGTGAAAATTGAACTCAACTTCAATGTGGGCCTGGTGCAGTGGCTCACGCCTGTAATCCCAATACTTTTGGAGGCTGATGCGGGAAGATCACTTGAGACCAGGAATTCAACACCAGCCTGAGCAACATAAGGAAGTCCCATTGCTACAAAAAAAAAATTGCTGGGCATGTAGTAGTAGTCTCAGATACACAGGGAACTGAGAGATGGGAAGGAACCCTTGAGCCCAGGAGTTCAGGCTGCAGTGAGTTATAATCACACCACTGCACTCCAGCCTGGGTGACAGAGCAAGACTCTGTCTCAGAACAGATAAACAGTCCGGCTGCGGTGGCTCACGCCTGTAATCCCAGCACTCTAGGAGGCTGAGGCGGGCAGATCACCTGAGGTCAGGAGTTCGAGACCAGCCTGGCCAACATGGCAAAACCCCGTCTCCACTAAAAATGCAAAAATTAGGGCCTGGCACAGTGGCTCACACCAGGAATCTCAGCACTTTGGGAGGCTGGGCTGGGTGGATCACCTGAGGTTGGGAGTTCAAGACCAGCCTGACGAGCATGGAGAAACCCTGTCTCTACTAAAAATACAAAATTAGCCGGGTGTGGTAATGCATGCCTGTAATCCCAGCTACTCGGGAAGCTGAGGCAGGAGAATCGCTTGAACCCGGGAGGCGGAGGTTGCGGTGAACTGAGATCATGCCATTGCACTCCAGCCTGGACAACAAGAGTGACAGTCCGTCTCAAAAAAGAAAAAAAGAAAAAAAGAAAAAATTAGCCGGGCATGGTGGCACATGCCTGCAGTCCCAGTTACACAGGAGGCTGAGGCAAGAGAATCACTTGAACCCGGGAGGCAGAGGTTGCAGGGAGCCAAGATCATGCCACTGAACTCTAGCCTGGGCAACAGTGGAGACTCAGTCTCAAAAATAGCCAGGCGCGGTGGCTCACCCCTGTAATCCCAGCACTTTGGGAGGCCGAGGCGAGTGAATCACAAGGTCAGGAGTTCGAGACTAGCCTGGCCAACATGGTGAAACCCCGTCTCTACTAAAAATAAAAAAAATTAGGTGGGCGTGGTGGCGCGTGGCTATAATCCCAGCTACTTGGGAGGCTGAGACAGGAGAATTGTTTGAACCCAGGAGGCAGAGGTTGCAGTGAGCGAGATTGCACCACTGCACTCTAGCCTGGGAGCCCGGGTGACAGTGCAAGACTCCATCTCAAAAAAAATAAATAAATAAAATAAAAATAAACAAATGAAAACTTCGATGGGAATTAACTGGTTGTTTTAAAGGGAGAATGAGGGAGTAAGGAGGGGGTGAGCAGGGGCTCATTAGAGTCAGGGAAGTAAAAAACTCCAAAAAGTGGAAACTGGGGGAGTTGGTCCATGTGAAACCCAGTTGGGTTTGCCAACTGGTGCTTATTAAAATTAGGCTCCTACCCTCTTTCCCACAGAGGCTGGAAGATGGGGGTCCTAAGCCTGAGGTGTTTGCTGGAACAAACAGTAAATTCTTTAGGTGATCTTGAGTTTTCTCAGGCAAGCGTCTAGGGGTCATCCTATGGATGTGACCTTGAGCTGTTAAAAGTCATGTTGGGGTCGGGCCCGGTGGCTCATGCCTATAATCCCAGCACTTTGGGAGGCCAAGGTGGGTGGATCGCCTGAGGTCAGGAGATTGAGACCAGCCTGGCCAACATGGCAAAACTCTGTCTCTACTAAAACCACAAAAATTAGATGGGCATGGTGGTGGGCACCTGTAATCCCAGCTACTCGAGAGGCTGAGGCAGGAGAATCACTTGAACCTGGGAGGCGGAGGTTACAGTGAGCCAAGATCACGCCACTGCACTCCAGCCTGCGCGACACAGCATGATTGTCTCAAAAAATAAATAATTTAAATAAATAAATAAAATACAAAAATTAGGCAGGCATGGTGGTGTGCACCTATAATCCCAGCTATTAGGAAGGCTGAGACAGGAGAATTGCTTGAACCTATGAGGTGGAGGATGCAGTGAGCTGAGATTGTGCCACGGCACTCCAGTCTGGGTGACAGAGCAAGACTCTGTCTCAAAAAAAAAGTCAGGTTGGTGGCCAGGCACAGTGGCTCATGCTTGTAATCCCAGCACTTTGGGAGGCTGAGGCAGGAGGATCACTGGAGCCCTGGAGTTCAAAGCCAAACTGGGCAATATAGCAAGACCCCATCTCTACCAAAATAAAACAAAAAATTAGCCAGGCGTGGTGGTGCTCATCTGTAGTCCTAGCTACTCAGGAGGCTGAGGTGGGAGGATTGCTACAGCTCAGGAAGTTGAGGCTACAGTGAGCCATAATCATGCTACTGCACTCCAGCCTGGGTGACAGAGCAAGACCCTGTCTCTAAGAAAATAATAAAAATTAAAAAAAAATTAGAGTCAACATCCTTATAACCACTACTTACATCTACCATTAACATATTTCTTTTTTTATTTTATTTTATTTTTTTTTGAGACCTCGACTCACTGCAACCTCCGCTTCCTGGGTTCAAGCGATTCTCTTGCCTCAGCCTCCTGAGTAGCTGGGATTACAGGCATGCGCCACCATGCCAAGCTAATTTTTGTATTTTTAGTAGAGACGAGGTTTCACCATATTGGTCAGGCTGGTCTCAAACTCCTGACCTTGTGATCCACCCGCCTTGGCCTCCCAAAGTGCTGGGATTATAGGCGTGAACCACCGCGCCCGGCCTTGCTGTGCTTTTTAAATTGTCTTTTTGAGGGATTTGTCCATCAAATTTCTCAAATCCTTTTTCTTTTTCTTCTTTTGAGACAGAATTTCGCTGTTGCTGCCCAGGCTGGAGTGCAATGGTGCGATCTCGGCTCACCACAACCTCTGCCTCCTGGGTTCAAGCGATTCTCCTGCCTCAGCATCCCAAGTAGCTGGAACTACAGGCATGCGCCACCACGCCTGGCTAATTTTGTATTTTCAGTAGAGATGGGGTTTCTCCACGTAGGTCAGGCTGGTCTTGAACTCCCAACCTCAGGTGATCCACTCGCCTTGGCCTCCCAATGTGCTGGGATTAAGGCGTGAACCACCACGCCCAGCCTCTTTTTTTTTTTTTTTTTTTTGAGACTGAGTCTCGCTCTGTCGCCCAGGCTGGAGTGCAGTGGCCCGATCTCGGCTCACTGCAACCTCTGTCTCCCGGATGCAAGCAATTTTCTTGCCTCAGCCTCCTGAGTAGCTGGGATTACAGGCATGTGCCACCATGTCTGGCTATCTTAAATTCTTTGACCTAAATTGTTTATAATACCTTCTCAAGTCTCTTTGTTTTGTTTTGTTTCATTTTTGTCTCCCCCCGCCCCCACTCCAGAAATATCCATAAGTTCCTAATATGGCACTGACAGTCACAGCTCAATGGCGCCTTCACCCAACAAACCCTAGACTCTCTGCTGCCCCAACCACGGTGACCGACCTGAGAAGTGTGGCACCAAAGGGCGGTAGGGTGTGAGAGACTGCCACAGTTACTACTTGAGAGCGTCATTATGACAGTTACTACTGTTACTACTTGAGACCGTCATTACGAGACTGAACGGAGGACGAATGTAGAAATGAAAAATTAAAAGAAACTGTTTTAAAGAAAGGGCCAGGGGAAGAAGACAGGTCCCTGCTTCTAGTGAGCAAAGGCAGCTGCCTGAGCCTCTACAGCCCTTCCTATTTATTGGGTAGAAAGAGCAGGGAGCAGGAGGTAACGACTGGTCAAGCTGCTTAATTGATCACAGATTAACATTATTGCTAACAAGCTTCAGATGTGCCTAATTACAAGAAACACTTGTGTCTGGGGCGTCACGCCCTCAGCATTCCTTCTGGGTGGCAGACACAGTTTGTCAGTTTGCCAACATCCAGCTTTCATGAAGTTTGCTGTTTACTTATGTAGCCTCCAGTAGTATACTGAGTTGATCACGACCCTCACTCTTTTGGCCTTCAACAGTAGGGAGCCAGGGGAGGAAGCACCAGGAATGGCACACGGTCATAATGCTGGTGAGTAGGAAGGGCCATCAGCCCCAGGGGCAAAGGCCACTTGACAGACCTGGAGGTGGGGTGAATGCCAAAATGCTGTGGATTACTCAGAGAGTGGAGGTGGAGACAGGGCACCCCCTCCGCTCCCCTTCAAGTCTTGAGGACTGAGACGGCTCCAAGTGTCCTCAGAGTGGGGCAGAAAGGAATCTTAGGTCCACCTGGCATGTGGCAGAGGCAGGATCCATAGATTAAATGTTTTTGGTGGAGTGTGGTGAAGGAGGCTACTTGCCCCTCCAGGACAGGCTTCCTCTTGGTCCAGTGGGAGAAGATGCCTCCTTGGTGATGAAACGGTGGGTGATTTGGGGTAGATGACATTCATGACGCCAGCTCTTCTGGAAGTCATAGTAAGGCACCGAGGGGTGGCTCCTCTCCCTGCAGCGGCTGTCGCTTACCATCCTGTAGACCGTGACCTCCTCACACAGCGCCAGGACGAGGATCGCGGTGAGCCAGCAGGTGACTGCGATCCTGGAGCTGGTCGCAGCAGGCCATCCTGCACGCGGTGGAGGCGCCCCCTGCAGGCCGCAGCGCATCCCCAGCTTCTGGACGCACTGTGAGCGGTTATGCAGCAGCACGCTCATATGAGATGCCCCGCAGGGTGCTATGCAGGCCCACGTCCCCACAAAGCCCATGGCAGGCGCCCGGGTGCCGGAGCACGCACTTGGCCCCATGGATCTCTGTGCCCAGGGCTCAGCCAGGCATCTGGCCGCTAAAGGTTTACAATTTTATTAATTTGTAGGCACATATTATGAAAGGCTTTTTAATACCAACAGGAGTGAGGTGTTAAGTCTTATTTTCCAGGGGTTTCTCTGGCTTTATTTATCCTTAGAAGCAAACTGGATTAATATGCTCTTCACTCTAAATGTGATTTCCAGGATATTAGTTCAAAATAATCTACTGTCCACATTTAAAATTAACACCACTATATTCCCGAACTAATTTCACACCCTCTTAAAAACAAAGATTCTATTAATTGGCTCAAAATTTGCTTTCAAGTCTAGTTAAATTCTCTTTTTTTTTTTTTTTTTTTTGAGACAGAGTCTCATTCTGTCTGTCACCCAGGCTGGAGTGCAAGGTGTGATCTCGGCTCACTGCAACCTCCACCTCCCAGGTTCAAGCAATTCTCCTGCCTCAGCCTCCCGAGTAGCTGGGATTATAGGCTGCCCACCACCACGCCTGGCTAATTTTTGTATTTTTAGTAGAGACGGGGTTTCACCATGTTGGTCAGGCTGGTCTTGAACTCCTGACCTCAAGCAATCCACCCGCCTTGGCCTCCCAAAGTCCTGGGATTACAGGCGTGAGTCACTGAGCCCAGCACTTTTTTTTTTTTTTTTTTCAAAGTGAAGTAGTGAGAGGAGGGAGAGTTCAATTTGTAACTGACTGTGAACAATTGAGATAACTGACTTACTTTACTGGCTCACCTTGGACCAGCTTTTTTTTTTTTTTTTGACACTCTGTCCAGCCCAGGCTGGAGTGCAGTGGCTCGATCATGACTCACTGTAGCCTCAACCTCCAGGACTCAAGTGATCCTCCCACCTCAGCCTCCCAAGTACTTAGGATCACAGATGTGTGCCACCACACCTAGCTAATTTTTGTATATTTTGTAGAGACGGGATTTCACCATGTTGCTTAGGCTGATCTCAAACTCCTGGGCTCAAGGGATCCACCTGCCTTGGCCTCCCAAAGTGCTGGGATTACAGGCATGAGCCACCACACCCAGCCCAGCCTCAAATTCTTAATTTCAGCCTTAACATGGTCACACACTGTAAGTCAACCTTATAGAGCAGTGGTCCCCAACCTTTTTGACACCAGGGAAGACAGTTTCATGGAAGACAATTTTTCCATGGATGAAGGGGGTAGGGGTGGTTTCAGGATGAAACTGCTCCACCTCAGATCATCAGGCATTAGATTCTCACAGGGAGCCTGCAACCTCCATTCACAATAGGGTTCCCAGTCCTATGAAAATCGAATGCTAACCCTGATCTGACAGGAGGCGGAGCTCAGCAGTAATGCTCCTTCGCCAGTTGCTCACCTCCTGCTGTGTAGCTCAGTTCCTAACAGGCCACAGCCAGGGGTTTGGGGACCCCTGTTATACAGCACTATTCCAGCTCTAAAATTTTGTGCCTTCATATTGTCTTTGTCTATGCCTTTCCCTATTCATCTGCCACTGATGATTGCAGCTGCCTATGTTAAGATCTTATGTTGTGTCAACGAGTTGAGGAATTTTAAACTCCAAGTAATGGGGAACGTCAGAGCTTTGGAGACAAAAAGAGTGATGAGACCTAAAAAGATATAGTATTATTCTTTCCACTGAACTTGACTGAGATCTTCCATTCAATTATATTCATTTTTACTTTTTCTTTTTTTTCTGAGACAGTCTTGCTCTGTCACCCAAGCTGAAGTGCAGCAGCACAATCTTGGCTCACTGCAACCTTTGCCTCCCAGGTTCAAGCAATTCTCCCACCTCAGCCTCCTGAGTAGCTGGGATTTACAGACACATGCCACCATACCCGGCTTATTTTATTTTTTTATTATTATTATTATTTTTGAGATGGCGTTTCGCTCTTTTAGCCCGGGCTGGAGTGCAATGGCATGATCTTGGCTCACTGCAACCTCTGCCTCCAGGGCTTAAGCGATTCTCATGCCTCAGCCTCCAGAGTAACTAGGACTACAGGCTTGCACCACCACACCCAGCTAATTTTTTGTATTTTTAGTAGAGACAGGGTTTCACCACGTTGGCCAGGCTGGTCTTGAACTCCTCAGGTGATCCACCCGCCTCAGCCTCCCAAAGCGCTGGGATTACAGGCGTGAGCCACCACGCCCGGAATTTTTCTTGTATTTTTAGTAGAGATGGCTTTTCACCATGTTGACCAGGCTGGTCTCAAACTCCTGACCTCAAGTGATCTGCCTGCCTTGGCTTCCCAAAGTGCTGGGATTACAGCTGTGAGCCACTGAGCCTGGCCTCACTTTTACATTCTATGTAGCAAATTGTACATAGTATATATATAAAGTGGCTATTAGCAACTCTTACTGGCTCATGACACTAAGAGAGGACCAAAGAAATCACAAGAGGAAAATAGGTCAATGTAAGAATTTTAAAGATAGCAATTTTGAAAATCAGAAGTTTATGAGAACCATCTCACTTGTCCTCAGTGAGATGAGAAAACCAGTAAGTCAATATTAATTGGCATTGCCATTCTCTCCAAGACTATTTAGATTATCCTTTCTAATTTTTGATATAAAATTAGTAGTAGGAGATAATTTTTTTCTAATGACTTTTCCCAGTGAAGTAGTTAAAAAGATGAAAAGAAACCCTGGGTACAGTCCAGATCAGTGATGACAGTTCCTGCAGCTGGGGAGGTGAAGGATGGTAAATAGGACTTTCACATCTATGTTTTCTCCCTTCCTTCCTTATAGTGAGCACACAATAATTTTTTTTTTTGGAGACGGAGCCTTGCTCTGTCACCAGGCTGGAGTGTGATAGTGCAATCTCAGCTCATGCAACCTCCAACACCCTGGTTCAAGTGATTCTCCTGCCTCAGCCTCCCGAGTAGCTGGGACTACAGGCGTGCACTACCACACCCAGCTAATTTTTGTATTTTTAGTAGAGACGGGATTTCACCACGTTGGCCAGGATGGTCTTGATCTCCTGACCTCGTGATCTGCCCGCCTCGGCCTCCCAAAGTGCTAGCATTACAGGCGTGAGTCACTGTGGCCGACCACATTAATTTTACAATGTTAAAAAAATAAAAATTAGGCCGGGCATGGTGGCTCACGCCTGTAATCCCAGCACTCTGGGAGGCCGAGGCGGGCGGATCACCTGAGGTCAGGAGTTCGAGACCAGCCTGGCCAATATGGTGAAACCCCATCTCTACTAAAAATACAAAAAATTAGCCAGGCACGGTGGTGGGCACCTATAATCCCAGCTACTCGGGAGGCTAAGGCAGGAGAATTGCTTGAACCAGGGAGGCAAGATCGTGCCACTGCATTCCAGCCTGGGCAACAAGAGCAAAACTCTGCCTCAAAATAAATAAATAAATAAATATTAAAAATTAAAAACTAGAAAAGGAAAAAAATTTAATTATTCCCATATAGAGATACTTGCATTTTTATCTTCTCTTCTTAATTTAGTTGATTTTTTTTTTCTAAGGGTTGGGGTTTTATTACGTTGCCTCGTCTGGACTCCAACTCCTGGGCTCCAGGGATCCTCCCTCAGCCTACCAAGTAGTAGGGACTATGGGTATATGTCACTGAGCCCGGATCATCTAACACTGTATTATGAAAGATGTCAAACATAATGAAAATTTGAAAGCTATTTACAATGAACACAGGTCAATGAAACACCTATATCTTTTGAATTTTTTACCTTTAATTGCTATGTGTGGAATTGATGGTGCCTTCTAGGTGTGCAGTATGCTGATGAAATAAATGAATTTAAGGTGAGGATCTAATTTTATTTTTTAAATTGATAAATCTGATGGTTATGCCAAATTATCTTAAACAGCCACTGATTGATTTCAGTAGTTTGCTCAAATACAAAAGGGTCTAATTATACTATGAATCTGTGATTCAGTTGATTGGCAAGCTTTAATGAAATAATGAGTATATTTGTTTACTTATTTTAGAGACAGCGTCTCGCTCTGTCACCCAGGCTCTAGTGCAGTAGCATGTTCTCGGCTCACTGCAACCTCTGCCTCCTGGGTTTAAGCAATTCTCATGCCTCAGCCTCCCAAGCAGCTGGGATTACAGGCATGTGCCACCACGCCCTGCTAATTTTTGTACTTTAATAGAGATGGGGTTTCACTATGTTGGCCAGGCTGGTCTTGAATCCCTGACCTCAAGTGATCCACCCCACTCGGCCTCCCAAAGTGCTGGGATTACAAGCATGAGCCACTGTGCCCAGCCTGAAATAATAAGTACGCTGATAATTTGCAAACAAATTTCAAAACTTGTTCTACAGTCTCTAGAGTATTCTCTGGGCTTCTAGAGCAAACTGGATTTTTGGAAATGTCCCAAAGCCACATTCAGATCCATGTCTGAAAATACTAAATGATCTAGTTGTCAAAAACCAAAATGGTGGCTGGGCATAGTAGCTCAAGTCTGTAATTCCAGCACTTTGAGAGGCTGAGGTGGGAGAATCGCTTGAGACCAGGAGTTGAAGATCAGCTTGGACAACATAGTAGACCCCATCTTTATTTAAAACAAACAAACAAACAAACACTCAAAATGGTTAGAAGTTAATGAGGATTACTTTCACGGGTATTCCAAAAATATATACACTGGTATCATTGAGAGTCTGCAAGTATTCCTAGTGTCATCCCACAAGAACGCACCTTCTGTCCTAGTCACTGCTCATATGCCATTTTGTTTCACAGGAATAGTATATAAAAATTTAATATATTACAAAATTGACATCAGAAATCAGAAACAGAAGGGAGATTTACTAAATACACAGTGATGGGGCTGCTGACCATCTAAAATAACTTAAATCCTTAATTTTCATTGGTGTATCTCAAATTTCAAGCATGCCATCTCTTTTCACAGGGAGAAAAAAGCCCATAACACTTGAAGGTTAACTTAATATATACTTATTTTAATATTTTTTATATTTTTATCAACATAAAATAGGTAAATATAGTTCACATACAATAATAAATGCTAAAACATTTACAAATTAAAATAAACATAAAACCAATAAAATGGAAATTAACCATCATTAACATAACAAATAATGCTGTTTTGCTCAAACAAAGTAGATCACAAGTATTTGGTTTAATAGCAAAAAGCTGTAGTTTCAGATCCCATTCTGTAAACTGAGTAGTTTTACTTTAATAATAATGTTGAGAATGCTTGTTCACATAAGTATCTTATTCAAACTGGTATTGATCAATTCAAGCCTTTCTTTCCTCTTTCAAGGTAATTAGAACATAATATTTTTCTTTCTTTTGAGACTGACTCTCGCTCTGTTGCTCAGGCTGGACTGCAGTGGTGCAATCTCAGCTCACTGCAACCTCTGCCTCCTGGGTTCAAGCGATTCTCCTGCCTCAGCCTCCTGAGTAGCTGGGACTACAGGTGTGTGCCACCACACCTGGCTAATTTTTGTATTTTTAGTAAAGACGAGGTTTTGCCACGTTGGCCAGGCTGGTCTTGAACTTCTGACCTCAATTGATCTACCCGCCTGAGCCTCCCAAAGTTCTTGGATTACAGGCGTGAGCCATTGCGCCCGGCCAAGAACAGAATATTAACCAAACCCATCAAATGGCAGTCATTAAATGCCAATTTTTAAATAGGTGTAAATTGATAGATTTTGAAGATTAACAATTACCTATTGTTAATCTTCATTGCCTAATGAAGTCATTGCCTAATGATGATTGAATCTAATTAGTTTTAGATTTAGAATGGAAACATTCTTTGCTATTTATTTGCTATCATACTTATTGCTAAGGAACTGCTGCAAGTTACTCTGTAGAGGAGACTTACAACACAATAGTACTGACTATTGCAGGACAGATGTTTTCTGAGTAATGTAAGATTCTGATCATCATGCCAAAAAACAACTCAGGTATATTACGTGTACAACAACAGCACACCATCATTTTTCTCATTTTCATATAATCTGTGTTCTGCAGCATCAATAGCTTTATTTTTTTTCAGATCAGATTTTAATTTTGAGTACTTAACACTATTGTTGACGTGCATTTCACTTTCTTCATGTTTACTAAGAATATGTGATAAATGTTGCCAATCTTTGCACCCATTTTCATTTTTCAGTTGATTTTTTCCTTCCCCAAAGAGTTTGCAATATAGACAAAACACAGAATCTTTTGAGGTTGAATAAAGTAACCAGGATCTAGTGGTTTTTTCACCATTTGGAAGAATCCGTGTATAATAAGTTTCTGAAAACTTCCTCCCTGTATTATCTTTTGGAAAGTTAAAATTTCTTACTTGAGGCGGAACATTTTCAACAAGAGTGTCCCGTTGTTTAATATTCAAAATTCGGGGCCACGTACCTGGATCTGCGGAAAGCACAACTGGTACAATGGAGTCTTCAAAATTTTTCTCTTCCAGTTGCTCTTGAAATGTATCAGCTATGGTTGACGTGGAAGAAGGAGGTAAATTCACATTCTCTTGGATCAGTAATGTATCCGTGCCACATTCTACTGAAAGCTGTAGCTGTGAAGTCTTTTCCTTTTTTTCTGGGATTCCCTCTATTTTTTTCAAAAGTGTATTTGACGATCCATATAATTGTTTCTCATTTTCTTCTCTAAAAGCATTCCTTTTTCTATTTTCTGATGCTGTTAATTTTTTTGATTTTGTTTCCATCATCTGAGGACAAAGAGGATTATAATTTTATTTTAGGTTAAACTTTTAAAAATTAATGTATATTCAAATGCTCAATAAGCACATGCTCATCATTAGGCATCAAAGAAATGCCAATCAAAAAGACGACGACGGTCGGGTGCGGTGGTTCATGCCTGTAATCCCAGCACTTTGGGAGGCCAAGGTGGATGGATCATTTGAGGTCAGGAGTTCGAGAACAAGTCTGGCCAATATGGTGAAACCCTGTCTCTACTAAAAATACAAAAATTAGCCGGGCCACAGTGGCATGCGCCTGTAATCCCAGCTCCTCTGGAGGCTGAGGCAGGAGAATCGCCTGAACCCAGGAGGCAGAGGTTGAGCTGAGCTGAGATCGCGCCACTGCACTCCAGTCTGGGCGAAAGAGTGAGACCCTGTCCCAAAAGAAGAAGAAGAAGAAAAAAAAAAAGGTGACAAGTCCCAAAAGAAGAAGAAAAAAAAAGGTGACAACATACCACTTCATATCCAAGAGGATGACTATAATAGAGAATGAGGCTGGGTGTGGTGACACATGCCTATAATCCCAGCACTTTGGGAGGCCAAGGCGGGTGGATCAGTTGAGGTCAGGGGTTTGAAACCAGCGTGGCAAATATGGCGAAACCCCGTCTCTGCTAAAAATACAAAATTTAGCTGGGAGTGGTGGGGCAGGTACTGGTAATCCCAGCTACTCTGGAGATTGAGACACAAGAGACCTCACTTGAACCCTGGAGTCGGAGGTGGCAGTGAGCTGAGATCATGCCATTGTACTCCAGCCTGGGCAACAGAGCAAGACTCCATGCTTAAAAAAAAAAAAAAAAAAAGAGAGAACAAAAGTCTTGGCAAAGATGTGGAGAAACTGGAACCTCTCTAAGATCCTGGTGGGAAATGTAAAGTGGTGTAGCCACTTTTGAAAACTGTCTGGCTCAAAAAAACAAAAAACAAGAAACAAAAAAATAAATTAGATGGGTATGGTGGCAGGCGCCTGTAATTCAAACTACTCGGGAGGCTGAGGCAGGAGAATTGCTTGAACCTGGGAGGCGGAGGTTGCAGCCAGCTGAGATCATGCTACTGCACACCAGCCTGGGCAACAGTGCGAGACTCCGTCTCAAAAAACAAAAAACAAAAAAATGAAACTGGAAGTTTGTCAAAATTTAAACAGAGTTACCCTATGACCCAGCAATTCCACTCCAAGGTATATACCCAAAAGAAATAAAAATATATGGACACACAGGCCAGGCATGGTGGCGCACGCCTGTAATCTCAGCACTTTGGGAGGCCGAGGTGGGGGGATCACGAGGTCAGGAGTTCGAGACCGGCCTAACCAAGATGGTGAAAACCTGATTCTACTAAAAATACAAAAATTAGCTGGGCATGGTGGCGGGCACCTGTAATCCCAGCTACTCGGGAGGCTGAGGCAGAACACTGCTTGAACACGGGAGACAGAGGTTGCAGTGAGCCAAGATCTCGCCACTGCACTCCAGCCTGGGCGACAGGAGGGAGACTCCGTCTCGTTAAAAAAAAAAAAAAAAAACTGTGTCCACACAAAAACTTAGACCCAAATGTTCATGGTAATATTACTCATAATAGCCAAAAAGTAGAAACAACTCAAATGTCCCATCACAGATGAAAGAATAGATAAAAATACAGTATTATCCATGCAATGGATAAAAACAAATGAAGTTCTGATGTATGCTACAACATGGGAAAAAATTGAAAATAGTATGACACATGAATAAACTAGTTGCGAAGTACTTGTGTGATTCTATTTATGTGAAATGTTACAGAAGAGGCAAATTTATAGGCAGAAGATAGACTAACAGTTGCCTAGAACTTTGGAGGAGTTGGAGTTGAAAGGGGAACTGTTAATAAATAGGGGGTTTATTTTGGGGATGATGAAAATGTTCTAAGATTGGTGAATTTTAGGGCATGTTAATTACATCTCAATAAAGTGTTTATAAAAATTAATGTGAAAGTCACTAAAATTTAACAGCAATTAACTTTAATGGTGAAATTTTCATAAATAATTCCTTCAATACATGGGCCCAAACACACACAAATATGAAGAGAGAGCTCTAATTCAGGTATACATAATACTTTGTTCATCAATTATTAATGACAAGTGATTACTTTTTAAATAGGTCATAAATACTTAGGGATTTAAAGTGAGAACTAAGCATACTATTTTAATCCACTAATACAAAGAACATTTTTAAAATTTGATTTTAATTGAAACAATGTGCTTAAAAAGCAGCTCCTTGCTCAAAAACAGACCATTTAGATGTTGCTAGATTAACACTGTAAATTCAAAGTAGTATGTATGTTTATTAACATTGTTAGATGAGGTCACCATATCTGTCAGAAATTTAATTTTTATTTTGTTTTTGAACATTTTACTACCATTTACTGAAATATGTTGTAATAAAGACACATTACCTATTTTGGTGTCAATAAAATTATAATAAAAAAACTAAAAAGATTTAACATAATAAAGATGTATAAAATGTGGGCTGGGCACGGTGGCTCACGCCTGTAATCCCAGCACTTTGGGAGGCTGAGGCGGGCGGATCACGAGGTCAGGAGATCGAGACCATGGTGAAACCCCGTCTCTACTAAAAATACAGAAAGTTAGCCAGGCGTAGTGGTGGGCGCCTGTAGTCCCAGCTACTCGGGAGGCTGAGGCAAGAGAATGGCATGAACCCGGGAGGCGGAGATTGCAGTGAGCCGAGATTGCGCCACTGCACTCCAGCCTGGGCGACAGAGCGAGACTCCATCTCAAAAAAAAAAAAAAAAAAAAAAAGATGTATAAAATGTGAATGGCATCCTATTAGCTATACACAACACAACTTGAGTACCATATGCAATGCAGTGAAAGAAAATAAAAATGGACTTGTTCTGTTTCATTCTGAAAGTAATGTGGCAGCTTTAAAGTAAAAAATGCAGAGGTGTGGGCCAGGTGCGGTGGCTCACGCCTGTAATCCCAGGACTTTGAGAGGCCAAGGCGGGTGGATCACCTGAGGTCAGGAGTTCAAGACCAGCCTGGCCAACATGGTGAAACCCTGTTTCTACTAAAAATACAAAAATTAGCCAGGAGTGGTGGCGCGCACCTGTAATCCCAGCTACTCAGGAGGCTGAGGCAGGAGAATCGCTTGAACCTGGGAGGTGGAGGTTGCAGTGAGCTGAGATCGTGCCATTGCACTCCAGCCTGGGAGACAGAGTGAGACTCTGTCTCCAATCAATCAATCAATGCAGAGATGTGATATGATCCAATAAATAAATGCAGAGATGTGACATGATCAAATTTGTACTTTGGAAAGATTGCTCTAATTGTATTATGAATTCCCAACCTTATGTAAGGAAGGAAGAGGCACAGAGATCAGTCAAGAAACTATAGTAGTAATTCTGGCAAAAGATGATGTTAGCTATGTCTAGGATTATAGCAGTAGAGATAGGAGTTGAGAAGTGCTCAGGAAGTAGAATTTGGATTAGTTGGTAATTGATTGGCTCTAGGGGCTAAGGAAGAAAGAAGAGTAAACAATGACCCTAAGTTTCTGAATGGGCATTTGGGTGGATGGTGGCTTCATTTACTGATATGGGAAACAAAGGAAACCAGGTTTGGAGGTTCAGTTTTCAACACAATGAGTTTGACTTTCAATGATGGATGGCATATAAGGCGGTGGTCCCCTAAGAGTATAATGGAGCTGAAAAATTCCTATCACCTAGCCGAGTGTGGTGGCACATGCCTGCAGTCCCAGCTACTCAGGAGGCTAAGGTGGGAGGATCACTTGAGCTGGAAGTTGCAGTGAGCAGAGCTCAAGCCACTGCACAGCAGCCTGGGTGACAGAGGGAGAGACCCTGTCTCCAACAAACAAAACAAAACAAAAAAAACCAGATACATTTAGTATAAAACACCAACTAGTCATGCCAGGTTAATTAAAACAAATAGGAGTCCCTTACCACCTCTACCCATTTCCCCTTTACCAGAAGCTAACCACTTACAACCTTTTAAAATAAAAATAAAACAATTTTTTAAATATATACCATTAAAAAAAATAAATATATTTTGAGATAGTCTCGCTCTGTCATTCAGGCCGGAGTGCAGTGATGAAATCATGGTTCACTCACTCGCAGCCGTGACCTCCCAGGCTCAAGTGATCCTCCGAGCTCAGCCTCCCAAGTAGCTGGGACCACAGGGGCATGCCACGCCAGCTAATTTTTAAGTTTTTTTTGTAGAGACAGGGGTCTCACCATGTTGCTGAGGTTGGTCTTGAACTCCTGGGCTCAAGCAATCCTCTTGCCTCAGCTTCCCAAAGTGCTGGGATTACAGACATAAGCCATTACGCCTGGCAAACAATTTTTTTGAGACAAGGCCTTGCTTTGTTGCCCAGGAGGAGTACAGTGGCTATTCACAGGTATGATCCTAGTGCACTGTAGCCTCAAACGCCTGGGCTCAATTGACCCTCTCGCCTCAGTCTTTCTAGTAGCTAGTATTGTAGGTGCACACCACCATGCCCAGCACTTACATAACTTTTCTAGCTGATTCTTCGGTTATTTCCAAATCTCAAAGTTACTTGTTTGTATCACTATTTACTGACTTTTTTTTCCTCCCAGCTTTAGGTATCATCAATTGACTTCTCAATGAGGAAGATGAAAATTTTGCTTTCCTTCCTCTTACCATGCTCACCATACACACTCAACACCCATCCACTTATCTTTAGTTGCAGGATTTCTTGGACAAGATGATTATTTGTTGTGAGAACTGTGCTGTGCACTGCAGATGTTTAGCAGCACCTCTGGACTCTATCCACTAGAGTCCAGCAGCACCCCTCAGGTGTGAGTCACAGATGTTTCTAGACATTGCCAAATGTCCCCATGGGGACAAAAATCATCCCTGATTGAGAAGCACTGGCTTAGATCAAGATTCTGTCTACATTTTATGACGTGTATGTTATTCAGCAATAAGCTACTAAGTGCAAGATTTCAGTTTTTTTCTTATGTGTTGGCCTTTTCAGAAGGCTGTCACTTATCACTTGAAAATACTCATGTGTTTGGGGTGGAGTGGGGAAGCACATTTATAAAATGTAAAACATTCTGATTATACAGAAATATCATGCCTATATTTGGCAACTATTAATTAATTTATTATTTTTTGAGACAGGGTCTTACTCCGTTGCTCAGGTTGAAGTGCAGTGACGTGATCTCGGCTCACTGCAACCTCTGCCTCCTGGGCTCAAGTGATCCTCCCACCTCAGCTTTCCAAGTACCTGGGACTACTGGTATGAACCACCATGCCTGGCTAACATATAATTTTTGAGACAGTCTCACACTGTCACCCAGGCTGGAGTGCAGTGGCACCATCTTGGCTCACTGCAACCTCCGCCTCCCAGGTTCAAGCGATTCTCCTGCCTCAGCCGCCCAAGCAGCTGGGACTACAGGTATGTGTCACCACACCTGGCTAATTTTTTGTAGAGACAGGGGCTCACCATGTTGCCCAGGCTGGTCTCAAACTCCTGAGCTCAAGCGATCCACTCGCCTCAGCCTCCACAGGCATGAGACACCTCGCCCGGCCTTTGCCAACTGTTTATGAGTTACTTTTTCTTTTTTTTTTTTTTTTTTGAGACAGAGTCTCGCACTGTCCCCCAGGCTGGAGTGCAGTGGCATGATCTCGGCTCACTGCAAGCTCCGCCTCCCAAGTTCTCGCCATTCTCCTGTCTCAGCCTCCAGGGTAGTTGGGACTACAGGTGCCTGCCACCACGCCCGGCTAATTTTTTGTATGTTTAGTAGAGACAGGGTTTCACCGTGTTAGCCAGGATGGTCTTGATCTCCTGACCCGCCTTGGCCTTCCAAAGTGCTGGGATTACAGGCGTGAGCCACCACACCCAGCCTATTTTTTTTTTTTTTTTGAGACAAGGTCTTGCTCTGTCACCCAGGCTGGAGTGCAATGTCATAATCACAGCTCACTGCAGTCTTGACCTCCCAAGCTCAGGCCATCCTTTCACCTCAGGCTCCCAAACAGCTGGGACTACAGCCATGTGTCACCATGCCTGCTAATTTTTAATTTTTTGTAGAGATGGGGTCTCACTATGTTGCCCAGGCTGCTCTCCAACTCCTGGGCTCAAGCAATCCTCTTGCCTCTGCCTCCCAAAGTACTGGGGTTACAGGTGTGAGCCACTGTGCCCCACTGAGTTACTCTGTATTACTGAAATACACATGGTAGAATGAGCACTTTATTCTAGGGATCAGAATAGCAAGCAAGTTATTTAAGAAAATCTAGGCCAGGCGTGGTAGCTCACACCTGTATTCCCAACACTTTGGGAGCCGAGGCAGGCAGATTACCTGAAGTCAGGAGTTCAAGACCAGTCTGGCCAACATGGTGAAACCCCGTCCGTCTCTACCAAAAATACAAAAATTAGCAGGGCATGGTGATGCGCACCTGTAATCCCAGCTACTTGGGAGGCTGAGGCAGGAGAATCGCTTGAAGCGGGAGGTGGAGGTTATAGTGAGCTGAGATCGTCCAGCCTGGGTGACAGAGAGAGACTCTGTCTCAAAAAAAAAAAAAAAAAAAAAAAAAAACCATATGTATAGGTGTATGTCTGCCTAGTTTGACTATGCATATTTCTTCTTTTGTTTTTGAGATGGAGTCTTGCTCTGTCACCCAGGCTGGAGTACAGTGGCGTGATCTCGGCTCACTGCAACCTCCGCCTCCCAGGTTCAAGCGATTCTCTTGCCTCAGCCTCCTGAGTAGCTGGGATTACAGGTGTTCACCACCACGGCCTGGCTAACTTTTTGTATTTTTTGTAGAAACGGAGTTTCACCATGTTGGCCAGGCTGGTCTCGAACTTCTGACCTCAGGTGATCTGCCACCCTTGGCCTCCTAAAGTGCTGGGATTACAGGCGTGAGGCACCCTGCCTGGCTTATTTCTTCATTTTTACCTCCTCTTTTGGTGCCTATTTAGTAGTAAAAAATTTATAATCTACGTGTAATTCTTACGCTTTTTGGAGGATAAGCATTATGGTATTTCTCTGAAGCTTATGAGCTCACAACCTTTAACTTAGCAAGAACTCAGACACAGGTAAATCATCCTTTTTTTGTTGTTGTTGTTGAGACAGAGTCTTGCTCTGTTGCCCAGGCTGGAGTGCAGTGGCATGATCTCGGCCCACTGCAACCTCCACCTCCCAGGTTCAAGTGATTCTCTTTCCTCAGCCTCCCGAGTAGTTGGGATTACAGGCACACAACACCACGCCTGCCTAATTTTTGCCTTTTTAGTAGAGACAGGGTTTCACTATGTTGGCCAGGCTGGTCTCGAACTCCTGAACTCAAGTGATCCGCCCGCCTTGGCCTCCCAATGTCATGGATTACAGACATGAGCCACCACACCCAGCCTAAATCATCCATTTAAGAAATAAAAAAGGCTTGGAAAATATTAAGACTTAATATAGTTTTTATTTCCAAATTAGAAGGTCAGTAGGTTACTTTTGTCATGTAACTGTCTTTGAAAAGACAATTTAACAATATTAAGTCTTTTTAAATTTCGTTTTGTTAAAGATAGTCTCATTCTGTTGCCCAGGGTGGAGTGTAATGGTGCAATCATAGCTCACTCACCTCAGTCTCCTGAGGAGCTAGAACTACGAGTGTACAACCACCATATCTGGCTAATTAAAAAAATTGTTTTGTAGAGATGGGGTCTTACTATGTTGCCCACGTTGGTCTCCAACTCCTGGACTAGTGCCATCCTCCCATCTTGGCCTCCCAAAGTGCTAGGATTACAGGCACGTACCACCGTGCCTGGACCTTTCTATTTGTTAATGTTCATTGTGTTCTTCTATAAACCAAAAGCTTTCTTAAATATTAGGTGCAATATATGTAAAGAAAAAATAATTTAACATAAATAAGGTTTTCTTGCAAAAATAAACAGAAAAGTCAACTATGGGTATCCACTGTTTCTCCTGTTCGATAAAAGCCTAGCAATTCAGGGTTACTTTCCCTTGAAGCTAACCAATTAAATTCTCATCCAGTGAAATGGGGGTTAAGAATATTTCCAGTTTTACATTATGATCTATCTTAATTTTTGTGTATGCAATGAAAAGGGGTCAAGGCTCATTTATTTCCACACAAACAAAAAATTATTTCAGCATAATTTGTTAAAAAATCTTGTTTTTCCCATCAGAATAATTTGGTACCTTCTTGAAAAATCTACTATGTGGTTCTATTTCTGGACTATCTTCTATTTCACTGATCTCTGTTAGCCCATTTGTTTATATACCAAACCATACTGCCTTGATTATTGCAGCATTTTAATGTCTTAAAGTCAGGAAGTTGATAATTCTTTAACCCACATCTAACACCATATACAAAATTAATTCAAAATGAATCACAGGCCTAAAAAATAAAAGCTAAAACTGAAAAGATTCTAGAAGGAAATGTAGGAAAATATCTTTGTAATTTTGGTGGGCAAAGATTCCTTAAATACACAAAAACTATTAATCACAAGAGAAGCAAATAATAAATAGGACTTATAAAAATTAAAATCTTGTACTTTTCAAAAGTAATATTAGGAAAACAAAACAAAACATTAAGAAAATGAAAAGACAAATCAGTCTGAAAGAAAATCTTCCGGCCAGGCACAATGGCTCATGCCTATAATCCCAGTACTTTGGGAAGCTGAGGTGGGAGTACTGCTTGAACCCAGGAGTTCGAGACCAGCCTGGGCAACATATTGAGACCCACCTGTATTTCCTTTTTCTTTTTTTTGAGACAGAGCGTTGCTCTTGCTGCCCAGGCTGGAGCGCAATGGCGCAATCTCCGCTCACTGCAACCTCCACCTCCCAGGTTCAAGCGATTCTCCTGCCTCAGCCTCCAGAGTAGCTGGGATTACAGGTGCCAGCCACCATGCCCGGCTTATTTTTTTTGTATTTAGTAGAGACGGGGTTTCGCCACGTTGGTCAGGCTGGTCTCCAACTCCTGACCTTAGGTGATCCATCCGCCTTGGCCTCCCAAAGTGCTGGGATTACAGGCGTGAGCCACCACGTCCAGCCTATTTTTTCTTTTAAAAAAAAAACAGAAGAAAAAAAATTTTTTTCCAAATATATTTATTTTATAAAATACATGTATCCAGAATAATACCAAGGACTCCTACAACTCAGTAACAAAAAGAATTCAATAAAAAATGGGCTGAAGACCTGATAGACAAAACAGACAACTACCACATTTTAATTTTTTTTTTTTTGTAGAGACAGGGTCTGGCTATGTTGACCAGGCCGGTCTTGAACTCCTGGCCTCAGCTGATTCTCCCACCTGGGCCTCCCAAAGTGCAGGGATTACAGGCGTGAAGCACCTCACCTGGCTCCAAATTTTGGTCAGAATGTAGAGCAACTAGAATTATCAAGTGCTTAGTGGGAGTGCTAAATGGTACAGAAGAAAAATTAGTCTTTTAAATTCATCCAGGAGTAACCTTTTTCTTTTTTTTGAGACAGAGTCTTGCTCTGTCACCCCGGCTGGAATGCAGTGGCATGATCTCGGGTTTGCAACCTCTGCCTACCAGGTTCAAGTGATTCCTATGCCTCAGCTTCCCAAGTAGCTGGGATTACAGGCACACACCAACTCGCCTGGCTAATTTTTGTATTTTTAGTAGACAGGGGGTTTTGTCATGTTGCCCAGTCTGGTTTCAAAATCCTGGCCCCAAGTGATCTGCCTGCCTTGGCCAAAGTGCTGGGATTACAAGTGTTAGCCACTGTGCCTGATCATTTTCTTTCTTTTTTTTTTTTTTTGAGACAGGCTTTCGCTCTGTTGCCTAGTTGGAGTGCAGTGGTACAATCATAGTTCACTGTAGCCTCAATCTCCCAGGTTCAAGCAATACTTACACCTCAGCTTCCAAAGTAGCTGAGACTACAGGCACATGCCATCATGCCTGCGGCTAATTCTAAAAAATTTTTAGTAGAGATTACGTCTCACTATGCTGCCCAGGATGGTCTCAAGCTCCTGAGCTCAAGCAATCCTCCCACCTCAGCCTCCCAAAATGATGGAATTACACAAGTGAGTCACTGCACCCAGCCCAAAGAAAATTTTTAAAACAAGCTTACAACAATCTTAGACTTGAATATTTGAGATGGGACAAACCAATGACAGAATGGCAAAATGGAATTAAATGAGATTCTAAGATAAATCCGGTTCATGTAAGATGTAAGGGTGAAGCTACTATATATTTGATCATTTAAAGCTCATGAAAAAGAATTACCTGTTTATATTCGTTAATACAACTTTGGCAGCAAAATCTCTTCTGCTGACCTCCAATCACCAGGATGTTGTTTCCAGTACTCTTACTAGGCATGTACTCTCCACAGTGTTCACAGCAGTTCATTATTAGACCATTGGCCAATCTGTACTTATTAAAGCAATGGTTACTGCACAGTTTATGTGTTACATTATTTACGCTGACTTCATGGCGAATCTAAAAGAAAAACCAGAATTCATTAACTAAGATATATGAACCAGATTAGCATAGCAAGCAATGAGATAACTAGTTTCTGCAATAGAAGCAAAGAATCCCTAATCATATCTCAGAGGAAGATATACCCAGGGAAAAGATTTTTTTTTTTTTCTGAGATAGAGTCTCACTCTGTCACTCAGGCTGGAGTGCAGTGGCACAATCTCGGCTCACTGCAACCTCTGCCTCCCATGTTCAAGCGATTCTCCTGCCTCAGCCTCCCAAGTAGCTGGGATTACAGGCGCCCGCCACCACGCCCAGCTAATTTTTTTATTTTTAGTAGAGACGGGGTTTCACCACGTTGGCCAGGCTGGTATCGAACTCCTGACCTCAAGTGATCTGCCCGCCTTGGCCTCCCAACATGCTGGGATTACAGGCATGAGCCACCATGCCTAGCTGGGAAAAGATTTTTAAAAAGCATATTTTATTTTTTCCTTTATTTGTAAGATCACTTTGATTTCACAAAAGAGGACAAGATTCATAGGAAAGCAATAAAATCAATAATAACTTCCCTAAAGACATTTAATAACAACAGATAATGAACTTTTTTTTTTTTTTTGAGACAAGTTTTTGCTATGTTGCCCTGGGCTCGAATTCCTGGTCTCAAGCAAGCCCTCTACTCATGCCTCCTGAATAGCCCAGATTACAGGCTTGCAGCACCACACCTGACTTTGGTTTAGAAGATTTTGACATGACCCGCTTAAAGGAAATGGGTCAACAATCTTTTTTTTTCTTTTGATAGTGTCTCTTGCTTTATCACCCTGGCTGGAAAGCAGTGGTACAATCATAGCTCACTCCACCTCAAACTCCTGGACTCCAGTGATTGTCCTGTCTCAGCCTCCTAAGCAGTTGGGATTATATGTATGAGTCACTCATCAACAAGGATCAACAATTTTTAGATGGTATTGTAAGTAAAGTTCACTGCCCTAGAACATTTGTGGAGGGAGCTAAGGGAATCAATATTATCTGTATTCAGGATCGTGTCTGTATAACCAGAAGCAGGGTAGTTCTCACTGTGGTAACTGAGATAAAATCATGTTCTTGATATGCATGACTCAGGGGTAACCAACACCAAATTTAGTTACCAAAGACTTTTATAAAGTGAGGACTGCCTGCATGCATGTTTCTTCTCTTCTAGGAAATGGGAAGATTGCAATATCACTGAATGTTAAGCAAACAGCATACATTCACTCCACTTGTTCCATGTGTTCTTGTACCGGGATCTGCTGCTTTCTAATTTTAACTTTTAGATTCAGGGAATACATGTGCAGGTTTGTTAGATGGGTATGTTGTTTTTTGTTTTTTTTTTTTTCTTTCTTTTTTTGAGACAGAGTCTTGCTCTATCACCCAGGCTGGAGTACAGTGGCGCAATCTCAGCTCACTGCAGCCTCCGCCTCCCTGGTTCAAGCGATTCTCCTGCCTCAGCCTCCCAAGTAGCTTGCGCCACCACACCCAGCTAATTTTTGTATTTTTAGTAGAGATTGGGTTTCACCCTGTTGGCCAGGTTGGTCTCGAACTCCTGACTTCAAGATATCCACCTGCCTCGGCCTCCCAAAGTGCTGGGATTACAGATGTGAGCCACCACGTCCGGCCCCAAGGGGTAGTTTTCCAGCCCTTGACCCCCAACTCTTGAGACTACATTTTTATTTAATGTCATCAGTAATAACAAAATCCACCATAAAACAATTGCCTTGTTTATGAGCACAACAATTCCATAGAAACAGATGTGTACTTTCCATGCTATGCAAATGGAATTTTATTTATAAAATATCCCATAAGATAGTTCTAACATATCCTTATTCTTCCTTTCAGCTTCATGTTATACATCCAGAACACGTGCATTATGTAGATGAAAGAGTACATAATAGCACTTAAAAGTTAAAATTATCACTGTTAGCCTAAACAACAACTTAGGTATAAAAATCCAGACCTCTGCTAATTTACTACAAATTGTACATCTTGACTTATTAAAAACTCCTTTTTTAAGATTCCAGTTGTTTTCACAGGGAGACAAACAAGATGTACTATAAAATTCTTGGAAGGATTTGCTTGATTCTACTGGAAGAATGACATTAGCCTTCTTTGTAGATGCATCTCTGAAACAGAAGGGATAGACACATAATTTAAGAACACTGAATTTTAATACAAGTCAAATATATTAATAATAATTGCCATTTTTCATTTTCTTATGATTTAATACTAGAAATCAAGTATAACTTTTAGATGCAGCAAATCCACTTTTGGCTTTATTGCCAAGAGTTCTTAAATGATACAGAAAGAGAAGAGTCAGAGATAAAAATCTTTCGTAGCACAAGAACCTTGCCACAAGTTTTTAAGATTTTTAGATGCATTCAAAAATGCTGGTAATAGGCTGGGCACAGTAGCTCACACCTGTAATTCCAGCACTTTGGGAGGCTGAAGTGGGCAGATCACTTGAGGTCAGGAGTTCGAGACCAGCCTGGCCAAAATGATGAAACCCTGTCTCTACTAAAAATACAAAAAATTAGCTGGGCGTGGTGGCGCGCACCTGTAATCCCAGCTACTCGGGAGGCTGAGGCAGGAGAATCGCTTGAACCTGGGAGGTGGAAGTTGCAGTGAGTGGAAATCGTGCCACTGCACTCCAGCCTGGGCAACAGAGTGAGACTCCGTCTCAAAAACAAACCAACAAACCAAAATGCTGGTAATAAATTCATAGAACTAAGGTGTTAAGATGGGGGAGCAGGGGAGGCAAATGTAGTAGCAGGGAGAGGGGCAATTGATTTCCAAACCTATGTTCCATTTTTCTGCCGAGAGTAAATACAGCACATACGAGTCCACAGCTTGGATATATTCTAGGAGCTCAAGCTCAATAAACTTGAAGACACTCCTGCAACAATTCTACCCATAAATCTATCCAGCTCTGCAGTTATATTGAGTACTTATTTATACCATTAGTATTCAACTATGTGGAGAAATGTTGAAAGGTACTGCTTACTTTTTACATATTATGCTTCGTGTGTTTTGAGTACGTTTATGAGAGAAGGAAGAAAGGCAGGTGGTAGAGCAAAAGAGGTGAGCTGATCCTTTTCGTTGATAAGCTGTCTGTCCCTTCTGTAAAGGCTTTTTGCAATTTGCACAAGTGATTTTAGCTGGTTTAGTAAGTTGTTGTTGGGCTGTAGGCTGGAAATTCTGCTTACGAAGTAAGGCCACTGGTGATAAAGAATCCACCCCTGGCTGTTTCTGATTACTGGGAAATGAAGCTGACTGGGAGATCCAAGAATCTTAAAAATGAAACAAGAAAAAAATCATGGAACAAATCAAAATGTACATCAGAAAAATAACTTGCATTTTCATTTAAGAGTTTAAGAGACAAGTGGGGCAGGCGTATAAACATGTGGTTAAGGCCAAACACTCTTGATGCACAATCCCAGGGGGACTATCCACTTTGTATCTCAAGTGAATGATACTCCACTGTGCCAACAATAATAATAAAGTAAATGTTGGCGTCTGGAATTGTGTAATGTGGTAGCCATCGGCTCTTAAGTCAGACTCCAGGTTCAAAGATCTCCTGAATGTAATATTATACAAATATACTAATTGATGATACCTAACTCATCAGAGTGCTATGAAGAACACATGACATAAAAGTAATGCCTGGCACACAGGCACACTCAAAAAATATTAGCTACTTTTTTTTTTTTTGAGACAGAATCTCGCTCTTTCTCCCAGACCGGAGTGCAATGGCACAATCTCGGTTCACTGCTACCTCTGCCCCCCAGGTTCAAGCGATTTTCCTGCCTCAGCCTCCCGAGTAGCTGGGATTACCCAGCTAAATTTTTTTTTCTATTTTTAGTAGAGAGGGTGTTTCACTATGTTGGCCAGGCTGGTCACGGACTCCTGGCCTCAAGTAATCCACCTGCCTCAGCCTCCCAAAGTGCTGGCATTACAGGCGTGAGCCACCACTCCCAGCCTAATCACATCTTTCTGTCTACTCATACCACTAAACAATCAATCCATCTCTTTCTATGTATTTCAAGTAAATTGTAGACATTAGTACACTTACTTTCAAAATACTTTAGACGCAGTAGTTTAATATAAATCTATTATTATTTCCCAGCCTTCTAAAATATTACTTATCAGGCATTAATATAGATTGTGGATTACTCAGGAAAAACTCAGCTTTCCTAACCTTACATAGCAACTGCAGTATCATAAATTACTGTTAGCTTCAAAAGGTACAGTATTACTTATAGGCGAGATCCTTCTCAAACTTTATTGTGCATATTAAATCACTTGGGAATCTTGTTTAAATGGAGATTCTAAATTAGTAGGTCTGAGAAGAAATCTGATACTCTGCATTTCTAACCAACTCTCAGATGATGGTGAAGCTTTGAGAAACAAGGTTCTATGATAAAGAATTATTTTGTAATCTATCTTCAAAAACAGCTTTTGGACAGGTGAGGTGGCTCATGCCTATAATCCCAGCACTTTGGGAGGCTAAGGCGGGAGGATCACTTGAGGCCAGAGGTTTAAGACTCAGCCTAGGCAGGGTGCAATGGCTCATGCCTGTAATTCCAGCACTTTGGGACACTGGAAGCCAGTGAGTTTGAAACCAGCCTAGGTAACAAGGCAAAACCCCATCTCTACAAAAAATAAAATTAGCTGGGTGTGGTGGCGCTCGCTTGCAGTCCCAGCTTCTCACTCTGTTGCCCAGTCTGAAGTGCAGTGGCATGATCACAGCTTACTGCAGCCTTGAACTCCTGGGCTCAAGCGATCCTCCCATCTCAGCTTCTTGAGTAGCTGGGACAACAGGCACATGCCATCACACCTGGCTAATTTTTTTATTTTTTGTAGAGGCAAGGTCTCACTATGTTGCCCAGGCTGATCTTGAACTCCTGGACTCAAGCGATCTTCCTGCCTCGCTCTCCCAAAGTGCTAAAATTATAGGCATGAACCACCACACCTGGCCACTTTTTTTTTTTAATTTTTTGAGACGGAGTCTCGCTCTGTCGCCCAGGCTGGAGTGCAGTGGTGCGATCTCGGCTCACTGCAAGCTCCACCTCCTGGGTTCATGCCATTCTCCTACCTCAAGCCTCCTGAGTAGCTGGGACTACAAGCACCCGCCACCATGCCCGGCTAATTTTTTGTATTTTTAGTAGAGACGGGGTTTCACCGTATTAGCCAGGATGGTCTTGATCTCCTGACCTCATGATCCACCCGCCTTGGCCCCCCAAAGTGCTGGGATTACAGGCCTGAGCCACCGCGCCCGGCCCACCTGGCCACTTTTTACTTTTTTTTTTTTTTTTGAGACAGAGTCTTGCACTGGCACGCTCACTGCAACCTCCGCCTCCCAGGTTCAAGGGATTCTCCTTGCCTCAGGCTCCCAAGTAGCTGGGATTACAGGAGCACGCCACCACACCTGGCTAATTTTTGTATTTTTAGTAGAGATGGGGTTTCACCATGTTGGTCAGGCTGGTCTTGAACTCCTGACCTCGTGATCTGCCCGCCTCAGCCTCCAAAGTGCTGGGATTACAGGCGTGAGCCACTGGGCCTGACCTATTTTTATATGAAAAATTACAACAATCTGTGAGGCTCTGGATGATGTTAGCATTTTAATCCATAGGTTGGAAGGGGGTTTTTATCAGTACTCCTCTTTGCAGGTCCTCAGTGTCTACTGAAAACTCCATTTAGCTTCTCTGCAGCCTTTTCTGGAATTGAACACATATTCAATAGGGAAAAACAGCCCCAATTCTTCTCTCAGATCTTGGAACCTTAGTTTTTCCATTTGTTATTTGTAGCTCTTGATGTCTGATACTTTATACATTTTGTCATTTTTTCCCTAATTATTCTCAGCAAGAGGGATAGGAGTTACCTAGGTATCAGAAATGAAACTCCCTAGAGTCAGTATCATGGTCAGAAATGTTTATAATGCAACAAAAATACAAAAGATGTAAGAGCAAATTCTAAATTTAGGTATTTTCTCTCATGAGCTTTTTTTTTTTTGTACTGTTTATACAAAAGTATGTGGGAACTGGAGAACTTTCACTGAAACATAGTGTACCCTAAAAGTTAAAGAAAGAATTAAATGGTCCTTTCTAACAAATATAATCCTATTTTTTTTTTCTTTTTTGAGACAGAGTCTTGCTCTGCTGCCCAGGCTGGAGTGCAGGGGCGTGATCTCAGCTCACTGCAAGCTCTGCCTCCTGGGTTTGCACCATTCTCCTGCGTCAGCCTCCTGAGTAGCTGGGAATACAGGCGCCCACCACCACGCCCAGCTAATTTTTGTATTTTTAGTAGAGATGGGGTTTCACCATGTTAGCCAGGATGGTCTCGATCTCCTGACCTCGTGATCTGCTCGCCTTGGCCTTCCAAAGTGCTGGGATTACAGGCATGAGCCACTGCGCCTGGCCAATCCTATTTTCATAAAACGGAATGCAGTTTTACGTGTACTTTATGAAGAGCCAGTTGTATTGGTTTTCCTTTTGGTGCTGCCAGCTTCCTTCCACCAACCCACCTACCCCATGGGCTGGCCAGACCCTTTCCCGCAGGGGGCTGTCAAGAGCCAGTTTTATATGATGAAATTTAAACCCATAAGACCTAAATTTAAATACAATTCAACTCCAGAAATCCTTGCCCGTTTTTTCTCTTGTACTACAAAACCTTCAATTTATCTACATGGGAAATACACAGCAACTAAAGTAACACATTCTGGAGGAACTTTGACTTCAAACAACAACATAATAATATAATCAATGTCATCTTATTCTTAAAGCTTCCTGGTAAAACCTAATTTGTTGTACTAATGCTGACAGCAAGTAAAAAGAAAATTTAAGGTTAATACTAAAAACGGACTTCTTTTATCTATGCTATGTCAAGTTAAAGAGTAAAAATAGCAACAACTACAAAAAGACTATCCTTTTGACAGATGACTTAAGCTTTTTTTTTTTAATTAAAAAAAAAAAAAAGGTTTCTTGGCTGGGCGCAGTGGCTCACACCTGTAATCCCAACACTTTGGGAGGCCAAGGCAGGCAGATCACCTGAGGTCAGGAGTTCGAGGCCAGCCTGGCCAACATGGCGAAACCCCATCTCTACTAAAAGTACAAAAATTAGCTGGGCATGGTGGCAGGTGCCTGTAATCCCAGCTACTCGGGAGGCTGAGGCAGCAGAATCGCTTGAATCTGGGAGGCAGAGGTTGCAGTGAGCCAACATCATGCCACTGCACTCCGGCCTGGGAGACAAGAGCCAAACTCCATCTCAAAAAAAAAAAAAAAAAAAAAAAAAAGTTTTTTTACATGGACATGGAGTTTCGCTATGTTGCCCAGTCTGGTCTCAAATTTCTGGGATCAAGCAATCCTCCTGCATCGGCCTCCCAAAGTGCTGCAATTACAGGCGTGAGCCACTGCATCCAGCAGATTTAACAGTTTTTTTTTTTCTTTTTTGAGATAGAGTCTCACTCCGTCACCGAGGCTGGAGTGTGATCTTGGCTCACTGCAACCTCCACCTCCCAGGTTGAAGTGATTCTCGTGCCTCAGTCTCCCAAGTAGCTGGGATTACAGGCATGCGCCACCATGCCCAGCTAATTTTTGTATTTTTAGCAGAGACGGGGTAGAGGTAGAGCAGAGGTAGAGGTTGCAGTGAGCCGAGATTGCGCCACTGCACTCCAGCAAAAAAAAAAAAAAAAAAAAAAAAAAAGAATATATAGCAAGGCTTCTAGTTTCCATGAAAGAGCTTTTATTTATATAAGATGGAATTCATGCTTATATAAACATGAATGACATCTAAAACAAGCAATAAATATCTAAAATGTAAGAAAGTATTATAAAACAAATAAAGAGTGAAAGAAATAAACAGGCACAGTGTGGTGGCTCATGCCTATAATCCCAGCACTTGGGAGGCCAAAGCAGGTGGATGGCTTGAGCTCACAAGTTCGAGACCAGTCCGGGCAACATGGAGAAACCCTGTCTCTACAAAAAATACAAAAATTAGCTGGGCACAGTGGCACACGCCTGTAATCCCAGCTACTAGGGAGGCTGAGGTGGGAGAACGGCTTGAACCTGGGAGGCGGAGGTTGTAGTGAGCTGAGATTGCGCTATTGCACTCCGTCCTGGGTGACAGAGTGAGACTCTGTCTCAAAAAAAAAAAAAAGGGGGCCAGGTGCGGTGGCTCACGCCTGTAATCCCAGCACTTTGGGAGGCTGAGGCAGGTGGATCACAAGGTCAGGGGATCGGACCATCCTGGCTATAACATGGTGAAACCCTGTCTCTTCCAAAAAATACTTAAAAATTTAGGTGGACGTGGTGGCAGGCGCCTGTAGTCCCAGCTATTCGGGAGGCTGAGGCAGGAGAATGGCATGAACCCGGGAGGCAGAGCTTTCAGTGAGCCGAGATCGCCCCACTGCACTCCAGCCTGGGTGACAGAGTGAGACTCCGTCTCAAAAAAAAAAAAAAAAAAAAATTAGCTAGGTGTGGTGGTATGCATACCTGTAATCCTAGCTACTTGGGAGGCTAAGGTGGGTGGATGGCTTGAGCCCGGGAGGTGGAGGTTGCAGTGAGCCGAGAATGTGCCACTGCACTCCAGCCTGAGCGAAAGAGCCAGACCTTGTTTCAAAAAATAAATAAGTAAAAGTAGACTCAAAAGGATGATTTTCAATGGACATTATTTCAAAGTCTTTGACACCTTCATTGCTTTTAACACAACCTAGAGATTGCAAGAGTTCTATGTTGTCTCAGGTTTAACTATTAATAAGACATGTACATAGTAATAAATGGGTGACAGATGTGAATTTGAGAAAATTCATTAAAAATTTCAAATATATTTGTCAATGGTCAATGACATGCAAATTATGATGATACCACCTTTCAGTTTAGCAAGCTTTAAGTAATAACACCTACTGTTAAGGAGTGTTTACAGTACAGAAAAAGAACTCTTTCTTTTTGAGATGGAGTTTCGCTCTTGTTGCCAGGCTGGAGTGCAGTGGCGCAATATCGGCTCACTGCAATCTCTGCCTCCAGGGTTCAAGCAACCCTCCTGCTTCAGTCTCCTGAGCAGCTGGGATTACAGGTGGCCGTCACCACGCCAAGCAAATTTTTTATATTTTTAGCAGAGACGGGGTTTCATCATGTTGGCCAGGCTGGTCTGAAACTCCTGACCTCAAGTGATCCACCCGCTTCGGCCTCCCAAAGTGCTGGGATTATAGGCGTCAGCCATCGCACCCCGCTGAAACTCTTATGCTGCAAGAAAAGTAACACAATTTGGTGGTGGGGGAATTTTGTATTAACCATCACATGCTTTAAAAATATGTTGACATCTTGAATGCAAATCTACTTCTAAAAACTTTTCAAGAAAATAAGGGTGCCAAACTTAGAGATGTTTATGAGAAACAGTTTGTAATTGCAAACAGTAGAAACTACCCCAAATAACAAACTACTAAATGACATATAAACATTAACAGATAATTATATTTAATATGATCTAATAATATAATGATATGTCCAATGCTTCCCTGAGGTCAAGAACAAAATAAGGTTTTATAGTCTACTTGTATTCAGCCTTGTATTAGAAAAAGAAACAAAAGGGAATGTGTGAAGTCAACTATTTCCATAGTAATACCAAGATTTATTGCTTTTTGTATTATGTGGCATTTGCATTAATGATGGAAATGCAAAACCTCTGGCAATGGCACTAAACCGTACTAGCAGTTTTCACTAGTATGCATTTGGTCACCTTCACTTATGAATGTTATCCTAACACCAACTGGTATATATGGAAAACAATTCTGATGCTAATGTACTCAGAGTTAGCATGAGACCCCACAAGTTTAAAGGCCTGGTTCTCAGCAAGACTGCCCTCACTTCAGATACCAGCTGCACTTCTAATCAACTGGCCACAAATCTGGGAGGGGCTCCCAAGGTTGGATAATTTGTTAGAAAGACTCACAGAACTCTGGAAAAGCTCTATATTTACATTTAGTTGTTTGTTGTTTTTTTAAACAAAGGATACAAATCAGAAACAGCCAAATGAAGAAGCTCATAAGGCAAGGTCTGGGAGGGTCCCAAATGCAGAATTTCTGGGCCAGCTTTCAGTGGAAGCAGTAGCATCACCTGCCTGGCACACTGATGTGTTCACCAACCAAAAGGCTGCACTGAGCTTCAAAATCTAGAGTAGTTTTATTTGGGTTTCATTACGTAGGCATGACTCATTGGTCATATGACTGAACTCAGCTCCAGATCCCCTCCTCTCCCAGACTTTGGGCTGGCTCAAAGACCCAAGTTTCAATCCTATAGTTCATCTTTCTGGTGTTTAGACTCCACTGTGAGTCATCTCATCTCTTGGCGTAAATTCAGGTATGATCCAAGGAGCTTATGAATATAACAAAGATACTTGGAAATTTTAAGGATTTAGAGTCTCTCTTCCAGGAACCAGGGACAAAAATAATTTTTACTACAGATGTCTTTGGTGAAACAGTAAAAGTTATTAATAATTTCATTAAAGTTTAGCCTTTGACATCTTAATTTTCTGTATGACAAACTGGGTAGTATGCATAAAGTATTTGTTTCATACCAAAGTACAAAGGTTATCTTACTGAAAAGCAGAAAAGTGCTTGCACAGTTGCTGGACTATAAGCTGAACTAGCCATTTTTCATGGAATACCATTTTTACTTGAAAAAAATGACAAACTATGACTATTGGAGACATTTTCTTAAAAATAACTCAAAAGAGTTCATCACTTCAAGAAAACAGAGTATTTGTTGCTGATGAGAAAATATGAGCTTTCAAGTGAAAAATCAGAATTTTTGAAAACTTGGGGCACATGTTCTCAGGACCTCCTGAGGGCTGTGTCACTAGCCAAAAAAAAAAGGCGAATTTTTGGAAGCCTGTATCCACCACCATGAACTTGACAGCTTCCTAAAGTGTCAACATTTAGGATCTGAGTGAACCAATATTTTCCAAATAACCAATGCACAATGTTATTAATACAAAGGTTAAAAATCCATTCAAAATCAATAGATTTTAAACTAATAGACCAGTCTGTACCAAATACAGTCCCCCCCTTTTTTTTAAGGAAAAAAAAAACTAGCAGGGTGTTATGGCATGCACTTGTAGTCTCAGCTACTTAGGAGGCTGAGGTGGGAGGATAACTTGAGCCCAGAAGTTTGAGGCTGCAGTGAGCTATGATCATGGCACTGCACTCTAGTCTGGGAAACAGAGTGGGATGCTGACACATAAAAAAATTAAAAATAAACAGTATGAAAAAAATTTTTTTGAGACAGTCTCGCTCTGCTGCCCAGGCTGGAGTGCAATGGCATGATCTCAACTCACTGCAACCTAGGCCTCCCAGGTTCAAGTGATTCTTGTGTCTCAGCCTCCCCAGTAGCTAGGACTACAGGCATGCACAACCACACCCAGCTAATTTTTTGCATTTTTAATAGAGATGGGGTTTTGTCATGTTGGCCAGGCTGGTCTCGAACTCCCAGCCTCAAGTGATCCGCCTGCCTTGGCCTCAAAAAGTGCTGGGATTATAGGCATGAGCCACTGCGCCTGGTGATGAAAACTTAATTATACGGTTACAAATCCCACATTGTAACAACCTCGAAAACTACTAATTGTCAAGTTTTGGTGCTGCATCAAAAGAAAACTATCCACATCTAAAAAGACGTGGAAAATAGTCCTCCCTTCTCCAACCACCTATCTATGTGAGGCCAGATTTTCTTCTTATACTTCAAGCAAAACAAAATACTACAACAGACTCAATACAGAAATACATATGAGAAGCCAGATATACCTGTCTTCTATTAAGCCAGATTTTAAAGAGATTTGCAAAAATGTAAGACAATGTTACTTTTCACTAAATTTCTTTGAAAATAGTTATTTTTCATTACAAATGTTATTTATGTTATATAATGGGTAATTATTGTGAAATGAATAGTTTTAATTTTTCTTTTTTTTTTTTTTCTGTGAGATGGAGTCTCACTCTGTCGCCCATGCTGGAGTGCAGTGGCGTGATCTTGGCTCACTGCAACCTCCCGGGTTCAGGTCATTCTCCTGCCTCAGCCTCCCGAGTAGCTGGGACTACAGGCACCTGCCACCATGCCCGGCTAATTTTTTTTTTTTTTTTTTTTTTTTGTATTTTTAGTAGAGACGGGTTTCACTGTGTTAGCCAGAATGGTCTCGATCTCCTGACCTCGTGATCCGCCCACCTCGGCCTCCCAAAGTGCTGGGATTACAGGCGTGAGCCACTGCGCCCGGACTAGTTTTAATTTTTCTTAAGATTTTATCTTATTTTTTGAAACAAAAAAATTTCTGTCGCCCAGGCTGGAGTGCAGTGGCATGATCTCAGCTCACTGCAACCTCAGCATCCTGAGATCAAGCAATTCTCATGCCTCAGCCTCCCAAGTAGCTGTGACTGCAGGAGCATGCCACCATACCCAGCTAATTTTTTTTTGTTGTTTTTTGTATTTTTGTAAGAGACGGGGTTTCACCATGTTGGCCAGGCTGGTCTTGAACTCCTGACCTCAGGTGATCCGACAGCCTTGGCCTCTGAAAATGCTAGGATTACAGGTGAGAGCCACCACACCCAGGTAATTATTATTTTTTGAGACCGGGTCTCACTCTATTACCCAGGATGGAGTGTAGTGTTGTGATCATGGCTCACTGTAGCCTCAAACTCCTCGGCTCAAGTGATCCTCCTGCCTCAGCCTACGAAAAGTGCTGCAATTACAGATGTGAGCTACTACGTCCATCCATTATTATTATTTTTTAAAGACATTAGGTCTTGCTATGTTGCCCAGACTGGACTCAAACTCCTGGGCTCAGGTGACCCTCCCACCTCAGCCTCTTTGTTTTTTTTTGAGACAAGTCTCACTTTGTCGCCCAGGCTGGAGTGCAGTGGAGTGATCTGGGCTCACTGCAACCTCTGCCTCCCAGGTTCAAGTGATTTTCCTGCCTCAGCCTCCTGAGTAACTGGGGCTACAGGTACATGCCACCATGCCTGGCTACTTTTTAATTTTTTTAGTAGAGATGGGGTTTCACCACGTTGGCCAGGGTGGTCTCAAAATCCTGACTTCAAGTGATCCACCTGCCTTGGCCTCCCAAAGTGCTGGGATTACAGGTGTAAGCCACCATGCCCAGCCCCACCTCAGCCTCTTGAATAGCTGGGACTACAGGTGCACGCCACTATACCTGGCTAAAGCTTTAATTTTTAATATATCTAATAATAGAAATAAAAGAAACCTTTGGGGTCTTCATTTTAAGAGTGAATCTGAGACCAAAAAAATTGAGAATAAGTACCCTATGGAAAAAATAAAAAATGTAAACATACGTATTTATTGTAGCTTCAAAACAATGAAAAAGCATGTAAATGATGAAAAAAATACATAGGGGAATGAGTACTTCAGACAAATATTTTGTGGTTACTAAAACTTATATATACATATTTTTAGAGACAGAGTCCCACTCTGTTGCCTAGGCTGGAGTGCAGCGGTAGGATTAAAGCGCAATGTGACCCCAAACTCCAGGTCTCAACTGACCCATCGCAGCTTCCTTAAGTGCTGAGTTTACAGGTGCACATCATGGCGCCTGGCTAATTTTTTTTTACTTTTTATAGAGATGAGGTCTTCGCTACGTTACTGAGGCTGGGTTCAAACTCCTGGCCTCAAGTGATCCTTCTTCCTTGGCCTCACAAAGCGATGACATTACAGGGGTGTGCCACTGCACCCAGCCTATATTTTTATGATGACATAAAATATTAGCATTTAGATTAAGTAAATCAGCAGGATACAAAACAATATAAAAAGTGCTCTAAATTATATTTTTAAAAACCAAAGATTGAAAGCAAACAAACCAAATTCTTCACAGTGGTCACATTATTTCTAGTTACTGGGGTAAGGAGACATATTTTCTGATTTCTATGATTTTTTTCTAAATATTCTATAATAATCACATAGTATTTCGTAACCAGAAGATAAAATTAATTTTAAAAATAAGGAAAAAAGTTGGCCGGGCGCGGTGGCTCAGGCCTGTAATCCCAGCACTTTGGGAGGCTGAGGCGGGTGAATCACTTGAGGTCAGGAGTTTGAGACCAGCCTGGCCAACATAGTGAAACCCCATCTCTACTAAGAATACAAAAAATTAGCTAGGCGTGATGGCACACGCCTGCAATCCCAGCTACTCGGAAGGCTGAGGCCCGGGGATCACTTGAACCCAGGAGGCAGAGGTTGCAGTGAGCCGAGATCGTGCCACTGCATTCCAGCCTGGGTGACAGAGACTCTGTCTCAAAAAAAAAAAAGGGAAAAAGCACTATTTTCCTGAAGGCAACAACATGATTAGGTTCTCAGGTTCTCGTTACTTTTCAGTACTTTCCTAAAATTCAACAGGCTATAAACACTAAAATGGTCAAAAAAACAATACCAACTCTCCCCCAAACCCCTCACAAGTCACATAAAAGCAACAAAAAGGCATTGCTATTTAAAAAATCACTTGTTATGTTTTAATTATATCAGAATAGGACTATCTATATAAGTTCTAAAAATACAGTTCCTTGATTTAAAGGCAAGAAAGTTTTCCAACTTTCAGAATTAAGCGACTAATAAAACGCCGATTTAAAAACTAAAATCAGGCCAGTCGCAGTGGCTCACACCTGTAATCCCAGCACTTGGGGAGGCTGAGGTGGGCAGATCACCTGAGGTTAGGAGTTTGAGACCAGCCTGGCCAACATGGAGAAACCCTGTCTCTACTAAAAAGACAAAATTAGCCAGGCATGGAGACGGGCGTGCTTGTAATCCCAGCTACCTGGGAGGCTGAGGCAGGAGAATCAGTTGAACCCGGGAGGGAGGGGCTGCAGTGAGCCGAGATGACGCCATTGCACTCCAGCCTGGGCAAAAAGAGCAAAACTCTGTCTCAAATAAATAAATAAATAAATAAATAAAAACTAAAATCAGGGATAAAAACAGCCTAAAATTAAAAGCTTAAGCAAAAATTGAAATTTTAAATAATTATAAATAAAATAAAATCCAATCATTATATATTACTTTGTTCTTTCATTACACTGTATCTTTATCCTTTGATTTTTATATAAAGAAAGTAAAGAAGGTAAAGTATTTCAATTAAAATATTTTAGATGTAAATCTTACTGGATAAAATAGATTAAAATCCCAAAATTTCAGAGACCAAGTAGACCGTACAGTTTTATTAAGTAAAATATTCTATCTTAATATGAAAGTCAAAGGCCGGGAGTGGTGGCTCACGCCTGTAATTCCAACACTTTGGGAAGCCAAGACAGGTGGATCACTTGAGGTTAGGAGTTCGAGATCAGCTTGGTCAACATGGTGAAACCCTATCTCTACTAAAAACACAAAAACTAGCCGAGTGTGGTGGCAGGCGCCTGTAATCCCATCTACTCAGGAGGCTCAGGCAGGAAAAAAAAAATCGCTTGAACCTGGGAGGCGGAGGTTGCAATGAGCTGAGATTGCGCCATTGTACTCCAGCCAGCCTGGGTGAGAAGAGCGAAACTCGGTCTCCAAAAACAAACAAACAAACAAGCAAACAAAAAAAGCAAAGCCACAGAATGTGAATAAAATAGATATGAGCTTTACTAAAAAGAACAGCCAAAGGCTTATTTACTTGAGGTAGAAACAGTATCACTTACTGCTTACCAGGACTATGATGAGTTGCAAATTCTCCATTCTGAAATAAGTCTCCTGCCACATTCATTCTACCAGGGTTAAAAGGTCTTACTCCAGTCTTGGTCTGTGGAGTTAAAGATGGGGTGTACGTTTGTATATTAACACCAAAATTACTTGACTGAAGTCCTTTAGCGACATCTCCCAAGTTGGTATTCTATAGTGATGTTTTATATGTAATAATTATGTTCACATCTTGCCCAGCATTCACAGAGCTTATACCTGTTTCTAAGGTTGTAACATTAGTAATAATGTATTTCAGAGTCAATTCTGTAGTGATACCACTATTACCCATTCCTGCATTTACCTTACTTCTTGAAAGACTGGAAGTGGAGAAATCCAAATCGTTGGTTTTGTTTTTAGTTCCAGGAAGTCCCCATTCGATAAAACAGGAAGACTTTTTCTCTGCTCCTCCATTTGTTTCTATGTCCTCTTCATCATCAATAACAATTGTCTCACTTATATTTCCTTTCTGAGATGCCAAATCTCTTGAAGAAGGAGGAATTACAGAATAATTTCCTTGAGGCTTTTCATTTTTTGATGATGCAAATATGAAGTTTCTTTGATCAGCTATTGCTGGAGCAGAAATTGAAGGAGGTTGTATAGATTCAATAAACACAACATCATCATCATCATCATCATCTTCCACTGGTGAGTTCCTAGATCTACTGACTAAAGGACAAGCTGGATGACCAAATGAATCCCCTATGTCCATGAGACTAGTTGCCATGGCCATATTCCCTAATAAAGCAGGAGTCTGTTCAGTCAACTCTAATCCTCCCACTGAACATTTTTCCATGCCAATGAACCTGTAGAGACAGAAAAGAAAAAAAAAAGTTCTAGTATGTTATGGTTTTTGCATTTTACTACAATAAAATAGCACAAGCAAATTTTTCAAATTATTTTTTGTGATACCTGATATCCATTTTGTTTTTCCTCTACTGTTAACTAATGTTTACTTCAGAGCTTGATGGAAATTAATTATATAATTTTGGTAGTCCTTTAAAAAATTCTAATCAATTTATAGTACTCACTTTATTCACTCTTTATAGTGAAAAAATGCCTGCCTTCCTTTGAATTAGAAAATAGTAACAAAATAATTAAATTAAATACCAATAACTTAGGGTCCTAATATAATCACTTATATTCCATATGCTTTTACCTACTACAGCATTTATGATATGGCCCTATTTCCCAAGTGTCTCCTGCCATTGTTTTCTTTCCAAAATCACTTCTTCCAAAATAATTATGTAATTATCTTTATGCATCTTTTTTGTCCTTGTACAGAAAGCATTAAGTCCATTTATGCCAGATATTATGCAATGGGCTTTTTACAGAAAATAAAATTATCAAAACTCCATGATAGTAGCTATAATTTACTCTTATAGTTCAAGAAACTGAGGCCTAGGGAAGCTAACTAAATTGTTCCACATAACACTGGGAGTAAGACTTAAACTCAGGGCTCTAAAAATTCGTTTTCTTTTGAGAGAGGGTCTGGCTCTGTTGTCCAGGCTGGAGTGCAGTTGTGCCATCCTGGCTCACTGCAGCCTTAAATGCCTGGGTTCAAGCAATCCTCCCACCTCAGCCTCCCAAGTAGGTAGGACTACAGGCTCTTGCCATCACAGCCCAGCTAATGTTCCATAAAGTTCTTGGAGAGAGGAGGTCTCACTACATTGCCCAGGCTCATCTCAAACTCCTGGCCTCAAGCAATCCTCCTGCCTTGGCTCCCCAAAATGCTGGGATTACAGGCATGAGCCATGGTACTTGGCCTAGCCCCAAATTCTTAACTTGTTAACACTCAACCTTTTGTATACTTACTATGCACTAAGCTATGATGACAGAAATAATCTAGCAGAGACAATAGTTGAAAAATCTGGAAGTGAATAACTGATGAAACATGGGGGGCTCTTAAGCAGATGAGAGATAAGGACATGTGCACAGGTGGTAATGAAATTGATCACGTATAAGGATCACCTCTATCTCAACTGAAAGAAGGCAAAAGTAAGTATAATTGGAATGTTATGTAGGTATGCAGAAACAATACATGGGATTATACATGCTGGCCTCAATTTTCAATTTTTTTTTTCTTTTAGTAGATGTGAGGTCTCACTATGTTGCCCAGGCTGGTCTCGAACCCCTGAGCTCAAGTGATTCTCCCACCTGGACCTTTCAAAGTGCTGGGATTACAGGAATGAGCCACCACAACAGGCGTGGCCTCAGTTTTTTTTTTCTTTCTTTTTTTTTTTTGTCCTGTCTCACTCTGTCACTCAGGTACAGTGGCGCCATTTCAGCTCACTGCAACCCCCACCTCCCAGGCTCAAGTGATCCCCCGGCTTTAACTTCCTGAGTAGCATGCCTGGCTACTATTTTTTGTATTTTTGCTAGCGACAGGGTTTCGCCATGTTGCCCAGGGTGGTCTCGAACTTCTGAGCTCAGATGATCCGCCTGCCTCAGCCTCCCAAAGTGTTGGGATTATAGGTGTGAGCTACCAGGCCTGGCCTCTGGCCTCAATTTTCTGAGTAGAAACTTGAGAGTGAAAGGGGTGGGAATTTTACAGGTGTTGAATGATTAAGAAAACACACTTCATAAGGCAGTCATCACTCCATTTTATTTTAAACATCTCATATTGAAACATGCTTTTTTATTGGAGACAGAGTCTCACTCTATCGCCAGGCCAGAGTGCAGTGGTGCAACCTCGGCTCACTGCAACCTCCGCCTCCTGGGTTCCAGTGATTCTTCTGCCTCAGCCTCCCAAGTAGCTGGGAGTACAGGCGTGCGCCACCATGCCCAGCTAATTTTTGTATTTTTAGTAGATACGGGGTTTCACCAAGTTGGCCAGCATGGTCTTGATCTCTTGACCTCGTGATCCACCCACCTCGGCCTCCCAAAGTGCTGGGATAAGAGGTGTAAGCCACTGCGCCCGGCCAAAATATGCTAACATTTTTACTCTAAAAATTTCCCTGCTGGGCGTGGTGGCTCACACCTGTAATCCCAGTACTTTGAGAGGCTGAGGTGGGCAGATCACTTGAGGTCAGGAGTTTGAGATCAGCCTGGTCAACGTGGTGAAACCCCATCTCTACTAAAAATACAAAAATTAGTCAGTCGTGGTGGCAGGCGCCTGTAATCCCAGCTACTCAGGAGTCTGAGGCAAGAGAATCGCTTGAACCCGGGAGGCAGAGGAGGTTACAGTGAGCTGAGATTGTGCCACTGCACTCTAGCCTGGGCAACACAATAAGACTTCGTCTCAAAAAAAAAAAAAAAAAACCTCAATGTAATCTATAATCCATATAGTCATGAAATAGGTAACATTTATTCTTAATATGTATTATGCTATTATATATATTAACTCAGTTAATGATTACTTAAGTGAGGAAGGAACTATTACTTTTCCCATTTTGCCAATTAGGAAATTAAGAGCCAGGAGATAAGTAACCTGCCTAACTCACCATTGCTGAAAAAGGTAGTCAGGATTCAAATCCAAGAAATCTGACTCTAAAACCTATTTCTTAGCCAGTATATTATATGCAATGCATGTGGAAAACAATTGTTAAAAATTACTTATCTTTTATTAAGATGAGCCAATTCATTACAATAACAAAATTAACATTTACATAAGGCTGTTTCAAAGATAAATAACAAATTTAAGGAACCAGTTTAAAATAAGGTTTGTAAAGAAATGAAAAAGATTGGGGGCCAGGAATGTTGGCTCATGCCTGCTAATCCCAGCACTTTTGGGGGCCAAGTGGGAGAATTGCTTGAGCCCAGGAGTTTGAGACCAGCCTGGGCAACATGGTGAGATTCCATCTCTACTAAAAATGTTTAAAAATAATGATAAAAAAGGAAAATAATTTCTGGAAAAGAGTTATAACTGACTCCACAGTATCTTCTTTTTTTTTTTTAAGATGGAGTCTCGCTCTGTCGCCCAGGCTGGAGTGCAGTGGCACAATCTAGGCTTACTGCAAGCTCCGCCTGCCAGGTTCACGCCATTCTCCTTCCTCAGCCTCCCAAGTAGCTGGGACTACAGGTGCCTGTCACCACACCTGGCTAATTTTTTGTATTTTTAGTAGAGACGGGGTTTCACCGTGTTAGCCAGGATGGTCTCAATCTCCTGACTTTGTGATCCACCCGCCTGGGCCTCTCAAAGTGCTGGGATTACAGGCATGAGCCACCGCGCCCGGCCCACAGTATCTTCTTATGTCTGCTAGGTTCTATTTTACTTTTCTCACAGAAAATAATACACAGCATACTCTTTATACTCAGTTCACTGCAGTCATCTACCTTTAAAAAAAGATTAAGTATTCACTGATGCTTAAATCCCAGATTATAAATAAGTTAAAACACTACTAAAGGCCAGGTGCAGTGGCTCATGCCTGTAATCCCAGCACTTTGGGGGGCCAAGGTGGGTGGATCATGAGGTCAGGAGATTGAGACCATCCTGGCTAACACGGTGAAAACCCATCTCTACTAAAAAAATACAAAAAAAAATTAGCCGGGCATGGTGGCAGGAACCTGTAATCCCAGCTACTCGGGAGGCTGAGGCAGGAGAATGGTGTGAACCCAGGAGGCGGAGCTTGCAATGAGCAGAGATGGCGCCACTGCACACTCCAGCCTGGGAGACAGAGCGAGATTCCATCTCAAAAACAAAAAAAAAACAAAAAACAAACAAACAACAACAACAACAAAACTACTAAAAGCCATTGTGTTTATAACTTAACCATGAAAAACTTTAATTCTAAAAACACAAGACCATAAGAAAATTTTGAATATTTCTAAAATATTGTCTAAAAACAGAGAAAAAGATGCTGTATAGCCAATTAGCTATGTGGCAGTGGGCAAATTATGTCACCTGAGTTTTAGTTTCCTAAACTGTGAACAGGGATAACATATAGCTTTAAGCTTTTTAATGAGGTGAGTGGACATGCAAATCCCTGGCATATGGCCTGGTCCATATCAGAGAGTGCAAAAAACATCAAATTATGACCGGCCAGATGGCTCATGTCTGTAATCCCAGCACTTTGGGAGGCTGAGGCAGGTGGATCACCTGAGGTTGGGAGTTCGAGACCAGCCTGACCAACATGGAGAAACCCCACCTCTACTAAAAATACAAAATTAGCCAAGCGTGGTGATGCATGCCCGTAATCCCAGCTACTCAGGAGGCTGAGACAGGAGAATCGCCTGAACCCGGGAGGCAGAGGTTGAGGTGACCTGAGATCATGCCATTAAACTCCAGCCTGGGCAACAAGGGCGAAACTCTGTCTCAGAAGAAAAAAAAAAAAAATTGATTCACGCGTGGTGGCATGCACCTGGAGTCCCAGCCACTCAGGAGACTGAGGCAAGAGAATCGCTTGAACCCGGGAGGTAGAAGTTGCAGTGAGTTGAGACCATGCCACTGCACTCCAACCTGGGTAACAAAATGAGACTCTGTCTCGAAAACAAACAAAAAGGCCGGGCGCAGTGGCTCACGCCTGTAATCCCAGCACTTTGGGAGGCAGAGGCGGGCAGATCATGAGGTCAGGAGATCGAGACCAGCCTGGCTAACACAGTGAAACCCCGCCTCTACTAAAAATACAAAAAATTAGCCGGGTGTGGTGGTGGGCGCCTGTAGTCCCAGCTACTCGGGAGGCTGAGGCAGGAGAATGGCGTGAACCCGGGAGGCGGAGCTTGCAGTGAGCCGAGATCCCGCCACTGCACTCCAGCCTGGGCGACAGAGCGAGACTCCGTCTCAAAACGAAAACAAAAACAAAAACAAAAACAAAAAATCCCTTACCATAAAAAGGTATTTAGGCAAATACTATGCTACATTGCTACATGCTGGGATTTCAGCAACTGTCTAATTTTAAACATTTAACTAGTCTTCTTGTGGTATCTTATTCATACACAAATTATAACACTAGCAAAATGCTTACATGTAAACTATCTCTAGAGAATGGGAAACAACGTAAATTTAACGGGATATTTAGGTGTAAAGATAAGGGTTAACATAAAACAAAGAAATGAATAAATGTACTTTGACCTATTTAGCTCTTCTTGTAGACTACTTTCAGAGACACTTCACAGTTGAGTATATAAGCACACCTATTTAAAATCAGATATAAAGGTGTACCATGACTCTGAAGGTACTCACAAAAGTAATGAGATCAGAAAAAAGAAGAGTCAACTGAACTACTACCACAAATAGCAAGAGAATTACTGCAGGAACTAGGTACAAAATTACTATCTAAATTGGGCCTGGTGCCTCACACCTATAATCCTAACACTTAGGGAGGCCAAGGCAGGAGGATCACTTGAGGCCAGGAGTTCAAGACCAACTTGGGCAACAAACTGAGAACTCATCTCTACAAAAAAATAAAGGCCAGGTACAGTGGCTCATGCCTATAATCTGAGCACTTTGGGAGGCTGAATAAGATGGGAGGATAGCTTGAGCCCAGGAGTTCAAGACCAGCCTGGGCAATGCAGAGAGACCCCTCTCTACAAAAATTTAAAAAGTCCAACATGGTGGCATACGCCTGTAGTCGCTGCTACTTGGGAGGCTGAGGTGGAAGGATGGCTTGAGCCCAGGGGGTCAAAGTTGCAGTGAGCCATGATCACACCACTGCACTCCAGCCTGGGCAACAGAGCAAGACCCTGTCTCAAAAATAAAAAATAAATATAATAAAATAAAATAATTAGCTGGGCATGGTGGTGCACGCCTGTAATCCCCAGCTACTTGGGAGACTGAGGCAGGAGAATCACTTGAGCCCAGGAGTTCAGGGCTGCAGTGAGCTATGACCACACCACAGCACTAAAGTCTGGGCAACAGAGTTAGACCTGTCTCTAAAAATTAAAAAAAAAAAACAAAAAAACCACAAAGACAAAAAACAAACAGAAAAAACAACTCTGCCTAGAAATCACTAGCCCAGCAGGGATTAAGACAGTAAAGTGGGCCAGGTGCAGTATAATGCCCCTGTAATCCCAGCGCTTTGGGAGGCCTAGGCAGGTGGATCGCTTGAGTCCAGGAGTTCAAGACCAGCCTAGGCAACATGGCGAAACCTTGTCTCTACAAAAAATACAAAAATTAGCCAGGCATAGTGGCACATGGTTGTGGTCCCAGCTACTTGGGAAACTGAGGCAGGCAGCTTGTTTGAGCCTGGGAGATAGAGGCTGCAGTGAGCCGAGATGGGCCACTGCACTCCAGCCTGGGTGACAGACTGAGAGACGCTGTTTCAAAAAAAAAAAAAAAAAAAAAAAGATGGCCGATTGATCACATACAACTAACTTCGTTCCCTTCCAAAACTCCCCTAAACAGGACTACCACAAGGAAAGGAAGAATAAGAAACAAAAGCAATATGATTTTATAAGCCAAAGAACAGATGGATGAATGGTTAACTGCCAACCTGAGATAGCCAGAGTCTAAAACAGTGAATAAAAAGCCAAGAAACATTCTGATTTCCACTGTAGGCTCAGAAATCTGTAGCACCACATATCCCTGGAACAGAATGGGCAGATGCTAAGAAAAGAGGTTGAGAGATATCTTCCCTCCCATCAAGTTGATGGTGACAGGCCTTTCCCCATCCTAGCACAGATTCTAAAAATTTTTTCTTTGATAAGATAGAACATAAGATCTAAGTCTTGGGTTCACCAAGCACTGGGGAATGTTTCAATACCATGAAATATCTCCTCTCCATTGCTTGAACCCAGGAGGCAGAGGTTGCAGTGAGCCGAGATCACGCCACTGCATTCCAGCCTGGGCAACAAGAGCAAAACTCCATCTCAAAAAAAAAAATGTCCCCTCTCCTACTTGATTCCCAGAGAGCTGGCATCCAGACTTCTATTTTCCAGGCAGCAAACTCTTTTCTGGAGGCTTTCTTTCTGAGCAAGACTCTTCCCTGCGGAACTAAGAATCAGCAAAAAAGGAAAGTCCTAAAAATATTAACCTATGGGGTTCCCCATCAATTGGCCAGAAGATCACCCGCAAGCTTCAAGTTGGAAACCCCACTCTCACTCTTCCAATTTGCTTTTTAGTTCCCGTTTTTTGTTTGTTTGTTTGTTTGTTTGTTTTTGAGACGGAGTCTCGCTCTGTCACCCAGGCTGGAGTGCAGTGGCGCGATCTTGGCTCACTGCAAGCTCCACCTCCCAGGTTCACGCCATCCTCCTGCCTCAGCCTCCTGAGTAGCTGGGACTACAGGCACCTGCCACCATGCCCAGCTGATTTTTTTTTTTGTATTTTTTGTAAAGATGGGGTTTCACCGTGTTAGCCAGGATGGTCTCAATCTCCTGACCTCATGATCTGCCCACCTTGGCCTCCCAAAGTGCTGGGATTACAGGTGTGAGCTACTGTGCCCGGCCTTTAGTTCCCAATTCTTAATCATAAATAAAACAGTCAAGAATTATGCAATATATGTAACACCTACTATGTACCCACAAAAATTTTAAATAAAAATTTTTAAAAAACTAATTACACAGGCCGGGTGTGGTAGTGGGTGCCTATCATCCCAGCACTTTGGGAGGCCAAGGCGGGCGGATCACTTAGGTCAGGAGTTCGAGACCAGCCTGGCCAACATGGTCAGTCCCTTGTCTCTACTAAAAATACAACAATTAGCCAACGTGGTGGCATGTACCTATAGTCTCAGCTACTCAGGAGGCTGAGGCACAAGAATCGCTTGAGCCCAGGAGGCAGAGGTTGCAGTGAGCCTAGATCACGCCATTGCACTCCAGCCTGGGTGACAGGGCAAGACTGTCTCAAAAAAAAAAAAAAAAAAAAAAAGAGGAAAAAAAAAGAATTATAGATGGAGTCTCACTCTGTCGCCCAGGCTGGAGTGCAGTGGTGTGATCTTGGCTCACTGCAACCTCCGCCTCCTGGGTTCAAGTGATTCTCCTGGCTCAGCCTCCTGAGTAGTTGGAATGACAGGCACCCACCAGCACACCCGTTTAATTTTTTTTTTTTTTTTTGAGACAGAGTTTTGCTCTTGTTGCCCAGACTGGAGTGCAATGGCACAATCTCGGCTCACCATAACCTCTGCCTCTCAAGTAGCTGGTATTACAGGCATGTGCCACCAGGCCCGGCTAATTTTGTGTGTGTGTGTGTGTATGTGTGTGTGTGTGTGTGTGTGTATTTTTTTTTTTGTAGTGACAGGGTTTCTCCATGTTGGTCAGGCTGGTCTTGAACTCTCGACCTCAGGTGATCTGCCTGCCTTGGCCTCCCAAAGTACTGAGATTCCAGGTGTGAGTCACCATGCCCAGCCCATTTTTGTATTTTTAGTAGAGACGGGGTTTCACCATGTTGACCAGGCTAGTCTCGAACTTCTGACCTCAGGTGATCCACCCACCTCGGCCTCCCAAAGTGCTGGGATTACAGGTGTGAGCCACCATGCCCAGCCAACACTTCTAATATAAAAAGAACTGCTGGAAATTAAAAGCTTAGTGGCAAAAAGGAAAAATTCAGCAATAAGAATTGAAAGATAAAGCTGAGAAAAATCTCAAGAAATAAAGGAAAAAATAAAGAGGATAAGGATTATATCTCAGGTGGGGGGGGGGGAATTGTATCTCCCACTAACTATATGCATGTATATGCGCACGTGTGTGTGTGTGTGTGTGTGTGTGTGTCTCAAACCTTATGGACCAGGCTTTTTTTTTTTTCTTAAGACAGGGTATGGCTCTGTCGCCCAGCCTGGAATGCTATGGCACAAACACAGTTCACTGCAGACTCAACCCCCTGGGCTCAAACAATCCTCCCAGCTTGGCCTCTCAGAGTGCTGGGATTACAGGAGTGAGTCACAGTGCCCAGAGCCACTTTACCCATTTTTTTTGAGACAGACTCTCTCTTTGTTGCCCAGGCTGGAGTATAGTGGTGTGATCACTGCTCACTGCAGCTTCAACCTCCTGAACTCAAGCGATCCTCCCACCTCAGCTTTCTGAGTAGCTGGGACTACAGGCATGTGCCACCATGCTCAGCTAATTTTTGTATTTTTTGTAGAGAAAGAGTTTTGCCATGTTGTCCACACTGGAACTCCTGGGCTCAAGCTCTCAAGCTATCCACCCACCTCAGCCTCCCAAAGTGGTTGGATGACAGGCATGAGCCACTGTGCCCAGCCACTTTACCTACCTACCACATCCTGCCACAGTCCTAAGTTTAACTAATTAAAGAGATATGCTGTGAAATGTAAGAAAATAAGAGCAAATAAGTTAGTAGAAAGCAACTAGGGTAAAAGGAAGGCAGGAATACTACTATGGGAGATAAGCTAATCACAAGTTTGTTTTTGATGAGCAATGGAAAACTGTTTGATCAGGGTTGAAAGGACAAAATTGGCAAGAACTGAATCCCAGATAATAAAAATAGAAGTAAAGCTTGTTAAAGAAAAAAAAATCATTTTGTCACTCCTAATGAAATTATTCACACAAGGATTGGTGTTAAAAGCATTAAGTGAATAGCTGACAGAGAAAGGGCATTTGTACTGTACCAAAATGAACACATAGATCACTGTCTAGTAGCAAAAAAAAAAAACCCGAAAAAACAAAAACAAACATTAACTTCCTAACAGAGAGAGATCAGGCCACTCAGATTCGGTGGTCAATCTTAGAATTAGGAATAGTTTGACAACTAGTTTATGTTATCTCCTCGTGTGATGCTAGCTGGAGGACTGTCAGGGTACATAAATAACAGTCTTCCTCAAATACAAGGCAAATATCAACGTCAAAACAACAGATTATTCAGTAGTGTTTCTTTTTAATCCAACAGTAAAAAAGTTTTTCCAATCTACTGGAAAAGAAAAAATTGTTAAATTCAAGGCACTTAAAAGAGAGCTAACTTTAAATCTTGTTCTGGAACTTGAGAGAGTTCCAGTGGTATAAATGTCAGCACTCCCCGTGCCTTCCCAGGGACTACCATGGCTTGGCTCTGGGGACAGGGGCACCCAAGCAATTAGCTTGAAGGCCAAGGCCTTCAAGATAACACAAAGGCAAATCCCTCAGGAAGAACACCCTACTACTGCACTAATTATATTAGACAGCAAAGCGGGGTAAAAAAAAAAAAACAACTCACAATGGAGATATTTCCTTCTTAATTTCTGCCAAAGCCTCACGACATAGGCTTGAAGGTGATTCCTGGTCCTAGAATGAGAATTGAAAACCAATTTCGGTACAACCAATCTGGATGCACAACCAACTCAACACCGTGAGGTGGCAAAGGGGTAAGAGGCCAAGGAGTTCCTGGGCTCTGCTACCCTCCCCCACCCTAATGTTACCGAGAAACTAAGTTGAAAAAAAAGAACTATAGGAACCGCAACGACGAGACAAAGCTAAAAGTGCTTCGTCCAACTGCAGTACTGGGGATGCAGTGGGCTCGGGGATCCGAGGCCTGCTCCCAGGACGGGAGAGGGAAGGGTAAACGTCGTCTCGACGCCAGCAAGGGATTTGTATTCCCTCCTAAATTTGCCCACCCAGCGTCATCTCTGTCACTCCAAGCACCATTTCAGAGGTAACGGGCGGCGCGCATCACCTCTGGGCCCACAGTTGCCTCAAGAAGTTGCCCTGGGGCCCCAGCAGTCGACGACAGGGCCCCAGATCCGCCATTAAACTCGCCCAGATCAGCAGCAAAGAGTAAAAGCCGCGCAGCGCCTGGGAAAAGATGAGCGAAGGAGGGGACCCAGCGGGGCAGAGGCAGAAGCCCTCGCCCGAAAAACCTGGGGACCTCGGCTCCGGCGGCAGGGTGGCAGCGCGGTCCTGACAGCGAAGACCCGGCCGGGGCGCCCCTCCCTCGCCCAACCCGCCCCCCGCCACTATGCGGCAGGAGAGAAAGAAAAATGCCCCGCGACCTCCCCGGGCGGCCGGCAACCCGCCCCGCCACCCCGCCTCCCCGCCGGCCCCGCGACCTCCGCCGCTGGCGACCGCCTCACCCAACCCTCCCGGCCTCGCTCGCACTCTCCCAGCCCCTCAGGCCGGACGCAAAAGCGCCGGTGACAGGAGGGCAGCCCCGAGCTGCCCTCGAGGCCCCGAAGCGGCAACGGCGACGGCGGCCGCGCCGCGGGGTATTAATCCCGGGTCGGTGGGAGCCTCCGGAGGCTGCTCTCACCCATCTCCGCCTCCCCACTCACCTCGGCCTCCGCCTCCTCCTCCGGAGGCTGCGCTGCTCCCAGCCACCCCCACTCTCAGCGGCCCTGGACTGGAAAGACAGCGGGGATAAGCGTCACCCGGTTCTGGCTGCGGCTGCGCGGAACGAACAAGCCCACCCCGCTTCGGCGACAAGCACAACTCCGCGAGGTCCAGTCCCGGCTTTTCGCGCTGGTGAGGAGGCGGAGAAGCAGGGGACGGCGCAGCAGAGCCCGAGGAGGCCCCACCCTCCGTGCGCTCGTTGGCTGGCGAGGGAGACGAGCCTGGGCGCCTTGGGCACGCCCATTGGCTCCGACGGCCGTCCTTCAGGGCGCCCCCTCGGTGGGGTGGCCGAAGAGCTGTCCGTCAGGTGCGGGCCACACCCGCGGCCCTGCAGTTCCACTCCCGCCTGCCAGCCCTCAACTCCCGGTCGGGTTGTCTCCCCGCCGGTCTCCCGCCCCCAGCTACCGGGTCCGCCAGGGTCAGGAGCCCGAGATTCGCCGCCCGTCGTAGCGGCCCGCTTCGGCCCCTCGGGGCCCGGGGCTCTCCGGGACCTACACAGCCCGGGAGACTCCGGCGGGGCTGCCTGCCCTCGCCCGAGCCCGGGGGCCCAAGCTGCGGCAGCGGCTCCCAACGCCTCTGCTCGAGGAGAGCGGCGGCCTGGATGCCCCAGCGCCCTCCCTGTCCAGTTCCTTGAAGGCCCCCAAGAGGGGCGAGGCCGGGGAGGTGCTGGAGCGGGGCCAAGTGAGCTTTCGGGGCCGCGGTTGAACTGGAGTCTTGAGTGCGCTGCGGTCAGTGGAGGCCCTTCCACCCTCGCCGCGCCCCGTGGGGAATAGTCCCCCACCTCCCGCCATGGCTGCAGCAGGAGGAGACGACGTCCTCCATTTTGTCGGGACAACTGTGGGAACTTGGGACCCCTCAAAACCAAACCCCGTGGGGCCAGGACTTGTCCCGGAAGCCCCGACTGGGCTCTGCCATTCGGACAAGGGAACAGCCCCAGCTGCCGGCGTCTGCGTCCGCGGGGCAGTACTGGTCGGGCGCGACGGTGGAGACACCCAGACGCAGCTCCCCGCCTCCATCAACCAAGATGGAGGGAGCTGCAGGCTCCCTTGGAGCTGGGCTCTCGCGGGTTGGAGGGGCTGAGGCCTGCCCTGGGGCGTCCCTGGGCGCCGCCGTCCTGTGCTAGCAGCCCGGGGCGCTGGCCCTGCCTAGGCCTTTTTACTGCCTGCCACCGTCTCCTGGTCCGGAATGGTTGATGGAGACTCCATGGAGGCTCCCTCCACAGCCCGCTCTATCGCGGGGCGCACCCGCTGCGGCCCCTGCGGGGAGCAGAATCAGGGACAGATGGCGCCCGGTGAGGGCGGGCCCCACAGGCCACCTCCACGAGGGGTCTTCTCTTTTGTTCCTCGTCTACACCTACGTCTTCGGCGGATGTCATGGTGCTGAACCATTTCCCGGACTCCACGTAAAGATGGAAGCGATTCCGCTTTCGTCTCGCCCTGGCGGTTCTTAGTGGGATTACAATTGAGGATGTTAGTTTGGATGAAAGTTGGTGAAATACTTACCTTATGTCTGGAAATACAGATAATGTGATTTTTAAAAAACACATTGAGCCCCGTTTTACTTCTGTGGTATGGTAAAGGCACAGGTTTATTCAATGAAAATCAGACGTTAACCATCTAATGCAGGGGTGGCCAATCTTTTGGCTTCCCGGGGCCACATTGGAAGAATTGGCTTGGGCCACACATAAAATACGCTAACAGTAACAATAGCTGATGAGCTAAAACAAACGAAAAAACCAAAACGCCAAAAAAATCTCATAACGTTTTAAGAAAATTTACAAATATGTGTTGGGCTGCATTCAAAGCCGTCCTGGGCCGCATGCAACCCCCAAGGGCTGCAGGTTGGACAAGCTTGATCTAAGACAAAAGCATGTTCACGGATTGATGAGAGTTCTGTGTAAGCCTTTGCATATTGCATAGTGCTGTATGTCATGGATATGCCTAATATCACCTACATTTTTTAGGTCCTCAGTTACTCTTTGGAAATAAGTGAATTACATGTAATGTCATCATTTTAATGACTGCTGTAAATTACAAGCACTGACTACCCTGAGTTCGTGGAGAAGGGCTCCATAGAGAAAATTTGAAGGTCTGACAGAAACTTTAAATGGTAAGCTCAGTAGCCACTTGTCATCTATTTTCTGATTATCTTTTTCACAATTTTTTGGCATTGATACTGTTCAAAGATTAAAATTGGGTAACATTTCTTTTTCCTGATAGTGGCAGGAATGACAGGTTCATGTCCCAATGAAAACGCTCACCTCAGTATGCTGCCATGATTTCGAGGGTTGTCGAAAATTTAGGAAAAAAAAGTCTTCATTGTTCAACAAGATAGTGTCATTTATTGTAAATCTTTTGATAATTCAGGACTCCCGGCTAATACAAAGTCACAGCATTATGACCAAGTCTACACAAAGGGGCCAGATAGCCTGCCTTTGAATCGTACTTTATTACTAGTAGCTGTGTGATCATCTTAACAGATAAGTTACTTAAACTCAGCCTCACTTTTATCATTTAAAAAATGTAACAAATACTTAAGATTTTTTTTTTTTGAGAATTAAATGAATTGGCCGGGCACAATGGCCCACGCCTGTAATCCCAGCTATTTGGGAGGCTGAGGCAGGAGAATCACTTGAACCCAGGAGGTGGAGGTTGCAGTGAGCCGAGACTGCATCACTGCACTCCAGTCTGGGCAACACAGCAAGACTGTATCTCAAAAAAAGAAAAACAAAAAACAAGCAAAAAAAGAATTAAATAAATTATCACACATATGACACTTAGAATTGCACCTGGCACATTAATTAATAAAAGCTTGTAAATTTTGCCTGTCATTGTTAATTCCCAATCAGCACAGTGGTACACTAAAAAAAAAATTCTGGCCCGGTGCGGTGGCTCACACTTGTAATCCCAGCACTTTGGAAGGCCGAGACGGGCAGATCACCTGAGGTCAGGAGTTTGAGACCAGCTTGACCAACATGGCGAAACCCCGTCCCTACTAAAAGTACAAAAGTAGCCGGGCGTGGTGGCGCATGCCTGTAATTCCAGATACTCGGGAGGCTGAGGCAGGAGAATCACTTGTACCTGGGAGGTGGGGTTGCGGTGAGCCGAGATTGCACCATTGCACCCCAGACTGGGCAACAAGGGCGAAACTCCGTCTCAAAAACTAACTAAATAAATAGGAAAAAATTCTTCCAGCCTAGGTAACATAGTGGGACCCAGTCTCTACAAAAAATTTTAAAAATTAGCCAGAAGTGGTGCATGCCTGTAGTCCCAGCTACTCAGGAGGCCGAGGTGGGAGGATCACTTGAGCCCAGGAGGTCAAAGCTGCAGTGAGCCATGATTGTGCCACTGCACTCCAGCATCTGGGTGCAGAGTGAGACCCTGTCTCAAAAACAAAAAAAAAAGTTGTTTATAATAATTTAATGACTTATTAAAGTAACATCAGCACTTTCTTACTATTGTAATATGAAAATATTTAATTCTTGGAGTTAATATGTAAAATAAACCGTAGAGGAAATGTAATTGGAACCAAAATTTATTTATTCTTTGAAAGTGGCTTAGTACAGCCAGGCGCGGTGGCTCACGCCTGTAATCCCAGCACTTTGGGAAGCTGAGGCGGGTGGATCACCTGAGGTCGGGAGTTCGAGACCAGCCTGACCAACATGGAGAAACCCCGTCTCTGCTAAAAATACAAAAATTAGCCAGGCGTGGTGGCACATGCCTGTAATCCCAGCTACTTGGGAGGCTGAGGCAGAATTGCTTGAACTTGGGAGGCGGAGGTTGCCGTGAGCAGAGATCGCGCCATCGCACTCCAGCCTGGGCGACAAGAGCGAAACTCCATCTCAAAAAAAAAAAAAAAAGTGTTGTCTTACAATATTCTTAAATTGTCATCCCAAGTAATTCATAGGGATATTAGAAACATAGATCAAAAACAACTGGGGTGGGGAAGAGAGAAAAGAGACTGAGGGAATTAATGCTTATCTTGGACAAACCAGTGAAAAGCTATTTTAAGCAATAAATAATGAAAATTTATTAGAAGAGAAGGAACAGAATCTAAGATTGAAAAAGCATGAGATGACTGGTTGCTATATTTTTAAAAAGATCTCTAGAATCAGTAGGATGCTTTTTTTTTTCTTTGAGATGGAGTCTTGCTCTGTTGCCCAGGCTGGAGTGCAGTGGCGCAGTCTTGGATCACTGCAACCTCCGCCTCCCGGGTTCGAATGATTCTCCTGCCTCAGACTCTAGAGTAGCTGGCATTACAGGCATGCGCCACCACGTCCAGCTAATTTTTGTATTTTTAGTAGAGATGTGGTTTCACCATGTTGGCCAGGCTGGTCTCGAACTCCTGACCTCAAGTGATCTGCCCACCTCAGCCTCCCAGAGTACTGGGATTACAGGCGTAAGCCACTGCACCCAGCCTGAAACCAGTTTTATCTAAGACTGCTGAGATGGCTTGCTGCAACTTTAGGATTAATTTTGGCCACTGCCGTTGCTCACCATTTGGAGCTTGCCAGCTCCCCAGAACCTTACTAGTGCCAGAGAGCTTTCTCAACAAGCAATAGGTAACATTTCTCTTTTTCATAAAACCCCCAACCTTCTCTTTGTTCCTCAGACATGAAGAAAACCACCTGATCTGTGTATATGCCCCCAGCTGCAATTCTTTCTCTCCAAATAAAATGTTAGAGTTTCATCTCTACATTTTTATTTTTATATCAACAGTTGTTTTACAAATACCTTTCAAAGGGATCAATTATTTTACTATGATGAGCACAGTCAGAGATTAAAGCTTATGTAGTAGCTTTTGCTTTTAATCTATCCTAGGTATTCTATTGATAGTCATAGTGTTTCAACTTCGGTCATTTCAACTTTGCTTCTGAGCCCTTTTGATATGATCTGAGTCATCTTTCATATTTCCTTGCTTTCTGTTATAATGAGATGTTCCATCGTTGCCTACATTTCTTGACCCACACCTGAATCTGTCATTTTTTCAAACCATTGTTTTCTTTTAGTGGGACATAGTAGTTAAGGAGCAAAATCTAGAAGCTAGGAGTATTTATTGCTCTACGTGGTCATTGTTTATAGGCTTTTCAGGGAACAGAGCTAGGAATGAATATGTTATATTAGCATTATAACATGAATTCATACTGAAACACACGGTTTTTTCTGAAACTCACTGATCTTACATTTGCATTTCTTTTGTCTCATGCCAAATAGTCCAGTTCTCAAAAATAGAACCAAATTATTATTATTATTATTATTTTTGAGACAGAATCTTATTCTGTTGCCCAGGCTGGAGTGCAGTGGCACAATATCGGCTCACTGCAACTTCCACCTCCTGGGTTTCAGCTATTCTCAGGCCTCAGCCTCTGGAGTAGCTGGGATTACAGGCGCCTGCCACCATGCCTGGCTAATTTTTGTATTTTTAGTAGAGACGGGGTTTCACCACATTGCCCAGGCTGGTCTTGAACTCCTGACCTCAAGTGATCCACCCTCCTCAGCCTCCCTAAGTGCTGGGATTACAGGCGTGAGCCACCGCACCCGGCCCATAAATCTTATTTGCTTTATCCTACACAGATGCCACTATCACAGAATAAAAATACATACAAATACCACCCACAATACAATTAATAAAAATAATTTAAACTTAGTTTACAGTTACTTTTTTCCTTAGAGAAATTCCAACTTACTATGCACAGTAATTTGAAGTGTGTAAAGTCAGATGGTGTTTCTTGCTAGATGGTTATGCTGCCAACTGGATACACAAGTTTTACTTGTTTCATTTTACTTTCTATTTTTATTGATTTCTTTTTTTAACTTAAATTATGTTCTATAAGTATATGAAATATTAACATGGAGTATGGGAAAAAGAAATCAGTGTTAAGATATTCTGACGTTCTTATATTTTGTAAGAGAAGGGCATGTATGTAAATAGGTATTTTAAAATCAAATATATATTAGCTATATAAGCATAGCTACTAAAAGAATAAAAAATTAGTACTGGCTGGGCGTGGTGGCTCATGCCTATAATCCTAGCACTTTGGGAGGCCGAGGCAGGTGGATCACTTGAGCCCAAGAGTTTCAGACCAGCCTGGGCAACATGGCAAAATCCTGTCTCTACAAAAAAACAACAAAATTACCTGGGCTTGGTGGTACATGTCTGTATTCCCAGCTATTCAGGAGTGAGGGGCTGAGGATCGCTTGAGCCCGGAAGGTTGAGGCTGCAGTGGGCTGTCATTGTGCCACTGCATTCCAGCCTAGGCAACAAAGGGAGATGCTGTCTCAAACCAAAAAAATAAATAAATAAATAAAAAAGAATAATTAGTAGTGATGGGAAAAAGAAAACTTGAACAATCACACAGGAGGCAGGATAATAGTCTATTACTGCCTAACAAATTACCTAAAAACTTAGTGGGTTAAAATAACAAATACTTATCGTGTCTGTTATTGTAGGTCAAGAACTGGGAAGAAGCTCACCTGGGTGGCCCTGACTCAGGGTCTCTCATGAGGTTGCAGTCCACACGTAGGCCAGGGCTGCAGTCGTATGAAGGCCTGACAGGGGCTGATGGATCTGCTTATAAGCCCACTCATGTGGCTATTAGCACGAGGCTTCAGCTCTTCTCTAGTTGTCTCCAAAGTGGTACACTGCCTTTTTTATTTATTTATTTTCAAGACAGGGTCTTTCTCTGTCTCCCAGGCTGGAGTGCAGCAGTGCAGTCACAGCTCACTGCAACTTCCGCCTCCTGGGCTCCAGCAATCCTCTTGCCTCAGCCTCCCAAGTAGCTGAGACTACAGGTATGTACCACCATACCCAGCTAATTTTTGTATTTTTTGTAGTTGCCCAGGCTGGTCTCAAACTCCTGAGCTCAAGCAATCCACCTGCCTTGGCTTCCCAAAGTGCTGGGATTACAGGTGTGCACCACTGCGCCTGACCATACACTGTCATTTCTCTTTCTCTCTTCTTTCCTTCCTTCCTTCCCCTCCTTTCCCTTCCCTTCCCTCCCTCCCTCCCTCTTTCTCTCTTTCTTTCTTTCTCTTTCTTTCTTTCTTCCTTCCTTCCTTCCTTCCTTCTTTCCTTTCCTTCCTTCCTTCCTTTCTTTCTTTCTTTCCTTCTTTTTTGAGACAGAGTCTCGCTCTATTGCCCAGGCTGGTGTGCAGTGGCACAGTGCACAGATCACAGTAGTGCGATCTCGGCTCACTGCAGCCTCTGCCACCCGGGTTCAAGCGATTCTTGTGCCTCAGCCTCCCTAGTAGCTGGGATTACAGGCATGAGCCACCACACCTGGCTAATTTTTGTATTTTTAGTAGAGACGGGGTTTCACCATGTTGGCCAGGCTGGTCTCCGACTCCCGACCTCAGGTGATCCACCCACTTCGGCCTCCCAAAGCGCTGGGATTACAGGCTTGAACCACTGCGCCTGGCCTTACACTGTCATTTCTATTGAAGTCATTAGAAGCAAGTCACTAAGTGCTTCCCACAGTCAAGCAGAGGGGAATTGGGCAGTAAAAATTAAATGGAAAAGTACCAGAGAATATGTGGACATATGTTAAAACTGTCACAGGCAGAAAGGAGAAAAAAAATAAGCAAAACAAAAATAGAAAACAAAATAAAATGCTAAAAACGAATATGAATAGACATTATGCTTGCCTATTGAAAGAGAAATACTTGAAGATTGGATTTTTTAAAATGGTAGCAATGTATGGTTTATGATATGCTGCAAATTATAATAACACAGAAAGTAAAGAGATAAAAAATGTATACTAGAGAAATATTAAGCAAAAGAAAGTGAAACAACAATAATGTATAAAATAGACATTTTTGCAAAGTGCATTACTAGGCAAAAGAACGATTACTTATTGATAAAAAAAGAACAATTAACTAGAGAATTCTAAGGGTTTTGTTTTTATTTTATTTTTATTTTTATTTTCATTGATAGAGCATGGGGTCATGCTCTATCGCCCAGGCTGGAGTACAGTAGCCAACTCCTGTGCTCAAGCAGTCTTCCCACCTCAGCCTCCTGAGTAGCTGGGACTACAAGCACGTGCCACCATGCCCAGCTCAGTTTAGAAACTGCATGCACCTTACATATGGAATCATTCATAACTATATGGTGAAACTGAAAAATCCATAATTATGCTACACTTTCATAAAGTCATGCAGAAAAAAAATCTCTTTAGCACATATATGGCTCTAATTTATACTAAATGTAAAAAATTGATCTGCACCCAATAATGAGGAAATGACTAATTTTTCAATATGTGAAACATTTACACAAACTGAATACTAACTGGATCATAAGGGATTTCTCAACAAATATTAAAGAATGGATCATGTACACATGGCATTCCCTGACTGCAATGCACAAAGGAAAGTTAATAATAAAAAATCGGAAAGTAATATTTGGAGAAATTTTAAAATGCACATGTGTAGAAAATTTTAAGCAGACTCATGTATTTATTATTATTATTATTTTATTTTTATTTTTTGAGATGGTCTCACTCTGTTACCCTGGCTGGGGTGCAATGGTATAATCACAGCTCATTGCATCCTTGACCTCCTGGGTTCAGGTGATCCTCCCACCTCAGCTTCTAGAGTAGCTGGGATTACAGGTGTAAGCCACCATGTCTGGCTAAGTTCTTTTTTTTTTTTTTTAAATAAAAACGAGGTTTTGCCATGTTGCCCAGGCTGGCTGTGAACTCCTGAACTCAAGTGATCCACAGTGCCCATCCTCTGATTTGTTTATTAATTTTAAAAGTGGACTCTATGGCTAGGCACGGTGGCTCATGCCTGTAATCCCAGCACTTGGGAAGCTGAGGCGGGCAGATCAGTTGAGGCCAGGAGTTCAAGACCAGCCTGACCAACATGGTGAAACTCTGTCTCTACTGAAAATACAAAAATTAGCCAGGCATGGTGGTGGGTGCCTGTAATCCTAGGTACTTGGGAGGCTGAGGCAAGAGAATTCCTTGAACCCAGGAGGTGGAGGTTGCAGTGAGCCAAGATCGGGCCACTGCACTCCAGGCTGGGCAACAGAGTGAGACCCCATCTCAAAAATAAAAAATAAAAAAGTGGACTTCAAAACAATTCAAGGTCAAAGGAGAAATTTCAAACTTACAGAGTTGTATTTAAGACAATATGAATAATTATGTCTACGCTTTCATTCAGATTCTCTGATTGCTAACGTTTTGTTACATCTGCTTTAAAATCCCTTTTATAGACCAGGCGCGGTTGCTCATGACTGTAATCCCAGCACTTTGGGAGGCTGAGTCGGGTAGATCACTTGAGGCCAGGAGTTTGAGACCAGCCTGGGTAATATGACGAAACACCCCGTCTGCCTAAAATACAAAAATTAGCTGGGCATGGTGGTGCATGCCTGGAATCACAGTTATTTGGGAGGCTGAGGCATAAGAATCACTTGAACCCAGGAGGCCAGAGGTTGCAGTGAGCCAAGATCACGCCACTGCACTCCAGCCAGGGTGACAGAGTGAGACTCTACCCCAAAAAAAAATAAATAAATAAAATCCCTTTTATAGGCACATACTTAATTTTGGAGATAGTTTCAGGCATAATGTCTCTTTATCTTTAAATCCTCAGCATGTGTTAAAGAACAAGAGCATTGCAGCCATAATGACAGAGCAAGTATCACTCATACTGATAGAATAATATTATCTAGTACTCAGATTGTATCAATGGTCCCAATATTTTCCATTGTGGACGATCCTCCTCCCCTGACCAGGATCTGGTCCAGGAACAGGTGTTGCATTTACTTGCCGTGTCTCTTAGGTCTCCTTCAATCTGGAATGGCCCCTCGGCCTTTCCCTCTCTCATGACACTGACAGTTTTGAAGAGCCCAGGCCAGTGGTTTCCAGACAGAGTCAATTTTATTTATTTATTTATTTATTTATTTATTTATTTATTTATTTATTGAGGCAGAGTCTTGCTCTGTCGCCCAGGCTGGAGTGCAGTGGCGCGATCTTGGCTCACTGCAACCTCCGCCTCCCAGGTTCAAGTGATTCTCCTGCCTCAGCCTCCTGAATAGCTGTGATTACAGGCATGTGTCACCACGCCCAGCTAATTTTTGTATTTTTAGTAGAGACGGGGTTTTGCCATGTTGGTCAGGCTAGTCTCGAACTCCTGACCTTGTGATCCACCCACCTTGGCCTCCCAAAGTGTTGGGATTACAGGCGTGAGCCACCACGCCCAGCCCAGAGTCGATTTTAAACATGTTCCTCTGGTGATGCTGTTATTCTCTCCAGTTTGAGAACCACCACGTCAGAGGCGTCTTCCTGTCTGAACCATTCTTTCCTGCTGCTCTCAGGAAGGCAGAAAGGTACAGCTGGGCTCACCCCATACTCATCTGGGCCTCCCACACCCAACCCCATGCCTGGCACCCAATAGATACTCAATAAAAACTTGACTTGGTTGTTATATAGACCAGGTTTCCAGCCCATCTGTGCCACAGAGTGCGTTGGGCAAGGACTTCACCTTTCCAGGATCACTTCTCCCATCTGTGAATCTTGGTTTTTGGGTGGAGAGTGGGTGGAACTAGGTGATCTTTAAAGGCTCTTGCAGCTTTGGTTGTTGCCTCTCAAAAGGACCTCTTTCCTCCCACTCCAGGAGCTGGATTAACTGTCTTAGGTCTCCCAAGTCAGTGCCTCATTCATCAAATACTTATGAATCACCTATGAGGCGGAACCTGGGACTTGATTTTCTTTATTTCTTTTTCTTTTTCTTTTTGAGACAGAGTCTTGCTCTGTCGCCAAGGCTGGAGTGCAGTAGCGTGATCACAGCTCACTGCAACCTCAAACTCCTGAACTCAAGGGATCCTCCCACCTCAGTCTTCTAAGTGGCTGGGACTTCAGGTGTGCACCACCACACCCAGCTAATATTTATTTATGTATTTATTTATTTTTAGAGATGGAGGGTCTCGCTATGTTGCCCAGGCTGGTCTCTAACTCCTGGGCTCAGGAGATCCTCCCACTTCAGCTTTTCAAGTAGCTGGGATTAGAGATGTGATCCACATTGCCCGGCTCATTCCAATCTTCACTTCCATGGTCACATTGCTTTCTCCTCTTCTGGATGTCAAATCTCTCTTGGCATCCCTCTTGTAGGAATATATGTGATTGCTTTTAGAGCACATGCTGATTATTCCACACTTTCCCTAACTCATAATCCTTAATTTAATCATATTTGCCAATGTTTGCCATGTAAGAAAAGATATACAGATTTTAGGGAGTAGGACCTGATAGCTTTGGGGTCCATTATTAAGCCTACTACAGCTAGTGAGAGCTATTAAAGTTGGCTCCAAATAAACATATGAAAAAATACTCATCATCACTAATAATCAGAGAAACACAAATTAACATCATGATGAGATACCAGTCAGAATGGCTATTATTAAAAAGTCAAAATATAACAGATGTGGGTGAGGCTATGGAAAAAAGGGAACACTCATACACTGTTGGTGGGAATGTAAATTAGTTCAGCCCCTGTGGAAAGTAGTTTGGAGATTTCTCAAAGAACTAAAAATAGAATTGCCACCTGAGCCAGCAGTCCCATTACTGGGTATATACCCAAAGGAAAATAAATTGTTCTACCAAAAAGACGTCTGCACTAGTATGCTCATCACAGCAAAGTTATCAGCCTAGGTGCCCTCTACCAGCAGATTGGATAGAGACAATCTGGGATCCTTTTGGAGTTCATGAGTGTGAGAACTGGGTGTTCACCCGCATGTGTGAGATGTGCCACCCGCAAACCTTGTTATGACATCAGCACATTACTGAAAAAAAAAATCTGGTACATATGTACCATGGAATATTATGCAGCCATAAAAAATAATGACACTATTGCTGGGCGCAGCGGCTCACACCTGTAATCCCAGCACTTAGGGAGGCTGAGGCAGGCAGATCACGAGGTCAAGAGATGGAGACCATCCTGGCCAACATGGTGAAACCCTGTGTCTACTAAAAATACAAAAATTAGCTGGGTGTGGAGGTGCGCGCCTATAGTGCCAGCTATTCGGGAAGCTGAGGCAGGAGAATCGCTTGAACCCGGGAGGCGGAGCTTGCAGTGAGCCAAGATCACACCACTGCACTCCAGCCTGGCAACAGAGCAAGACTCCATCGCAAAAAAAAAAAAAAAAAAAAAAAAAATTATGTTATTGTTTCCTTTGCAGCAACATGGAAGCAGCTGGAGGCCATTATCCTAGGTGAATTAACACCAAAACAGAAAACCAAATACTGCGTGTTCTCCCTTATGAGAGCTAAACATTGAGTACACATGGATATAAAGATAGGAACAATAGACTCTGGGGACTCTAAAAAGCGGGGAGGAAAAGAGGGGAAAAGGGTTGAAAAACTACCTATTGAGTACTATGTTCACTATTTGGGTGACGTGAAGGTTCAATAGAAGCTCAAAACTTCAGCATCACACAAAATATCCTAAATGAAACAAACCTAAACATGTACCCACTGAATCTGAAATTAAAAATAAATAAATAAAATTGGCTCCAGTGTCCTTTGTTCTTAAATTTTTTTTTTTTTTGAGTCGGAGTCTTGCTCTTGTCACCCAGGCTGGAGTGCAATGGTGTGATCTTGGCTCACTGCAATCTCCACCTCCCGGGTTCACGCCATTCTCCTGCCTCAGCCTCCCGAGTAGCTGGGATTACAGGCACCCACCACCATGCCCCACTAATTTTTGTATTTTTAGTGGAGACGAGGTTTCACCATGTTGGCCAGGCTGGTCTCAAACTCCTGACCTCCGGTGATCCGCCCGCCTTTGGCCTCCCAAAGTGCTGGGATTACATGCGTGAGCCACTACGCCTGGCTCTTTTACTTTTTTGAGATGGAGTCTCCCTCTGTCACCCAGGCCGGAATGCAGTGGCACGATCTCGGCTCACTGCAACCTCCGCCTCCCAGGTTCAAGTGATTCTCCTGCCTCAACCTCCTGAGTAGCTGCGACTACAGGCACGTGCCACTACACTGGCTAAGTTTTTATATTTTTGGTAGAGACGGGGTTTCACCATTTTGGTCAGGCTGGTCCCAGACTCCTGACCTCAAGTGATCTGCCTGCCCTGACCTCCCAAAGTGCTAGGATTACAGGCGTGAGCCACCTCGCCTGGCCTAAAATTTTTCAAAAAGTATGATAAAATACATATAAAATTTACCCTATTAACTATTTTTAAGTGTACAGTTCGATGGTACTAACTTCATTCATATTGTTGTGTAACCATCACCATCACCCATTTTCAGAACTTTTCTTATCTTGCAAAAAGTGAAGCTCTGTACCTATTAGACAATAACTCCCCATTTCCCCTGACAACCAGCATTCTACTTTCTGTATGTATGAATTTGACTGCTCAAGGTACCTTATGTGTCTTAGTCTATTTTGTGTTGCTAAACAGAATACCTGAGACTGGATAATTTCTTTTAAAAAGAAGTTTATTGGCCAGGCGGTGGCTCACGCCTGTAATCCCAGCACTTTGGGAGGCCGAGGCGGGCGGATCACGAGGTCAGGAGATCGAGACCATGGTGAAACCCCGTCTCTACTAAAAATACAAAAAATTAGCTGGGCGCAGTGGCGGGCGCCTGTAATCCCAGCTACTCAGGAGGGTGAGTCAGGAGAATGGCGTGAACCCGGGAGGCGGAGCTTGCAGTAAGCCGAGATTGTGCCACTGCACTCCAGCCTGGGCGACAGAGCGAGACTCCGTCTCAAAAAAAAAAAAAAAAACAAAGAAGTTTATTTAGCTTATGGTTCTGCAAGCTGAGAAGTTGAAGGGGCATGGTGCCTGCATCTGCTTCACTTCTGGTGAGAACCTCATGCTGCACTCATGTCAGAAAGTGGAAAGGGAGTAGACATGTGTAAAGAGATCACAAAGAAAGAGAGAAAGCAAGAGAGAGAAAAACCCAATGAAGCCAGACTCCTTTTACCTACCTACTCTCATGGGAACCAACCCATTCCTGTGAGAGTAAGAACCTGCCTCCTTGGGAAGGCATTCAGCTATTCATGAGGGATCCATCCCCAAGCCCAGATACTTCCCACTAGGCTCTGTCTTTCAACACTACTACATTGGGGAACAGATTTCAACATGAGTTTTGGTGGAGACAATATCCAAACCATAGCATTATGTAAGTGGAATATTATGTATTTTTCATTTTGTGACTGCCTTATTTCACTTAATGTAATATCCTTAAGGTTCATCCATGTGGCAGCATATGTCCAAATTTCCTTCCTTTTTAAGACTAAACAATATTCCACTGTATGTATGTACCACATCTTGCTTATCCACTTCTGCCGATGGACACTAAGGTTGCTTCCACATTTTAGCTACTGTGAATGATGCTGCTATAAATGTGGGTATACAAAGATATCTTGAAGACCCTGTTTTCATTTTTTTGACTATATACACCGAAGTGAAATCACTGGATTATATAGTAATTACATTTTAAATTTTTGGCTGTTTTCCACAGCATCTGTACCATTTTACATTCCCACCAACAGTGCACAAGGGTTCCAATTTCTTCACATTCTTGCCAACACTGATTACTTTTTGATTACTTTTTTTTTTTTTTGAGATGGAGTCTTGCTCTGTTGCCCAGGCTGGAGTGCAATGGCATGATCTCAGCTCACTGCAACCTCAGCCTCCTGGGTTCAATCGATTCTCCTGCGTCAGCTGCCCGAGTAGCTGGGACTACAGGCGTGCACCACCACACCCAGCTAATTTTTGTATTTTTAGTAGATACAGGGTTTCACCATGTTGGCCAGGCTGGTCTCGAACTCCTGACCTCAAGTGATCTGCCTGCCTCAGCCTCCCAAGGTACTGGGATTACAGGCGCAAGCCACTACACCTGGCCGGTAGTAGCTTTTTGATAGTAGTTATTCTAATTGATGTAAGGTGGTATCCAATTGTGGTTCTGATTTGCATTTCTCTGATTATTAGAGATGTCGAGCATCTTTTCATGTGCTTACTGGCATTCATGTATCTTGTTTGGAGAAATGTCTATTCAATTCCTTTGCCCTTTTTTTTTTTTTTTTTTTTTGAGATGGAGTTTCGCTCTTGTCACTCAGGCTGGAGTACAGTGGCACCATCTCGGCTCACTGCAACCTCTGCCTCCCGGGTTCAAGTGATTCTCCTGCCTCAGCCTCCCAAGTAGCTGGGATTACAGGCACTCACCACCATGCCTGGCTAATTTTTATATTTTTAGTAGAGACGGGGTTTCACCATGTTGGTCAGGCTGGTCTTGAACTCCTGACATCGGGTGATCCACCTACCTCGGACTCCCAAAGTGCAGGCATGAGGCACTGTGCCCAGCCCTTTGCCCATTTTTGAATCAGGTTATTTGTTTCTTTGCTGTTGAATTTTAGGAGTTATATATATAGACTGGAAATCAATCTCTTATCAGATATGTGTTTTACAAATATTTTCTCCTATTCTGTGGGTTGCCTTTTTACTCTGCTGACAGCATCTTTCCATGCAAAAAAATTTTTAATTTTTGCAAAGTCCAATTTGTCAATTTTTTCTCCTGTTGACTGTACCTTTACTGTCAGAACTAAGAGATCATTACCAAATCCAATGTAATGAATGTTTTCTTTTGTTTTCTTCTAAGAGTTTTATAGCTTAGCACTTACATTTAAGTCTTTGATTCATTTTGAGTTAATTTTTGTGTGTATTATAAGGTAAGAGTCCCAACTTCATTCTTCTGCATGTGAATATCCAATTTTCCCAGTATCATTCGTTGAAAAGACTGTCCTTTCCTCTTTGAATGGTATAGTACTCTTGTTGAAAATCATTTGAGGGTGGGCATGGTGGCTCATGCTTGTAATCCCAACACTTTTGGAGGCTGAGGTGGGCAAATTGCTTGAACTCAGGAATTTGAGGCCAGTGTGGGCAACATGGCAAAACCATTTTGTATTTTTCTACAAAAAATACAGAATTTAAGAAAAAAGAAAATAATTTGACCATAGCCACAAACGTTTACTTGTGGGCTCTCTATTCTGTTCCATTGATCTATGTGTCTGTTATGTCAGTACCATACTTCTTTGATTATTGTAGCTCTATAGTAAGTTTGAAAGCAGGAAGCGAGTCTTTCCATTTTGTTCCTTTTAAAGATTGTTTTGGCTATTCAGCATCCCTTGAGATTTCATATAAATTTTAGAGTGGGCTTTTCTATTTCTACAAAAGACGTAATTGGGATTTTGAGAGACATTGCATAAAATCTGCAGATTCCTTTGGGTAGTATTGATATTGTGATGGCCAACTTTTTGTGCCACTTTGACTGGGCTGAAGGATGCCCAGATAGCTGGTAAAACATTATTTCCAGATGGGTCTTTGAGGGTCTTTCCAGAAGAGATTAGCATTTGAGTCAGGAGATTGAGTAAAGATTATCGGCCCTCACTAATGTGCGTAAGCATTCTGCAATCTGTTGGAGGCCTTAATAAAACAAAATGATTAAGGAAAGGCATATTTCCTCTCTTTCTTTTCCCTCCTGGGTCTGGGACAACCATCATCTCCTGCCCTTAGAAATTGGAGCTCTTGGTCTTGCGCCTTTAGACTCTAGGACCAGCAGGGTACCCTCTCCACCACCTCCAGTTCACAGGACTTCCTACCATGACTGAATTACACCATCAGCTTTCCTAGTTCCCCAGCTTTCAGACAGCATACTGTGGGACTTCTTGGCCCCCATAAGCAGGTGAGCTAATTCCTATAATAAAGACACTCATATATCCATGTATATCCTATTGGCTCTATTTCTCTGGCTAATACGGACATCTTGCAATATTAAGTCTTTCAGTTCATGAACACGGAATGTCTTTCCATTCGTGTTTTATTTCTTTCAGCAAGGTTTTTGTAGTTTTGATTGTACAAATATTCCACCTTCTTCGTTAATTTAATTCCTATATATTTATTCTTTTTGATTTTCTTGTAACTGAATTTTTTTTCTTTTTTTGAGATGGAGTCTCACTCTGTCACCCAGGCAGAAGTGCAGTGCCGCGATCTCGGCTCACCACAACCTCCGCCTCCTGGGTTCAAGCAATTCTTCTGCCTCAGCCTCCCAAGTAGCTGGGGTTACAGGTGCATGCCGCCACGCCCGGCTAATTTTTTGTATTTTAATAGAGATGGGGTTTCACCATGTTGCCCAGGCTGGTCTTGAACTCCTGAGCTCAGGCGATCCACCCGCCTTGGACTCCCAAAGTCCTGGGATTGCAGGCATGAGCCCCGCACCCAGCTGTTGGAATTGTTTTCTTAATTTTCTTTTTGGATTGTTCACTGTTAGTGTGTAGAAATGCAACTGACTTTTGCATGTTGACTTTTCGTCCGGCTTCTTTGCTGAATTTACTTATTAGTTCTAACAGTTTTTCAAGGAATCTTAAAGTTTTTTTGTTTTTGTTTTGTTTTTTGTTTTTTTTTTGAGACAGTCTCGCTTCATTACCCAGGCTGGAGTGCCATGGCATGATCTCTGCTCACTGCAACGTCCACCTCCCAGGTTCAAGCAATTCTCCTGCCTCAGCCTCCCTAGTAGCTGGGATTACAGGCACGTGCCACCACGCCCAGCTAATTTTTGTATTTTTAGTAGAGAGGGCATTTCACCATGTTGGTCAGGCTGGTCTCGAACTCCTGACCTCGTGATCTGCCCTCCTCAGCCTCCCAAAGTGCTGGGATTAAAGGCGTGAGCCACTGTGCCTGGCCAGGAATCTTAAAGTTTTGTACATATAAATTTTCATCTATGGAAAACGATAATTTATTTGTATCTTTACAACTTGAATGCCCTTTATTACTTTTTCTTGCTTAATTGCTCTGGCAAATTGGGGAAAAAAAATATCTTCAACAAATGGGGGAGGGGGCCTGGTGCGGTGGCTCACATCTGTAATCCCAGCACTCTGGGAGGCTGAGGTGGGCGGATCACTTGAGGTCAGGAGTTTGAGAACAGCCTAGCCAACATGGCAAAAACCCATCTCTATCAAAAATAAAAAAATTAGCTGGGTGTGGTGGCATGCGCCTGTAATCCCAGCTACTCGAGAGACTGAGGTGGCAGAATTCCTTGAACCCAGGAGGAGGAGGTTGCAGTGAGCTGAGATGTTGCCACTGCACTCCAGCCTGGGCAACAGAGTGAGACTCAGTCTCAATAAAAAATAAAAAATAAAAAATAAAATAAAACAAATGAGAGTAGGACAATGAATATCCAAGTAGAAAAAAATGAAATTTGGTCAGGCGCTGTGGCTCATGCCTGTAACCCCAGCACTTTGATGGCCGAGGCAGGTGGATCACTTTGAGATCAGGAGTTCAAGACCACACTGGCCACCACGGTGAAACCCCGTCTCTATTCTAAATAAAAAATCAGCTGGGTGTGGTTGCACGCCTGTAATCCCAGCTACTTGGGAGGCCGAGGCAAGAGAATCGCTTGAACTTGGGAGGCAGCAGCTGCAGTGAGCCAAGATTGCACCACTGCACCCCAGTCTGGGCAAGAGTGAGACTCTGTATCCAAAAAAAAAAAAAAAAAAAAAATTTGTATATTTTTACCAAAATTATATATACAAAAATGAACTCAAAGTCGATTAAGGACTTAGATATAAGAGCTAAAATCAATTCTTAGATGAAAACACAGAAGCAAATCTTCATGACCTTGGATGTGCCTATGTTTTCTTAGATACAAAAGCCGAGCAGTGAAATAATAAATCAGACTTCATCAATATTAAAAACTTTTGTGCATCCCAGGGAATTACTAAGAAAGTGAAAAGACAACCTTCATAATGGGAGAATATATTTGCAAATAATGTATCTGATAAAGTTTAGTATCCAGAATGTATAAAGAACTCTTACAACTCAATGACAAAAAGGCAAACAACTCAATTAAAAATGGATTAAGGACTTGAATAGACATGTCTCCAAAACATGGCCAACTAGCACATGAAAAGATGTTCAACTTCATTAGTCATTAGAAAAATGAGTATTAAAACCACAATTGGCTGGGCGTGGTGGTAGCTCACACCTGTAATCCTAGCATTTTGGGAGACTAAGGTGGGTGGATCACTTGAGCCCAGGAGTTTGAGACCAGCCTGGGCAACAAGGTGAGACCCAGTCTCTACCAAAAATACAAAAATTCGCAGGGCATGGTGTCATGCGCCTGTCATCCCAACTACTCAGGAGCCTGAGGTGGGAGGATCACCTGAGCCCAGTAGGTCAAAACTGTAGTGAGCTGTGATTGTACCACTGCATTCCAGCCTAAGCGACAGGGTAAGACCCTGTCTCAAAAACAAAAAAGAACACGAAAACCACAATGACGTGCGCCACTTCACATCCAAATTGCCAGTGGGAATATAAAATGGAGCAACTACTGTGGAAAACTAGTGGTTCTTCAAAAGATAAACATTAATTATCTTTTGACCCAGCAATTCATTCCTGGGTTTATGCTCAAAATAATTGAAAACAGATGTTCAAATAAATACTTATACATCAATTTTTATACAGTACTATTCACAGTAGACAAAAGATGGAAACAACCTGCATATCCATTAATGGACGAAAGGATAAACAAAATGTGGTCTATACATACAATGGAATATTATTGTTAAAAAGTAATGAAGTATTTATGTATGCTACAACATGAATGAACCTCAAAAATATGGTGAGTGAAAGAAGCCAGACACAATAGATCTTATACTGTATGGCTTCATTTATAGAAAGTATCTCAAATAAGTAAACCTATAGAGACAGGAACCAGATAGGTGGTTTCCAGGGGGTGGAAAAGTGAAGAATGGGTATTGACTATTTAATGGGTACTGGATTTTCTTTTGGGATGATGAAAATGTTTTATAACTTGATAAAGGTGGTGGTTGCACAAAATTGTGAATATACTAAATGTCACTGAATTGTACAACTTAGAAATGTCTAATTTTATGTGAATTTCACCTTAATTTTTTTAAAAAAGAATGAAGCACATCTTTGACGCGAAAACTTCGGGATATCTGACAGAGAATTAGACAACGTGTAAAATAAAAGGCTGAGCTTAGCACATTCATAGTTGTGAGATGATTATTTAATTGCCCCAGTAGTGAATTTTGGGCATTCTTAACAAATTCTAAGCCCAGGCTATGTTTATTTAGTTTGGGTTAAAACCAGCTTTAAAAATCTTTCCTTTTTGTCTTTTCAATTTCTGAGTGCTTTACTATGTGCTGAAGCAGTATATTAGGCCCTATGAATTAAACATGTGTAAGACAGACTCTTACTTCAAGATGTTTGTAATATTCTCATGGTATATATATATATATTTTTTTGAGCTGGAATCTTTTAATTCTGTTGCCCAGGCTGGAGCGCACGGGCACGATCTCGCCTCACGGCAACCCCCACCTCCCAAGTTTGAGTAACTCTCCTGCCTCCGCCTCCCGCGTAGCTGGGATTACAAGGGCCCACCCCCACATCTGGCTAATTTCTGTATTTTTAGTACAGACGGGGTTTCACCATGTTGCGCAGAATGGTCTCAAACTCTTCACCTCCAAGTGATCCGCCCGGTTTGACCTCCAAAAGCGCTGGGATCACAGGCATGAGCCCCCGGGCGTGGCCTATATATAAAATTCTTTAAAAGTTAAGTTTCTGCAGGGTAAACTGGCACAAGCCTGTAATCCTAGCACCTTGGAAGGCTGAGGCAGGATTGCTTGAGCTTATGAGTTTTACAACAGCCAGGAAACCATACCGAGATCCCCAGCTCTCAAAAAAATTTAAAAATTAGCCAAGCACAGTAGGGTTGTGTCCAGTATTTATCCCTTCTGGTAGGTTCTCGGTCTCGCTGACGCCAGTGGCGGGGTGCTGTGGCTGCCGCTTGTTATACCCCCGCACTTTGAAAGGCCCTGGCAGAAAAAGCACGACGTCAGTAGATCGAGACGGCCCGGGCTAACACAGTATAACCCCCATCTATGACTAACGATACAAAAAAATAAGCCAGACGTGGCGGCGGGCGGCCGTGGTCCCAGCTACTCGGGAGGCCGAGGCAGGAAAATAGCGTGAACCCGAAAGGCTTGCAGTGAGCCAAGATCGCGCCACTGCACTCCAGCCCGGGCAACAGAGAAGGAAACCTGTATCAAAAAGAAAAAAAAAGCCGTGGTCCTCACGGTGAGTATTACAGCTGTTAAAGGTGACACGTACTTAGTTTGGTCCTTCCGGTGTGCCATAGTTCTTAAAAGTAGCACGTCCGGACTTCGTTCCTTGCGGCGGATTCCTGGTCCAGAAAAAAAGACACAAACTCTCGCGATAAATGTTACAGCTCTTCAACATAGTGCCGACGCCCCCAAGACAGAAAAACAAAATCTTCAACAAGCCATACAACAAACATTCCAGCAGTAAAAGAAAACCTGAGCACATCACAATTGCGGGTGCGGGTGGCCGGCTTTTATTCCCTTATTTGGCCCGGCCCATGTCCTGCCGATTGGTCCATTTTACAGAGTGCTGATTGGCCCATTTTACAGAGTGCTGATTGGTATATTTTACAGAGTGCTGATTGGTCCATTTTTACAGAATGCTGATTGGTATATTTATAATCCTTTAGCTAGACACAGAGTGCTGATTGGTGCATATACAATCCTCTAGCTAGACGGAAAAGTTCTCCAAGTCCCCACCCGACCCAGAGGGCCCAGCTGGCTTCACCTGTCAGTGTGTATCTGTAGTCCCAGAAACTCAGAAGGCTGACGTGGGAGAATCGCTGCAGCCCAGGAGGTCCAGGCTGTAGTGAGCCATGATTGTGCCACTGCATTCCATCCTGGGCCACGGAGTGAGACCCTGTCTTAAAAAAAAGTTTAAAGAAACAAGTCTTTATTTGATGCCTGAAAAGTGCTTAAGCAGTGTTGCTTGTTTGGGTTTCTTAAGCTAGGATAAGAGGATCCATGCCATAGGATTGTGCACTGTCCCATCTTTCTTTACTGAAGATTGGTTCTAGTGTGCATTATTTTTCTCTCCATTACTGAGATAAGGAACTTAGCTGCTTAATTGCCATTCAGGATTACAACAGTGTTTACAGAAAGTGGGCTTTGAGTACTGTTTTATTTATTTGTCTTAAAAATATGTATTTTAGGCTGGGTGCAGTGGCTCACGCCTATAATCCCAGCACTTTGGGAGGCCGAGGCGGGTGGATCAATTGAGGTCAGGAGTTCGAAAGAGTCCTGGTCAACATGGTGAAACCCCTCTCTACTAAAAATACAAAATTTACAAAATTTAGCTGGACATGTTTTCGCTTGCTTTAATCCCAGCTACTCAGGAGGCTGAGGCAGGAGAATCTCTTGAACCCAGGAGGCAGAGGTTGCAGTGAGAAGAGATAGCAATACTGCACTCCAGCCTGGGCAACAAGAGTGAAACTCTGTCTCAAAAAAAAAAAAAAAATATATATATGTATATACACATATATATGTGTATACACATATATATGTATATACACATATATATGTGTATACACATATATATGTATATACACATATATATGTGTATACACATATATATGTATATACACATATATATGTGTATATATATAGTTTAGATTTAAAATACCGGCCTGGTATTTTTAATCTATAGGAATCTCTAGGTTCTATATCCATCTTTTATCTACCTTTGCAAAAGAAGCTGCATAATTTATGACCCTGTTCAAAAACTGCTAATACCTTCTTTTTTCTTTTCTTTCTTTCTTTTTTTTTTTTTTTTTTTGAGACAGAGTTTCACTCTTGTTGCCCAAGCTGGAGTGCGATGGCGCAATCTCGGCTCATCGCAACTTCCGCCTCCTGGGTTCAAGCGATTCTCCTGCCTCAGCCTCCCAAGTAGCTGGGATTACAGGCGTACACCACCACACCCGGCTAAGTTTGTATTTTTAGTAGAGGTGGGGTTTCTCCATGTTGGTCAGGCTGGTCTCAAACTCCCGACCTCGGTGATCTGCCTGCCTCGGCCTCCCAAAGTGCTGGGTTTACAGGTGTGAGCCACTGCGCCCAGCGAAAACGATTAATATTTTCAAGATAGTGACAGCAGAGCATTAAACATAGTACAGGTCTTCTAAGCGTGGAGCCCTGTACCACTGCCCTGTCATACACCCATGAAGCCAGCCTTGTTTTTCACGATTTATTGAAGAAGCTGGACAATTTGTCTATAGAATTTCACTCAGGTTTTTTTGTTGTTGTTGTTTTGTTTTGTTTGTTTTTGAGACAGGGTCTCATTCTGTCACCCAGGCTGGAGTTGCCCAGGTGAGATCTCAGCTCACTGCAACCTCTCCCTCCCAGGTTCAAGTGATTCTCCTGCCTCAGCCTCTTGAGTAGCTGGGATTACAGACATTCACCACCATGCCCGGTTAATTTTTTTTTTAATTTTTAATTTTTAATAGAGACGGGGTTTCACTGTGTTGACCATGGCTGGTCTCGGACTCTTGGCCTCATGTGATGTGCCCGCCTTCGCCTCCCAAAGTGATGGGATTACAGACATGAGCCACCATGCCCGGCCAAAATTTCACTCAGTTTTAATTTTGCTGACTGCATTCCCCTGGTGTAAATTAACATTTTCCTCTGTCCTCTGAATTTCCTGCAAATTGGTAATTGCATCTAGAGGTTTAATCATATTACGATGTAATTTAGGGGGAAGACTACTTAAAGAGTGGTGGCTTGTTTTTTCATTAAGTGGCATATAACATCAGATTGTCTTTCTTTTCTCATTATTAGTAGCCATTGCTAATGCTTAGATTCTTTATTCATTAGAGGCTGCAAAATGGTAATATTCAAATTATATCATAGCTGGGAGTGGTGGCTCACGTATGTAATCCCAGCACTTTGGGAGGCGGAGGCGGGTGGATCACCCAAGGTCAGGAGTTCCAGACCAGCCTGGCCAACATGGTGAAACCTCATCTCTATTAAAAATATAAAAATTAGCTGGGCGTGGTGGCGGGCGCCTGTAATCCCAGCTACATGGGAGGCTGAGGCAGGAGAATCATTCGAACCCAGGAGGCGGAGGTTGCAGTGAGCCGAGATAGTGCCACTGCACTCCAGCCTGGGAGACAGAATGAGACTTGGTATAAAAAAAAAAAAATACAATATAATATATATATCATTATTTTCTTCATTTATTTGTTGGAATACTTATTTAATAAGAAACCTCGTGATTTTTGATCTGGTTACTCAGTGGTAGAGTTGTTAGGAAAGGCAAGATAAATACACACATTTTTCTCTTTATTTAAGTTATTGAAATGAAGAGATTATTTTCTTGTTTTCACCAAAGGTGACCAATTCTTTTTGCAAGCAACATCATTTATTAGCTCATCGTTTTAAACATCTCTGATGTGTTTTAGTCTAATGCAATTATTTTCTTTATTTCTTGCTCGAACTGCCTCATCTTTATTTAGTGGGAAACTCTTCAATTGGCCTTCAAGTAATTTTTTTTTTTTTTTGAGATGGAGTCTCACTTTGTCACCCAGGCTGGAGAGCAGTGCTATGATCTCTAGCTCACTGCAACCTCCGCCTTCCGGGTTCAAGCGATTCTCCTGCCTCAGCCTCCCGAGTAGCTGGGACTACAGGTGTGCCACCGTGCTTGGCTAATTGTTGTCTTTTATGTAGAGACGGAATTTCTCCATGTTCCCAGCTTGGTCCCAAACTCCTGGGCTCAAGTGATCCTCCTAGCTTGACCTCCCAAAGTGCTGGGATTACAGGCATGCTCCATCGCGCCTGGCTAAATTATAGTTTTGGTTTTGTTTTTTTTGAGACAGTGTCTCACTCTGTTGCCCAAGCTGGAGTGCAGTGATGTGATCACAACTCACCGCAGTCTCGACCTCCTGGGCTCACGCAGTTCTCCCATGTCAGCCCCCAAGTAGCTAGGACTACAGGTATGCACCACCATGGCGGGCTAATTTTTAAAATTTCTGATAGAGACTGGGTCTTGCCATGTTGCCCAGGCTGGTCTCAAACTCCTAGGCTCAAATGATCCTCCTGCCTTGGCATCCCAAAGTGCTGGCAATACAGGCATGAGCCACCTTGCTCAGCTGTGCTTTTATTTTATATAGGAAACTGATCTGTTATTTTATTTTATTTTTCCTTTTAAAAACTATTAACTTTGTATGAGATTTAATGTGGATCCTCTTCATTTATTTATTTGTTTATTTATTTATTTTTGGGACAGAGTTTGCCTCTTGTTCCCCAGGCTGCAGTGTAATGGTGTGATTTCAGCTCATTGCAACCTCTGTCTCCTGATTTCAAGAGATTCTCCTGCCTTGGCCTCCTGAGTCGCTGGGATTACAGGTGCATGCCACCACACTCAGCTAATTTTGTGTTTTTAGTAGAGATGGGGTTTCAGCATTTTGGCCAGGCTGGTCTCAAACTCCTGACCTGGAGTGATCCACCCGCCACGGCCTCCCAAAGGCTGGGATTACAGGCGTGAGCCACTGTGCCTGGCCTATTATTTATTTTGACTTTAAATTAGGTTCTCAAACTTTTAAGAAGGAAGGAGTAATTTAATATTGTCCTTCTAATTTTACAGATCTATAGTGCCACCTTCTGTTGTTTTTATGAGGAGTTTAAATATAGGGCATCCTACTTTCTGAGATCCGACTGCATCTCTGTTGGCCCCTCTGTTTTATTGGAACCCTTATCTTTCCTTTGTGCCCTTTGTTCAAAAACTACTTAAATCCTCAACACTCCTGGGAAGAGATTTAGCTGGTTAGTTTTGAGAGCTTATGGGGAGATCTCTCCCAGCCTATTCATATCTTACTGGAGATACCTTGCGCCAAAACCCTTGGGGTTTCCGATATCATTTTCAAATTGGCCATCTGAGTGTCCCAGTGAGTGCCTATTGGTTGTTTTGGAATTTATTTTATTTTATTTTATTTTACTTTTAGACAGAGTTTCGTTCTTGTCGCCCAGGCTGGAGCCCAATGGCGCAATCTTGGCTCACTGCAACCTCTGCCTCCCGGGTTCAAGCGAATTCTCCTGCCTCAGCCTCCCAAGTAGCTGGGGTTACAGGCTCCCGCCACCACACCTGGCTAATTTTTGTATTTTTAGTAGAGACAGGGTTTCACCATGTTGGCCAGGTTGGTCTCAAACTCCTGACCTCAGGAGATCCGCCCGCCTCAGCCTCCCAAAGTGAGCCACTGTGCCCGGCCTCTTTTGGAATTTTTACGTCTGGTGCCCTGTTTCTTCCTTCTGCTTCCTCCTGCACAGATGCTGATACCATTTATCTCTTGTGCCTTTTAGTGCTTTGGTGGTACCTGCTGGTGTTTTGGAGTTCCAGGGATTGCTGTACCATCTAGTTTGGTTGTAGATATCATTCAAGGATTTTTGTTTTTTCCATCCTAGCTGTTCTGTATCAGTTTTGTTTTTTAACTGAAAAATAACATTTTTGAACCAATAAGTATTTTTTTTTTGTATTTAGCTATTGAGCAGTCATTGTCATTAAGTTTCTGGCATAAAATAACACTTCTCATCTTCTTATGGGATGCTGATAGCTCAAGCGTATTAGTATTTTCAATCTTGGTAGGATTGTTTTGACCTAACTAGATTGGAAATACACACAGGACTACACCTCAAACTGCCAAAACTCATAAAAGGGCATGTTAGATTAGAATATCTATTCCTTTGATTTAGATATCCCTGTTTTTGAGACTCCATCTTATAGGAATAGAAGCATTTGTATCGAGAAACGTATATCCAAAGAGTTGTTTCGTTTTGTTTTGTTCGTTTGTTTTTGAGACAGAGTCTTGCTCTGTTACCCAGGCTGGAATGCAGTGGTGTGAGCTCAGCTCATGCAGTCTCCACCTCCCAGGCTCAAGTGATCCTCCCACCTCAAGCTCTTGAGTAGCTGGGACTACTTGAGACCACCACGCCTGGCTAACTTTTTAAAAATTTTTTTATAGAGACAGGGTCTCACTTTTTTGCCCAGGCTGGTCTTGAACTCCTGGGCTCAAGCAATCCTCCTGCCTCGGCCTCCTAAAGTGTTAGGATTAAGGGCATGAGCCATAGTTCACTGCCCTAAGATATTAAAGCAACATTGTTTGTAGTGCTTTTGTAAAAAAAAAAAAAAAAAGTTGGGAAAAAACCCTGTCTGTTCGTAATTGGGGAACGATTAGATTATTTGTAGAACACGTATCTCTGGGTTGATTATGTAGTTACTAAAATGAATTAGACACTTTGGGAGGCTGAGGCGGGCAGATCACGAGGTCAGGAGATCAAGACCATCCTGGCTAATATGGTAAAACCCTGTCTCTACTAAAAATTAAAAAAAAATTAGCCAGGCATGGTGGCAGGTGCCTGTAGTCCCAGCTACTTGGGAGGCTGAGGCAGGAGAATGTCGTGAACCCGAGAGGCGGAGCTTGCGGTGAGCCGAGATTGTGCCATTGCACTCCAGCCTGGGCAACAGAGCAAGACTCCATTTCAAAAAAAAAAAAAAATTCAGCTACAGCATTTTTTAGTAAATTAGGCTGAAGGTCTTCTGGTTCTCTTGGGATTATAACTTGATTTACTGTTTATAAGTGGTTAGAGCCTAGGCATTTTACTACTTTGTAAAATTGGAGATTGAATTGTAGAAAACATGATGTAAGGTGTGCATTTATGGATTGTATCTCCCCCAAAATGTTTACGTTGAAGCCCTGACACCCAATGTGACTTTATACAGGGATGGGGCCTGCATAAGGAGGTAATTAAGGTTAAGTGAAGTCATAAGGGTGGTCTTCACTCTAATAGGACTAGACTAGGACTGGTGTCCTACTAAGAAGAGGAAGAGATATAAGAGAGCTTTCCCTTTCTTTGCATGCACATGGAGAAGAGGCCGCGTGAGGACACAGTGAGAGTGTGACCATCTGTAAACCACGAAGAATGGCCTCACCAGATATCAACCTTGATGGCACCTTGACCTTAAACTTCCCAGCTTCCAGAGCTATGAGAAAACGAATTTCTATTGTTAAAGCCACCCAGTCTGTGGTATTCTAATATGGCACCCAGAGCTAATACCGTGTGACAGTTTTTTTTTTTTTCCTCTTTAGAAAAGGATATAACCCTAACCAGGTATAGTGATGCATGCCTGTAATCCCAGCAGTTTGAGAGGCCAAGGGAGGAGGATCACTTGAGCCCAGGAGTTTGAGACCAGCCCGGGCAACAAAGCAAGATCACCTTTACAAAAAAAAAAAAAAAAAATTAGCTAGGCATGGTGGCATGTACCTGTACTCCTACCTGCTGGAGAGGCTGAGGTGGAGGTTCACTTGAGCCCAGGAGTTTGAGGCTGCAATGAGCTGTGATTGCACCACTGTACTCCAGCCTGGGCAACAGCTCAAGATCCTCCCTCTAAAAAAAATAAATAAATCAATAATATAACCCTAAGGTTATGATTTTATTTCCCTGTAGGACACTGACTGATTTTATATTTAAAATAGCAGGCTTATTACCATATTTATTTTATCACTTTGTATAAATCCAGGTTTCTCATATCCTATTGAATCACTGTTGTCATTCTGCTGGTTTCCTCATTAAGGCAGGGTCTCACTGTATCACTCAGGCTGGAGTGCAGTGGCATGATCATGGCTCACTGCAGCCTTGACCTCCCAGGCTCAAGCATCCTCCCACCTTAGCCTCCTGAGTTGCTGGGACCACAGGCGTGAGCTAGCACACCCAGCTAATTTTTAAATTTTTTTTGTAGAAATGAAGTCTCCCTGTGTTTCCCAGGCGGGTCTCAAACTCCTGGGCTCAAGTGATCCTCCCACCTCGGTTTCCCAAAGTGCTGGGATTACGAGTGTGAGCCACCACTCTCAGACTTCATTAATGATTTATTTATTTTTATTTATTTATTTATTTATTTTTTGAGACGGAGTCTCACTCTGTCGCCCAGGCTGGAGTGCAGTGGCGCAATCTCGGCTCACTGCAAGCTCCGCCTCCTGGGTTCACGCCATTCTCCTGCCTCAGCCTCCCAAGTAGCCGGGACTACAGGCGCCCACCGCCACGCCCAGCTAATTTTTTTTTTGTATTTTTAGTAGAGATGGGATTTCACCATGTTAGATAGGATGGTCTCCATCTCCTGACCTTGTGATCCGCCTGCCTTGGCCTTCCAAAATGCTGGGATTACAGGCATGAGCCACCGCGCCTGTCCCACTAATGATTTAAATAAAATTTTGACATGTGTTCTGGACTGTTTTTGTGGGAATTACATTTTTACCAATTTGAGAAGTAGAGGGATTTTTTGTCCTTTAAGAAATCATAGTAAAATATATTTAACATAAAAATTTTTTATTTTAACCTTTTTTTTTTTTGTCAGAATTTCGCTGTGTCACCCGGGCTGGGTTGCAGTGGTGTAATGTCAGCTCACTGCAACCTCCGTGTCCTGGGTTCAAGCGATTCTCCTGCCTCAGCCTCCTGAGTAGCTGGGACTACAGGCACGCGCCACCGCGCCCAGCTAATTTTTGTATTTTTAGTAGAGACGGGGTTTCACCATGTTGGCCAGGCTGGTCTTGAACTCATGACCTCGTGTTCCGCCCACCTCAGCCTCCCAAAGTGCTGGGATTACAGGTGTGAGCCACCATGCCTGGCCGGGAGTTATTTTTAAATGAGAATGAAGTTTCTGTTTGGGATAATAAAAATATTTATAGTTGTATAGTGTTTGTTTCTACATAATAATGTAGATGTAATTAATGCCACTGAACTGTACACTTAAAAATGGTTAAAATAGGGCTGCACATGGTGGCTCACGCCTGTAATCCCAGCACTTTGGGAGGCCGAGGTGGGCCGATCATGAGGTCAGGAGCTCTTGGTAACTTCTGCCTCTGAATTTGCCTGTTCTTGATAGCTTGTATCAGTAGACTAAGAAGAAACATAAACTAATTAAAAAAAAGAAAAGAGTGTTAGTAATTTGAAGACATGAAAATACAAAGTTCTCTGGTAGAGTTAAATATATGGACAAACATAAAAACTTGTATTACTGTCATTTGGGTTTATAACTTTAAATTCTTTTATAACATTTAACACACAAATATAGTCCAGGCACGGTGGCTCACGCCTGTAATCCTAACACTTTGGGAGGCCAAGGCGGGTGGATCACTTGAGGTCAGGAGTTAGAAATCAGCCGGGCCAGCATAGTGAAGCCCCATCTCTGCTAAAAATACAAAAACATTAGCCAGGCGTGGTGGCGGGTGCCTGTAATCCCAGCTACTTGGGAGGCTGAGGCAGGAGAATTGCTTGAACCTGGGAGACGGAGGTTGCAGTGAGTCAAGATGACACGACTGCAGTCTAGCCTGGGCGACAGAGTGAGACTCTGTCTCAAAAACTAAATAAGTAAAAAATAAATAAATAAATAAAACACAAAAGTATAAACATAATATAAATCTATGCTAATGGATACACAATAAAAATATATCTTTTTTAAAGAGATGAGGTCTTGCTATGCTGCCTACACTGGACTCCTGGGCTCAAGCTCTCCCAAGCAGCTGGTCCTACAGGCACACACCACCACGTTTGGCTTCAAGACATAATTTCTGAATTCAATAATATAATGTAGGGAGTGGTGGAGCTGTAGTGGAGTAGAGTTTCTATATGTGAGTAAAGTTAAATTGTTTCAGATTAAAATAAATTGTTGTAAATCAAAACCACAATAAGGTATAACCTCATGCCCATTAGGATGGAACACACATACACACACACACACTCAGATGCTTCTCAACTTACGATGGGGTTACGTCTTGATAAACCCATCATAAGATAAAAATATTGTAAGCTGAAAATGCATTTACTACACCAGTACACTTAACCTACTTAACATCATAGCTTTACCTAGCCTACTTTAAATATGCTCAGATTGTTTACATTAGCCTGAAGTTGGGCAAAATCATCTACTGCAAGGCCTATTTTATAATAAAATACTGGATATCTTGTTTTTTTTTTTTTTGAGACAGAGTTTCACTCTTGTTGCCAAGGCTGGAATGCAATGGCACAATCTCAGCTCACTGCAACTTCTGCCTCCCGGGTTCGAATGATTCTTCTGCCTCAACCTCCCAAGTAGCTGGAATTACAGGTGCCTGCCACCACGCCCAGCTAATTTTGTATTTTCAGTAGAGATGGGTTTTCACCATGTTAGTCAGGCTGGTCTTGAATTCCTGACCTCAAGTGATCCACCTGCCTTGGCCTCCCAAATCGTTGGACAGGCGTGAGCCACCTTGGCCCAGCCAAAGTACTGGATATATAATATAATTTATTAACTACTGTACTGAAAGTGAAAGACAGAATGGTTGTATGGGTATTCAAAAATATGGTTTCTATTGAATGTGTATTGCCTTTGCAGCATGATAAAGTTGACAAATTATAGTGTAATTTTTAATTGTATTAAAAATTTTAGGACGGACGCAGTGGCTCACGCCTGTAATCCTAGCACTTCGGGAGGCTGAGGTGGGTAGATCACTTGAGGTTAGGAGTTTTAGATCAGCCTGGCCAACATGGCAAAACCCTGTCTCTATAAAAATAAAAAATTAGCCAGGCATGGTCATGGGCGCCTACTCGGGAGGCTGAGGCAGGAGAATCACTTGATACCAAGGGGCGGAGGTTGCAGTGAGCCGAGATCTTGCCACTTCACTCCAGACTGGGCGAAAGAGCGAAACTCCATCTCAAAAAAAAAAAAAAAAAAAAAGAAAATTAACATATTCTAAAAATAGGGGACTGTCTGTATATATAAAACAGAAAATAACAAATGTTGATGTGCATGTGGAGAAACTGGAACTGTTGTGCCTTGATTGTAGGAATGTGAAATGATGCAGCAGCTATGGAAAACAGTATGTTAGTTCCTCCAAAAATTACAAATAAAATTACCATATCATCATATCATCCAGTAATTCCAGTTCTGGATATATTCCCTGTCTTAATCTGTTTTCTGTTGCTTATAACAGAATATCTTAAACTGGGTGATTTATAAAGAAAAGGAATTTACGGTAATTCATAAAGAAAAGAAATTTATTTATCATAATTATGGAGGTTGAGAAGTCCAAGGTAGAGGTAGGGGCATCTCATGAGGGCCTTCCCGCTGTGGGGACTCTCTGAAGTGTCTCAAGGTGATGCAGGGCATCACATGGTGAGGGAGCTAGCTCTGGTCTCTTTCTCTTCTTATAAAGCTGCCAGTTCCCTTCCCATGATAACCCGTTAATCCACTAACCCCTTATTCCAGTAATCCATGGATAGATGAATCCATTCATGAGGGCAGAGCCTACGTGATGCAATTACCCCTTAAAGGCCCCACCTCTCAATACTATCACATTAGGGATTAAATTTCAACCTGAATTTTGGAGGGTACATTCAAACCTCAGCATACCCAAAAGAATTAAAAGCAAGGACACAAAGGTATTTTTATAGTCATGTTTATTGCACATTACTATTCACAATAGCTAAAATGTGGGAACAATCCAAGTGTAAATTGATTAATTAATAAATATTGTAAATTAATGGACAATGAAACATTTTATTCAGCCTTAAAAGGAAGGAAATTCTAACTGATCTACAACATTAATGAACCTTGAAGATGTTATACTGAGTGAAATAAGCCAGTCACAAAAGGAAAAATATTCTGATTCCATTTTTTTTTTTGAGAGAGTCTTGCTTGGGTTGTTCCCACATTTTAGCTATTGTGAATAATAATGTGCAATCAACATGACTATAAAAATACCTTTGTGTCCTTGCTTTTAATTCTTTCGGGTATGTTGAAGTTTGAATGTCCCCTCTGTTGCCCAGGCTGGAGTGCAGTGGCACGATCTTGGCTCACTGCAAGCTCCGACCCCTGGGTTCAAGCAATTCTCCTGTCTCAGCCTCCTGAGTAGCTGGGACTACAATTGCATGCCATCACGCCTGGCTAATTTTTGTATTTTTAGTAGAGACGGGGTTTCACTATGTTGACCAGGCTGGTCTCGAACTCCTGACCTCAGGTGATCCGCCCGCCTCAGCCTCACAAAGTGTTGGGATTACAGGCGTGAGCCACTGCACCCAGCCTCTAAGTACTCCTTATAAGAATGGAATCCTTGGCTGAGCGTGGTGGCTCACGCCTGTAATCCCAGCACTTTGGGAGGCTGAGGTGGGCAGATCACAAGGTCAGGAGATCGAGACCATCCTGGCTAACACTGTGAAACCCCGTCTCTACTAAAAAATAGAAAAAATTAGCTGGGCGTGGTGGAGGGCGCCTGTAGTCCCAGCTACTCAGGAGGCTGAGGCAGGAGGATGGCGAGAACCTGGGAGGCAGAGCTTGCAGTGAGCCAAGATTGTGCCACTGCACTCCAGCCTGACAGAGTGACAGAGCAAGACTCCATCTCAAAAAAAAAAAAAAGAAAAAAAAAGAATGGAATCCACTGGGTGTTGTCTCATGCATATAATCCCAGCACTTGGGGAGGCCGAGGCGGGTGGATCACCTCATCAGGAGTTCGAGACCAGCCTGACCAACATGGTGAAACCACGTCTCTACTAAAAATACAAAAATTAGCTGGGCGTGGTGGCAGGCGCCTGTAATCCCAGCTACTCAGGAGGCTGAGGCAGGAGAATTGCTTGAACCTGGGAGGTGGAGGTTGCAGTGATCGGAGATCACACCATTGCACTCCAGCCTGGGCAACAGAGAGAGACTCTGCCTCAAAAAAAAAAAAAAAGTGCTTAGCATATTCATATTCATAGAGATAGGAAGTAGAATGATGATTGCTAGGGATTGGGGATAGGAGTAAATATGGAAAAATCAACTAAACACAGAAGTAGGAATGGGAAGAAATTAGAGACAAAAAAAGTTATAAAACACACAGAAAACAACAAAAGGCAATAGTACGTCCTTCTCTATTAGTAATTGCTTTAAATATAAATAGATTAAAGTCCCTAGTCTTTAATTTACACCCACTTCTAAAAAGAGATAGATTGGCAGAATTTACAAAAAATAAAGAGGATCCAAATATATCCTGATTACAGGAGACTCACTTTTGATATAAGGACATGCAGAGGATAAACGTGAAAGCATGTCCCTCGTGCCTGCTGGGCCCCTGGGCAGGCCAGGAGCAGGCAGCAACAGGCGGGTAAGTGGGCAGGCGCCGTGGCCTATGGTCAGGGCAGAAGCCCAGGTCGCACAATATTAAAAAAAAAAAGAAAAAGAAAAAGAAAGTAAAAGGATGGATGAAAAAATATATTTCATGCAAACAAGAATAAAAAGAGAGCAAGGGTGACTATACTAATACCGGACAAAATAGAGTTTAAGTCAAAAACTGTTACAAGAGACAAAAAAGAACATTATATATAAATATATAAAATGACCATATTTATGATATGTGTATATATTATATATGTAATTGACCATATAAAATCATCAACTTACCAACAAAATTATACCAATTATAAATATATATGCATCGAACATCAGACCTTATATGAAGTAAACTTAACAGAATTGAGGTGAGAAAAAGCTCAACAGTAATTGTAGGAAACTTCAATACTCCCCTTTCAACAATTGATAGAACAACGAATGAAAATCATTAGGGAAACAGAAGACTGAAACAACACTATGGAACAATCAGACCTAACAGATATTTACAGAACACTCTGCTCAACAACAGCAGAATACCCATTTTTCTCAGGTACACATGGGAAATTCTCCAAGGATAGGCAACATGTTAGTTCACAAAACATGTCTTGCTACATTTTAAAAGATAGAAATCATACAAAGTATTTTTTTCCAATCACAAAGAAATGGAAACAGAACTAGAAGAAAGAAAAGTAGAAAAGTAAAAAAATATATATATGGAATTAAAGAACACACTCTTTTTTTTTTTTTGAGACAGAGTCTCACTGTGTCGCCCAGGCTGGAGTGCAGTGGCACGATCTTGGCTCACTGCAAGCTCTGCCTCCTGGGTTCACACCATTCTCCTGCCTCAGCCTCCCGAGTAGCTGGGACTACAGGCGCCCGCCACCATGCCCAGCTAATTTTTTTGTATTTTTAGTAGAGACGGGGTTTCACTGTGTTAGCCAGGATGGTCTCGATCTCCTGACCTCGTGATCCACCCACCTCAGCCTCCCAAAGTGCTGGGATTACAGGCGTGAGCCACCGCACCCAGCCAAGAACACACCTTAAACAATCTGTGGGTCAAGGAAGAAAACACAGAGATATTATAAAATATATTGTAACAAATTAAACAAAAGCACACAGTACCAAAATTTATGGGATTCAGGCCAGGTGTGGTGGTTCAAGCTTGTAATCCCAGGACTTTGGGAGGCCAGCATGGGAGGATTATTTGAGCCCAGGAGTTTGAGACCAGTCTGGGCAACAAGGCAAGACCCTGTCTCTACAAAAATAAAAAAAAATTAGCCAGATGCAATGGTGTGTAACTGTAGTCCCAGCTATTCAGGATGCTGAGGCATCAGATTGCTTGATCCCAGGAATTTGAGGCTAGAGACTATAGTGAGCCATGATCACGCCACTGCTCTTTAGACTAGGTGACAGAGCAAGACCCCACTTCTTTTTTTTTTTTTTTTTTCCTTTTTAGACAGAGTCTCACTCTGTCGCCCAGGCTGGAGTGCAGTCCAGGCACAATCCTCGCTTGATCTCAGCTCACTGCAGCCTCCGCCTCCCGGGTTTAAGCAATTCTCTTGCCTCAGCCTCCCCAAGAGCTGGGATTACAGGCGCGTGCCACCACACGGGGGTAATTTTTGTATTTTTAGTAGAGACGGGTTTCATCATGTTGGCCAGGCTGGTCTCGAACTTCTGACCTTGTGATCTGCCTGCCTCTGCCTCCCAAAGTGCTGGGGATTACAAGCGTGAGCCACCACGCCTGGTGCAAGACCCCACTTCTGAAATAAATAAATAAATAAATAGATAAATAGATAAACAATTTTGTAAAACTTATGAAATTCAGTAAAAGCAGTGCTAAAAGAGAAATTTACAGCTGTAAAAGCTCCTTTTTTACAGTTAAAGAGAAGAAAGATCTCAAACCAATAATTAAACTTTACACATTAAGGAACTAGAAAAAGAACAACTAAAACCAAAGCTAGCAAAAGGAAGGAAATAATAAGGATTAGGATAGAGATAAACAAAATAAAGAATAGAAAAGCAGTAGAGGAAAGGCTGGGCTCGGTGACTCATGCCTATAATCCCAGCACTTTGGGAGGCTGAGGTGGGTGGATCACTAGGTCAGGAGTTTGTGACCAGCCTGGCCAACATGGGGAAACTCTGTCTCTACTAAAAATACAAAAAATTATCGGGGCATGGTGGCAGGCACCTGTAATCCCAGCTACTCGGGAGGCTGAGGCAGGAGAATCACTTGAACCCGGGAGGGAGAGGTTGCAGTGAGCCAAGATTGTGCCACTGCACTTCAGCCTGGGCGACAGACCAGGACTCTGACTCAAAAAAAAAAAAAAAAAAAAAAGGAAAACAGTAGAGGAAATCAATAAAACCAAGAATGAGTTCTTTGAAAAGATCAACAAAATTGATTAATCTTTAAGTACATTGACTCTGAAAAAAAAAGAAGACTCAAATAACTAAACTTAGAAATAAAGGAGAGGACATTACAGCCAAAAATAATTATAAGAGAGTATTATTAACAATTGTACAGGCCAGGTGAGATGGCTCACACCTGTAATGCCAGCACTTTGGGAGGCTGAGGTGGGCACATTGCTTGAGGCCAGGAGTTCGAGACCAGCCAACATGGCGAAACCCCATCTCTACTAAAAATACAAAAATTAGCCGGGTGTGGTGGTGTGAGTGTAATCCCAGCTACTCAGGAGGCTGAGGCATGAGAATCACTTGAACCCAGGAGGCGGAGGTTGCAGTGAGCCAAGATTGTGCCACTGCACTCCAGCCTGAGTGACAGAGCCAGTGAGACTGTCTCAAAAACAAAAACAGTTGTACAACAACAAAATAGATAACCGATATAAAATGGATAAATTACTAGAAACACTTAACCTACCAAGAATGAATCATAACAAAATAGCGTATCTGAACAGGCCTATTACTAGGAAGGAGATTGAATCAGTAATTTAAAACTTCAAAAAGCCTAGTACTAGATGGGTTCACGGGTAAATTCTACCAAACATTATATTTATCGAAGAATTAACAAATACCAATACTTGATAAACTCTTCCAAGGAATTAAAGAGGAGGGAGCACTTCTGAATTGATTTTATGGGGCCACCATTACTCTGATATCAGACAAAGGCAATGCAAGAAAACTATAGCTCAATATGCCTGATGAATATTGATACAAAAATCCTCAACTTGATGTAGTGTCACTGTGCTTGGTAAATAATAATAATAATAATAAAATCCCAACAAAGTACTACAAAACAGAATTCAACAACACATTAAAAGGACTATACGCTTTGGGAGGCCGAGGCGGGCAGATCACGAGGTCAGGAGATTGAGATCATCCTGGCTAACACGGTAAAACCCCGTCTCCACTAAAAATACAAAAAATTGTCAGGCGTGGTGGCGGGCGCCTGTAGTCCCAGCTACTCGTGAGGCTGAGGCATGGATTTCTTGAATGTGATATCAAAAGCACAGGCAATAAAACAAAACAGATAAATTGGTCTTGGTTTGCAGACAGCTATTCTCTTCTCAAAATGTCTTCATGTAGCCTTTCCTTGGTGCATTCATACAGAGAGACAGAAAGCAGGTGGCAGGGAGAGAGAGAGAGAAATTTCTTTCTCTCACTCTTATAAGGGCATCAATGCCACAAGAGGATTCCACCTCCCAAAGTTCCCACTTCAAATACCATTACATTGGGGACTAGAGCTTCAACATATGAACTTTGGGTAGACACAAACATTCAACCCATAACACCATATGACCCAGCAGTCCCACTTCTGGGTATATACCCAAAGGAATTGAAAGCAGTAACTCAAAGAGATATTAGTGCATTCATGTTCATAGCAGATTTTTCACAATAGTCAAAAGGTAGAAGCAACCCAAGCGTCCACTGATAGATGAATTGATAAGCAAAATGTGGTATATACATGCTGGAATCTAATTTAGCCAGAAAAGGAAGGAAGCACTGATGTGTGTATATGGATGACCTCTCCCCCACTAACTTTTCTTTTTTTTTTTTGAGATGGAGTCTGGCTCTGTCGCCCAGTGGCGCCATCTCAGCTCACTGCAACCTCCGCCTCCCAGGTTCAAGCAGTTCTCTGTCTCAGCCTCCCGAGTAGCGGGGATTACAGGCGTGGTGCCTGGCTAATTTTTGTATTTTTAGTAGAGACGGGGTTTCACCATCTTGGCCAGGCTGGTCTTGAACTCCTGACCTCGTGATCCACCCACCTCGGCCTCCCAAAGTGCTGGGATTACAGGCATGAGCTACCGCGCCTGGCCCAACTTTTTTTAAAAAAGGAGCTGGGGTCTCAATCTGCTCACTGTGCTCATTCTGTTACCCAGGCTGCAGTGCAGTGGTGTGATCATGGCTCACTGCAACCTCAAACTCCTAGCTCAAGTGATCCTCCCATCCTACCTCTCAAGTAGCTAGCACTATAGGCATGCACCATTATGCCTGGCTAACTTTAAAATTTTTTAGATAGAGGGTCTTGTTGTGTTGCCCAGGCTGGTCTCAAATGCCTTGCCTCAAGCGATCTTCCTGCCTCAGCCTCCCAAAGGTATTGGGATTACAGCCATGAGTCCTGGCACTGGCCTGAATGAACCTTAACAATAATATGCTAAGCGAAAGAAGCCAGTCACAAAAAGACAAATACTGTATGACTCCATGACTCCACCTATCCAAGGTATCTATAGGAGTGAAATTCATAGAGATAGAAAATAGAATGATGATTGCCAGTGATTAAGTAAAATGGGGAATGGGGAGTTTTGGTTTAATGGGCATAGCTTCCGTTTTTTGAAATGAAAACATTCTAGAGATCTGTTACAAAACAATGTGAATATGCTGGGCGCGGTGGCTCACGCCTGTAATCCCAGCACTTTGGGAGGCCAAGGTGGGCGGATCACCTGAAGTCGGGAGTTCGAGACCAGCCTGACCAACATGGAGAAACCCCATCTCTACTAAAAATACAAAATTAGTTGGGTGTGGTGACCCATGCCTGTAATCCCAGCTACTCGGGAGGCTGAGGCAGGAGAATTGCTTGAACCCGGGAGGCAGAGCTTGCAGTGAGCCGAGATCGTGCCATTGCACTCCAGCCTGGGCAACAAGAGGAAAACTCTGTCTCAAAAAAACAAACAAACAAACAATGTGAATATAGTTAACACTACTGAATTATACACTTAAAATGGTTAAAATATGAAGTTTTATATTATGTGTTTTTTTGCCACAATTAAAAATTAGCCAAATACGATGGGTGACACCCATAATCCCAGCACTTTGGGAGGCTGAGGTGTGAGGATCCCTTGAATCCATGAGTTTGAGACCAGCCTGGACAACAATAGGGAGACATCGTCTCTACAGAAAATAAAAATAAATTAGTCCAAGCCAGGCACGGTGGCTCACGCCTGTAATCCCAACACTTTGGGAGGCTGAGGTGGGTGGATCACTTGAGGTCAGGAGTTTGAGACCAGCCTGACCAACATGGTGAAACCCCATCTCTACTGAAAATACAAAATTAGCCAGGCATGGTGGTGCACGCCTGTAATTCCAGCTACTTGGGAGGCCGAGGCAGGATAATTGATTGAACCCAGGAGGTGGAGGTTGCAGTGAGCTGAGATGGTGTCATTGCACTCTAGCCTGGGCAACAAGAGTGAAACTCGGTCTCAACAATAATAATAAACAAATAAATAAATTAGCTGGGCATGGTGGCATGCACCTGTGTTCCCAACTGCTCAGGAGGCTGAGGTGGGAGGATTGAGCCCAGGAGGTCAAGGCTGCAGTGAGCCATGATTGCAACACTGCACTCCAGCCTAGGTGACAGAATGATACCTTGTCTCTAAATAAATAAATAAAAATAAAAAAATTTGGCTGGGCGCAGTGGCTCACGCCTGTAATTTCAGAACTTTGGGAGGCTGAGGCGGGCGGATCACGAGGTTAGGAGTTCGAGACCAGCCTGGCCAACATGGTGAAACCCCATCTCCACTAAAAATACAAAAAAAAAAAAAAAAAAAAAGAAAATTTAAGAACAATGAAAAACTTCCAATGGTAAATTTTATGTTATGTATATTTTAGCCCAATTAAAAACAAAAAAGAGGCCGAAGTGTGATGGCTCATACCTATAATCCTAGCACTTTGGGAGGCTGAGGCCAGTGTGGATCACTTGAGCTCAGGAGTTCAAGACTAGCCGGGCAACATGGGGAAACCATGTTAGCCAGGCATGATGGCTTGCTCCTGTGGTTCCCAGCTACTTGGGAGGCTGAGATGGGAGGATCACTTGAGCCCAGAAAGTCAAGGCTGCAGTGAGCCATGATCATGCCACTGCACTTCAGCCTGGGTGAGAGTGAGACCCTGTCTCAAAAAAAAAAATTAAGAAAATTAAATAATAATATTAATAAAAGAACAGTGTTTAGGGAGGTTTTTTGGGGGTGGTGTTGAACTTTCTGGGCTCTAGGAACTTTTTGTCTCTTTGTATGTGAGTCTTACCTACTGGTAGAATCATTCCTTAGGTTCTGGAAGCCTAGAGAAGACCTAGAGGACCCAAGAGAAGAACATATGTTTAACAGATCCCTGAACCCTTTGCCTTCCCATTAAAAAGGCTGATCCATACATTGAGGCCTAAAACTCATATCTGAGGATAAGAGATTGGAATTTATAGAATCATGGAATTTATCTCAGAGGTGGATTTATGTAGTTCAACACATTTTTTTTTTAATCATCTTTATGATATTACTGCCAAGTGAATATCAAACCTATGTCACTGGTTTTTTAAAAAATAATACTGTTGGCCGGGCGTGGTGGCTCATGCCTGTAATCCCAGCACTTTGGGAGGCCGAGGCGGGTGGATCACATGAGGTCCGGAGTTCGCGACCAGCCTGGCTAACATGGTGAAACTCCGTCTCTACTAAAAATACAAAACGTTAGCCGGGCGTGGTGGCAGGCACCTGTAATTCCAGCTACTTGGGGGGCTGAGGCAGGAGAATTGCTTGAATGCAGGAGGCGGAGGTTGCTGTGAGCTGAGATGGCGCCATTGCACTCCAGCCTGGGCAACAAGAGTGAAACTCCATCTCAAAAAAAATTTTTTTTAATAATAATAATATTGTTCTGTTAACAAATTGAGCAAACCAAAAGGTATAGCAACATTTGTAAAAATTACCTGTCATTCAACTAATCATATATGAGCATTGTCAACATTTTGGCAAACAAACATCTGGATATCTCTCTTTTCCTGGATATCTCTTTATATACACTCTTCCACATAAATTAGCTCAAATTATGCAAAGTGATATCATAAAATATTTGTCCTTTTGTGACTGGCTTATTTCACTAAACATAATGTTTTCAAGTCTCACCCATGTTGTATCATGTACAGAATTTAATTCCTTTTTAAGCAGAATAATATCCACCACAATTTGTTTATCCATTCATCTGTCAGTGGACGCTTGTGTTGGGTCCTACTTTTGGCCATAGTGAATAATGCTGTTATGAACAAATATCCATTTGAGTTCTTGCTTTCAATTTTTTTTTTTTTTTTTTTTGGTGAGACTGAGACTCACTCTGTCTCCCAGGCTGGAGTGCAGTGGCACGATCTCGGCTCACTGCAACCTTCGCCTCCCAGGTTCAGGTGATTCTCCTGTCTCAGCCTCCCAAGTAGCTGAGACTACAGTCATGCACCACCACGCTCCAGTTAATTTTTGTATTTTTAGTAGAGATGGGGTTTCACCAAGTTGCTGAGGCTGGTCTGGAACTCCTGACCTCAAGTGATCTGCCCAACTCGGCCTCCCAAAATATTGGGATTACAGGCGTGAGCCACTGCGCCTGGCCTATTTTTTTCTATTTCTGATGCTTTGCCATTGGGAGCCTTCCTGATCCTGGAGGCACAACCATCCAGGCACAACCATCCAGGTTAGGCAACGCCTAGAGATAGTGAAGAACTCACCTGGAAGTGTGCCTTGTATGTGGAAACCAACCAATCCAGAGCCCACACCCCAACCAACTTAATTATCAGGCTGTCACACTTCTCACTGCTCTTCCCCTGTCTTAACTCACTCCAGGGCCAGATACCGGAGCAGGAGAGACAGCCCTTGTGCCCCAGAGAGCCTGCTGAAATTATTCTCACTAGCCAACCCTAAACCTGCTTACCCTGCCTTGCCTGTTCCTTCCCTTGGAAACCACAGTGGAGGTTCTCACCCATGTTTTCCCCTCCTTCCCTCTGCCTTCTGACCTACCTTGCTGTTTCCCTGCGTGGCCTCTGTGTGGTGTGGCATTGTGTGCTCTGTCCTTTTGGGACTGTGAGTAACAAACTATCTTTTTTATTGCAATTGCCTCTTGATCCATTGGCCTCATGTACCTGAACAAGAATAAAACTTGGGCTGGGCATGGCGGCTCATGCCTGTAATCCCAGCACTTTGGGAGGCCACAGTGGGAGGATTGCCTCCCAGGAGTTTGAGACCAGCCTGGGCAACATGGCAAGACCCCATCTCTATTTTTTAATATAAAATAAATGGGCCGGGCGTGGTGGTGACACCTGTAATCCCAGCACTTTGGGAGGCTGAGGCAGTCGGATCACCTGAGGTCAGGAGTTGGAGACCAGCCTGACTAACATGGTGAAACCCTGTCTCTACTAAATACAAAAAATTAGCCGGGCGTGGTGGCACATGCCTGTAATACCAGCTATTTGGGAGGCTGAGGCAGGAGAATCGCTTGAACCTGGGAGGTGGAGGTTACAGGGAACAGAAATCGCACCATTGCACTCCAGTCTGGGCAACAAGTGTGAAACTCTGTCTCAAAAAAAAGTATATATATATATATATATATATATATATATATATATATGTTGTATGTATGTGTATATATATGTGTGTGTATATATATATGTATATATATATGTGTATATATATGTATGTGTGTATATATATATGCCGTTTGCTAGCTGTCTTTTAATTGGAGAATTTAAACTATTTACATTTGAAATAATTACTGATAATGAAGAACTAACGTCTACCATTTTGCTATTTGTTTTCTATATATCACACATATATATATATATATTTTTTTTGTTTTCTTTTTCTTTTTCTTAGACAGGGATTAAGATCTGTCTAAGAAATCATGCCACTCAACTGTGTTGCCCAGACTGTGGTGCAGTGGCATGATCACAGCTCACTGCAGCCTTGGCCTCCTGGGCTTAAGCGAGCCTTCTGCTTCAGCCTTCCAAGGCTGAACCATCATACCTAGCTAATTTTTAAATTTTTTTGTAGAGATGGGGTCTCACTATGTTGCCAAGGCTGGTCTTGAACTTGCAGGCTCAAGCAATCCTCCCACCTTCCCCTCCTAGTTTTGGGATTACAGGCTTGAGCTACTGTGAACAGCCCTAACTCTAGTTTTTATCTGTTTCTCTGCAATTTTGTATGTATGTTTTTAAGGGATGGGGTCTCATTATGTTGCCCAGGCTGGTCTCAAACTCCTGGCCTTAAACAATCTGACTGCCTTGGCATCCCAAAATGCTGGGATTACAGGCATGAGCCACCACACCTGGACTGCAATTTTGTTTCTTTTACCTCTTGTTCATAATGGCTTCTTCTTACTAATTTTAAATACCCACTTATTCATTTTAAGTAGGTAGAAACATCTATCTATTATCTCCCGAAGTAGTATTCCTTGATTACTTACATATTGAGTTGCATTTAAAAACTTATAAATTACTTTATTTTAATTTTGTCTTTTTATTCTAGTCATGGAATTATATTGCCTGTTTTTTAAAACTATGATTCTGGATCAATCATATATTCTATGAATCTTTTATCCGGACAATAAAAGAAATGTCAAAATGTTTGTATGAGATGATATGGCAGTATGGGTTCATCAGTTATAACAAATGTGCTGCTTTGATGTGTGATGTTGATACCAGAGAAGGCTGTGTCAGGGCAGGGAGTATATGGGAACTATCTGTACTTTCCACTCAAATTTACTGTGAACCAAAAACTGCTCTAAAAAGTAAAGTCTAGGCTAGGCCTGTAATCCTAGCACTTTGGGAGGCCAAGATAGGCAGATCACTTGAGGTCAGGAGTTTGAAACCAGCCTGGCCAACATGGTGAAACCCTGTCTCTACTAAAAATACAAAAAAATTAGCCAGGTGTGGTGGCAGGTGCCTGTAATCCCAGTTACTCGGGAGGCTGAGGCAGGAGAATTGCTTGAACCCGGGAATCGGAGGTTGCAGTGAGCCGAGATTGTGCCACTGCACTCCAGCCTGGGCAATGGAATGAGACTCTGTCTCAAAAAAAAAAAAAAAAAAAAAAAGGTAAAGTCTATTTTTAAGACTTTATACGAAAAGAGAACGAAAAAAAGGTAAAGTCTATTTTTAAGACTTTATACGAAAAGAGAACATTAGGTCTAATAGGGCTGAGAAGTTTACACATTGCATTTGCTTGTTTCATGGGTAAACTCCCTCTCTTTCTTCACACTTGATTTGTTACAGAAAACAGGACATTTTGCAGTATACTTTCTCTTAAGAATTTTGCAGCCAGCCGTGGTGGCTCACGCCAGTAATCCCAGCACTATGTGAGGCCAAGGCAGGTGGATCACTTGAGCTCAGGAGTTTGAGAGTAGCCTGGGCAACATGGCAAAACCCTGTCTCTGCAAAAAATACAAAAATTAGCCAGGTATGGTGGTGCATGCCTGTATTCCCAGCTACTCAAGAGGCTGAGGCAGGAGAATCTCTTGAACCCAGGAAGCGGAGGTTGCAGTGAGCCGAGATTGGACCACTGCACTCCAGCCTGGGTGACAAAGTGAGATTCTGTCTCAAACAAACAAACAAACAAAAACCATTATTTGATGGTTTCACGGTGAGCCAGGTGCAGTGGAGTCCCTCTTACTAGGGAGGCTGAAGCATTAGGAACTCAGGAGTTTGAGACCAGCCTGGGCAACATAAAGATACCCTGTCTCTAAAATAAATGAAGATTGCTTGGATGGTGGTATTTTGTACAAGAGGCACATCATGTTCAGTTGTTGCTCTGGCTGTGAAATTAAGATTGATCACTGCATTTAGGTATAGTCAGCCTGCTTCATCCATTGTAAAGTTCCCCGTCTGCTTTCCATCTAATGGCTTAGTATTACCTAATAGTTGCTGATCATTGCCTTTTATTATTTCACTAAGTGTTTATTGCCTGGATTTATTATTTCACTAAGTGCTATATTTCCCCAAACAAAAACAATTAGTGAGAAGAGTGGCATTAATTTACATTTTTGCAAGTCTCTTTAGGTCTGGCTCAATATAAGAAAGCTACATTTCATGGCTATTTCTGCATTAAATAGTTTGTGATACCACATGTCATGTAGCCTCTGAGTAACTGTGGCACTGACTACCCAGAGAGAATGTCAGTGAAAAGGCAAATAAAGTCTTACTGTTATTACAGAAAGCTTTGACCTTGAGGATCCCCAATGGAAGGGGATTCTCAAGGATTCTAGAACACATTGTGAGAACTATAAAGGCACAGGGTCTCAATTCATAAAGTATACTTTACTATTATCCCAGACAGCAGTATCTGATGTAAAGACTCAGTCAATGTTTACTGGTAATGATGATGGATTTTAACGTTCGTTTTTAATATGGAAAACTTCAGTGATCAATGTTGTCATTTCTGGATTTTATGTTTATATAATTTTTTTCCTAACATTTTAATTGCTTAATGTTTCTGTCTGAAAATTTACTCTATCCTTGTTTTATATGCATGAAAATATATGCATTAGGAGATGCTCAATCTATGTTAATTACTTAAAAATCTTTCCAATTGTTGGAAAAGACCTGCCACTGGAATTCAGTGATGACTTTCTCATGATTTTGTTTAATTGGAGGTATTACAAATAAAGAAAACCAGTAACTTTCCTTCTGGCTGTTGTCTGGTTGCCTACCCCTCCTCATTTTTTCTTCTTTCTCTGCCTTTTTCGTTTTTTTTTTTTTTTTTGAGACAAGAGTTTCACTCTTGTCGTGCAGGCTGGAGTGCAATGGAGCAGTCTTGGCTCACTGCAACCTCCACCTCCCAGTTTCAAGCGATTCTCCCGCCTCAGCCTCCTGAGTAGCCAGGATTACAGGCACGTGACACCACACCTGGCTAATTTTTGTAATTTTAGTAGAGACAAGGTTTCACCACTTTTCCCAGGCTGGTCTGGAACTCCTGACCTCAGGTGATCCGCCTGCCTTGGCCTCCCAAAGTGCTGGGATTACAGGCATGAGCCACCGTGCTCAGCTATTTCTCTGCCTTTTTCAGAACTTGCTGTTTCCAGTTTCCACAGACCTCTAAAGTGCAACCCAGGAGGAGGTGCACTACACTTCAAAATAACTTCTCGTGTTTCTAATTTATACAGACAAAAATCTGGGGAACATGTGTAGGAATGAATATGAAGGGCCTGAGAGAAGAGTGGAAGAAAACATAAAGTTGTACTAGGCCAAGGCCGGGCATGGTGGCTCACGCCTGTAATCCCAGCACTTTGGAAGGCCGAGGCGGGCGGATCACGAGGTCAGGAGATCGAGACCATCCTGGCCAACATGGTGAAACCCCCATCTCTAGTAAAAAAAAAAAAAAAATACAAAAAATTAGCTGAGCGTGGTGGCGGGTGCCTGTAGTCCCAGCTACTCGGGAGGCTGAGGCAGGAGAATGGCGTGAACCCGGGAGGCGGAGCTTGCAGTGAGCCGAGATTGCGCCACTGCACTCCAGCCTGGGCAATGGAGCGAAACTCTGTCTTAAAAAAAAAAAAGTTGTATTAGGCCAAATTTATTGTTATGAACCCATTAAGCAGAGATTCTGCATTTAGTGTTGCAGCTTTGGGAATTAGAAAGGGTTCTAACAGTTAGTTAGGTTGGTTGGCTGACACATGGACTATAAAGTGGCCCACAGTAAATGAACTTGAAATGCCAGACCTATCTCGGTTTACTGAAGGGAAAGGATTCAAAAGCTTAGAAAGATTGGAATGTTAGAGTGGATTTGTCATTCAAGACTTACTCATCCATCCTGGGAGGGCCCTGTGGACACACCTTTCTTTCTCTCTCTCTCTTTTTTTTTTTTTTGAGACAGTCTCGCTGTCACCCAGGCTGAGTGCAGTGGTGTGATCTTGGCTCACTGGAACTTCCTCCTCCCGGGCGTGAACCACCGTGCCCAGCCTAGGACACACCTTTCATCATGACTCTGAGAAAACAAATATCTGAGGGGAGCCCCAACCCTGCGATCACTCTTCTCTTTAGGCCAGAAATTATACTGGGAAATTACTGCCACTAAATTGGGAAACCTAAATACAATGAGAATAGTTGAACCCCAGGGTGGCAGGTGCAAGGTGGATGTGGTTACTGTAATGGACAGCAGAGTCAAAGTGGCAATCCAAGTAGTCTAACTCTGGGAGACCTGTGGTGTCGGCAAGTTAACCACAGTGTTCTAGGAGTGACATAGATAGGATGGTTACCAAATTTTGACTTGGTCTGTAGACGCAGAAAAGCTCTAAGTCAGATGAACACATGCCTAACCTGAATCATAAAAACAGAATCGTAGCCCTTTAGTCAGTTCCCAGTCTTTTTTTTTTTTTTTTTTTTTGAGACAGAGTCTCACTCTGTTGTCCAGCTAATTTTGGCTGGAGTGCAGTGGTGGGATCTCGGCTCACTGCAAACTCCACCTCCCAGGTTCAAGCAATTCTTGTGCCTCAGCCTCCCAAGTAGCTGAAAATATAGGCATGCACCACCATGCTTGGCTAATTTTTTTGTATTTTTAGTAGAGATGAGATTTCACCATGTTGGCCAGGTTGGTCTGGAACTCCTGACCTCAAGTGATCCACTGGCCTCAGCCTCCCAAAGTGCTGGGATTACAGGTGTGAGCCACCATCTTCGGCCCCAGTTCTCAGTCTTGACACAATTTACAAACCTAGAACCCTAGGAATGAAAGAAAGGTTGGGTCACCTTGAGGAAGAAACTTGGTACACTGTCAAACATTTATACAATTGTTACGCTTTCTTTTAGCCTTTCCCGAAGGGACCTTTAGCTTTTTATCGGGGTGACTATGTATTGGGGAAAAGGAAATAATCAGCCTTTTGGGGTTTACTGGACACTGACTGTCAAATCTCAGAAGACCCAAAAGGTCACTGTGGCCTGCCAGTCAAATTGTGGGCATTTGGTCAATAGAGTTTTAGCTGAAGTCCATCATCTCACAGTGGGCATAGGTTGTACCCAAACCCATTTGATGGTTCTTCCCCTAGTTCCAGCATGCATATTTGCAATAGACATACTCAGCATACTGGCAGAAGGCCCACATTGGTTCCCTGACCTGCGGAGTTAGGGCTATTCTGTGGGAAAGGCCAAGTAGAAGCCACTAGACCTGTCTCAATCTAGAAAAATCATAAAGCAAAAGCAAAAACACATTCCTGGAGTGACTGCAGGGATTAATATCACTGTCGAGACCTTGAAAGATGCAGGGGTGGTGATTCCCACCACACCTCCATTCAACTCATCTATTTGGCCCCTGTGCCAGAAGACAGAGGATCTTGGAGAATGACCATGGGTTGTCATTAGCTTAACCAGGTGATGACTCCAATTGCAACGTTGTACCAGATGTGGTTTCATTGCTTGAGCAAATTGACACATCTCCTGGTAACTGGTATGCAGCTATTGAGTTGGCAAATGCTTTCTTCTCCACACTGTCCGTAAGGTCCACCAGAAGTAGTTTGCTTCTAGCTGGCAAGGCCAGTAATACACTCTCACTGTGCTACATCAGAGATACATCAACCCTCCAGTCCTATGTTATAATTTTCACAGGGATCTGTTTTTTGGGTTTTTTTTTTTTTTTTTTTTTTGCTTTTGTTTTTGTTTTTTTTGTTTTTTGTTTTTTTGAGACAGGGTCTCACTCTGTCACCCAGGCTGGAGTGCAGTGGCCCAATCACAGCTCACTGCAGCCTCAACATCCTGGGCTCAGGTGATCCTCCCACCTCAGCCTCAAGAGTAGCTGGGACTACAGGTGTTCACCACCACATCCAGCTACTTTTTTGTATTTCTTGTAGACATGGAGTCTCACTAAGTTGTCCAGGCTGGTATTGAACTCCTGGGCTTAAGTGATCCACCCACCTTGACCTCCCAAAGGGCTGGGATTACAGGCATGAGCCACTGAGCCTGGCCCATCACAGGAATCTTGATCATCTTTCCCTTACAACAGGATATTACATTGGTCCATTACATTGATGGTACCATGTTGATTGGAACTAGAGAGCAAGAAGTTGAAACTACTTTAGAGTTACTGGTAAGCCACTTACATATTAGAGAATGGAAATAAATATGACAAAAACTCAGGGGGCTTCTATCTCAGTGTAATTTCTAGTTGTGTGGGGTATGTGGAGATATCTCTTCTAAGGTGAAGGATAAGTGTTACACCTGCCCCCAACTATAACCAAAATAGAGGCATAACACCTAGTGGATCTGTTTGGATTTTGGAGGCAATATCTTTTGCATTTGGGTGTACTACTCCAGACCATTAGTCAAGTGAACAAAAAAGTTGCTAGTATTGAGTGGCACCTAGAGCAAGAGACGGGTCTGTAACAGGTCAAAGCTGCCACTGGGCTGTGTGATCTAGCAGATCCAATGCTGCCTGAAGTGTCAGTGGAAGACAGGGATGTTATCTGGAGCCTTTGGCGGGCCCCTATAGGTGAATCGCAGAGCAAGCTCATAGGATTTTGAAGGAAAGCTCTGCCATGCTCAGCAGATAACTACTCTCTTTCTGAGAAAGACCTTCTGGGCTGCTACTGGGCCTTTCTTGAGACTGAATCCTTAACCACGGGCCACCAAGTTATCATTTGACTTGAGCTATCCATTATGAATTAGGTGTTCTCTGACCCACCAAGCCATAAAGTTGGGCGTGTACAGCAGCATTCCATCATCAAATGGAAATGGTGCTTACTAGATTAGGCCCTGAAACACAAGTAACTTACATTGGCCAGGCACAGTGGCTCACACGTGTAATCCCAGCACTTTGGGAGGCCAAGGTGGGCGGATCACTTGAGGCCAGAAGTTCAAGACCATCCTGGTCAACATGGTGAGACCCCGTCTCTACTAAAAATACAAAACCTAGCCAGGCATGGTGGTGGATGTCTGTAATCCCAGCTACTCAGGAGGCTGAGGCATGAGAATCACTTGAACCTGGGAGGCGGAGGCTGCAGTAAGCCAAGATCTCGCCACTGCATGCCAGCCTGGGCCTGGCCAACAGAATAAGACTCTGTCTCAAAAACAAAAACAAAAGCAACCACAACAAAAACCAAAAAACAAACAAACAAAAACACCAAGTAACTTACATGAAGCATTCGCCTGAATGCCCATGATAGCCATTCCTACTACATCGCCTTCTCTTTCCCTGCCTGCATCTATGTTGATAGAGGAAGGGAAGACTCAGGTCCATGATATGCAGACACCGCCTGGAAGTGAACAGTTGCAGTACTGCAGCCCTTTCTAGGACAGCCCTGAAGGACAGCAGTAAAGAACTTCCAGTGGGCAGAATTACCAGTAGGCAAAACTTGGGACAAGGAATAGGTTGTTCATTTTGTTAGAAGGAGAAATGGCCAGATGTATAATTATGTACCAATTCCTGGGCCGTGGCCAGTGGTTTGGCTGGATGGTAAGGGACTTGGAAGGAACATGATTGGAAAATTGGTGACAAGGAAGTCTGGGGAAGAGGCATGTGAATAGATCTCTGAATGGGCAAAAAATGTGAAGATATTTGTGTCTCATGTGAATGCTCACTAAAGAGTGACCTCCCAGCAGAGGAGTATTTTAATAATCAAGTGGATAAGATTACTCATTCTGTGGACACCAGTTTGCTTCTTTCTCAAGCTACTGCTGTTGTTGTCCATTGGGCTCATGAACTTAGTGGTCATGGTGGCAGGGATGGAGTTTAGGCATGAGCTCAGCAACATGAACTTCCACTCTCCAAGGCTGACTTGGCTAAGGCCACCACTGAGTGCCCAATCTGCCAGCAGCAGAGACCAACACTGAGTCCCTGATATGGCACCATTCCCCAGGGTGATCAGCCAACTACCTGAATGGATTCCTTTCACCATGGAAGCAGCATTGCTTTGTTCTTACTGGAATAGACACTTACTCTGGGTACAAATTGGTCTTCCTTGCAAGAAATGCTTCTGCCAAAACTACCATCTGTGCATTTACGTAGTGTCTTATCCACCACCATGGTATTCCACAAAGCATTGCTTCTGATCAAGGAACTCAATTTACAGCAGATGAAGAGTGGTGATGGGTCCCTAATCATGGAATTCACTGGTCTTATGGTGTTCTCTACCATCCTGAAGCAGGTGGCTTGATAGAACTGTGGAATGGCCTTTTGCAGACTCAGTTACAGTGTCATCTAAGTGGCGATACTTTCCAGCTGGGGCAAGGTTCCCCAAGAGGCTGTATATACTCTGAATCAGTGTCCAAATATAGGGTGCTATTTCTCCCATAGCCAGGATTTTTGGGTCCAAGTATCAAAGGGTGGAAATGGGAATGGCACCACTCACTATTACCCCTTGTGATCTACTACCAAAACTTTAGCCTCCCGGGTTCAAGTGATTCTTCTGCTTCAGCCTCCCGAGTAGCTGAGACTACAGGCATGTGCCACCATACCTGGCTAATTTTGTATTTTCAGTAGAGATGGGGTTTCTCCATGTTGGTCAGGCTGGTGTCGAACTCCCGACCTCAGGTGGTCCACCTGCCTCAGCCTCCCAAAGTGCTGGGATTACAGGCATGAGCCACCATGCCCAGGCTTTTAAAAAAATTTTAAAAGAGATAGATCTCACTATGTTGGCCAGGTTGGTCTTGAACACCTGGTCTCAAGCGATCTTTGCACCTCAGCCTCCCAAAGTGCTAGAATGACAGGCATGAGCCACCATGCCTGCATGCTTGGCTTGCTTGCTTGCTTTTTCTTTCTTTCTTTCTTTCTTTCTTCCTTTCTTTCTTTCTCTTACTTTCATGATGTTGGTATTCTTGCTTTTTTGCTCCAGTTCTACTTTCTTTTTTCTTTTTTTGAGATGGAGTTTTGTTCTTTCTCCGAGGCTGGAGTCAAATGGCATAATCTCAGCTCAAAGCAACATCCGCCCCCCGGGTTCAAGCAATTCTCCCTCCTCAACCTCCCTAGTAGCTGGGATTATAGGTGCCCACCACCACGCCCAGCTAATTTTTGTATTTTTAGTAGAGACAGAGTTTTGCCATGTTGGCCAGGCTGGTTTCGAACTCCTGACCTTAAGTGATCCAACCGCCTCGCCCTCCCAAAGTGCTAGGATTACAGGCATGAGCCACTGCACCTGGTCTGCTCCAGTTCTATTTTCTAATAGTATTTTATTATTGTCATATTATATTATGAAATGACACTTTTTTTTTTTTTGAGGTGGAGTCTCACTCTGTTGCCCAGGCTGGAGTACAGTGGCACGATCTCGGCTCACTGCAAGCTCCGCCTCCCGGGTTCACGCCATTCTCCTGCCTCAGCCTCCCGAGTAGCTGGGACTACAGGGGCCCGCCACCACACCCGGCTAATTTTTTCTATTTTTTTAGCAGAGATGAGGTTTCACCGTGTTAGCCAGGTTGGTCTCTATCTCCTGACCTCATGATGCGCCCACCTCAGCCTCCCAAATTGCTGGGATTACAGGTGTAAGCCACCGCACCCACCCGAGATAACACTTTTACGCCAGTTAGAATGGCGATCATTAAAAAGTCAGGAAACAGATGCTGGAGAGGATGTGGAGAAATAGGAACGCTTTTACACTGTTGGTGGGAGTGTAAATTAGTTCAACCATTGTGGAAGACAGTGTGGCGATTCCTCAAGGATCTAGAACTAGAAATACCATTTGACCCAGTGATCCCATTACTGGGTATATGCCCAAAGGATTATAAATCATGCTGCTATAAAGACACATGCACACGTATGTTTATTGCGGCATTATTCACAATAGCAAAGACTTGGAACCAACCCAAATGCCCATCAATGGTAGACTGGATTAAGAAAATGTGGCACATATACACAATGAAATACTATGCAACCATAGAAAAGGATGAGTTCATGTCCTTTGCAGGGACATGGATGAAGCTGGAAACCATCATTCTCAGCAAACTATCACAAGGACAGAAAACAAAACACTGCATGTTCTCACTCATAGGTGGGAATTAAACAATGAGACCACTTGGACACAGGGCAGGGAACATCACACACCGGGGCTTGTCGGGGGGTGGGGGGCTGGGGGAGGGATAGCATTCGGAGAAATACCTAATGTAAATGACGAGTTGATGGGTGCGGCAAACCAACAGGGCGCATGTATACATATGTAACAAACCTGCACGTTGTGCACATGTACCCTAGAACTTAAAGTATCATTAAAAAATATATAAAAATAACACTTTTAAAATTACCTTCATATTATTTGCTTGAATGCTTTACAAACATGCATTTTGCGATTTGAAGCCTAGAGTTTTATTTATTTATTTATTTATTTTGAGACGGAGTCTCGCTCTGTCGCCCAGGTTGGAGTCCAGTGGAGCGATCTCCGCTCGCTGCAAACTCTGCCTCCCGGGTTCACGCCATTCTCTTGCTTCAGTCTCCGGAGTAGCTGGGACTACAGGCGCCCGCCACGACGCCCGGCTAATTTTTTGTATTTTTAGTAGAGACAGGGTTTCACTGTGTTAGCCAGGATGGTCTCAATCTCCTGACCTCGTGATCCGCCCGCCTTGGCCTCCCAAAGTGCTGGGATTACAGGCATGAGCCACCACGCCCGGCTTGAAGGCTAGAATTAATAACAGGTGTCATAGAAGTTAGCTATCACGGCCGGGTGCAGTGGCTCACGCCTGTAATCCCTGCACTTTGAGGGGCAGAGGTGGGTGGATCACCTGAGGTCAGGAGTTCGAGACCAGCCTGGCCGATATGATGAAGCCCCATCTCTACCAAAAATACAAAAAATTAGCTGGGTGTGGTGGTGCACGCCTGTAATCCCAGCTACTTGGGAGGCTGAGGCAGGAGAATTGCTTGAACCCAGGAGGCAGAGGTTGCAGTGAGCCGAGATTGCACCACTGCACTCCAGCCTGAGCAACAAGAGCGAAACTCCATCTCAAATTTAAAAAAAAAAAAAAAAAAGAAGTTAGTTATCACAAAGTGATTGCTTATTACGTCAACTTTCCAATGTTATTTTTCAGCAGGATTAATGTGGTATTTAACTTAATACATATGGACCAGATAGTTGTCTCCACTGTGCTCTCCTAAGTCACTATTCATGAATATAGTATGAAAAATAACATTCTAGGCCAGATGTCTTGGCTCATGCCTGCCCTAGCACTTTTAGAGGCCGAGGCAGGTGGATAGCTTGAGTCTAGGAGTTTGAGACCAGCCTGGCCAATATAGTGAAATCCCATCTCCACAAAAAATACAAAGATTAGCTGGGCATGGTGGCTTGCCTGTAGTCCCAGCTACTCAGGAGGCTGAGGTGGGAGGATCACTTGAGTCCGGGAGATGGAAGTTGCAGTGAGTCAAGATCGTGCCACTGCACTCCAGCCTGGGCGTCAGAGGGAGACCCTGTCTCAAAAAACAAAAGAAAAAGAAAAAGAACATTCTAAATATAAAGGTGATAATATCTCCACACCCTGGAAATTTATATTTTCATTAATAAATTTTAAAACCTTTTTATTGGCCGCATGTAGTGGCTCACGCCTGTAATCCCAGCACTTTGGGAGGCCAAGGTGGGTGGATTACCTGAGGTCAGGAGTTCGAGACCAGCCGGGCCAACATGGTGAAACCCTGTCTCTACTAAAAATTCAAAAATTAGCTGGGCGTGATGGCAGGCGCCTATAGTCCCAGATACTTGGGAAGCTGAGGCAGGAGAATCGCTTGAGCCTGGGAGGTGGAGGCTCCAGTGAGCCGAGATCGCACCACTGCATTCCAGCCTGGGCAACAGAGCAAAACTCTGCCTCAAAAAACAAACAACCAAAAAAAAAATCCTTTCTTTTCTTTTTCTTTCTTTCTTTTTTTTTTTTTTTTTTTTTTGAGACGGAGCTTTTGCTCTTGTACATGCTGGAGTGCAGTGGCATGATCTTGGCTCACTGCAACCTCTGCCACCCGGGTTCAAGCGATTCTCCTGCCCCAGCCTCCTGAGTAGCTGGGATTACAGGCGCCTGCCACCACGCCCAGCTAATTTTTTGTATTTTTAGTAGAGACAGGTTTCATCATATAGGTCAGGCTGGTCTCGAACTCCTGACCTTGGGTGATACACCCACCTCGGCCTCCCAAAGTGCAGGGATTAGAGGCGTGAGCCACCACACCTGGCCAAAAACCTCTTATTTTCAAATAGTCATAGAACTAAAGGAGGCATTTTTTTCAAGTTTACTGCTGACCAGAAAATTGGTATCGGTACATTGTGCCTGCTTAGTTCTGTGTTATTTTGTCATATCTGCAGATTAATGTAACCAGTGCAGCAGCTGAAACATTGAACTGTTCTATCACCTCAAAGATGTCCCATGTGTTCCCTCTTTATAGTCACACTCACTCCTCTCTACCGCCTTTCCCTAATTCTTGGCAAATCTGTTTTCCACCTCTATAATTTTGTCATTTTGAGAATTCTATATAAATGGAATAATACAGTCTGTAACCTTTTGAGACTGGCTTTTTTTTTTTTTCACTTAGCATATGCCTTTGCGATCCATCCAAGTCGTGCATATGAAGAGTTTGTTCCTTTCTATTGCTGAGTTTCATTTCTGGATGCACCAGTTTAACCCTATTGAAGAAAATTTTTTTGTTTCCAGCTTTTGGCTTTTACAAATAAAGATATTACAATGGACCACTTGTACAGGTTTTTTGTAGACATAAGTTTTCATTTCTCTGGGATAAATGCCTGGGGTGCCATTGTTAAGTTGTATGGTAAGTGTATATTTAGTGTTTTAAGAAGCTGCCAAACTATTTTCCAGAGTGGCTGCACCCTTTTACATTCCCACCAGCAATAAATGAGAGATCTATTTTCTCTGCCTTCTCACCATCATAGGGTATTTTTACCATTTTTTTTAGTGGTTCTAATGCATGTGTATTGATATCTCATTGTGGTTTTAGTCTGCATTACTCTGATGGCTAGTGATGTTGAACACTTTTCATGTGCTTATTGCCATCCATGTATTTTCTTTGGTGAAATGTCTCTTTATATGTTTTTTTTCTTTTTCTTTTTTTTTTTTTTGAAATGGAGTTTTGCTCTTGTTGCCCAGGCTGAAGTGCAATGGTGCGATCTCAGCTCACTGCAACCTTCACCTCCCAGGTTCAAGCAGTTCTCCTGCCTCAGCCTCCTGAGTAGCTGGGATTACAGGCATGCACCACACCTGGCCGATTTTTGTATTTTTAGTAGAGACGGAGTTTCACCATGTTGGCCAGTCTGGTTTTGAACTCCTGACCTCGTGATCTGCCTGCCTCAGCCTCCCAAAGTGCTGGGAGTACAGGTGAGAGCCACTGCACCTGGCCAAATTATTTAATTCTTTGTAGGGACTGGATCCTGCTATGTTGTCCAGTCTGGTCTCGAACTCCTGGGCTCAAGCAATCCTCTAGCCTTGGTCTCCCAATGTGCTGGGATTACCATTGTGAGCCAGTGAAGCTGGCCAACGTATATTTTTAAAGTTATGTATCTATGTAGGCATCATGTATTTATGATCCCTAAATTAACCTTTTCAAGTACTAATCCTCTAGGACAGAGATGGACAAACTTTCTCTGTAAAGGGCCAGATAGTAAATATTGTAGGCTTGCAGGCCACATATGGTGTCTGTCAAAAAAAACATTTTTTTTTAAACAGCCTCTCTAAAAATGTAAAAACCATTTTTAGCTCTAAGGCAGTACAGAAACAAGTCTCAGACCCGATTTGGCTTGTGAGCGTTAGTTTGTCATCTCTTGCTCTGTGGAAAGATTGGTGCTATTTCTTCAAGGGAAGGCAGGTGTAAGCAGGCAGAGTTTTGTATCACTCAATTCAGAGTGAGGGTAAAAGGGAGGAAGGGAGAAGATGAGGGAAGGGGAGGGGAAAAAGAGAGACGGGAAGGAGAGGATGGGGAGGGGAGACTGTGAAGGAGGAGGTGATTAAGGGGAAAGAGGAGGAGAAGAACACTGAGGGGAGAGAAGGAGAGTCGGGAGGGGAGCAAAGAGAAAGGAAAAAGACCACATGCCTAGGGAAAGAGGAAGGGGCTGAGGAGGGGAGTTCATTAAAAAACTAGTGTATACATGTCCCTTCATTTATGTGTGTATGTATGTATGTATGTATGTATGTATGTATGTATGTATTTTTGAGACTGTGTCTCGCTCTGTCTCCAGGCTGGAGTGCAATGACATGATCTTGGCTCACTGCAGCCTCTACCTCCTGGATTCAAGCAATTCTCCTGCCTCAGCCTCCCGAGTAGCTGGGATTACAGGTGCATGCCACCATGCCCAGCTAATTTTTGTATTTTTTTTTTTTTAGGAGATATGGAGTTTCTCTGTGTTGGCCAGGATGGTCTCCATCCCTTGACCTCATGTTCCGCCCACTTTGGCCTCCCAAAGTGCTGGGATTACAGGCGTGAGCCACTGCACTCAGCCTTTCCCTTCCTTTAGTAAAAATACTGTGAACCATCTGAGATGTGTTCTTAGGTTAGATATTTATTTATTTATTTATTTAATTTTATTTTGAGACGGAGTCTTGCTCTATTGCCCAGGCTGGAGTGCAATGGCATAATCTCTGATCACTGCAACCTCCACCTCCCAGGTTCAAGCGATTCTCCTGCCTTGGCCACTGGAGTAGCTGGGGTTACAGACATGAGCCACCACACCCGGCTAATTTTTGTATTTTTGGTAGAAACAGGGTTTCACCATGTTGGTCAGGCTGGTCTTGAACTCCTGACCTCAAGTGATCTGCCTGCTTGGGCCTCCTAAAATGCTAGGATTATAGGCGTGAACCACGGCGCCCAAACTTGTTTTTCTTTTTGTTTTGTTTTGCTTTGCTTTTTCATTGGCTAGCCATTCCAGTACAATATTGATTAGAAACATTATTGGTGAGTCTTGTCTTGCTTATGAATATACTTAATATGCTTTTTAAATTTTGTCGTTAAGCTGTGATATTCGCTATTGATTAAAAAAATATGTATACACTTATTTTTTAAAAAAATTGTTCCCACCTCAAAATTATAAACATATTCTTCAATATCTCACTATGGTTCTTCAAATAACTTTAATGTTTTTCTTTTCAAATTTAGGTCTTTAACACAACTTGACCAAATTTTGTATGTGGTGTGAAATAGTTAATCTTGTTGACCTACAAGAAAGAAGCTGAGGCAAAATTAATATAAGTGGAGAGTTTATTTGGGCCAAGCTTGAGGACTGCAACCTGGAAGTATAAATTCAAGTTGCTTTCGACACACACGCTGATGAGCAGCAGTTACAAGTATTTTTTTTTTCCTTTTTTTGAGATGGAATCTCACTTTGTCGCCCAGGCTGGAGTGCAGTGGTGCGATCTCGGCTTACTGCAACCTCTGCCTCCCGGGTTCAAGTGTTTCTCCTGCCTCAGCCTCCTGAGTAACTGGGATCACAGGCACGCACCACCACGCTCACCTTATTTTTTGTATTTTTAGTAGAGACGAGGTTTCACTACGTTGGTCAGGCTGGTCTCAAACTCCTGACCTCAGGTGATCCGCCTGCCTCGGCCTCCCAAAGTGCTAGGATTATAGGCGTGAGCCACCAGGCCTGGCCACAGGTGGATTTTTAAAGGGGGAAAAAGGGGCAGGGAGTGGGCGGATACAAAGTTGCTTGTCAGGAATTCTCATTGGTTTACAAAAATAACATTGATTAATGATTGGCTCTACATGGTTAAGCTATAGGGTGAGAGTTATAGTGTCCTGCGCGGCATTATTTGGTTAATTTATAACTACTTGTGGCAATAGCAAGCAGTTTCAAAAGACGTCATACATGCTTCTAGGGGGAAGTGGAATGTGATTGCTGTCTCATTTTAACGTCTCTCTGGGATTCACATTCCTCAGATAAGAGCTCTTTTCTCAATCACTTTTGAATTTTTTTTCTCCATATGAAAAGCCAGTGGTTGGCCGGATGTCGTGGCTCACGCCTGTAATCCCAGCACTTTGGGAGGCCGAGGCGGGTGGATCACGAGGTCAGGAGATCGAGACCATCCTGGCTAACACGGTGAAACCCCGTCTCTACTAAAAATACAAAAAATTAGCCAGGCGTGGTGGTGGGCGCCTGTAGTCCCAGCTATTCGGGAGGCTGAGGCAGGAGAATGGCGAGAACCCGGGAGGCAGAGCTTACAGTGAGCCGAGATCCCACCACTGCACTCCAGCCTGGGAGACAGAGCGAGACTCCGTCTCAAAAAACAAAACAAAACAAAAATACAAAATTAGCTGAGCGAGGTGGCGCATGCCTGTAATCCTAGTTACTCGGGAGGCTGAAGCAGGAGAATCTCTGGAACCTGGGAGGTGGAGGTTGCAGTGAGCCAAGACTGTACCACTGCACTCCAGCCTAGGCAACAAGAGCGAGACTCCATCTCAAAAAAAAAAAAAAAAAGAAACAAAGAAAAGTCAGGGCCGGATGTGATGGCTCACGCCTGTAATCCCAGCACTTTGGGAGGCCGAGGCGGGGGGATCGCCTGAGGTCAGGAGTTCGAGAACAACTTGAACATGGCCAACATGGTGAAACCCCGTCTCTACTAAATATACAAAAAAAAAAAAAAAATTAACCAGGCCTGATGGCGGGCGCCTGTAGTCCCAGCTATTCGGGAGGCTGAGGCAGGAGAATCCCTTGAACCCAGGAGGTGGAGGTTGCAGTGAGCCGAGATCGCGCCACTGCACTCCAGCCTGGGCGACACAGCGAGACTCCGTCGCAAAAAAAAAAAAAAAAAAAAAAAAAAAGGAGAAAAAAAGTCAGTGGTCTCAGTGCTTTCCAGTGAATTGCTTATCCTTTATTCATTGATTTGTAATTCCTTTTCTACAATGTATCAAAGCTGCATATCTATATCTATATATATCTATATCTATTTGTATCTGTTTGGGGTCTTTTTTTTTTTATAAGAGACGGGGTTTCCCTATATCACCCAGCCTGGTCTCAAATTCCTGGGCTTAAGCGATCCTTACACCCCAACTTCCTAAGTAGTCAGGATTACAAGTGTGAACCACAATACCCTGTAGGGACTTTTTTTTTTTTTTTTTTTTTTTTTTTGATGGAGTCTCGCTCTGTTGCCCAGGCTGGAGTGCAGTGGCATGATCTTGGCTCACTTCAACCTCTGCCTCCCGGGTTTAAGCGATTCTCCTGCCTCAGCCTCCTGAGTAGCTGGGATTACAGGTAGGAGTCACCATGCCCAGCTAATTTTTGTATTTTTGGTATAGACAGGGTTTCGCCATGTTGGCCAGGCTGGTCTCAAACTCCTGACCTCAGGTGATCCACCCACCTCGGCCTCACAAAGTGATGGGATTACAGGAGTAAGCTACCGTGCCTGGCCATGGGACATTTTTATGGTGTGCCATTGACCTATCCCTGTGCCCGACCATGGGACCTTAATCATCTCTCTCTCTCTCACTTTGTAACTATCATAACATTTTCAGGTGTTCCATAAGGTTAACTATATTTATATTGTCGTATAGCAGATCTTTAGAACTTTTTAATCTTGCAAAACTGAAATTCTATGTTCATTGAACAACCCACATTTTCCCCTCCCTTCAGCTCCTGGTTATCACCACTCCACTTTCTCTTTCTATGAATTTGACTACATTAAATACTTCATATAAGTGGAATCATAGTAGTTGTCTTTTCCGGCCAGGCACGGTGGCTCACGCCTGTAATCCCAGCACGTTGGGAGCTGAAGCAGGTGGATCGCTTGAGCCCAGGAGTTCGACACCACTGTGGGGCAACATAGTGAGACCTCATCTTTACAAAAAAAAATCTAAAAATTAGCTGGGTGTGGTAGTGTGTGCCTGTAGTCTCAGCTACTTGGGAGGCTGAGGTGAAAGGATCGCTTGAGTGCAGGAGGCGGAGGCTGCAGTGAGCTCAGATAGCACCACTGCACTCCAGCCACTCCTCTCCAAAAAAAGGGTTTGTCTTTTTGTGACTGCTTTATTTCACTTAGCAGAATGTCCTCAAGGCTGCTCTATGTTGTAGCATATGTCAGAATTTCCTTCCCTTTCAAGGCTGAATACCATTCCATTGTACATATATCCTACATTTTATTTATCTGTTCGTCTATGGATGGAGATTTGGGTTGTGTCCACCTCTTGGCTATTGTGAATAACGCTTCTATGAAGATGAGTGTGCAAATATCTCTGTGATAACTGGGTTTCAATTCTTCTGGATATATACTCAGAAATGGAATTGCTGGATCATATAGTAATTTTATTTTTAATTTATTGAAACTTTTTTTTTTTTTTTTTGTTTTGAGATGGAGTTTTGCTCTTGTTGCACAGGTTGGAGTGCAATGGCCGTGATCTTGGCTCACTGCAACCTCGGCCTCCCAGGTTCAAGTGATTCTCCTGCCTCAGTCTCCTGAGTAGCTGGGATTACAGGCATGTGCCACCACACCAGGCTAATTTTGTATTTTCAGTAGAGACAGGGTTTCTCCATGTTGGTCAGGCTGGTCTCAAACTCCCAACCTCAGGTGATCTGCCTGCCTTGGCCTCCCAAAGTGCTGGGATTACAGGCATGAGCCACCGTGCCCGGCAATTTATTGAAACTTTCATACTGTTTTCTATAGTGGCTGTGCTGTTTTATATTCCCACCAACAGTGCTATTTGCTATAGCTTTTTAGTAAATTCCCTTTATTTGGTTAAAGGACTTCTTTTATAGCTTAGCTGCTAATCTTTTCTTTATCTGGGGTAGGTCTTAAATGTTATCAAGTGCTTCTTCCACATTTATTGAGATTATAGATTTTAATATGCTTTTTTCCCTTAAATGTATTATGTATTTAATTATAGTAATAGATTTTAAATATTAAACATTTTTTAATTTCTGAGGTAATCTCAAGTAGTTATGATATGTTTGTGTATTTTTAAAATATGTTGCTGTATTTGAAGTACTTTTTGTTTTTTATATTCTTCTCGTCCCATTTTTGTATCAAAGGTGTAATACTGGCCAGGTGCGGTGGCTCATGCCTGTAATCCCAGCACTTTAGGAGGATGAGGCGGGTGGATCACTTGAGGTCAGGAGTTCCAGACCGGCCTGGCCAATGTGGTGAAACCCCATCTACACTAAAATACAAAAATTAGCTGGGCATGTAGCACGCACCTGTATTCCCAGTTACTCGGGAGGCTGAGGCAGGAAAATTGCTTGAACCCGGGAGGCAGAGGTTGCAGTGAGCCGAGATTGTGCCTCTGCACTCCAACCCAGGCGACAGAGCAAGACTCCATCTCAAAAAAAAAAAAAAAAGTTATAATACTCTCATAACAGGGGTTGGGGATTTTATTCTCATCTATTTTCTGCACAAATTTGTAGAAGATGAAAATTATCTTTTTTTTTTTGAGACGGAGTCTTGCTCTGTCGCCCAGGCTAGAGTGTAGTGGAACAATCTTGGCTCACCACAACCTCGGCCTCCTGGGTTCAAGCAATTCTCCCCTCTCAGCCTCCCGAGTAGCTGGGATTACAGGTGCCCGTCACCAAGCCTGGCTAATTTTTTTATTTTTAGTAGAGATGGGGTTTCACCATGTTGGCCAGGCTGGTCTCGAACTCCTGACCTCAGGTGTTCCACCCACCTCGGCCTCCCAAAGTGCTGTGATTACAGGCATGAGTCACTGCGCCTGACCAAGGGTTATCATTTTTTAAAAGGGCTTCTCCAATTCGCTTCAAACAATAAAGGATGTATTGTTTTTTGCGGGGGTGAGTGGGTGGAGTTAGGACTACTTATTTTTTTTTTTTTTTTTTTTTTAGTAAGAGTCTCATTCTGTCGCCCAGGCTGGAGTTCAGTGGTGCCATCTCGGCTCACCGCAGCCCCCACCTTCAGGGTTCAAGTGATTCTCCTGCCTTAGCCTCCTGAGTAGCTGGGATTACGGGCATGGGCCCCCAAGCCCAACTAATTTTTGCATTTTTAGTAGAGAAGAGGTTTCTCCATGTCGGCCAGGCTGGTCTTGAACTCCTGTCCTCAAGTGATCCACCCACCTCGGCCTCCCAAAGCGCTGGGATTACAGGCGTGAGCCACTGCACCCAGTCTCTATTTTTATTTTTAGTTTTCAAGACAGGGTCCCACTCTTTCACACAGGCTGGAGTTCAGTGGCGCAATCCCTGCTCACTGCAATCTCTGCCTCCTGTGCTCAAGTGATCCTCCCATCTCAGCCTCCCAAACATCTGGGACCACAGGCACACATCACTACGCCTGGCTAATTTTTGTATTTTTTGTAGAGACAGGGTTTCACCATATTGGCCAGTCTGGTCTCAAACTCCTGAGCTCAAGCAATTTGCCTGCTTCAGTCTCCCAAAGTGCTTGGATTACAGGCGTGAGCCACCACTCCCAGCCAGGACTACTTATTCTATTTCTTTATTAAACTACTAAAATTTTCTATTTCTTCTTGAACTAGTTTTGATAACTTCTATTCTCTAGACAGTTCCTGTTTAAAATTTCAAATCCATTGGCAAAAGTGATATTCCCTTTCCTAAGACTTCTAGTATATTTGTAGTTATATCTTTTTCATGTATTTATTTAGTTTCTCTCTTTTTCTTGATAACATGTATTTGTTATTAAAAAAATTGTAACATAACAAATCCTTGTGATCCACCCTCTCAAATCAAGATCTAGACCATTGCCGATAACATGCATTTACCTGTATTTACTTTCCTTGTCCCATATCCCAATTTGCCCACTAGAGGTAGCCATTATCTTGAAATCTTAACAAATATACTTTAATCACAGAGACAACACACACACACGTAGTTGATTGCTTACTTTTATTAGCTATTGAATTCTAAAAAAGTTATGATACTCTATGTGGTCTTCTGAGACTTCCTATTTTCACTAAATATAATGCTTCCGTGATCCCTGCTGTGTTCATTTTCCAGTCTGTTGTGTGAATATACCACAATTATTTATCAGCTCTTTTGTTGATGGATGTTGGGTCATTTCCAGTTATTTGCTGTTAAGGATGTGGCTGCCTTGAATATTCTTGTAGTCTTTCCTTGTGTTCATAAATGCATGTGTTTCTCAAGTTTGTATTAGGAATGAGATTGCTTGGCTATAGATATGTGAACACTTAGCTTTGAGAGAATGCCAAATAATTTCCGATGTGGTTGGACTCATTTATACTTCAGGGAGCCATGTATAGATAGTCTCTCTGCTCCAAATCTTCTCCTAACATTTTATATTGTTGAATAACTTAAATTTCTCATCCTAATGGGATTAACATAATATTTCACTATAGTCTGAATTCACATTTTCCTGACTAGTAATAAAATTGAGCATCTTTTAAATATATTTAATATATTTATTGGCCATCTTCATGAACTCTGTTCATATTTTTGCCCCTTTGTCAGTTGGGGTGTGTGCCTTTTTCTTATTTATTTATTTATTCATGTTTTAGAGACAAGGTCTTGCTTTGTTGGCCAGGCTGGAGTGCAGTGGCAAGATCATGGCTCGCTGCAGCCTCGACTTTCCAGGCTCAAGCCATCCTCCCACCTCAGCTTCTCGTGTAGCTGGGACTACGGGCACTCACTACCATGCCCAGCTAATTTCCCTTTTATTTCTTTGTAGAGGCGAGGTCCACCATCTTGCCCACTGTCCTCCAACTCTTGGCTCAAGCGAGCCTCCCTCAGTCTCCCAAAGTGCTGGGATTATAGGCGTGAGCTAATGCACCTGACCTGCCTTTTTTTTATTGATTTGTAGGAATATTTAAAATGCATTCCTGTGTCAGGTAAGTGTGTCAAAAATATCTTCCATCAGATTGTGATTTGTGTTTTTGTTATTGAGTCTTTTCGCTAAGTGCAATTAAAAAAAAGAAACTAATAGAGTTGATGTTATCAATCTTTTTCTATCGTTATCATTCTTTGTGTCTTGTTTAAACAACCATACCAGGCTGGGTGCGGGGGCTCATGCCTGTAATCCTGGCACTTTGGGAGGTTGAGATGGGTGGATCACCTGGGGTCCCAAGTTTGAGACCAGCCTGGCCAACGTGGCAAAACCTTGTCTCTACTAAAAATATAAAAATTAGCTGGGCATGGTGGCACATGCCTGTAGTCCTAGCTACTTGGGAGGCTGAGGCAGGACAATGGCTTGAACCTGGGAGGCAGAGGTTGCAGTGAGCTATGATGAAGCCACTGCACTCCAGCCTGGGTGATAGAGTGAGACTCTGTCTCAAAAAAAAAAAAAACAAAAACCCGTCTTAGTAGAGACAGGGTTTCACCATGTTGGCCAGGTTGGTGTCGAACTCCTGACCTCAGGCGTTCCACCCACCTCGGCCTCCCAAAGTGGTGGGATTACAGGTGTGAGCCAGCAGGCCTAGCCTTTTGTTACATTTAATCTGGGCAATTTATAGCTTTGGTTGAGACTGTAAATGTCTTTAAAAATTATATCCAACTATTGCTAGTATATAAAAATGCGACTGATGTTTTATACTGATGTTATAGTCAGTCACTTTGTGAAATATTTTTGTTATTTATACTAATGTGCCTTTAGATTCTTCTAGGTATTCTAGGTAGATAATCATATATCTATAAATAATGATAGCTTTGTTTCTTTCTTTCCAATTTTTAATGTCTTTTATTTTTATTGTTCAGATAACATTATGTATTTTTTTCTCCTTTTCTCCTTTTTTTTGAGATGGAGGCTCACTCTGTCGCCCAGGTTGGAGTGCAGTGGTGCAATCTCGGCTCACTGCAAACTGCGCCTCCTGGGTTCACGCCATTCTCCTGCCTCAGCCTCCCGAGTAGCTGGGACTACAGGCGCCTGCCGCCACGCCAGGCTAATTTTTTGTATTTTTAGTAGAGATGGGGTTTCACCAAGTTAGCCAGGATGGTCTCGATCTCCTGACCTCTTGATCTGCCCGCCTCGACCTCCCAAAGTGCCGGGATTACATGCGTGAGCCACCGCGCCCAGCCTTCTCCTTTTATCCTTAATGTGGTGATTAATATTTAGAGATTTTTCCAGTCTTGAGCCATTCTAGGATTTCTGCACAAACCAAAATTTGGCATGGTACAATGTCTTTTTAAAAGTGTTTGGATTTATCATGCTCATGGGTGACTTTGGTCTTTTAATTTTCCATCTCAGACTTCTATTTTCTAATTTTACTATCAGTGGTTACTTGCCTCATAGAATGATGGTTTGGAGCATATTTATTTCTCTCCTATCCTCTGGAAGACTGTGTTTAAGATTAGGTTAATTTACTTGTAAACCGTATGAACCTGTAATATTTTCTATGGGAATATTTTATGTATTTCAATTTCTTGAATAGTTATAGATCTACTCAGTCTTCCTGGCCTCAAATTAGTTTTATAATCCATGTGTTGTTTTAATAATACACTGGCATAAAGCTTTTAAAGTCTGGGATGGTAGTTCATGCCTGTAATCATAGCACTTTGGGAGGCTAGGCAGGAGGATTGCCTGAGCCCAAGAGTTTGAGACCAACCTGGGCAACATGGCAAGACCTCATCTCTACAAAATAAATAAACAGTATTTTATTTGTCAGGCACGGTGGCTCACGCCTGTAATACCAGCACTTTGGGAGGCTGAGGCAGGAGGATCACCTGAGGTCAGGAGTTCAAGGCCAGCCTGGCCAACATGGTGAAACCCCATTTCTACTAAAAATACAAGAATTAGCCGGGCATGGTGGTGAACACCTGTAATCCCGGCTACTCAGGAGGCTGAGGCATTAGAATCGCTTGAACCCAGGAGGCGAAGGTTTCAGTGAGCTGAGATCACGCCACTGCACTCCAGCCTGGGCCACAGAGCAAGACTCCATCCTCCATCTCAAAAAATAAGTAAATAAATAATTTTAAACCTATTATTTTTAAAATTATCTTTACAATTTCTGAAGTACTTGTGGTTGTGCCCTGTTCTGTTTCTAATATTATTAATTTGTAAATGTTTGTCCCTCTTATTTATCTATTTATTTGTTTTGAGATGGAGTCTCACTCTGTGGCCCAGGCTGGAGTGCAGTGGCGCGATCTTGGCTCACTGCAGCCTCTGCCTCCCAGGTTCAAGAGATTCTCCTGCCTCAGCTTCCTGAGAATAGCTGGGATTACAGACGACCGCCACCAGGCCCTGCTAATTTATGTATTTTTAGTAGAGATGGGGTTTTCCATATTGGCCAGGCTGGTCTCGAACTCCTGACCTCAGGTGATCTGCCTGCCTCGGTTTTCCAAAGTGCTGGGATTACAGGTGTGAGCCACCTCACCTGGACCCTTTTATTAATAATTTAAGGCCGGGCGCGGTGGCTCATGCCTGTAATCCCAGCACTTTGGGAGGCCGAGGCGGGCAGATCAAGAGGTCAGGAGATCGAGACCATCCTGGCTAATATGGTGAAACCCCATCTCTACTAAAAATACAAAAAATTAGCCAGGCGCGGTGGCGGGCGCCTGTAGTCCTAGCTACTTGGGGGGCTGAGGCAGGAGAATGGCGTGAACCCAGGAGGCGGAGCTTGCAGTGAGCCGAGATGGCGCCACAGCACTCCGGCCTGGGTGAAAGAGCGAGACTCTCTCTCAAAAAAAAAAATAATAATAATAATAATAATAATTTAAACAAGGACATTTTAGTTTGTTAATATTCTCTATTGTGTGCTTTCTATTTTATTGATTTGGGCTCTTATTTTTTCCTTCCATTTTCTATGGCGTTTATTCAGTATTTTTCCCCCCATCATCTTCAGTTGAACATACAACTCATCCCTTCTTTCTAGCTAACTATTGTTCATATAGAGATATTATTGGTTTTTGAGAGTTTATCTCGCATCTAACAACCTTGTTGAACTTTCTAAATAATAATAGCTTAATTATTGATTTTGGATTTCACCGTCCTAAAAATTCTCCGTGTTTCACCTATCCGTCCCTCCCTCTCCCAACCCCTGGCAACCACGATCCTTTTACTGTCTTCATAGTTTTGCTCCTTTCCAGAATGTCATATAGTTGGAATCATACAGTATATTTCTTTTTCAGATTGGCTTCTTTCACTTAGCAATATGCACCAAAGTTTTCTTTTTTGTTTTCTTTAGAGACAAGGTCTTTCTCTGTTGCCCAGGCTGGAGTGCAGTCGTGCAATCATGGCTCACTGCAGCCTTGACTTCCCAGGCTCAAGTGATGCTCCCACCTCAGCCTACAAAGTAGTTGGGACTAGAGGCGCACGCCAAAATACCTGGCTAATTTTTAAAACATTTTTTTGTAGAGAAGGTCTCACTATGTTGCCCAGGCTGCTCCCAACTCCTGGGCTCAAGTGATCCTCCGGCCTTGGACTCCCAAAGTCCTGGGATTACAGTCGTAAGCCACTACACCCAGTTCCTTATTTCCTTTTTAACTCAAGGACTTAATATTTAATTTCCAAAAAGGTAGTACTTAAAAGTTATCCTTTATTGTTAATTTTTATTCTCATTACCTTAGGGCCAGATATTGCAAGTGATAACGTGTTGATTATTTAGACTCTATTAAGAATTCCTTAATGGTTTAATAACTCAGTCTATTTTTTGGAAATGTCCCATATGCTAGAAAAATTCTTTCTAAATATATTCAACAGTTTAAGCTTATATTTGTATAACTCATCTCTCTGATATCTTAGTGCTATGAACTGAATTGTGTTTCCCCCAAAATTCTATGTTAAAGCCCTAGCCCCAATGTGATGGTATTTGGCCATGGGGCTTTTGGGAGGTAATGAGGTTTAGAGGAAGTCAGGAGGGTGAGAAGCCCATGATCCGATTAGCGCACTTATAAGAATAGACACCAGAGGCCGGGCATGGTGGCTCATGCCTGTAATCCCAGCACTTTGGGAGGCTGTGGCAGGTGGAACATTTGAGGTCAGGAGTTCAAGACCAGCCTGGTCAATATGGTTAAACCTTGTCTCTACTAAAAATACAAAAATTAGCCAGGTGGTGGTGGTGCGCGCCTGTAATCCCAGCTACTCGGGAGGCTGAGGCAGAATTGCTTCAGCCTGGGAGGTGGAGGTTGCAGTGAGTCAAGATCATAGCATTGCACTCCAGCCTGGGTGACAGAGCGAGAATTCATCTCCAAAAAAAAAAAGAATAGACACCAGAGAGCTTGCTCACTCTTAGTCCCTCCCATGTGAACATGTGAAGATCCAGCAAGAAGGTGGCTGTCTACAAGTCAGGAAAAGAGTTCTCACCAGAAACTAAAACCATGCTGGCACCGTATCTTGACTTTATATCCTCTGGAACTGTAAGAAAATATTTTTGTTGTTTAAACCACCCAGTCATGGTGTTTTTGTTTGTTTGTTTGTTTGTATGTTTTGTTTGTTTGTTTTTCATGGCAGTCTGAGCTGACTAAGACACTCAGCTTCTTTTCTCTTTTTAAATTTAAATTTTTATTTTTAGAGACAGGTCTCATTCTGTCACCCAGACTGGAGTGCAGTGGTGCAATCATAGTTCACTGCAGCCTTGAACACCTGGGCTCAAGTGATCCTCCTGCCTCAGATTCCCAAATAATTGAGACTACAGGCATGCACCACCACTGTCAGCTAATTTATTTTTTATTTATTTTAGAGGTGGGGTCTCACTATGTTGCCCATGCTGGTCTTGAACTCCTGGGCTCAAGTGATCCTCCCACATTGGCCTCCAAAGTGCTGGGATTACAGGTGAGAACCAAAGTGCCCAGCCTGTTTTCTTTGATGTATCAGCTTCTGGGAATAAGGTCCAGAAATTTTTAAATATGATTTTTTGGTTATTTCTCCTTATAGTACTATCAGTGTTGTTGTTGTTGTAACTTATTTCAAGTCTATATTATTAGATACAAATATCTGTATATTAACTGTATGTCTTGTGTTTATTATTCTATTATTATATCACATCCTTACACCTCTTATAATTTTTTATTTTAGTTTAAGTTTTTTAATCAGATAAGATATCTAGCCTGACTGATTTTTGTTCATATTTGCTCAATTGTTGCCTGAGATAGAGATTGGCATGCAGAAAATTTATTAATTAGTATTTTGGGGATCAACACCTGTTAAGATGCAAAGGAAGCAAGAGTGATCAGAAGGAAATATTGCATCGCCAAGCAATAAACAGAGACCTCAGATGATCCTATGTAGAATTCTGGAGCTGTCCTGGCCCTTCAGAGTCATCCTTAATTGGGATGAGGGCACTGGGCCTTTATTGTCCGTCAATGACAGTTGTTAGATGTGGGCCACACATTATGGAAGGAATAAGGAGTTGTGACATTGAAGAAACTGACTCTCTTCAGACAGAGTAAGTTTCTGGAGAACTTTTGGTCTCCAAATTCCTAGCATCTGGGAGAGTCAGTGCTTCTGTTCTGGTCAGCAATCACAGTATCCACTATACTGAAAATCTTTATCAGTGCATTTAACCCATTTACAATTATTGTAATTACTTTCATATTAGGACTTTTTTCTCTATCACCACATTTTATTTTTTTATATTTATTGAATTTTCTTCCGTACCCCACTTTTCCCGCTTTCTATAGGACTTGTATTAGAAGGATTTAAATGTCATACATTTTACTTATTTTTTATGGTAGTTGTCTTTAGAATTCATACTCGTATTTTGTTTTAAATAATTTTTTTTTGAGACGTAGTCTCGATCTCTTGCCCAGGCTGGAGTGCAGTGGTGTGATCTCAGCTCACTGCAACCTCTGCCTCCTGGGTTCAAGCAATTCTCCTGCCTCAGCCTCCTGAGTAGCTGGGACTACAGGCATCCACCACCATGCCTGGCTAATTTTTGTATTTTTAGTAGAGACGGGGTTACCCATATTGGTCAGGCTGGTCTTGAACTCCTGACCTTGTGATTTGCCCACCTCGGCCTCCCAAAGTGCTGGGATTGCAAGCATGAGCCACCAAACCTGGCTTTAAATAATTTTCAATTTCTTAAATTCGTCAATTTGATATCTATATTCCTCATAATAATACAAGCTTGTTAGCATGTCTGTTTGTCTCTAGACTTAGCTCCATCCCTTTAAAATTTTTATCATTATCTATAATTTTAGTTTGGAGTTTTATGGATATATTTTCTCTTTTTCCTTCTTTTGGTGCTAGCTCTTCTTTTACCCAATAATGTTTACTAAGGTGTCAAATGACTCTTATTAGAATTCTTACAAGATTTCTCTCTCTCTTTATTTGAATACTCCTTCAAAGAGCATTTTCTTTTTTCTTTCTTTCTTTCTTTTTTTTTTTTTGAGATGGAGTCTCTCTCTGTTGCCCACGCTGGAGTCCAGTGGCACCATCTTGGCTCACTGCCATCTCCGCCTCCCAGGTTCAAGCGATTCTCCTGCCTCAGTCTCCTGAATAGCTGGGATTACAGGGGCTTAACACCACGCCTGGCTAATTTTTGTATTTTTAGTAGAGACGAGGTTTCACCATGTTGGCCAGGCTGGTCTCGAACTCCTGATCTCAAGTGATCTGCCCACCTCGGCCTCCCAAAGTGCTGGGATTACAGGTGCAAGCCACCATGCCCAGTCCAAAGAGCATTTTCAATGTGATTTTGTGTTTGGTAACATTTTGAAACTTGTATGTCTGATATTATTTTATTTATTTATTTATTTTTGAGACAGAGTTCCACTCTGTAGCCCAGGCTGGAGTGCAGTGGTGCTATTTTGGCTCACTGCAATACCTGCCTCCAGGTTCAAGAGATTCTCCTGCCCCAGCCTCCTGAGTGGCTGGGACTACTGGTGCATGCCACCACACCCAGATGATTTTTTTGTATTTTTAATAGAGACAGGGGTCTCACCATATTGGCCAGGCTGGTCTTGAACTCCTGACCTCAAGTGATCCGCCTGCCTCAGCCTCCCAAAGTGTTGGGATTACAGGCGTGAGCCACCACGCACAGCTGGTGTTTCATTTTTAATTTGTTGAGGAAACACCATGCTAGTTTCCAAGTAGTTGCACCATTTTACAATCACACCAATAGTGCAAAAGCGTTCCAATTTTTCCACATACTTGCTATCACTTGTCTTTTTTGTTTGTTTGTTTGTTTGTTTTTTGGATAGTAGCCATCCTAATGGGTCTGAGGTAGAATCTCAGTGTGGATTAATTTGCATTTTCCTTTTTTTTTTCTTTTGAGACAGGATTCCACTCTCACCCAGGGTGGGGTGCAGTGGCGAGATCTCAACTCATTGCAACCTCCGCCTCCTAGGTTCAAACAGTTCTCCTGCCTTTTCCCCTTATAGGATACAGAGTAATATCCTGGGAAGGGTTATCAAATAAGCCACAAGTCTCAATTATCTGTTCTAGGGTTTCTTTTTCTGGAAATAAATAATGACTCTCTTAGAGTGGATAAGCAAAAACCAATGAGCTGTGTGAACTGCAAGAGTTTTAACCTCTCTGTAAGCCTTTTCAGCTTCTATGCTAGTAATCAGAAAACGTTATGCTAGTAATCATAGGAGCGTTTCAAAACAGTCTTTAAAATTCTAACCATGACTTGCACTTGTTAGCTGGAATCACGGAATATCTAACTAGCAACAATAAAGGTTTTGAAAATCTTAGTCTCTCCTAGGCCTTTTAATTAATTTTCAAAGTTCAGCATGTAAATGGTATAATATGTGAACCTTTTCTATAATACTATTTTCTAAAGAGTAGACTTTGTCATGAAGAGGGTTCATTTCAGACTTTTCCAGAATTAAAGGTCTGTGTTATATGGTGATTTTTCCCATAAAATAATCTCATAGCATGGCCCTTAGAGACTGCATTTTGAGGCTTTGCTACATAAACTATTTTACTCCTGTCTGCTCACTTAGCCATGGATGGCATTATTTGTAAACATATTTTTAAAGATGAGGAAGCTTGTTTTTAGAGATTAGGAAGAGGTACGTAATTTTTTCAAAAGAAGAGAACAGGCCGGGCATGGTGGCTCTTGCCTGTAATCCCAGCACTATAGGAGACTGAGGCAGGCAGATTACTTGAGGTCAGGAGTTTGAGACCAGCCTGGACAACATGGCGAAACCCTGTCTCTACTAAAAATACAAAAATTAGCCGGGCCTGGTGGCAGGCACCTGTAATCCCAGCTACTCGAGAGGCTGAGGCAGGAGAATCACTTGAACCCAGGAGGCGGAGGTTGCAGTGAGCTGAGATCACACCACTGCACTCCAGCCTGGGCAAAGAGTGAAACTATGTCTCAAAAATAAATAAATAAATAAATATATACAAGAGAACAACACTTAAAAAAATCAATTAGTAGCCAATTAGGAGAGGTTTTCCTTCAGTTTCTTTCCTATTAACTACTAATTTCTACAATTTCATAGATTTACTAAAATATACCAAATGAGTTGATGAATGTCCTATTAGAAAATAGACTAATTCTGGATTTTAGTTTTCACACTATACTAGATTACAAGTGAACTGACTTAGAGTTTGATTTTCATTTGGAGAATGTTATTAACATTGTTAAGATTTTCTAATTTAAATGATTTTTCAAGTGTTTTAATAAGTTGCTATATTTTAAATTAGTACGCAGCTTCAGTAATATTAAATATAATTAAATTTAAAAAATCAACCTCTTAAAAAAAATTTTAAAAATATATGACATTAAATGACCTGTTAGTATTCTACTTTTTTTTTTTTCTTAAGATAGTTTTGTTCTTGTCGCCCAGGCTGGAGTGCAATGGCACTATCTTGGCCCACTACAACCTCCGCCTCCTTGGCTCAAGCCAAGTAGCAGCTGGGATTACAGGAGCACGCCAGCGCCACCATGCCCAGCTAATTTTTGTATTTTTTTTAGTAGAGAAGGGGTTTCACCATGTTGGTCAGGCTGGTCTTGAACTCCTGACCTCGTGATCCGCCCGCCTCAGCCTCCCAAAGTATTGGGATTACAGGCATGAGCCACTGCGCCCGGCCTACCGGCCTAGTATTCCTCTTTTTTTTTTTTTTTTTTTGAGACAGAGTCTCAGTCTCGTTATGTCGCTCAAGCTTGAGTGCAGTGGCGTGATCTCAGCTCACTGCAACCTCCACCTCCTGAGTTCAAGTGATTCTCCTGTATTCTGCTTTTTTTTTTTAGAAATATGGAATATTTATTTTTAAATTATTTTTTTTATATTTTATTTTATTATTATTATACTTTATGTTTTAAGGTACATGTGCACAACGTGCAGGTTTGTTACATAAGTATACATGTGCCATGTTGGTGTGCTGCACCCATTAACTCGTCATTTAGCATTAGGTATATCTCCTAGTGCTATCCCTCCCCCCGCCCCCCACCTCACAACAGTCCCTGGTGTGTGATGTTCCCCTTTCTGTGTCCACGTGTTCTCATTGTTCAATTCCCACCTATGAGTGAGAACATGTGGTGTTTGGTTTTTTGTCCTTGCGATAGTTTGCTGAGAATGATGGTTTCCAGTTTCATCCATGACCCTACAAAGGACATGAACTCATCATATTATTCCATGGTGTATATGTGCTGCATAGTATTCCATGGTGTATATGTGCCACATTTTCTTAATCCAGTCTATCGTTGTTGGACATTTGGGTTGGTTCCAAGTCTTTGCCATTGTGAATAGTGCTGCAATACACATATGTGTGCATGTGTCTTTATAGCAGCATGATTTATAATCCTTTGGGTATATACCCAGTAATGGGATGGCTGGGTCAAACGGTATTTCTAGTTCTAGATCCCTGAAATAAAGATGGCCAGGTGTGTTGGCTCACACCTATAATCCCAGCACTTTGGGAGGCTGAGGTGGGCGGATCACCTGAGGTCAGGAGTTTGAAACCAGCCTGGCCAACATGGTGAAACCCTGTCTCTACTAAAAATACAAAAAAATTAGCCGGGCGTGATGGTGCGCACCTAACACAGGAGGGTGAGGCAGGAGAATCACTTGAACCTGGGAGGCCAACGTTGCAGTGAGCCGAGATTGCACCACTGCACTCCAGCCTGGGCGACAGAGCAAGACTCCATTTCAATAAATAAATAAGTAAATAAGTATTTGGATTCACTTTGAAAAGTTTTCTTGTAATTTTTTAACTTAGTAGTGTTAAATAAAATTATGGAGGGGGCCATTATTTTGGATTGAGCTCCTGTACTAGGCTCTGATAGATAGACTAGACCAAGCAAAACAGTCACTCACACTAAATGCCACATGAAGAAACTGAAATGTTAGGGAAGCAGAGAGATCCCAAAATAGACCTTTTTTTTTTTTTCTGAAAACAGGAGATTCCAGCCTGAGTCAGCTTAATACAGGAGTTCCCTTTGCTTTAATCCTTACAAAAAGATAACCTGGAGTAACCTGATGTTAATCAATCAATTTTTTCATATTGTTTTTGTTTCCTTGTTCCTACCTTACAAATCCCACTGTTTTGCCATTGCCCAGTGGGAACTCTCATTCTTTTTTGTACAAAGGAAACTGCCTCAATTCATGAATCATGAATAAAAGCCAATTAGATCTCAAAAAAGCCAATTAGATGTATAACTAACTTTGTTGTAATTTTTTTTTTTTTTTTTTTTTGAGATGGAGTCTCGCTCTGTCACCCAGGGTGGAGTGCAATGGCGTGATCTCGGCTCACTGCAACCTCCGCCTCCTGGGTTCAAGTGATTCTCGTGCCTCAGGCTCCCGAGTAACTGGGATTACAGGTGCCTGCCACCACGCCCAGCTAATTTTTGTATTTTTAGTAGAGACAGGGTTTCACCATGTTGCCCAGGCTGGTCTTGAACTCCTGACCTCAAGTGATCCACCCACCTCGGCCTCCCAAAGTGCTGGGATTACAGGTGTGAGCCACCGCACCCAGCCGTAATTTTGTCTTTTGACAGTTCATAAAATCTAATACTTATCTAAATTTAAAAAAAAGTATAATATTATGTTATATATATGTTTCTGTATATTGGAGTTCTAATGTTGAATAATAGGCCATAGTATATGATTTACTTTTATATTTTAATAGATAATTCTACTAATTTATACTTCAACTGTCAATAAATGAAAGTAACCTATTTTGTGTTTCATCTGCATTGGTTGCTAACAACTTTTCCATTTTTGGCTATTTAATAAGTGTAACACACTTTAATTTTTGTTTTAGGATACTTATGTAGCTCAATTTGTGACAGCAAAAAATTGAAAATACTTTAAACATCAATACATATACAAATAATTACAAGTTAGGAAATATATCTATTGTGGAACATTTACTATTAGCCATGAAAAAGAATGAAATGAGGATATATTATTTCCCCAAGCTCTTATATAGTGCTTCCAATGTACCAGAACTATAGTAAGCACTTTACACATTTTAACACATTTTATTCTCATTACAGTCCTATGTGGTAGGTACTATTGTTTATATCTATCTTGCAAATAAAGGACTCAAGGCAGCATGATATGTCACTCTGTGGACTACTACACAACAGTGAAAAGGAATTAGGCGGTTCTAGTTGTACCGATCTGGAACAATGTCGATAACGTATTGTTAACCGAGAAATCAAAATGTGAGAATAACACAATACTATTCAATTTTATGTTTTTAAAATGCAGGTGTTTATGAAAACATATCTAAGTATAGAATCAAATATAGAATGATATTTCATTAATAGCCTGAAATTGGAAAAGTTATGAGGAAGGCTCCCATTGATGTCTAATACCTAATTTTAAAAGAAAGAAAGAAAAGGAAGCATGAAAAGAAAGTGGTAGAATAAAGAAATGAAATAGAGTTCTTCCTTAATGGTGAGCCAGAATATGGGGCTAGGGAATACATTAAGCAGTTCTTTTCTTCCACCCAGGGATGGAGGACAAAAGGGTTCTTAATCTGTTTGGAATGTGGAAGCATTCAATGCAAACTCTTTCCCATAGTTTACAGTTAATTCAGAGTCTATTTAAACAAAATCACTACATTTTCCCCAAATATCTTGATTACATGATATTTACTACACTACAAATTGGTAACTGCCACACAACTTCTTTTCCGTTCTCTACTTTCAGAGATTGCTATATTAGCCTTCAGGATTTTTCCTGAAAACAACAACAATGAAAAAGTTTGTTTCTTAAGTAAACTAGTCTCAAACAACTCTCTAAAATCTTTCATTTCCTTTCCCAGGGTTTCTGTAGGAGAGATCAAACTAAACCCACTAGACTGTATTTCAAATGGCGTTCAGCCATTTCCTTGACTACAATTCAATTTCTCTAGGTAGAACCAGACATTTTCTCAGTGCACTACGGGATGAAAATGTATATTTTTCTAAGGAAATGCTATAACCTATTCCTACTGTAAACTCTAGGACAGGAGGTACATAAGAAAAATTTTGTAAACTATGTAACAGAAATAAATTAGTAAATATATGCTGTACACCTATAGTTATGCCAGGCATGGGAATGCAAAGGTAAATAACACATTATTACTGCCCTCCAAGAGACTAGAGAGATAGAGCTATAAACAACTAAACTTGTATTATTTAAGCCTATATTACAATATTTTACATGCTGTAGTAGTTAAGACAAAAACTTGGCAGGGTGTGGTGGCTCACTCCTGTAATCCAGCACTTTAGGAGACTGAGGCAGGTGGATCACTTGAGGCCAGGAGTTCAAGACCAGCCTGGTTAACATGGTGAAACCCTGTCTCTATAAAAAATACAAAAATTAGCTGGGTGTTGTGGTTTGTGCCTGTGGTCCCAGCTACTTGGGAGGGTGAAGTAGAGAATCGCTTCAACCCAGGAGGCAGAGGTTGCAATGAGTGGAGATTGTGCCGCTGCACTCCAGCCTGGGTGACAGAGCGGAAAACAGAACAAACAAACAAAAAAACAAAAAAAAAAAAGAAAGCAAGAAAGAAAAGAAAAACTTTAGGCGAAATAAAGTTAACAGAGTTTATTTGAGCATTAAAGGATTCATTAATTGGGCAACACCCAAAACTGGAAGAGGTTCAGAGATCTCTATCCTAATAGTGTGAGCAGGGAGCTTTTATAGGCTGAAGATGGAAGCACAGTAAAGACATTACTTGATTGACTACAGCTAGGTGTTTTCCTTATTTGGGTATAGTTTGAGGTCCCTAATTTTATAACCAATTGGCTAGTTGGCTTTCTGTGATTGGTTAAAGCTCAATTCAAAATTAATCAGATGCAAGGAATGCCTCTAAGTTATGTTTTGATTTACTTGTATAAGGGTTCTGGGTACAGAAACAACTCCGGGCAAATGGCTTTCTGCTTTTTTTTTTTTTTTTTTTTTTTGGCAGAGGGCTGAGCGTGGGGGTGGGGACAGGATCTCACTCTGTCAATCAAGCTGCCATGTGGTGGCACCATAAGTGCTCACTACAGCCTTGACCTGGGCTAAGCCGATCCTCCCACCTCAGCCTTCTGAGTGGTTGGGACGCCAGGTGTGTGCCACCACACCTGGCTAATTTATTTATTTTTTGTAGAGATGGGATCTTGCCAGTTGCCCAGGCTGGTCTCAATCTCCTGAGCTCAAGTGATCCTGCTGCTTTAGCCTCCCAAAGTGCTGGATTACAGGCATTAGCCCCTGCACCTGGCCAAAAATTACTTTCTATATCATCAAGTGATATATTTCTATATAATTCTACTTTTCATAATTACCAAACCGAGTATATAATGCATTATGTTAATTCAATCAAATATTTAATATAAATAATAGCTTCATGTGTAAGAAATTTTCAACACAGCTTTATGGTCTAGAAAGTTACAAATTTTGAATTTTAATTTATTACATAATTTTACTGCAGAGTAATATAGTAGGATGATCACTAAAATTTTTAATTTTAGTATGTATTTATTATACATATTATACTAGGATACAATTCTATGGGGGAAGTGGAATGGAAATACAAATGTGAATGAGAAAAAGGAACCACATAAAATGTCCTATACTAAAGAATTTATCATCTGTGTACTTTTTAAAGGAATGATGGTAAGTGCCAAGTCAATAACATATTTTTACTGATGTGGGAGGATTGCTTGAGTACAGGAGTTTGAGATCAGCCTGGGCAACATAGGGAGATACCGTCTCTACAAAAAAAAAAAAAAAAGAAAATTAGCCTGGCATGGTGGCACATGACTGTAGTCCCAGCTACTTGGGAGGCTGAGGTGGGAGGATTTCCTGAGCCTGGGAGGTTGAAGCTGCAGTGGGCCATAATCCTGCCACTGCATCCCAGCCTGAGCTACAGGGAGAGATCTTGTCTCAAAAAAAAATCAATCAATAAAAAGTAATTTTTGAAATAGCTCATAATTTTTTAATGAAATTTTATTTTTGCTGAAATGGGACAGGTTTTATTACCCCCCTTTTCAGTTTTATGGATGTACGTGATGAGAAAACTGGTTAACAAATAAATAGACAAAAATCTAAGTTTTGTGTAATGCCATCTCAATTATTTTTAATTCTTGGGGAATTACATGCTAAAAGCTATATAGAAATTAGGTTCGTAGGGCTGCCATCACATTATACTGCAAACCGGGTGGCTTAAAACAGCACAGATTTATTCTTTTACTGCTCTGGAGGCTAGAAATCTGAAATCAAGGTGTTAGCTGGGCCATACCGACCGACAGCTCTAGAGGTGAACGGCTTCCTGCTCTTCTAGCTTTTGTTTTTTGCTGGCAATCCTTAGAGTTCCTTGGCTTGTAGATGCAACATTACAGTCATATGGCCGTCTTCTCCCCAAGTTTCTCAGGTTTTCTTCCCTCTGTATGTGTCTTGCCTCTGTGTCCAAATTTCTCCTTTTCATAAAGAGATCAGTCATATTGGATTAGGGCTCTTCCTAATGACAACATTTTAATTTGATTATCTCTATAAAGACTCCATTTCCAAATAAGATTACATTCCAAAGTACTGGGAAATAAGGACTTCAACATGTATTTTTGGGGGTGGGACACAATTAAACTCACAACACCAGGCATGTGTGTTTTATAAGATTAGCCGACATCCCAATTAGCTCTTCATTCAATTTTCTTGAAAATAAAGAATTGAAAACCACCTGATGTTCAAAAATAATCTGTCATCCAGTCATGAGAGTCATTTATTTACATTCAAATTTATACCAGTACTTCAAATTGTCCTCTCGCTGGGCATTTTGAAGTCTTTTTCACCAGGAGGCACCTCGCCTTAATGCAATTCTGGGGTGAGATACCTGCTTTTTGTTTTTCAGTGGGAGAAGGGTGGATGGGAATGGGGCAGATCTATTTTAGGTACGTGTACAACTGAATTTGAGGATCTGGAAATGGATTATTCTAAAACTGCTCTTGCCCCGTACGCAGTTGGTATATGTGCCCAAGTGTGAAATTTTCTGCCTTAAAGATGAAGTAGTTCACCAGACTGAGTGGAAGCCAGGTTTTTACTAGTTTGAGGAAATCGCACAAAGGCAGTCTGTTAAAAGCATGCAGAATTGTTGGGGTAGAGTAAATTATCCAATGTGTCTAGTGTGTAGGCTGTTTGAGGGGAATGAGAAGGGAGATGGGGCTGCATTGGTGGGAGTCATTGTAAAATATGCGGGGCTGTAGAAAGAACTCTAGAATTGATTCTTTAGGCAATGGGGGCCTAGTAGGCAGCCTTGGTAGACACAGACCTCTTTTAGCTACTTCTCTTTTGCTGTGCATATCTAGAAGGACTCTGTAGGTATTTAAAACAATATTAGGAAAGAAACAAGAACAATTGCCACAGAGACAGTTACTTAGCAATCAAAACATTACCCCTTGCTCAGGATAAAATAATTCTAAAAAGGTATTTTTGGGGACTTCAATTTTTAAAAGTAGCAGTTAATGTGAAAATAACCTCTTATTATGAGAATTAGATATTAAGGACAGGATAATGAAACGACTGAGGGTCACTGTAATCTGACTCTGTTAATGAGTAATACAGTTTAAATAAATTATAGTTCAATTGAATATTATACAGTCCTGAAAAAGAATGGGCTGTATCTATGCATGTTGATGTGAACTCAGCTTTAAGATACAATGTTGAATTAAAAAAAAAGTTGTAGAAAAAGAATACATACTTTTACATGAGAGATGTTTCTGGAAAATGTTAGAAGGAACTGGTAACAGTGGTTGTCTCTGGAGAGGCAGATAGGAAGGCTGGAGGCTACTTGAGCAGGTAGGGGGAGTCTTACTCCTCACTGTGAATTTCTTCTTCAATCACCTCTCCTTCCATGTCCTATTTATTTATTTAGAGATGGAGTCTCACTCTGTTGCCCAGGCTGGAGGGCAGTGGCGCGATCTCAGCTCACTTCAACCTCCGCCTCCCAGAATCAAGCAATTCTCCCTGCCTCAGCCTCCCATGTAGCTGGGATTACAGGCACCCACCACCACACCTGGCTAATTTTTGTACTTTTAGTAGAGATGGGGTTTTGCTATATTGGCCAGGCTGGTCTCAAACTCCTGACTTCAGGTGATCCTCCCACCTCAGCCTCCCAAAGTGCTGGGATTACAGGTGTGAACCACTGCGCCCGGCCCCTATTTTTTATTTTGAAGAAAACAAATTAAAAACACAAAACAAGGTCAAAATGAAAAAAAGAAAAACAAAACCAAAACCCAACACCTCTGAGACTATTATAAAGAACTACCATAGTATTATAGTGATATAATTTAAAAACAGAACTAAATTTGAAGTTGGTTACAAATCAATCGTTATTTATTTATATTCAACTATTTTTCCAAGTTTGTTGAAAAAGAAGTAAAAAGCAATAATAAGTAGAATACTCAGCAATGTTATACATTTTAGACTAATTTCATTTTTGGGGGTTTGGGCAGGGGGACAGAATCTCACTCTGTCACCCAGGCTGGACTGCAGTGTCACGATCTCGGCTCACTACAACCTCTGCCTCCCGGGTTCAAGCAATTATCGTGCCTTAGCCTCCCAAGTAGCTGGAACTACAGGTGTGCATTAACACTCCTGGCTAATTTTCCTATTTTTAGTAGAGACGGGGTTTCACCATGTTACCCTGGCTGGTCTTGAACTCCTGGCCTCAAGTGATCCACCTGCCTCAGCCTCCCAAAGTGCTGGGATTACAGGTGTGAACCACTGTAATTTTAGACTAATTTCTTTCAAAAATTCAGTCAATTCAAAGTAGTATTAATTTATTGGTCTACTTAGTATAACTCCTTTTAGCTATCATTCTTGAAGATTAGCTTCTACCTTTTGTGAAGCTTCTCATCTTTTGTTTGTACAAAATTTATCAGATTTGCTAAGAGTTTAATATTATTTAATAATTAGAAAAGTTTTTTCACCAGCCTGACCAACATGGAGAAACCCTGTCTCTACTAAAAAAAAATACAAAAAAATTAGCCGTGCATGGTTACGCATACCTGTAATCTCAGCTACTTGGGAGGCCGAGGCAGGAGAATTGCTTGAACTTGGGAGGCAGAGGTTGTGGTGAGCCAAGATCGTGCCATTGCACTCCAGCCTGGGCAACAAGAGAGAAACTCCGTCTCAGAAAAAAAAAAAAAAAAAAAAAAAGAGAAGTTTTTTGTGTCTGAATTTTAAATTAGTTCCCAAATTTTAGAAATGCCTCTCTGTACCCCACATCTTCCCATCATTAACTATCATCAACTCACTTCTTTTACCTGCATCGCCACCACCCTATTTGAGGCTACCAATGTCAATTCTTGCTCAGACAACTCAACAGCTTCCAAAATTCTACGCTTGCTACCCTACGACAATTCCCCACAAAGTGGCCAGGGTTATATGCTTAAGGTTTAACATTACATTGTGTCATTTTCCCACTGAAATCCTCTATTTATGGCTTTTCCATGCACTACAGTAACATCCTGTCTCCTTAGTGTGGCCTCCAAGGCCTTCCAGGGGCCACCCCGCCTGCTCTTGACTCTCCTTTCCCATGACTCTTCCCCACCCAACTGATTGTCTTCCATTTCTTAGGAGAAGTTTAATTCTTGATTTTCCTGCTGTTCAGAGCATTACTTCTCTGGTTCTTCTAAACAGTGGTTTAAATGTTACTTCTTCAGAAAAGTGTTCTATAATCATTAGCGATGGTCCTCATCGTTATTCTGTATAGCAGAACTCTGATTCCATCTAGCTCTCGATCGCACTTACTTTATTCATTTTGTTTACTTTCTGTTTATTGGCTGTCTGGTCTAGTAGAGAGTATACATCCCATGAGGGTAGGAACTACATCCGTGTGATTCACTGTTGTATCCCTAGCACTTACCCTACTGTTTGGCCTAACTTAGACTCCCAGTTAACATTTGTGGAATGAATGAACAACAAAGATCTTAGTAAAAGTTCCATAGTATGTTTATAATAATGACTAATTTTTGTTACCACCACAAAGTGTACATTTAAAGAATGATTATTAGATCCAAAATTAGTTTCTTACAATTAAACAATTATAGATGTGGTGTCTTAAAAGCATTTTATATCCCATCAAGTAATTAAAAAGTGTGTCTAATATCTTCATCTCCCTACCTGTTATCAGTGTGCTGCCTCTCTCAAGAATGTCACTTTTCCAGGGTTGGATCCTTAGCTTTGATTTGTTATCAATTTTTTATTTTATTTTTATTTTTATTTATTTATTTATTTATTTTGAGACAGAGTCTCGCTCTGTCGCCCAGGCTGGAGTGCAGTGGCGCGATCTCGGCTCACTGCAAGCTCCGCCTCCTGGGTTCACGCCATTCTCCTGCCTCCACGCTATTCTCCTGCCTCAGCCTCCTGAGTAGCTGGGACTAGAGGTGCCCGCCACCACGCCCGGCTAATTTTTTGTATTTTTAGTAAAGACGGGGTTTCACCGTATTAGCCAGGATGGTCTCGATCTTCTGACCTCATGATCTGTCAGCCTCAGCCTCCCAAAGTGCTGGGATTACAGGCGTGAGCCACCACGCCCAGCCCAATGTTTTAGGAATAGAAGGAAGCCAGAGTACAATTCTTGATGTAGGCACGTATTACTCCACAGGTTATGTATCGCTTCTTCTTCTTCGTCTTTTTTTTTTTTTTTCTTTTTTCCTTGAGACAGAGTCTTGCTCTTGTTGCCCAGGCTGGAGTGCAATGCATGATCTTGGCTCACTGCAACTTCCGCCTCTGGGTTCGAGCGATTCTCCTGCCTCAGCCTCGCGGGTAGCTGGGATTACAGGCACACGCCACCACGCCCAGCTAATTTTTGTATTTTTAGTAGAGACGGGGTTTCACCATGTTGGCTAGGCTAGGCTAGGCTAGGCTAGTCTCGAATTGTCTCGAATTGTCTCGAATTCCTAACTTCAGGTGATCCATCGGCCTCGGCTTCCCAGAGTGCTGGGATTACAGGTGTGAGCCACTGCGCCCGGCCGCTATGTATCTCTTTTAAAAATCCGTTTACCTATCCTACAACAGCAAAATGAAGATGACCGCTCTATTCTCAATGACAATTTCATTTTTCTAGATATCACCAGTTCTTTACAGCATCTCTTCTTCACTCTATGCCATGTAATAAAAAAAATTAGCAAGACCTAATTCTTGTGGGATGACAGAAATGTTTTTAAAACATCCTGTAAGTAAAAAAAAAAAAAAAAGTTACATCAACATGATTATAAAGAAAACAAAAATGAGATACCACTATATACCTATCAGAAGGTGAAAATCCCAAATACTGACAATACCAAATGCTAACAAAGATGTGGAACGACAGGAACTCTCATCCATTACTGGTGGGAATGTAAAATTCCACTCGAGAAGACAGTTGACAGTTTCTTACAAAACTAAACATACTCCTACCATATGATCCAGTTTACCGCTCTCCTTGGCATTTGCCCAAACGAGTTGAAAAGTTATGTCCACACAAAACCCTTGCACATGGGTATTTATAGAAGCATTATTCATAATTGTCAAAACTTGAATGCAACCAAGATATCCGTCAGTAGGTAAATGGATAAATGAACTGTGGTACATCCAGGCAACACAATATTATTCAGCGCTTAAAAAGAAATGAATGAACTACCAAGCCATGAAAGGACACGGAGGAAACTTAAAGGCATATTGCTAAGGGAAATAAGCTGATCTGAAAAGTCTGAATACTGTATGAGGCTAACTGTAAGACATTCTGGTAATGGCAAAATCATGGAGACAGCAGAAAGATCAATGGTTACTACGGGTTATAGGGCAGGGAGAGAGATAGGAAGGGATGAACAACACCAAGATGTAAAACCAAGGGTAAACTCTAATATATTAAACTATGGACTTTGAGTAATAATAATGTGTTCATATAGGTTCGTAAGTTGTAACAAAACGTACCACTCTGGTGGGGGAGTTGCTAGTGGGGAAGGCTATGCAGGTGTGGAATGGGGTGTGTGGGAACTCTCTGAATTTTCTGCTCAAATTTTCTGTGAACCTAAAACTGTTTTAAAAAATGAAGTCAATTAAGAATGTTAACAATTATCCTTACATGCAAGGGTTATTGGTCATTTTCCCCCCCTTCGTACTTTTCAGGTATTCCAAGTTGTGGTTTGTGTGTATGTGTTTTTGTTTTGTTTTGTTTTGTTTTTTAAATCACTGAGGGCAGGGCCAGTTCATAATCCCAGCTCTTTGGGAGGCCGAGGCAGGAGGATTGCTTGAGCTGAGTTCAAGACCAGCCTGGGTAACATGGCAAAACCTTATCTTCACAAAAAAAAAAACTACAAAAATTAAGGCTGGGCACTGTGGCTCACGCCTCTAATCCCAGCACTTTGGGAGGCCGAGGCGAATGAATCACCTGAGGTCAGGAGTTCGAGACCAGCCTGGTCAACATGGTGAAACCCCATCTCTGCTACATACAAAAATTAGCTGGGCATGGTGGGGCATGCCTGTAATCCTAGCTATTCCGGAGGCTGAGGCAGTAGCATTGCTTGAACCGGGACCTGGGAGGTGGAGGTTGCTGTGAGCCGAGATCACGCCACTGCACTTCAGCTTGGGCTACAGAGCGAGACTCTGTCTCAAAAACAAAAAACAAAAACAGAAAACAAAAATTAGCTGGATGTGGTGACAGGTACCTGTAGTCCTAGCAGTCGGGAAGCTGAGATAGGAGAATCGCTTCAGCCCAGGAGGTGGAGGCTGCAGTGAGCCATGATCATTCTACTGACTCCAGCCTAGGCAACAGAGTAAGACCCTGTTGAAAGAAAGAAAAAATAGGCTGGGCGAGGTGGCTCACTCCTGTAATCCCAGCACTTTGGGAGGCCAAGACGGGCAGATCATGAGATCAGGAGTTCGAGACCAGCCTGGCCAATATGGTGAAACGCCGTTTCTACTAAAAGTGCAAAAATTAGCTGGGCGTGGTGGCGGGTGCCTGTAGTCCCAGCTACTTGGGAGGCTGAGGCAGAAGACTCGCTTGAACCTGGGAGAACGAGATTGCAGCAAGTCGAGATCACGCCACTGCACTCAAGCCTGGGTGACAGAGCGAGACTTTGTCAAAAAAAAAAAAAAGAAAAGAAAAGGAAGGGAAGGAAGGAGCGAGAGAGAAAAAAAGAAGGAAGAAAGGAAGGAAAGAAAGAAGAGAAAGAAAGGAAGAAAAAGAAAGAAAGACGTGGCAGCTCACACCCGTAATTCCAACACTTTGGGAGATTTAGGTGGGAGGATTACTTAAACCCGGGAGTTGGAGACCAGCCTGGACTGTTAACATAGTGAGACCCCTTCTCTACAAAATAAACAATAACAAAATTCAGCTGGGTATGGTGGCACGTGCCTGTGGTCCCAGCTACTTAGGAGGCTGAAATAAATAAATAAATAATTTTTAAAAATTAAAAAAAAGTAAAATCATTGTGTATTTATTACCTTTGGAAGTAGGAAAAAGTATGAAAAACATAAGATGTAATGATTCACAACTTTCAGACCTGCTTAATTTTAGATTTTAATATTTTAGTGAATAGCTACTGGTAAATTAAGTTTAGCCGAAAACCACCTGCTTACATATTTTAAGTTTGGCCTAAAAGTTTCCCCTTACAGGGTGAACTGCAACCCAACTGGATATGTAAACAGAATGTAACCTATTTTTTGTACTAGTCACGGAGTTTTGGCCAGTCATAGGCGGCCAGCTCTTCAAACCATGTTCAAATAAGGCAAACGCTAAGCTCTAACCAATCAGGATGTTTCTGGGCCTCATTTCTGTTTTCTTTAACTTTACTTTTTCTACCCATAATCCTCTCTGACCACGTAGCAGCTGCAAAGTCGTTCTGAACCTCTTCTGGTTCCGGGTCCTGCCCAATTAGCAAATCATTCTTTGCTCAATTAAACTGTTAAATTTAATTTGTCTAAAGTTTTGGTTTTAACACTACTCAGTACAGAAATTCACTAAATAACGGTTGACAATATAAGGAGTCCTTTCAGCTTATTATTTTATAAAATCATAGAATTTATTGATGGGAAGGATCTTGGAAATAATCTAATCTTTCCCTTTAAAATTTGCTTCTGTTTTGCAGTGAGTACCTCTAAAGCAAGCTTGTCCAACCAGTGGCCAGGAGGTGGCATGTAGCCCAGAATGGCTTTGAATGCATGTGGTCCAACACAAATTTTGTAAACTTTCTTAAAACGTAAGATTTTTTTGTGTGTGATTTTTTAATTTATTTATTTTGGCTCGTCAGTTATCATTAGTGTATTTTATGTGTGGCCCAAGACAATAATTCTTCCAGTGTGGGCCAGGGAAGCCAAAAGATTGGACACCCACGCTCTAAAGCTTAGATGGAACTTGGTGGGCTATGATGCCTGGGAGATAAATGAATAACAAGAAAGCACAGGTACCAACAGCAAAAGCAGACAAATGAGATACATTAAAAAGCTTCTGTATCGTAAAGGAAACAATCAACAGAGTGAAGAGACAACCTATGAAATGAGAGACTTTATTTACAAACCATATGTCTGATAAGAGGTTACTATCCACAATAGGAACTCAAATAACTCAATAGGAAGAAAGCAACCTGATTTAAAAATAGGCAAACGGGCCAGATGCGGTGGCTTACTCCTGTAATCCCAGCGCTTTGGGAGGCTGAGGCAGGTGGATTAGTTGAAGTCAGGAGCTCGAGACCAGCCTGGTCAACACGGTGAAACCCCATCTCTACTAAAAAAAAAAAAAAAAAAAAAAAAATTTACCGGGGGTCGTGGTGTGCGCATGTAATTCCAGCTACTCAAGAGATTGAGGCAGGAGGATCGCTTGAACCTGGGAGGTGGGTGTTGCAGTGAGCTGAGATGGGGCCACTGCACACCAGCCTGGGTGACAGAGCTAGACTCTATCTCAAAAATAAAATACAATAAGACAGACAAAAGAATACACATGCTGTTAATGATGTGGAAGAAAGGGAACCCTTGCACACTGTTGCTAGGAATGTAAATTAATACAGCGATGATGGAAAACAGTATGATGGTTTCTCAAAAAATAAAAAAATTGACTACCATGTGATCCAGTAATCCCGCTAGTGAGTATATACCCAAAGGAAATGAAATCAGTTCCTTCAGGTGGTGCCTACACTCTCATGTTCATTGCAGTATTATTCACAATAGCCAGGATATGGAGTATATGTAAGTGTCCATCAACAGATGAATGGATAAAGAAAATGTGGCATATATACACAACGGAATATTATTCAGCCTTAAAAAGAAGAAAATCCTGTTGTTTGTGACAACATGGATGAACCTGAAGGACATTATGTTAAATGAAATAAGCCAGGCACAGAAAGACAAATACCACATAATCTCACATATGGAATCTTAAACAAGTTGAACTCATAGAAGCAGAGCATAGAATGGTGATTACCAGGGGCTGGGGTGGTGGCATGAGAGTTTGGTGGAATTTAGAGGATATGGGTCAAAAGATAGAAGTTTTAGCTACATAGGAGGAAGTTCAAGAGACTGTACACCATATTGTGCAACATGGTGTTTAAAATCAATAACAGTATATTGTATTATTGAAAATAGCCGAGAGTAGATTTTAAGTGTTTCTACCACAAAAAATAATAAGTATGTGAGGTTGTGCCTATATTATTTAGTCACTGCACAATGTATATATATTTCAAAACATCATGTTGTATACACTAAATATATTCAATTTTTTGCCAATTAAAATAAATACATTTGATTTAAAAAGAGAAACATGATGGGACCCTTATTCCAATGTGAACTGGTAAGGAAGAGTGAAGGGCAATCTTTGTTAAGACTATAGTTGCAAACACTTTTTATTACTCAATAATAAAGCCACAGGAACTCAGAGGAAAGGAATATTTACAATAAACTGGAAAAATGATATGGGGTTGGTTGGAGGCATTGGGATCCCAAAGGATGAGAAGATTATAAGGAGAGAAGAAGGGATTTTCCTTTAAGGGTCTAGGATGTACAATTCCCTCAGTTCACTGAAGAAACTGAGGCTCAAAAAGTGGAGGGTCACTACTATGGTTTGAATATTTGTCCCCTCCACAGCTCATGTTGAAATGTAATTGCTATTGTGATGGTATCAAGAAGTGAGACCTTTAAGAGATGTGAGCCCTCATGAATAGATTAATGTTATCATCAGGGAAGTAGGTTTCCTTATTGTAGGACTGGGCTTGTCCCTTCTTGCTCTTACTCTCATCCTCTCTCAGCCTTTCAGACATGTGATGCTTTCCTTGATGTTATGACATAGCAAGAAGGCCCATGACAGATGCCAGCACCTTGATATTGGACTTCCCTGCCTCCAGAATGGTGAGTCAGTAAATTTCTGTTATTGATAAATTACCCAGTCTTAGGTATTCTGTTGTAGAAGCACTAAATGAACTAAGACAGTCACAAAGCTAACAAGTAGTGGAATTAGCATTAACTTCACCTCTGCATACTTTTCCAGGCATTGTTAATAAGCTTCATTACTCTTTCATAAAGTGTAAAACATGTTGATAGGAAAGAATAAGTATTTCATATATTTAGAAAGAATGGCAACTTAAATCTCTATTTTTAAAATTTCAACCTATAGGCTGGGCACGGTGGCTCACGCCTGTAATCCGAGCACTTTGGGAGGCTGAGGCGGGTGGATCACGAGGTCAAGAGATCGAGACCATCCTGGCCAACATGGTGAAACCCTGTCTCTGCTAAAGAACACAAAAATTAGCTGGGCGTGGTGGCGCTTGCCTGTAGTCCCAGCTACTCAGGAGGCTGAGGCAGAAGAATTGCTTAAATCCAGGAGGCAGAGGTTGCAGTGAGCTGAGATTGCACCACTGCACTCCAGCCTGGCGACAGAGCAAGACTCTGTCTCAAAAAAAAAAAAAAAAAAAAAAAAATTCCACCTATGGTTCATTTGAGATTACTCTCAGTTTCTGATATCATCTTGTGTTTTTCCAGCTGATTTAGAACTTAAATTTGTCCATGACTTGCTTTCTCCAGAGTAATATTTTTCAAACCACAGTTTGTAAACCATGAAATGAACTTGGTGTGTTGCAACTATTATTTATTTATTTAAAAAGAAGGGCTAAAACTGTATAGACTAGATTTAAATATACTAGAATGGATAATATTAAAATGCATCTAAGACAGTGAAAGATAATTATTCCATGAATCCTGTGTTTCAGTTATATAGTCATGTACCTAGTAGGCGTTTGTACCGGGTGCTGATGTACAATGCATATCCCAGTGGTTGTCATGGTCAAAAAAAAGTTTATAAGCCACTGATCTAAAATGCATTATTTAGTGCTATGTTTAATTTTTTTTTTTTTTTTTTTTTAGACGGAGTCTCACTCTGTCGCCCAGGCTGGAGTGCGGTGGCACAATCTCGGCTCACTGCAAGCTCCGCCTTCCGGGTTCACGTCATCCTCCTGCCTCAGCCTCCCAAGTAGCTGGGACTACAGGCGCCCACCACCATGCCTGGCTAATTTTTTGTATTTTTAGTAGAGACGGGGTTTCACCGTGGTCTCGATCTCCTGACCTTGTGATCCGCCCGCCTCGGCCTCCCAAAGTGCTGGGATTACAGGCATGAGCCACCGCGCCTGGCCTGTTTAAAATTTTTTAAGATGACATGTTTAAGAGTTAAAATTTAAGAATGAAGAGAAAGCTATCTAGAGAGGCTGTATAATGAGGTGGTTAATAGCATGGATTCTGGAGCCAAGAATCCTAGGGCCAAGGAACTTCACCCTTTCTCCACAACAATAAAGCAAAATTATGGATTTTTGGTTGCTATAATACCAAACATCATTCAGTATAAGCAAATTATAAATGTCAACTTAAAACTAACAATTTTTATTTAAAATTCTTATTTTTGAATCCTATGAGAAGCATCCTACCCAGGAGTACTATGTTTATATATCAATAAGTAATATTAAACTTGTTTCAGTCTTTGTTCCTTCTTTCATAGAAAATTTTCTTCAGTGTTTCCATTGTTAAAATATTGTTGTTTTTTTTTTCTTTTTGAGACAGGGTCTCACTCTTTGCCCAGGCTGGAGTGCAGTGACACAATCTTAGCTCAATACAACCTCTGCCTGCCGGGTTCAAGCAACTCTCCCACCTTAGCCTCCTGAGTAGCTGGGACTACAAGCATGCACCACGCTGCCCGGCTAGTTTTTGTATTTTTTGGTAGAGATGGGGTTTTACCATGTTGGCCAGGATGGTCTCAAACTCCCGATCTCAAGTGATCCACCTGCCTTGGCCTCCCAAAGTGCTGGGATTACAGACATGAGCCACTGCGCCCGGCCCCAAGACTACTTGATTTAGTTACTGCAATTATTATTATTATTATTATTATTATTATTTGGATTATGCGGTAGCATAGTATTGGTGGTAGAGATATCAATATGGTCCTAGTAGAATATTATAATTTTTTTCTAATATTTCATTGAGTCAAGTATGAATGATAAAAACAACTAAAATTTACTGAGGTCTATATTAAGTGAGGTGCAAGGTGCAAGTTTTATACATGTATGCTCGTTTCACCCCCTAAAAAACTCTATGAAAGAGGAATTATTATCTACATTTCACACATGATGAAACGATCAGAGGCTTAGAGAAGCTTACACATGACTAAAAGCATCTAGCTAGTTGCTAGTTGTGGGTAATGCCAGAATTCAGATGGGGGCAGTCTGGCTCTTTAAGCTGTGCTCAGAGTCAGTTTTACTACATCTCAATTAACGGTGAGCTCTTGGTCTTCGAAATGCAATTAAACCTAACACTTTTATATCACTTTCACAGAAGTTACTTGGTCCTTATAACAACTCTTTTTTTTTGAGATGGAGTCTTGCTCTGTTGCCCAGGCTGGAGTGCAGTGGTGCGCTCTCGGCTCACTGCAACCTCCGCCTCCTGGGTTCAAGCGATTCTCCTGCCTCAGCCTCCTGAGTAGCTGGTACTACAGGCGGGTGCCACCATGCCCAGCCACAACAACTGTTTATTACTTTACTTTACAAATAAGGAAATGGACTCAGAGAGAAGGTAAGTTTCTGAGGTTTTGAGTGGCCAGATATTTGAAATACAAGTCTTTTGCTCACGTCTTGCAGCTGCCTCTTGGATGTCTGGTATGCTTTTTGACAGGTACAGAATAGATTAATACACACACACACAGTTTTAGTTGTGGATTTATTGAGATATAATTGACATATCATGCAATTCACACATTTAAGGTATGCTGTTCAGAGGTTTTTAGCACATTCACAGTTGTGCAATCATTTCAGTCAATTTTAGAACACTTGAGTCACTCCATTAAAAAACCTCGTAACTTTTAGCTACCATTTTCTACTCCCCACTTCTCCAGTTCTGGGCAACCAGTAATCTACTTTCTGTCTCTACAGATTTGCCTATTATAGACATTTCTCGTAAATGGAATAAAATATTCAGTGGTCTTTTGTGTCTTGTTTATTCACTTAGCATAATGTCTTTAAGGTTTGTCCATGTTGTAGTGTATATCAGAACTTCACTCCTCTTTAGGTCTGAATAATATTCCATTGTATGGATGTACCACATTTTGTTTATCCATTCATCAGTTGATGGACATTTCAGGGATGTTGGAAATTATGAATAATGCTGTTATGAACATTCAAACATTTATTTTTAAAATTACTTTTATGTAAAATTGTCTGCTTTTTAACATTATGACAAATACTTTCTTCCCAGTTCTAAATTCTCAACGAAAAATTCTCCCTGATATCAGACCAGCAAACCAATGAACAGTTGCATGGACAGATGTACCTGAATGAATTTAAAAAGTAAATAATAAATACTATAATTAGCACAGTTGCTCATTAGTTATATAAAACAGCAATAACACTAGGGAATTAGTAGCAGTATAGAGCTCCAACTGAACAGTACGTGGCAACCCAATCTATCATTTATCACAGAGCTTATTTGGAAGTATTAGTCTACTTTAGTCTTCTAAATGTAAATTCAATGAGCTGAAGCTACTTCAATAGGACCTGGCAGCAGAAAAGGAATGATGTAAGTTTTCACCAAATTATTACAATTTGGTAGTAGAGGATGTTTGTTTTGATGATAGTGGCTGTTTTTGTTGTGATGTTTCTGTTGTGATGATAGTTTTTCAGTCTAAACCAGTACTGTGTAATATGAAATCTTAAGAGGCTATTTTAGTGTATTTAAAACTAAAAAATTTTAGTTACAAAGTTTCCTAAAAATTAGTGATACTTTTTGAAAAGCTGGTTCAAGTACATTTTATTAATTTTTTTCAATAAAAGAGAACAGTGTATTCAAGGTATTTAGTACAAGGTGGAAAGCCTACTTGATTTATTTTTTTTAATGAGTGAATGAATTCAACTTCTACTAGATTATCCTCTGTAAGTTGCGTCTATTAGTTTACACATCAGTCTTTCACGGGTGATTAACCTCACTAAAAACTTCATGTTCATCAATATTGTGTTGAACTTGAAACTGTATTATCATATATGTTTATTAATAGGCAATGGTGTCAGATAATCGTGAAATTGAGAAGTCGCCCATCCATTTGGGTGGGAAAATAACCAACATCCTCAGTTGTAATCCCACTAAGAACCGCCAGGGCGAGACGAAAGCGACATCGCTTCCATCTTTACGTGAGTCTTGGAAATGGTTCAGCACCATGACGTCCGCCGAAGACGTAGGTGTAGACGAGGAACAAAAGAGAAGACCCCTCGTGGAGGTGGCCTGTGGGGCCCGCCCTCCTCGGGCGCCTGTCGTCGTCTGTCCCTGACTCCGCTCCCCCCGGCGGCCGCAGCGAGTGCGCCCCGCGATGCAGCGGGCTGTGGAGGGAGCCTCCATGGAGTCTCCATCAACCATTGAGGACCAGGAGACGGTGGCAGGCGGTAGAGAGGCCTGGGCAGGGCCAGCGCCCCGGGCTGCGGAGCACAGGACGGCGGCGCCCAAGGACGCCCCAGGGCAGGCCTCAGCCCCTCCAACCGGTGGGAGCCCAGCTCCAGGGGAGCCCGCAGCTCCCTCCATCTTGGTTGATGGAGGCGGGGAGCTGCGTCTGGGTCTCTCCACCGTCGTGCCCGTCCCCTGTGGCCCCGCGGACGCAGACGCCAGCAGCCGGGGTTGTTCCCTTGGCCGAATGGCAGAGTCCAGTTGGGGCTTCCCGAGGACAAGTTTCCCGGCCCCACGGGGTTTGGTTTTTAGGGGGTCCCAAGTTCCCACAGTCGTTCCGACAAAATGGAGGACGTCGTCTCCTCCTGCTGCAGCCATGGCGGGAGGTGGGGGACTATTCCCCACGGGGCGCGGCGAGGGTGGAAGGGCCTCCACTGCCCCCAGCGCGGTCGGGATTCCAGTTCACCCGCGGTCCCGAAAGCCCACTCGGACCCGCTCCAGCGCCTCCCCGGCCTCGCCCCTCGCAGGGGCCTTCAAGCAACTGGACAGGGAGGGCGTTGGGGCATCGAGGCCGCGGCTCTCCTCGGGCAGAGGCGTTGGGAGCCGCTGCCGCGGCCTGGGCGCCCGGGCTCGGGCGAGGGCAGGCGGCCCCGCCGGAGTCTCCCGGGCTGTGTAGGTCCCGGAGAGCCCCGGGCCCCGAGGAGCCGAAGCGGGTTCGGTACGGCGGGCAGCGAATCTCGGGCTCCTGACCCTGGCAGACCCGGTGGGTGGGGGCGGGGGACCGGCGGGGAGGGGACCCGGCCAGGAGTCGAGGGCCGGCGGAGGCGGGAGTGGAACGGCAGGGCCGGGGGAGTGGCCCGCACCTGACGGACAGCCCTTCGGACCACCCTACCGAGGGGGGGCCCTGAAGGACGGCCGTCGGAGCCAATGGGCGTGCCCGAAGCGCTCCGGCCAGCCTTCCCCGTCAGCCAATGAGCGCGCGGAGGGCGGGGCCTCCCCGGGCTCGGCCGCGCCGCCGCCTCCTCCGCCTCCTCCTCCTCACCAGCGCTAAAGCCGGGACTGGACCGAGCGGAGTTGTGCGTGTCGCCGAAGGGGGGTGGGCCGGGGGAGGGGAGGTTCGTTCCGCGGAGCCCCAGCCAGAACCGGGTGAGGCTTATCCCCGCTGTCTTTCCAGTCCAGGGCCGCCGAGAGTGGGGGTGGCTGGGAGCAGCGCAGCCTCCGGAGGAGGAGGCGGAGGCGGAGGCGACTAGGGAGGCGGAGATGGGTGAGGGCAGCCTCCGGAGCCTCCCACCGACCCGGGATTAATACCCCGCGGCGCGGCCGCCGTCGCCGCTGCCGCGTCGGGGCCTCGGGGGCAGCTCGGGGCTGCGCTCATGTCACAGGCGCCTTTGCGTGCGGCCCGAGGGGCTGGGAGAGTGCGGGCGAGGCCGGGAGGGCTGGGTGAGGCGGCCGCCAGCGGCGGGGGTCGCGGGGCCGGCGGGGCGGCGGGACGGCGGGACGGCGGGGCGGGGGTGCCGGCCGCCCGGGGAGGTCGCGGGGCATTTTCCTTTCTCTCCGGCGGGGGGCGGGGGAGGGGCGCCCCGGCTGGGTCTCCGCTCTCGGGGCAGCGCTCCCACCCTGTCCACCGGAGCCGAGGTCCCCAAGTTTTTCGGGGTGAGGGCTGCTGCCTCTGCTCCGCCGGGTCCCCTCCTTCGCTCTTCTTTTCCTCGGCGCTGCGCTGCGCGGCTCTTGCTCCGCACGTATTGTTTGGCTGGGTCTCTAATGGCGGACGGGGAGGCAGCGCTGCCGGTCGCCGACTGCAGGGGGGGGCAAACCTCAGGCCCAGGGCAACTGCTTGGGGCAAATGTGGGCGATATCGGCCCAGCAGTGACGTGAGCCGCCCCTTACCTCTGAATTGGTACTTGGAGTGACGGGGATGACGCTGGGTGGGCAAATTTAGGAGGGAATACAAATCCCTTGCTGGCGTCGAGGCAACGTTTTCCCTTCCCCCCTCCCTTCCCGGGAGCAGGCTCGGTGTCCTTAGGCCCCCTCCCTTCCAGATTTTGCCTTTCACATGGGTTTTGGCCCCAAATATGTATTTTGCGCTGTTTTGCCCCACTTACGCAGGAGGGGGCTGTTGTGCGCATGGTGGGGGTAATAATAGAAGGACCGAACCTCCTTGACCTCTTATTCCCTTCTCTGCCTCCTTCTGGCAGAAAGGGTTGGGTTCTCCCACCAGGTTGTGTGTTTTTGATACATTTTTCTTTTTTCCTCCTATCCCAGGACCAAGAATCGCCTTCAGCCCTGTCTGGTGCATCCTTGGCAGAAAGTGAGGAGGAAAACACCCCCATTGTGAGTCCTTTGCCCCTAATTTGTTGCTAATAGAGGACATTGTCAGGTTGTAGGGGTTAAGCTATGGGACCTGGCCCTCCCCGTTGTTTTGAGGGGGAGGAGCTTTCCCTTGGGTGGCAGCTGCCCCCAGGGCGAAGCCTGGGTAATGGCTGGTGAGGCAGCTGGGAGTGGGCGCTGCTGTTTCCACCGCTGCAGACATCGCTCCTGCTGCTGCAATACCAACCTCAGCAACCAGACGACGGGCTTCTGCAGCTGCTCACGTTACCCGGGAGGAGGGGTGGTGCGAAGGAGGGCATATTTCTGGTGCCCTCTAGAGTTCCAAAATGGGAATTAAAGTTATTTCTTGTTGAATGCTGTGCATGCAACCTGAACATTTTTTCTTCCTTAAACAATGGCTAATTGATTGAAGGAATTGGAAACATAGAAATAATCATTTATATTTTTGTTTATGTCTGCTGGAAACACATATTTTGACACTTATGGCTCATGAGTTGCTAGATCTTTTTCATGTATTTGCTTAGGAAAGGGAGTCAACTCCTCTAGTACTATCTTGTTCACCAAGTAGTATGCTGATCAGTCCAGTGTACTGATCTAGTTAATTTCTTCGTTCCCCATCTTCCATGTTGATCATCTTTAACTTAACGATCATTTTTGAATGTGTTACCAGAGAATTATTTAATTTGTTGGTTTTAAGGCAACTATGTAATGTGCTAGAGAGGAAGATGAAGATAGCCAGTCATATTTTCCTTCAGGCAATTGAAACTAAAAGTATCTGAAGTCAGCACTCTGGACACATTATGTCTCTGGAGCCCATTGACAGTTGATGTGGTAACTTGTAGATCTCTGTCAGAGTCAGAGATGAGTTATTTACGCTTAAGTATTCAGTCCACATGGTTCAAAAAATAGTGAATTGATAAGCATTTGCTGAATATACATTGTGAAGGATGATGTGAGAATAGTAACTTACATTAAATATACACCGTTCTAGGCACAGTCCAGGACACTTTCCTTTAATCTTAGCAAGTAGCCCACAGGGTAATACCTATGGCGTGTATTGAGCCCTTATTGTATGCTAGCCCAATTCTAAGGTTTTTTTTTTTTTTTTAAGTTTATTATGGAAACTTTAAATTTTACTAGTAAGAATAGTGTACTGAACCTCCATGTACCCATCATTCACATTCTAAAATTATCAATACGTGCCCACACTAGTTTTTAACATGTGTTAAGTAATTTAATTATCACGAAAACCCAGTGATGTTGATAACCACAGTTATCAATTAGATTTTTATACTGCCTTGTTTCAAAACTAACGGGCTGTTTGGATCAGAATTAACATAGTCTCTTTTTCAATATGTCTGTACAATTTACAGTCTGTAATTGTTTTCTAAATATTGCTAACTTGAATGAATATAACATCTCTAATGAGTTTGAAGTTCATCTCAGGCATCAGATCATTCAATAATGAATCAAGGGTTAGATCTTTCAAATAGATGGATGATGCTTATCGCCACATATTTTCACAAAAGATTTATCTTTCTAGGATTTTTTTTCTTTGTTCTTAGTTATGTTGATAGGGGAAGCTTGATAATTGGTTGTGTTTAGTAGATATTTGGAGATGAGGAACATAAAAAATGCAAAATCAGTACTTTTCTGTAATGTCAACATATGTATACTAACGGAAAGCAGTGCTGCTTTTACGTAATACCAGAATGGTTCTTGTTTTGCTTAACGATTTAGCTTAGAGTTGAACATTTCTTTACTTAAAAACAGCAACTAGTGATGCTGCTATGTGCTAGACAGTAAGATGAAGATAACCTGATGATTTTTAATTGGCCTTGACTAAATAAGTACTTTTATTATACAGTAGGAACATATGTAAATGCTTTTAGATCCATTTACAAAGTATTTTGACAGTTAAAAATACTTTGCATATTTATGGCATATTTCTTTAGTGCATCCTTTCTAATATCTGTTCCCTCCCACCTATCCTTTTAAATTGTTGGGAGGAAGATATAAAGTGGTCCCTACTTTTCCATGGGCTGGGCTTTTGTATCTCATGTGGTGAGACAATCCTGAATCACTCAAGTATGACATATATGCTGACATATGAACATTTTTAACTTCTGTGTGGATATAGAGCTTATATTATCTTTGAACAACAGTTTTTATTTTTTCAGTTTTATTGTATTTTGCCCTTGTTTGAGGTACAGAAGTGTACAAATTTAATATTAATGCATTTGAGACAAAGTGAATCTTTACCTTCAGTCAGATGCTCTGGTATTAATGTGATGGGAAGAATGGGTATGAAATGCTGAAACCCTGGTGTCAAAAGGCATGGTATAATTAGAATTGTTATATTTCCTGTCTCTCTAGCATTAATATGTCTCTATACCATTTGACAATATTATTAATATATATCATAATAAATGTCGTTGATTATGAGAAGACTGGGCTATTCAAATTGCATGGGATATATATATATATATATATTTTTTTTTTTTTTTTTTTTTTTTTTGAGATGGAGTTTCACTCTTGTTGCCCAGGCTGGAGTGCAGTGATGTGATCTTGGCTCACTGCAACCTCTGCCTCCTGGGTTCAAGTGATTCTCCTGCCTCAGCCTCCCAAGTAGTTGGGATTACAGGCATGCGCCACTGTGCCTGACCAATTTTGTATTTTTAGTAGAAACAGGATTTCACCATGTTGGTCAGGCTGATCTCGAACTCCTGGCCTCAAGTTATTCGCCTGCCTCAGCCTCCCAAAGTGCTGAGATTACAGGCGTAAGCCACCTTGCCCAGCCATTTTTTTTTTTTTTTTTTTGAGACAGAGTCTCTGTCATCCAGGCTGGAGTGCAGTGGCGTGATGTCTGCTCACTGCAGCCTCCGCCTCCAGGGTTCAAGCATTCTCCTGCCTCAGCTTCCCAAGTAGCTGGGACTACAGGCACGTGCCACTACACCTGGCTAGTTTTGTATTTTTAGTAGAGATGGGGATTTTTAGTAGAGACAAGGTTTCACCATGTTGGCCAGACTGGTCTCGAACTCCTGAGCTCCGGTGATCTGCCCGCCTCAACCTTCCAGAGTGCTGAGATTACAGGCGTGAGCCACCGTGCCGGCCTGCATGTGATTTTTTTAGCGAATGCAAGGAGAGCCCAAACTCAAGTGTTTTCTCTCATTGGATTCACAAATAGTATTTTATGTAGGGCATTTCAATTTAGGGAAGAAATAAATTGCTTTGACTCCCTGCGTTTTGCTCCTTTAAAAACACTTCAGTTGGTTAATTTTCTTATATTCCTGTCAAAGCATAGAAGTGAACAGGACTTTTGAAGTATTCAGATCAAAAAGTTCTAATGCAGGTCTCCAATATATAACACTTACAAAGTTGTCAATGAGAAAAATTGCTGTTGGATAAATCCATGAATTTGAGTGCAGCAATCTGAGTAACAGTTGCAGCTTATTTTCATATTTTATTTTGGTTGTATACCAGCAAGAATTTTTTTTTTTATGTAGTTGGAGTTGCACATTTTTATATTTACAACCTGGTTTTTTAAACAAATCACTTCGTAGTCTTTGATGTCTCTTACTAAAATAGACATATGAAAAGGGTCTTTATGGTCATCACCAAATGCTTGGCAACAAGATGAGTTGGTCATTTTAAAATGTGTTAAAATTTGGATTATAACACATTTGAACATATCTGTTGTTTTTGTGCATATTTAAGATATATTAATTTTTTTTGGATCAAGCTTTACACAATACTTGAAGCACTTCTGTGGAGCTGCAGAATGAATTTTCGTAAACATTTTTTAAACTCTTTTTAAGAGTTTAAAAAGATGTGCAGAGAGGTTAGCAAAATCACTTGATTAGTATGACTTTGGGATTTGTTCTTAGTCCTGTTTTATTTTTAACTTTATAACAGTCCATTGAAAATTAGAAGTAATAAATTTTAAGAAAAATCAATGCTCTTTAATTTGAAAGAAGGGTATAGCTGTTGGGTTTTAGTTTTACTGATTTGATTAATGTTCTGTAAATATTCATGTTTGCTATTTCAAGAAATGACATAAGAGTAAACTGGTTGGCCGGGCTCAGTGGCTCACGCCTGTAATCTTAGCTTTGGGAGACTGAGGCGGGTGGATCACCTGAGGTCAAGAGTTCGAGACCAGCCTGGCCAATGTGGTGAAACCCTGTCTCTACTAAAATACAAAGATTAGTCAGGCATGGTGGTAGGCACCCGTCATGCCAGCTACTCAGGAGGCTGAGGTAGGAGAATCACCTGAAACTGGGAGGTGGAGGTTGCAGTTAGCCAAGATTGCACCACTGCACTCCAGCCTGGGCAATAGAGTGAGAGACCGTCTCAAAAATAAAAAAAAAAATAAAGTGATTATTCACAGAAATAGATAATGCATGTTTAATAGGTCGGTTTTTTGTAGAGACAGGGACCCACTTTGTTGTCCACACTGCTCTCAAACTGCTGGACTCAAGCGATCTTCCCACCTTGGCCTCCCAAAGTGTTGGGATTTCAGGCGTGAGCCACCATGCCCAGCCAGTAGGTTGGGTTTTTAAAAACTTTTGCACGTTTATGTTTTATTAGTATAAGTTATCATCTTGTTTTTGTTTATTCTTAATTTAGACCGTTCTCTTTAATGTCAGTAGGCTGCCAAGGATTAGGTTTTTCTCTCTTTTTCAGAGGGTTCCAGATTTTTTTTTTTCTCTCTAAGTGTTCCTAGTGAATTTCAAGGTCAGATTAGTTTTTGTGAATTTATAAGTTAGTCTAAAGAGTTTTTAAAAATTTATCCATAAAAATGTTTTTTTATATTACAAGTTAATGTTAAATTGTAATCAGGATAAATTTGCTAGGAATATAACTAATTGTTGCAACTTCATATGCAAATGTTGGGAAAGATCTGTTAAAACTCTTGCATTAAACTTATTTGTCTCTAACCATGCATTTAGGTTGGATAAGAAAAATACTTAAGTTAGTGGGTGCAGCGCACCAGCATGGCACATGTATACATATGTAACTAACCTGCACAATGTGCACATGTACCCTAAAACTTAAAGTATAATAAAAAAAAAAAAAGAAAAATACTTACATAGCTATTCTAAGTAACATTGGGATGCACAGTTAGAAGTTGCAGACAGAATAATGTTTGTAAAATGTGACTATAATACAGTGAGACAAATTCTTTTTACTTTATAGCCATACATGTGTATATTACTCTCTGCCGTAGTCACCTGGATACCATCTCTGGACTTACTAGTGTAAGAATTGACAACTAAATTTTTGGGTTTTGTTACTTAACATTAAAAAATGACTTCTCTTCTAATACTGGAACAGTTTTATAATCATTCATTTCAAAGAGGTATGTCTTTTTCCTAGGAAGAATAGTGTTTCTTGGAATATCAAGTTGGACTAGACAGAGTGTTCAGGGTAATAATCAGGGGACTGATTTAACAAATTGGATATTACAACACCTGTTATATATTAGATAGTCATAAAATATGTGTTCTGTTAATTATGGGCTAGCAGTTTCTTTGGCTCTGCTTGGAAGAGCATTTCATCTAGACTTAGTGAATTGTGTTTCTAGTTCTATAGAACTAAGGAAAGGTTTGGGTGGAAGTGAAAATATAAGTTAAATGAAAATTTTATTTTATCCTCCTGTTTAGATTTGTACTTTTTTTCGTTCCAGGCTTGTCATATCTTATTTTAATCATTTTAATTATTTCTGGCCCTGATATGGTATCTGAATTCTTTTTTTTTTTTTTTTTTTTGAGACGGAGTCTTGCTGTGTTGCCTAGACCAGAGTGCAATGGCATGATCTCAGCTCACTGCAACCTCCGCCTCCTGGGTTCAACTTGAAGCAATTCTCCTGCCTCAGCCTCCTGTGTAGCTGGGATTACAAGTGTGCACCACCACACCTGGCTAATTTTTGTATTTTTAATAGAGACAGGGTTTCACCGTGTTGGCCAGCTGGTTTTGAACTCCTGAACTCAGGTGATCCACCTGCCTGGGCCTCCCAAAGTGCTGGGATTACAGGTGTGAGCCACCGCACCAGGCCTGAATTCTTATATATTTATAATTCTATATTTGCTTGTTTTTTTTTTTGTTTTTGTTTTGTTTTGTTTTGTTTTGAGACAGAGTTTCTCTCTTGTTGCCCAGGCTGGAGTGCAATGGTGCAATCTCGGCTCAACGCAACCTCCGCCTCCCGGGTTCAAGTGATTCTCCTGCCTCAGCCTCCTGAGTAGCTTGGATTGCAGGCATGAGCCGCCACGCCTGGCTAATTTTGTATTTTTAGTAGAGATGGGGTTTCTACATGTTGGTGAGGCTGGTCTTGAACTCCCGACCTCAGGTTATCTACCTGCCTAAGCCTCCCAAAGTGCTGGGATTACAGATGTGAACCACTGCACCAGGCCTGAATTCTTATATGTCTATAATTCTTTTTTTTTTTTTGGATACAGAGTTTTGCTCTTGTTGCCTAGGTTGGAGTGCAATGGTGTGATCAGGGCTCACCGCAGCCCCTACCTCCTGGTTTCAAGCGTTTCTCCTGCGTAGCTGGGATTACAGGCATGTGCCACCACGCCGGGCTGATTTTGTATTTTTAGTATAGACGGGGTTTCTCCATGTTGGTCAGCCTGGTCTTGAACTCCTGACCTCAGGTGATCTGCCTGCCTTGGCCTCCCAAAGTGCTGGGATTATGGTCGTGAGCCACCGCGCCCAGCCTGCTTGTTTTTTTACCTAAAGAAAAATTTGCACTTGTTTTAATTAGTTATAGGAAAATCATGATTATAAAATTTAACAAGTTTTAGCTTTATAACTTTACTATGAATATTGTCTCACTTTATTTTGATTTTTGTCTGTCTTATTATTGTATAGTCCTGTTTCTTAGCCAAATAAGTGTTAACTCCTGCCTAGGAAGTCATTCCATCCTATGTCTCTGTACGGTTTTACATTGCTTATGGAAGAGAAGCTTCTGTTCCAGTTAGTCTCTCTTCCATGACACAGACTCCTGACTTCTGTTATTTCATGTTTTCTTTATTTGTATATCACATTTTCCTTTTTCAAGGACCTTACTCTTCTGTTTTCATTCAGTCTTCCTCCTGGACTTACCTGTTCATTTGTCTTTCCTTTTCCTAACTCCTTTTGCTTTTTTTAAAAAAAGAGCACAGTATCTGTAATAGCATCCTATATAAAAGTCTGATTATACTGTCCTTTTAGGGGGTATGTTTCCAAATTACAGTAAACTCGTGAATTTGGTGAGATCATGATATGTGAGTATGGTTCTAGAGATATATGAGGGCCTCACATGGAAAGGGAACTAGTGAGTACTAAGAGAAGATTGGAAGGGTAACGACTTAATTTTGCAGATTTTCTGCCAAAAAAAGCCATTTTTCTCATTGTAGCATGACATGAGTTGGAGTCATACAGATTCAGGCTTAAATCTGCCCTGCTCATGAAGGGAGTTTTGGGGTGATAGAGTGTTATATAAAACTGGATTGTGGTGATTGTTGCAGAAGTATATACATTTAATACATTTATCAAATCTTTCACTTAAAATAAGTAAATTTTACTACACGTACATTATGCTTTAATATAACTATTAAAAACAATTTTGCTCCAGTATTTACCAGTTTGCGATATCAGGCAAGTCATGTAACATCTGAGCTGTAGTTCAGTCAGTTAACAAATGAGTATGGTAATGCCTGGTTTCCTGAGATTGTTGAGGTGAGGACTAAAAATAATACAGGGTATGCAGCTGGCCAATAGTAGGTGCTCAGTTAATAGCAGCTGCAATTCTTAAACTGTCTGTTTATATGGACCAAACATAATGAATTTGCTGCCACCACCTGGTATGGTAAACTTAGTGTGTGCTTATCTGGTAATGACTAGAAGAATTTCTATGTTTCTCTTCACCGACTTCCCTCTTCTGGCTTTTTCATTAGTCTGCAGTGCTTTATCCTCCATCGAGATAAAAATGCTTTATCCTCCAGAATCTCTGCATCTTTTTCTAACGATTTCTTCTTTTCCCTATACTTTTAGAAAGAAATCCACTGTCTGATCTGCACTGTCAACACTATAACAAATCTCTTCTGAGGTCGCTAGTGACCTAATTGCCAAATCTTTTAACTGCTTCTTTTTGTCTTAATTCTGTAACATTTAAAATTTTTGCTTCTGGGGCTTAATGTGGTCTCATAGTTATGACCACCTCCTTCACTTCCCCTCGCTAGACTTTCCTTTTTTTGAGCCAGAGTTTTGCTCTTCTTGCTCAAGCTGGAGCGCAATGGTGTGATCTCGGTCCACTGCAACCTCCGCCTCCCGGGTTCAAGCGATTCTCCTGCCTCAACCTCCCGAGTAGCTGGGACTACAGGTGCACTGGGATTACAGGTGCGCGCCACTGTCCCTGGCTAATTTTTTTGTATTTTTAGTAGAAATGGGGTTTAACCATGTTAGCTAGGCTGGTCTCGAACTCCTGACCTCAGGTGATCTGCCCACCTTGGCCTCCCAAAGTGCTGGGATTACAGGCGTGAGCCACCGCACCAGACCTCCCCTCACTAGACTAATGTTGAGACCTTTAAGTGTCCTTTACTGTCATCTTTAGCTCTTACTATGCTTTTAACTTTCACCTTAGTCTGTTAGAAAACGGAATTATTTACAAGGCAGTTTCTTCCTATTCTTGACTCCATTGTAGCCAGATTAATTTTTCCTAAAGCTCAGTCTGATGACATTGCTCATTTTGCAAAAACTTGAGAAATTTCTGTTGGCATGTGAAACAAAATAAAAATTAAGCCTGGACTTAAAAACCCTTTTAAAAAGAAAAAATCAAGTAGGAAGTGTGTTATGTGTGTTTTTCATGTAAGTTCTCACTGTTCAGTTCAGAGAGGTAGTCATATAAATGAGTAAATATAAACAAAGTGTAATAGGTAATAAACAGAAATGAATAATTATATGCATATCACAAAGGACACTTCTTAAAGAATATTTTGGTTATAAAAACAAAACATTCCCTTAATATCTTTATGCAGTAAGAAATATATGTGACATAGAAAATGAGAGTTCCTGCATAATTCCATTCCCCTTGAGACCCAGTGTTTAAACTTTAAAATGTATTCTTATGATTTTTCCACCTGGTCATCACACTAATAATTTGCATATATACTGTTACTATCAACAATGGACGTATTCATCGCAGTCTGACATCCTTATTTTCCGTTCCCTATCCTTATGTTGCAGAAGTCTTTAGCTGATTGTTTGAATTCTAGTGATCAGTTTATTAGGCCAGTTCACTAGTCTTAGTTCTAGCTGATGGGAAGATAATGTGGTATAATGAAAGGTATGTGGACTTTTTAGGTACAAACTTTGCATGTGCCACCTACAGCTGTGTGCCGTAGGAGATTTACTTGATTGTACAGAGTAATTTACTCAACTGCAAAGTGGGGTCGTAATATAGTATAAGGTCTTTTCAAGGAACTTGTGATGAGAGTGCTGTCAAGCATGTTTTTCATAATTGGTAGTTATTGTGTTAGATGTATGATGAAATTCAGAGGCAAAAGTATAACTCAAGATATGAAGGAAGGGATTGAATAAAAGAGATCAGCAAAATAAGACTTACTGAGGACTGCTTTCTTTAGTTAAGATTTATTGAGGGTTGCCTTCTTTGCTTCAGGCTCACTTTATTTACTAGATAATTTAAAAAATAAAAAGCTATTGAATTGTAAGTGATAAGATTTTTTATTTTCTGAAATTTGTCTAATAAGGAAATTCTGATACTCTATGCTCTGTATTCCTTTGACTTTTTTTTTTTCTTTTTTAAAGCAATCTGAAACATTTGAACATCTCAAGAAAAAAATGCTGGTTAAAAAAGAGTTTTGAGTCTTATGAAACAGAGGCAAGAGATTTTTACTTAGTAATAGTCTGTATTAGAGAAATAGATTCTTAGTACCTGAAGTCTACCTTATTGGATCTCTGGTCTCATTTGCTTATTGATGCAAGTATTGTTGTTTCTTTAGGTTAGATGAGGTCTTAATCATGGAACATTTGAAGTCACGTAAAGAAGGTAATGTTTTTTTAAAAGCCCTCTACTCCATCTGTTTAAACATTATGGAAAATTTGTTATCAAAAACAGTCATTACACTAGATCATAGATTTGGAACACCAACAAGTGGTCATAAGAATAAATGAATGTTTGATGATTTGTTTCCAAATTAACGTGTGTAGTTGAAGTTTATTTATGCTGTTGTAGTTTTTAAACTATGTTTGGAGAAGGAAGTATGGGTTTATTTACCTTCTTTGGTAAAGGGGATCACAGGGATAGGGTATGATAACCTTTCATTAGGGACTAAAATCAGGTCATGTTACTAACTGTAATTACGCAGATGAATATAGAAGTAAAAAAAATTAGGACCAAAGACAAAGGATAGAGATAAATTATATTTTAGCTTGTTTCATCTTTTGAGGAAGTTATTCTAATTTTCCATTTTTAACAGGGAAATGGGCTTGGGGGTGAAGTGATTGTCCTATGCACACAAGAAGAGAGAGAGCCAGAATTCAGTGTGGGTCAGGGAGGAGTGAAAAAACCCCAAACCAAAAAAAAAAAAAAAAAAAAAAGGGCATCCTCTCAGAAAGGTTATTTGTTAAAGAAAAATATTCATTCAGTAAATATTTATTGGCCAGGCTTTTATTAAGTTCAAGGTTATAGTAAGGCAATAAGAGCATAGGTCTTTTCCCTCATGGACCTTGCAGTCTTCTGGGGGTTACAGATTACAAATCAACAAACATAACTACAAATTGGATAAATGCAGCTGAGGAAATGAGTATGATCTGAGATTGTAGCAGGAGACACCTAGTTGAGACCAGCGATGGATTAGTGGAGTGTTTGATGCAGGAGGATCTTTTCTTTGAAAGAGAGACATTTAAGCAGAGAATAGACGGAAGCGTGAAAAGGAGTCTTTTCAGGCAGAGGAAGATCCTGAGATGAGGAGCTTGAACTCTTCCACAGCCTGAAAGAAGGCTTAGTTTAGTTTAGCTGAAGCTTAATGAGCAAGGTGGGGAAGAGTAGGGCTGAAAGTGAACCTAGATTGTAGGTAGGGATCAAAGCAGACGGAAATATTACATACAGGTAAGGGGAAGAATTGTAGGCTTTCTCCTAAGTATACTGAAAAGCCACGTAAGAAGTGAATGTTGTAGTCTGATTTCATTTTTAGTTTATATATATGTGTGTGTGTGTGTGTATATATATATATATATATTTTTTTTTTTTTTTTTTTTTCCTTGAGATGGAGTTTCACTCTTGTTGCCCAGGCTGGAGTACAGTGGTGTGATCTCGGCTCACCACCACCTCTGCCTCCGGGGTTGAAGCTAATCTCCTATCTCAGCCTCCCAAGTAGCTGGGATTACAGACATGTGCCACCACACCAGGTTAATTTTGTAGTTTTAGTAGAGACGGGGTTTCTCCATGTTGGTCAGGCTGGTCTCGAACTCCTGATCTCAGGTGATCCACCCGCCTCAGCCTCACAAGGTGTTGGGATTACAGGCATGAGTCACCATGCCCAGCCGATTCATTTTTAAGAAGTTCTTTAGATATTCTGGGGAATATAGTAAGTAATATCAGTATTCCAGCAGAAAAATGGTGGACTTCTCAGGCAAGAAGGATAGTAGTAGAGATGGGTAAAAGTGGACAATTTCGAGATTTATTTTGGAAGTAGGAAAAGCATTTGATGATTGCAGGCTGTAGGGGAAGAAAGGAGAAAAAATTAAGAATGATCTCCAGATTTCTATTATTGAGTCACTAGACATAAAACATCGTGAAATGGCAAAAACTGGAAGAGGTACAGATAAAAGGGGATAGAGCAAGTTAAAAAAAAAACTAGATGTAGAGAGTAGGCAGTTTGGCGTTTTGAAACATCTTGATTGAGATAAATTAAGGAGTTTAGGGGTATTAGGGTATTATTTTAAATCATGGGAATGGATGAGATCCCCAAAGAAAGTTAAAATTACTTGAAAGTACCTTGTAGTTAAATTTTGGTCCTATAGGAGAGAAGAAATTATTTCTTACCTCTAGAAATTCTACACCCTAGAGATCCCTGAATGAAATAATTGATTTATTCATGTATTTATTAGATCAAAGGGATTTTTGTTTAGACTCTGTCATAACCCTTGAATGGATTTTTAGTAGCTGAGTACATGAATTAAATGGTTCCTATCATTTTCTAAAGCCAGACTACCTTTGTTTTAGGTATCTAATAGAGATATGTTCAACAGATTTGTGGCTAAATTGTAAGCAATGTGAATACATAATTTATGTTATCTGTCTTTGGTTTTCTGGTCCCTGTCTCCATTCTGCAAAGGTTAAGAATATCACTTTAGTATGTATTACATTTACCCTTAAGAATTATCTAGTAATCTTGTGTATGCCTTTTAAAAACATGTATAGTATAAATATCTTTTTGCAATTTTTTTTTTCACTTAGTGGTATGTCTTAGCTGTCTTTAAGAGTTAATACAGAAAGATCTCCATTTTAACTGTCGTGAAGTATTTAATGGCATGGATATAATACAGCTTAGACATTCTTTTGATGGACAGTCTGTTTCCAATTTTTTGCTATTGTAGATAATGCTGCAAGGAATATACTTGCATTTTCTTCAGATTTATGAGTGTTTTCTATAGGGAAGATTCTGAGAATAGGAATTCCTGAGTCAGAGTATATGCATATTATATATTTTAATAGATAACTGCCAAATTGCCCTCCGTTATTCTTCTATACCAACTGCATTTCCACCACTTCTTCCACATTCTTCCCAACACTGTATATTATCAAATAGCTAAATTTAATGTGTTCCCTCTGAAGTACAAGTATCGATTTTTTGTTATAGCTGTTACAAATTATATATATACATATATAGATATATATATGTATATATGTTTTTTTGTTTTTTTTTTGAGATGGAGTCTCGCTCTTATCACCCAGGCTGGAGTGCAGTGGTGCGATCTCGGCTCACTGCAACCTCTACCTCCAGGGTTCAAGCGATTCTCCTGCCTCAGCCTCCCGAGTAGCTGGGATTACAGGTGCCCGCCACCAGGCTTGGCTAAGTTTTGTATTTTTAGTAGAGATGGGGTTTCACTGTGTTGGCCAGGCTAGTCTCAAACTCCTGACCTCAGGTGATCCGCCCACCTCAGCCTCCCAAAGTGCTGAGATTACAGGCATTAGCCACTGCGCCCAGCTACAAGTATATATATTTATGGTATCTTTGTTTGCTATATAAATTTTTTCATGTAATGGAGAAATCCATTTTATTCTTGTAAGAAATAGGAATAACTATAACAGGAAGTATGCAAGACTTTAATGAAGGAAACTATAAAACAGTACCATAGAGGGGCCGGGCGTGGTGGTTTCTGCCTGTAATCCCAGCACTTTGGGAGGCCAAGGCAGGTGGATCTCCTGAGGTCAAGAGTTCAAGACCAGCCTGGCCAACATGGTGAAACCCCGTTTCTACTGAAAGTACAAAAATTAGCAGGGCGTGGTGGTGTGCGCCTGTAGTCCCAGCTACTTGAGAGGCTGAGGCAGAAGAATTGCCTGAACCCGGGAGGCAGAGGTTGCAGTGATCCAAGATCATGCCACTGCACTCCAGGCTGGGTGACAGAGCGAAACTCCATCTCAAAAAAAAAAAAAAAAAAACACCAAAAAACAAAACAAAAAACAGAAAAAAAACCCAACACAATACCATAGGGCAAGCTTGTCCAATCCGCGGCCCGCAGGTCCCGTGCTGCCTAGGAGGTCTTTTGAGTGTGGCTCAACACAAATTTGTAAACCTTCTTAAAACATTGTGAGATTTTTTTTTTGGATTTTAGTTGTTGTTAGCTCATCAGTTATCATTAGTGTTAGTGTATTTTATGTGTGGCCCAAGACAGTTCTTTCAATATGGCCCAGGGAAGCCAAAAGGTTGGGTACCCTTACCATAGGGCATATAAGAAAACTTTAAATGGAAAGATGTGCCAGTGTCTGAATGGGAAGACTTCCATAATGTAAAAATGTTTAGTTTGTCTCCAGATTAATCTCTTAAATTCAGTGAAACCCTAATCAAATCCCAGTATATTTGCATATGATACCAACTTTAAAAGGTAGAAGAGGGTAAACAGTGAGAAGGAAAACTCACTCTTCTTCCTCTGATTCATCTACACAATTCTCTTCCCTAGAGGCAAACCACTGTTGTCATTTTCTTGGGCGTTTATCGAGAGATACTGTGTGTGGTGCGTTTATGCATTGTTTTATACCTTGCTGTTTACACTTAATTTATATTTGTGGTTGATCCTTATTAGCATGTAAGTCCATTTAGAGTTGCTTCATTGTTTTGAAGTGCTGCATGGTGTTTTGTTGTATGTCTTTGTCATCATTAATTTTATCCATTGTGTGTTGAGACATTTGGATTGTTTAAATCTTTTGATTTTACCATGAATATCCTTCTACTTTTTTTTTTTTTTTGAGACAGACTCTTGCTCTGTTGCCCAGGCTGGAGTGCAGTGGTGTGATCTCGGCTCTCTGCAGTCTCTTCCGGGTTCAAGCAATTCTCCTGCCTCAGCCTCCTGAGTAGCTAGGATTACAGGCACCCGCCACCACACCCGGCTGATTTTTGTATTTTTAGTAGAGATGGGGTTTCACCATGTGGGCCAGGCTGATCTCTAACTCCTGACCTCGTGATCCACCCACCTCAGCCTCCCGAAGTGCTGGGATTACAGGCGTGAGCCACTGTGCCTGGCCTGTTCTTTAAAATATGAGATAATATATCTGTTGGATGGATGCCTAAAAGTGGAATTGCTTGGTCAAAGAAATGTTTTTTTAGTTGCCCTCTATAGAGACTGTACCAATTAACAGAATAGGAGTCTTGCTGCATGGGATATTGTTAAGACTTGGTGGGCCTTTGTTAATATAAGAGAAAATTGGTGGCCTTTCAGAATTTAAGTAGTATTTTTGTAGATACATATTTAAGAGTGATTTTTGTGTGTGAACTGTTTATTTTTTGTCATTTATTCTATTTGATTGTGGTTTATCTCATTGATTGTAGGAGCTCTTTGCCTTCATTTTATTACGATATGACAAAAATTTTCTTTTCATAGGATATCATTGTTTTTGGTATTTTTTTCCCCCATATGGTGTCTTCTTTTCTTAAAAAAAAAAAAAAAAGTATAGTAACATAAGACCATTTTTTACCATTTTTAAGGGTACACAATTTTGTGACATTAAGTACATTCACAGTTTCTTGTAAAAATCAACATTATCCATTGCCAGAATGTTTTCATCATCCCAAATAGAAACCATACTCATTAGCATTCCTTGTCTCCCCTTCCTCAAGCCCCTGGTAACTTCTGTTCTACCTTCTGTATCGAACTACCTCATGAATGGAATCACAATATTTGTCCTTTTGTGTCTGGCCTACTTCACTTAGCATAATGTTTTCAAAGTTCATCTATGTTGTAGTATGTATCAGAGTTTTATTCATTGTTAAAGCTGTATAATATTCCCCTGTGTATGTTTACCAACATTTTATTTAGCCGTTCACTCTGTTGGACACTTAGGTTGTTTTCACCTTTTGGCCGTTGTGAAAATGCTTCTGTGATCATTGTTGTACAGGTATCTATTTGAGTCATTGCTTTCAGTTATTTTGGGTTTATATCTCACAATGAAATTGATGGGTCATAGATTAATATCCACATGTGACTTTGGGGAACCATTAAACTGTTTTCCACAGTGTGGTACCATTTTACATTTTTACCAGCAATACAGAAGAGTTCCAATTTCTGAAAGTCTTTATCAGCACTTTTCTTTTTTTAAAATTTTTCCTCCATTTTTAAAATGTATGTATGTATGTATGTATGTATGTATGTATGTATGTATGTAGAGCTGGAGTCTTGCTATGTTGCCCAGCCTGGTCTTGAACTCCTGGCCTCAATTGATTCTTTCACCTTGGCCTTCCAAAGCATTGGGATTACAGGTGTGAGCACCACCACGCCTGACCTCCTTTTTTAGAAAAACAGCAATCCTAGGCCGGGCACGGTAGCTCATGCCTGTAATCCCAGCACTTTGGGAGGCCGAAGCGGGCAGATCACGAGGTCAAGAAATCGAGACCATCCTGCCCAACGTGGTAAACATTTTTTGTAAAAATACAAAAATTAACTGGGTGTGCTGGCGCGTGCCTGTAGTCCCAGCTACTTGGGAGGCTGAGGCAGGAGAATCACTTGAACCTGGGAGGCAGAGGTTGCAGTGAGCCAGGATCATGCCACTGCACTCCAGCCTGGCGACAGAGTGAGACTGCACCTCAAAAAAAAAAAAAGAAAGAAAGAAAGAAAGAAAAATAGCAATCCTAGTGCGTGTGAAATGGTACTTTTTTTTTCTTTTTTATTTTAAATTGTAAAAAAACAACATAAAATTTACTATTTTTACGACTTTTAAGTGTTCAGCTCAATATTAGTCGGTATATTCACATTGTCACACAGGAGATCTCCAGACCTTTTTTATTTTATAAAACCAGAACTCTACGTATTAAACAACAGTTCCCCAATTATCTCTTCCTCCGGCCCCTGGTAACCACCATTTTACTTTCTGTTTATGAATTTGACTACTTTAGATACTTCACATAAGTGGAATCCTGCAGTATTTGTCTTTTTGTGACTGGCTGTTTTCAGGTAGCATGATGTCCTCATGGTTCTACGTTATAGCGTGTGTCAGAATTTTCTTCCTTTTAGAAGTCTATTGTATGTATATGTCTTTTAGGTCTGAGTAGTTTATAGTGTTGTTTAAGCCCCTTCCATTTCCTTACTGATTTTCCGTTTGGTCGTTCTATCCATTTTTGGAAGGGTATAATGAAGTCTTCAGCTATTATCATAGAGTTTTGTGTCTATCTCTCCTTTTAATTCTGGTAATTTTTGCTTTAATATATTTTGATGCTTAGTTGTTAAGTATCTGTATGTTTAGAACTGCTGTATCTTCTTGCTAGAACGAACCTTTCATCAATATATAATGTCCTTTGTCTCTTATAACCTTTTTTGATTTAAAGTTAATTTCTGATTAGTATAGCCACTCCAATTCTCATTTGGTTAATATTTGCATATATTAGGTTTTCTATCCTAACAGAAAATAGTACTCAGCTATTCTGTATCTTTGTATCTGAAGTGAATCTTTTTCTTTTTCTTTAAATTGAGATGGGATCTCACTTTGTTGCCTAGGTTGGTCTCAAACTCCTGGGCTCAGGTGATCCTGCTGCTTTCGGCTCCCAAAGTGTTGGGATTACAGGCATGAACCATGGTGCCCGGCCCTAAAGTGAATCTTTTGTAGACAGCATATAGATGGATCGTGTTTTAAAAAATTCAGTCTGCCAGTGTATCTTTTATTATAATTTAATCTATTTATGTCTAAGGTAAGTCTTCATAAGGATTTACCTCTGCCATTTTGCTGTTTTCTGCATGTCTTATGTTTTTTCCTTTCCATTTCTTTTTTTTTTTTTTGAGACGGAGTCTTTCTTTGTCACCCGGGCTGGAGTGCAGTGGCGCGATCTCGGCTCACTGCAAGCCCTGCCTCCCGGGTTCACGCCATTCTCCTGCCTCAGCCTCCTCAGTAGCTGGGACTACCGTCCGCCACCACGCCTGGCTAATTTTTTTGTATTCTTAGTAGAGACGGGGTTTCACTGTGTTAGCCAGGATGGTCTCGATCTCCTGACCTTGTGGTCCACCCACCTCAGCCTCCCAAAGTGCTGGGATTACAGTCATGAGCCACCGCGCCCAGCCAACCCTTTCCATTTCTTCTATTATTGCTTTTTATGTTAAATTTTTCTCTAGTGTACCATTTGATTCCCTTCTTTTCTATATATTTTAAAAGTTTTTTTTTTTTTTGAGACGGGGTCTTGCTGTGTCGCCCAGGCTGGAGTGCAGTGGCACAATCTCGGCTCACTGCAAGCCCCGCCTCCCGGGTTCATGCCATTATCCTGCCTCAGCCTCCTGAGCAGCTGTGACTACAGGTGCCCACCACCACGCCTGGCTAATGTTTTTGTATTTTTAGTAGAGACGGGGTTTCATCGAGTCAGGCAGGATGGTCTTGAACTCCTGACCTAGTGATCCTCCCACCTTGGCCTCCCAAAGTTCTGGGATTACAGGTGTGAGCCACTGCACCCAGCCTAAAAGTATTTTTTAAATGGTTACCTTGGGGATTAAAATAGCCATATACCCTTCCAAAAATGGATAGAACCACCAAACAGAAGACTAAATTTATAATAACATATTGCAAATAACTTGGTTTCAGAAGTATACAAACACTCTACTGCTGTACTTCTCTGTCCTCTTCCTTTGTAATATTATTGTCATAGATTACATCTGTATATATTGTGTGCTCATTAATATAAATTTAAAATTACTGTTTTTTGGGTTTTTTTTTTGAGACGAAGTTTTGCTCTTGTTGCCCAGGCTGGAGGGCAATGGTGCAATCTTGGCTCACCACAACGTCCGCCTCCTGGGTTCAAGTGATTCTCCTGCCTCAGCCTGCCGAGTAGCTGGGATTACAGGCATGTGCCACCACGCCAGCTAATTTTGTATTTTTAGTAGAGACGGGGTTTCTTCATGTTGGTCAGGCTGGTCTGAAACTCCCGACCTCAGGTGATCTGCCTTCCTTGGCCTCCCAAAGTGCTGGGATTACAGGTGTGAGCCACCGTTCCCAGCCTAAAATTACTGTTTTGTGCCTTTATCTTTTATATCATATAAAAAAATTAATTATAAACCTAAAGTACATTACCGCTGACTTTTCTGTTTTATCTCTTTAGTTACCTTCACTCATATGCTTTATTTCTTCTTACCATGTTGAGTTACTCTTCAGTGTTTTATCATTTTTGCTGGAAGAACTCTCTTCAGCATTTCATGTCGGGCAGGTCTGCAGGAAATGAACTTCTTTCTGCTTTTGCTTATTTGGAAATATCTTAGTTTCACCTTATTTTTGGAGGGATGTTTTGCTGCGTATAGAATTCTTGGCTGACAGATTTTTTTCCCCCCTCTTTCTGTTAGCACTTTAAATATGTCATCCCACTGACTTCTGGCTTCTATAGTTTCTGATGAAAAAATGCTGATAATGATAATCTAAATAATCTAATGAGGATTCCTTGAACCAGATGAGTCTCTTCTTTTTTGCTGCTTTCAAAATTTCTGCTCTCTTTGAGGTCCACAATGTGTCTTGACATGGATATCTTTGAGTTTATCCTGCTTTTGGAGTTTGTTGAGCTTCTTGGATATGTATATTTATCATCATCATATTAGGGCAGTTTTCAGCCATTGTTTCTTCAAATGTTTTGTTAACTTTGGAAATCTGATTCCCCCAGTCTTTATAGATCGCAGATTTTTTACTTGTTGAGGGATAGAGCTGTTCACGTGACTTTTTCTGCACTTTTTTTTTTTTTTTTTTGCCCAGTTTATGTTTCTTGTTTGTAGGCACTGGAGTTTCTCTTCCATTATCTGTGTGGTGAGGTACTGACCTGACAAAAATTTCCTTAAATGTCTGCAGAGAAAAGAGAAAATGGTCATGTCTCAGTAAATCTGTGATAGATGCTACAGGGAAAGCTGCTCCTGCCCAGAAGGCTGAAACCAAGGAAGTGTCTGCTCCAGACCAGCCCAAACACACAATCCCAAATTTTGGTAAAAGTTCCTATCAGCCCTGTGTACAGCCAGCTGTGCCAAGAACATAGTATGCTATTCCCAAAGCTGAGTTGGGATGAGGAATGAGGGATAGTGGCTGGTTTGTACTATTCACTTATGAATGATCACCAGCGTCTCCCTGGATTGCTCCTGTATTTGTTTTAGGTGTACAGTCAGGTTCTAGAGATCCAAAGTAGTTGGTTTCAATCATTTTTTCCCACTCAATGGTTGCTTGGGTGGAAGTACTTATACCTAGAACTTCTTGCCACACCATTTCGCCTAAAGTCTCTGTCTTCATCTGTATTTTTTCTTTTTTAAAAATTTGTTATTTCATCTGTTTTTTTTATGTCAGATTTACAAGGATCTTGTAACTTTAAAATTATAAAAATAAATGTTCGGTATTCTTGTAATTTATTTTTACATTAAATTTTTTATTAAATAATTTTTAAATTTAAGACTTTATCTTGTATTAACGTTTATGTATGATGAGGGGTAGGTGGCTCCCCAAATTTTTATTTTTATGTTGGAATTTCTTTCGGTGTGAGACAAGAATTCAAAGTAATATTTCTCAGTTGCTTCCCAGTTGTTTTATACTACTTTTCTGAAAAATTTATATACCCTATTGAAATTTCATTGTATACTAAATTCCTTGATATATTGGGTCTGTTTCAGACTTTTTTTGTCTGTTTGGTCCGTCTTTTCTTATTCCCTACCTCACTGTTTTATTTATTGTAGCTTCATAATATGCCAGTTTCTTCTGTTACTCATCTCTTTTTAGAATTTTCCTGTTCTTGGCTGGGCGTCATGGCTCACGCTTACAATCCCAGCACTTTGGGACGCCAAGGCAGGCAGATCACTTGAGGTCAGGAGTTGGAGACCAGCCTGGCCAACATGGTGAAACCCTGTCTCTACTAAAAATACAAAAAGTTAGCTGGGCATGGTGGCAGGCGCCTGTAATCCTAGCTACTTGGGAGGCTGAGGGACAAGAATCACTTGAACCCAGGAGGTGAAGTTTGCAGTGAGCCAAGATTGTGTCACTGCACTCCAGCCTGGGTGACAGAGCGAGACTCCATCTCAAAAAAAAAAAAAAAAAAAAAAAAGAATTTTCCTGTTCTTGCTTATTTTTTCATATAAATTTGAGATTCAGTTTATCTAATTAAAAATTCTGTTAGTATTTTTATTGAGATCAAAGTAAGTTTGCAGATAATTTAGGGAAAATTGATATCTTTATGTTATTGAATCTTGCTTTGGAATTAGGTTTGTTTTTGTTGGTATTAGTACCGTGATGAATTCACGGATTTAAGCATATTTGAGGCCGGGCATGGTGGCTCATGCCTGTAATCCCAGTGCTTTGAGAGGCTGAGGTGGGAAGATCACTTAGGGCCAGGAGTTCAAGACTAGCCTGAGCAACATAGGGAGACCTCATCTCTACAAGAAATAAAACAATTAGCTAGGCATGGCGGCACATTCCTGTAGCTCTAGCTTCTCAGGAGGCTGAGGTGGGAGAATCACTTGAGTCCAGATGTTCAAGGCTGCAGTGAGCTATGATGATGCCATTGCATTCCAGCCTAGGTTGCCAGTGAGACCCTGCCTCTAAAAAACAGAAAAAACAAAAAACAAACAAACAAAAAAAAAAACAAAAAACAAACCCCAAACCACATATTTGATGTGTTTTAATTAATTGCAGTGATTTTTATTCATGTTCAAATTGTCCTATCTTTGGCCAGTTGGAGCCTATTCATGTTGGCTCTGGAGTCCTTTTAACTCCATTAGTCTTCAGTAGCTTTCTTGCTATCTACTATAAGCAAGTGTTTTGGGCTAATCTTACACATTTCCTGCCTCTGACCTGCAATATACCATTTCTCCAAGGAGCCCTGGTTTCAGTAGGTGGGAAATGGTATTTTCATCTATTGGATTTTAAGTTTCTGCACTCATATTTTTAACATGGAGAAGTACCTTTTTCCTCCTGTAAATACGAATTTTTTCCTAGCATTCCGTTCATTTTTGTGGATATCTTTTCTTTTCTCTCTGAATATATTATTTTCTTAAAATGTTTTCTCCCCTTAGATAGTTACTGTTTCTACCAACTTGAGTTTTTCATCCCATTTGTTTTCATCATGAAGATATCTTTCATATCTTTACTCAGCTGTCAGGTAGTCCTTGGTTGTCTGTTCGTGGTGCATGTCTAAAAGCTGTGTGGACACTCTAAGCCGTTGAGGGTCACAGTACACTGTCGATGTCACATTTCATTAAGGGATGATCTGGGTGGATGTTTGTTGGGAAATCTCCATTCTTGGGTATCTTTTTATGAAATCATGTTTCCAGAAAGAGCCTTCCAATTTCCTGAATGGGGAGATGTGTGACTTGCAGTTTTAGGTGGAGGTTAGGTCTCAGCACCAGTCCTGAGTATGTATCAGTTTATTTTATACCTCAGATTCAACTGAAATAAAGAGCTTGCACCTGAACTGTGCCTTAAATCTTCCTGTCCAAAGTCAATCTTTTACTTTCTCCAAAGATTAAACTTGTGGATTTATTTGGATGGGAAAGGAAATGTAGGTTTCTAATTGCTTTTCAGTAGTTTTCACTGAGTTGTCTATTAGCTGTCTTTTTTTTTTTTTTTTTTTTTTTGGAGACAGAGTCTCGCTCTGTCACTTAGACTGGAGTGCAGTGGCCTGATCTTGGCTCACTGCTACCTCCGCCTCCCAGGTTCAGGTGATTCTTATGCCTCAGCCTCCTGAGTAGCCGAGATTACAGGTGTGCGCCACCATGCCTGGCTAATTCTTGTATTTTTAGTAGAGATGGGGTTTCACCATCTTGGCCAGGCTGGTCTCGAACTCCTGACCTGAAGTGATCTACCTGCCTCGGCCTCCCAAACATTAGCTGCCCTAAGTACGTCATCCCCTTTGGAGAAGAGATGCTGCTATTAGGTTGGTGCAAAAGTAATTGCAGTTTTTGCCATTACTTTCAGTGGTTCCTGAACCTGTTGAGTATTCTATTTTGAACTGTTGCCTCATTCCTCTGCAAATTGTTATGTTGATGAAGATAGTTCCTACCTTGACAAGTGAATGTTAACTGCAGTTTCATTTGTAATTTGTTCATTTCAAAACTTTGCTTCCTGTGGATTCAGTGTTTACCTTTTTCAGGCCTGCTAAGTCAGATACAACTAATCCATGCTTATCTGCCTTCCCTCTTCCAAAATTTTAGTGCACTTGAATTCTCTCCTATCTTCCCTTCCTTGTAGGTTTGTCGTTTTTTTTAAAAAAACCCTTACTGTAGGTTTAGTTGACCTTTGGATGGAAGCAAAATTTTATGGCCGTTCAGTTGACTGATTTCTACATATTAATTTGTTATGTAGATACAATTATTTTACTATATAAACTCACTGTCTATAATAGTTTTTCAGGTAAATCTTCCGGGTCTTTGGGGGTAAAGAATTGTATAATTTGTATATAATATTTTCCCCACTTTCACTTTTTTTTTTTTTTTGAGACGGAGTCTCATTCTGTTGCCCAGGTTGGAGTACAGTGGCACAATCTTGGCTCACTGCAACCTTTGCCTCCCACATTCAAGCAGTTCTCCTGCCTCAGCCTCCGGAGTAGCTGGAATTACAGGTGTGTGCCATCATGGCACGGCTAATTTTTGTATTTTTAGTAGAGATGGGGTTTTGCCGTGTTGGCCAGGCTGGTCTCAAACTCCTGACCTCAGATGATCCGCCTCCCTCGGCCTCCCAAAGTGCTGGGATTACAGGCATGAGCCACCGTGCCCGGCCTCACATTTTTATATTTCTTCATTTCTTTTTTGTGTAATCACATTGGCTGTTACTTCTATAACAGTGCTATATGGTAATAGTAGAAGAATGTTCTTGTCTTATTCTTGACTTTAATGATAATGCTTTTAATAATTCTTTCTTCCTATAATTCCTTCTTCCTATTTTATTAGGAATTTTTATTTTATTATTTTTTTCTTTTTTAAGATAGAGTCTCGCTCTCTTGCCCAGGCTAGTTTGCAGTGGTGCAATCTTAGCTCACTGCAGCCTCGACCTCCTGGGCTCAAGTGATCCTCCCGCCTCAGTCCCATAAGTAGCTGGGACCACAGGCGTGCATCACTATGCCCATCTAATTTTCCTATTTTTTGTAGAGTTGGGGTTTCTCCATGTTGCCCAGGCTGGTCTCCAACTGCGGGCTCAAGAGATCTGCCCGCCATGGCCTCCTAAAGTGCTGGGATTACAGGCGTGAGCCACTGTGCCTGGCCAGGAATTTTTATTCTTAACATTTTAAATCTATCATATTAACTCAGAACTATTATAAGTGCCATGAATACATACTGACTTATAATACTCTTTGCTGTAAAAAAGAGTTCACCTTAGCTTTCTTTGTAATTCTTTAACGATACTTAGAAAGCGTTTAGATAGGCTTATAAGGGAGAAGATGATGAATACTTTTGTTGAAGCACTTTGAAGTGCTTTCTTTGTGATTTTGTTTTTTGAAGGTTCAGCCTTTTTCAGCAAGCACTAATATTTTCTTGATACAAATATATGAATATTTATATTTTAACTATTACCTTTTCATTGTTTTTTCATGACAACATCAACTGTTGTGTTAATTAATTCTCACTGAATCAAAATAAAGACCAAATAGAACTGAAAGCATTTATGATTTATAATGTGGAGTATCACAAGGCAGCTTAAAAATTAATTGGAAACTTACTGAAATTCTGAGGTACAAGCACCAGTTGTCTGGTAATTGTTTAGGAGTTAGGTAAGTATTTAGGAGTGTGCTAAGTGGTTTTCACATCCAGTTATACCTTTGAATTAGAAGAAAAGCCATGTGAACTATTTTTATACCATTTACTGTAGTAAAATGGAAACTCAGATAAGTTATTTGTTTAGTCTTAAATAGTTAGAATTGACTGGAGGTAGAAGAGTGGCGGCTACATGGAGTAGATTTTACTTTGATAATGGAGAAGTGGTCAACTTCTAATTGGATTGTCTTTCTTTAAAGGACTAAGTAGATGTTTTCTGGTTGAAACATTATTTCTATGATATGTAGAAGTGACCAATATTATTTACAGTCTATGATTTTAAGATAGCTGTCATAGTTGAATGGTTATTCTGTTTCGAGAAGTAGATTGCTGCAGGGATCTAACTGTGGTAAAGAAAGACCTATTTTAGGCTACACTATTTTCTTCTAAGGAGATCGAATTGACACATAGCAGCCACCAGAGGGAACTGTGATATCAGTTCTAGCTTTTCTGCCCCAGAAGTGGTTTTCTTCTGTTTTAAGTATGCCAAAACAAAGGAGCCAAATAACTTATATATTAAAAGCCTACACATTTTATAACATCTGTAGATTTGGGCTGAGCTGTTATCTCATTTCTGTGAAAATCATTATGTTGATCAGGTACTTTCCTTATGACAAGTGAATGTTAACCGCAAATTCAGCTTCATTGTGTTTTTTGTTGTTGTTGAGACGGGGTTTCACTCTGTTGCCCAGGCTGGAGTGTAGTGGCATGATCTCTGCTTACAGCAACCTCTGCTTCCCTGGCTCAAGCGATCCTCCCACCTCAGCCCCCGAAGTAGCTGGGACTACAGATGTGCACCACCATGCCCAGCTAATTTTTGTATTTTTTGTAGAGTCAGGATTTCACTGAGTCACCAGGGCTGGTCTCTAACTCCTAGACACAAGTGATCTGCCTGCCTCTGTCTCCTAAAGTACTGGGATCACAGGTGTGAGCTACCATGCCTGGCCCCATTCATTGTTTTTTAAATCCCATTGTAGGTTGGTACTTTGGGCTTGCTGTTTCTTTTGAAGCTTGTGTATTTTGAATATTGATTTGGTTATTTTATTGAATGGTTGTGTTTTTTTTAAAAACAATAAGAGCTGTGGCCAGGCACAGTGGCGCCTGTAATCCCAGCTACTCAGGAGGCTGAGGCAGAGAATTGCTTGAATCCAGGAGACAGAGGTTGCAGTGAGCCGAGATCATGCCACGGCACTCCAGCCTGGGCAACAGGGCGAGACTTGGTCTCAAAAAGGAAAAAAAAAAAGAAAAATTTGGCCGGGCGTGGTGGCACGTGCCTGTAGTCCCAGCTACTCGGGAGGCTGAGGCACAAGAATTACTTGAACCCTGGAGGTGGAGGTTGCAGTGAACTGAGATTGCACCACTATACTACAGCCTGGGCAACAGAGTGAGACTCTGTCTCAAAAATAAATAAATAAATAAGTAAAAAAGCCGGGTGTGATAACGTGCGCCTATAAATCCCAGCTACTCAGGAGGTTGAGGCAGGCAGGTTGCTTGAGCTTGGGAGTTCGAGACCAGGTCAGGGCAACATGGCAAAACCCTGTCTCTGCAAAAAAATACAAAAAAATCAGCCTGGCGTGTGGCGTGTGCCTGTGGTCCCCGTTACTCAGGAGTCTGAGACAGGAGGATCCGTTGAGTCCAGGAGTTGGAGGTTGCAGTGTTGCAGTGAGCCTAGATCGCACCACTGCTCTCCAGCCTAGGCAATAGAGCCAGACTCTCTCAAAAAAACAAACAAACAAACAAAACAAACAAACAAAAAGAAGGGATAATTCTGTTTAAAAGCTTAACCTAGCACACACCTATAGTCCTAGCTACACAGGCAGGAGGAGCACTTGAGCCCAGGAGTCCAGCATGGGCAACATAGAAAGATCGCCATCTCAGAAAAAACAAACAAAAACAAAAAAAAAAAGAAGGGTGATTATTTACTTTACCCAAAGACCTATAAATTACTACTTCATATCCTAAGACATTTCAGAAATTAAAATATAAACATCATTACTCTAAGGCAGTTCCTTAATAAGGAAAGCTTGTTTATAGCAAAAATAAGATATACTAAGGAGAAAGTTTCAGATAAGTCCTTTAGTTACTTTTAAATAAATTTGAAAAAAAAATTTTTAACATTTCTATTACAGAAAGTTTTAAAAATTGAAATATACTGAATAACATTTTCATTCAAAATTGTCATAACTAATTCAATTAAAATTTTTTAAATACAAGTACTGTCATCAGTAATAACTAACATTCTTTTAATGGTTATTATGGACCAAATATTCATGTCAAACACTATAGCAGCCCCTTAAAGTAGAATCATTATTATATCAATTGCACAGATTAAAAAAAAATCCTCAGCGGGGCACGGTGGCTCACACCTGTAATCACAGCACTTTGGAAGGCCGAGGCAGGTGGATCACTTGAAGTCAGGAGTTCGAGACCAGTCTGGCCAACATGGTGAAACCCCGTCTCTACTAAAAATACAAAAAAATTAGCCGGTCATGGTGGCTCATGCCTGTAATCCCAGCTACTCAGGAGGCTGAGGCAGGAAAATTGCTTGAACCTGGGAGGTGGAGGTTGCAGTGAGCTGTGATCGTGCCACTGCACTCCAGCCTGCAGCCTGGGCAAGAGAGCAAGGCTCCGTCTCAAAAAAAAAAAAAAAAAAAAAAAAAAAAATTTCAGCAGTTAAGTAAGCTGCTTAAAACCACAGCAAGAAAATGGTAGAGGTCAGGATTTAAATATTCACAGCTATTAAGCAAAATGAAATTAAATATTAATAATGTAAATAAACAATGCAGCTCTTATTTTTTTTTTCTTGAGACAGAGTCTCTCACCGTCGCCCAGGCTGGAGTGCAGTGGCGCAATCTCGGCTCACGGCAGAATCCACCTCCTTGGTTCAAGCGATTCTCCTGCCTCAGCCTCCCGAGTAGCTGGGATTAAAGGCGCCTGTCACCACGCCTGGCTAATTTTTTGTATTTTTGGTAGAGATGGGGTTTCACTGTTTTGGCCAGGCTGGTCTCAAACTCATGACCTCGTGATCTGCCCACCTGGGCCTCCCAAAGTGCTGGGATTACAGGCGTGAGGCACCGCACCCGGGCGCCCCGCTACGTGTGTGTGTGTGTGTGTGTGTGTGTATAGGAAAGATGGGGTTTTGTCGTGTGTGTGTGTGTGTGTGTGTGTGTGTGTGTGTGTGTATAGGAAAGATGGGGTTTTGTCATGTTGGCCAGGCTGGTCTCGAACTCCTGAGCTCAGACAATCTGCCCGCCTCAGCCTCTCAAAGTGCTAGGGTTACAGGCGTGAGCCACCGTGCCCAGCCTAATTTTTGTATTTTAGTAGAGACAGGGTTTCACCATGTTGTCCAGGCTGGGCTTGAACTCCAGAGCTCAATCTTCTTGCCTCAGCCTCCCAAAGTGTTGGGATTACAGGCGTGAGCCACTGCCCTCAGCCCATTTTCTTTAAAGCAGTAATAAATGTATCTTTTGCGATTTTCCAGTCTCAGCATGTCTTTCATCTGACAGCAGATAGACACACAGCTCTTTCTCTGAGAGGAATAGAGACTGGTTTTGAAACCGAGCTCTGTGTATAGTGTTTGAATCCTTTACTGTCTTGGGACCTTGGGCAGTTTTAATTAATGTGTGAGCTGCTGTTTTATTATAGAAAAAAATTCTGTTTTCTTTTAACTCAAAGGGGTTGTCACAGTTATGTGAGAATAAAATAAGACCTTGGTATTCTGTAAAATACTGTATGTTTTTGAAAATATTTCATTTTCTTACTTTGTTGAGTGGTAGAACAGTGCTCTTCTGACACTAGAACTTGGTTTATGGTCAGAGAATAATACAGTATATATAAACTAAAGGGCTAGAGTGTATACTTGGATAATTAAATAATGCTGTTACTTAAAAATAACTTTGATAGTTAAAGTGAACATAATTGGCTTTGGTTTCTGATCTTTCCTCAAATATTTGGGACAATTGTCTACTCTGTGCTCAAGCATTGTGTTAGGTCTTAGAGATTCAGTGAAAAGACGAGTTACGGCCGGGCATGGTGGCTCACTCACGCCTGTAATTCCAGCACTTTGGGAGGCTGAGGCGGGTGGATCACGAGGTCAAGAGATCAAGACCATCCTGGCCAACGTGGTGAAACCCCGTCTCTACTGAAAACACAAAAAATTAGCTGGGCGTGGTGGCGCATGCCTATGGTCTCAGCTACTCAGGAGGCTGAGGCAGGAGAAGTGCTTGAACCCAGGAGGTGGAGGTTGCGGTGAGCAAGATCGATTGCGCCACTGCATTCCAGCCTGGGTGACAGAGACTCCATCTCAAAAAAAAAGAAAAGACAAATTAATGATTCATTAAAAAGTTAGTATACCCATATTTGATGTCTGTGAAAAGTGCTTATTCTGCATCTCTTTTTGTATCTGGAGATTGCATCTTTGACTAGAATTTTGTCAACTGTATATCATCTTCCGCTAAGATGACTCCTTTTCCTTCCTTTATTCAGTCAGATGCTTAGCTGCATGAAACTCTAGATTAAAGCAGAATCCAAAGTGCATCTGGTTGACCACTCACCCTCCCCTGCGTAAACTTCTGCCCTTCCTAGCAAACTACTTCTGTCAGTATGATGTGATTCTCTCAAGAGTTTTTTTCCCCCCATGAATTTATGTACAAATATATATACTTCAGGGAAAATATCGTATATATAGGTTTTTGGGATATGCATAACATCACAGTAGTAATTTTCTTTGTGTTCTCTAACTTTTTAATTTTTAATTTTTGTGGGTACTTTGTAGGTGTTTTTGTGGGTACACTGTAGGTGTATTTATGAGTTACATGAGATTGTTTTTGTTTTTGTTTTCTTTTTGAGACAGAGTCTCACCCCATCACCCAGGCTGGAGTGCAGTGGTGCAGTCTCTGCTCCCTGCAACCTCCATGTCCCAGGTTCAAGCGATTTTCGTGCCTCAGCCTCCTGAGTAGCTGGAATTACAGGTGCATGCTACCATGCCCAGCTAATTTTTGTATTTTTAGTAGAGATGGGGTTTCACCATGTAGGCCAGACTGGTCTCTAACTCCGGACCTCAAGTGATCTGCCTGCCTCAGCCTCTGCCCGTCTACATGAGATGTTCTGATACAGGCATGCATTGTGTGATAATCACATCATGGAGAATGGAATATCCCTTCAACTATTTATCCTTTGTGTTGCAAATAATCCAGTTATACTCTTATTTTAAAATGTACAATTAGATTATTATTGACTATAGTCACCCTGTTGTGCTATCAAATAATAGGTCTTATTCTGTTTTTCTGTGCCCATTAACCCCCACCTCGCCACTACCCTTCTCAGCCTTTGCTAAGCATCCTTCTACTCTATCTCCATGAGTGTTCTGTAACTTTTAAAAGTCATCAGTATACCTTGTAGATTTTTTTTCATGTCAGTAAGAGATCTTGCTTTTAAAATACCCTAATCTGTTCACTTTTTCTCATCTCCCATCACCACCCTTTTTCAGCCACTGTCATCTCTCACTTGGACCATTTCAATGGCCATCTAGTTTGTTTCTTTGCTTCCAGTTTTTCCCTCTTGTTCCCACATAGCAGCCACAGTGATCTATTTAAAACCTGAGATTGTATCACCTCTTTGCTGGAAACATGGCAGTGTTTCCTGTTCCAGTAAAATCCAAACTTTCACCTTTAGTTAGAATTAATGCTTTCTAAGCTTAGGCAGGGCTGTTTACCTGTTTTGATTACTGATTTTTGCCATGTGCCTAGAAAGTATCTTGTGCATACTAGGTGCTCTGTAAATCTGTTAAATGTAATTAATGAATTAGCTAGTTGGCCTTGATGTGTTATTCTCTGCCTGTTTATCTCATTTTATCCTCCTCTTTGCTTCTTACTTTGATCTGCCACATTGGCTTTATTCTGCTGCTTGGATTGGCCAACTTCATTCCCTCTAGGCTTTGCAGAAGCTGTTTTCTTTGCCTGGAATATCCTGTCCCCAGTTTTCTCACAGCTGAATCTTATCATTTCGTATTTCAGTGTAAATGTCACTTGCTTAAAGAGATGTTCTCTGATCACCAAACTAGTTATCTCTTCACCTTCTGTTATTCTGTTTAAAAGTTTTTAAATTTAGTTTAAAAAAAAGTGATAAATCACGTGGCCCAAAATTAAGAAAATGCTACAAGACGTACAGTGAAAAATGCCTCTACCACTGTCATCTGTAAATCAAAGCAATACATATTAGTCTCTTTTTTATCCTTTCAGAGGCTCTTTAAATGAAGTGTTTTTAAACCAGTCTTTAAGAACTATATAGCCAGTATCTCCTCATCTTTTCAGATAATACACTATGAAAATTAGGCCAAACCACTGTATATAAGCCACTTCAACTTCCCATTCATCCTATCTACAATTTAATCTATAGTCTATACTTGCCCTTCAGTTTTACCTCTTCTAGTTGGTTCCCCTTGCATTTTGCCCCCCAAGTTTGATCTGTGAGATCAAAATGGTTCTTGTTCAGAGTTAGTGATATTACCACCTGAGCCCATGATCTGTCTCATCTCCATTTGCTCAGTAACTTTGTCCTAGAAATTTTCTCTCTGTGTGTGTGTGTGTGTACGTATGTATTTTCTGTGTGTGTGTGTGTGTGTGTGTGTGTGTGTGTGTACGTATGTGTTTTCTTTTGAGACAGGGTTTGCTCTGTTGCCCAGGCTGGAATATAGTGGCACAATCGTAGCTCACTGCAACCTCGAACTCCTGGGCTCAAGTGATCTTCCTGCCTCAGCCTCCTAAGTAGCCAGGACTACAGATGTGCGCCACCATGACTGGCTGACTTTTAAATTTTAGTATTTAGTAGATTTGAGGTCTTGTTATGTTGCTCAGGCTGGTCTCGAACTCCTGGGCTCAAGCAGTCCTCCCACCTCAGCCTCCCAAAATGCTAGGATTACAGGTATGAGCCATTGTGTCTGGCCTGAGGTTATCTTCTTAACTCTGCTATTTTCTTTGACTTCAGCACAACCTGGCATATAGGAGGTGCTTAGAAAATATTAGTTGAATATAGCAGAATGATGAGTTTTGAACTCTTGAGTTTTAGAGACCTGGGTATTCAACCTAGCTGTGTGACTTGGGCAAGAGAGTTAGCATCTGTAAGCCAGAATTTCTTTTCTTTTCTTTTTCTTTTTTTTTTTTTTTTCCCATTTTGAGACAGGTTCTCACTCTGTAGCTCAGGCTGGAGTGCAAGGGCACAATCATGGCTGACATCAGCCTCAAACTCCCGGCCTCAGATGATTCTCCTCTTCAGTCTCCTGAGTAGTTGGGACTACAGGCATGTGCTAACATGCCCGGCTAATTTTTGTATTTTTTGTAGAGATGGGGTTTTGTCATGTTGCCCAGGCTGGTCTCAAACTCCTGGGCTCAAGTGATCTGCCCACCTCAGCCTCCCAATGGTCACACTGCCTTCTCTTTTACTTGTAGTCTCCCTCTGCATGTCTTTTATAAGGGTACTTGTGAGTACATTTGTGACCCACTCAGGTAATCCCATATAATCTCACTTGAAAATCCTTAACATTAATCATATCTGCAAAGTCCCTTTTTCCATGTAAGGTTAACATTTGTAGGTTCCAGGAATGGGGACCTGATATCTTTGGTGACCTTTATTCAGCCTGCTACTGGGATATAAAGCACACAGCATAGTGCCTGGCAAAAAAAACAATTTATGCTTTCTGGATAGGGTCAAAAAAGATTAAAATTTTCAGAAAGATTTAATTGTACAATTAATGGGAGCCAGAGAATATGAGAAAAGTGGGTTAAAAAAAGATGAGATGGCCAGGCACAATGGCCCATGCCTGTAATCCCAGCACTTTGGGAGGCTGAGGCCGAGTTCAGGGGATCTCTTGAGCCTAGGAATTTTGAGACCAGCCAGGGCAACATAGTGAGACCTCGTCTCTACCTAAATAAATAAATAAATAAATTAGCCAGGTGTGGTGGCGATGGCCTGTAGTCCCAGCTACTTGGAGGTGGGAGGATCGCCTTAACCTGGGAGGTCAAGGCTGTAGTGAGCCATGGTCACAACGCTGCACTCCAGCCTGGGTGACAGAACGAGACCCTGTCCTTCCCCACCCCCCAAAAAAGATGAGGTAAGGGAAAGGATTATAGCATGTGACTTTATATGATACAGTGAATAAATGGGATAAGTGTATAATGAAGTAATTATTTTTTGTCAGATTTTGATTTTTTTTTTTTCCTGTTCAGATGTGTGGGAGGATTTATCCATATTTTTAGTGATAAATTTTATGGAGTAAATAGTGTACCCCTGAAAGGAGGTGGTGGTGGTGGTAGGAATATATTGCATATGATTACCATGAATATATTGCATATGATTAATTATCCAATAAAAATTGGATAATTGCCTTCCTTGTTATCCTGCAAAAGTTAACATGTAAACTATATGAAATGATTAATGAATGGATATCACATATTTTCCTGAATGTTAGACAAGAATCACTTCATTTAGAATAAAAATAAAATAAAAGTACCCTTTAAATCAATGGTTTCAGTTAGAGTAACATAAAAAGTCATACTGACATTTTAATTCTTTTTTCTATCTTCCTAACAGGTTCTTTGGCATGGACACAAGTTCAGTGGGAGGATTAGAATTGACTGATCAGACTCCTGTTTTATTAGGGAGTACGGCCATGGCAACTAGTCTCACGAATGTAGGAAACTCATTTAGTGGTCCAGCTAATCCTTTAGTGTCTAGATCTAATAAGTTTCAGAACTCGTCAGTGGAAGATGATGATGATGTTGTTTTTATCGAACCTGTACAACCTCCCCCACCTTCTGTACCAGTGGTAGCTGATCAAAGAACCATAACATTTACATCATCAAAAAATGAAGAACTACAAGGAAATGATTCCAAAATTACTCCTTCCTCAAAAGAGTTGGCATCTCAGAAGGGAAGTGTAAGTGAGACAATTGTCATTGATGATGAAGAGGACATGGAAACAAATCAAGGGCAAGAGAAAAATTCCTCCAATTTTATTGAACGAAGACCTCCTGAGACTAAAAACAGAACCAATGATGTGGATTTCTCCACTTCCAGTTTTTCAAGAAGTAAGGTAAATGCAGGAATGGGTAATAGTGGTATCACCACAGAACCAGACTCTGAAATTCAGATTGCTAATGTTACAACTTTAGAAACAGGTGTAAGCTCTGTGAATGATGGCCAATTAGAAAATACTGACGGGCGAGATATGAACTTAATGATTACACATGTAACATCACTGCAGAATACCAACTTGGGAGATGTCTCTAACGGACTGCAGTCAAGTAATTTTGGTGTTAATATACAAACATACACCCCATCTTTAACTTCACAGACCAAGACTGGAGTAGGACCTTTTAATCCTGGTAGAATGAATGTGGCAGGAGACGTTTTTCAGAATGGAGAATCTGCAACTCATCATAATCCTGGTAAGCAGTAAGAGATACTCTACTTCATGTAAATGAATTTAAACTTTTGGCTGCTGCTTTTTTCATTGTAGTAACTGGTATTACCTTGTTTAGTTTCATCATGTGAAATATGTGAATTATATTGAATTTTATCTTAAGTTTGGTATTTTAATAAGAATTGTAAAACCATGTATAGTATTTTTCTGTGGATTACTAAAAAGTTAATCATAAAGTAGTTTTATATTTAAAGGATTTAAGAAAAAAATACTCTTTACATTCATCACCAAAGTCTGATAATTTGGCCGGGCACGGCGGCTCACACCTGTAATCCCAGCACTTTGGGAGGCCAAGGTGGGTGGATTGCTTGAGCCCAGGAGTTCGAGACCAGTCTAGGCCACATAGCGAGACGCCATCTCTAAATTTAAAAAGCAAAACAAACAAAAGAATGAAGTGTGATAATTTAATATCTTGTTTGTCATGCATTACTTTTTGCTAATAGAATTTTTACTAGTGTTTTAGTATATAAATTAGAGAACCAAAAGATTAATATAATAGCACACTTAAAGAACAGTGTAATATTGTACAGTAGTTGCATTTAGATTTTTTTTTGAGATGGAGTCTTGCTCTGTCACCCAGGCTGGAGTGCAGTGGCGCAATCTTGGCTCACTGCAATCTCCGCCTCCTGTGTTCAAGCGATTCTCCTCCCTCAGCCTTTCAAGCAGCTGGGATTATAGGCGTCCACCACCACGCATGGCTAATTTTTGTATTTTGTATGGGGTTTTATCATGTTGGCCAGGCCAGGCTGGTCTCAAACTCCTGACCTCAGGTGATCTGCCCACCTCAGCCTCCCAAAATGCTGGGATTACAGGCGTGAGTCACTGCACCTGGCCGCATTTAGATTTATTTCTACTTTCCCTGTGCTTATTTAATTTAATTAATTAGTTAATTTTTTGGGACAGGGTCTCTCTCTGTCGCCCAGAGTGGAGTAGAGTGGCACAATCTCAGCTCACTGCAACCTCGACTTCTTGAGCTCAGGTGATCCTTCCATCGCAGCCTCCAGAGTAGCTGGGACCACAGGTGTGAGCCACCATGCCTGGCTAAATTAAAAAAAAAAAAAAAAATTATTTGTAGAGACGGAGTCTTACTGTGTTGCCCAGGCTGGTCTTATACTCCTGGGCTCAAACATTCCTTCTGCCTTGGCCTCCTAAAGTACTGGGATTCTAGGTATGAGCCACCATGCCCAGCCATTTTATTTTTTATTAAGAGTTGGCTAAGGTTTTATTTTTCTCACATTTGAAGAAAGCCAAACATATCATCCTTTTTTTCTTTTCTAAAACTACTTTAAAGTTATGATTGACATGCAAAAGGCTGTATATATTTAATGTCTACAACTCGATAATGCCGTGTTTATTTTTGACCACGTATCTTTAGCTTTTAGTTAGCATTTTACTACTAAAAAATTTTTAAAAATTATTTTTATTTTTCAAGGGCATAAATAAGCAATACTTTTTTTTCTTATTTATTTGTTTATTGACAGAGTCTTGCTGTATCGCCCAGGCTGGAGTGCAGTGGTGCAATCTCGGCTGACTGCAGCCTCTGCCTCCCTAGTAGCTGGAATTATAAATGTGTGCCACCATACCCAGCTAATTTTTGTATTTTTAGTAGAGACGGGGTTTCACCATGTTGGCCAGATTGGTCTTGAACTCGTGGCCTCAAGTGATCCATCTGCCTTGGCCTCTCAAAGTTCTGGGATTACAGGTGTGAGCCACTGTACCCAGCCCCCCACCTTTTTTTTTGAAGGTTGATAGTTTTCTTGACTATTTGAAATTGTTTTCTGTGAGCAGCCTTGTTCTGTGAAAACTTTAAAATATGGAAGTGATAAGAACTCTGTGCCAGCCTGGACAACGTGGTGAAAAAATACAAAATACTGAAAATATGAAAAGTTAGCTAGGCATAGTGGTGCACACCTGTGGTCCCAGCTACTTGGGGGGCTGAGGTGGGAGGATTCCTTGAGCCCCATAGGCAGAGGTTGCAGTGAGCCAGGATTGCACCACTGTATTCCAGCCTGGGTGACAAAGTGAGACCCTGTCTCAAAAACAAAACAAACTCTGTGACTTTTTCATGACATGTCTGTGGATGTCTCTCTCTCTCTTTAACCTCTCCCCCAATTCCTCTGTGTGTGTGTGTCTATCGGCGTTTCTCTCTCACATGCCTCTCTCTGACCCATTCTGTCATCATTTTAGGCTCATTATCCTAGGGATTGTGGAGAATAATGTGAAGTAACTAAAATCTAGGCAATGTAGAATGCTATATGAATTGCTAGTTATTTTTCTTATTTGTCGAGTAATGTCTGATTATTGAAGACTGCTTAGAAAATCTATAATTTAAAACAAGAGCTGGTGCCAAGCATGGTGGCTCATGCCTGTCATCCCAGCACTTTGGGAGACCAAGGCAGGAGGATCACTTGAGCTCAGGAGTTTCAGACCAGCCTCTGGGCAACAGAGCAAGACCTTGTCTCTACTAAAGATAAAAAAAAAACTAGCCAGGGCTGGTTGCGGTGGCTCAAGCCTGTAATCTCAGCATTTTGGGAGGTCAAGGTGGACGGATCATCTGAGGTCAGGAGTTTGAGACCAGCCTGGCCAACATGGTGAAACCCCATCTCAACTAAAATACAAAAATTAGTGGGGCATGGTGGTGCATGCCAGCTGCTCGGGAGGCTGAGGCACGATAATTTGTTGAACCTGGGAGGCGGAGGTTGCAGTGAGCAGAGATTGCACCACTGCACTCCAGCCTGGGCGACAGACTGAGACTCTGTCTCAAAAAACAAAACAAAAAAAACTAGCCAGGCATGGTGGTGCACACCTGTAGCCTCAGCTACTTGGGAGGCTGAAGCTGGAAGGTTGTTTTAAGTCTGGGAGATCAAGGCTGCAGTGAGCTATGATTGTGCCACTACACTCTAGCCCAGGCAGCAGAGTGAGACATTGTCTAAAACAAATAAAGAAAGCTGAGCATGAAGGTGTGGGGTGTGGAGCTGTTGAGATATGAGGATCCCTTGAAGCTGGGAGTTGGAGACTGTAGTGCTCTGTGCTGGTGCGTGTTAATAGCCAGCACACAGCAGCCTGCGCAACACAGTGAGACCCAATCATAGTCCTCCTGAGTAAAGATGACCACTATCAATGCTTTGGGTGGTTGTCTTTTAGTCTTTTTTTGTATTTTGTTAACCTAGTGGAAATGCAGATCTGTGTAGTTTTGTTGTCTGTTTTTTCCTCCACTGCATTTTCTCATACCATTAACTATTTATATAAGTTTTAATGGCTACACAATGGGTATTGATGTAACATTCCCATATTTGGCTTTTGCATTGTTTCCCATATTTTGCTGTTGTAGGTCTATGATGAAATATTTGTTCACATTCCTGATTATTTCCTTAGAGTATATTCCTACAAGTGAAGTTACTGGGCTAAATATTATGATTACTCCCATGCCCCTAACGATTTTTGGTTTAAAAATACATACCTGGTATATAGTAGTGTTAAAATAAATATGCTCTTTTTTACTCAGTTTTGAAATTTCTTGTTACTTCTAAAACTCCTTGTAGGTAGGTAGAAGTGTGTGTATGTGTGTATGGGTGTATGTGTGTGTTTGTATGAGCATTTTTAACTTACAGAAATACATTGTAATAATGCTTTTTAGAAAGCTCTTAGCAATTTATACTGTCATGAACTGTATGTTAGTCTTTCATTGTAACCTTGCCGCTTAAATGTGCTCAAATTAGTTTTAAAATAGCTATTTTTTCTTTCTTATATGTAAAAATATAAAGAAAATAATGTTGTCTTACCGCTGAGAATCAATTAATTAATAGTACATGTAATTCTAACCTGAGATCATAGCATAGGTACAGTTTTGCAACCATTCCTGCCATTCCTTTTAATACCTAGCAGTAGATCTTGAAATTTTGTTCATGTCAATATATGCGTGTGAAATTTGTCTATTTTGTATTTAGCTTGGTTCCAGTTTTTCCTACTTAGATAATTATTTTTAAGAATATTCTTGTGTATACATCTTGGGATACTTACTTCTTTAGGAATATTGCTGGATCAAAGAGACCGTAACATAAGAATTGTGTTCCTGTTTACTCAAACTCTGTAAACTCGTCATCAGAAAAACTGTACACAAAGAGACATATGAATTGGGTCTTGCATTTATATGCTGATTTTATTTGTAATAGAGAATAATGGATGAAGAGCTATAAAATCTTGGCTATTTATATTGGTTCTTGGACTAATTGTTAATTGGGAAAATTTACCAGCTATCCTTTCATGAAATCCCTTGTATGAAATTGAAGGTTTAGACAAAATGATTAGGCCTTTTCTATTCCTAAAAAATTTTTTTGATGTTGGAGGAAATAAAAATGTAAAACTAGGGCAAATGTAAATTGAAAATAGAGAAGCACCATTTTTTTCAGTGTCAAGGCAATAGATGCCCTTAAGTTTTGATAGGCTCTTTTAACTATGTATTCAAGTGACAAGCCTACAAAATAGAACACCCCGAGGAGCCACTATTTGTGTGGGCAAGAGCTGTTTCTTTTAGATATGTTCAAGCATAATTTTTGATTGGAGGCCTTTTTTCCTTTCTTAAGATGGAATTACCAGTTCTTCTAGTGACTTTCTTTCTCGTTGATTAGATTTTTACCCATTTATTGAAACTGGTCAGTTACTGTGATGATAGTTAAATAACAGAATTCCAGAATGCACTCTTTATTCTAATAAGTTTGGTGTGTTCTTGTTTTTGTTTCTCCAACTAAGGGGTATGAATACAGTCAGGTAAGATCTGAATAGCCCCTCGAAACCATTAGGTTGATGGAATGGGTCAGAACCAAAAAATCATCCTTTTTAAAGTTTTGGTAGTAAAGAAGTTTTCCCAAGCTCTGGTTGTATTTTGTACCGCAAGGAAAATAATTTTTTTCCTGTGGAAGGGCAGCTTTTATGTATGGAAGTTCAAAATACGGAGAAACTAGAAAGGAAAAAGAAATTTATGAGAGACCAGAGTAGTAGAAATTAGAAGTGGTAACCTGAAAAGTTTCAAAATGAAGATAGGTTATGGTATTGGTAGTGCCATGGGAGGCCTGCAGAACAGCAACTAGTGCAGCAAACTGGAGACTTCTACTAAACACTAAAGAAGCTTAGCACAAAAGAGAAAATATGTCCTCTAGCATTAATAGTTACCACACCTCAGTACTGTGCTGTGCTGAACCTTTGCAGTGGTAGAGGAATTTGACATTGGATTGGTCAGTACAGGCATACCTCATTTTATAGTACTTTGTTTATTGCACTTCACAGATAATTGCATTTTACACAAATTGAAGGTTTGTGGCAACATTGAGCCGAGTAAGTCTTTTGGCGCCACACTTCCAACATCATGTGGTCACTTCGTGTCTCTGTTTCACATTTTGGTAATTCTCACAATATTTCAGGCCTTTTCATTGTTATTATATCTGTTACGGTGATCTGTGATCAGTGATCTTTGATGTTACTATTGTAATTGTTTTGGATGCCACAAACCATACCCATATGAGAGTGAACCTAATTGATAAATGTTGTGTGTGTTCTAACTCTCCCTCTCCTTGGACCTCCCTGTTCCTTGAGACACAGCAATATTTAAATTAGGTCAGTTAATAACCCTATAATGGTTGCTAAGTGTTCAAGTGAAAGAAAACCTTACATTTCTTGCTTTAAATCAAAAGTTAGACCTGTTTAGGCTTAGTGAGGAATGCATGTTGAAAAGCCTAGAAAGGCTGAGAGCTAGGCCTCTTGAACCAAACAGCCAAATTGTAAATGCAAAGGAAAAGTTCTTGAAGGAAATTAAAACTGCTACTCCAGTGAACACAGGAATGATAACAAAGTGAAATAGCCTTTTTTTGAGACAGAGTCTCACTCTTACCCAGTCTGGAGTGCAGTGGTTTGAACTTGGCTCACTGCAGCCTCTGCCTCACAGGCTCAAGAGATCCTCCCATCTCAGCCTCCCGAGTATCTAGGACCATAAGAATGTGCCACCATGCCTGGTTAATTTTTAAAAAATATTTTTTGTGGAGACAGGGTTTCGCTATGTTGCCCAGGCTGCTCTCAAACTGCTCAAGCAATCCACCTGCTTCAGACCCCCAAAGTGCTGGGATTACAAGTGTGAGCCACCGTGCCCAGCCACAAAACAGCCTTATTGCTGATGTGGAGAAAGTTTAAGTGGTCTGGATAGAAGATCAAACCAACTATGACATTTCCTTAAGCCAAAGCTTAATCCAGAGTTAGGCGCTAACTCTTTTTCAGTTTTATGAGAACTGAGAGAGATAAGGAAACAAAAGAAAAGTTTGAAGCTAGTAAAGGTTGGTTCATGAGGTTTAAGGAAATAAGTCATCTCCATAACATAAACGTGCAAGGTGAAGCTGCAAGTGCTGACGTAGAAGTTGTAGCAAGTTCTCCAGAAGATCTAAGATAATTGATGTAGGTGGCAACATGAAACAACGGATTTTCAGTGTAGACAAAACAACTGATGGCTCTCTTGTTAGAGGTTAATATACTTAGTGACTGTAAGTTGAAGCCAGTGCTCATTTACCATTCTGAAAATTGTAGGGTCCTTAAGAATGATGATAAATGTACTCTGCCTGTGCTTTATCAGTGGAACAACAAAGCCCCGATGACAGCATGTGTGTTTACAGCATGGTTTACTGAATAGTTTAAACTAGTGTTGAGACCTTTTGTTCAGCAGAAATGATTCCTTTTAAACTATTACTGCCCAGTACACCTGGTCATCCAAGAGCTCTGATGGAGATGTACAAGGAGATGAGTGTTGTTTTCATACCTGCTACCACAATATTCATTCTGTAGCCTGTGGATCAAGGAGTAATTTTGACTTTTAAGTCTTACTATTTAAGAAATACATTTTGTAAGGCTATAACTGCCATAGATAGTGATTCCTCTGATGGATCTAGGCAAAGTAAATTAAAAGCCTTCTGGAAAGGATTCGCCATTCTCAGTGCCCTTATGAACATTTGTAATTCATGGGAGAAGGTCAAAACAGCATTATTAACCAGAGTTTGGAAGAAGTTGATTTCAACCCTCATGAATGATGGTGAAGGGTTCAAGACTTTAGTGGAGGAAGTAATTGTAGATGTGGTGGAAATAGCATGAGAACTAGAATTAGTAGTGGAACCTGAATGAGGCTGGGCATGGAGGCTCATGCCTGTAATCCCAGCACTTTGGGTGACTGAGGCAAATGGATCGGTTGAGGCCAGGAGTTCAAGACCAGCCTGGCCAACATGGTGAAACCCTGTCTTTACTAAAAATATAAAAATCAGCTAGGTGTGGTGGCACACACCTGTAATCCCAGCTGCTTGGGAGACTGAGGCATGAGAATTGCTTGATCCCAGGAGGTAGAGGTTGCAGTGGGCTAAGACTGCTCCACTGCTCTCCAGCCTGGGCTACAGAGAGAGACTGTCTCAAAAGAAAAAAAAAAAAAAAAAAGTAGAGCCCGAAGATGAGATTGAATTGCTGCAATCTCGTGATAAAACTTGCACAGATGAGGAGTTGCTTTTTATGGTTGAGCAAATAGAGTGGTTTCTTGAGATGAATCTATTCCTGGTGAAGATACTGTGAATGTTGTTGAAATGACAACAAAGGATTTAGAGTATTACGTAAACTTAGTTGATAAAGGAGTTGCAGGGTTTGAGAAGATTGACTCTGATTTTGAAAGAAGCTCTAGTGTGGGTAAACTGCTGTCATACAGCAGAAGAGTTCATTGATGGGGTAAAGATCATTGTTATCTTATTTTAAGAAATTGCCACAGCCAATTGGCAGCCACCATCGTGATCAGTCAGCAGCTATCAGCATTGAGGCAGGGCCCTCCACCAGCAGAAAGATTACAGCTTGATGAAAGCTCACATGATTAGTGTTTTTTAGCAATAAAGTATTTTTAAATTAAGATGTAGATTTTAAAAAGATATAATACTATTGTACACTTAATAGACTACATTATAGTGTAAACATAACATTTTTTGTGAAACCAAAAAAATTCCCATGTCTTGCTTTATTGCAGTATTAGCTTTATTGCAGTGATCTGGAGCTGAACCAGAAATATTTCTGAGATATGCCTGTATACATTGGTTTAATTCCATCATTTCTGTGTAACACTCTTTCTATGAGATTATGTGTTACATTTAAAGGCCATGAAACTAAACATATATGGAAAAGCTGTTCTTAAAATATGTCTTGGAAATAATTATAAACTTTATTAGACTTGCATTACATTTGTCAAAGGTTCTAGTTAGGATTTTATTATTATTTAATGTTGATATATGTGTTCCTTGCCTAAAGTGATATTTTATAAATACGTGAATACTTCCTGCTTAATAACTAGTGACATTTTTTAATACTTCCTATATGCCAGTTATTATGCTTTATTATATGTCTTACCTCATTTAATGTTTACCATTAGCATGAGGTTGATACCATTTCAGGCGCTCTGAAGAGTAAGGCACAGTTTAAGTAGCTTCCCAATCTTGTAAGCGATGGAGCTAGAATGTGAACCATTCTTTTTTCTTTTAATTAATTTTTTAAAAAATTGACAAAACTTGTATATTTATTTATTGTGTACAACATGTTGCTTTGAAGTAGATATACATTGTGGGAATGGCTAGATTGAGCTCTGAGTTACCCGACATACCCTTTTTTTGTGCTGAGAACACTTAAAATCTAATGTTAACTATTTTAAAGAATGTAGTGCATTGTTACCGTGACATTCTTACTCCAAAACTTGTGCTATATACCTCTCTGCTATGTTGCTGTTCCATTAACATCTTAAAATTGTACAAAATGGGAAGTTAATATTTCTCTGATATAAATTTTAATATGTATAAACAAACACTTGTTTCATTATTCTTTCTTGTGCATTTTGTTTTTAAGATTCTTGGATCTCCCAGTCAGCTTCATTTCCCCGTAATCAGAAACAACCAGGGGTGGACTCTTTATCACCAGTGGCCTCACTTCCTAAACAGATTTTCCAGCCGTCTGTCCAACAGCAGCCTACTAAACCAGTTAAAGTCACTTGTGCAAACTGCAAAAAACCTTTACAGAAGGGCCAGACAGCTTATCAACGAAAAGGATCAGCTCACCTCTTTTGTTCTACCACCTGCCTTTCTTCCTTCTCCCACAAGCCTGCTCCAAAGAAACTCTGTGTTATGTGTAAAAAGTAAGGTTTACCTTTCAACATAATTACATATAGTTGAATTTTGGAGTTGTAAAATTTTAAGAAAAGTGAAACAGATTTGTAATACCTTTGGAAACTTCCCTATCAAGTCCAGGTGGCATATGGATAAAAGGCTTCCTGTTTGGATGGCATTGGAGTTGATTTAGATAGGTCCTTATAATTAATTTTGTCTGTAATCTCCATTGGACTCTTTGATTTTGTAACAATACATACTTATTTACATGATTAATGAGAAGAAATTAGTTCTTATAGCCAAATAAAAATGCTAAGCAGTTTATGCGTGATTCTGTGTTAAAATTGGTTAAATTTTACCCTGTCTTCAGATCAAGATTATAAAATTGGCAAGTCTTTGGATTTTATATGTGTTTGTTTTGAACATTAAGTCATTAGAAATAGTATTTCAAGACTCAGGTACCAATTTTTAGCCAGCCTTAGAAAGGCAGGATCCTCTCTTCTACTGTTTTTTTCTTTTTCTTTTTCTTTTCTTTTTTTTTTTTTAGGCAGAGTCTCATTCTGTAGCCCAGGCTGGAGTGCAATGGTGCGATCTCAGCTCACTGCAGCCTCCACCTCCTGGGTCCTCCACCTCCTGGGTTCAAGCAGTTATCCTGCCTCAGCCTCCCGAGTAGTTAGGATTACAGGCTTTCGCCACCATGCCCAGCTAATTTTTGTATTTTTAGTACAGATGAGGTTTCAGCATATTGTCCAGACTGGTCTTCAGCTCCTGACCTCAGGTGATCTGCCCACCTCAGCCTCCCAAAGTGCTGGGATTATAGGCGTGAGCCACCATGCCCAGCCCTCTTCTGCTGTTTTTTGATCTAGCTTCACTGGTTAAAAATAGCTGGAATATGGTATGTTATATGCAAGGTAAAGCCTGGTGGCCTTTCTGTACCATATCTTGGAGCAGCTCAATTCTCCGAAGCTATATTTAGATCTTGAATTTTACAAAGAGCTTAGTGTTCTCTACATGTTTAATAAATTCAAATACTGAAACAATTGTTACACAGATTGCTTTGCAGTAGTAAACTTAAATACTACAGTGTAGGATCTTGAAAATCAGAATAAAAGGAAAACTTCAAAGGTCATCAGTATTGTCAGTTTTGTTTTGTTTTGTTTTTTTTTGAGACGGATTCTCGCTCTGTCGCCCTGGCTGGAGTGCAGTGGCGCTGATCTCCGCTCACTGCAAGCTCCGTCTCCTGGGTTCATGCCGTTCTCCTGCCTCAGCCTCCTGAGTAGCTGGGACTACAGGTGCCTGCCACCATGCCTGGCTAATTTTTTGTGTTTTTAGTAGAGACGGGGTTTCACCATGTTAGCCAGGATGGTCTCGATCTCCTGACCTCGTGATCCACCCGCCTCAGCCTCCCAAAGTGCTGGGATTACAGGCGTGAGCCACTGCGCTCAGCAGTATTGTCATTTTCTAATATTTCTATTTACTGTTGGAGAGCCATGTTAATAGTGGGTGAGGTTATTTGGGGATGGGGTGTGTGGGTATATTTAAGTTCAGTTATCCCTCTAGAACGTATACCATATTCCCCATAACCCAGATACCTCTTACTTTCTACTTATCCAGGGGAGGGAATTGAACAGGTTATACCTCAGTAAATTAATCCTTAACATTAATTCCATATAACTAATAACAGCTTTTCTTTTTTTAGTTTTCCCAATATTTGAAATCCTTTTTAGTGAATTTAAAGATAAATTGAGTAGCGGCAAAGATTTAATAGTATAAAATATTTTTGCTTCTCAAAAGTCTTTATTTCCAAACATATTTTATTAGGAATGTCTAATAAAAATGATTTATTAGATCCAAGAATGATGTTTGATTTGCAGGACTTAGTCTATAGAAATGAAAAATGTCACTTATGACTCTTATATTTGATTTCTTTTAAAATGGAATTTTAATATGTACCACTTATTTTTCAGAGATATAACTACAATGAAAGGAACCATTGTTGCTCAAGTGGATTCAAGTGAGTCCTTCCAGGAATTCTGTAGTACATCTTGTTTATCTCTCTATGAAGACAAACAGAATCCTACTAAAGGAGCTCTAAATAAATCAAGATGTACAATCTGTGGTAAACTAACTGAGGTTTGTATTTTTTTTCTTTATCATTTAATTCTAACAAATAGGAATATTTTAAACTTCATTTAAGAACTATTAGATAATCTTTTATCAGTTCCTTAAAAATGAATATATATAAAGACTATCTTATAAATATCCTATTATGTAATCTGATTCTCCCATAGGATCTTATCTTATAAATATCCTTTTATATAATCTGATTCTCCCAGAGGATGATTTCGGAAAAATCATTGTGTTAATTGCCTTGTTTTTCCCTGAGGTTGGGAACACTCACAGACAAAACCATAGTGTTGAGGTTGATTTTTGTCTAGTAATATATTTATTTAAACAAGCAGGCAGACTACACAAGAAATACTACAAATAATTTTGCTGAGAAGTAGAACGATTGGAATATTTTTTGATAACCTCACATTATTAATATTGTGTTAAATAAAAAGTAATCTGTTTATATATAAGTCATTTGAATGATTTATAATGGTTCTCCCCTCCTCATTTTTCTAGAGAAATGTACTTTATTTATAGTTTTTAAAAATTGGTCTAAAGATTTTTACTCTATGAAGTTTAATATCACCACTACCCAAACTTGGTTTTCTGTCATCTTCTGATACCTCTAGAGAAGTTTGTAGTGATGTCACTGATGGGTTTTTTTCTTTTTTCAGTGCCATACATGTGTTCCTGTGTGTATAAAAACAATTTAAATAATTATGAAAATGGGGCCAGGCTCAGTAGCTCACACCTATATAATCCTAGCACTTTGGGAAGCCAAGGTGGGAGGATCACTTGAGGCCAGGAGTTTGAAATCAGCCTGGGAAGCATAGTGGGACCCTATCCCTACCTAAAAGAAAAAACATTAGTTAGGCGTGGTTGTGTGTGTCTATAGTCTCAGCTACTCGGGAGGCTGAGGTAGGAGGATTGCTTGAGCCCAGGGGATTGAGGCTGCAGTCAGCTTTGATGGTGCCACTGTACTTTAGCCTGGGTAATGAGTGAGACCCTGTCTTTAAAAAAAAAAAAAAAATTTTTTTTTTCCTTTTCTCCAAACAAGCCTTATTAGGACATCTTTATTTCTGTTCAGAATGCTTTATTATTTAGCTACTTGTCAGATTGATCTGTTTTGTAAGATTTTGTTTATTTTTCTTTTAGATTCGCCATGAAGTCAGCTTTAAAAATATGACTCATAAGCTGTGCAGTGACCACTGCTTTAATAGATATAGAATGGCCAATGGTTTAATAATGAATTGCTGTGAACAGTGTGGAGAGTACTTGCCCAGTAAAGGTGCTGGAAATAATGTTCTGGTGATTGATGGTCAACAGAAAAGATTTTGCTGTCAAAGTTGTGTCAGTGAATACAAACAGGTAATTCATGTTCTAATCAAAATTGGGCATTCTTTAGAATGTTCTTGAAAGTGTTGTAATACTTTTACTCTAACAGTGTTTATTAACTGGCTTTATCTTAGAATTTCATTTAATTCCATTATTGTTGTCATATCATGGAGCATACTGAATGCATAGTGCTTTGTACCATTAAAGCTGAACCATCGTAAGTCAGGGACCATCTGTATTTATTCATTTGAGGTAGGTCATTTCCGTGATATAATGATGGAGTTAAGTCTGGGTAAACCCGTTGTAAGTTGGAAATGTCTTAGAATGCACCTTTGACCTAGGTATTTTCAACTTAGAATGGGTTTATCAGGATGTAACTCCATTCTTAGGGAACATCTGTGTATGTAGATTATTGGCAGTAAATTTAAGATTTTACATATAATGGTAAATGCTATCAGAATGATTCCTCTTTTGAATTTATTTCCTCTTTGGGAGTTGGAGAGGGGCTGCAAATATTTCAAACTTTTAAACCTCGGCTTGAAGTGGTCGTATTGTTTATATTTAAATTTTAAGGTTAATGTTGTTATCATTTTTTTTTTGAGACGGAGTTTTGCTCTTGTTTCCCAAGCTGGAGTGCGTTGGCGTGATCTCAGCTCACTGCAACCTCCGCCTCCCAGGTTCAAGTGATTCTCCTGCCTCAGCCTCCCAAGTAGCTGGGATTACAGGCATGCGCCACCACACCCGGCTAATTTTTTGTATTTTTAGTAGAAACGGGGTTTCACCGTGTTAGCCAGGCTGGTCTCGAACTCCTGACCCCAGGTGATCCACCTGCCTCAGCCTCCCAAAGTGGTGGGATTACAGGCGTGAACCACTGCACCCGTCCAGGTTAATGTTATTTTAAGGACTTTTTGATTTCTAGTTTTATTCCATTGCTCATTGGAAAGGTAGTCTGTGTGATTTCAATCTTCATAAATTTATTTATTAAATGTTTTATCAGAAATTATTATTGCTTTAAAGATCTTTTTGTTGTCTGTGGAGAAGGTTATATGAACTTTCTCCCTCTTTAGTTTTTTTTTTTTTTTTTTAAAGACAAGTTTCGCTCTGTTGCCCAGGCTGGAGTGCATTGGCGTAATTTTGGCTCACTGCAACTTCCACCTCCTGGGTTCAAGTGATTCTCCTGCCTCAGCCTCCTGAGTAGCTGGGATTACAGGCGTGCACCACCACGCTGAGCTAATTTTTGTGTTTTTACTAGAGATGGGGATTCACCATGTTGGCCAGGCTGGTCTCACACTCCTGAGCTCAAGTGGTCTCCGTGCCTCGGCCTCCCAAAGTGCTGGGATTACAGGCATGAGCTACCACACCTGGCCTTAGATTTATTAAGGTGTGAGTTATATAGTAGTCCTTTCTCACGCAAAGTTTTGTTTTTTGTGGTTTCAATTACTCACAGTCAGCTGCAGTTTCCAAATAGGTGAGCAGACTACAATAAGATAATTTCAGAAAGTAATTAATTATAGGTGAGTAGACTACAATTAAGATAATTTGAGAGAGATTAATTATAACTAACTATAATTGTTGTTGTTTTTTGTTTTGTTTTGAGACAGGGTCTTGCTCTGTTGCCCAAGCTGGAGTGCAGTGGTGCAATCTCAGCTCACTGCAGTCTACTTTTCCTGGGTTCAAATGATTCTCCTTGCTTCAGCCTCCTGAGTGGCTGGGATTACAGGCACATGCCACCATGCCCGACTAATTTTTGTATTTTTGGTAGCGATTGGGTTTCACCATGTTGTCCATGCTGGTCTCAAACTCCTGACCTCAAGTGATTTGCCCACCTCGGCCTTCCAAAGTGCTGGGATTACAGGCGTGAGCCATCATTCCCGCCCAATTGTTGTTAATCTCTTGCTGTGGCTAATTAGAAATTAAACTTTATCATAGGTATGTGTCTATGGGAAACGACATAGTATCAAAGGTTTCAGGCATCCACTGGGAGCCTCAGAATGTATCTCTCAAGGATAAGAGGTGGCACTGCCATATTAGTAGATTTCCTAATCTATTGAGCCATCCTTGTATTCCTAGAATAAACTATGCCAGATAATTATTTTTTCAAAAATGTGCATACATTCTGATGGCTAATACTTTATTTGGTACTTTTGCATTGATATTTATAAGTAAGATTGGTCTGTAATGTCCTTTTTTTTTGTGCATTCTTTAAGGTATCAGTGTTACATTTGCTTTATAAAAATGTCCAGAGGAAAATTCATTTCCTCATATACTTAAAGCAGTAAAAATGAAAATAAATGAATTAAATAGTCAACTGAAAAACCTGGAAAAAGAAAAATAAACTGAAACAGAAGAAAGGAAATAAAGATAAAAGGATAAACTAATTAGGAATTTTAAAATAGTATTAACATTGTTCAGAATGTTGCCTCTTTGAAAAATCAGGTCTTCAAAAACCAGGGAAAAAATACCCAATTGTTAATCAGGAAAAGAGGTTTAAAAACAGAAATACGTAAAATAAGAAATGACAAGGTAGATATGAAGATCAAAACAAAAGAACTTGACAAAAATCAGTCATAAGAACCAGTTTATTTAGCCCTATATAAAAATGTTGAACCTAGATTAATTTCCTGTGAAAATATAATTTCCCCAACTGGACTTCAGCGCAGACAAAATTAAGTGGACAAATTTCTATAGATGAAATAGAGATAATTATTAAAGTACTACCCCACAACAAGGACTAGGCTCTGATGTTTTCATAGGGGAATTCCATCAAATTTAAACAAGAAAATCTCAGTGCTATTTAAACAATTCCAGAGCATAAAAAGGACGGAAAGTAACTCATAAGGTTTTTAAACATTGTGGTAGACTATATGTAACATAAAATTTGCAGTTTTAAGTATTTTTAAGTATATAAGTGAGTGGCATTAGTTACATTTACAGTGTTGTGCTACCGTTGACTCTATTTCTGAAACTTTTTCATCATGCCATACAAAAACTGACATTAGCCAATAACTCCCATTTTTTTCTATCCCAGTCCTTGGTAACTTAGTACTTTCTGTCTCTATGAATTCGTATATTCTAGATATTCATGTAAGTGAAATTATATAATATTTGTCTTTTTGCATCTGGGTTATTTTACCTGAAAGCTGAAACATAATGCTTTCAGTTTCATCCATAGTATAGCCACGATCAGAACATCATTACTTTTTATGGCTGAATAGTATTCATTATATGTATATGCCACATTCTGTTTATCGATTTGTTGTCCCTATGATAGATGTTGCTTTGTTGCCACCTTTGACTATTGTGAATAATGCTGCAGTGAATATTGGTGTATAAATTTGATATAAGTATCCTGGTTTTCCATTCTTTTGGATGAGTGTGGATTTGCTCAGTCATAGGGTAATTCTGTGTTTTACCTTTTGAAGAATTGTCAAACTATTTTACACAACCGTACCATTTTATGTTCTCAGCAGCAATGTACAAGGCTTCTGTTTTCTCTATATCTTTGCCAACACTTGTTATTTTCCATGTTTTAAGCTTTTGATTTTTCTTGTAGATATCTTAGTGCATGTGCGGTGGTATCTCATGGTTTTGATTTGCATTTCCCTAATGACTAATGACAATGAACAATTTTTCTTTGTTGTTGTTGTTTTTTTTATTTTTGAGACAGAGTCTCGCTCTGTTACCCAGGTTGGAGTGCAGGTGCACAATCTTGGCTCACTGCAACCTCTGCTTCCTGGGCTCAAGGGATTCTTCTGTCTCAGCCTCCCGAGTAGCTGGGACCACAGGCACGGGCCACTACGCCTGTCTAATTTTTTGTATTTTTTTGGAGACATAGGGTTTCATTCGCCATGTTGTTCAGGCCTGGTCTCGAACTCCTAAGCTCAAGCCATCTGCCTGCCTTGGCCTTCCAAAGTGCTAGGATTACAGTGTGAGCCACCGTACCTGGCCAGTGAGCAATTTTTCATTTGCTTGTTGGCCATTTGTGTATCATCTTTGGAGAAGTATCTATTCAAGTCCTGTCTCTGTTTTTGAATTGGGTTTTGTAGTTCAGTTCTTTTTTCTCTTTTTGTTTTTTGTTTGTCTGTTTGTTTGTTTGTTTGTTTTTGAGATGGAGTCTCCCTCTGTTGCCCAGGCTGGAGTGCAGCAGCGAGATCTTGGCTCACTGTAGCCTCTGCCTCCTGGGTTCAAGTGATTCTCCTGCCTCAGCCTCCTGAGTAGCTAGGAGTACAGGTGCGTGCCACCACACCTGGCTAATTTTTGTATTTTTAATAGAGACGGGGTTTCACCATGTTGGTGAGGCTGGTCTCAAACTCCTGACATCGTAATCTGCCCGCCTCGGCCTCCCCAAGTGCTGGGATTATAGGCATGAGCCACTGCGCCTGGCCCTCTTTTATTTTTAGTTGATATGTAATACTTGTATATACGTAGGGGATACAGAGTGATGTTTTTATACATGTATAAAATGTGGAATGTTCAAATCAGGGTAATTAGGATAGCCATCACCCCAAAATTATTTTTTTATGTTGGGAACATTCGAAATTCTCTCTTTTAGCCTTTTGAATCTATCCAATAATAATTGTTAACTGTATTCATTCTATAGTGCTATGGAACAATAGAACTTACTCCTCCTATATAGCTATAATTTTGTATCCCTTCGTACTTTTGTTCCGGAGTTGAAGAAGTTCTTTATATCTTGTACAGTTTGAGTATCCCTTATCTGAAATGCTTGGGACCCAAAGTGTTTCAGATTTTAGGTTTTTCAAACTTTAGAATATTTACATTATACTTACATTCAAACAATCCACATCTGAAAAATCCAAAATGCAAAATGCTTCAATGAGCATTTCCTTTGAGCATCATGTTGGTAATTGAAAAGTTTTGGGTTTTAGAGCATTTCAGATTTTTTGCATTTGCGTTGCTCATTCTGTATATGTTTTGCAAATACTGTCTTCCATTATGTACGTTTTTGTTTTACTTTCTCAATAATGTCCTTTGATGTGCAGAAGTTTTTATTTTTTTGTTTTATTTTTTTTTTTTTTGAGGGGTGAAGGAGTCTTGCTCTGTCACCCAGGCTGGAGTGCAATGGCACGATCTTGGCTCAGTGCAACCTCTGCCTCCTTGGTTCAAGCGATTCTCTTGCCTCAGCCTCCCAAGTAGCTGGGATTACAGGTGTGTGCCACCATGCCTAATTTTTGTTTTTTTTTTTTCTTTTTTGAGATGGAGTCTTGCTCTGTTGCTCAGGCTGGAGTGCGGTGGCACAGTCTCTGCTCATGCAACCTCCACCTCCCGCGTTCAAGCAATTATCCTGCCTCAGCCTCCCGAGTAGCTGGGATTACAGGCGCACACCACCATGCCCAGCTATTTTTTTGTATTTTTAGTAGAGACGGGGTTTCACCTTGATGGCCAAGCTGGTTTCAAACTCCTGATGTCAAGTGAGCCACCTGCCTCGACCTCCCAAAGTGCTAGGATTACAGGCGTGAGCCACAGCGCCTGGGCTAATACTTGTATTTTTAGTAGAGATGGGGTTCCACCATGTTGGCCAGGCTGGTCTCGAACTCCTGACCTTCAGTGATCCTCCTGCCTTGGCCTCCCAAAGTGTGAAATTACAGGCGTGAGCCTCCGCCCCTGGTCTTTTTTTTTTGAGATGGGTCTCGGTCTGTAGCCCAGGCTGGAGTGCGGTAGTGCGATCTCAGCTCACTGCAGCCTCCGCCTCCTGGGTCCAAGCGATTCTTCTGCGTCAGCCTCCCAAGTAGCTAGGACTATAGGCATAGGCCACCATGTCCCACTAATTTTTGTATTTTTTTTTAGTAGAGTTGGGGTTTCACCAGGTTGGCAAGGCTGACCTGAAACTCCTGACTTCAAGTGATCTGTCCTTCTCAGCCTCTCAAAGTGCTGGGATTACAGGTGTGAGCCACCACGCCCAGCTGGAAGTCTTAAATTTTGATTTACCCATTGTTTTCTTTTGGTCGTGCTTTCGGTGTCATTTAAGAATCTGTTGCCAAATGCCAGGTCATGGTTTTCCTCTACAGTTTCCTCTAAGAGTTGTATGAGTTTAGCTCTTAATTAGGTATTTGATCCATTTTAATTTACTTTTTGTTTATTATGTGAGGCAGGGGTCCAACTTCATTGTTTTGTACTGGAATTCCAGTTTTCCCACCACCACCACCTGTTGATGAAGGGATTATTCTTTCTCTGTGGAATGGACTTATCACACTTGTCAAATATTAATTGGCCAGAGATCATTTCTATGTTCCACTGATCTACATGTGTGATCTTATGTATGTGCTGCACTATTTTGATTACTGTATCTTTGTAGTAAGTTTTGAAATCAGGAAATGTGAGTTCTCCAACTTTGTTTTTTGTCAAGATTGTTTGAATATTCTGGACCCATTCTAATTTTATATGAATTTGAAGATTGGCTTTTCTATTTCTGCAGAAGAGTTTGTTGGAATTTTTATATAAATTGCATTGAATCTGTAGATTGCTTTGGGTAGTATTGACATCTTAGCAATAGTAAGTTATTCTGTCTGTGAAAATGGCATTTATTTATGAAGACATACCATTTATTTATGTCTTTAATTTCTTTCAGCAGTCTTTTGTGGTTTTTAGTGTACAAGTCTTCACCTCCTTTGCTGCATTTATTCCTGTTTATTCTTTTAATGCTATTTCTAGTGGATTTGCTTTATTAATTTCCTTTTCAGATTGTACATTACTAGTATATAGAAACATCTGATTTTTGTACATTGATCATGTACTGTGCAAGTTTACTGAATGTTAGCTCTACTAGCTTTATGAGTTTCTTGGTATTTTTCTCTTTATGAGTTTCATGTCATCTGTGAATAGAGATAGTTCTACTTTTTTCCAATTCGGATGCATTTTATTTCTTAACTAATGGTTGTGGCTATAATTTTCAATACTGTGTCAAATAGATGTGGTGAAAGTGGGCGTCCTTGTTGCTGATCTTAGAGGAAAATAATTTTTTTACCATTGAGTCTGATGTTAGAATGGGTTGTTCATATGCATGGCTTTTAGTATGTTGAAGTAGTTTCTTTGTATTACTTTTTTTATTCAGTTTTTTTAATCATAAAAAGGTGTTGAATTTTTCAAATGCTTTTTCTACATCCTTTGAGATGATCATGTGGTCTTTATCTTTGCTCTTATTTATGTGGTACGTTACATGGATTGATTTCTTTATGTTGAACCACACTTTTATTGGGATAAATCCCTACTTGATTATGGTGTATAATCCTTTTAATATATTGAATTCAGTTTAGTAGTACTTTGTTGAGGATCTTTGCATCTATATTCTTGTGGGATACTGGTCTCTGATTTTCTTTCTTTTGATGTCTTTATCTGTCTTTCAAATGAGGGTAATGCTGGCCTTATAGAATGGGGTGGGTGAGACATCTTGTATCTTCTGATTTTTGGAAGCGTGGGAATTGGTGTTAATTCTTTAAATGTTTGGTAGAATTTACCTGTGAAGTCATCTGATCTTGGCCTTCTCTTTTTTGGGACTTTTTGTTTGTTTGTTTGTTTGTGAGACAGAGTCTCACTGTGTCACCCAGGCTGGAGTGCAGTGGCGTGATCTTGGCTCACTGCAACCCCCGCCTCCCGGGTTCAAGCAATTCTCCTGCCTCAGCTTCCTGAGTAGCTGGGACTACAGGCGCCTGCCACCACGCCCAGCTAATTTTTGAATTTTTAGTAGAGATGGGGTTTCACCATGTTGGCCAGAATGGTCTCGATCTCCAGACCTCATGATCCACCCGCCTCAGCCTCCCAAAATGTTGGGATTATAGGCATGATCCACTGCACCCGGCCAGGACATTTTTGATGACTGAGTCTATTGTTACAGGTCTGTTCACGTTTTCTATGTCTTCTTGTGTCAGTTTTGGTGGTTTGTGTGTTTTTAGGAATTTGTGCATTTCATCTAGGCTGTGTAATTAGTTAATGTACTATTGTTCATAGCATTTTCTTGTACTACTTTTTACTTCAGGAATGCTGGTAGTAATGTCTCCTATATTTTATTCTTTGTGTCTATTCTCTTGGTATTTTAAAATGACCAACTTTTGGGTTTGTTTCTCTCACTTTTTCTGTTCTGTTTTATTTTTCCTGCTCTAATCTTTATTATTTCCTTTCTTCTGCTGGCTTTGGGTTTAGTGATCTCGTCTTTTTCCTCAAGGTGGTGAGAAGTTAGGTTATTTACTTTAGGTTTTTTTTTTTTTTTTTTTTGGGGACAAAGTCTCACTCTATTGCCCAGGCTGGAACGCAGTGGCATGATCTTAGCTCACTGCACCCTCACCTCCCAGGTTCAAGCGATTATCCTGCATCCGCCTCCTGAGTAGCCGGGATTACAGGCATGTGCCACCACACCTGGCTAATTTTTGTATTTTTAGTAGAGATGGGGTTTCACCGTGTTAGACTGGTCTTGAACTCCTGACCTCAGGTGATCTGCTCGCCTCAGCCTTCCAAAGTGCTGGGATTATAGGTGTGAGCCACCGTGCCTGGACTTACTTTCTTTCTTTTTAACATAAGCATTTAAAATTTTAAATAAATTTTTCTCTGATTAGTATTTAAGTTGCATCTCATAACTTTTGGTATTCTTTTAGTTTTGTTTTCACTCATCTCTAAGTATTTAAAAATTTCCTGTGATTTCTTCTTTGAGCCATGTTTAAGAGTGTGTAGTTTAATATCCCCATATTTGTGAATTTTCTAAGTGTTCCTTCTATTACTGATTTCTAGTTCTATTCCATTGCTCATTGGAAAGATACTCTGTGTGATTTCAGTCTTCAAAAATTTATTGAGACTTTTTTGTGGCCTAACATAGTTCATTCTGGAAATTGCTCCATGTGCATTTGAGAAGAATGTTTATTCTACTGTTGTTGGCAAGAATACTCAATATATGTTTGTTATTAATAACTCTAGTTTATATTGTTGTTCAAGATTTGTCTTTACTTAGTTGAAATTCTGTCTAGATGGTTTGTCCACTATTGTAAATGGTGTATTGATGTCTCCAGCTATTATTGTACAATTATCTGCTTCTACCTCAGTTATTGTCTATTTCTCCTTTTACGTCTGTTAATTTATTTAAGTGTATTTTGGGGGTTTTGATACTTGGTATGTATATGTTTATATTTGTTATATCTTCTTGGTAAGTAGACCCTTTGTTCAGTATGTATTTTTCTGTCTCTTGTGTCAGTTTTTCACATATAGGCTCTTTTTGCCTTATATTAATATGGCAACCCCAACTCTCTTAGTTACTGTTTATTTGTGTGGAGTATCTTTTTCCATCCTTTTACTTTTGACCTGTTTGTATCTTTGGATAAATAAATCCTTCCTTATCAGTAATTACATTAAATGTACATGGATCAAATTATCCGATCAAAAAGCAGAAATTGACAGAATAGGAAAAAAATGATGCCTTTTGATTGGATAATTTGATCCATGTACATTTAACATAATTACCAATAAGGAAGGATTTATTTCTGCCATTTTTCTATTTTTTTTCGGTATATTCTATACCTTTTTTTTGGTATCTCATTTCCTGCATTATGGCTTTTATGTTTAGTTGATTGTAGTGCACTGTTTTGATTTCCTTCTCATTGTCTTTGTATTGTTTTTAAATATATTATTTGTGGTTACTGTGGGGGAGGCTTTACATATAACATCCTATAATTCAATCTAATGTGAATTTATAACAAGTTAATCAGCTTTTAAAAATGCTGCTCCTATATATCTGTTCCCTCTTTTTGTTATAGATTACATTTTTAAGCATTGTATTCCCAGTAATATAGATTTACAATTTTGTGTGCATATTTGTCTTTAAAATCATGTAGGAAATAAAAAGTGGATTTATAAAGCAAAAATACAATTATACTTGTTTTGTATTCTCCCATATATTTACTAAAGATTGGGTCAAGTGTATTCCTTCCATTTCAATAAAAAGCTTTGACTCCTTTTAGCATTTGTTTTGTAGGGTAGATTTAGTGGCAACAAACTCCCTCCACCTTTTATCTGTGTGTCTTTATTTTTCCTTCAGTTTTGGATGATAGTTTTGCTGGACATAGTATTCTTGTTTGAAAGCTTTTTTTTCTCTATTATTTTAAATGTTATTCCACTGCCTTTTGGCCTCCATGGTTGTTTCTTTTGTGAAATTGATGGTTAATCTTATTGAGAATTTCTTGTGCTGAACCATTTCTGTTTTGCTTCTTTCCGTATTTTCTTTGTCTTTTAACGGTTTGATTATAAAGTGTCTTATTGTGTGTCTCTGAGTTTATCCTACATGTAATTTGTTGTGTTTATTAGATTTGTAGATTTGTGTCTGTTATCAAATATGGCAAGTTTTTAGCCATTAATTTTTCAGATAATCTTTTGCCCCTTTCTCTTCTTCTGAAACTCTCAGAAAGTTCATGTTGGTCTATTTGATCTTATTCCATGGGCCCCTTAGGCTTTTGCTTACTTTACTTCATTCTTTCCTTTACTGCTCCTCAGGTTCTGTTACATCAGTCTTGGCCTCTTTACTGCAAATTGTTGGTAAAAGCTCTGACTTTCTGCTGGGTCAGACCACCTCAGTTAGGGTAGAGGTGGTTAAGGTGTCTAATTACCACCCAGTGGGGTGGAAGTTCAAGTTTCCTACTTGGCCTTCTCTGACTTTACCATGGCTAGGGTGCTGGGGTGAGGCATCACATTGTAGCCCGGCCAGGGTGGAAGTCTAGGCTAATTGGCCTTTTCTTGTGTGAATGGGATTAGGGTCTGTGGAGTAGAGGAGCTGTTGTCTTACTGTTTCTCTAGGCTGCTATTTCAACTGTATTTCACCTACAGGTGTGTCATTTCTCTTGCCAGATTCAAGATTTTTTTCTTTGTCTTTGGTTTTCAGAAATTTGAATTTGGTGTATCTTGGTGTTTCTTTGGGTTTTATCCTTCCTAGTGTTTGCTAACCTTCTATCTGTAGATTTATGTCTTTTGCCAAATTTGAGACATTTCAAACAGTAGTGTTTTTGGAGGACTTTTCTAACTCTGTCCTCTTTTTCCTTTCCTTTTGGGACTCCAGTGACATGAATGTTACTTTTTTTTTTTTGTTACAAGCCTACAGATCCCTAAGGCTCTGTTTTACTTTTCCCCCCACCCAGTCTGTTTTTCGGGTTGGGTACTTTTTATTATTCTGTCTTCCAGTTCACTGATTCTTTCCATTTTATTCTTCTGTATATCTTCTATTTCTTTTCTAGAAGTTTCTGTGTTTTCATTTGTTTTTTAAGTGCATGTGTATTGGTTATTGGAGCACTTTTATGATGACTGCTTTAAAATCTTTGTCAGGTATTTCCAATATCTCTGTAATTTTGGTGTTGGCATCTGTTGATTGTCCTTTTCTATTTAAATTCTAGTTTTCCTGGTGTTTGGCATGATAAATGATTTTTTTATTTGAAACTTGAACATTTTGAGTACTATGGTATTGCCAAGTGGAGTTAAAAGGTCGGCCTCTCTACTTGGCCTCTCTACATCTGTGAGGGAGAAGCAGCTTCTTGTTATTGCTGAGTGGATATGGGAGTTCTGGCTCCTTTCTGGACATTAGCTGATACCACCCTGACTAGAGGAGTAGGAGTTCCTTATACTGTTCCCCACATAATCTCTACTGACACCAAATGATTCTTCTTCAGTGGATAGAGAAAATGTTCTTAGTACTATTATTACATAAATAAAAATTATTTAAAATAGTGTTTCTTTTATTCTTTAAAATTACTTGCATGTTTTGTAATTACATACTATATGTTCATAATTCATTAGTTAAATAAATAGGTGGGAGTCCATGCCTTACTATTTTACTGATAAAGAGACCCAATTGGATGTGTTTGGAGACAACTACATGAGATGCTATAGTGAATGTCTTCTTTCTCTGCAACCTGGGAGCTAAAATTGTATCATAATCCTTCCTTACTTTCCTCTCACCCCCTTTGTCCTTTGTCTGTTATATTTAACTTAGCTGCCTTTTGTTGTTTATCTGTGCTCTCATTGCTCACTTAGTTTCTGAAGTGTATTGATACACTTAGTTAATAATCTAGATCCTGGCAGTGGAGACTGTATAATGCTTGTCCTGTGCCTTTCAGTAGTTTTCCTTTTCTAGCATAGTATTTTGACTTTCATGGAAAGCAGGAAGCATATCTTTTAAAACTTTTGTGCAAGGAGTAAGGATATGTATTCGTATTATATGCTGGAAACTGTCATATGTGCTTTCAAAAGAATTTCTCAAACATGCCAGACACGGTGGCTCACGACTGTAATCGCAGCACTTTGGGAGGCCCAGGTGGGCCGATCACTTGAGGTCAGGAGTTGGAGACCAGCCTGGCCAACATGGTGAAACCCTGTCTCTACTAAAAATACAAAAACTAGCCAGGCGTAGTGGCAGGCGCCTGTAATCCCAGCTACTCAGGAGGTTGAGGTGGGAGAATCGCTTGAACCCAGGAGGTGGAGGTTGCAGTGAGCCAAAATCATGCCACTGCAATTCAGCGTGGGTGACAAAGCAAAAACTCCATCTCAAAAAAAAAAAAACAACAACAACAACAAAAAAAAACAATTTCTCAATCCATTTTGCATATGGTGGAAATTGTAGCTGTATAATCTCCAAATGACTTAATTTAGAAAGCTTCGAGTTTCATTATAAGTGTTAACAGTTTTTAAAGAGATCTTAGAACACTCCAAATTAGAAGTGATTTTACTCAGAAATTAGAGGTGAGTCAGATCTAAGTATCTATCTTTAATTCCTTAGCCCATTATTACTGTTTTATCATCATACCATTTTTTCTAAGATAAAATTATTTGATAATTCTTTAAGTTGGGCAACAGTAGTGGGGACAGGACAGGCAGACATTTTTAAAAGTTGGAATGAGTTTGTAAGTCACAAAATATAATTGAGAAGCAACTTTTACATAATGCTTATTTACCTTTCAATGTAGCAGCTATTCTTTATGTGTGTTTATAAAGTCTTTTAAAATCTTTTTTTAGGTAGGTAGCCATCCAAGCTTCCTGAAGGAGGTTCGAGATCACATGCAGGACTCTTTCTTAATGCAGCCTGAGGTAAGCAGGAATGTAAATGGAGTTCAAGGCCTTAACATTTTTGAGCACTGCTACTACTGTCATTAATATGTATCTGAAAAATCTTGTCCAATTTGAAATATATTAAAATTTCCAAACTTAAATTGTATCAAATGATGAATGTTTTATCTCTGAGACATAGATTTCTAATTTCACTAATTTTACATGTATTTTCTTGTGATATGCTCATTTGTCTTTAGTTATTTATGTTCTTAGGAAATTATTTTCAGATTTTTTTAGTGCACAATACCTTGTACACAGTAGGCATTTAATAAAGGGATATAAAAATCCTCTCTTTTGTGCCTACCTGAAAAGTTAAAAAAAAAACCCTTTCTTTCAAAAAAATTTCTAAGTCTGTGTTCCTGTTAATCCAGATAAATGAATTAGTAATGAGTAATAAGTGTTTAAAATTAGGAAGACTTTTAACTGTAGTACAGTTATCAAGATAATGAAATTTACATCAGTAAACTATTATTGTCAGGTTAGTCAATAGAGCGTATTCAAATTTTGTCTGTTAATGTCCCTTACAGCAAATGAAAAACAATTATTTCTTGTCTAGAATCCAGTACAGGATCATAGGCTATTATTATTCCTCTTCTTTTTTTTTTTTTTTTTGAGACAGAGTTTCGCTCTTGTTGCCCAGGCTGGAGTGCAACGGCACCATCTCGGCTCACCGCAACCTCCGCCCCCTGGGTTCAAGCGATTCTCCTGCCTCAGCCTCCCAAGTAGCTGGGATTACAGTCATGCACCACCACACCCGGCTAATTTTGTATTTTTTTAGTAGAGATAGGGTTTCTCCATGTCGGTCAGGCTCCTGACCTCAGGTGATCCACCTGCCTCGGCCTCCCAAGTGTTGGCGTTACAGGCGTGAGCCACCGCGCCCGGCCCATTATTTCTTTAAATATAGTTTTTAGGCCTTTTCCCAACTCTCTTCTTCTGAGACCCCAATTCCAGATAATTCCTGCCACTTTCCCACAGTCACTGAGGCTTGTTTTTTGTTTTTTGTTTTTTGGTATTGTTTTGTATTGTTTTTGTACTGTTTTGTATTTATTTTGCATTGTGGTTTGTATTTGTATTGTTTTTCCCTAGTCTTTTTTTCCTTCTGTACTCCATTTTGGAAAGTTTCTATTGCTGTATCTTTAAGTTTGCTGATCTTTTAAAATCACCTGTGAATACCATGCAGCATATTTTTTCAGATGTTATGTTTTTCGTCTCTAAAAGTTCCATTTGTCTCTTTTGTATCTTCTATTTCCTGCCTAATTATGTTCATGTTTTCCTCTACTAATATTTTAATATATTAGCATATTTATAATAGTTCTTTTAACATCTTTGCCTACTGTTTACTTTTTTTTTTTTTGAGATGGAGCCTTGCTCTGTCACCCAGGCTGGAGTGCAGTGGCGTGATCTCTGCTCACTGCAAGCTCTGCCTTCCAGGTTAACGCCATTCTCCTGCCTCAGCCTCCCTAGTAGCTGGGACTGCAGGTGCCCGCCACCATGCCCGGCTAATTTTTTGTATTTTTAGTAGAGGCGGGGTTTCACCGTGTTAGCCAGGATGGTCTCGATCTCCTGACCTCATGATCCGCCTGCCTCGGCCTCCCAAAGTGCTGGAATTACAGGCGTGAGCCACTGCGCCCGGCCTTACTGTTTTCATATCTGCCATTTCTAGATCTGTTTCTATAGTTTGATTTTCTTTTTTTTTCTTCTTCTGGGTAATGAGTCATGTTTTCCTGCTTTTTTTTTTTTTTTTGACAAAATGCCTGTCATTTTTAAGTTTGATTCAGAATATTGTGAATTTCACATTATTGGTTGCTGGATTTTGTTGTATTATTTTAAATGTTTTGTTGGACTTTGTTCTGGCATCCTGTCAAATTAACCTCGAATTATTTGGATCCTTTTGAGGCTTGCTTTTAAGTTTTTGAAAAGACTTTGGTAGAGCAAACTTTAGCCTGGGGCTATTTATTCATACTACCGCGGTGATACCTGGAGAGATCTGAATCATCCCCCGTATTACAAGGTCATCCTACTCTTGAACAGGTAGCAATACAGAGTACTCCTGGCCATGTGTGTTCTTTGGGAATTGTTAGCCTAATGCTTTCTTGTGGTTCTGGGGTTCTTTCTCTGGCCACAGGTGCTTTCTTCTCATGAATGCACAGATCAGTTTTCAGCCAAAATATGTCTGTAGATGTAGTTTTAAGATCACAGATCAGTTTTCAGCCAAAATACGTCGGTAGATGTATTTTTAAGATCAGAGCTTTTTTGTGCAGCTCCATCATCATCAGTACTCTGTTTCCCAAATTCTAGCTGCCTTGAAAGACTTGTGTTTCCTCAACTCAGTGAAACTAGTAAGTAGGCTCTGTTAACCTCCCCTTCCCCCAGCTACTTCTAGGCCTCAAGCTTTGGCAGCCACAGGACTCACTTGATTTGTTTCCCTTTTGTTAGGTATACAGTTCTGTGCTACCTTGTGTGTAGAGTTTGAAAACCATTGTTTTTTTGTGTGTGTGTCTAATTTTCTAGTTGTTAAAGGTGGGTGGGAGGTTTAAATCTAATTTCTGTTAGTTGGGAGTGGAAGTTACCTCTGCTTTAATCTAAATAGTTCCCTAGTTTTTGTTTGTCTTTTATGACTTGACATTTTGAATACCACTTTGGAGAGCATCCCTCAATTCGTGTTTGTTTGATAGTTCCTCAAGATTAGATTGAGGTAATGCATTTTTGGCATGAATACCTCATAAGCGGTGTTGTGTCCCTCTTCGTGCACATCAGGAAGCACATGATGTCTATGTTTTCCATTATTGTGTGTTAACTTGTTTAAGGGGATGTCTGTCAGGTTTCTCCAGGGTAAAGTTGCTATTTTTCCCTCTGTATCTGTTTAAGTTAAGCAAACTTTTCACCCACTATTTTTAGCATCTGTTGTCAATTAGAAAAAAATCCTTAAATTACAAAGTTAGAATAAGTCTGCTAAAAGAAAAATTGTAAATTAAACAGTAATAGAGAAAAGTAAAACATGATGGTATATACATTTTTAAACCGTTTTTTCTCTGCACAGACAAATCTTGCAATATGAAGAGATGATTTCCAGGTTTTATTGAATAAATGAATTGTAATTTTTACTTGAAATTATCTTATTTAGTATAATAAATATTACAATATTATGTCATTGTTTGAGTTTTATTGCCACTTCTTCTAATCAAGGTTCTTCACTATTTCAGTGCTTTGGATTCCTTTGGTAATAAGGACAGATTCATTCTCAGAATGTTATTAAATGCATAAAATACCTATGATTACAAAGACAACCAATTATATCAAAATACAGTTACCAAAATATTTTTTAAATTTTTGAAATGTGCTGCTTTATTTTAATGTATTTAGGAATAAAATCCAGTGGTTAATAACTATAATTTTGAAGTAAAGTTGAATGTAATTGATATATTAAGGGATACTAAGAATGATATAAAAATTGGGAATTTTTATTTTTGACAGTCATAGGCCCTATTAAACTAATGAAGTAAGTTTGTTGCCTCCAATCAGAGTGAAAGAGAATGTTAAATTTCAGTTAGAGGTTAGTAAATATAAAGGTAATTTCTTTACTGTGCGATGTCACAGACTAAAGTTTATATTGTATTTGAATGTGGCTAGGAAAGTAGATAATATGCAGCCTATATCTTGGGGCGCCATTTCCTAAATTAGATTTGCAGCAGCAGGTACATCAAGCCATTCTTTCTTGATTACCTTCCCATGTGGTCTACTTGATTGGTCCAAATGTACCAAATGAAATATACTTCCTATATGTAGAAGGAAAATTTGGGAGAAGTTGTAAAATCGTGACAGTTTTGACATTCACGTGAAATTGGTTAAAATTAAAATATAAGGTACATCTTTTAAATGAGTAGACTGAAAATGAGCCAGTTTGTCATAAACTTACCCATCATATCTACGTTTTACCTTATCCATATCTTGTTTCACTTGGTTCTATCTCATTCTTTTTCACTGAAATTATACGTAGGCTTATTTTTCCCCATGCCCAAAAAGGGAATATTTTAATTCTGAATTTATTCCACAAAACTTTACATCACTAAATGTGTGTTTATAGGACGCATATAAATTTGTATGAAATTTAAATATGATTATTTTGATTGCTTACATATAAAGCTGAGTAAACATGGCATAAAATTATATTTCCCTTTTGGCTAATGTTCTTTCATTAATTGGTTCTTTGAGGCAGCGGTAGCTGTGCAAGTGGCAGTATTGAAATATTCTCAGTGATTCTGTCATTCTGATAGTACTTTCTCATTTTCTTTTTCTTCTTCTTTTTTTTTTTTTGGAGGCAGTCTCACTCTGTTGCCCAGGCTGGAGTGTAGTGGCACGATCTTGGTTCACTGCAGCCTCTGCCTCCCAGGTTCAAGTGATTCTTGTGCCTCAGCCTCTTGAATAGCTGGGACTACAGGCATGCACCACCACGCCTGGCTAACTTTTGTATTTTTAGTAGAGACGGGGTTTTGCCATGTTGGCCAGGCTGGTCTCGAACTCCCAACCTCATGATCTGCCCACCTCAGCCTCCCAAAGTGCTGGGATTACAGGTGTGAGCCACTGCACCCGGCCTTCATTCTCTTTAGATAAAATTATTTGTCTGTATGAAACAGTTGCCTAACTCCATGTTTACTTGATGTCTTAAAACTGTTACTAATTATTTAATCATTCTGCCAATAAAATCAGCGTTGGGATCACAAATCCAAGGAATAGACTCACTCGGTCAGTTTGAAGAATGTTTCAAATAGAAATCAAATCCATGATTTGATTAGATGGTGGAACTTAATTTATATGAGTAAAAGAATTCTTTGTAGGTGCTGATACATGGAGGCCTTCTACAGACACCTAGTGGGAGCTGATTTTTCTGTCTTGCAAACTTGCAACATAGTGGCAGTTGTCCCGAATATTTTATAGCATTACTAATTTGTACTGTAGTTTCAAGTTTTAAACATTTTATATTCTGTTTCATTGATTTGCTTTGTTTTTGTCCCTTTTCCAGTATAGAAATTTAAGTCATCAAATAGACCTCAGGAAACAAACAAAAAAAAAAGCAGAGCATTCTCTTCTATTATATTTACACATCATAGTGAGATATAGTATGTTTGCAGCCATTTTTATTTTTTCCTTGTCACCATTCTTTTGCAGTTGACAAATATTTTTGAAGGAGGACCTATCATTAAAGAATGAGTTCATTTCCACTTTGAAAAGCAAAGTTGAGGGCTTCCTTTAGTTGATATTTCAGTAAATGAGGAAGTAGGCAGCGTAAGTGGTTTTAATAAGATGATAATGAACATGCATTCCTGGCACATAAACAGCTATGTTTTCTTATACTTTTTCTATTCGTTTCAAGCTGAAAGACCTTTTTCTTGATGTTGATTGTATTTTTTTATTTTTACCTTCCATTTATTACCTTCATTTTCTGAAACCCTGTGGTATTTGTGACATTTTTCCATGCAGTGTATTCATTTCAGTTGTTATTTTTGGCCTGATTGTTATCTATAACACCTATTATTTATGCTATCCATGGAACATTTCGAAGCCTTCTTATATTTTCATATTGTATAGATGCTCGTGGGTATGAAGACGGATTTAATTGCAACATGAGGTGGAAAATGGATACAATTATTTTGCAACGTGATTTGTGATATTTGATTTAACTTGACTATGACAGAGTTCTGCAACCACTCAGAGGATCAAAACAACTTGCACTTGAAGGCTAGCCTTTCGTTTTTATTTCTACCTTTTTTTTCTTTTTGTGGAAGATGGGGTCTTGCTGTGTTGCCCAGGCTGTTCTTGAACTCCTGGGCTCAAGCAGTTCTCTACAAAAAAAATACACCCCCACCAAAAAAAATAGCCAGGCAATTGCTTGAACCCAGGCTGGTCTCAAACTCCTGGGCTCAAGCATTCCACCTCCCTAGGCTTCCCGGTGTGCTGGGTTTACAGGTGTGAGCCACACCCTGCCCTCATATTCTTTATCTCCTTTTGTTGTTGTTGTTGTTGTTGGCACATATAGTCATTCATTGCTTAATGACAAGAATACGTTCTGAAAAATGCATCGTTAGACAAGTTTGTTTTGTGAACATCACAGAGTGTACTCAAACAAACCTAAATGGTATAGCTTATTGCTGCTAGGCTATAAGCCTGTACAGCATGTTACTGTAATGAATACTGCAGGCAGTTGTAACACAATGGTAAGTATTTGTGTATCTACATATATCTAAACATAGAAAAGGTACAGTAGAAATATGGCATTACAATCACTGAGTGAAACATCGTTATTTGGCACATTACTGTATTCACTTTTGGCAGGAGGATTAACTTTATTATTATCTATTGATGAATTATTTACTTCATTTTATAGCCAGAAGTCATTTTGAATGTGGTTTAAATTTTTTTAATTCAAAAAAATTTTTTTATTTTATTGTGGTTTAATGAGATTTCAAATGTAGTAGATAGGTGATAAATCATTTTTAAGAGAAGTTCCAAGAGTGCTTGGAACAATAGCAGCTCAGTGGGAAAAGGATTTAAAATCTTCAAATTCATTCTTCACCATACTTTTTATTATTAAGGCTTATATTTCATAGCTCCATTTAATTGATTTTGTCAAATGACAAAGAAGTATGTCCTCATTATAAACAAAAAGCACTGTGCCTTTCCTAAATTTTTCAGGTTTTACTTAACTCTATGTAGGGATTCTGTTAAACTAAATATAATAGAGAGAAAAACATTCTGTTTTTGAAGGCGACTTAGCTGATGATCATTGCTTTGTTTGGACCTTAGCAGTTGTTGCATAGTTAATAGTTTGTATGTAGATGAAGACTCATGACTCTAAACCTGTTTAGAGATTAACAGGATTGTTTTGCAGAGGCAAAAAGTGTAATGAAAAATTGGTAATTCTTTTCTAGTTAAGTTGTAGTCTTAAAAATTATCTTTTTATGTTTCAAATTTTAGAAATATGGAAAACTGACAACTTGTACTGGTTGCCGAACACAGTGCAGGTTTTTTGATATGACTCAGTGTATAGGTCCTAATGGATATATGGAGCCATATTGTTCAACTGCTTGTATGAACAGTCACAAGACAAAATATGCAAAATCACAAAGTAAGTTTCACATATTTGGACAGTTAAAAAAACTTTACAACGTAATTAATTTTTGCATAAATACTCATTTGATGTTTTTATGCTTGTTTTTAACAGCTTTTTATTTTATATTAATCTTTTTGAAAACTGTTCTAATTATTTTGATTATTCTGTACTACTTTTTTAGTTCTCTTCATGTCTATGTTCTTAACTAAAATTGTTACTCCATCTAAAAAATTACCCAAAACTGAGTTTTTTCTCTATATCTATGTATGTTTTAGTGGCATAATATCAGAGTCCGTTATGACAATATTTTAAAAGTGCACATAATCTTCAGTATTGAAGGTGCAAATAATAATAGTTTATTTTTTAACAGAAACTTCTATGATCTCAGTAGTTAAGATAAAAAAACTTTTTTATTACTTTATAAACAAATCAGATATGTACCTTTTCTTTCCTAGGTTTGGGAATTATTTGCCATTTTTGTAAGCGAAACTCTTTACCTCAATACCAAGCCACAATGCCTGATGGAAAACTGTACAACTTTTGCAATTCCAGTTGTGTGGCTAAATTTCAGGTTTGTCGTTTATTTTGCATAACCCATGCCCCCAATAAAATACACATAGAAAATAATCAGTGTAATATAATATGCTTTATTTTATCTTAATTTTTACGTAGCTTGTTGAGGGTCAAATTGGAAGGTGGATATCCTAGTCACAGAATATGTGGCTGTACCAGTTTTCTATTTTAGCCTGGATAGTCTAATTGAGATTATAATTATTACTCTGATACAGATTTTGAAGGAAAAGAAATTTTAATATAGTTCAGTGCTGATGTGTAGTTTTTTCTTATTAGATAGTTTGAATAAAATGTGAACCGTAAGGGGAACTGTTATGTGACAAACGGATAGAGGACCTAGATGTATTTAGCCTAGAAGTGATAAGAATACTTGCTTTCTTCATATGTTAGAAATGGACCATGTAAAGAGGGAATTAGATTTTTTACACTAGGCCTTAATTTAATACAAGATCAGTTTAGGGAGACATTTTTCATTTTGGTAAATGTAAAGAAAGACTTGCTAACATAGTTTTTCAAATTTGGAGTATGGATAGTCTCAGAAGATAGATTCTTGGAAGCGTTCAAACTTAACCTGGTTGACCACTAGGAAGGAATAGTTTAGAGGGAATTCAAGCATTAGTTAGGTGATACGATTAGGTTTACCTGTTGTGTGTGAAAATTTCAGGGTATTACCCAAAGGTTCAAACCCGTGCATAAAGCCATGCTTCATGAGTTAATTCATCCAACAATTCTGCTTTATTCCAGGTACTGTGCTCTATGTTAATTTATTTAAACTGCAAATATAGTTTCTTAAGTATAATAGTTACTATATCACTTATTAGTATTTAAATTGAGGTGTTTTTGAATTCAAATGAATGTCAGTTTTTGTTAATAGTAATATTCTCACTGAGCTTAGGTGATAAACCACGTTTAAGACTTAACTTGTTATTTCAGAAGTTGGGATCATGGCCATTGATACATCCTTACAGTGGTAGATATTGCTTTTGCCTTGTTGGCTTTTCTTAAACTAGAAATTAAGGAATAATTATTAATTAGAAGAGAGGAAGACAGTGTCTATAGCATGCTACTTGTCAGATCTTGAACTTTGTTTTTTGATATTGTTGGATAAACTAAACTGATAATTGAAAATGTTGTAACTACCCTTTTCATTTAATTGAAACTTGTATCACCCATGATTTGATAAGATCCTCTGTATATGTACATTGTATATTTTAAGATATACAGTTACCCCTTGATATCCATGGGCAAGTGGTACCAGGACCTCCTGCAGATATAAAATTCCAGGATGCCCAAATCCCTTATATAATATGGCATAGTATTTGCATGTAACCTACAGTGCAAGTCTTCCTGTGTACTTTAAATCACATCTAGATTACCCTTAATATCTAATGCCATGTAAATGCTATGTAAAGAGTTGTTATACTGTATTGTTTAGGCAATAATGACAAGAAGAAAATGACTGTACATGTCCATACACATGCAATCATCTTTTTTTTTTTTTTTAATTTTTGATCCTCTGTTGGTTGAATCCATGGATATGTAGGACCGACTGTACTTAATTTAGGCTCTTACTTTGAGGAATACATCCAGATAGGCCTACAGGCAGCTTCATCTCTCTGCATATAAATAATACAAAATTGACAGAAAAGCAACATTTTTCCCTTTATCATAAAGCAAACCATATATTTTGAACTTTATATCTTCATTAGATATTTTCCTTTTAAAAGTAAGATAACAGGATAGTATTCCCACTTAGTCCATTCAGACTGCTATTACAGAATACCTTAGACTGGTAGCTTATAAATAGAAGTTTGTTTCTCATAGTCCGGAGGTTAGTAAGTCCAAGATAAGGCACTGGCAATTTGTTGTCCGTTGAAGGTCTATTCCTCATAGATGGTACCTTCTTGCTGTGTCCTCACATGGTGAAGGTAGCGAATGAGCTCCCTCAGGCTTCTGTTATGAGAGTACTGACTGATTAGATCACGAGGGTGGAGCTCTAATGGTCTGATCACCTTTTCAAAGCCCCTACCTCTTCTAATACTGTCACCTTGGGGTTTAGGATTTCAGCCTATGAATTTGTGGGGGAACACCAACATTCAGACTGTAGCATATTCCATTTGTTTTGAAAGACTAGTTAACTTTAATGGGGCTCAAATTTTTTGGAAACGCTAAGAGTAATGTTGGCTTTTATTTTTTAAATTTATTCATCTCATAGTCTTAAATCTGTATATTTTATTTTTCACAAACTTAGTGTTGTACAGTGTATGCAGAAGTTTTAAAAATGGTAGTTTTTTCTCCTTCCGCTGTACATTGAATGGCTAATTTTTATTAACCGTTTCATGCATTAAGATTATATGTAATATATGAGTAATATGGTTTAAAAAATGATAATTAAATACCAGTGTCCTCACCATTCAGATTAGGAATTAGAAAAAATCTGTCAGTGTCCATGTATGCTTATATTGTGTCTTATTCTGTAAATTTTTTTTTTTTTGGAGACAGAATCTCACTCTGTTGCCCAGGCTGGGGTGCAGTGGCATGATCTCGGCTCGCTGCAATCTCTGCCTCCTGGGTTCAAGTGATTCTGCCTCAGCTTCCCAAGTAGCTGGGATTACAGGCACCTGCCACCATGCCTAGCTAATTTTTGTATTTTTAGTAGAGACGGACTTTCGCCACATTGGCCAGGCTGGTCTCGAACTCCTGACTTCCAGCGATCCGCCTGCCTCTGCCTCCCAAAGTACTGGGATTACAGGTGTGAGCTATGACGTCCAGTCTGTAAATTGTTTTAACTTTAAAAAAAAAGGAATAGTAAAATTCCTCTTATGAATACCAGTGTGTAAATCTTTTTTCTCCTAACTTTGAAGAAGAAGTGATCAATTTTTAAATGTAACATAGGCCGATTTCTTTTCCTCTTTTTTTTTTTTTTTCCAGATGGAGTCTCGCTCTGTCACCCAGGCTAGAGTGCAGTGGTGTGATCTCGGCTCACTGCAACCTCCGCCTCCTGGGTTCAAGTGATTTCCCCTGCCTCAGCCTCCCAAGTAGCTGGGATTACAGGCGTGCGCCACCATGCTCAGCTAATTTTTTTTTTTTTTTTTTGAGACGGAGTCTCGCTCTGTCGCCCAGGCTGGAGTGCAGTGGCGTGATCTCGGCTCACTGCAAGCTCCACCTCCTGGGTTCACGCCATTCTCCTGCCTCAACCTCCTGAGTAGCTGGTACTACAGGCACCTGCCACCACCCCCAGCTAATTTTTTGTATTTTTAGTAGAGACGGGGTTTTACCGTGTTAGCCAGGATGGTCTCGATCTCCTGACTTCGTGATCCGCCCGCCTTGGCCTCCCAAAGTGCCGGGATTACAGGCATGAGCCACCACGCCTGGCCTAATTTTTGTAGTTTTAGTAGAGACGGGGTTTTGCCATGTTGACCAGGCTGGTCTCGAACTCCTGACCTTGGGTGATCTGCCCGCCTTGACCTCCCAAAGTGCTAGAATTACAGATGTGAGCCACTGCGCCTGGCCAACATAGGCCTATTTCACTGGTAGACTTGGAATGAAAATTATAGTAGGGATGCAGTGGCACAAAACATTAGTAAATTAGATATTTGATGATTATTGGAGATAGCAATAAGAACTAGGTTTTTGTTCTTTTTGTTTTTTTAAACTTCTGTTAGTTCAGAACGTGGGCAACTTAACCTCACTATTATTTGCTTACTGTTACTTCCTTACATTTTCTTAAGTGAACAGATGATGATTGAATGTATGATTTTTTCTTATTTTAGGTAAATAATAATTCTGTGGTTAAAAATTAAATTTAATTTCAATTTTATAAAACTAACATATACTATAATTTTTAAGGACAAAATTTGGAAATGAGTTTTATGTGCTGAAAAGATATCTAAGCAAGATGTATATTACTTTCTGGACATCGTAGATATATGACAGTAATCACAAATAGAAATTCAAACATACATGTCAGGCTTAGTATCTTTTGTTCTTTGTTTTAGGCTCTAAGTATGCAGTCATCTCCAAATGGCCAGTTTGTAGCGCCAAGTGATATTCAGTTGAAATGCAACTACTGCAAAAATTCCTTTTGTTCAAAACCAGAAATCCTGGAATGGGAGGCAAGTTGTATTTTGTAATGTGTGTTATCTAATGCTAAAAAGAAAGTCTAGTAAAATAAGTGTTGTATTTCCATCTGGAAACCTATTTCTTGGTAGATAAAAATATGCTTTTCAGATTTTTTTTTATGATTGGATTATTTATTCTCATGTGGGAGTGGAAAACCAACAAAGGATCTATGTCTTTTTAGGTCCAAGAAAAATTACTGAAGTCATATTCCTGATATATTGTATAAGTTCATAATAGTGTACAGAATGTCACTTTGTTTAGCTACGTACCTAGAGCAATTGTCTTTCCTTTTTTTGTCCCATGTTTCTCCCTGTCCTGTATTATCTGAGAACGATATTTTCTATCACTCAGTACCTGTACATATTAGAATGTATCAGTCATATACCACATTGTCATTTATAAAATGATACAATTCTGTAATTGTTTTTTTTTTTTTTTTTCTTTTTTTCTCAGAGTCTTGCTGTGTTGCCCAGGCTGGAGTGCAGTGGCACGATCTCGGCTCACTGCAATCTCTGTCTCCTCAGTTGAGGTGATTCTCCTGCCTCAGCGTCCCAAGTAGCTGGGAATACGGGTGGGCACCACCATGCCCAGCTAATTTTTGTATTTTTAGTAGAGACGGGGTTTCACCATGTTGGCCAGGCTGGTCTCGATCTCCAGACCTCAACTGATCCGCCCACCTCAGCCTCCCAAAGTGCTGGGATTACAGGCATGAGCCACCATGCCCGGCCATAATTGTGTTTTAATAAAACAATAGTGGCCTATGAATCCCACTACAAGTTTATTTTCTTTTCCCTTTTTTCATTAGTTTACTGATTTGCTTTGACATGTCTCCATTAGCAATAACGCTGATGATTGACTTTTATTTCATAAGGGGGCAGTAATAGATGGATACATGGCCAAGACTGCCCAGGCTGCCCATTGCTTTCTTGAGCAATGCTTGCCTTTGGCCATTGTTTCTTTTCACTGCTTTAGGGGTGGGGCAGGGTGGGAGGTAGTGCATGGAGTATATGATAAAATGGTATACAAGATTTAGAAGATGTAGTATTAACACTGTTCTTGAGCCAAAATTTATTAGGAGCTGTTGGTGAGTCATTCAGTAACTAAGTCTTAAGTGAAAGGTGGTACCCAGAACTGGATTACATGATTTTTTTTCTGTCTTTTTTTTTTTTTTTTTTTTTTTTTTTGAGATGGAGTCTCGCTCTGTTGCCCAGGCTGGAGTACAATGGCGTGATCTTGGCTCACTTCAACCTCCACCTCCCAGGTTCAAGCGATTCTCCTGCCTCAGTTTCCCAAGTAGCTGGGATTACAGATGCCTGCCACCACGCCTGGCTAATTTTTGTATTTTTAGTAGAGATGGGGTTTCACCATGTTGGCCAGGCTGGTCTTGATCTCCTGGCCTCAGGCAATCCGCCCGCCTCAGCCTCCCAAAGTGCTGGGATCACAGGCGTGAGCCACCGCACCCAGCCTGGATTACATGATTTCTAAAGTACTTTGGAAACCTGAAATTTCATTTTAACAGTTTAATGACTGGAACATTTTTTAGTTTATTATTTGCTTTGGTGCTGTCTCCAGATCATTTAAACCAATCCCTATTTGAGACTGTTGTTGGCATCCAGTGATGATTTTTAGTGACTGATAACCTTTAAGTAACAGCAGTAAGAATGAAGGCCCAGTAAGAGGTAATAAAGGAGTGATGAGGGAATGAAGAAAGAAATCCATTAGCAAGCATACAGAATAATAGTGTCATATAGAAAATGAAGATCCTGCATACACTGAATTTTGATACTAGATCAAAATGAGGTCCTTTTCACTGCATTTATGTCAATGCTACTCCACTTCTGTAGTTGTTTTGGTGTATTGCTTTTATTTACATGGAGGTTAAGTGTTAGAAGCAGTTAAGAGACACTGCCACACTGAATGAGAGTTGAGCGTGTCCCCCTGGGAGATTGAGAATTCAGTGGTCTCTTTCTCCTCACTCCATGTGGCTTCTTTGTTGCCTTCCTCCTTCTATAAATTACATAGTCATAATGGGGCAACTTTCCACTAATGATTGCCTTACTACTTGAGTTGATTCCCAGACTCCCTCACCTTCCTTATTCTGGTCTTCACATGTCTTTGCTAACTGTAAAGTAAATGGTTTAGACTTAGTCTGTAGCCTGCTCAATAATGAGAGAAAAGCTGCCTCCCTGGAAGTTTTAACTTGTTCATACCTGCTTGGGTTAATATTTGAAAAGTAGCTCTGGCTATTGTGGGTTTGGGCCCAGGAGAAACAAATTATTACTAATCATGTTCCATTCAAGGGAAACAACTCAGTCTCAGGTTCAGCAGCACGCTGTGTGATGGCACCAAATTGAATACTTCATCCATGATACATCTGTTACTATTAAGGTGTGTGGTAGGAATGTGATGGAGCCTACTTGTTTATACTCAACAAAGAATTTTTCTTTTTGACTGAAAATATTATTAGTGCCATAATTTTTATCTTTCTTTAGTTTACCTATGCTGTATTTTCCATCATTTTCTTCCCATTTCTCCAATTATGTTAGCAACACCAGTCTATCATCTTATTTAGTGATACTTTTACTTCCATTAAGTAATTTTAGGGTAGCTAATGGCACTGAATTTTGTGGAGCTATGTTTAAATTTGGCAGTGAATTGGTTAAACTAGGCATCCATGGCCTGTAGGAAATCTATCCCCAAGGGTCTTAACATTAAATAGGTAAATGATTTAACTTTGCTTCTGTAAAAGTGGCGTGTTTATTTCTTAAGCTTGTCGTCATATACTTACCAAGGTTCCCATTGTGCATTTAGAACAAAGTGCATCAGTTCTGCAGCAAAACTTGTTCAGATGACTATAAGAAGTTGCATTGCATAGTTACATATTGCGAATACTGTCAAGAGGAGAAGACTCTTCATGAAACAGTAAATTTCTCTGGCGTTAAGAGACCTTTCTGTAGTGAAGGCAAGTTGCATATACAGTGTTGTTCATAACATTTATTGATATTTAATGTTTTTTGCCAAAATAATATATCCAGAGTGGCTGCACAATTTTAATGTAGCTGAACAAAAAAAATTGAGTTTACGTTTCTACTGACTTGTTTCGTTATTTTATATGTGTTTGTAGATCTGGGCTTCAAGATGGTTTTATCTCTAAAAATTTGGTAACCTCTTATTTCATTAAAGTTTTAGAATAAAATAAAAGCATTTTCATGCCATGTTATTTCTAAACCTACATGTTGTGGTCTGAAAGTTGGTTTTCCAAGTGGTTTAAAATTGTTTTCCATTAGCTCCATTTTCCCTGCCCAGCTTACTACCTAACCTGCAAAGGTTTTCAATATGTATACCAGAAAGAAAATCACATATGGCAGTACTAAAATGGGAAGATACTTTTAGGTATTCAATTTGGGGTGCCAGGGAGACACTGGGTTCTGTTTTAGTATGTTCAAGAATTCCCTTTCCTCTTATCTACACTTTTGCTGCTCTGGTGCCAGGCAGCAGATTATACAGATGAATTCAAATTCTAAATCTACTTATCCAGAGATAGGAACTAGGATTGTAGCTATGGGTTTTGGGGTTGTGTTATTCCTGTTCCCAATGTGACATTCTTGCTCTAAGCTGGCTTTCACTTTCTATCTTTCTTTGGTCCATGGCACTGAACTCCCAGCTTTCCTGTCTGCTATCTTCACCTATAATTTTTTAATGAGGAATATTTTTTTCTGGATCTGCTTTTTCTATGGATTCCTGACTGCTAGTTTGGAGTAAGAGAAAGGTGGGAAAATCCTAAATGTCAGCAGTAGAGAATGACAGCAAAATAAAAAGATTTATCAGTTCGTTCAACTAGTGCGTTCATTTACAGTCTTAACATGTAATGTAAAGTCATGTCCGTAAGAGGGTGCTGCTTGCTTATAAAACAAGGCATTCCTATTTAAATTTAATTTTGTACATTTCACCTGGAATGGAAAGTAACCATGTTTCGCTGTTATTTAAGAGTAAAGCTATAATGAAAAATGACAAATCTTACAATGTTTCATTGAAAAGATTGATTCTGAATTAGTCTTTTTACATTTGAGTTGTGCAATGACATTCTTACTGATTCATAAATCTGAACATGCTGATGTTGATTGCTCATATATGTCATTAATTGTCTACCATTTGGATTATATGGACTTTACTAAAATGAATAGACAATTAGCAGCAAATAGGTAATTGACATTCAAGAAGATAATTTTCAGTTGGAGGGATTTATACATTCAGATCGGTAATAGCATGTTGAAAAAGAATGTGTGGGTTTTTTTCCTGTTAAATGACATATTTTTTGCTTTCTCTTACTGCACCTAGTTCTCTGCTAGAACCTGTCAGAAATAACAAAACACATAATACCTAGTACGACCATCAAACTCTAGTTAGATAAAGCTAATAAAGGTAAATTTTAAAGAATATTTTAAAATATAGTTCAAGGTAACAGAAGTCATAGGATAGTACATAAATGATTGCTAAATAAATTTTATAGAAAACAATTGCAGTTCCTGTTTGCAGACAGGAAATGTCATTTTAAACTAGGTTGATCGTGGGCAGCATTTGTGGTAGGGGGATAATTTGAGGTCCTTATGAAAGGATGAATAGGATTTTAGTAGATAACATGTAAGTCATTCTACTTACATAGCACAGTATAAGTATAGAGTATTATGTGATCCTCGTAGAGGTGTTATAGGGAATAAATAAGGATATGTAAAAATACTTAATGCGTTTATGTAGTAGAAAAAAGACATACTTCGTTAAAGGACTAGATAACAAAAGTATTTTCTCTGGGCAAGTCAATAAATCTGTTTTTTTTTCTGAAGGTCCATGTAAGAGAGGTAAGCTTGAAAAATTAGCTAAAATGCCCACTTAAGTTGAATATCTCTATAAATTTACTCAGAGCCTCTCAGTAGTCTACATTGTTCCTTTTTCTAAAATGCCTATTTGTGGTATGCTTAGTTTGATACTTAAGATTCTATCTGTCTATTTCCCAGGCCCAAGCAAGATTCTGTTTAAATAGAACAAATAAAATAATTCTGAGACATTACTAGATTTTAATATCTTGAAACATTATTTTAACCCACATGTTAGATAATATGTTATCTAATAAAATATCCCATATTCTGTTCTAATTTTTATAGGTTGATATTGATTACAGTAGATTTTATAGTTTTGATCAGGAGAGGAAAAATCTTGACCAATTAAGATCTGTCTCTGCTCAATAATTAGTTTTCATGTGTTTTTTTGTTTTAATATATAAATCTTATATTTTTCAGGCTGCAAATTATTATACAAACAGGATTTTGCCAGACGTTTAGGATTGAGATGTGTTACTTGCAACTATTGTTCTCAGCTATGTAAGAAGGGAGCAACTAAAGAACTCGATGGTGTTGTGAGAGATTTCTGCAGTGAAGATTGCTGTAAAAAATTTCAGGATTGGTACTACAAGGCGAGTAACTCCTTTATTACAGCAGCTACTTTAACCAGTCTTAAAAAACGTTGTAGCTGTTACCATTACAAATCTGGCAACTCATTTATTTTAAAAATGTACACACTTAAGGCCCAGCCCTGATAATACTATTCATTAAAATTGTCTTGTCATTTCTGCTTGTTTGAAGTAGCATTTTTATCTCTTTTTTTAATAACTTAAGCATTACCAAAAGATTAGGATATACCTATATTTTCAGCATTGTAGTTTAACAAAATGGATTGTTTTTCTAAAATTTGTTGTGTCTTTATTTCACTAAGTAGAATTTTTTTTTTTTTTTTTTTTTTTTGAGATGAAATCTCTGTCGCCCAGGCTAGAGTGCAGTGGCACCATCTCGGCTCACTGCAGCCTCCACCTCCCAGGTTCAGGCAATTCTTGTGCCTCAGCCTCCCAAGTAGCTGGGATTACAGGCGCGTGCCACCACGCCCAGCTAATTTTTATTCTTTTAGTAGAGACAGGGTTTCACCGTGTTGGCCAGGTTGGTCTCGAACTCCTGACCTCAGGTGATCTGCCCGCCTCAGCCCCAAAGTGCTGAGATTACAGGCGTGAGCCACCAATGCCCAGCTAAATAGAAATACTTTCAACTATGTTATCAGTGTTGAATGTTAGCAGGTAATTGTTTTGGATACTTGAGATATATTTTAAAAACATCTTGCTCTTTTTTGGCTTTTTGCCTTTTTAATTGTGAGTTTTGGGGGACTTTAAAATTGAAAAGAACACTAAGTAGAGACCAGAAACATTTAATTTGAAACCATAAATGTGTGTATGTGTATGTGTCATACTAAACCCACTTTAAAAATTTAACTTTTAGGTTCAGGGGTACATGTGCAGGTTTTTTATATAGGTAAATTTAGGTCATGGTAAATGATGGGTAAATGACCAAACATGACCCAAATTTACCAAAGTAAAAATTTGGGTCATGTTGTACTGATTATTTTATCACCCAGATATTAAGCCTAGTACCCATTAGTTATTTTTCCTGATTCTTTCCCTCCTCCCACCCTCCACTCTTTCATAGGCCCCAGTGTCTGTTGTTCCCCTGTATGTGTTTGTGTTCTCATCATTTAGCTCCCACATATAAGTGAAAACATGCAGTATTTGCTTTTCTTTTCCTGTGTTAGTTTGCTAAGGATAATGGCCTCCAGTCCTATCCATGTTCCTGCAGGGTATATAATCTCTTTTTTATTGCTGCATAGTATTCCATGGTATATATGAACCACATTTTCTTTATCCACTCTACTATTGGTAGGCATTTAGGATGACTCTAGGTGTTTGCTGTTGTGAATAGTGCTGCAATGAACATATGTGTGCATGCTTTTTCTGTGCAGAAGCTCTTTAATTAAACCCCATTTGTCAGTTTTTGCTTTTGTTGCAGTTGCTTTTGGCATCTTAATCTTTGCTGGTTCCTATGTCCAGAATGGTATTGCCTAGGTTGGCTTCAGGGGTTTTTATAGTTTTGGGTTTTACATTTATTAATCCATCCTGAGTTAATTTTTGTATATGGTGTAAGGAAGGGGTCCAGTTTCAGTCTTCTCCATATGGTTAGCCAGTTATCCCAGCACCGTTGATTGAATAGGGAATCCTTTTCTCATTGCTTGTTTTTGTCAGGTTTGTTGAAGATCAGATAGTTGTAGGTGTGCGGCCTCATTTCTGGGCTCTCTATTCTGTTCCATTGGTCTATGTGTCTGCTTTTGTACCGGTACCATGCTGTTGTGGTTACTGTATCCCTGTAGTATAGTTTGAAGTCAGGTGGCATGATTCCTCCAGCTTTGTTCTTTTTGCATTTTGCTTAGGATGGCCTTGGCTATTTGGGCTCTTTTTTGGTTCCATAGGATTTTAAAAGTTTTTTTTTTTTTTGTTCTGTGAAGAATGTCATTGGTAGTTTAATGGGAATAGCATTGAATCTGTAAATGGCTTTGGGCAGTATGGCTATGTTAATGATATTGATTCTTTTTATCCATGAGCATGGAATGTTTTTCCATTTGTTTGTGTCATCTCTGATTTCTTTGAGCAGTATTTTGTAGTTCTTGTAGAGATTTTTCACCTCCCTGATTGGCTGTATTCCCAGGCATTTTATTCTTTTTGTGGCAATTTTCAATGAGATTGTGTATCTAATTTGGCCCTCAGCTTGATTGTTGTTGGCATACAGAAAAGCTAGTGATTTTTGTACATTGATTTTGTACCCTTTGCTGAAGTGGTTTATCAGCTGAGGGAACTTTTGGGCTGAGCCTATGGAGTTTTCTAGATATAGGATCATGTCATTTGTGAACAGGGAAAGTTTGACATCCTCTCTTCCTATTTGGATGCCCTTTATTTCTTTCTCTTTCGTGATTGCTCTGGCCAGGACTTCCAATACTGTGTTGAACAGGAGTGGTGAGAGAGGGCATCCTTGTCTTACACCAGTTTTCAAGGGGAATGCATGCTTCCAGCTTTTGCCTGTGCAGTATGATGTTCGCTGTGTGTTTGTCATAGATGACTCTTTATTATTTTGAGGTATATTTCTTCAATACCTAGTTTATTGAGAGTTTTTTTTTTTTTTTTTTGACATGGTGTCTCTCTCTGTTGCCCAGGCTGGAGTGCAGTGGCGCCATCTTGGCTCACTGCAAGCTCCGCCTCCCAGGTTCACGTCATTCTCCTGCCTCACCCTCCCGAGTAGCTGGGACTGCAGGCGCCCGCCACCATGCCCAGCTAATTTTTTTGTGTGTTTTTAGTAGAGATGGGATTTCACCATGTTAGCCAGGATGGTCTCGATTCCCTGATCTTGTGATCTGCCCATCTCAGCCTCCTAAAGTGCTGGGATTACAGGCGTGAGCCACCGTCCCCAGCCTATTGAGTTTTTAACATGAAGGATGTTGAATTTTATTGAAAGCCTTTTCTGCATCTATTGAGATAATCATGTGGTTTTTGTCTTTAGTTCTGTTTATGTGATGAATCACATTTATTGATTTGCGTATATTGAACCAAACTTGCCATCCCAGTGATAGAGCCTACTTGATCATGGTGAATAAGCCTTTTCGATGTGCTGCTGGATTTGGTTTGGCAGTATTTTGTTGAGGATTTTGGCGTTGATGTTCATTAAGGATATTGACTTGAAGTTTTCTTTTCTGGTTGTGTCTCTGCCAGGTTTTGGTATCAGGATGATGCTGGCCTCATAGAATGAGTTAGGGAGAAGTCCCCCCTCCTCAATTTTTTGGAATAGTTTCAGTAGGAATGATACCAGCTCTTCTTTGTACATCTGGTAGAATTGTGTTGTGAATCCATCTGGTCCTGGACTTTTTTTGGTTGGTAGGGTATTTATTACTGATTCAATTTCGGAGCTCATTGTTGGTTTGTTCAGGGCTTCAGTTTTTTCCTGGCTCAGTCTTGGGAGGGTGTATGTGTCCAGGAATTTGTCCATTTCTTCTAGATTTTCTAGTTCATGTGCACAGAGGTGTTCATTACAATCTCTGGTGGTTATTTGTATTTCTGTGAGGGTAGTGGTAATAATATCCCCTTTATTGTTTCTAATTGTGTTTATTTGGGTCTTCTCTCTTTTCTTTATTAGTCTAGCTAGCAGTCTGTCTATTAATCCCGCCCACCCCTGCACGCAAAAAAATAAAAAAACACTCCTGGATTTATTGATCTATTGAATGGTTTTTCATGTCTCAGTCTCCTTCAGTTCAGCTCTAATTTTGGTTATTTCTTGTCTTCTGCTAGCTTTGGGATTGGTTTTCTCTTGGTTCTCTAGTTCTTTTAGTTGTGATGTTAGGTTGTTAAATTGAGATCTTTCTAACTTTTTGATGTGGGCATTTAGTGCTATAAATTTCCCTCTCAACACTGCCTTAGCTGTGTACCAGAAATTCTGGTACGTTGTATCTTTGTTCTTATTGGTTTCAAAGAATTAACTGGTTTCTGCCTTAATCTCATTATTTACCCAAAAGTTGTTCAGAACAGGTTATTCAATTCCCATGTAATTGTAAGGTTTTGAATGGATTTCTTAGTCTTGACTTCTAATTTGATTGTACTGTGATCCAAGAGACTTTTGGTTATGATTTCAGTCCTTTTGCATTTACTGAGGAATGTTTTATATGTGATTATGTGATCAATTTTAAGAGTATGTGCCATGTGACAGTGAGAAGAATGTATATTCTGTTGTTTTGGGGTGTCCATTTGATTCTATGCTGAGTTCAGGTCCTGAATATCTTTATTAATTATCTGCTTTGATGATCTGTCTGATACTGTTATTGGAGCATTGTCTAGGAGTCTAAGTCTCTTTGTACATCTCTAAGAACTTCCTTTATGAATCTGGGTGCTCCTGTGTTGGGTGCATTTATATTTAGGATAGTTAGGTCTGATGGTTCAATTGAACCCTTTACCATTATGTAATGACCTTCTTTGTCTTTTTTGATCTTTGTTGGTTTAAAGTCTGTTTTGTCTGAGGCAACCCCTGCTTTTCTCTGGTTTCCATTTGCTTGGTAGATTTTTCTCCATCCCTTTATTTTGAGCCTATGTGTGTCATTGCATGTGAGATGAGTCTCTTGAAGATAGCATACCAATGGGTCTTGTTTCCTTATCCAAGCCACTGTGTACCTTTTAATTGGGGCATTTAGCCTGTTTACATTTAAGGTTAGTATTGATATGTGTGGGTTTGATCCTGTCATCATGATGTTAGCTGGTTATTTTGCAGACTTGTTTATGTGGTTGCTTTATAGTGTCACTTGTCTGTGTACTTAAGTGTGTTTTTGTAGTGGTTGTTAATGGTCTTTCCATATTTAGTGCTTCCTTCAAGAGCTCTTATAAAGCAGGTCTGGTGGTAACAAATACCTTCAGATTTTGCTTGTCTGAAAAGGATCTTATTTCTGCTTTACTTAATGATGCTTAGTTTGGTGGGATATGGAATTCTGGTTGGCAGGTGGCACTGGTGTTAAATTAAAAAAAAAGGGTTGAATATTGGCCCCCAATCTCTTCTGGCTTATAGGGTTTCTGCTGAGAGATCTGCTATTAGTCCGATGAGTTTCCGTTTGTAGGTGACCTGACCTTTCTCTCTAGCTGCCTTTTAACATTTTTTCTTTCATTTCAACCTTGGAGTATCTGATGATTATGTGCCTTGAGAATGATCTTTTTATGAAGTATCATACTGGGGTTCTCTACATTTCCTGAATTTGAATGTTGGCCTCTCTAGCTAGGTTGGGAAGTTCTCATGGATGATATCCAGAAATATGTTTTCCAAGTTGCTTATACTCTCCCCATCTCTTTCAGGGACACCAGTTGAGTTATAGATTTGGTCTCTTTACGTAATGCCATATTTCCTGGAGGTTTTGCTCGTTCCTTTTTATTCTTTTTCTCTGTATTCTTGTCTGTCTTATTTCACAAGGCCAGTCTACCAGCTCTGAGAGTCTTTCTTCCGCTTGGTCTATTTTGCTATTAATACTTATGATTGCCTTATGAAATTCTCGTAGTGTGTTTTTCAGCTCTATCAGGTCAGTTACATTCTTTTCTATACTGGGTATTTTGTCTGTAAGCTCCTGCTTACCTTGTTCCTTGGATTGAGTTTCAGTGTGCTCCTGCTTCTCAGTGATCTTCATGCCTTTCCATATTCTGAATTCTATTTCTGTTATTTCAGCCATCTCTGCCTGATTCAGAACCCTTACTGGAGAGGTAGTACAGTTATTTGGAAGAAAGAAGGCACTCTGGCTTTTTGAGTTGTCAGGGTTCTTGTGCGAGTTCTTTTTCATCTTTGTGGGCTTACATTCCTTCAACCTTTGAAGTTGCTGACCTTTGCTTTTTATTATTATTATTTTTTTTTATTTTTTTGAGATAGGGTCTTGCTATGTTGCCCAGACTGGAGTGCCGTGGCATGATCTTGGCTTACTGCAGCGTCCACCTGCCAGGTTCAAGTGATTGTCCTGCCTCAGCTTCCTGAGTAGTTGGGATTACAGGCACATGCCACAACACCCAGCTCATTTTTGTATTTCTAGTAGAGATGGGGTTTCACCATGTTGGCCAAACTGGTCTCGAACTCCTGACCTTAAGTGATCCACCTGCCTCTGCCTCCCAAAGTGCTGGAATTACAGACATGGACCACTGTGCCCAGCCAATTTTTTTTTCTTGTATCCTATATTTGATGACCTTGAGGGTTTAACTGTGGAATAAGGTGGATTCAGCCAAGTGACTGTGTTCTGGAAGGTTTTAAGGGACCGGTGCTAAGTTCCTAACTCCTGGACTGTGTGCTTTAACTCCGGGGTACTTATATCAGTCTCAACTTGATTCTGTCTCCTGGAGCGCAGGTATCCACTGTGCTGGGGAGACTGACGTGTTTGGGGCCGCTGATCACTACACTTGATGGATGGTGTCAGTCACAGCATTTGGTAGTGCGGTGACAGCAGGATCCATCCTCATTGGCATGTGCCAGCAGCAGTGCAGCGTGATGGGGTGCACACTTGTTGGCTGTGGTAGGGTGCTAGTTGGTGCTGGGGTGCCTGCCTCCCAGCCTGCACTTGCCACAGTGGTGGATGCAATGTGGCTAGGGGGTGGAGTGGGGAACCCCTGTTGGCTACTGTGCCTGTGGTTGCACTGGTGGTGGTGGTGGTGGCAGGGCGCTGGCAGGTGCAGGTCTTTGTGCATTCTCAGAGGGCTCTTGGTCGCTCAGGGAGGTGGAGTGTCCACTGTTCTGTGTGCCTAGTTTTGCTCTGGGCAGTGTTGCTGAAAGGGCCAGGTTGTGGTGGGGGCGGGGCTGACTGCTAAGGCTCCAACTGCAGTGTCGTTGGTGGGGCAAGGTGGGGGTGAAGTGCACTCCTGCTGCATGAGTGGCAGGGCAGGGTGCACACACACACGTGGGTGCTGGCTGGGTGAGGCAAGCAAAACCTGCCTGCACATGGCAAAGGGATGTGGGAAGTATCCATGGGCCCCAGGGGAAGCTGCAGTGTGGGGAGGGAATGGGTGGCACTGCTGCGTGTCTGTGGGGGCCACCCCACTGGGGGTCTCCAGTGGTCAAGTTCCGTCTGCCAGGGTAGAAGCTATGATGGGGGCTTCTAGGACACTCGAGGCTGACCTGAAAGCAGGTACTTTCACACTGGGACCCTGCAAGAGGCCAACAGATTAAGGGATGCTCAGGTCAGACTGGCCTCTTCTTATGGGCAAGACCTCCCCGCAGAGTTCAGATCTGACAGTTGCCCTAGGGTTAAAGTCTCCTATGGGAGCAAGTTGATTCTAGGTGGATGGTCATCCTTGGCTGTGCTCCACTACAGAGGCCCCTGCACCAAACCCTGTGGGCTCCAGATCAGCTGGCTTGCTGCCCCTACAACTTCTTTAAGCAGCTTTCCCTGCCAACTCAAGTGTCCCTGCTGGCTGAAGGGTTTCCTCCTGCTGAGATTCCAGAGGCCTGTGCCCAGAGCAGGTTGCTCTCTGCCAGTTCACCTAACTTGTGCCCTCAGCATATTAGGGGTCAAGAACAAGTCCCAGTGTGTGGTAGCCCCATGCAGCGTTCCCAGATTCCTTCTCCTTAAGCCAAGCTTCTCTCTGTCTTCCCTCCTCTACTCTTGGTGCTTTCCCTCTGAAGATCTCTTAGGAGTGCACCAGTACTCTCAGTCCCTCCGGGGCAGCTCTTCTACCTGGCTGCGTCTAGTCAGCCATCTTGCCCCAACATCTACTTTTATAAAGTCAGTCTCTTTTCACACATTGCATCAGTTTCTTCCTAGATAAGAAAATGAGTGTAAATTTGGACTTGTGGGTAGTCAGAAAGATTACAAGAAAAGAGCATTAATTCCTATGTTGATAACATGGAAAACCATCTCAATGCTGAAACTTCATTGTGGGTACAGTTGTAAAGCATGTGAAGACAGGCCAGGCGCGGCGGCTCACTCCTGTAATCCCAGCACTTTGGGAGGCCAAGGCGGGCAGATCACTTGAGGTCAGGAGTTCAAGACCAGCCTGGCCAACATGGTAAAACCCCGTCTCTACTAAAAATACAAAAATTAGCCATGCATGGTGGTGCATGCCTGTAATCTCAGCTACTCGGGAGGCTGAGGCAGGAAAATCACTTGAACCCGGGAGGCGGAGGTTGCAGTGAGGTAAGATGGCACCACTACACTCCAGCCCGGGCGACAGAGCAAGACTCTGTGTCAAAAAAAAAAAAAAAAAAAAAAAGCATGTGAAGACAGACATTATCATGACTTCAAATTTGTTAAGGCCTCTAAAGAAACAAATGAAATAGTCGAATATGGAGAACAGTATTTAGTTTACTTTATCAAGGTATTGGTATTAAAATGATACTACTAGGAGAATTGCAGGAGTTCTGGGGCAGTTCTTTAATATCTGCAATTCACCATGTTAACTAGCATATTGTAAATAAAAAAAGGAAGATGCTTTCCAAGTTAAGAGCTGTAAAGTAATTCCCAAGTTGTTAAGAGCTGTGAAGTAATTGAGACTAAGAGGTTTGATGTACTAAAAAAAGTTACTTCATTACTTTACTGTTGCTTCTATATGATGTAAACTTTAAAAATTAAGGCTCAAATTTTAGAAATACACAGAGGACAAACATACACTCTAAAACGTGTTTATTTCAGTCTAAACAAATGTTTTGTTTATGGATATTAGTGTTTTTGAGAAATCACTCAGAAAATGTTACTTCATGGCCTTGCAATGCTTGATGTTAGTTTAGCACATACAAGTGCACTTTTATACCCATTGTTTAGGAGGTTTTATTTTTAAAATTTTCTTTTGGATAATCTCAAAACAATAAAGGCATTTAGTGAGTACAAATTTGGAAATCCCATTTTATTTTTATATCTATTTTCATTGTTTATCTTATTGTTTGAGACAGAAATTGTTACCATGTGATGATGATTTCCCTGTTGTTTTACTGTACAAATATCTGCCTAATTGTAAAATTATGAATATAAAATTTTAATATTGTATAATAATCTTTCTTGGAGGATTTTTTTGTTGTTGTTCACAGCAGATACTGAATGTATTTCTCTGTTTGGCTTCTTTCTTTGAATGAATGATCTCCCAGCTTTAAAAAATATTACTGGGGCTGGGTGCAGTGGCTTATGCTTGTAATCCCAGCACTTTGGGAGTATGAGGTGGGAGAATCACTTGAGGCAAGAAGTTCAAGACCAGCCTGGGGAACATAGTGAGAGCCCATCTCTGCAAAAAAAAAAAAAAAAGTTAAAAATTAGCCAGGTGTGATTTCATACCCCTATAGTCCCAGATACTCAGCAGGCTGAGGCAAGAGAATTGCTTGAGCCCAGGAGTTCGAGGTGAGCTATGATTACACCACTGCACTTAAGCCTGGGTGACAGAGCAAGACCCTGTCTCAAAAAGGAAAACAAAAAATTACTGAGAGCGGTGGCTCACATCTTTAATCTCTGCCCTTTGGGAGGCTGAGGTGAGAGGGTTGTTTGAAGTTGGGAGTTCTAGTCCAGCCTGGGCAATACAGCAAGACCCCATCTCTACAAAAAATAAAAATAAAAAAAATTAGCCAGGCATGGTGGTGCATGCCTGTAGTCCTGGCTCCTTGGGAGGCTGAAGTGGAAGGATCACTTGAGTTCAGGTTTTTGAGGTGACAGTGAGCTCTGATCACACCACTGCACTCTGGCCTGGGGGACACAGTAAGACTTTGTCTCTAAAAAAAAAAATATATATATATATATATGTGTGTGTGTGTGTGTGTGTGTGTGTATATATATGTGTATATATATGTGTATATATATGTGTACATATGTATATGTGTGTATATATATGTGTGTATATATGTATATATGTGTGTGTGTGTATATATATATTAAAGAATAGGGAAGTTTGGGATTTGTTTCCCTTTTTTTGGGAAGCAAAGGTACGTTCTTTGACAAAAGACCATGTTATTGTAGATGTCGTGTGTTCCACCTTGCTATGTTTTTTAAAAGATAGTTATTTCTGTTTTCATTTATGCAGAATTCAGTGATGAGGATTTAATGAAGCAGTGCATTTCAGAATATACAAGAAATACTTTAGTCAAATACCGGGTTACAATCATCTAGTTATGTTTAATGTCAGTATTCTGTACCTTAAATACATTATATATTCATGCCTTATTTTAAACAGATCTTTGTATAATATACATAATAGGTTATATATTATACTAATCTGAGGAATAAAGGTAAGAATATTTTTGTTAGATGGTAGAAATTTATAAAGCAAGTAGCAATGCTGATGTTTCTGTACGATCAATATGCAGCACAATCTTTGAAGTGTGAAGAGTTGTCTCTCTTCATTCATCCTTGGTTTTGCTGCCTGCAGCCATTATTGTAATCAAATGGTAACTTTATTCTCTGTGCTTTCTACTTGAGTCAGACTGTATTTTCTTATACCCCCCCATGCATTCCTTCTATTCACTGTTGCCATGGTATCATCTTGAAAATGTGGTAAACTAATTATGGGGTCCCCCCCTTTTATGGTTTATCTTTTTTTATTTAAATACTCACAAGTTTATATATTAGTACATTAAAACCTATGACCCTTACAAATCATTCCGGCTTATCAGAAAAATAAGCTTCAAGCCAAAGGAAAAAAAGTGCTTCATCACAGAAACTTAAAAATCAACAGCTAGCCAATCTGGCTATTATTTCATGTTTAGCCATGAACATTTCTTAAATGGTAGTACACACACATTGTATTTTTACCTTCTCTTACCTTTGCACTTTAGATTGAGAGACAACTACCTATAGTATAAATAACTTCTACTTTTTTGTTTATTTAAATTTAGTTTTATGCTTTAAAAATTGTTTTACTTGACAAGACACTGAATGAGCTGTGTTTTCTGGTCTATATCATGGTTTGCTTCTAGATTTAAAATAGAGATTTATTAAATTCTTTCTCTTCTAAATTGGAATAAGAAATCTGTGACATCATGCAACCAAAAAATGCTGAAAATAAAATTAACGTATTTTTCTTCTCCCAGATACCTTTTTAGAAAGAAGTAGATTTTACTTTTCCTCAAGTAAATGTTTCCAGGCGTAATGAAAAACCTGATAGTTCTTTTGATCTTTGTAAGTTTAAAAGTTTTTAAGAAAAAGAATTTAGTATTGTAATACAATAATAGCTAGAAGGTGTTTGATAAATTGGTAAAGATAATATTTCAAAAGGTCCACTGTTTCCCAAGAGTATCTCTATTAAGACCTGAGCTTTTCTTAAACTGTATTACTTTTCGATTGCACAGTTTTTTAACACAGGCTTTGATTTGTTTTCCAAAGAAGTAATGAATGGTGGCAATATTAAATTCTTAATACAAATGCCCTCTAATAGTCTTAACAGTATGATTTATGGGCTTTAAATTAATAATATTAGACTTGTATAATTTTTCTTTATAAACAGCTATATCCATTTTTTTTAAAATTTTTTTGAAATTATTTTTAGGAAAATAATATTTAATATTCAAATATTGCCTTAAATATATATTTTTGGTCACCGGAGAATTCCTATGCTTTGCATAGTACCCAATCACCTTTTATCCCTGCATTCTTTTTTAAAAAAAATTTGTAGCGAATCACTCCATTGTGCTCAGAAAGCTGTATTGAGAAGTCATAAAGGATTTCTGCTTAAAATGTCTGTAAAATACCCCTATCTTTTTCGTATTCATGGTTCTCCCCTGGAAAATTAGGTTTGTTTGGTGAAATAGGGAGCAAATGGATAGGAAAGTTTAAAAAGATGTATATATCAGTCAAAAATGAAAAGTTGAAACTATCCAAGACATGAAAGGGACTGGGTCAGGATAGGCTGAATGACCTTTTGCCAGTTATTGAAAATGAAATTTCTGTTTAGCTGATAGGTTGGATTAAGGTTTTTGAGTCAGAGTTTAGTACCTGGCTGTTACTTAGATTTGTTTGAACCTGTGACTTGTTTTTTTTTTTTTTTCCCCCTCCCTCTTAGTTTGCTATCCTTGATTTCACAATGACAAGAAAACCACAAAATAGATGATGCAGTATTTTTAAAACCAGAGACTTGTGTCCCATTTATTTCATTTTTTATGATGTCTTAATAGTTCTTTTTTGCAAATGGCTAGGGAATGCGGCTTAGAGTGGAGTTGTGTTGGTGTTGGTAAGGAATGATGGTCATTAATGATCTTTTTAAATTGGCCACCATATTTTAGCTGAATTCCAAACACTTCACTAGGAGTTTGCATGAGTGGATGTCAAAGAAACAAAAGTTCACAACCTCCAAAATTTTGATTATGGCATTAAAGTTGGAATTATTAGTATTGAGTTCTCACTTACTGTTTTTTCATGCTGAAAAAATACATGCCTATTTTGTTTACATTTGTAAATTGGTATTAATCTTGCCCCTTTTTTCTTTGGGTAGAGGGAAATTATCTAAATTTGTTTTGAACCTTTAAAAGAAGAAGGGAGCTTCAAGTGTTGATTCTATAAAAACCAAGTGTCTAATTGTAGAACGATGAAGTGATTCCATTGTTCAAATTCTTGAGGTGGAATGTGTTTAATTTTATGCCCTTGATCTTCCAAATTATTGTATAAACGGAAATACTACTACTAAGAGTCAGCATAGTACATGTAATGATTTGAATTAATACAGATTTCTGTTTTAAATGTTAAATTGAGAATCTTCTTGTAGCATTTTATTTGTATTGTGTTAGGGTATTTATTCTCTGCTCATTTATAGTAACTCATTTTGTCTTTATTGCTTAGGGTACAGGCTAAAGCCTAGGTTTTGAATTGGTTGTCTGCCTTTTGAATCCTATCTCTGCATTTTTAATATTTGACCTTAGTCAAGTCATTTAATCTTTCTAGATCTTAGTTTGCAGTACCCATTTTGCAGGGCTGTTGTGAAGGTTTATAGAGAGTAGATACAATGGGTTTGGCTTTTATTTCAGGTTCTCAGTGAACAAGGTAGTCAGGCTGTAACTCTACTTTTGGTTCCTGCATTGTTCGGAATCAGTGAATAAAGTATTAAGCTTCCATTTCCTTCCTTTATGCTTTGTCTTTTCTTTGAGCATAAATTATAAAAAGGGAAAAAGAAACTGAAAGAAAGAAAAGAAACCCTGGAACAATTCTATGGTTATTTCGAAGAACAGTCTCGCTGGTGAGAATTTAACAAAGGGACTTTTTTATTATTGAGTGAAAATATGATCTTGGTTGATATTAAGTGCTATTGTTACTGAGATGATCACATAATACTATCAGCAGTATAAAATTTGGATTCACAAGTTTTTGGACAAGAGTTGTGATATTGCATCACTTAGTAGTCATAATTTATACTATAAATCTTCATTTAACATTTATTCAGCAGGAGAAATACCTGACCTGGAGAAAAAAAAAAGCCTGTGTTCTAACCTTGGGGTATGTTTGTTATGTAAGACCTGTTTGTCAACACAGTCATTTGTTAACATTCCTGACCAGGAATTTTGACATGGCATTTGTAGAATTCCTCTTGAAATACAACGTGAGAAATTTCAAAATCCACAGTGTAAAACTCTAGATTAGAGTAATAAAGGAAAAGCCATGGCCACAGTTACTACGAACTACAAAATACTTAACAGTTATTACTTTATCAGAATTTCTAAGCTGTTAAGCCAAAGGGTAATTGAAAAAAATAATAATAGTTCATTTCTAGATCAGAAACTTAAATTATGAAAAGAACTGTATTTGAAATTACATCGTTTTTCTGTATTTGAAGATACATCACTTATATTTTCGTTAAACTCATTGGTCAAGACGTTAAGAAATAGTGAAAATGGGCAAAATCTAGGGAAATTAGGATCTCTAAAAAAGAAAAATCTGTCTCAAGATTATTGATTCACCAAAATAAAGTACATTCTATGAATTTTAATTTGTTGTTCTTGTATCGTTTTTTGGTATTGCAAGTTAAGTTGTGGACCCATTGGGCTGATTGTTTTCCTAGATGTGGGTCAAATTGCTTGTCTTATAGATATTATTGGTTTTCAGAACATTTAAACATTGAGTGTTTTAGAACATAAAGTTGTTATTAAAATTAAATAAATGTATTTATTAAAGCTTTTCAAATTTATATTAAACTGTTGAAAAACTCAAAATTTTCAAGTTAACATCCATAAATTTCCCATCATAAGAGCTTGCTTCAAAATTACCTTTGTCTTGTACAACTAACCTGGGAAATCCGTTCATTACTCATAAATGTTCAATGTAATGATTGTAGGAGACAATTCTACCAGTACATTATATGGCCCTCAAAATTATTTAAAAACATTAAAATACATTCATTTGGTCTACCAATATATATTTAGTTATCCTACTTTTGTAATGCTGGTCTTTGACTTCTGGTAAGTATAGGATGGACTTTGTCAACTGTGAAATTGTATTTTTTTTTTTTTTTTTCATTTATTGTAGATTTTACTGTTTACAAATGATTTATATTATAGTTCTACTTTTTCTGTATCAGTCACGGTTTTATCACATTTGGCAATAATCACTGATAAACTTCTGGAAATCTTCAAAAATAATTTGCAATATCTGAAACCTTCCTTTTTAAATTAAGGCTGCAAGGTGTGACTGTTGTAAATCTCAAGGAACTCTTAAAGAGCGAGTTCAGTGGCGTGGGGAAATGAAACATTTCTGTGATCAACATTGCTTACTGCGTTTCTACTGTCAACAAAATGAGCCCAACATGACAACTCAGAAAGGACCTGAAAACTTACATTATGGTATGTAATGATTTAGGTGATAACTTGAAAACCCTGTACATCAGTCTTTACGTAGTTTTGAATCCAAAGCACTGATAATGAATAGTTGATTTTGGAGATAGCTTAACAGCAACTTAAATTCCGTAGATTCTCTGGGTCGAAGTACCCTTGTATGTTGTTTTTATAAATGTATTGCTTTTAGTTTTATTGTCTTTTTGAAATTTCATGCTAATTGAGAAAAGGCATAGTTGAGAGTGAGGAGAAGCTAAACAGTGCTATAACACAAATTTTAAAAAGAATAGACATCTAACTATCGTGTCATCTGCAATTTTAAATGAAAATTATTTTTAGCAAATCGTATTGCTAGGGAGTAGGTTGGGAGGAAGAACAAAAACCGTTTAGAAGCTGTAATTTTTTTAAAAAAAATATCATTTAAGATATAAATCTAAGAATATATAATAGTATTTCCCCGAAAGCAGTGTATACTTTCAGAGGGGACGAAAGGAGAAAAGGATTAATTTCATTTATTTACCTGTATATTTCTATACTTTATACAAATTTGAAATTCTTTCCTTAAAATAGTCTAAAATATTTTCTTTAGTCACATTTTAAATTGGTGAAATTTAATGAGAAATAGGGATTTAGAACATTCTGAAGAAAGAGTATTTGTCTTATTTTAAATTTTTTTGTGTTTTTTAGATCAGGGTTGTCAGACATCTCGAACCAAAATGACAGTAAGTATTGGTGAAATGGAGTGCTGAATTGTGATTTTTGTAATATGGGGTAAAAAATAATTAGGCCAATTTAATGTGATCATAATAGTAATTTTTTTGGTTTTTTTTTTGCTTTACTGAGACGGTGGAGTATTCAGCTGAATTATATTAATACCAGAGACTGTCATGCATGCTAAAGAATATAAAGGAGAATTAATTATAGCCTCTACTCACAATGGGGCGATAGACATAAGTGATATTTGAGTTGACGGATGTTTCCATAATAGATGCATCTTTAAGACAATGGCAATAGTATGTTTGAAATTAAGACAATGGCAATAGTATGTTTGAAATTAAGACAATGGCAATAGTATGTTTGAAATGACTGTATTTGTTCTGAAAGATACGAATAAGCTGACTGTAAACAGTTGAGTAGAAGATTGCCAGATAGGCATGAAAAGTAGGAGAATAATAAAGTACTAAGCACGTGTATTTGGCAGAACTACTTACTAGAGCCAAGCCTGAAGGGGATCTTTGGTGGAATAATGGAAAATGAGGCTGAAGGAATAGGCTGAGGCAGATTATTAATGGCTTTATGCATTTATTTTTCAAGTAGAGATCTGAAGATATATGTTGGTGGCTAGAATTTTTTGAGTTTAACAATTTGGGAAATACACAGTGTGTCCTGGATTTTTTTTCCTCCAATTTATTTTTCTTTTGGTGTAATACATCAAATTCTACACTTTTGTTAGCATTTTAAGAGTTTTATAGGTTGAAAGTGGCCATTGATGTTACTAATGACTACTAAAGATAAGAGGCAGTGCTTTTGCCACTGCCTGGCCTTGGCATGCTGCATCTTACAGCAGTCACCAGTGGTGGATCCTGCTATTTCTGGCATCCTTATCCGAGGGAAGCTCTTTGGGAGTCATTTATTGGCAATAAAGTCTCTGGGCTAGTTCTTGTTGTGTTACAAAAGAACAGATTAGTGGTTCCTAGCTCTGACTACTCATTAGAATCACCTGGCAACTTTTCAAAACCTTCCAGTGCCTGGGTTTCAACCCAAAAATTCTGTATTTTTAAAAAGTTCTGGCTGGGCACGATGGCTCACGCCTGTAATCCCTGCAACAAGGCAAGTGGATCACCTGAGGTCAGAAGTTCGAGACCAGCCTGGCCAACATGGTGAATCTCCATCTCTACTAAAAATACAAAAAATTAGCCGGGCGTGGTGGTGGGCACCTGTAATCCCAGCTACTCAGGAGGCTGAGGCAGGAGAATCGCTTGAACCCGGGAGGCAGAGGTTGCAGTGAGCCAAGATCGCGCCACTGCACTCCAGCCTGGGTAATAAGAGTGAAACTCCATCTCCATTAACAACAACAAAAAAAAGTTATTTAGGATGCTGATATGTAACCAGACATGAGAATCACTGATATAGATGAAAATTGGTATTTTTACATTTATTCTATTCAGTGTTTGTTTTTGATGTTAATAGTTGGACAGAATCCTAGAAAAGTAAGAATACTTTTTCCATACCCCCCCTTATGGAAATAACATTTTAAAATCAGATAATTTGGAAGTACGTAAAGTATTCACTTGAATTATCTGATTTTAATACCAGACACTTTTATCCATGCTGAGGGTATGAAAGATGACTACTCCCTATTTTATATTTATAAGGCAACTATTAGCACGATATTAAATATTTTTCTCCTCCTACAGCACTTGAACCAAACTATATGACAGAGGGATAGAGGGAGCATTATTAATAGGGAAGGATAAGTAAGGCTGCCATTGCAGCTGTTGCCTTTTGTCATATAAAGTCCTCTCCCATCTTTTCTTTGTAAGCTTTTGGAATCTTCTAATTCTCCACCCATAAACTTCAAAGGATAGGAGCTTAGCTGTATAATTTTGGGCAAGTTACTTCACTGTTCTTTTTGTGAGTTTCTTTATTTGTAAAATCAAGATGAATATAGTACCTACCTCATGTTGAATACTAAACGTGGTGTAACTGTTTTGTTCCAGACTTCATAGAGGCAGTATGTATAGTAAAGAACATAAACTTTGACATCAGATGAGTCTTACTTGAATCCTGATTTCAGAACTTTTAGCTCAGTGCCTGTTGCCAGGTTATATCACTTCTGAGCCTCAGTTTCCTCCTATGTAAAATGGGAGTGATAAAAAGTCCTACCTTTTGTGGTGGTAGGAGTATGCAATAAGATTTGGTGCTTTTCATAGTCCCTGGCATCTAGCAAATACTCAACAGATGGTGGCTTTTGTCATTATAATTTTTATTCTTTTGGGTCCTACTTCAGCATACACAGATAACTGTGTATCCTGCCTATTGACTAAAAAAGTAAAAAACATTCTAAAAAACAAGTTTGGTTCAAGTGTAGATTTTCACCAAGTGGCATAGTTAATTGACATAAAGTAGTATTTGCAGAATGGCAAGAAGTGCAACATTGAGCAATCCCAGGACATCTATGACTTTAGATCCTCTCTTCTGGGATTCCAGTTAAGAGCGAACTTTCCTAATGCCTGGTATGTAACAGATACTGTTTGCTAAGTTATTCTTTCCATTATGCAATGGTGGAAATTGAGGCATAAGAGATTGAGTGACTTGCCTGACGTCACACAGCAGTGGCTTTAAGTATAGTTGACCCTTGAACAACATGGATTTGAACTGCATTTGTCTACTTCCACATGGGGTTGTTTTTTTTTTTTTTTTCCCCCAACCAAACTTGGATGGAAAATAAAGGATTTGCAGGATGCGAGTTTGAGAGCATACTTTTCATATGGGTGAGTTCTATAAAGGCTGACTGTGGGAGTTGTGTATGCAGATTCTGGTATGAGGAGTAGGGGTAGGGGCATTGGTGGATGGTGGTGGTCCTAGAACCAGTCCTCCACATATACTGAGAGATAATTGTGCAGTCAGTCCTCATTCATGGATTTCAAATTTGCCTACCCACCAAAATTTATTTGTAACCCCTTAATCGATACTTAAGTGCTTTCACAGGCATTTGTAGATGTGCAGAGTGGTGAAAAATTTGAGTTATCCAATGTGCATGTTCCCAGTTGAAGTAGAACAAAGCAATGCTGTGCCTTTTTGTTTCAGCTCTCATACTGTAAACAAGTGTCCTTTTCTTAGTCTAATTAGTGTCAGGGTGTTTTGTTTTTGTTGTTTGCATTTTTGTGTTTTCTGTTGATGATTTTTGTTGTTTAGAAGGGCCAGCAAGTGTGGTGTTGAAGTGCTGTCTAGTGTCACTAAGAGCAAGAAAGCTGTGATGTACCTTATGGAGAAAATACTGTTAGAAAAGTTTCATTTAGGCATGAAGTTATAATGTTCTTGGTGTAAGTTCAGTATTAATGAATCAACATTATCGTACATCTAGAAAAAGGAAGAGGAAATTTGCCAGTCTACCCGAGTGCTATAGTAACATCTCTAGTTTGTGGTACAGCTAAGGAAAAGATACAATAATGACTAAACTTACGGATTCATGAGATTATGACCAATTTTTTTTTTTTAAAGCATACTGAACAGCTTTCAGCTCACAACAGGTTAATCGGGGTTAGGAAAATGTTAAAACGTTCTTGGCTATGTGAGAGCTAGCTGGCTTACACATTTTAAGGCAATGTGGTATGAAAAGTGTTGAAGTTGAGGCGAGTTTTGCAGATCAAGATACTATGGAAGAATACCTACGAAGTGTTATACAGGGAAAAGGTTATATGGAAGAGCTACTTTTCAACACTAATGGGACTGGCTTATTTTTACGAGGTCATTGGCATATGAACCTTTGAAATGCCCTTGGCCTTAATTCATCCAAAGAGTGTGCAAGCTTGTTATTGTATACCAATGCCAAGGGCACCTTTAAATGCAAACTCTTGATACACAGAGCTCAAAATTCTTGAGCACTTGCAGGGGAAAACCAGAAGTGTGTATCATTTCCATTGGAGGTGGGACAAAAAAGCATGGATGATACCCAAAATATTCTGGGATTGGTTTCATTGCTTCATCCTAGAAGTTGAACACTATCTTCAGGGTGAAAACTTAGCCTTCAAAGTTTTATTACTGGATAATGCCCCAGTTCATTGCTGTGAAGAACTTGGAAGTGCCCATCCCAATGTAGGAGTTCTTTTCATGCCCCCAAATACTAGTCTCTTCTCCAGCCCCTCAGACAGGGCATTTTAAAGGCTTTCACGGTGTACCACATGAGGGAGCTTTGTAACAAGGCTTGTGAGGCTCTCAATGCCGACAAGGAAACCACCATGGATAGACTCCTGGAAGCAGTCACAATATGCATCTTCTTGATTATGGCGACACAACCTGGGGGCAGTATAAAGCAGTCCATTGATAACTGTTGGGAAGATGTTTGATCAGACTGAAAAGGTGTTAAAGAAATTATAAAGAACAATGTTAAAAACATAATGTGCATCACACAGCAAATGAGCATAGAAGGCTTTGGCAACATGAAGGAAGGTGATATCAGAATGGAATTCTGTCTTGGGAAAAATTGTCAATAAAACAGAAAAATGTGGCCCTATGCTTGAGCACAGTCTCAATTTTAAGCGCTACTGAGAACATGCCTTGAGATGCTTAAAGGATCTGAGGTTAAAAGCTAAGCTGCCAAGGCTGACACAATTTTTGGAGCCACTTTGGGTAAGAAAATCACTGACACTGTCAACAAGGCACAAGAGCCAGTTCTACAACCTCGGTTTTCATGGGGCACATCAAAGGTTGAGAGGTCAGACCACACAGCGCAGTACCTCATCACACATTCTGCAGCTCCATCCACAGTGAAATTTTATTAATGTTTGTTTTGTTTTTGCTTTGTTCTTGAGACAAAGTCTAACTCTGTCATCCAGGCTAGAGTGCAGTGGCAATATCTTGGCTCATTGCAACCTCTGCCTCCCAGGGTCAAGAGATTCTCCTGCCTCAGCCTCTAGAGTAGCTGGGACTAGAGGTGGGCGCCACCATGTCCGGCTAATTATTTATTTATTTTTATTTTTATTTATTTATTTATTTTTGTATTTTTAGTAGAGATGGAGTTTCACCATGTTGGCCAGGCTGGTTTCGAACTCCTGACCTTAGGTGATCCGCCTGTCCCGGCCTCCCAGAGTTCTGGGATTACACATGTGAGCCAATGCCCCCGGCCAGCTTTTGTAAAACTTTGCTTAATTTTTGTTTAATATTTTTTAGGATTTTATATGCATAAGGGTACAGTAAACAGTATGTGTTCACAGTGTTGTTTACTCTATGTGATTACTGTACAATATGTGTGGAGTACTGTACAGTGTGCATGTGCTGTGTGAGTGCTGTACAGTATGCGTGTGCATTATATCTGTACTGTGAGTTGATTTCAGTACAGTAGTGTATTACACAAATATTCTCTAATGAAATATTGTTTTATTATTAAAAAATACTGTATGAAGTATCGTTAACAAAATTATGTATTTATCAGTTGATGAAAACATTGCGACCAGAGGCTCACAGGAACCTAATCTTGTATTTCCCATTGCAGCAGTGGTTCAGTAGTCATTGTTTGGGGCAACCGTATAGAACATAACTATTCCGAATTATGTACCTACATTTTCTCCGTATCAATAGATGATGTGGAGAGTACCTTATTTTTACTCCCTTACGCTCATATCTTCCACTTATTTCAGATTTTATTTATGTGGGGTTTTGTCTTGTTTGCAATGCAAATAATGCTGCAGTGAACTTAGTGTGAAATATCTGAGAGACTGCATCTGTAGAATAGGTTTCAGAAATTGCCATTGCTGGGCCGCAGGAAATACACAACTTAAAGTTTGAGGATATCTTTGGTAATTGTTTTCATTTTTCTTTTCAAATTTATAATCATATTTAAAGCCATTTATCCAGCAGAGGGAGTGAGAGTATCAGAGAGCCATAATAACTGTTGGATCTTCTTTTTCTGAAATAAATTTAAAAGTACCCAAGTATTTTCATAGTTCAGGTTTGCAACCTTGATTTTGTACTTAAAAGTTAGATTGTCTTTTTATATTTTTCTAAAATCATTCTGATGGTATCCTTTGAAGGTGATATAAATCTATAGAATGAATAATTGCTACCACTTTGCTAGTAGTTAGGATAGATTCATATTGATCCTTATAGATTAAGAGTATGGTGAACATAGGGATAATAGCATAATTTGGTTATCCTCTTCTGCTTTTGTGTGTTCCCTTCTTAGGACTGAAAATCCTTCATTGACACTAGGAAGTATTGAAAATTAGACATAAAAATAAAAATGTTTCTCTTTGCTTCTCCATAGGGTTCAGCACCACCCCCTTCTCCAACACCTAACAAAGAGATGAAGAACAAAGCAGTTCTTTGCAAACCTTTAACAATGACAAAAGCTACTTACTGTAAACCTCACATGCAGACCAAATCTTGTCAGACAGGTAACTTAGGACAATGTGACTTACATACTTCCCCATACCTTCATCTCACCTAATGAAATACATGCTTTTCTTGAATGACACCTCCAGGATAGATTCATTTGGTCAATTTGTCATTTTCTGTTGATTTTGCTTACGTAATTTTAGATATTACCTGGAGAATACAGCATCTCATTTTAAATCATTATGATCAATCTCTGATAAAGGCCTAGAATACAAATTATGTCAAAAGTGAAAAAATACTATCTCGAAAATTTCCTTGGGGATAAGACTACTAAAATTATAATGCTTCCTCTGAGAAAATCATCTCTTTGCATGTGGTTTGTAATGGTAACAGTTCTGTTTCCTTCCTGTCAGAATGAGGTGAAATTGTTCAAATATGTATTTTTTATGAAATTTACAGTGTTACCTGTGTATTCTAATTATTTGATTAAATAAGCCTTTGGGGAGGTTGTTGAGGAGAGTATGGTAGGGTATCTGGAACTACATAGTGTTTTTAAAGGATGTTTTCTTTCTTAAAAAAAAAAAATCCCTAAATTCTATTTGTATTTTCTGTAAGTTAGAACAGCTGCTGCTTTCTTTTTTGTCCTGTTCTTTTTAAGTTACCTAACTTAAAAAAACTGGGAATTAAAAAAAAAAAGGTACTGAGGTAGTTAAATTTTTCTTTATCAAATTATTTTAACATTGAGCACCTGTATATAAGTGTTAGTTAACATTGCTCCTTAAATATGTTTTGTGTTTTTAGATGATACTTGGAGGACAGAATATGTTCCAGTGCCTATCCCTGTGCCTGTGTATATCCCAGTTCCTATGCACATGTACAGTCAGAATATTCCTGTTCCTACTACAGTTCCTGTTCCTGTAAGTCACATTTTAAGTTCTTTCTCATTTTGAGATTTAGCAGACACAGTTGGGAAAACAGTGTACAGTTGACCCTTGAACAACAAGAGTTTGAACTCCATGCATCCACATATGTGGATGATTTTTTTTTTTCCCCAATAAATATGGGCGGCCCTCTATATTGGCAGGTTCCACATCCGTGACCAAACACAGACTGAAAATACAGTATTCTGCCTGTAATCCCAGCACTTTGGGAGGCTAAGGTAGGCGTATCTTCAGCCCAGGAGTTCAAGACCAGCCTGGGCAACATGGTGACACCCTGTCTCTACTAAAAATGTAAAAATTAGCCAGGCACAGTGGCATATACCTGTAATCCCAGCTACTTGGGAGGCTGAGGTAGGAAGATTGCTTGAGCTTGGGAGATGGAGGCTGCAATGAGCCGTGATTGCACCACTGCACTGCAGCCTGGTCTACAAAGCAAGTCCTTATCTCAAAAAAAATGAAAATAAAAAATTATTTGAGGATGTGAAATCTGTGTAGAAGGCTGACTGTAGGGGTGTGGAACTTGAGTATGCATAGACTTTGGTATCCATCCACAGGTGGTCCTGGAACCAATCCCCTAGAATACTGAGGATAACTCTAGTTGCAGTTACTAGTTTAATGAAGCTAATAAAACCATCTTTACCTTTCTTCGACAGTTAACTTAGATTTGGTTGAATCTCTGTTGTCATGATTGATTGCTTTGTGTATAGTATGTATATGTTCATCCTCGAGAGTGACATTTCGCGGATGTCTGTGCCTGCTCTGTGCATATTAAGTTTATATTTGGGTTCATTTTCAAAAGGAATATTTGTGGGCCATGTGCAGTGGCTCACGCCTGTAATCCCAGCACTTTAGGAGGCTGACATGGGCAGATCACCTGAGGTCAGGAGTTCAAGACCAGACTGGCCAACATGGTGAAACCCCCTCTCTACTAAAAATACAAAATTAGTTGGGCATGGTGGCACATGCCTGTAATCCCAGCTGCTGGGGAGGCTGAGGCAGGAGAATCGCTTGAACCCGGGAGGCGGAGGTTGCAGTGAACTGAGATAGCGCCATTGCACTCCAGCCTGGGCAACAAGAGTGAAATTCCATCTCAAAAAAAAAAAAGAAAAATATTTGTGAAGCCATAAGGTTTAGAACTGAAACATAGAATTTCATATAAAATATTATTTTATCCCAAATCACTTGCAGTACTTAGAAGAACACTGTGTCAGGGCTTGGCTATTATAGTCCCCTGGGGGACAGAAATACTTCAAAAATTCTTTTTCTTTAATTTGAATTCCAAAAAGTAGATGCTTGTATTCTAGGCTTTCTTATCACAGTTAACATCTTAGTTTTGTATGTGTTCTTTTCAAAGCTTTTATCCAGTGTGATATTACAAAGTAGATCATGTGTCAGAGTAATTTTTAATTTGGAAAAATACCTTTTAATGTTTAGTAAACCTAACTCAAAATGATTTGGTTAATTAGGTGCCAGTTCCTGTTTTTCTGCCTGCTCCATTGGACAGCAGTGAGAAGATTCCTGCAGCAATTGAGGAGCTAAAAAGCAAGGTTTCTTCAGATGCTCTTGATACAGAGTTGCTTACAATGACGGATATGATGAGTGAAGACGAGGGGAAAACAGAGACAACCAACATCAACAGTGAGCTACACTAAATTATACCTTGCGAATAAGTGTTAACATTGGTTATTTATAAGTATTGTTACAGTACTTTCCAGGGCATATCATTTTGTTTCAACTTATGTGGGGGTGAGGAAAGCATTGTAACAAAAATGTTTTTTATATTAAGAGATCTACACTGTATTTAGCCAGGTGCCCTCAGACAGATATCCGAAGCAGGAATTTGGTCTTTGGTCTCTGTTTTAAGCAGGATTTGACTTGTAAAATCAACTCAAAATTATTCTTGTTAATGGAGTAGTGCTGATGCAAAACTATAATAACTTGTAGTAGACTCTAATGATGATCAAAACTCTTATTTTGTAATAGTTATCCCTAGTTTTTTGTTTTGTTTTGTTTTTTTTTTTAGATGAACTCTTGCTCTGTTGCCCAGGGTGGAGTGTAGTAGCATGATCCCGGTTCACTGAGATCTCTGCCTCCTGGGTTCAAGCTATGCTTCTGCCTCAGCCTCCTGAGTAGCTGGAATTACAGGCACGTGCCACCACGCCCAGCCAATTTTTGTCTTTTTAGTAGAGACAGGGCTTCCCTATGTTGGCCAGGCTGATCTCAAACTCCTGACCTCAGGTGATCCACCTGCTTCCCAAAGTGCTGGTATTACAGGTGTGAGCTACCACACCCAGCCCCTAGTTTTCTTTTATTGCTTATACTAATAAAATAATTTGCATTATCTAAACCAGAGTTTATCTTAACCTCTGTTAGGGCAGTGCTTGCGCTACATGGTATAACGTGATGAGTGTGTTGTGGATGGTTCTAAGTCACTTAGAATATTTATTTTCCACCCTTAACCCTCTCTTGATACCCAAAGTCCTATTTCAACCTTGAGCTAATTCTTACCCTTACCCTAGAGGACAATCAAAATACTATAATTTTCTCTGGATTTAATAATGAGACAGTGTTTTTGAAGCACTGTGGTAAGGAGTTGTGAAATTAGTGGGTTGCAACCAGTGTTTTTGTTTAAGAAAAGAAAAAGCTAAGTGGAATAGGGTAAGAGAAATGACAGTGTGAATCCCTCATAGAAAGGGTAAGTATTATTTTGTGAAACCAGTGTGTATACAGATGTCTTTCTGTTCCCCACCATCACCTTGCAGTATGTGCTGGATAAAATGCATTTCTTGCCATGATTACAACACAAAAACACTTGAAAGCAACTGATCGAACCATTAAAAGGCAGTTGTTAATATGCATATATTGAACAATCTGAGAAACCTGGGTCAAAATTCAAAGAGTATTGAAAACTACAGTTGTCTACCCTCATTAGTTTATTTTTGACAAAAAGTTGCTTTTAGAAATACTTTACTTGTTGAAGTTGTTTTACTATCAAAGCATACCTATTAGCTTTTGAAGGGAGTCCTCCTGTAAAATTTATAGGATTAAAAGTTTTCATGTGCTTGTGACTAATTATGAGGTTTATAGTGGTTTACATTTTGAGATAGTTATATATATAATATGCCCTTTTCTTTTGTGACATTATACGTATTTTTTTATATTGCATTTAAAATTAAATGACTTGCTTTTGCCAGATTAAATACAGATACCATTGGGGTTTTCTGTTTTGATTCCTAATGATAATATGGATTGATTTCAGGTGTAATTATTGAAACAGATATAATTGGTTCAGACCTTTTGAAGAACTCTGACCCAGAGACACAGTCCAGCATGCCTGATGTACCATATGAACCAGATTTGGATATCGAAATAGATTTTCCCAGAGGTACTCAAAACCTTTATGACTATGGAATTTAGTTATGGAGTCAACTGTGGTTATGATCATTTACCATTTGATGTTTGTGTCATTGCCTTTTAGCAGTGTTCATATTTTTTATTCTTGTTATTTTTTAAACTCACCTTAAGAGTTAACTTCATATTTTGTTGTTGTTTTTTTTTAAAAACCCACCTTAACAGTTAACTTCTGGAATGAGATCACTTGAGTCCAGGAGTTCAAGACCAGCCTGGGCAATGTGGTGAAACACTGTCTCTACTAAAAATATAAAAATTAGCCAGGCGTGGTGGTGCATGCCTGTAATCCCAGCTACTCGGGAGGCTGAGGCAGGAGGATTGCTTGAGCCCAGGAGGTAGAGGTTGCAGTGAGCCGAGATTGTGCTACTGCACTCCAGCTTGGGCAGCAGAGTGAGACCCTGTCTTTAAAAAAAAAAAAAAAAAAAAAAATTCTAGAAGTAATTCATTATAGAAAGTTTAAAGAAGTGTTTGTGTCCTTTTTAATTTAAAAATGTTGTTAGCATCTGGGTGCGGTGGCTTATGCCTGTAATCCCAGCACTTTGGGAGGCCGAGGTGGGTGGATCACCTGAGGTCAGGAGTTTGAGACCAGCCTGGCCAACGTCGTGAAACCCCGTCTCTACTGAAAATACAAAAATTAGCTGGGCGTGGTGGTGAGTGCCTGTAATCCCAGCTACTGGGGAGGCTGAGGCAGAATTGCTTGAACTCAGGAGGCGGAGGTTGCAGTGAGCCAAGACTGCACCATTGCACTCCAACCTAGGCAACAAGAGCAAAACTCTGTCTCAAAAAATATATATATATAAAAAATATATAATATATATAATACATAAATATAATTTTATATATTATATACATCATGATGTATATAATATATAAATATATACAATATATAATATAAATATAATTTTATATATAATATATATTTTATATATATTATATAGTTTTTATATATATAATATATATAGTTAGCTTTTTTTTAAGATCCTTTGAAAATTAAGTTCACCTTCAAAGGAAAAATTATTTTCAGGTCTTTTGTAAAATAAGTGTGCCCCATTTTTCATTATTTTCTTAATCCATGGATGGCTAATGAGCACACTGAGTAGAATGTAAAACATTAGTTTTTGGAAAAAACATTTAATAGATTGAATCAGATTTGTACCAAGACCATTTAGATCTTGTAATTGGATTTCAGACTATAATAATTTTTCTGGTATCATACATTTTCATGAAAATTTTATGTTGATATTCATTTTATATATGTTTTTAGGAGTTTGAACAGTGTTTGTCAGAATTCACAAACCATGTTAGGTACAATGAGTCATTTACTCCCCAGCCCAGCCTAGATTGTCCCCATGTATGAATGCTGGTTTACATCCTGTGGTTAGTTCTTTGTTGGCTGTGTTTATGTAACCCTGTGCTATTTCATTTAAAATAAAAGTTCTGATTTGGTTGTCAGCTGCTGAGGAGCTTGATATGGAAAATGAATTTTTATTACCACCTGTTTTTGGCGAAGAATATGAGGAACAGCCCAGACCTCGATCTAAAAAAAAGGTACATTCACTTAATAGCCTATATAACAATATTTCTCTATAGGCAAACAAGGATACAGTGTTCTTTTAGTGTGCCTGAGAATATGGGAACATATTTTGTTTTCTAGGTTGGAAAATAATTTATTTTCTATTTATATAGAATATAGTAATAATATATTACTGCTATTTATTACTATTATTTATTACTATTTCTATTTGTATAGAAATAGTAATTATTACTATTTCTAGTAATAATAGTAGTAATAATTTATTTCTAGTAATAATTTATTACTGTTTCTAAGTAATAAAAATATCTCAGATTTAGTTGATACCTCAACTAAACTTGTATTGATACAAGGTCAAAATAGAAAACAGTTGCTAAAGTAGTAAGTTCAATTATTTGACAAAAATTTAGACTGTTTTCTAGGGAGCTGTTTTTTCCACGATTATTTCTGATGAGATGATCAGTGGGGTTGAAGTACACAGTTTATTATTTCTGGTCTCTTTTAGGCATACCAACACACATAGAAAGACATGCTGGACAGTTTGATCATTCAGGTAGACCAAATCTACATGCATTAACAAGTGTAATTGTTATAATATTCTGTCAACTTTCTGTGTTTCTGACTTCCAACATAAAGCAGGTTTTAAAAATACCTTAAGAAAGATAGCTTTCACAAATTGTCCCCAAAAGAAAGAAAAAAAACCGGAAAAGGGAGAGAATACTTGGAGTGGAATGAAGGTGGACTTCTGCTTGACACCAAACACAACAATTAACTCAAAATGAGCCATAGACCTAAATGTAAGAGCTAACAATATAAAACTCTTAGAAGAAAACATAGGCCTAAATCTTAATGGCCTTATGTTAGGCAGTTTCTTAGGTAAGATACCAAACGCACAGGGAAGAAAAGGAAAAATAAATAAATAAACTGGACTACATCAAAATTAAAAACTTTTGCATTGCAAACAGTGCCATCAGGAAAGTGAAAAGGGGGCCAGGCACAGTGGCACCTGTAATCCCAGCACTTACAGCACTCAGGAAGGCTGAGGCGGGAAGATTGGTGGAGCCCAAGAGTTTGAGACCAGCCTGGGCAACATAGTGAGACCTCTACAAAAACTAAAAAATAAAAACCAGCCAGGCATGGTGGCACGTGCCTGCAGTCCCAGCTACCCAGGAGGAGGATCGAGGCTGCAGTGAGCTATGATCGTGCCACTGCACTCCAGCTTGGGCAACAGAGCAAGACCTCTCCTCAAAACAGAACTCCAGCATGGATACTTACCTGGCAGGGGAGATACCGTGATTACAAAACTCTAGCATGGGTGACAGAGCAAGGCCCTGTCTTAAAAAAACAAAAATAAAACAATAAAATAAAAAAGTGAAAAGTACTTAAGTGTCACTCTCTATAAGGTGGAGTTGTTGAAAAGTTCTTCAGTTTCTGTTACAGTAATATTTAGATTATTAGTTTATTGTCTTATATTTATTTTCTCATCATTGGTGACTCTCACCACAGAATTTAATATGATTTTGTTGCACAAAGTGATTTATGTAGAAACATCACATTTCCTGGAATATTAATTGACTGTTGTCAGATTCAGGAATACCAGTCAGTTCAAAGCAAATACCTATATTTCATTTTTTCTTTTCTAATTTCATGACACATTAAACAAATAACTATATTTTTATGACAGATTAAACAGATAACTATATTTGTAATTACAGATGACCGTTGTACAATGCAGTGGTTGGGCTCTGATCCCCCCTGCACAGTCACAAATTTGTGTATAACTTTTGACTCCCTAAAAAGTTAAGTACTAGTAGCCTACTCTTCACTGAGCCCCCCTGCACAGTCAAAAATTCATGTATTACTTTTGACTCCCTAAAAAGCTAACTACTAGTAGCCTACTGTTGACTGGAAGCCTTGCTGATAACAGTTGATTAACACATATTTTATATGCTACATACTGTATTTTTATAATAAAGTTAGCTAGAGAAAATGTTATCAAGAGAATCATATGGGAGAGAAAATATATTTACGATTCATTAGGTGGAAATAGATCATCCTCATTGTCTTCAAGTTGAGTAGGCTGAGGAGGAAGAGGAGAGAGGTTGATCTTGCTGTCTCAGGTGGCACGATTGGAAGAGGTAGAAGGAGGTTGGAGAGGCAGGCACACAGAAAAACATACGTGTCCAAGTGGACCCCTGCAGTTCAAACCCATGTTGCTCAAGGGTCAATTGTAATTTGCCTTTGTTGAGAGATGGCTTGTATAAAGTAATGAAATAATGTAGGCTTTAAAAAAGATATTATTATGGTGTTTTTTACTAATAGGGAGCCAAGAGAAAGGCTGTATCAGGATACCAGTCTCATGATGATAGTTCTGACAATTCAGAATGCAGCTTTCCTTTCAAATATACGTATGGCGTAAATGCATGGAAACACTGGGTCAAAACTAGGCAACTTGATGAAGATCTTCTGGTATTAGATGAGTTAAAATCTTGTAAGTGTTTTAATTTTGTTTCTCCTAAGTCCTATTTAAAATCAAGATTTCTGTTATTGAGTACCTTTAAATTTAAAAAACATAAATGTAACTTAAAATACCTGTAAGAATGCATTTTATTTTACTTCAGAGCTCTTACAAAGAATAACGTCAGAAAGTTTCTTAACCTTAATAAGACGCTAAATAATAACAATTATTTTTTATTTTATGTATTTTTAGCTAAATCAGTAAAGTTAAAAGAGGATCTACTCTCTCACACCACAGCTGAGCTTAACTATGGGTTAGCTCATTTTGTCAATGAGATCCGACGGCCAAATGGAGAGAATTATGCACCTGACAGCATCTATTACCTTTGCCTTGGAATACAGGAGGTTAGTAATTTGATGGCTGCTTTCAAGTATAACATTAATAAGAAAAGTTGTGGTAGTTCTTGTTTCTGTAGCATTATGGAACCTTTATTGACTTACCAAGAAACACATCTACAAAGTTGTATGTTTGCTGCCATTTATATATAAATGATAATCAGGATGACATTCTTTCCTTACCCATTGCAGATAAGTGAATTCACATTATAAGGCATGATATGTAGCCACATCTGGCTATAGATCCATGCTGATCTACATGTAAACAGAAAAATGTCATAACTCTGTAAATAGGTCTGTTTCACTGTATGCTTCTGATGTGTTTCTAACTTGTTAAATAGTATAACTACTCATTAATTCTTTGGCTATTTCATAAAAAGAGATCATTCTTTAGGGGTAAAGATAAACTTCATCCACATGTCTATGAATTTGTTTTCTACAGTAAACATGGAGATCAACTTTAAATAATGACCTCTAGTTCTGAACAGATTCCACAGATTTGTGCCCAGAAGTCAGAAAGAATCTCCAACTTGACATTCTATGTATTTTGAAATATGGTAGATGACAGGGGAGATCTCTTCAGAGTTTTGTTTGTAGGCCTAAAAATTCATTTTATTCTGCTAACAGGTGTTAGATAATGAAGTAAATCACTGAAGAAAACTAGAATTGTCTTAATTTGTGTTTTTTTTACTTTTTCTTTAGGATAGAAATTTGCTTAAGATTCTGTAAGTGGTGGTGCAGATATATAGTGCATGGCTATAAATCACTGTATTCAAGGACCATCATATATCTTGCAGTAGCAACCTAAAAGATACGTGAATAGGTTTACTTTTTTCTTATTCTCGTTTTATAGGTTTACATGTACTTTGAGCCTCATGCTTAGATGATAATATAGGTCCACCATTCCACAAACCTCTGAAAAGCAGAATTTTTTTCATGAAAACACAGTAAACAGTAAAACCTAACTTAAAGGATTGTGAAGCTGTTGTTGTCTTTATTACTCTTGGTGTTAATATTCGTCCATAGAACATTAACCATAGAATTTACTATAGAATTGTTAATGTTTCTAAACAAGTACAGAGTGTTTACCCACACCACTCTAGGAATATTAATGTATTATAATTATGTACATGCCCTGTTTCCCCTGTAAAATCCAAACAATGATGAATTCCAAAACATGTGACTCCAGTGGTTCTGGCTGAGGGGTTGAAGATCCATGTGTGTATTTTCCCTCCTCTTCTTTTATTATACCTAGGAGGGAGGGGGAGACTAGGAGTAGCATTTATACTGTACCAGGTGTAGATGAAATTGTCTTGGTCCTCTAGTTTCAGAACAATTTATTTAAGGAGAACATTTATATTTTAGAAATAATTCTGTTATCTAGATCAATTATTTTTTAAAGTGCTGTAGAGAGCACTAGCGTTGTGCCATATCAACTCAGCAGGAAGAGAGTTTGAGTTCTAGGCTCCTCTTGTTTTAATTCATTCCTACTTTTGGGGGCTGTGTTTTGGGGTTATGTATGGAATTTCATTTAGAAATTTCATTTCTGGTAGAAACAAGGCTTAAAAACATATTTAGATAATAAAACTTTTAAAATCAATAAAAACAACAAAATAAGGGGTTCTCTGCCCCACTGATCTCTAGTCTACCTAGTTCCTCTCCCTAAGGACGTGCTTTTTGCTCTTTTAGCTATTTCCCCTGGCATTACTTGCAAAATATAACTGATTTTTATATATTCATCAGTTCACTATTCTAGTAGGTGGTCTTGTTTTGTTATTTTTTAAATATATCTTAGAATTTTCTATATACACAATCATGTCACCTATGAATAAGGACAGTTTTACCTCTTTCTGATCTTTCTTTGCTTTGCTTTACTACATTGCTTGAAACCTTCCCCCATTTTTCTCTCCTGCCACCCAAACCCTAGTCCTAGTACAGTGTTGAATGGAATTAGTGATAGCAGAAACTCTTGCCTAGTTCCTGATCTTAGAGGAAAGTATTTTGTCTTTGACCATTAAGTACGATGCACCCTTTAGGGTTTTTTTTTTGGTAGCTCCCTGTTACCAAGTTGAGGAACTTTTCTTCCATTCTTAGTTGACTGAGAATTTTTTCAACTTTTTATTTTGTTGCTGAGAGTTGTTTTTTTTTTAATTATAAATGCTTATTGAATTTTGTCAACGCCTTTTTCTGCATCTATTAAGATACGGATTTTTCTTCTCCTATTAATAATGGTATGAATATAAATTAATTTTCAGACATTAAACCAGCCTAGCATTCTTGGGATAGACTCCAATTGATAATGTTATCCTTTTTATATATTGCCAGATTAGATGTGCAGATATATTGGTGATGATTTTTGCAGATGTTCATAAGGATAAGTAGTTCAGAGTTTTCTTTTTTTAACGATAATTTATATTTATAAAGAACATTGTTCTATGAACAACAACAACAAAAACTCAGAAAAAAAAAAGTGATCAGAGTATTATTTATCACAAATAAGGCAACTAATGCCCTGGTATCTCAAAATCCTTTACAAAAGGAGATAGCTTCATAAGATCTAGTCAAGGGGTTTTTGGTATGTTACTTTTTTTTTCTTTTATGTTACTTTGTTTTTCTTTTCATCTGCTTCCATCTTAAGCATAATTTCTTCAGCTGTAAGACCTCCCACTTGCTTATTCTTTGCTTACTTAACTTTTTGTTTGATGCTGGCCACATGAATTTTAGTTTCAGTAGAAGCTTCCTTAGGTTTCACATCTGGTTTTTCTTTAGATGGAATTAAAGTTTTGCTTCTTTGCTCATCTCTTACCGAGGGCTTCTGCTTGTTTAGCCTTTATTGCTTCCATTTGCTGCTACTGCTTCTGATTTGCCTTCGAAAAGTATTCACCACTAGCCAGTTCGTTATCAATCTGACTTTCTGGCTGTGGTGGTGGGAATGGTGTATATTCTTTCTTAACATTTTTTTTTCTTTGGTTCCTTGCATTTATTCATATTTGTATGTTTGAATTGTGGCAAAAATCTCTCCCAACTTTGTGGTTGAAATTCAGAGTCTTTTGCCAACTCTTTTAGTCATTAAGGTTTTAATATTATAAATAGGATGCATATTCTTCATAGTATATAGGACTACTTTTCAAACCTTTTTTTTATTTTTTTGAGATGGAGTCTCGCTCTGTCACCAGGCTGGAGCCCAGTGGCGCGATGTTGGCTCACTGCAACCTCCGCCTCCCGGGTTCAAGCAATTCCTCTGCCTCAGTCCCAAGTAGCTGGGACTACAGGTGCACACCACCACGCCCGGCTAATTTTTTATATTTTAGTAGAGACGAGGTTTCACCATGTTGGCCAGGATGGTCTTGATCTCCCGACCTCGTGATCCACCCATCTCAGCCTCCCTAAGTGCTGGGATTACATGCGTGAGCCACTGCGCCCAGCCAGTTTCAAACCTCTTTTTTAAGTCACTAAAAGGTCCAGTGGCTGAAACTGTGTTTCCCTGCATCATAATGGAGCAAGTACATTAAGAGTTCTTCAGTGTAGATCCTTTGAGACCAATAAGCCATTGTCTTTTTACAAATCTCTTTATTTCTTACTAAATAACCTATTTTAATGATGTTACATGCAACATCATCTGGAAGAACTTGCACTGCCTGTTCAAATGAAACAGTCCTTGCTAACAGTTCTAGATCTCTGGTCCCAATGATCATATATGAATCAAAAGTCTTCTGGTTTTTTTTTGAGAGTCTTGCTCTGTCATCCAGGCTGGAGTGCAGTGGCACCATCTTGGCTCACTGCAACCTCTGCCTCCGGGTTCAAGCAATTCTCCTGAGGAGGCTGGCATTACAGGTGCCCACCATCATGCCCAGCTAATTTTTTGTATTTTTTAGTACAAGTCTTTGTACTTCTGTTAACGGAAGGAAAGTCTTGAGTGTTAATTGTCCAGGTTCTTGGCGTTTTGAACAAAGGATTGGACAAAATGCGTAAACAACAAAGGAACGAAGCAGCGAAAGCAGAAATTTGTTAAAGCAAGAAAGCACTGAATAGGGTGGGAATGGGCCTGAGCAAGTGGCTCTAGGGCTGAGTTACAAAGTCTTCTTGGTTTTAAGTACTCCTTTTGAGGTCCTTATTGGTTGCCCCTTATCTGGATGAAGGATTTGGTCTAATACTAATAAAAGGCTGAGGTGAATTGGCCCCCTGTGCAGATGAAGGGATGGTCCCTGCTTGGCCCGTGGCCAGTCCAGGGCACTCTCTCTTTCCACCTGAGACCTGGCAGAAGGGAGAGGATTGTAGGGAGAGTAGCCTTTGCTATGTGGGCATGGGGAGATGGGGTTTTCCTTTCTGGTTCAGCTTTAGGAAGTTGGCATTAATTGGCCTTAAGTTCCCTGCCCCCAGGTGTTTTCCCTTGATTCACCATGAATGACTTTAATTTCTCTGCCTCCAGACCCCATCTTTCTGCCTCAGTTCAAACAGTCATGCTGCCCTGGATCCAGTGCAGGGTTGCGTTAACATTGATGTTCGTTCAAGGCTTTCTGCACCAATGGCCAGCACTTTCTAGTAAGCTTCTCTGTATTTTGGGAACAAAGTTATATAATTGCTTTCCTTTAAGAGTCCTCTGGGATTGTCCTCTTTGGAAAGAGCTGTTTCCTTCCAACCATCAGGAACAGTAAGGAATTCCGATTCATCTTGGTCTCTTCAGCTTCCGCTTCTGGTTATGAAATTCACTGTTTCCAGCCCCCTTTCTGGCCGGTTCAGAGAGGAAGACACCATTTTCAAATTGCTTCTGGTGGAGCTGGAAATAAACTTGAAAGTTCTCTTGTCTTTACCTGGCTTTGGTTTGAGGGTAGTAGTGGCTTCATAAAATGAGTTGGGGCTGGGCACGAGGGTTCACGCCTGTAATCCCAACACTTTGGGAGGCCAAGGCAGGTGGATCGCCTGAGGTTCAGGAGTTCTAGACCAGCCTGGCCGACATGGTGAAATGCTGTCTCTACTAAAAATACAAAAATTAGCTGGGTGTAGTGGCGAGCACCTGTAGTCCCAGCTACTTGGGAGGCTGAGGCTGGAGAATTGCTTGAACCTGGGAGGCGGAGGTTGCAGTGAGCTGAGATCACGCCATTGCACTCCAGCCTGGGCAGCAAGAGCAAAACTCCATCTCAAAAATAAATAAATAAATAATAATTTTTAAAAAAGAGTTGGGAAATATTCCTTCCTCCTATTTTCTGAAAGAATTTGTGAGAATTGGCATTCTTCCTTAAATATGCAATAGAATTCACCAGTGAAGCCATATAGGCTTAGGATTACTTTTTGTGGTGGGGGTGGCAGGGTGTGGATGGGTGTGGTTTTTAATCACTTAATCAGTTCCTTTAGTTGATATCAACTGTTTAGATTTCCTGTTTCTTCTTGTACCACTTTTAGCAATTTTGTCTTTCAAGAAATGATGCATTTCATCAAAGTCGTCAAATTTGTTAGCCTAAGTTTGGTAATATTTTCTTATTATCCTTTCATTCCTGATACTGGTAATCTGTGCCTTCTTTTTGTTTCTTAGTTCTTTTTTTTTTTTGAGACAAAGTCTCACTTTGTCGCACAGGCTGGTGTGCAGTGGTGTGATTTTGGCTCACTGCAACCTCTGCCTCCCAGATTCAAGTGAATCCCTGCCTCAGCCTCCCAAGTAGCTGGGATTACAGGTGCCTGCCACCACATCTGGCTAATTTTTGTATTTTTAGTAGAGACAGGACTTCACCACGTTGGCCAGGCTGGTCTTGAATTCCAGACCTCAAGTGATCCGCCTGCCCCAGTTTTCCAAAGTGCTGGGATTACAGGTGTGAGCCACCATGCCCAGCCTCTTTTTGTATCTTGAACAATCCAGCTCAGGAATCAGCCAACTTTTTCGTAAAGGGCAAGATAGTAAATAATTTAGGCCTTGCAGACCAAGAGGTAAAAATTTAGACTGTAATATAGCTACTTATATATAACTGCTTTAAGTTGTAACCATTTATAAAAGAATAAAAAACAATCCTTAGCTCATAGGTTTGTGGGATTGGGCCCATGGAGCTAGCTAGGTCTGTATAGTTGGCCTAGACACTCATGTAGCTAAAGGTGTATCATTTTAATTTTTCTCTTGTATTGAGTCTGAGTTGTATTATTTCCTTTCTTAATTTGCTCTCTTTTTATCCAGTTTCTTAAGATGTAAGCTTAGATAATTGATTTTAGTGTTTCTTCTTTTTCAGGAAAGCATTTAAAACTAAAATTTTCTCTAAAACTAGTTTACTTACATCACGAATTTTTATATGTTGTGTTTTAATTTTCCTTGACTTAAGGAAAATGCTATCACAGGAAGTTGAATCTCTGGATTGCCTTTTATTAAATGATTATTTAAATAATTAGGACTTCAATACCGTTAAGAGGTTTTGAGAGCTAAGTGGATTGTGTAATAAATTATGAAGTATGTCTTAAATAGTTTTTTTTTCTCTCAGTTTTTGTTGTAGTAAAATATACATAACATAAAATTTACGGTTTTAAGCATTTTTAAGGGTGCGGTGCAGTGGCATTAAGTACATTCACATTGTTGTGCAACCAGCATCACCATCTATCTCTAGAACTCTTTTCATCTTGCAGAACTGAAACTCTGTACTCATTAAATAATAACTCTCCATTTCCTTCTCTACTGAGCCCTGTAAGCCACTTTTCTACTTTCTATCTCTATGATTTTGACTACCATAGGCACCTCATATAAGTGGAATCATGCAGTATTTGTCCTTTTTAGTCTGGCTTATTTCATGTAGCATAATATACTCAAGGTTCATCTGTGTTGTGTAGCATATGTCAGAATTTGTGTGTGTGTGTGTGTGTGTGTGTGTGTGTGTGTGTGTGTGAGAGAGACAGAGAGACAGGGTCTCACTCTGGCGCCCAGGCTGGAGTCCAGTGGCATGAACTTTGCTTAGTATACCCTCAACCTCCCAGGCTCAAGTGATCCTCCTGCCTCAGCCCTTTAGGTGGCTGGGAATGTGGGCACGTACCACCATACCTGGCTAACTAACTTCTCTATTTTTTGTAGAGATGGGGTTTCGCCATGTTGACCAGTCTGGTCTCGAACTCCTGGGCCCAAGCAATCCACCTTCCTCAGCCTCCCAAAGTGCTGGAATTAACAGGCATGAGCCACTGTGCCCGGCTTCCTTCCTTTTTTTTTTTTTGAGACGGAGTCTTACTCTGTCGCCCAGGCTGGAGTGCAGTGGCGCGATCTCAGCTCACTGCAAGCTCCGCCTCCTGGGTTCACGCCATTCTCCTGCCTCAGCCTCCCGAGTAGCTGGCACTACAGGCGCCTGCAACCACGCCCGGCTAATTTTTTGTATTTTTAGTAGAGACGAGGTTTCACCGTGTTAGCCGGGACGGTCTCGATCTCCTGACCTCGTGATCCGCCTGCCTTGGCCTCCCAAAGTGTTGGGATTACAGGTGTGAGCCACTGCGCCCGGCCTTCCTTCCTTTTTAAAATAGGTTCCTTATGTATTGATGAATGCTTTATCAAAAAGTTGTTTTACTACTAAACTGCACATTTAAAAATGGTTAAGATGGTAATTTTTTTGTTCTACAGTTTACCAAAATTTTTAAAAATTGTGGAATATCTATTTTTATTATTGGATACATTTTCACAGACTTGTTTTCAAAGACTGTGGTATTTATAAGCAGCTTTAAAAGTAATCCTGAAACTCAGTGTAAAGATAAGATAACTAAAGTAAACTTTCCAGAAATCAGTGCTGTTTAATATTAGTTCAAGATGTGTACAGAAATAGAAGCTATTTTTGGAAAAGTGTGCATATTTTTCTGTCTGTTGGATTCATTAGTTTTGCTCACAGCTGACAATAAAGATACAGTTGACAGGAAGTATGATTTTCTTCCGTATGTCTATGGAAGAAACAGTATCTTTTTTTGTAAGGACTAAGTCTTATGAATGTATACTGAAGTAAGTAGTCACTTCTGTTTTGTACATTGAAAAATTAAACATAATTGTAAATAGCTGGTACTGTATGAAAGGGGAGCTCGGCCTTATTTTTTCTTGTTTTGTTTGTTTGTTTGTTTTTCTTACTCTTTCTCAAAGTAACTGACTTTCCTCCACTGATTTTGTATAAGGAACGGTGGTTATTGTTAAATGTTCACATAATATGAAAATGTTTGAGGAAGAAGGAAAATGATAGGAAATCCTACGATAACCATCATTAACATTTCATGATCATTCTTTCATACACTGTTTTACATATGTGAACACATATCCGTCATACTAAATTTATTATGAATAGAACTATAGACACCTTTTTTTTTTTTTTTTTTTTTTTTTTTTTTTTGGAGACAGAGTCTCTATCGCCCAGGCTGGAGTGCAGTGGCGCCATCTCGGCTTAATGCAATCTCCGCTTCCTGGGTTTAAGCAATTCTTCTGCCTCAGCCTCCTCCCAAGTAGCTGGGATTACAGGAATGAGCCACCATTCCTGGCTAGTTGGGTTTTTTTTCCCCCCCATCCCGTAGAGACGAGGTTTCGCCATGTTGGCCAGGCTGGTCTCAAACGCCTGATCTCAGGTGATCCCCCCACCTCAGCCTCCCAAAGTTCTAGGATTACAGGCATGAGCCACCATGCCAGCCACTTTTTTTTCTTTAATCTCCCCACCTTATCACTGTTAGCTAGATGTGTATATTTCTGTTTTTCATGAATGTGATGAAAGAGATAGTTTTGTCAGCTAGGAACACTAGACCATATTATATACTTCTACATCTTACTTTCTCTTCATCTACTTCCCAGTAAATTGTGGCAGTCCCTCTAAGTCAGCAGGAACAGGCCTAACTATGTATGTATCTCATTGTGTGCTATATCACAATTAATTTAGTAATTTCCACAATGATGAGCATTCTCTTTGTTTTATGAAATTTTGCTGTTATAGACAGTGTATACTTTCCTTCCTCCTCTGCTCCCCTCCTGCCCCACACAAATCTTCTATAATTATCCTAAAGAACTGATGCATTTGTTTCTGAGATATGATTCCAGAAGGGGTATTATTGGATCTCAAGAAAAGTATATTTTTTATTTTTAAAGATATTAACAGATTTCTTTCCCAAAATGTTTGAGGATCTTTTTGTGTTTATTGACCATTTGCTTTTCTGTGAATTGCCCCATCGTTTATCTTTTTTAGTTTGTGAGTTTCTTGTTTATTATAGACAGTAAGTCTTTGTCATTTTTCCAAATTTTTCTCCAGAATTTTTATTTTTTACTTTCTACATGTTAAGTCTTTTATATGGAGGGATGTGTTTTTTAAGAAGAAAGAACTTTATTTACTAAATTAAAAAATATAGTAAACTCACAGTGTGGCTTGTTAATTTAATTTGTATGTAAATGGGTAGTTTTCAAATAATTAAATTCTATTAAAATACATAGAGGATTTCTAAGCTTATTTAATCCTTATTCAGAGGAATTTAAGATTTATTTTTTATTTTATTTTATTTTTTTTGAGACGGAGTTTCACTCTGTCACCCAGGCTGGAGTGCAGTGGTGCGATCTCGGCACACCGCATCTCCGCCTCCCAGGTTCAAGTGATTCTCCTGCCTCAGCCTCCCGAGTACCTGGGACTACAGGCCACCATGCCCAGCTAATTTTTGTGTTTTTAGTAGAGACAGGGTTTCACCGTGTTGGCCAGGTTTGTCTCGTTCTCTTGATTACAGGCGTGAGCCACCACGCCTGGCCTCTTTATTTTTTAATAGCAGTGATGAGGTTGATTCAGGCTATTTGAAACCTTCTTTCATTGGTTAATTTAGCAAACATTAAGTGCTGTTGTATGCTGGATACTGGACATTGGAGTAGGCTTTGGAGACTGAGATAAGCATGTTGACAACTTACATTTACTGACTGTTTACTGCTTTCCACATACTATGCTACGTGCTTGATGTGTCATTCAGTCCTCTCAACAACTTTACTATAATTATCAGCATTTTTTTATGAGGAAGTAAAGTTACTTGCCCAAGTTACACAGCTCATAAATTTTGAATCTGGTGAGCAGTTTGAATTAAAAGCCATTACAATATGTTCCACTGAAAGAGTTGAAATACACAGACAAATAATATTTAAATAATGTTATGCTCGTGTTGTATACAGACTTGGTAACACAGAATTGGGACTAATTAATTCTACCTAAGTATATACAATGAAAAAGTATAGGAATTTAGATGACATTGAGTTTTAAATTTTAAATTGAGTTTTGAAGTACATATAGAAATTTATTCAGCAAAGGGATGAGAGAGGGACAATGGCAGTACAAGGGCACAGTTTACCAGGAACTACTTAGCCTGGCTGGAATGTATAATGTGAAGTGGAGAAAGCTTTGGGGTATTGAGGCTGAGGGCTGCGGTAAGTAAGAGTCATACCACAAAGGCCTCTATTCCTTGATAAAATGTTTAGATTTCATCTTTATCCAGGGAGAAACATGAAAAGGTTTTAAGTTTTTTTCTTTTTTTTTTTTTGAGAGGGAGTCTTGCTCTGTCACCCAGGCTGGAGTGCAGTGGTGTGATCTGGGTTCACGCCATTCTCCTGCCTCAGCCTCCCGAATAGCTGGGACTACAGGCGCCCGCCACCACGCCCGGCTAATTTTTTGTATTTTTAGTAGAGACGGGGTTTCACTGTGTTAGCCAGGATGGTCTCGATCTCCTGACCTCATGATCCACCCGCCTCGGCCTCCCACAGTGCTGGGATTACAGACGTGAGCCCCACTGCACCTGGCCAGTTTTAAGTATTTTTAAAGATGATACTTGAAATTTTTTTTTTCTTGGGCGTAGCATCTGAAAGCTGGAATATTTTCATTGAAACACAAATTATTGTGCAGAACTACTGATTGATAGCTTAAATTAATGGTGGATTATTTTATATTATTATTAATGAAGCTTTATTCATATAACGTTTAATAAAACAACTGATTTGAGAGACTTAGAAGTAGAATCTATCTAATAGCCCTCAAATTATGAATGTCTTATATTCCCAATATTTAATTTTATAAATTGTTATGTATATTGTTTGCACACAGTGTTTCTTGCTTTAGCTAGCTCTCCGAAACATTTGACCATATGTTTGTCATATTAGTGACAATACTTGTCTGAACAAACATGCCAATAGTCTGAACATATCTAAAATACATGCTTTTCAACTCTCTGTTAGCTGTGTTTTATGAGATTTTCATTTTGCTTCTCAAGTACTAGTACCATAATTTCTGTTTAAGTAGATATCTGTCAACGTGCTGCTTTGCCCTACAAAGCATTTTTTATCCATAAGAAACAGGGCCTTTGAAATGTGGGTAGTCTGAAATGAGAAGTGTTCTGAGTATAAAATATATACAAGATTTCAAAGAATTGGTATTTTTAAAATGTTAAATATTTTTATATTATATGTTGGGATTACATGTTTTGGATATATTGGGTTAAGTAAAATATTATACTTTTTAACTTTTAAAATGTGGCTACTAGAATAAAGTTAAATGTATAACATGTTACATTTTTATCATTCAGTACTGCTCTTTACAGATGTTCCAAAATTATTTAGGGAACTCTAGTTTTCTCATGTATAGTCCCAAAGAAATCTAAGTGAAATGAGAGACCAGTAACTCTTAAAAAAGGAATTTATATTTAAAAAAAAAAAAGATACTTTTATTGGCTGGGCGCGGTGTCTCATGCCTGTAATCCCAGCACTTTGGGAGGCTGAGGCAGGCAGATCACAACGTCAAGAGATGGAGACCATCCTGGCCAACATAGTGAAACCCCGTCTCTACTAAAAATACAAAAATTAGCCGGGTGTGGTGGCACGTGCCTGTAATCTCAGCTACTCGGGAGGCTGAGGCAGGAGAATCGCTTGAACCCTGGAGGCAGAGGTTGCATGAGCCGGGATTGCGCCACTGCATTCCAGCCTGGCAACAGAGTAAGACTCTGTCTCAAAAAAAAAAAAAAAAAAAAAAAAAAAGGATACTTAATGAATTCAAATCCCATAATTGAAGACTTTCTGTGATGATTTTTTTTTAAGAAATCTACTCTTCAGACAGGCCTATTCTATCTATAAGTTGCTGCTCTTCTTCGCAGCTTCTCCTTTGCCTCTGTTCCTGAAACCACACACAGGATTTCTTCTGTAGATTCTCATTGGTTGCAAGGGCTTTGGTGCTAAGGGAGCCATATGTGTATAGATTAGATGTTTGTAAGTTGTGACTGCCTATGGTGGAAAATAACAGCAACAATAATATGGCATTGCTTCCCATACTACCACAATAAGTAATAAAACATTTTGTAATTCATTCTGTAACAAGAACAGCAGATCATTTATCATGGATTGCCTAGAGAAACCTTTTCAGGAGGATTAAGTGTTCGCACTTCATTTAGGAACTGCTTTTAGTAGAGCTGAGTTGGGAACTTAGTTTTTGGTTTATTATTGCTAAGGTTCTAAATGTTACATAGAAATTTTCTCTTTGTACTAGATTTACAGATGAAAATAATTATTTCAGAATCATTTCCCTCATTTTTTATTACACATGTTGCTTTATGATAAAAGCAAAAAATATAAATTGCTATTCTAAACTTGGGGATTTTACTTTAGTGATTGTTTTATGTAATACCCAACTAAGTTTGTATATTTAGAAATCCAGAAACAATGCAAAAGTTTATAGTCCCGTTAAATAGCTGGAATCATGATGTTATATTTTAAGCAATCACTGCTGTTCTCATTCATAACAATGAGGATCTCCAGGTAGTTTAGGAAATGCTATTTTTAGAGCATCAACCCTTTAACTAACCCAAAAGCAGGGGAGAAACCTAGCATTGTCACTTTCTTGATTTGCCAGGCTTTTATCAGTTGGTCTATCATTGTATTTGAAAGACATTAATTAGGAGTTTTTGTTCTACTATTTTAGAATTTTGCTGACTAATATTCCTTTGACTAGTTTGAATAACATTGGATCAACTCAGATGATGGCATTCTTATGTTTTGATTAGTGTATACATGGTGTACATTTTTTCTTTTACTTTTCACTTATCTGTTCTTTTATTTAAAATAGGCTTTTTGTAGACAGCATATTGTCGAACCTTGCCTTTAAAAAAATTGAATCCGACAATATCTGTCTCTTTTTTTTTTTTCCTTGAGACTGGGCCTCGGTCTGTCCCAGGCTAGAGTGCAGTGGTGTGATCTCATGGCTCACTGCAGCTTTGACCTCCCAGGCTCAAGTGATTCTCCTGCCTCAGCCCGTCAAGTCGCTGGAGCTACAGGCACATGCCACCACGCCTGGCTAATTTTTGTATTTTTTGTAGAGACGGGGTTTCACCATCTTGCCCAGGCTGGTCTTGAACTCCTGAGCTCAAGCTGTCTGCTTGGCTTGGCCTCCCAAAGTGCTGAGATTATAGGTGTGAGCCACCACTCCCACCCCAGTATCTGTCTTTTAATTGCTGTTTAGACCAGGGACCAACAGACTTTTTAAATAAAGGACCAAATGGTACATGGTTACAGGTCATGCTTGTATGTCATGCAGACATTCAACTATGCTGTAACATGAAAGCTGCTGTACAGTATGCAAATGAACCAGTATGTCTGTATTCCAAGAACACTTTATAAAAATAGGCATGGGCCAGATATGGCTCCAGGACTCTAGTTTCCTAACCTTGGCTTAGTGTAATATGATCACTGCTGTCATTGAATTAAAATCTGTTATCCTTCTGGTTGTTTTGTATTCTATCTGTTCTTTGTTTTTCCATCTTTTTCTGCCTTCCTTTGAATTAATATGTTTTGTGATTCCACTTTATTTCCACTATTGGTTTATTATTTGTACCTCTTAAGTTTTACTTGTTACCTTAGGTTTACAATCTGCATCTTTAATTAACATGTCTGCATTCAAATAATATTATATTACTTCACATGTAGTTTAAGAGCCTTAGAACAGTGTACTCCCAATTCTTGCCTTCCATTCTTTGTGCTGTTATCATATAATTTTATGTTATTTTCTCTTTAAGCCCCACTAATGTTTATACTTTAAATGATTCTGTAACCACCCTCACTGTTAAGATTTTTCTAGGTTTGTGACAGTAAGTTACAAGATTCATAAATTTGCACTGTTTTACAGGTGGAGAATTAGGAATATAGAGACAATAAGAAAAAAGCGTTAGCCTGACAAAGTCAGAGTGCTAGAAGAGAGCTTTCAATAGCTACAGATAACATTTCCTCTCATTCTTACCACTCAGTGTTTTTCTTTAGTCATTACCTTAATTATAACTCTTACTTTATAAGAAAAAAAACTAAAAAGAAAAAAACACTTTTATTTTAAAATTTACATTTTTCTTCATGCACTATATAATAAACACGGGAGTCAAATATTCTTTTTTTTTTCTGTCTGACAGACTGAAGATTGTCATCCAGTTTTTACATTCTTGATTCTGGGGTGTGTATTTCAGCTTTGAGTGTTTCAAGCAACAGATTTGTTGATAATTTATGATTCTTTATAATTTCTAGGTGCATACATAAAATCAGTCATGTTTTAGTATGCATTTCAAAGACATAAAGCTTTATTTTTTTCTTAAGAAATACGGAGTGTAATATGTTTACTATAATTAGCTGATTTTCTTTCAAGAAAGTTTGTGGGGCTTTTTTTTTTTTTATAGTATTTGTGTGGAAGTAATCGAAAAGACAACATATTTATTGATCCTGGATACCAAACATTTGAGCAAGAATTGAATAAAATACTGCGAAGCTGGCAACCAAGCATACTTCCAGATGGTAATGCTATTTTCACTAAAGGTGTTGCTCTCTTGATATTAGGATTGTTATTTTTACAGAGTATGTTTGAAAATATTATAATTAAGTCACTTAAATTAGATAACATTTTCTGAACACTTACTCGAGCTCATCTGCCTTTCATCTCTTGTTGAATTAGAAACAAATGTGGTCAATAACTAGTGTTTATGAAGAACTTTGTAAGAAATGTAATCTACTTTCTCTGGAGTACGAGACTGGATGTTCATGTCTTAAGCCTTCCAGTGGAGCTTCTGATGTAAATTTCTCTTAAACCACTGTTTTCAGTCCGTGAAGAAAATGTGTATGTATGTGGAGTCATCAATTTTTTTCAGGAATTTAAATTCCTGAATTTTAATTTTAAAAGGATTTACACTGTTTTCTGACCACTGTTTGCTTGTCCTACTGAAGAACAGAAGCAAACATCCAGTCCCTTATTCCATAGATAATAGTTCCATAGTAGCCTCTGTATTGTTAAAGAGCTGCATAGGTAATTCTAGAATTATTCTAGTTGATCTAATATGAAAGGAGAATTGGTATAGATTTGTCCTTAAATTAACTGTGTCTGCTTCTAGATGGTTAAATGAAAACTTTTATTTATTATAATTCTTTTAAAATAGTTCTCTCTATTTAAGGGTCAATATTCTCTCGAGTTGAAGAAGACTATCTCTGGAGGATAAAACAACTAGGATCACACTCTCCAGTAGCTCTTCTGAATACACTGTTCTACTTTAACACTAAGTATTTTGGCCTGAAAACAGTGGAACAACACTTAAGACTTTCCTTTGGCACTGTGTTTAGGCATTGGAAAAAAAATCCTTTAACGATGGAAAACAAAGCGTGTCTTCGATACCAAGTGTCTTCCTTGTGTGGAACAGATAATGAAGGTAGTGTAACAGATTTCTATTTTTATTTTTATTTTTAAATTTTTTTTGAGACAGAGTTTCACTCTTGTTGCCCAGGCTGGAGTGCAGTGGTGCAGTCTCGGCTCACCGCAACCTCTACCTCCTGGGTTCAAGCAATTCTCCTCCCTCAGCCTCCTGAGTGGCTGGGATTACAGGCAGGCGCCACCATGCCTGGCTAACTTTGTATTTTTAGTAGAGACAGGGTTTCTCCATGTTGGTGAGGCTGGTCTCGAACTCCCGACCTCAGGTGATCTGCCCACCTCAGCCTCCCAAAGTGCTGGGATTACAGGCGTGAGCCACCACGCATGGCCCAGATTTCTATTTTGGGATTGTCTATGGTAGGGATATCCAAACCTTGCCTTACTAAAGACCACCTGGGTCACTTGTTAAGAACCTAAGGACTGTCAGTTTTATAAAATAAGACAACCTATGTCTTAAGATGTCTCAGTTCCTTTTGTTTGAAAAATTGTACATTACCAGAAGCCATAACTTAAAACTCCAAGGGGCACCTGGTCCTATTCTTTGGTATAACAGACACTAGGAGTGATGTTTATATCTTTCTTCAAGATTAGTTTAGGAGGTTTATTTCACTTTTATTTTTTAAGATAAAATTACTACTGGAAAAAGAAAACATGAAGATGATGAGCCAGTATTTGAACAAATTGAAAACACAGCCAATCCTTCCAGATGTCCTGTGAAAATGTTTGAATGCTACTTGTCTAAAAGGTGAGTGTTAATGATACTTAACTTTTAAAAATGTTGGTAGAAGTTGGCTGGTTTAAATTTAACATTACCAAGAAGTGACTTTTTTAGATGGATTCTTTCTCAGATTTCTTCTCTCTCAGTTATACCCAAGTTCATTCAGTTATAATCTTTTATTTTGAAATACCCAGTTTATACATCATACTTAGAGTTTAAGCATGTGTTAAGAAATCTCTCTCTACTAATGAAATTTCTACTGCTGTCATTTTCTTTTGGAGATGGGGTCTTGCTCTCTCACCGAGGCTGGAGTACAGTGGCACGTGATCATAGCTCATTGCAACCTCAAACTCCTGGGCTTAAGCCATCCTCCCACCCTCTGCCTCCTGAGTTGCTGGGACTGCAGGCATGTGCCTCCATAGCTGGCTAATTTTTGTATTTTTTGTAGAGACAGGATCTCACTGTGTTGCCCAGGCTGGTCTTGAACTCCTGACCTCAAGCCATCCTCGTGCCTCAGCCTCCCAAAGTGCTGGAATTACAGGCATGAGCCATTGCGCCTGTCATTGTCTTTTAAATTACAGCAATTCCAATGACAGCAAAGCAAGGGACACAAACTTTTTCTTAAACGGTCAGATGGTAAATATTTTAGGCTTTTGGGCCTATGGAATCACTATTGTAACTAATCGGTTCTCTTGTGACTAGAAAGCAGCCATATACTATATATAAATTCATGGCATGTGGCTGTGTTATAATAAAACTTCACATAAGCAGGTGGCTGGCTGTAGTTTGCCAATGCCCGGTGTAAAGGTATGCTCAAAGGTAGTATAGATAGGTGGAAATGTAAGTGAAGTATTTACATTTAAGAGAAAACAGTCAAGCAGGTATGAAAAATGGAATCATGTTCTGGAATTTTTTTTCCCCTCAATCTCAGACCAACAGGCATTTTAAAAAGTTTAAGCCAATAAAACGTTTAGAGACCATAGATTATTTTATGCTTGCCTGTTGTTTTAAGTAAGCACTCTCTAATTTTCAGAAGGTCAGCATGAATTCAAAATGTACTTCCCTGTTTAAACAAATTTATAAATCACAGGTCCCCAGGATGGCCCTCAAGGACTTGTAAAAACAATAGTATCATGTATAGGATGATATTAGTACAAGTTGAATGCGCCTTATCCAAAATGCTTCTGACCAGAAGTGTTTTAGATTTCAGATTTTTTCGGATTTTGGAATATTTGCATATACATTATAAGATGTCTTAGGGCTGGGACCCAACTCTAAACATGAAATTCATTTATATTTCATATACACCTTATACATGTAGCCTGAAGATAATTTTATTTATGCATAGCCTGAAGGTGATTTTATTTTCCCCTTGGGGTTGCTGAATAACCTGTGTGTTATGTGCCTGTGTTTTGGGCGCGAACTCCTCACATGAGGTCAGGTGTGGAACTTTCCACTTTTGGTGTCATTTTGGCAAAGAGTTTCAGATTTTGGATTTTTGAATTAGGGATGCTCAGCCTGTATTTCTCACCATGGTTTAGGGTGGTCCTATTTGGCTGCAGTAGTGTCAGGGTCTTCAGTTGGTAGTAACTATTTGTTAGTAGGAAATTCCTATCTCACTATTACCTTGTTGGTATTTTAAAAATTGAGTTTCTATTATGTAGTGCTGTAAGAATTTTTTAATTTTATGTGCTGCCATACATATTTCATCAATTCTAAGACATTTTCACATTTCACTATTTCTGAAACTGGGATGCACAGTTTAAATTGTTGCATCTTGAAATCATAATTGGCAGTGTTTCACTTGCTTAATGGTAGCATTAAAATAATGAGTGGTGTGTCTATTGATAGTGTCTTGGATTTAGTGAAGTAGAATTAAAATTGTGGGAAATAATCTCTATCTCAGAAAATAACTTTGAGAATATTTTAATGACAGAATAATGGAGACAGTGGGGCATAGGGGGTCTGGTCATATAACGTGATTAATGGGGTCTGAATTATTCTTGAAAAAAGAAAAAGTTGTGGAAATTTTGTGAAATTGACTTTTTCTCTTTTTCCTCCCGCCTCCAAAGTCCACAGAATCTTAATCAGAGGATGGATGTTTTTTATTTGCAACCAGAATGCTCTAGTTCTACAGATAGCCCTGTCTGGTATACGTCTACTTCACTGGACCGAAACACCTTGGAAAATATGCTTGTACGGGTTCTTCTAGTAAAAGATATTTATGATAAAGACAATTATGAACTGGATGAAGACACAGACTAAAAAGGAACGTTGCAGAAGCAATCGGGATAAAACAGCATTAGATAGTCATGCTGCTAGATCTTTATTATGGAAAACATTTCAAGTTTACTCCTTCTGTTTTGAGTTTTGTAGCAGTGTACCCACGCTGGGTATTACCATGTAAATAATCTGTGAGTGAAAGTTGCCATTATTCTATGTAGTGGTTTTAGGATACTTAACAAATACATTCAAATTCTTTTTTTATTATTATTTATTTGATTAGGTATGTTTGTAACTTTTTACATTACAGAATATGAATGAGAATGTGCCATGTATAATTTTTTTCTTGTAGTAAGAAACATCCATATTGCACAACTCTACTGTTGCAAAGCTTCCTTGGAAGGGGGCTCTTTTACTGGGTTCTTAACCAGATGGTTGTGTATGGGTAGCACTACTAAAAGTTTAGAACTTGCAGTGTCTTTCGGAATTTTTAAAATAAACTGTAAACTAATAGGCTGGGGTTTTTGTTTTGTTTTGGGGTTTTGTTTTGTTTGGTTTTACATTTTAGTTACTGAAGCCTTACAAGGTTATGTAGAGAGATACCATCTTCTGTACCAAAAATAGACAAGAGAATGCTGTCAATATTGGTGTACTGTAATGTGAATCTATGCTGGTGAAAACAATTTTTTGTTCCCCTTATTAAAACCTTAGTGTCCTTTTCTCATTTGTGGCTTTCTGCATCACCCAATCAATAAAAAACAAATATATATATGTATATATATGTATGTATGTGTGTGTGTATATATATATATATATATATATATATAAATGATTGTAAGTTGAAAACAAGATCATCAAGACATTTCCTTTGTAAAAATGTCTGGTGAAAGTATAAAATTCTGTTTTCTTCTATGCCAGCCATAAGTATCTGAAATCCTCTTCATTTATAGAGGTTTGATTTTTATTTCTTTTTTTCCCTCTTAAGGATACAGATCATGCTGCAATGTTAGCTGTGTAGTACTCTAAAACTTAGCAATTTTATCAGAATTCTTGTGCCTGTTTACATTGGATAAAATTGTTTTTAGAAATTCCACTCCTGAAATAGTTACAGAAAGTCAAGCTATGTTAAATAAGATAGGATCACATTTTATAATGAAGATTACCAGTGTAGTAATTCTGATATTGCAAATGATTGAGGAACAAACAAAGAAACTAATAGAGAAAGTCAGTCTCAGAGGAAATCCCATTTAATGTTAGATTGTTTGGCTTTTGAAATTACTTCTTATAGAAGATTGCATTAAAAAAAAAAACAACTTTGTGCTTCTGCATAGCAATTTATCCATTCAGACCTTTTCTTTTAGAATAAGGAAACTTAAAATCTACTTTCTAAAGACTGAACAAAGTGCTAGCTGCAAATTATCTTGAAATCATTTGGCTCTTTTCTAGCATGTGTGTAATCATGTTTTCTTCTGATTCCTGAATGACCATGGTAGCATTAGTGTTTAGAAATTGTTCAGGGGAAAATTGAGCTATTTTCCATAGTGGCTAGCAATTGCTACACATCCTTAGATACTCCTCTCTCCCATAGGATAAATGTTACAGCACACAAAAGAAATTTTCTCAATTCTGATTTGGAAAATTTCACAGGTGTCATTATTGTATATCTAAGCAATAATTATCTGAATGTTTTGGCATAAAAAATTATAATGTTCTAACTTGTTTTATAAGTTGAATGACTTTTCAGTCCCTTGATTTTATATTGTTGAGTGATAATCAGACTGATAGTAGCAAATCTGATCATACATTACTAAAATAGATTGCTGATTGTCTATTTAACGAAGACAAGTGGGTAACATTTAAAATATATAATACAAAAATTTTCTCTAACTTACCTTTTTCCAGAACTACTTCTTTAAGCACTTTTCCTATTAATGCCTATTGTTGATTAAAAGGTGGTTAATTCTAACCATCTTTTAGTCTTCAAAGTGGTGCTATATTCCATCAAGAGCAATAAAGTTTTTCCCAGGTGTCACTTATTGTATATGTTACCAAATACCATGAATTTCTGCCATAGTACTACTATCAAGCACCTTGTCTTGCTATTTACAGTTTCTTCATTTGTATATTTTTAGCTTTTCTAAGTGGAAATGTCTACATAATTTTGATCTTGACATGATTGAGGATTTAGAGCTCTTGTCTTTGTCTTGATTGCAATCCAACGATAGATTAACTTGATTCTCAGGGGGAAAAGAAAAACTTATTTTATGAGAATTGTTTGTTCTGTGAAACTCACTTCACCTAGAACACATTTCATTGATTCTTGGATCTTAGTTTATGTGGTCATAGTTGACTGCTGAGAAAAGGACAATGAAATGATAGCAATTTCCTTTTGCTTCTAGGTGATCTCTGATTATAGATAGCATCCTGTAAATATAACTTTATTGTCTTGAAATGTTTATTGAAGATGCTATATTTTTCTGTTCTGTTTTCTGAAGATTTTGCCATTTAAAATGATCCAGTGAAAAATATTTATCCACATTGAAGAAAGTGGATTTCCCATGCAAATTGAATCTTCATTAACACATTTTAAAAGGCTTTACTGTATTAGGTAACATAGATATTAAAGGATTTTTCTAGGCAAGAAGCTCAACTTTTTTTTTCCATAAAAATAATTTTTGCTTAAATAGTAACTCATGGTTTTCTTTTATTAAATGGGGTTGTTGTCAGTATGTTAAACATTGAAGTAGGAGGAGGATGCATATTGTACTATGCATTCAAATTTATCACTGTTTTTTCTGACAGACTTTCCCTTTGTCCTTTCTAGTTATGACTTGGGAATGGGGTAACTTCTTTATGCATAGTATTAAGGGTTATAGTATGAAGAAATCATAAAATTGCAAGTTTTGGTTTGCATTACTCTAATGTGGGTTCATTTAATCTGAGATCTTAAATATCTTGCAGCCTTAAATCACTACAAACATTTGCATTTTTATTATGCCAGTTATTTCCAAAATGTATTGTTATACATGTCACTTATGTTTTTAAGCTAATATTGACTGTAGGATAATCTCCTTGTTCCCCTCAAAATAGTCATGAAAGTGTACATGAAAATATTTTTAAAGAATAAATTTCTTTAAATTACATACTTTTGGATTTCCCCCTTAATAAGCCCCTTACTCATGTTTAGAGAAGATTTTGAATTTCATTTATTCCATTCTACTGTGTTCTGAGGATTATATCAATTTAGAAGTTGATGTCCAGAACAGGTTATCTGTATCAGTTCTGAGAATAGAAACAACCTACAGTGCTGTCCCAATTTGTACTTTTTTTTCTTTACTCGGAAGTTAGATGTCAGAGGGACACCTCAAATAAGTGACTGTGATCCCCTGCCTTGTAATGAAGTGGAAAAGAGAGGGTCCCTAAAAATCTGGGCAAGTGGTGTCCTAATTAGTTACTGAGTTAAAACAAGTTCATGAATTTAGGCCTTTTGGGAAAGAAAGAGAATGTAAGATTTAACCTGTAAATGTTAAGAATAGAACCAAAGAGAGGGCCACAGACCATTAGTTGTTAAGAGGTATCAATCTTAACAGCATATTTTCTCTTGTGCAATGAAAAGAACAATCGTAGCTCTTTTGGGCATCTTAGGTCTTTTATTCTTTCTGGATGGCTTACATCGAATCCTTGTGATTTATTTAAAGACACATTTTTCCTGGAGAGGAGAAAGATCTTCTCTAAAATAGCCTTAACACTGAGAACATATTAGGCCTAATTTTAAAAGTCCAATTCAGATAACTCCTCAGAAGTAAATGCAGCACACTAAAATTCATTATCACAAAACTTAATATTTGTTAATATGTTTCCTCTGTGCTAAAAGGCTGCTGCTAACCATGGTAGTTAGGGAGGAAGAGAAAGTAAAAGACATTAGTGTTCAAAAACTTACATCTTTGGGGGTAAACAAGACATATAGTACATTTAACTCCTAGGGAACTTAGAATATTTATGGTAGGATAGAAAGAGATGATTGTGGACACACACAAGTACCCCAAAAGGCCATTATGGTCTAGAATAGGTTTCATAGAGAGGATTACTACCACCTGTGATTATATGGTATATGAAACATGAGATTTTGTAACCTGGACATTGCTTTTAGCTCTGTTGGAAATGGTCAGTAGAGCAATTTCTGAATATTTTGATGGTACGGTGTTGATGGCATCAGTCCTTTTCTGTGGCTTTCAGCCCAACTTAATACAAGAGGAGTTAAAAATAGCACCCAAAAGGGGTAGCTAGAGCACCCTCACCATGCACTAAAGATAAATCTAAAAGGTGTTCAAGTACATTGAATCAAGATGAGTAATCCAACTTCTATGTTATGTAGGATGGATGGAGCACACAAATTCTTGCAAACATTGTAGAGGTTTTTTTAAACTTCATCCACTAAGGATTTTTTTATAATAATTACTTTTGAAAATAAAATCTCAACTATTTTCCAAGTTATGAGTGTGCTGCTCTTAACCCTGTGAGATGAAATCTTCCCATTTGGATTACATATTTGTAGTTCTATATCGACATCAGCAGATGGCAATAGTATACAAATAGTATACAGCATGAGCCTTCCATTGCTTTTATTTCTTTGTTTATAAGTATACTATAATCCTTCATCTGAAACCCTTAGGGTTTTAGAATTCAGAATTTTCCCCTTTTCAGAGAGAATATATATAATGTAGATTACATAACACCCTCAATGGGGCCTGGGGCAACACCCCATAATCAAACATTAGTACATTCATAGTAACTGGGATTAACTATGTAAGGCAGTAAGCTACCTGCCTTACATAGTTTAGGTCAATTTTTGTCACAAACTTATGGAAAAACTAGGTTTTTAGAAATTTTTTGGATCTCAGAATTCGTGATTAGGGATTGCTGACCTCTGTAAGGAAACTGGTGTCAGGTCTAGAATTTTCCTTCTAATGAAATACGTAGTCATTTTCCCCCTTTTTAAATTGCTTAGCTTTGGTAGAGGTAACTGAAGGCTTTCTTTAGAATTCGTGTGTTAGATTTTAAGAAAAATGCATGAAATTGTTAGGACAGGCATAAATACAAATGGCAATTCTAGAGCCATTACGGAATTTTGAAACACTTAACAATTGCTTTCTTTTACTTTTCATCTTGCCTCAATACTTGTAGCATTACAAGTATTCCACGTAAATAAACGTTTATGAAGAGCTGCAGTCATGTCATGGAGCCAGGCATTTATTCATTCAACAAATAGGTTAGTCTTCCACACACAATTTCAGGTGCTGGGAACACAGAATTAAGACCCAGCCCTTCCTCTCAAGGACTTCGCGTAGTTTGGGAGAAACGGGAATGGGCTGGAATGTCAGAATAAGATGGGCACTTAGGCCTTATTGAGCATGATCACACTTGTATTTTGAAGTAAAATACCCTGATCAAGTAATTTACCAAGAAGCTACTTTTTGTGACACAGCTCCGTCTCCTGACCGCGGTTCCAGACTTCACCATTACACCAGTCTATTCCCATTCTGGAAAGGGAGAGGTATCAGCTCTTAGGGGGCAGAGATTAGCAAATTGAAAAATAGCAGTGAACCAGATGGAAGGCTCTCGATCTTTAGAGGTTATTAATCAGTGTTTGTTCGTTCAATTTTTAACCAGTCACCTTGCTGTTAAGAGCAGAACATAATTGGCTGGAATGTAATGTAGGGAATTTTTCCCTGTTGGATCCCTAGCACCTAGAAAAGTTCCTAGCACCTATTAGGTGTTAATAAATGATTGTTGAATGAATCAGTGATTACAAGTACTTTTAAGAATTTTGAAAATAAAGGAACCATTGGAAATACGACCTGTGATCAAGGAAGAAATACCTGTTTTTTGGTGTGTCTTTGAGCACTTCCCTTGCGTTTGTGTGTGGTCGTGTGTCTTTTCTGATTTGCTCAGCATACTAGTATCGCTTGAGTTCCTGTAACCTTCCATTTGTGAGAGCCAAGGAGATGAAGATGTAGGACTTGATGGTTTGTAGTACTGCTCAAAATAGTAACACTTAAAAATCACTTGTGAATTTCGTTAAACTGGAGGTTTCTGGTCTGCCCACTGGAGATGGGTTTAGTAAGTCTGGGTGCAAGTCTCCCAGAGAGTTGCATTTTAAACACCTTGGCTAAAAACCCAAAGACCTACAGTCTAAAAAGTGGTCCATCTACATTTTAAAAAATTAAATAGAATTGCATGGAATAGAACATAATAAAGGCATTTTCTTCATGCACTTTATTTTACACTCGTGTGCATTGGTTGGCAAATGTAAAACACTTCTATGGTTTTCAAAGTGTGAAAGCCTTCCCCTAGAAGACTTAACTAAGAGCAACTCCACACTACATACAGAAGGATTTGGTGTTAGTCTGCTCCTCCCATTTTGTTTTCGGATGTCAACGTTTATCTACACTGAACTCCAGAAAGTTGTGAACTGTGGGGACATTTGCTTTTCATTTCGTTGTAATAGGTAAGTGGCTAGTCAAAGGTAGTGTGGTGTAGTATTTGAAACATCCGTTTCTCTACTCGTTTGCCATAAGTTTGAGGCAAGACTTTTTTTTTCCTAGAGTTACTGTGAGAATAAAAGCAATAGTTCTTGGAGTGCTTTTCTGTGTGCCAACCCATGATGTATTGTTGGCATTATTATCCCCAGTTTAAAGATGAGCCAATGCCTAAGGTCACACAACTAGGAAGTGGCAGAGCTGTGATCCACATTAGGTCTTTGTGTCTAAAAGCCCACGTGTGCTCTAAACTACTTGGCCATTCATTTCTGTGACAGACTGAAATAGGTAGTTCTTCCAGGCTACCCCAATCATCCACGAACCTCTTCTCAACTGGTAGAGCAAATGTTTAGTAAGCATATGCCGAGACAAAAATAATAGGTGAGCCTGCAGCAAAATTGTGGAAGATAGCAGATGGATACATGGAAAGGAACTTAGCAGAGCCAGTCCCAGCCTTGCTCTGTACACTTGCCCTGCTTGCCCCAACTGCACATCGGCAGCTGAGTGCCGAGAGGAACACACCTGGCAGCTGGATTGCTGTCCCATACCTTTCCGGCCACACATGAACACTTCTCCATTCTTTACACTCAGGGGTTGGTCAGCTTTTTCTGTAAAGGCCCAGAGAGTCAGTATTTTAGGTCTTGGACACCAAGAGGCAGCATTGAGGATATTCTGTAAGTACTTAAAAGAGAGGAGTGTCCATATTATTTTTTAATTGACAAAATTTGAAATAATTGAGTACAACTTTTCTTAATGGAGTCTATTAATGAGAGGGATAGAATGCTTTTTAGGGGACTGTTTCACTTAATTGGAGTTCAAAGTAAGTAGTTGGCTATGATCAAAATTGATTGCAAATGTTCATCTGTTAGGTTTTAATGTATTTCATCTTTGAAAATGTCTTTTCAGGCCGGGCGCGGTGGCTGACGCCTGTAATCCCTGCATTTTGGGAGGCCGAGGTGGGCAGATCACGAGGTCAGAGCTAGACTCCGTCTCAAAAAAAAAAAAAAAAGGTCTTTTCAAGCAGTAGATACTGCCAAACACTGATATCAGTCCATGTGCGTATGATTTTAGTCAAACATATTCATCACTTAGAAAGCATTTGTACAATTCTACTAGATTGTTCTCTTGATACTTACCTTTCAGCATGTTACTGTGTTGCAGATTAATCACATTCAGTTAAAGGTTAGATGTGATCTCCTCAGTTTCACAATTAAATGGATTTTGTAGTACAGAAATTGCCTTCACACTTGCATTGAGCTCTGAAAAACACTGCTGGAACTCTAGTTTGAGACTGGCAGTGTGTCTGCTCTCAATGTGTGGGGATGGGAATGCCATTGCTTGTAACTTTTGACAGCATGAGAACTGCATAAGCAGCTTGATGTTACTTGTGATTCAAGCAACATTAGTTGTCATTATTCACTGAACCTTACTGCAGTATGTTTTGCATTTAAGCACTGTTTTGCCTTGTAATTTTAGGGTGAATTCATCAAGAAACATTATCAAGCTTGCAACAAAATAACTTCCAAAGCTATTCAGTGTTGAATAGTAGTGGTTGAGTGTGGTTTATCTCATTCAGAACAATTGCAGTCTTTGCCCTGAGCTCAAAACATCACAATAAAATTTGATTGCTGCTAAGCCGTTGACCTGCTGTGTGGTAGGGCAAGTCAGGATATTCAGCTGTGCTGTCTGACAGATGTTCACGGAATTGACGATGGTTAAATCCATGAAAGTGAATGAAGTTCGCCCTTGACACTACTGGTTCAGTAACACGTGATCAATTCACGTATTTACTGCAAAGCACTGCTGATAATACCATGAACAACTTTAGGCTTTAAATATTTACATTTCAACTAAGACTTTTTCTGCTTCATAATTTTGCCACCATTAGTTGCACTCAGCCAATTCTATTTTCAAGTTTTCTCCACTTTACCTACAGATCAACTCATAGATGCTAATAATTCTTCAGTCACTTCAAACTTGGAATGAGACACATTGAAAAGACACCTAAGCAGTGTCGGTAAAAAAAATCAAGAGCAAAGAAAAACACTTGAAAACATCTACCTTGTTTTCAAAATTTTAAATGACTCTTCAAGTTTTCAAGCAAGTCTTTTTGCCAAAAGGCCAGTATTCTTAAACAAGCTTATTTTCTCTGGATACATTTCTTTGGCTGCTGCAATCAAATGCAATTTAATTACTATTGGGAAGCGGTTTTCCTTGTTTGGCTAACAAATGAGCCGCTGGAAACTTACTTTGGTTGCAGCCTCATTTGAATTTTTTATTTTTTGAGGAAATTGTACTGGAATGAGAGGTTCTGTTTTAAATTTTCTAATTTTTCTGACCGCTGCTCTCCTGTGAGTTGGACATACCGTGAGGAGGGCTCAGTCTGGTCATGTTGATGGACACTGTTCTTTAGCATCGCTATCATGTCATTTCACAAGAAACACAAAACCAGCTAATTCAATAGCAGAATCCAACTCCACTGTGCATTAACAGTGGGACACCCAGAGAACACTTTAATTGCTTTGACATGGTGAGTTCGCACTGTGAAAATAAGTTGTTGGTGTGGCAATGTGCATGACACTGGAAACAGTGATGTGAAGCCCTCACTGCAGTGGGCTAAGCAGCAGCACAGAGGTGAGAGTGCCACAGGCTGCTCCGTCATAGCTCCTCAGCCTTGTCCTTGTAGCAAAATAGCCACCAAAGGCCATAAATAAGTGAAAAAGTGTGCCTGTGTTTTAATACAGCCTTATTCATGGAAATATTTGAATGTTACATGCCACAAAATATTTTTTAAAATGTCTCCATTAAAAAATGCATAAACCATCCTTAGCTAGTGTGCCTCGTAGAAATGGGTCGTAGGTAAGACTTGGTCTGCAGTCTGAAGCTTGCCAATTCCTACTTAAGTTGCTAACCTTGCTTTCTACTTCAATTTCTTTTAAATGCAATTTTATTTATTTATTTTTGAGACTGAGTCTTGCTCTGTCGCCCTGGTTGGGGTGTAGTGGCGCAATCTCGGCTCGCTGCAACTTCTGCCTCCGGGGTTCAAGCAATTCTCATGCCTCAGTGTCCTGAGTAGCTGGGATGACAGGCACGTGTCACCACGCCTGGCTAATTTTTGTATTTTTAGTAGAGACAGGGTTTCACCATGTTGGCCAGGCTGGTCTTGACCTCGTGACCTCAACTGATCGGCCTTCCTCGGCTTCCCAAAGTGCTGGGATTACAGGCGTGAGCCACCGTGCCCAGCCTAAGTACAATTTTAAAGCAATCAAAAGAGACTTCCATTGATCCCACCATCACTTCTACCCACCTGCAAGCATACTGATTGTTCGCTTTAGCACAAAAGCTGCTGTTGATCTGATCATCTTTAAAACAACCCTTTTTTAACTCTACTTCCCTCCACTTCATTTCTTTGCTTTCCTTTAGAGCAGAATTCCTCAAAAGTTGTCTAGCCTTATGGTAATTCCTGTTTTCTCTCAGATATCAAGAAGGTTTTTGTCCCAAATCCCACTGACTACTCTTACAAATGCCACTCATGACCTCCATGTTAAATCCAGTGGGTAATTCTTTTTTTGTTGTTTTTTGAGACAGTGTTTTGCTGTGTCACTCACCCAGGCTGGAGTGCAGTAGTGCGCAGCCTGGACCTCCGAGACTCAAGCGATCCTCCTGCCTCAGCCTTCTGAGTAGCTAGGACTAACAGGTGCACTCCACCATGCTTGGCTAATTTTTGTATTTTTTGTAGAAAAGGGGTTTCACCATGTTTCCCAGGCTGGTCTTGAACTCCTGAGCTCCAGCAATCCTCCTACCTCAGCCTCCCAAAGTGCTGGGCTTACAGGAGTGAACCACCATGCCCCGCCCCATAGGTAATTCTTAATCATCGTATTACTTAGCATTTTAAACTGCAGCGCATGACTTCCTTTATGAAACATATTTTTAAACTTAGTTGCCTGTATTCTATGGTCTCCTGATTTTTCTCCTACTTCATATGGCTCTTCTCAGTATTCTTTGCTAATACCATCCTTAGCCCCTAACCTTTTAAAGTCAGGATGTCCAGAGCTCAGTTCTTGAGCCTCTTATCTAACTTAAATCTTTGGGGTTCTTAGGTAGTCTCAACGGCTTTAAAAGCCACCAATACACTGAAAACTCTACTACATGTATTGACTGTATATCTCCAACTTCGGGAATAGATGAATAATGACCTTATTTTGTTCTAGTGTTTTAGCTGTATTAACTCAGTTAGTACAACTACCCTGTAAGCCAAAGGGCAGAAAACCTTTCTATTAAGGGCCAGAGAGTAACTATTTGAGGCTTTGTGAGCTTCCTAATGTGCCCCGAATTCCTTCTGGTGGGTTTTTGGTCTCGCTGACTTCAAGAATGAAGCCGCAGACCTCGTGGTTAGTGTTACAGCTCTTAAAGGTGGCGCATCCGAGTTTATGCCTTCAAATGTTCAGATGTGTCCGGAGTTTCTTCTTTCCGGTGAGTTCGCAGTCTCGCTGACTTCAGGAGTGAAGCCCTAGACCCTGGTGGTGCGTGTTACAGCTCATAAAGGTAGTAAGGACCCAAAGGGTAAGCACCAGTAAGATTTATTGTGAAGAGGAAAAGAACTATGATTCCACACCATGGAAATGGACCCGAGAAGTTGCGGCGGGTGGGGGTGGGGGTGGGGGGGCAGGCAGGTGGGCGGTGGGTGGGGGGGGGTGGCCAGCTTTTATTCCCTTATTTGGCTCTGCCCATGTCCTGCTGATTGGTCCATTTTACAGAGCACTGATTGGTCCATTTTGCAGAGTGCTGACTGGTCCACTTTACAGAGTGCTGATTGGTCCATTTTACAGACTGCTGATTGGTGCAGTTACAATCCTTTAGCTAGACACAGATGCTGATTGGTACATTTACAATCCTTCAGCTAGACACGAAAGTTCTCCAAGTCCCCACCCGACCCAGAAGCCCAGCTGGCTTCACCTCTTACTAACATTTTGTTGCATGTTCTTTTATGAGTTTTTTTGCATGCTTTACAACCGTTTAAAATGTGAAAACCATTCTTAGCTCATAGGCCATACATAAACAGGCCATGGGCCAGATTTGCACTGATGGCTGTGGTGTGCTGACCCCTGCCATAAGCTATTACAGAGTAGTGTGTTATTATCCCCGTTTTACATATGGAGACACTGAGGCACAGAGTTCAAATAACTTGCCCACACTCATCAGCTAGCAAATGAAACGAGGGTTCCAACAGGCAGTCTGGGCTCCAAGTCTGTGTGCCTAATCGCCACACTGCTTAGAAAGTCAAAATACGTTTCGGTAAAAAGGAAAGCTAACCAAAAGCTAGCAATTTATGCCCCAGAACGCCAAAAAGTCTTAGGAATTGGAAGCATCAGACACTCTAAAGATCAGATATAGGCGATTGTTTAAAAGTCTGCCAGAAAAACCATGTAGTCCTTTCCGAGATCCTCCCCCCAGCCTTAGCAGTCATTTCCCTACACCTAGGAGTTGAGGTTTAGTCTCTGGAAAAAGTGCGGTGGAGAAACCTGGGACTCAGAGAGGCCAGGCAAGACTGAGGCTGGCGGGTTGCATGCCAGTCTACAGCTGAAAGTGAGAGCCCTACTGCTTGGCACCCAGGATGCTTGAGGCCAGGCTTGCAGAAGATCTGACGATTCCTCTCTGGGGAGTTAAACCAGCCCAGGACAAATGACAGTGATACCCACAGCTGCTGACATCACGATTCTGCACAATGACCTTACAGTGAATGCCAGCTGTCAGAAAACCCTCCTCAGGTCCACAGAGCTCCCTTTCAGGGGTTTGCACTCTAAGTAAGCATGGACTACTTAGACATTTGAAGAAAGCTTTCAACATGAAAAAGAATCAAAACAAGAAGGAAATGGGGAAAAAAGTGCTACGATGTAGGAAGCAAAGGAAAACTTTAATTCGATTAAAAAAAAGATAAACATATCCAGGAAGTAAGAATCAGAGGCTATGTAAAAGGAATATTAAGAAAGACTTGGGAAAATTCAAAATATGATAGCAGAAATAAAATATTCAGTCAAAAGATTGGATAACAAATTTAAGAAAATCTCAAAGTGGAGCAGAAAGATAAAGAAGGGCAAAGTAAGAAAGAGAAAAGATTTTTTTAAAATCCTATAGATTTAACCCAGAAGGTCCACCATCAAACAACTACAACTTCCAGAGAGAGAGAGAGAATGGAGAAAGTGCAGGGGAAGAAAATGGCAAAGAGATAATATGGGAAAAGTTTCTAGAATGGGAAAACGAGATTATCCACGATGAAAGGGCACAGGGTGCCCAGGATAATTAATTTAAAAAGTCTCAGACCAAGACACATCATCGTGAAATTTCAAAAAATGGGATGTGAAGCAAAGATTCTAAAAGGTGCCACAGAGGGAGAAAAAAAATCCAAAAAGCAGATTACATACAAAATATCTGGAATCAGAAAATGATCTGACTTTTTAACAGCAGTGCTGGAAGTTTTAAAACAGTGCTATAAAGCCTTTAAAATTCTGAAGAGAAATTATTTCCAACCTGGAATTCTATGTCTAGCCAAGCTATCAGGTGGAGGAAGGGCATTTTCAGATAAGCAAGTTCTTAGAAAGTTTACCTCTTAGATGTGGTTGTCAAGAAGTGGTTCTGTTCCGCCGAAATGAGATTATGAATGAGGAGAGGGGATCCAGGAAACAGGAGCTGCAGCCCAGATGAGAGGCGCTGAAGGATGGTGACAAGCTTTCAGGCAACTATGTGACATATCATCGTGCCCCAGTTGTCACTTTATTGCCTCTTGGCTCTAAATCCACCCTTCTGCCGTTCTTTGTGCTACTGGAGCTGGACCCTGTAAGTATTTCCCCTTTGCCGGCCGTCGCAATGGCAAGCCTTGTCAGTAAAGGGCACGGGAAGACATTGCAAGAGGGAAGGGTTTTCTTGGGGCTCAGGCCTTGTTTTTCTTGTTTTCGTGGAGAGGCTGCCAGCAGAACCCCAGGGGGCAGTTTTCCTGTGAGTTTCATTGGCAGATCAGTGGTGACTTCCGCCCATCGGCCCAGCCTCAGCACCTCATTGACTCTACCACCACCCCATAGGCCACAGCCTCAGCCTTGGTCTTGCCTTAGTGCCCTCCCTCCATCCTAGCGGCAGCAGCTGCCCTGTACGCCTGCTGTTCCTGCATTCTCTAGTGTTCACTTCATGCTTCTCAGAAGTTCATTCCTTACTTACTAGTTAATAATTCTTTATGTTAAATTTTCCCTGTTAGTATTACTGGTGTGGATTCTGTCTCCAGACAATCCCGACTGATATACATAGTACTATAAACACTGAAACATTATTCTATCAAGATGTATGCTGTGGTGGCCTTGGGATGATGGAAAGGGGACATAGGTATGGATGGATATGTGAGGGGTTATGTATGTAGAAGAGCCAGCTCTTCTTGGTGAGAAGTCAGCAGATTACATGAAAATTTAAAAACTAAAACAAAAGCATGCACTGAAGTATGTTTAGAAATATGGCTGCAGTGACCAGGAGAAAGAGCACAGTGTTAGGAAAGGTGCTGCCTTTGGAGAGCAACAGGAGAGGAATCTGGAGAGGGCAGGGCGCTGCTGGTTTTTATTATATGTCTCTCAATGCTATAGCAGCCCCCCTTCTCCTCGGGGGATATGGTTCAAGACCCCCCAGTGGATGTCAGAAACCACGGATAGCACCAAACCCTATATATACTATGTTTTGGTCTGATAATCTAGATGGCTACTAAGTGACTGACAGGTGGGCAGCAAGTACAGTGTGGAGACACTGGTCAAAGGGATGACTTGCGTCAAAGGGTGAGACGGCTTGGGACGGCACAGGACTTCATCACGCCACTAAAAAGGCGGCTGTGCACTCTTACCTCAGATAATTGTTTATCTCCAGAATTTTCCATTTACTATTTTGAGGCTCCAGAAAGCAAAACAGCCAATAGGGGGGATGACTTCTTTACTTTTAAATTGTTTAATGTATTACTTCATCTTTTAATTTAGTTTATTCATGAGAGCTAAAATATGGAAACAGCTCAAATGTCCATCAACAGATGAATGGATGAGCAAAATGTGGCCTATCCATATAATGGAATATTTTTCAACCTTAAAAAGGAGGGAAATCCTGTCACATGCTATAACATGGATGAACCTTGAAAACATTATGCTAAGTGAAATGAGCCAGTCACAAAAGGATAAATATTGTATGATTTCACTTATAAGAGGTACTAGGGGCGGGGCATGGTGGCTTACACCTGTAAGCCCAGCACTTTGGGAGGCTGAGGCGGGAGGATCACTTGAGGTCAGGAGTTCCAGATCAGCCTGGCCAACAGGGTGAAACCTCATCTCTACTAAAAGTACAAAAATGAGGCAGGCGTGGTGGTGGGCGCATGTAGTCCTAGCAACTCAGAAGGCTAAGTCAGGAGAATTGCTCAAACCCGGGAGGCAGAGGTTGCAGTGAGCTGAGATCCTGCCACTGCACTCCAGCCTGGGTGACAGAGTGAGACTCTGTGGCAAAAAAAGAAAAAAAAAAGAGGTACTAGGGTAGGTAAATTCATAGAGGCAGAAACCACAGCGGTGGTTGCAGGAGCTGGAGAGCGGAAGATGCGGAATGACTGTTGAATGGGTGCAGAATTTCAGTTTGGGAAGATAAAAAAATCTGCAGATGGATAGTGGTGATGGTTGCACGACAATGTGAATATACTTAATATCACTGAGCTGTACACTTAAAAATGGTTAAAATGTTGAATTTTATGTTTGTTTTACCACAGTAAGGAAAGTTGAATTTAATAAAATCAGTGCATTGGAAATACAGGTCTCAGCTACAAAGAACATTAATTCATGCCTGATACTTGCAGTATTATCATCTGTAAAGTAAGCATTAGCTTGAAAAAGGTATTTTGGGAATTTCATTCTATTTATTATTTAATTTAATTTATTCCTCTCTAACTTTGCCTTATGTAGTAAATGGCCACTACCTTGCCTCCATTATTTCAAGCATTATTTATACCAGAGAAAAATACTTGAGCATCAAAGAGTAGTTTTCAATATGACATTCATTGACTTGCTGAAAGGAGGTGTCAGATTTCATTCAGAGAGGATTTGAGGACCTACTACATGTCAGCCCTGTGAGGCACAGGGTAAACAGAGACAAATAATATTTCCTTAAAGTATCTCCCACAATATAATAGGAGAGACAGGAAGGAAGAAAGGGCCTGTGATCTCATGGCATCCAAGGTGAGCAAACAGTGGGCAGAGGACACAACAGGATGAGGAGAGCACCTCTCAGCTTGGTAGAGAGGAGCTTGGGGCCAGCACTACAGAGCGCGGGGATGAGGTCTTCAAAGGCGAGTGACGGTTTGTCGTACAGCCACAGGAACCAGGGTGAAGCTGAGGCTGCCCACCATCCTTTGAACACCTGCCCCATATTCCTGCTTCCATATCTGTCGTTACTGCAGATTAGTTGCTCTCCAAATTGCATTTCCATGCTGTGCTGTGTGATTTGGATTAATAGGGACTGCATTAAATGCTTTCTCTGAGGATCTTTCCCGTACTGGAGGCTGGAGGAAGCACTCAGTGTCTCGGGACATTTTCAAGGCACTCAGTCTCACTGGGGTGACAGATCTTATCAGCAAAGACTTTTTACCCAAGAGGACAAAGTGTCCAAATGGGTGCTTGTGGGAATGTACTGGGGGTTGGGCAGTGTTTCATTCTGTTTTGTGCTGCTATAATAGAATACCACAGACTGGCTAGCTTATAAAGAAAATAAATGTATTGCTCACACTTCTGGAGGCTGGGAAATCCAATATCAAGGGGTCGGCATCTGGAGATGGCTCATCCGGCAACGGGAGGCAGAAGGGCACGGGAGTGCCTCCAGAGAGCCAGAGAGCAAAGGGGCTGCACTCCCTTTACACCAAATGCACTCTGCAATCATGGTATTGATCCTGCACTTGAAGGGAAAAAATTCTATAACAGAAGTAGTATTTGTTGTCTCCTGAGCCCATCTGGATCTACCTGAACTTGCTCCTTTTGGTAAGAAGGCAGCGTTTTGACTTAAGTGGGTGAGGAAGTCTAGCAGCCTCAGGTCCCCACATGGAATGCCTGTGTATACTTGTCAGCATCAGTTACAACTCCTTTAATCCTCAGCGTGTGAAGGAGGGAGAGGATTTTTCTCTTTGGCAGTGTCTGACAGATTCTCCTGTTTGAGGAACGTTGCTGGCTAGTGACATGGAGGAGCACTCACCAAGAGAGAAGGGGTTGATTTTATCACTGAAAGCCCAGCTCTGTGGTACATTCTAGAAGCTCTCAACATCTAAGTGAGTTTTACTCAAAGACTTTTCTGGGAAAAAGGAAACCTTCTGAAATGAGAGATTGTTGTTTAAATTCTCATTCTTCTTTCCCCTTCTCTCCCCAAGTCTGATGGTGCGCACCAGAAGCTTCTCCGTCCTATTGAATCTAATGAGAACATCACGTGGGCAAGCGTTCAGTTAACACCCAAAAAGAGCTGCAGCCACAGACTGGCACTGCATCAGGAAAGGCAGACGGGAACACATTCTAGTGAAATGCAGGAAGTTAGAGACACGAGGCAAAAAAGATGTTAAAGAGTTTTGTGTCAGAGATAGCAGAAACTCCTTAATTACTTTTTGGAGTTTGGATTTCTAAATCACAGCTTTCTGGAAAATTCAGATTCTTATCAGTAAAAGATCCTGCTTTAGGTTATTTAATATTTGGAGTCTTATTATCATTATTTGTACTTTATCGCACAGGTTGGAGTGCAGTGGTGCAATCTCGGCTCTCAGCAACCTCTGCCCCCGGGTTAAAGTGATTCTTGTGCCTCAGCCTCCCAAGTAGCTGGTATTACAGGCACTCACCACCGCACCTGGCTAATTTTTGTATTTTTAGTATAGACAGTGTTTCACCATGTTGGCCAGGCTGGTCCCAAACTCCTGACCTCAAATGATCTGCCCACCTCAGCTTCCTAAAATGCTGGGATTACAGACGTGAGCCACTGTGCCTGGCCTGGAGTCATATTATTTTGTAAAAGCAGTAAAGAATATAAAATGGTAACCATAAAGAGGAAATATTTTAATACAGCAAATATATCTGAAATTTGACCCCCTAAGCATATCAGTATTCCCCCCATCTAGTCCTCTATATATCCATATTATTTGTACGTAAACAAAAGCATTTTTATCTTCCACCTTTCCTCTGGTATATCGGAAGTGTTTTACACACTTCCTCTGAGGAGTTTTGATTATATTAAATATTATATGAAATATTTCTACACTTTACTATCATGCCCTTTAAAACATTTTTAAAGCCTAAAGGAAGGTACTGCCATTCTATTTCCCTCCCTTTGTTAAAGTCACCAAGATTAATTTGATATTGGTTGACTGAGACGGTCTTACTCACCCAGGCTGGAGTACAGTGGCTTGATCATAACTCACTGCTGTGACCTCCAACTCCTGGGCTTAAGCGATCTTCAGGCCTCAATGTCCTGAGTAACTGGGACTACAAGTGTGTGCCACCGTGCCCAGCAAATTTTTAAAAATATTTTTTAGAGACAGGGGTCTCACTATGTTGCCCTTGCTGGTCTTGAACTCCTGGGCTCAAGTGATCCTCCCTCCTCTGCCTCCCAAAGTGCTGGGAATACAGGTGTGAGCCACTGCACCTGGCCTAATTTAATGTTTATTAAGAACCACCAATGAAATACATGTTGTTGCTAATCTGTGGAATGGGTTAAAGGGTACAAAAAAAGCAACACCAAGACAAACAGGCTTTTGTGGATTTTTTTCTCCAGAAACGGGGAAAACAATATCCTTCGTTCATTCATACTTAACAATATCCTTCATTCATTCATACTTATTCACTGGATCAAATGTTACTTGGATACCTACAGTGGGTGAGGTGTATCCTCAAGGTGTACCCTACAAGGGATACCATAGGGACACTCAGTGCCTGCCCAGGGAGCTCACTGTCCACCAGGAAGACGGCTCCCACATACAGCATCAGGCGACGTGGCGGGAGGGACACAGACTAAGTTCCACAGGGTACAGAGGACAAAGAATCGAGTTCAGCCACGGTGACCTGGGAAAATATTGTGCAGGGACTTTAAATTGGAGTTGGGGAACAGATAGAGAAAAAGAAGGCATTTTATTGTCAGGGATGAAAGAAGTGAAGTCACCGAGGAAGGGAACCACTGGGCATGTGGGAAGAACAGTGAGCAGCCCCCCACAGGCTGGCTGCAGAGTAAGGGGTGGCCAGGCAATGGGGCAGGCCCGCTGCTCAAAGCCCTTCATGGAAGGCCTCGCAACTTTGCTTAAGCAGGAACTCACAGGTGGCTTTCAATTAGGTGAGTGACTTCAAGAGGGGGCTTTAAAGCATGAGTCTGAGCAGTTGTGTTCAAGATAGGCTGAGTGGGGGCCAGCCTGCCCAGAGAGTGCAGGGGACAGCCCAGGGAGCCGGTGGCAGAAACTGAAAGGAAGGGCCACTGGAGGAGGTGCTAGGATGGAAGAACAAAGGGATTTGGGACAGCAGACAAGGGAGAAGTGCACGGGTTATTCTGGGGTTTTGAGTTTGGGGTGATGAAATATCCCACAAATGGAAGGAGCATGGTCAGGAGCAGGCCCAGGGTGTGGCCCGTCCTCAGTCCAGCTGCTCACCGTGGCTGGGGTCCAGGTGGACCCAGGTGCAATGCAGAGCTCATGGGAAGGAGGGAAGAGGCTGGAGTTGATCACAAAGAGACGCGGACCCAGAGGTGGACAGGATCTCTGAAGGACGATGCCTAAAGGGGAAAGAACAAAGGACAGAACTTCTGGGAGTGCCCACACTGAAGGAGAAGCAAAAGAGGAAGAGACAAAGAAGGCACTGCCAGGGCCTGGAGGTCGGTAAATGCACTGCCGTGAGGTCGGGGGACAATGAGGGGGTGCCTGTGTCAGGTGCACTGGGGCCAACCTTGACGCTGAGTTCAAAACACAGACCAGGAGCTCGAGGAAGAAACGGTGCCCCCTTCTGAGAACTTTGCTGGTGAAAGGGAGAAGAGTGGTGACAACTCGATTTCCCTTTTGAGGCTGTCCTAGAAGCTGGCACTTCAGTTGTCACAGGGCAGTTCATTTGGACCCATATTTCTTCCAAAATAGTCTGTGGAGGGGTCACTGGCGCCCAGCCCTTTGCGCTTCCCCACGGTGCTGTTCTTCCAGGCAGGGTGGGTCCATCAGCTGCCTCTCCTCACCACACAACGCAGATTCCATGCATCTGTAGAACTGGAAGACTCCCCCGCAGTTATAGACATTTAACAGGAATTGAGTCAGAAAAAGCTCAGATGTTAACGCCTAAGGCAAAAGAGAAAAGGACACAACCCTGAGTCCAGCCTCCTCCAGCTGGGGCTGGCCACTGCGCTGGTCCTGTTTGCCTCTGGGTGTTAGCGGAACCTCCTTCCCCTCCACTGCCATCCCTAACATCAGCCAACATTGAGCAACTTAAATCCAAAATGCCACACACCCCAAAGGTAACAGATTGAAAGAATCCCAGAGTTGGAAGGAGTCTTAGAGGTAACTTAGATTATATAACAGGGATTGCCAAAACTACTGCCTGCAGGCCATCCCGCCACTGCCCTTTTTGGGTAAAGAAGTACCGGTGGCTGGGTGTGGTGGCTCACACCTGTAATCCCAGCACTTTGGGAGGCCGAGGTGGGCAGATCACCTGAGGTCAGGAGTTCCAGCCCAGCCTGGTTAACATGGTGAAACCCTTTCTCTACTAAAAATAGAAAAATCAGCCAGGTGTGGTGGTGAACACCTGTAATTCCAGCTACTCAGGAGACTGAGGCACGAGAATTGCTTGAACCCGGGAGGCAGAGGTTTCAGTGAGCCGAGATCACGCCACTGCACTCCAGCCTGGGCCACAGAGCGAGACTCTGTCTCAAAAAAAAAAAAAAAGTGCTAGTACACAGCCACACCCATGGGTCCACTTAATAACCGTGGCTGCTTTTGTGTGACAGTTGTCAAATTTAGCAGTAGCATCGGACACTATTTGTCTCACAATATCCAAAATATTTACTATCCAGCCCTTTACAGAAAGGGTTTGCAGAGTTCTGGATCATACGCTGGCTCGCTAACTAGCTGTGCCTTTACTGTGAACAAACAGGCCTTTTTCTTTCAACCTGGGCAAATTACAGTGTTTTTAAAAAGCACCAAGAATACTTTTTGGAAGTCGGAGTTTTCTGTCAAGTGGCTTTGGCTATACTCCAGATCTTTTTGATTCATTTGGCTGTAGAGCTGGATGGGCACATGGTATAAAAACAGTTCTCAGACCTCACTCTTGTTTCTGCTCAATCCCTGTCCTTTTAACCAGCACAATGAAAGTGCCTCAGTCAGCAGAGTCAAGTAGGATAACCAGAGCAAAATGTGAAAACGAGATTAGAGCTGTGATTAGAGGCTGGGACGTGTGCTGAATTCCCTCTAATCACGTGATATGAGCTAAGGCCACCATTTATCATAAAACAAACTGTCCAGCTTTGGGAGACATGGAATGGATGACAACTGCATTTTAAAACGTGTTCAAGTAAATGAAGCATAGTCATTTTGGAAAACAAGGAAGCAAAGCTTAATAGCTGAAAGGGTTTTCAAGTTTTCACATGTGTATGTTCCTAAGGGATTTTCGTTACTTTTGTTCTGAAGTGAGATGTGAAGTGGTTTCCTTTTTATTAGCATATGAATAGCAGGGCCATTTGATTTGGGAGAGATGCACAAATGAAAGTCAATTAACATTTGGGGGGTGAGTCCACCAACCTATCATGAATTTACCTGAGTAAAGTTAGGTGAGAAGTCCTCCTGCGTGGGGAAAGGTGCACCTGTGAGCTGCCGATCGGGGAGGAATCATCACGGGCTTTTTGGAAAGTGGTTTGGCAATATGCATCAAAACCCTTAACAGAGTTCATATCCTTCACCCAGCCATCCCGCTCCTAGGAGTCCACCCTAAAGAAATAACCAGAGATGTGGAGAACAGTTATGTACAACAAGCATTATTTAACATAGCCCCAAAGTGGAAATAACTTAAGTGTCCAACAGTGTTCAACAACTGGGTTCTGCTTAAACAAAATGTCATGCATATATAGGGTGGAATGTCATGAAGCCTTTAAAACCATGATTTTGAAGAAAACAATGTGGAGAAATTTTCATAATATATTAAGTTTTAAAAATCAGGATAAATATACAGCATGATCCAAATTTCATATAAGCATACACTTAGAAAATACCTCAAATAAAAGAAATCAAAATGTTAGCAGAGGTGTGTGCAGTCAGATGCAAATCCGTAGAACTCATCTTCATGTTTCAGTGTCTAATGTGTCTTGACTTGGTGGTTTTTTTTTTTTCCTTGACTTGAGATTTCTTGGACTTCTGAATCTATGGATAGGATCTTTTGTCAATTCTCACAAATTCTCAGCTATACTCTTTTCAGATATTGTCTTTGCTCCCTCTCTGTCTCCTTTACTTCTAATATGTTGATTAGACACATGTGAGACCTCTCGCCATTCTTCATGTCTCTGAATCTCTTTTTCATACCTGTCATTTCTTTGACTCTCCATGCTGCATTCTGGATAATTTCTTCGTGTGTGTGTGTGTGTGTTTGTGTGTGTGTGTGTGTGTGTGTGTGTATATATAATTTATTTACTTATTTTTTGAGATGGAGTCTCTCTCTATCACCCAGGCTGGTATGTAGTGGTGCAATCTCGGCTCACTGCAACCTCTGCCTCCTGGGTTCAAGTGATTCTCGTGCCCCAGCCTCCCCAGTAGCTGGGATTACAGGTACCTGCCACCATGCCCAGCTAATTTTTGTATTTTTAGTAGAGACAGGGTTTCACCAGGTTGGCCAGGTTGGTTCTTGAACTCCTGACCTCAGGTGATCCGTCTGCCTCAGCCTCCCAAAGTGCTGGGATTACAGCCATGAGCCACCACACCTGGCCTCTTTAGCTATATTTTTTAGTTCACCTATTCTTTCTTCAGCTATGTGTTAAATCCATCCGTTGAGTTTTAAATTTCAATTATTATTACTATTTTTTAATTTCTAGAACTTCTATTTGGTCATTATTTATTTCTTATTTACCTCACATATTTCTAATCTTGATTTTTTTGTTCTTTAAATGTTTACATTCTGTGTCTGATAATTCTAAAATCTGAAGTCTTTGTAGGTCTATTTCCACTGACTCTTGTTTCTGTTTATTCTCTCTCATAGGGCCTCATTGCTTTGTGCATGTAATGAGTTTTTATCTGTAAGCTGTGTAAGGGAACATTTTAAAAATGACTTTTTTCTTGCTGCAAAAAGGGAAAAAGACCATTACTCCTTCAATAGCTACTCACTGGAAGATCTTGTGGGGCTTCTTTGAGACATAGGATGGAGATGATTCCTCCCAGGAGGATTGGCAGGTGCTTCTCCCAGGTTGGAGACACCTTAAACCCAGCTGTCACCTTGAAGGGATTTTGTCCAACTAGTTCTGTGAGCTCAGACTAAAAATATGCCTGGGAACTAGCTTATGGTTATAAGTTATCTGGGGCAGGATGACCCCTTTCCACTGAATACCATGGATTAAACAGGCAAAGTTTCTTGCAGTCTTAGAAGGGAGTGATTACTAATTCTTTTCTTTTTTTCTCTAATTTTTAAGCCGAGTACACAGTCTTCTGGGATGTCAACTTTTGCCTAGTAGACTCTTTGGGTAAACCCTGGACTTTACCCTTGACCACTGTGTCTCACAGGGCCATGAAAACTGAAGCTCAAATTCATCCTCAACTCCTTTCTTTTTCTCCATGTTGCACCGTGACCATGACAGGATATCCTACAGGCCCCATCTTCCATTTATATCCAGCTTTTGACCCCTTCACACCACCTCAACTGCCACCTCAACTGCTACCTGCATGCTGGGCCACCACTATGCCCAGCCTAGATGGCTGTGCCAGCCTCCTAAGCAGCCTCCATGCTCCTTCCCTGCCCTCTCATAGTCTGCCCTCAGCACAGCAGCAAGAGTGGCCCTTTCATAAATCAGATGATACCACTTCTCTGCCCAAATCCCTGGGAGCTTCCTCATTTCACTTAAGGCAAACACAAAGTTTTACAGAGTGACCTGTGAGCAGGGCCCCCCCACCACCTCCCCTCTCCAGCCTTGGTAGCCCCCACTGTCCCTCGCTCACGTGTGCATGCTGGGTCACCTCCTGATGTCTCCTGGGCCATGCAGGCCTCACTCTTCACCACATATACCTCACCTCCTTCAAGGCTTTCCTCCAATGTTGCTTTCACAGTGAGGCCTACTCAGCTGGGGTCTTCTTTTCTTTCCTTTTTTTTTTTGAGACGGAGTGTCGCTCTGTCGCCCAGGCTGGACAGATCTGCAGTGGTGCCATCTCGGCTCACTGCAACCTCCGCCTCCTGGGTACAAGCAGTTCTCTGCCTCAGCCTCCTGAGTGGCTGGGATTACAAGCACCCACCACCACACCCAGCTAATTTTTGTATTTTTAGTACAGACAGGGTTTCACCATCTTGGCCAGGCTGGTCTTGAACTCCTGACCTCGCGATCCACCCACCTCAGCCTCCCAAAGTGCTGAGATTGCAGGTGTGAGCCACCATGCCTGGCCTCCTTTTTTTTTTTTGTTTTTTTCTTAAAAGAGGCAGGGTCTTGTTTTGTCACCCAGTCTGGAGTGCCATAGTGTGATCACGGCTCACTGCAGCCTTGGACTCCTGGATTCAAGCGATCCTCCTGCCTCAGCCTCCTGAGTAGTTGGGACCACAGATGTGTACCACACACCCAGCTAATTTTTTATTTTTTGCATAGATGGGGTCTTGCTATGTTTCCCAGGCTGGTCTGGAACTCCTGGGCTCAAGCCATCTGTCTACCTCAGCCTCCCAAAATGTTGGGATTACAGGTGAGAGCCACTGTGCGAAGCTCGGATTTTATTTTCAATAAAAATATTTATCTTCCACATTTATTTGTTTGCCAAGAATTAGGCAGTTCTACCTGAAACTCTCCTACTCTGCTGATGGGAGTGTAAAACGGTACAACCCCGTCTGGCAAACAGTTTACAGTTTACTTAAAAAGTTACATATGCACTTGCCATACAGCTCAATCACTGCACTCTTAGACCTGACAACATGCGTCTCCACAGTCTTGTAAAAATGCTCACGCTGGTCCAAATTGTGATGGCCAATGTTATGTGTCAACTCAACTGGGCCAAGGGGTGCCCAGACATTTGTTGGAACCTGATCCTGGGTGTGTGTGTGGGTGTCTCTGGATGAGATGAACATTTGGATCTGAGGTCAGGTGTGTGAAGCAGACGGCCTCCCTGACGTGACCCCACCCTGCCAGTCAGCTGAAGGCCTGAAGAGATCGAAGGCTGGCCTGGCCTTCCTGCCAGCAAGAGGAAATTCCTCCAGCCTGACTGCCTTCAAGCAGGGACAGTGGTTTTTTCCCTGATTTCAGATTCCAGCTGAAATATCAGGTCTTCCTGGGTTTGAAGCCTACCGGCCTTCGGACTAGAATGACAACATTGGCTCTCCTGGGTCTCCAGCCTCCATAATCACATGAGCCACTTCCTTAGAATAAATCTCCGTCTAGCCACCTACCCAGCTGCATCCTATTAATCCTGTTCTCTGGAGAGCCCTGAGTAATGTACTACCCAAAAGCTCGTGAGCAGGTGAATGTGCACACAATGGGACTCCCAGCAATGAAAAGGGACACAGGACTGCAGCCTGCGGCGGCAGAGATAAATCTTGGAAACATGAGTTGAGTGAAAAAGGCAGCCACAGAGGAGTCCATACAGTATAGTCCCACTTACATGAGGTTCCAAAAAGGTGATAGTGCCCAAAAGCAGGTCAGTGATTGCCTGGGCCTGACAGTGAAGGAGAATTGACAAGGAGCACAGGGAAACTTTCGGGGTGACAGAAATGTTCTTGATTTGATTGTGGTAATGACTACATACACATTTGGCATACAAATGTGGGAAAAGTAAAAAAAAAAAAAAAAAGAGAGAGAGAGAAGAAAAGAAAAAGAAAAACAAGAAGCCAAGCACAGGGGCTCACACCAAGTAATCCCAAAACTTGGGAGGCCAAGGTGGGAGGATCACTTAAAACCAGGAATTCAGGACACACGCCTGTAGTCCCAACTACTTGAGAGTTCCAGGCAGGAGGATTGTTTTTGCCCAGGAGGTCAAGGCTGCAGTGATCGTGCCGCTGCAATCCAGCCTGGGTGACAGAGAGAGACCTTGTCTCTTAAAAAAAAAAAAAAAAAATGGCCGTGTACGGTGGCTCACACCTGTAATCCCAGCACTTTGGGAGTCCATGGTGGGTGGATCGCTTGAGCTCAGGAGTTTGAGACAAGCTTGGGCAACATGGCAAACCTCATCTCTACCAAAAATACGAAAAATTAGCCGGGCACGGTGGCACGCACCTGTGGTATCAGCTACTCGGGAGGCTGAGGTGGGGGGATCCGTTGAGCCCGGGAGGTTGCAGTGAGCCATGGTAGCACCACTGCAGTCCAGCCTGGATGACAGAGTGAGACCCTGGCTCATAAATAAATAAATAAATAAAAAATAATTAAAAAAAAAACAGAATTCTCCAGCCCTGGCAAAGGACTAAACTTTTCTCTGATGCTCCAATCTGTGTCAGATGAAGTTTCAGCCAGAATCCAATGTTTCATTCATTCATTCATTCATGCATTTGATCACCATTAAGTGCCTACTGCATGGTAAGCCGTGGTCCAGGCAGATTCAGTCCCAGCCTACCTGGAGCACAGATGGGCATGGAGGTCTTCGCTAGGTCCCCTTTCCACCTGTAGGCAGTAAAGCCAACATTCCCCGTCCTCCCAATCCCCACCATTTATGGAAATGAGATCCTGCCATGTGAAGTGGCTGACTCTGAAAATAACATGGCAAGTCAGAAGAGGCACTGGTGTTAGAACTTGGGAAATTCTTGGTGGTTGTTGTTGTTGTTGTTGTTGTTTGTTTGTTTTTTGAGACAGAGTTTCGCTCTTGTTGCCCAGGCTGGAGTGCGATGGCGCGATCTCCGCTTACCACAACCTCTGCCTCCCAGGTTCAAGCGATTCTCCTTCCTCAGCCTCCCGAGTAGCTGGGATTACAGACACCTGCCACTACACCCAACTAATTTTTGTATTTTTAGTACAGACAGGGTTTTGCTGTGTTGGCCAGGCTGGTCTCGAACTCCTGACCTCAAGTGATCCGTCTGCCTTGGCCTCCCAAAGTGCTGGGATTACAGGTGTGAGCCACTGTGTCTGGCTAAACCTGAAACTATATCTTGTCTGTGCATTTTTGATTTGTATCATTTGTATTTTTTATAATTTGTGTTTGTATTTTATATAATTTGTATCACCATTTTGCATGTTTTCTGAGTACCAATCTCACCACACCGTCATGAAGTATGAAACTCTAGTTGACAGCTGAAGGAAGGGAAACACAGAACTTTTCAATGTCACGTCCAAGTCCACACACTGAGTAAGCGGAGAGCCAGGATGGAGGGGGCCCTTAAACATGAGGCGGCTCTGCCCCCACCTTCGCAGGTGTTGGGGCATTTGGTTCCCGTGACACCCCAGCAGGTGCGGTTATTATCCCTGTGCATTTTATGAGGAAAAAACAAAACCTGGAGACGTTAGATCACGTCCAAGAGCTCGAATTCAAATGTGGGGCTTTCAGGTCCGAAGCCCATGTTCCTGGACTCTACCGCACTGCATCTCAACTCTGATGATGGGAGCAGAAGAGTTGACAGAAAGCTAGGAACAGGAGAAGGGAAGGAAGAGGGAGAGACAGAGGCAGGGAGAGAGGACACAGGAGCAGCAAGGCCTCTACCTGCACAGCCCCTGGGCCCACCCTGGAGAAAACACTGTTCTTGGAAGACCTGAGCGGCTGGTGAGGGGGGACAATGGAATGCACATCTGTATTCTAAATCAGCCTAGAAAGCAGATCAGAGCATGAGAAAGGGCCCAACATCTGTATTACTAATAATAGTGCTTCCTACACCTGCCGTCCAGGGATCCAGAACAGAGAGGAGGGCCAAACAGCAGCTGAGCAAAGCGAAGCAGGGAGCCAGCTTTCTGGGAAGAGCCGGTGTAGTTTGGGGGCTGTAGAAATTAAGGCGGCCTCCCTTGCGCTTTTGTGGGCCTTTGCTTTGGTTCTTTGGATGCTGGGGTAGGCAGAATAATGTCCCCCCAAAAATGTCTACGACCTAACCCCCAGAACCTGTGGCTATGTTAGGTTACTTGGCAAACTGGGGATTAAGTTGCATATGGAATTAAGTTCTCTGACCAGCTGACTTTAAGATGGGGAGATTCTCCGTGTGGGCCCAACGGGATCACAAGTGTTCTTAAAAGTGGACGAGAGAGGCAGGAATGCAGGTCACATGATGCCACAAGCCCAGCGATACTCATTTTGGACATCTAACCTCTAGAACTGTAGGCGAATTGGCTCGTGTTGTTTGACGCCGCTGCATTGGCAGTGACTTGTTACAACAGCACAGACAACTCACAGAGATGGCAAAGGGAGGGACAGTTTTCAGGACCTCTGCCTTTCATCTTCCCTTACTCCGTGTCAGGAGCATCGTCAAGCAACCACTGGATTCCACTCACTGCTTTCCACCTCTGCCAACCGTGTGTTCTCAGAGTCCAAGCAGCTCTAGACTGAGTCCTGGTGCGGAGGCTCCTCTGCCATGCAGCAGACCCAGAGGAGCTCTGCTCTGCCCAGACCCAAGGCCAGCTCAGAGCAACCTACAGAGGCGGCAGTGGCACCGGTTGGGGGCGTGGGGGAGAGCCTGGTTTTGTGAGGCCTGAAGCTCTTGAAGGGAAAAAATGCACAAGTACAAATATCGAGTTAGGTATGAATGTAAATATTGATTCAGAATTGAATGCAGAGACTTCCCTCTGGTACTCCATCTACAGAAAGGGGAATGCACTGAGACTGAGTGGCAGGGGACTCAAGTTGGGCCGAGGGCTGTGAGGTACTTCGCTCTTGCAAATTTTCCAGAAACACCTGACCAACCCCTTGGAAGGCCTTGGAAGGCCTTGGAAGGAGCCCAGGCAAGTGAGAGGCCTGATGCACATGCCTCACAGGTTCAAATTCAACCCTTCTGTGGGAGGTGGAAGGGAGTGGGTGGGAGGGAGACAGTGGTCCCATGCAGACTGCCCATGACAACAGATAGAGAAGAAAACAGGACCAGGCACTGTTGCTCATGCCTGTAATCCCAGCCCTTTGGGAGGCCGAGGTGGGCAGATCACCTGAGGTCAGGAGTTCAAGACCAGCCTGGCCAACATGGAAAAACCACATCTCTACCAAAAATACAAAAAACAAAATTAGCTGGGCATGGTGGCAGGTGCCTGTAGTCCCAGCTACTCGGGAGGCTGGGGTAGGAGAATCACTTGAACCTGGGAGGTGGAGGTTGTAGTGGGCTGAGATGGCACCACTGCACTCCAGCCTGGGCAACAGAGCAAGACTCCATCTCAAAAAAAAAAAAAAAGAAAACGGAGAAGAAAATTATCTCATATATATATGTATATTAATATATACATATACACATACATATATACGTACATATATATATATTCAGGAAAACAGGCTTCCTAAAGAAAGCAAATTGTAGGCAGGAGAATTGCAGTGTTAGAAGTTTATGGATATGCAAAGCATCTTTTCTCCAATGGGCCCACAGCACTGTAGCTGACTTGCTTAACAAGCAGCATTTATGGTCCGTTAACCACCCACTTCTCCTGAAAACAGAAAAATCATTACTGGATGGTGCTGGGGTTACAGTCCTATTTAGGTTATTGTGACAATGTCCCTACACTAGCATTGCATCCTCGTCTCACAAGACACTCCCTCTGGGGCTACTCCTGGCCTTATTTTTTTATTTTTTATTTTTATTTTTTTGAGATGGAATCTTGCTCTATTGCCCAGGCTGGAGTGCAGTGGCGTGATCTCAGCTCACTGCAGCCTCTGCCTCCTGGGTTCCAGCGATTCTCCTGCCTCAGCCTCCTGGGTAGCTGGGATTACAGGCGCTCACCACCACACCTGGCTAATTTTTGTATTTTTAGTAGGGATGGTGTTTTGCCATGTTGGCCAGGGTGGTCTTGAACTCTTGATCTCAGATGATCCACCTGCCTTGGCCTCCCAAAGTGCTGGGATTACAGGCATGAACCACTGCGCCCGGCCTCATTTTTAATTATAAATATGTATACTATTAATGGCATTTGCCCCTTTATATCGGGTATGGTTATAAAAAAATAGTGCATTATAGAGACCATAGAAAATAAAATAAAGGACTAAGAACTGTGGCTCATGTCTGTAATCCCAGCACTTTGGGAAGTCAAGGCAGGAGGATAGCTTGAGGTCAGGAGGTCAAGAGCAGCCTGGGCAACATAGCGAGATCCCATCTCTACAAAAAAAAAAATAGTCCCAGCTACTCTGGAGGCTGAGGTGGGAGGATGGCTTGAACCCAGGAGGTCAAGGCTGTAGTGAACTATGATGGGGCCACTGCACTCCAGCCTGGATGACAGAGAGAGACTTTGTCTCTTTAAAAAAAAAAAAAAGAAGGTAAAATAAATAAGAATCATCTGTAATTCCAGAAATAATCATTGTCACTTCATTCTAGTCTTTCTTTAGGATCTATAACCATGTTGTCCCTACCTGTCTGGCTTTTCACATCAACCCTGTGAAATCTGCTTGGGGAACTAGCAGCAAGGACAACACTCCACCTTTGAATAACTGAAGCAGAGCTTAATGAAGAGATTACTCACCGGTCATCTAGAGACCACAGGGACAGTGCAGGGACTGTCAGAAGGGGGGACAGAGTGGGCAGCTCCCTTTGCTCCCTGCCAGGGCTCCTGGGGTGGGTAGGGCCGCCACAGTTCAGGCGGATAGTGGAGCCCCTAGTGGTGTCGGAGGACTGTCCTGTATTTTGGTAACTAAGTCAACAAGGCCCGAGAAAGTCCCCTGAGGCTGGATTTGGCCCATGAGCCTTCAGTTTGAGACTTTTGTGGGGTACTTTTTCTTCTTCCTTTTTAGAGACAAGATCTTGCTCTGTTACACAGGCTGAAGTGCAGTGTGGCATGATCGTAGCTCACTGCAGCCTCAACCTCCTGGGCTCTAGTGATCCTCCCTCCTCAGCCTCCCCAAGTAGCTGGAACTACAGGTGTACACAATGACAACTGGTTTGTTTTTTGAGTAAACTTTTTATTGACATGTAATCCATACACACAAATCTAATAAAGCCATTAAAAACTCCCATTTTTCTATTTTTTAAATGTGACCTGAAAAATTTCTTAGAGTTGAAGTTAATTTTAAAAATGAAAATAACTTTTATAAAAATTATGAAAACAACATAAACTCACTTTAGAAAAATCAGAAAATAGAGATGAGTATAAAGAAGATAGTTGAAATCAAAGTAACCTTTAAGTTAGTGATGTCCAAAGGGTTTAGACTGTAAAGGACCAAATAAAGAAGGTAGGGGCTTGAAGCCCCATAGAGTAACTCTACATTTGGTTTAAAGAATCAGGAAAGTTCTTAAGTTAAAGTTTCCTGCATTAGTTAATTTCAGGCATTAGTTAAAATTCCAGGATGAAGTGTTTGGGGGGACTTTTGAATAATTTTGATGTTTGTAACCATCGGTGGATATAATCTGTTTTGCGTAAAGCTTAATTCTTTAATTAAATGAGTTTTTAAGAAACTCTTTCTTTTGAGGACTATTGTTTTTAACTTCATAAAAAGAAATTATTAAATACACTATTTAATTTTAATAGATATGGTGTATGCTCACATCTGTAATCTCAGCACTTTGGGAGGCTGAAGCGGAGGATTGCATAAGCCCAGGAGTTCAAGACCAGCCTGGGCAACATAGTGAGACCTTGTCTCTACAAAAAATTATAAAATAAAATAAAATAATAAAATAAATTGCCAAGCACAGTGGTGCTTGCCTGTAGTCCCAGTTAGTAGGGAGGCTGATGTGGGGGAGGCTGAGATGGGAGAATGGTTTGAGCTTGGGAGGCTGAGGCTGCAGTGAGCTGTGACTGCTTCACTCACTCCAGCCTGGGTAACACAGCAAGACCTTCTCAAAAAAATAAATACACTACAGTAAAAATTTCTCCAATAGACTTATGTTATTGTCAAATATGGTAAAAAAAAAAAACAAAAAAAAAACCAGACACTTTCTAACATCAGGAGGAGCAGCATTTAAAATATGATAGTCTTGCAAATAAATGAATAAATGATATAATTCTTTGTTATGACTATTACTAGCTGTGGTGGTTTTAAAATATGCCCACATATTCTTTTTTTTTTTTTTTTTGAGGCAGAGTTGCACTCTGTCACCCAGGCTGGAGTGCAGTGGCACCATCACCATCTCACCTCACTGCAACCTCTGCTTCCCGGGTTCAAGCGATTCTCCTGCCCCAGCCTCCTGAGTAGCTGGGATTACAGGCAACCGCCATCACGCCCGGCTACTTTTTGTATTTTTATTAGAGACGGGGTTTCACCTTGTTGGGGTTTCACCTTGTTGGCGAGGCTGGTCTCGAACTCCTGACCTCAAGCGATCCACCCACCTCGGCCTCCCAAAAGTGCTGGGATTACAGGCGTGAGCCACTGCGCCTGGCCACATTTTCTTTTGAACTACCAGTGAAAATAGCTCTATTGAATCGGGGGTGAGGAGTATCAATTTTCCTACAACTTCTGTGTCCTGCTTTATTGACCAGCCGAGCATCAGTGACATAAATGGGGGGCCTTTCCGTTCCAAAGCAGATATTCTGGGCTATCTGACCTAACTCAGAGGAGGCAGCCTCACCATCCCACACCTGTCATCCTAGCGCTCAGGCCAGGCCCCTGGCGGGGAGCCTCCAAGGGATGACAGCGTGGCCCGCCCGAGGCCACAGGGAGGTGGGCGAGCTGTCACCTTCGATGGGACAGCCCGGGCTGCGTCCTGAGCACCCGGCCTGCCCAGGTGGCCTGGATCCTCGGCGGGGTCCCCATCCCTCTGCTCCGAGTGCGCCGAGGGCCGCGTGGAGCCCGGAGCGCCAGGGAGGGAGCCTGGAGGGCCGCCTGTCTTTTCGAGCTGCGCTTCCAGGGACTTCGCGTTTGTGCCTGGCGGGCTGCGGTTGGAAGAAAAGTGCCAACATGGCAGCTCCAGGGTCAGGCCCCTTCTTCCAGGAGGCGTTTCTCAGCCACACCAACGCGGCACTTCTTTTCCCTTTTGGCACAGAAGTGAGGAAGAGCAGCTGAGCTGGTCTCGGTCTCCCAGCTCCTGCAGTCTGAGGACCCCGGGATGCTCCAGCCAGGGCAGACCCGCGCGGGGGGTGCCCTTCCCCCACCCCCTTCCCTGCGGGATGCCCCCTTCCCTCGCCTCCCCCGCGGGGTGCCCCTTCGCTTCCCTCCCCACCCCTTCCCCGCGGGGTGCCCCTCCTCCCGGTGTCGCCTCCTTTCAGGTGCCTGCCCCTCCCCCATGTGTCTCCGCCCACGTCCGCCCCACCCCCACGCGTGTCGCCCCCGCCCCGTGTCCTCCCCCGCCCCTGTGGAAGGGAGGCTGGGGCTCCCGGGACCAGCAGGGAAGCAGCTGGCAGAGAACGTTGAGTGTTCTCTCTGCCAGGGCCTTCACCACCCTTTTCGGGGCCCTCACCCCGACCCACACCGCTTCCATTCTTGGGTGCAAAGGGCCTTCCTTAACAGTCGGCGGCAGCTCTGGGGCCGGCGCATTTTTTTCTGTGGGGGACACCCGGCACAAGAAGGGTGGAGGAATGGGGCTGCGCGTCACTCCCACAGCTTCTTAGAGAGCCGTTCGCAAGGAGGACCGAGTGTCACGTGAGTGAGCTGGAGGAGGTCACGTTACCTTCCTCCTGTGAGAGGCTCAAACACAGCTCAGGATTTTACCAGTATGGAGAGAAGAAACCTTCAGGCGGGGCGCGGTGGCGCTCCTGTGGCCCCAGCTACTCTGGAGGCCGAAACAGGAGGATTGCTTGTGCCCGAGTCGAGGCTGCAGTGAAGCCGATTGTTTCACTTTACTCCAGCCTGGGCAACAGAGCAAGACCCTGCCCCGACCCCCAAACACACACACACACACACACACACACACACACACACACACACAGAGAGAGAAAGAAAAAGAAACTTTCGGGAACCGGACAGCTTTTCTGTGCACTGGAAGGCACTCACCCCCCTGGCCTGGTAGACTCCTACCCATGAATCTGATGTCAGCTCAGACGTCTTCCTCCAGCTGCCTGTAGGACGCCTAGACCAGAAAGGGCGCCTCTAGATGCCCTCCTAGTTCTCAGGCCTTTTTCTTCATAGCACGTGTCACCGTTTGTGAGAACAAGTGATTTCTATGATTGAGAACTGTCTCCCCTTCTCGTCTGTGAGCCCTGTCAGTTCGGGGTGTCTGATTCTGCTCCCATGCTCAGTACCCAGAGGCTGATACATAGTATGCACTCGATAAAAAAAGGTTTTTGAGTGAATGAATCAATGTATCTGATCCCAGCTCTGCCTTTTACTAGCTCTGTGACACACTCAGATACTTAGCGTCTCTGAGTTTTACCTTCCACATGTGCACAGTGGTGCTAAGTGTTAAATAAGATTTATGGGAGGCCATTGAATTGGGCTGAGCTCCTGCACTAGGCCCCAGTAGGCCAGACCAAAATGGAATCACTTGTGCTAAGTGCCACGTAATCAAACTGAAACTTAAACAAAACAGGAAAATCCCCCACCAGGGCCAGTTTTCCTGAAAAAATAGGAGACTACCAGCAACCAGTCAAAAGGGGGCCAGTCCACTTGAGCCTGCATAAGAGAGGTTTCCTCCGCTTAAACTCATACAAGGAAATGTGGAGGGGTCCAGGTTGTTGGCGTTTTGAGCAAAGAATTGAACAAAACGCACAAACAAAGCAAGGAAAGAAGGAAGCAACAAAAGGAGAGATTTATCGAAAATGAAAGTACGCTCCACAGGGTGGGAGCCGCTGGAGCATAGGGGCTCTTTTTACAGAATTTTCTGGGGTTTAAATACCTTCTAGAGGTTTCCCATTGGTTACCTGGTGTACACTCTATGTAAATGAAGTAGTGACCTGCAACCAGAGGCTGAGGTGAAGTTACAAAGGTTACACCCGATGCAAGCCTCTGTTTGCAAAGTGAAGTTACAAAGTTACAGTTCTATGCAAAGGAAGACTTGGCCCACAATCAAGCTGATTGGTTGTGGGAAGCGACCAATCAGAGGCTGAAGTGAAGTTACAAAGTTACAATCCTATGTAAACGTCTGATTGGCTGCCCTCAGAGACACTTTCAATTTTCCATCTGCCAGGCAGAAAAGGGTGGGGGTTTGCAAAGGGAGTAGCCTCCGGTTTTTTGTTTGTTTTTTCTTTTTTGAGACGGAGTTTCACTCTTGTCGCTCAGGCTACAGTGCAACGGCGCGATCTCCGCTCACTGCAACCTACGCCGCCCGGGTTCAAGCGATTCTCCTGCCTCAGTCTCCCGAGTAGCTGGGGTTACAGGCGCCCGCCAACACGCCAGACTAATTTTTGTATTTTTAGTGGAGACGGGGTTTCACCACGTTGGCCAGGCTGGGCTGAAACTCCTGACCTCAGGTGATCCGCCCACCTCGACCTCCCAAAGTGCTGGGATTACAGGCGTGAGCCACCATGCCCGGCTACCTCCGGTTTTTTTGTTACTTAGGTGTGAAAAGTTGGGGTTTTCCTTTTGATTTAGTTCTAGGAAGTCAGCGTGAAATCGGCCTTAGGTTCCCTGCCTCCAGACCCTATTCTCCGCCTCAGAAAGTCACCCAATGATAACCAATGCACTTTTCTCACCACACGATTTCCTCATTCCTGCTTGAGCTGCCTTACCAAAGCCGATTGTTCTGCAACACCCAGCCGAGTGCCTTCTGTTTTGTAGTCTGGAGGCTGCCTGTTTCATACATTGCTAATAAGAGTCAATTAAATCTTTAAAACTCAATTTGTCAAAATGTTGTTCTTTGGTGTCAGAGACCAATACTGTAGGGAATTTGTGTTCATTGACTGAGCTCAAGTACATAGAACAGCTGGAGGGAAGAGACGCGCAGGGCAAGGTATGAGGTGGGGGCTGCAGGTGCACCACATTCCCACAACTTGGAAACTCTTCCAACCTGCTTGTTCAAGAGCTTTTTTAGAGCTTGATTTCTAGTCCCCTCCCCTTCTCACAGGTCTAGGGGTGAGGCTGAAGGATCCAACCTCCTACTTACCTGGTCTTTCCGGTGACCAACCCCATCCTGAAGCTATCTAAGGGTTCACCCTAAGTCACCTCAGTAGCATAAACTCAGATGTGATCAATAGGTGCTTCATTATGAATAACAAAAGACACTACTATCACTCAGGAAATTCTAAGGGCTTTAGCGGCTCTGTGCTAGGAACCAGGGACAAAGACCAAATATATTTCTCTAAATGTACCCTATCATCCTAATGGGCTCAAGGTGGTATCTTATTGTGGTTTCGATTTGCCCTTTCCCCAGTGATTACTGACATTCAGCATCTTTGGTGCTTATTAGCAATTTGTATGTATTCTTTGGAGAACTGTTTATTCATGTCCTTTGCCCATTTTAAAATTGGGTTGTTTGGGTTGTGCGTGGTGGCTCCTGCCTGTAATCCCAGCATTTTAGGAGGCCGAGGTGGGCAGATCACCTGAGGTCAGGAGTTCAAGACCAGCCTGGCCAACATGGTGAAACCCCGTCTCTACTAAAATTACAAAAATTAGCAGGGCATGGTGGCAGACGCCTGTAATCCCAGCACTTTGGGAGGCTGGGGTGGGGGAATCACGAGGTCAAGAGATCGAAACCATCCTGACCAACATGGTGAAACTCCGTCTCTACTAAAAATATGAAAATTAGCTGGGCATGGTGGCACGTGCCTGTAATCCCAGCTACTCGGGAGGCTGAGGCTCGAGAATTGCTTGAACCTGGGAGGCAGAGGTTGCAGTGAGCCGAGACTGTGCCACTGCACTCCAGCCCCAGTGACAAGAGTGAAACTCAGTCTCAAAAAAGAAAAAAACCAAAAAAACAAAAATTGGGTTGTTTATTTTTTTGTCATTGAGTTTAGGAGTTTTTTGTTTTTTGTAGTTGAGGGTTTGTTGTTGTTGTTGAGTTGCTTATATAGTCTGAATATTAAACCCTTATCAGATATATGATTTACAAACATTTTCTCTCATTCTGTGGGCTGCCCTCTGTTGATAATGTCCTTCGATACACAACAGTTTTTACTTTTGATTGATTTGTCTATTTTTCTTGTTGTTTGTGCTTTTGGTGTTGTAGCCAGGAAACCACTGATGCTAAATCCAGTGTCATAAAGCTTTCCCCTTGTTTTATTCTAAGAGTTTTACAGTTTTAGCTTCTACATTTAGGCCTTTAATTTTTTTTTTTTTTTTTGAGACAGATCCTCCCTCTGTCGCCCAGGTTGGAATGCAGTGGTGCCATCTCGGCTCACTGCAATCTCTGCCTCCCAGGTTCAACAGATTCCTCTGCCTCAGCCTCCCAGGCACCTGCCACCATGCCCAGCTAATTTTTGTATTTTTAGTAGAGCCAGGGTTTCACCATGTTGGCCAGGCTGGTCTCGAACTCTTGACTTCAAATGATCCACCCACAGCCTTCCAAAGTGCTGGGATTACAGGCGTGAGCCACCGCGCCCGGCCTGATCCATTTTGAGTTAATTTTTGCATATAGTATGAGGCATCCACATTCTTTTGTGTGTGGATATCCAGTTTCCTAACACTATTTGTTGAAAAGACTGTCCTTTCCCCAGGGACTTTGTTTTGTTCACTCCTGTATCTGCAGTGCCAGAAGAGTGCCTAGCACATAGAGTCTTCATAAGTGTTTGTTTAGTTACAAATAGATAAAATGAGATGTGCTCTTTCCAGGCCTCTGCTGTCCCTGTTCCACAAAATAAGACCACTAGATGAGGCCAGCTCCAAGGCTCCTTCCAGCTCCTCTGTGACTCTTAACTCATGAAATGCTTTCCAGACTGGAAGGGAGCATTTGCCGAACACACTTGGGGTGGAGGAGAATGGAGACACCCAAATTTATTTTCAATACATTCTGTGTTGGAAGAGGGACATTGTAGGACATTTTCCCTCTTATCCTATTCTCAGTAGTGTTATTCAGCCCAGATCCACAGGAAGGTCTCACAACTTGAAACTGTGTATCCAGGGCATCCCCAGACAGGAGGGTTTTTAAAGAGAACATTAGGAAAGCACACAATTTAATCTTTGTATTTTCAGGGGTTTTATACAGGGCCACATTGGAAAACCAAAAGGAGGCTCATAGTTATAAGTTTAAGCTCTTTTTTTTTTTTTTTTTTTTGAGACAGAGACTTACTCTGTTGCCCAGGCTGGAGAGCAGTGGCATGATCTTGGCTCACTGCAACTTCTGCCTCCTGGGCTCAAGCGATTCCCCTGCCTCAGCCTCAGCCTCCTGAGTACCTGGGATTACAGGCACCCGCCACCATGCCCGGCTAATTTTTTTTTTTTTTTTTTGTATTTCTTTGTAGAGACAGGGTTTTACCATGTTGGCCAGGCTGGTCTCGAACTCCTGACCTTAAGTGATCCACCTGCCTCAGCCTCCCAAAGTGCTGGGATTACAAGCCACTGCACCAAGCCTGTACTTATTCTTTTCTCTGTGATTGCTGTTGTGTTGATTTTGTTATTTATTTATTTACCCATTTAACTTTACTTCAAGGAAAAGCCATTTGGTACAGCCTGAGATGTTTCATCAGAAGAAATAATGATGTTCAAGAGGAAGAAAATAGAAAAACTAAATGGAATGTAAAGTCTTGTGTAGGCAAAGCCCTTATTTCCAAACAGACATTTAATATGTGTTGGCTAGCCCCAGGACTAGACATGATAATTTTTAGTGTTTCCAATCTAAGGATCTCAAAAATATTTTATACATGTGAAAATGTGTGATTCATTCATTCATTTATTCAATGCATGCTTATTGAGTGACTACTATGTGCTGGGCATGTGCCACTCCATGGTGTCGGGGAGAGGACAGTGAAAAAAACAGCTCAAGGTTCCTGCCCTTGTCTTATACATAAGGTCTATTTAAAGACAGGAATCAAAATGAACCAGATCTGTAGTGTGCTAGATGATGCCACATGCTGTAGGGGAAAGGGCACTGGGAAGAGGAGGACAAGGTGGGGAGGAGCTGCAAGTTAAAACTGTGGGGTTGGCTGGGGGCAGTGGCTCATGCCTGTAATCATAGCACTTTGGGAGGCTGAGGCAGGTGGATCACCCGAGGTCAAGAGTTTGAGGCCAGCCTGGCCAAAATGGTGAAATCCTGTTTCTACTAAAATACAAAAAATTAGCCAGGTGTGGTGGTGAGTGCCTGTAATCTGAGCTACTCAGGAGGCTGAGGCAGGAGAATTGCTTGAACCTGGGAGGCAGAGGTTGCAGTGAGCTGAGATTGCGCCACTGCACTGCAGCCTGGGCAACAGTGTGAGACTCCATCTCAAAAAAAAAAAAAAAAAAAAAAAAAAAAAAAAAAAAAAAGAAATAAAAAACAAACCTGTGCTTTTAAACCTCTTACCTTCTATGTTTTACAGTCATTCACTCATTTGTTCATTCATCCATTCATTTGTTACTTCAACACATATTTATTGAACACCTACTGTTCACCAGGCACACAGTAGGCTACAATTGCTCTGATGTTGTAAGATAATGCACTTATTTTCTATATGAAGGATAGTGATATATGCATATTTTCAAAGAGATTTTTGTTTCATTTATCACATGGTAGCCAGTACAGTTGCCAGAGAAAGTAACTGAAGACAAACAATTCTGCCGTTGTTAGGAATTTATTGTCAGTCACAGAGCATGTGATCTGGCTAAATATAGACTTCAGAATTTCTAAGAAACAATACATGTAAGATAATTCATTAACTCCCTACTACTCGTTTTCTTTATCTCTTTGGGTAGTCCAGTTAATAGTAAAGTGTTATTGAAAATAAAAATTTACAGGTTTTTAGCTCTGTCCTGTTCAATATTTTTACCAATGACTTGAATAATGACAGAGAAAGTCCATGTACTTCATTTTCCAGTGACGCCAAGTTAATACAGTAAATGACTCAACTAGTTGGGCTGGCACCCAATTAACAAGATGATTCAGCGAGGACAGTGTTGGATGTTCCACTGAGGCTGGATGAAAAATGCCCATTGCAGGGGTCCCAGAATGCAGAGGCTTTTCTGGGCAGCTGTTCATGTGAGGAAATCAAATGAGATAGTGTAAGTGAGAGCAGTTTGTAAACTGTGCATTTACAAATGTTAGATATTTTATCAGTAAAAGTCCTGGGATTTCGTTGTCTACAAGCCCATAGTGAGCCCACATGGAGACAGAGGCAGCTGAGAAGGAGTGGTCCGGTGAGCAGACACAGAAGGAAAGAGAGCAACAGAAAAGCAGCCGTGGGCAAAGCCCCCAGGAAAAATGCTGTGGGCAAGAGCAACTGATGGATGCTAAAACCCAGGGGGAAATTGTGAGGAGACAGGCTTTGCATAATCTCAGAGTATTTCCCCAAGTTGTTAGCTTTATAGTAGAGAAACTGGGAAGATGCCCCGTAACCAAACAGCCAAGGTGTGCTTAACAAAGTCACTATGGTATCATGCACCCCTTGGTGTGATGCACTGAGAAGGGCACACTTCATTTCTGTGGTCATCTTGCCAAAAATGTCAGACGACCAACCACCTAAAAAGGAAGCAGTTAAGTAACTTTGGGAATTATCTAGGTTGCAGGTATATTCGTGCCTGTCTTTGCCTTGTAAATAATGGACATTATTGGCTGTCATTTTTGTTTGTTTGTTTGTTTGTTTGAGATGGAGTCTCCCTCTGCTACCCAGGCTGGAGTGCAGTGGCACGAGCTCAGCTCACTGCAACCTCTGCCTCCCAGGTTCAAGTGATTCTCCTGCCTCAGCCTCCCATGTAGCTGGGATTACAGGCACCTGCCACTACTCCCAGCTAATTTTTTTTTTTTTTTTTTGTATTTTTAGTAGAGATGGGGTTTCACCATGTTAGCCAGGCTGGTCTCAAACTCCTGACCTCACATGATCCATCCGCCTCGTCCTCCCAAAGTGCTGGGGTTACAGGCGTGAGCCACTGTGCCTGGCCCCAGGAATCTATTTTTAACAAGGCCTCCAAGTGACTCTTGGGTAAGCTAAAATTAGAGAAGCAGTAGGCTACTATGAAACGGAGCCTCTAGTTTTAGGAAGTGCTCAGCTCACACAAACGTGGGTAGCATCGTTGCTCAGCGTCATCTCTTTGGACTGCAATCCCCTCCCAGTGATCCTGGATTTCTGGATGCGGCTGTTTTCAAAGCGCAGGGTATTTTCAGCAGGATCTCACCATAGTGGGCCCCACCATGCCCAGGCTGAGAGCTCTGCCTGCTCTGTTAGTGAGGAGGTAGGGGTGCCGACCCGCCTTTCTGACCCTACCCCCTCCCTTCTCTCCTCTCACCCCCCTCCTCTACCTCTCACCACACCCAAACCTCCTTTCTTGATGGCAAGCATCGCTTCTGTACCCCTGCGGCTCCCTTGGCTCTAGTGTTAGTCACAGCTTAGTGGAGGAGCTGTGGGCTTGCATCTGAGGACCTGGGCTTCAGCTGGGGGTCTGCCATTTACCAACCGTGCTTATTAACCCACAGTCCTTCCCGGAGCCACTGCTTATGTTTTCTGCATCCTGGTGTGACCTCAAGCAAGTCTTTAGGCCACGTTTTTTCCTTCAGACCAAAGCTTTTTTTATTTTTTATTTATTTTCTTTCTTTCTTTTTTTTTTTTTTTTTTTAGACAGGGTCTCCTTCTGTTGCCCAGGCTGGAGTGCAGTGGCGCCATCATAGCTCACTGCAGCCTCCACACCCCCCACCCTCCTCACCCTCACTAGTAGTTGGGACTACCTACAGGCGTTGCATCACCATGCCCGGCTAATTTTTTTTTAAACTTGTTTTGGAGGCGGGGTCTCACTGTGTTTCTCAGGCTGATCTTGAACTTTTGCACTCAAGTGATCCTAACACTTCGGCCTCCCAAAGTGCTGGGATTATAGGCGTGAGCCATGTGCAGGACCTGGACCAAGTCTTGATTCTCTCTGGTTCCTCCCAACTGAAACATCAGGATGCCGCCCCGGGTGTCCATGGGGCTGGGGAAGTTGCTGAGCAACCTTGCCCTGCGAGAGCGAAGGCGGGCGTGTCCCTCGGGGGCGTACCCCGAGTGGGCAGCAGGGCCAGCCCGCGCGTCCCTCAGGGTCAATGCTGGGGCCCTGAGGGTGAGGTCAGCTGTGAGGTGAGGTCTGGTGGCCGAGGGGAGGTGCCCAGCGTGCGCGTCCGCATCCGGCGGGCGACAGAGCAGCCCCGGAACAGGAGCTTCCCGGCACCGGCCGTGGCGTGGCGCCCTCCGCTGGGCCGTTCTCCCCCGCAGCCGCTAAGTCAGCATCGCCTACTTTCCCACTCTCGAGTTTGCCCCTCTTTGCTGCCCGGCAGCTGGGTGTCCCATGTCCCCTGCCCGCCAGTGTGCGACCGCGGCCTCCCGCGGGGCGGTGACGGCCCCTCTCCTTCAGCCTGACCGCCGCCAGCTCCCTCGGCGTGTCCGGGGTGGCCAGGCCTTGTTTAGAGTAGCTCCAGCGTTTGAATCGCGCAGGCACAAGAAGGCCGTCTCCTCACCGCGGGCCAGCGGGGCCGGCCAGGGCCCGGGCGGAGGGGGAGCCCGGGTTCCGCGGTCGGGTTGTGGGGCCGGCGCTGACCTCACCGCATGGGCCCCTGCGGCCGCCGTGGCTTCTCACGCGGCCTGACTTTGGACTCGAGTGCAGGCTCTTAGCTGAATCTCTGTGTAGACAGGGTGGGTGGGACTCCGCCCTGGGGTGGCGCTGGGGGCTCGGGTCTCCCGCCGCAGGCCTGTCAGCGGGGCGCTTCCCGTCGATTCCAGGAGCGCCCGCGTCTCTGCTCAGCGCCACGAGTCCAAGCGTGGGGGAGGACGAGACTTTCAAGGCGGGGGGTGACAGTGCCATCCAGCCCAGAATACCCACCCCCAGTGGCGGGCTGCCGTGCCCAGGCCCTGATCCCTGCCCCTGCAAACATCACTTTCTATCGCCCACGGGGCTCTGCAGATGTGGCCAGGCTAAGGGTCCAGAGTTAGGGAGATTGTCCTGGATGATCCGGGCGGACCCTAAATGTCATCAAAGTGTCCTCGTAGGAGAGGGAGAGGAGGCGACCGTGGGGGCAGAGGCTGGAGGACCGCGGCGCCCGGGACCTGCCCGCACCTGACTGCAGCCAGGTGGCGCCGATTCCGGACGCCCAGAACTCTGTGGGAATGCAGCTGTACTGTGCGGCGTGTAAACCACCGCATCTGTGGGATTTTGTTAAAGCAGCCACGGGACCACTCCACCCCCTCCAGCTGTGGTCCTTTACCCGGCGGCGGCCACCTGGCAGCAGCCCGGTTCCCCATCCTGCGGGGTTCCTCCCGCCCGCAGACCGGCTCGGCCATAAAAACCTTGCTGAGAATCAAAGAGAGAGAAATATATGGAACGGAAGAGTCGACGATTTTGTGTAAAGTTTAGGGTTTGTATTCATCGATATATATTTACATATATGCACACGCAAATATGTATGTTTCCTTTGAACTCAACTTTATTGGCACAAAATTTACATATAACAATATAGATTTATTTTAATGATGCAGTTTAGTGAATTTTGAAAAACCTCCATACCTGTGCAGCCGCCACCATCGCGGTGGTGAGGACGGAGGCGGCTCTGGAGCTTACCCCTGGAGTGCGTGTGGTTAGAGAAGCCTTGAGACTCGGGCTCCCATCGGTGATGCTAAGTTTTCATTTTTCTTAAGAAAAATGTTCTTCCGGCCGGGCGCGGTGGCTCATACCTGTAATCCCAGCACTTTGGGAGGCCGAGGCTGGCGGGTCACGAGGTCAGGAGTTCGAGACCAGTCTGACCAACATGGTGAAACCCCGTCTCTACTAAAAATACAAAAATTAGCCGGGTGTGGTGGCGGGCGCCTGTAATCCCAGCTACTCTGGAGGCTGAGGCAGGAGAATCGCTTGAACCCGGGAGGCAGAGGTTGCAGTGAGCCGAGATTGCGCCATTGCACTCCAGTCTGGGGGACAAGAGCGAGACTCCGTCTCAAAAAACAAACAAACAAACAAAAAACAAACAAAAGTTCTTCATTTCCAGACCACGCTGCCATTCTGTGGTTTCGTATCTTCCTCATGTTTTGTCTGGCTTGAGCCCCAAATATTTTAAGAGCAAATCTGAGAGTACAATGAGAAGGAACAGAGTGTGTACACAAATACACCCACACACATTCACACACACACACATATATGTACACACACACACATACACTCGACTCCCCCCCACACTCATACATTTAAACACCTATACTCACATACTAACACTCATACCCCCCATATACACTCATACACTTACACACGGATACACTAACATCCTCACAGACACCCACTCACATACACAGGCTCACACACATTCACAGATACACTCACACACACATACACTCAGATACAGACACAATCAACATACACAGACACACATTCACATGTACAGACATAGAGATACACACACATACACATTCACAGACACATAGACACACACACAGACACACTCATACAGATACATTCACCCTCATACTCAGAGATATACTAACACACTCACAGACAAACCCATTCACACACACACTCAGACACAGATTCACACTCATACACCCACACCCACATACAGACACTCACATGTATACTCACAGTCATACAGATACACTAACATACACCCAGACACACTGTATTAGTCTATTTTCATGCTGCTGATACATACCTGAGACTGGGTAACTTATAAATAAAAAGGTTTAACGGACTCACAGTTCCACGTGGCTGGGGAGGTCTCACAATCATGGCAGAAGGCAAAAGGCACATCTTACATGGCAGCAGGAAAAGAGGGAAAATGAGAGCCAAGCGAAAGGGGAAACCCCTGATAAAACCATCAGATCTCATGAAACTTATTCACTACCAGGAGAACAGTATGGGGCAAACCACCCCCATGATTCAATTATCTCTCACCAGGCCCCTCTCACACACAACACGTGGGAATTATGAGAGCTACAATTCAAGACGAGATTTGGGTGGGGACACAGCCAAACCATATCACATACCCACTCACATACACATAGACACACACAGATACAAACACACACAGATACACACATAGACACACACACACACATTTACACTCACACACACATTGACAGTCACACACACTGACATACACTGACACACAGATACACCCACTCACATACACATACAGACACAGATACACTCAGACATACACTCATATAGACACACACGTAAACACATACACCGACACATACAGAAACATTCAAACACACACATATACATACACACAGACACATGCTTACACTCACACATACAAACACACACACACATGGACACATACAGACACAGATACACACACTTACATATACATACAGGCACTCACACACACATGAGGTAAATGCTAAAATGCAGGTGGGATGTGCTTTCTGATTACTGCACTTTCTGTATGGTTTTCGAAGACCCTGAAAGTGAAAATTTGTAGCTCAGGGCTGCTTTTAAGACCACTCTGTTCAGTTCTGCCACAAGTGACCCGCTGTGCATGTATATAGTTCCTCAGCACCCTCAGCCCACAGGCGCCACTGGGGAAGTGGGGGAGGCCAGGCCCATTAAGGCTGCGGCTGGGGGACCTGGGGGCTGTGCCTCAGCTCCCTCTCCACTCTCACCCCTCTGCCAGCCTCCTCCAGGCGCCAGGAATGTACCTGTCTACTCAGGCTGTAGCCAGGATTAAGAGCTTTCTCACGGCTTGCTGAGCTCATGCTTGAGAATAACTGACTTTTGAGGGTTATTCTCCCCTCCCCTCTTTAATTTGCTTTGAACTTTCAAGAAAAATCGTAAGGAAGGGCACCTCCTATATTCTGTAAAAGTCTCTATTTCCTTATTTGGTATTTGGAGCCCAGTGAAGCCCTTTGAGGCTGCAGGTCCTCTCCCCCAGCCCATTACTGGACAACATAATCCGCAGTTCTGTGGGAAGCAGGAAGCGTCAGGTCCACTTCTGTGTGCATCGCACCCATGAATGCTGCACAAAGGTAGATGAACAAGTACCAACTTTTCTGGAGAAAGGTCAGCTCATTGGCGCCTGTGTCTGTTGAGTGAATTATCAGCCCTATCAGAACCTAGTAGAGCAGAGGTTGCAAGTGTGTGATTTGGTGGCCTGGATGTGACTGTCTGACTCCCACAGTGTTTAACCAGGTAGGCATTCATTCATTCATTCATTCAGCACATATTTATCGAGAACCTACTCCGTGCCAGCATTGTGCCTAGAGTTCGACCCAGGCAAACACAAAAGCCACAAAGCTAGAGCGGGGAAGCAGACGATCAACAGAACAGGTTGTGAGAAAGTGATCCATACTTTCTCTAGAGGAAGGGGGTGCGGAGTGTTTTGGGGATGGCCTTGCTGACAAGGCTTGGAAAAATTCCTTCTCTGATGTAAAACCTTACAGAAGTTGCTACTCACGCAACTCCTGAGAGCTTACTGGGAAGCTGTGATCACCAGTTTCCGGTGTTTCTGTTTATTGGGAGACTGCCTTTCCCTGGCACTGGCTGTGACCAGTTATTATTTTAGAGAGAGTGTGACAACTGCCTGACCATCACCTGATGGTCGCCTGACATTCCTGGTGGGGTCGGGGGAGACCTCTCCTGCCATGCTCAAGCCTGACTAGCCACCTCCTGCAGCGTACCTCATGTGGCTACAAAAGCTGCCCTCAGCAAGCCTCTAATCCAGAGCTCATTCCAAGCATTGGGTACAATTTCTTACTGCCCCTATGAGGTGTTCTACAGAATCCACAGAGAGGGAATCCCGGCAGGGCTGCCAAGGAGGTGAGCTGCAGTGATGAGACAATAGTGAGCGGGCCCGCTGTGTAGCCAGCCTGAAAAACGAGCGTCTTCAGTCCACACAACAGAGAAACAATTTCTCCCTGAACTGGGAAAGTAGTACATACAGCAAAACAACCAGCCAAGCTGACAAAAAAAATAAGAGTTATTATGTCCTAAGTGCCTCCAAGGTAGCACAAACATAGTAGCATGGCAGCCTCATTCCCACTGGCTCTGAGGTGCAAAGAAACTGTAGCTCATTTCCTTTTTTTTTTTTTTTAAACAATTTCTATTTTTATTTAAAAAATTTTTGATTGTGGTAAACAGAATCAAAACATATAACATAAAATTTGCCAACATTAAGTGCATTCACACTGTTGAGCAGCCATCATCACCATCCATCTCCAGAACTCTTCCATCTCCCCAGCCTGAAACTCTGCCCCCGTTAAACACTCCCCCACCCTGCCCCTCCACCCAGCCCCTGGCAACCACCATTCTGCTTTCTGTTCTATGATTTTGACCCCTCCAGATACTTCATGAATGGGAACCATATAGTCTCTGTCCTTTTGTGCCTGGCTTATTTCACTTAGTAACATGTCTTCAAGGCTCATCGATGTGGCATGTGTCAGAATTTCCTTCCTTTTTAAGGCTGAATCTATTTATTGTATGGACAGATCACATGTTGTTTCTCCACTCATCTGTGGATGGACATTGGGTCGCTTCCACCTTTTTGCTGTTGTGAATAGCCCTTCAGTAACTATGGGTGATGCTCCTTGTTTTTTTTCACAGATTGGGTCCCCTTCATGAGCCTGGCCCACTGGGAGTGTGTGGGGACAAACTATGAGTCACTGACGTCCCCAACGTGAAAGGAGCTGAGGGGAGTCTGGGGCCCCCTCCCCCTTGGACTGATCTTGGAATAATATCAATTTGATTCTGACATCATGAAGTATTCTTACCCCTTACAGTGACTGGGGTGTCATCTCCATTTCACCAAGGGGAAACTGAGGCCCAAAGAGGGAAACTGTCTAGAAGTCACTCAACTAGTATGTGACAGACCTGGGTCGACACCTTACTGGTTCCAAAGTGTGGGACTCCCTTAATATTCATGACACTACGCTTTTTTTGTAATTTTATGGTGTTTAATGGTGATTTTTATGATTGGATATGTCTTAACATCTGAGAATGCAGTGAACACATTACCATCCTCCCTTCAGGCAACCCTGTGACACGATTTTTAGTTCCATTAGGTGGCAGTGACTGAGAGTGACAAACAGGTGCCCTAGGTTCTGCCCTGGTGCCACCTCTAGCACCCACAGATGTGTTGTCTGTTGGCCTAGAAACTAGGAAAAGTGGGCACATACTTTCTTTGGGGAAATGAAAGAAAGCATTATTGTTTTTTCTTTTTCCTAGCAAACACATTAACCTCTGGAAGTGGACACCCAGCTGAGTGTGGGGCCTTCCAGGGTGGACCCCAGAGGGGCAGCCACCCCTCCAAGCCCAGGGACCTGCATGGCTTTTTGTGATGAAACTGCTTTCCAAGACTAAAGCAATTTATTTTGAAAAATCCATAGAAACTGCCTTTGGGAGAGATTTTTGTTTTTATTTATTTATTATTTATTTATTTATTTTTGAGATGGAATCTGGCTCTGTCACACAGGCTGGAGTGCAATGGCACAATCTCAGCTCACTGCAGCCTCCCTCTCCCAGGGTCAAGCGATTCTCCTGCCTCAGCCTCCAGAGTAGCTGGGACTACAGGCATGCGCCACCACGCCCAGCTAAGTTTTGTATTTTTAGTAGAGACAGGGTTTCACCATTTTGGCCAGGATGGTTTCGATCTCTGACCTTGTGATCCACCTGCCTTGGCCTCCCAAAGTGTTGGGATTACAGGCGTGAGCCACTGCGCCTGGCCTTTTTTTAAATTTTGAGACAGGGTATCACTTTGTCGCCCAGGCTGGAGTGCAGTGACATGAAAATGGCTCACTGCAGCCTTGACCTCCAGGGCTCAAATCAATCCTCCTGCCTCAGCCACCAAGTAGCTGGGACTACAGGCATGCCCCATGATGCCCAGCTAATTTTTGTATTTTTTGTAGAGATGGGGTTTCGCCATGTTGCCCAGGTTGGTCTTGAACTCCTGAGCTCAAGCGATCTGCCTACCTCAGCCTCCCAAAGTGCTGGAATTATAGGCGTGAGCCACCGCACCCGGCCTAGATTTTTTTTTTTTTTTTTAAAGAACTATAAACCTTTTGTTTTTCTCACTAGAAATGTAATGAAAACTCATAAAATGGTTCAAAGAAGATTCACGTCGGGGCCAATAACAGTATTCTGTGTTGAGTTCAGGGCTTGTCGAACTGACACAGGACCAAGCGCCAGGATGAGGACAGCCGAGGGTGACTGTACCCAGGCCATTTGCCTTCTTCTGCACCTGCCCTCCCACACCTGCCCTTCGAACCCCTCCACCCCCATAACTCCCATCCCAAAGGCCTGCTGCTTTTCCCTGAGGAATTTTAGTGTGAATAATGACAAGAGAAAGGGTGGGCGGTTGTGACATAAACAGGGGACAAAGAGGGCAGCTTTGGGGAGGAAGCCATTTTCTGTCTCTTGCTCTAGGTATGTTCAGGTCCACTAAGCTGTATGCGTAGGCATGCACCATTTTCCTTATATATTTTAGTTCAATTTGAAATGGGATTCTTATGGGCTTCTTGAATCTATATATTTTAAAATTCTAATTGTGGTAAAATACACATAACACGAAATTTGCCGTTTTAACCATTTTTAGGTGTACAGTTCTGGGTCATGGAACACATTCGCACTGTTGTGCAACCATCACCACCATCCTTTTCCAGAAGTTTTCCATCTTCCCAAACTGAAACTGTCCCCAGGAAGCAACTCTCCCTTCCCCTCCCCACAGCCCCTAGTGGCTTTCACTCTAGTTTCTGTCTTTATGAGTGTGACCACTCTAGGGATCTTGTACAGGTGGAATTGTATCGTGTTTGCTCTTTTGTGTCTGGCTTATTTCACTCAGCATAAAGTCCTCAAATTTCATCCATGTTGTAGCATGTGTCAGAATTTCCTTCCTTTTTAAAGCTGTATAATATTCTATTGTATATATAAATTTTTTTTTTTTTCTCTGTCGCCCAGGCTGGAGTGCAGTGGCACAATCACAGCTCACTACAGCCTTGAATTCCTGGGCTCAAGCAGTGCTCCTGCCTCAGCTTTCCGAGCAGCTGGGACCACATGTGAGTGCCACTATGCCCAACTAATTTTTATTTATTTATTTATTTTTAAATTTTTTATTTTTTTGAGACAGAGTTTCGTTCTTGTTGCCCAGGCTGGAGTGCAGTGGCACGATCTTGGCTCACTGCAACCTCTGCCTCCTTGGTTCAAGCAATTCTCCTGCTTCAGTCTCTCAAGTAGCTGGGATTACAGGCACCCACCACCACGTCCGGCTAATTTTTTGTATTTTTAATAGAGACGGGATTTCATCATGTTGGTCAGGCTGGTCTGGAACTCTTGACCTCAGGTGATCCACCCACCTCGGCCTCCCAAAGTGCCGGGATTACAGGCATGAGCCACTGCGCCCGGCCCTTACTTATTTTTTTTGAGACAGAGTTTCGCTCTTGTCACCCAGGCTGGGTGCAGTGGTGCGATCTTGGCTCACTGCAACCTCTGCCTCCCGGGTTCAAGCAATTCTCCTGCCTCAGCCTCCAGAGTAGCTGGGATTACAGGCGCCTGCCACCACGCCCGGCTAACTTTTGTATTTTTAATAGAAACGGGGTTTCACCATGTTGGCCAGGCTGGTCTTGAACTCTTGACTTCAGGTGACCCACCTGCCTCGGCATCCCAAAGTGCTGGGATTACAGGCGTGAGCCACTGCGCCTGGCCTGCCGGGCTAATTTTAATTTAATTTAATTATTATTATTATTATTATTTGTAGAGAGGGGTGTCTGTGTTGTCCAGACTGGTCTCAAACGCCAGGCCTCAAGCAACACTCCTTCCTCAGCCTCCCAAAGTGTTGAGATTATGGGCGTGAGCCAATTGGCCTAAAACTGTTTTGTTTTGAAATAAAGGTAAACCATAAAAATGGGTAGGCAGATGAAAATTTTGGTCAGCCCGCGGATTATTTTTATTTACCCTGAGGCTTGCGTTTATTAAGCATCACTATGGGTTAAGGACTAGGCAAAGCATTTTAAGTTCATTCTTATTTACTCCTTGCAACTTTACTTCAATTTTTCAGACAAGAAAACTCATCATCTATAAAGTCAAAGGCGTTAGATAACTTTCCCAAAGTCATGCTGTGGGAGAAGAGAGGTGCAGGATTCAGCCACTTGTCCATGACCACAACGGCTCACCTGGACTCGGGCGTGGAACTGTCCACCGTACAGGATCGTTACGGGTTCCTGGTGAGGAGACTCCCTTCTAATGGATAGGACCGTGCAGACGATAAAGCCCACAGAAAGCGTCTCTTTCTACGCTCGGCCAGCCTGGGTTTTGTGGCGCCAGCAGCAGGCGCTGTGGTTCCCCGGCGTCCCTCCGGGGCCTCCCGCCGCGATTTGCGGAGCGCACTTGTTCCCAGGTGTGCCAGCGCCCTGCGCAGCGGCCCAGCCAACCCAGGCTCAGACTCAGGTCTGCGCCGTTTCCTCGCCACGCTCCCCCGAGGGAAACGGTCCTGATGCGTGTGTCCAGGCTTTTTTTTTTTTTTTTTAAGACTTTAAACGGTCCTGATCCGTGTGTCCACGCTTTTTTTTTTTTTAAGACCCTGGACGACAGGGTCTTGCTCTGTCGTCCAGGCTGGAGTGCAGTGGCGCCATCATGGCTCACTGCAGCCTGGAACTCCCAGGCTCAAGCGACCCTCCCACTCAGCCTCCCAAGTAGCTGGGATTGCAGGCGAGGGCCACCGTGCCCGGCCTATTTTTTTTTTTTTTTTTTTTTTTTTTTTGAAGAGAGGAGATCTCCTTGTGTTGCCCAGGCTGCACTCGTGCCTTCTTACCACGGCCCGTCTCGTCTCGTCAGTGCCACCCGCGCACTGTCCCCAGGGTCCGGGCCGCCCTGGCCCGCAGTGAGCAAGGGACCCATAGGCTGCGGCCCGGGACTGTTTAACATTTCCCTCCACAGGCCGCGACTGTCTTCCCCAAACTGTCCATCAGGACAGGTGTTTGCACTTGTCGGCAATATGGGAAACTCCCACCAATTTGTGTTTGGAAGAGCTGAGTTTTGAGTTTTGGGTGTGGAGCTTTGAGAGCTTTCCAAGGCCCCAGGCCGGCTGCTTTGTGTTATACTGTGTCCCTGGAAATCATCTCACACCTGGGTTCATAAAGCAGGAACGCTGCAGGTGGGAAATGCGTTCCTTATCAAGCGCTGAAAATCAGAGGCATTCCAGTGTTGCCAACAGTGTCACAGAGGTAGATACATCGGGCCCCTTACGTAGAATTCCATGCGGGACAGCTTCCCAAGAACCACAGACTCCAACCTCCTAAAGCAAAGATCTCTCTCTCTTCTGAAGCCCCATGAAGCTTAAGAGAACGCTGCTCAAGGGGGGACTTAATGAGACAGGAAGAAGGTGAACTTTTATATTATTTCTTCAGAAGAACTCACTGCAGGCATCAGCAATGCTTGAACCCTGGGAGAATGTGTGTTTTTGCTCTGGGGAAAGCCTGTGAGAGAGGGGACAGCCCCTGCAGTGACTTCTCAAATTGCTTCTGTTAGGAAAAAAGGTCTTCCTCCTTATGATATCTAAGACAACAAAAAGTGTGATTTTGAATACCTGCTTAGGGAGTCTGCCAATGAAAATAACCAACTGCAGAACTAGTGGTTTAAACTTAAGGGCACTTTTATTATTTTAGAAAATGCTTACTTCCAGTTACAATGTAATCCAGGAAAGACACTGTTATGGCACAAAAATTAAGTTTTAGTAAGAGTTTTGTAAATACATGAGCTAAATGAACATTTACACACCAAACAGCTTCAAATATGGTACTTTCTGGAAACAGTTTGTTGCTTTGAGTGTTATTCAAATCCCTAACTTGTTTGCCTTATTATAATGTTCTGTAACGTAAAGGGGAAAAAATATTTTGGGCAGTCAGAAACCTTAAAGTGAGTCAACCCAAGATTTGCACTGTAATATAAAATTAGGAAGAAAAGTGCCTTCCCTGACCTTAAATGTACAATGTCCATATGCTATATTAAAGGTTATTTAGGATATCCTCAATTTGTAGGGGTGGCGGGTGGTGATGGTGGCAGGACTCTATTCATCTTTGGAAAACACATTTACTCTCTTAAATCATGCAATACTCTCTATAAGTATTTATTTTGGTGGAGATTCATGAATTAGTGTTACAAATATCAGAAGTTCAAAAAATTCAGAAAAAAGGAGTTTATTCAGTAATACAAAATAAAGAAAGTGTTAATAATACTTTTTAAAAAGCCTAACGTGAAAGGAGACCTAAACCCTATTGGATTAATTTTTTGTAAAGTGATGTTTAAATTATATTCATAGTTATTAGTCCAGGTATTCTTGTGTAGGAATTCTATGACCTATCCACTTACTTGTCCAGAGCCGAAGAAATCCAGGATAAATGAGAAAGATGCTGGCTTGCTATTTTTCTTTTGTAAATTTAAGGATTTATTCGTGTCAATTTTATTAAAAAATACAAGAATAACCATTAAAAGTTTAAAAAGGAGAAAGTGAGTGATAATATAAGTAATAGTTTTAGAATTTAAAAAATGATTTTTGGTACTGTAACTATAGTGATGTTTAACATTTTATAAAAACAGGGATATAAGAAGTAATTGTATACAGCAGCTTAAAAACCATGTATGTAAATATAATACTCAAATGCTATAGGTATAGCATTTGAGTTTTAAAATAGGCTTAGAGATTTTTTAAAACTTTCTAATGAATCAAGAACAAAATAGTTTCAGTGAAATTTCCAGGCTAGAAAAAAATAGGTCTGGAATCTTGCCCACAGAGAGAGGCAATTTCTATTTTTATTGCATGTTTCAATGTCTTAAAGGACTAGTTGAGTAGAGAACAATTCCACACTGCCTGAGAGAGAAGGACCCAGCCTTTAGAATCATGGATACCTCAAAGAGCAAAAGGATGTGAAACATGCGTTCATTTCTTACATGAACTGAAATCAGTATGCTAACCTGAAAAAACACCACAGGCACTGTTCTATTGCAAAACCTCACTTCTTTATAGATTAGTGATTTTCAAGTAGGTGAATCTAATTCTACACTCCTATCCACTCTAAATGGACCCACTAGACTATGGTCAATGGTACAATACTGGCATTTCCATAAACATATTGTGACTAAATTCAATTTTAAAATGTAAAAACTAGATACAATTTGAGTTCTCATGCTCATCTCCAACCCCACTCAAAATCAAATTGTGGGTAAATAAGAAGCTTGTTACTGTTATGAACATTTATTATGGTAGAACTTAAAGAACCAAGTATTGACATCCACTTGTACTTGAGCTGTACTTGTGCTCTTGGATGATTGCTATTGCATTTTCTAAAATGGCCAAAGCTTTTTATCGGAATGCTTCTCACACTAGGATCTTCTAGCAGCCCTTATCACTCACAAGAACTAAGTCCTGCTGCCCTAGGCCTATGGCATACACTGCATGTAATGAGTGAACTTCGGAGAGAAGTTATGCATCTAGAATGGCTGTAGTTATGCACCAGCCTGGAGAGGAGTGAGAAAGTCACTCACAGTTTTCCAAAGGGCTAATTTCTCTCTTGTCAATCTGGTTGAGAAAGTCTCTGAGGAGACGTATGGAAAAGTTAGCATTTTTCAAGCCTAGGAGCCTGTCCAGTGCATCCTACAGCAAGCAGAATGTACTAACAAATTCTTTGTGTTTGACTGACATGAAAAACTAGTTGCATGCAAGAATCTGAGACTTGGAAATTGCATTCCTTTCATCAGATTGTTAGTGGAGCACCCTTTATGATAGAAAACAGAAAGTATGTTTGGAGTGTGGTCCCAAATGCATCATCGAGAAGTTAATTTATAAAAAGAAATGTATTACATTGGTCTCGCTGAACAAGGGCTAATGATACTCAGTAGAAGTTGGAGGTGAAAAGTGTGAGTAGAAACAGGCTCAACATGACCATCGTTCATTTTATAAACAAATGGTGACCAAGATACTACAGCTGTGTGTGCAGGACAGAAAATTCTGCCGTCTTCCAGCCATGCCCACACACATAAATAGCCTTCCCTGTCAGGACAGCTCTGGTGTGGAGGCAGAATGGGGCATACAGCCTGCATGAGCACGCGCCCTCCCCCAGGCAGGGATCCCCAGACACTTATATTATTTACACTGGAGAAAGCAAACAGGCTGCCCACAAAGAATGATTAGGAAGCTTGAAGTGTTTTATTCTGTACTTTTTAAAAGTGTAGATTGTCATAGATTCATCTGTATAAATAATTTTCCTGGCAACAGTAGTTCACTTTTCACTTCCCATTCAAAATCTTCAGAACTTCTATTTGAATGCACTTAAAACTTTCCCCTGCTTTTGTTTTATATAATACATTCTCATTATAATTAGGTGACTCATGAAATTAAAGAATTTCTTTTACAAGAAAGTTCAAAATCTTTAGTAAAGATGCTAGTAGCATGCATTAGGGCAAATTAGCACTGTCTTGGTCAGCAATCATTCTAACAGTATTTAAAGAAAGAAAAACACTATTTTTCTTTCATTTTTCCTGAAAGAAAGTGGGAGAAAATAGGCATAGCTGCACCATTCAAAGCACAAAATAATCATTTAGAAAATAAATACCTACGGCATACCCGACACACTTTTATGTCAATTTCCTCAACTGTTTAAAAATGGCCTCAGGCGTGGCTGCGTTTCCACCTGCCTTCTGCCAGCAACCTCTGGGGCCCTTGCCCACTGAGCCTGCCTCTGGAGGGCAACTGCTCTTTGTCACTTGTCATGAGGCCTGAAGCTTGATATCCTGGGCTTCACATGCAATTTCGGAAACTCAAATGACACTACATAGACTTGCTGTAAATCTTTTTTTAGTGCAGTTTGGCAAATATCCCAAATGAAATTCAACTCTAAGTTAAAAGTATCAAAGAGATAGAGCTAAGTGCTCTGGCCCAGAGCTAAGACCCTCTGGGCCGCCCAGAGGCTCTGGAGAGCTTAGGAATAGCAAACCCAATTGCCCAGGAGCTAAAGGGACTGCAGGATACCTGTTGCTTTACCACTACAGAACAGTTACCCCCAGAGACAGCCCTCAGCGACCAGATTTCTGGGCTGCTGTGAAGATCTTAAAGGCCCACAACCCTTGTCCCCGCCACCCCCAAACTCAGAAAGTGGGAGTTATCCCCACTGTAACTCACAGTGCTAAGAACAGCAAGCATTGAACACGGAAACCTGATCTCTCCTCCATCGTCCACCTCCTGGGACTCCAGTCGCTCCCACCTCCTGGGACTTTCAGGTTCTATCTGCTGGTGGGAAGTGCACTTTGGTTTTGGTTTCTAAGAAAAAGATCACTACACAGCTGTCTGGAGGCAGGCACCCGGGCACTAGATGGCCAAGTCCTCCGGTCTGGCCCGCCCGCTGCTGGCCCTGCTGGCCTTGCTGGCCCGACCTGGGTCTCCGAGGGGCAAGGGCGGCTGGTGCATCTGGGCCGCGGTGGTCACGGCCTGCTCCTCCTCCTCGGGGGTCCCTGCCAGGGCGCTCCCCTCCAGACTGCTGCCGCTCCCATCCAGCAGCAGGGGCGCCGCGCCCGCCTCAGCCTCGTGCGCGAGTGGCGGGGAGCTGCTGCCGACGGGGCTGGGGGCTGCAGGCGTGGACGCTGCCGGGTAAGCCTTGAGCGCCGGGGGCTGCCGCTCGGCCGCCTGGTTGGCCCAGTTCTGCTCAGTCATCAGCAGGTGGTGGTGGCCGTTGTAGAGCTTGGCGGACTGGCCCTTTCCGCGCGCCTCGGTCAGGGCTAGCAGTTTGAAGTCCGCGGCTGGTGGCGGGGCCCCGGGGTAGCCCACGGCGCGGGCCTGTCCCAGGGGCGCAGCGGTGTGCGCATAGTAGGGTGGGAACCCGATGGCAACGGCGGGCGGCCGGGAGCTGGGGGGCAGGGGCGGGGGATCGGCTGTCCCCAGCGGGGCCTCGGAGGCGTCCGGGCCGAGGCGGCTGGTCACGCCCTGCTTGAGCTTCTTCCAGCCCAGGTGGTAGATCTCCAGCATGTTGAGCAGCAGGGACGCGCAGGCCACCGCCAGCATGAAGATGATGAAGATGGTCTTCTCCGTGGGCCTGGAGATGAAGCAGTCCACCGTGTTGGGGCAGGGCCAGCGGTCGCAGCGGTAGAGCGGCTTCAGCTCGAAGCCGTACAGAAAGTACTGGCCGGCGATGAAGCCCACCTCGAACAGCGTCTTGAAGATGATGTTGAAGACGTAGGTCCGCAGCAGCGCCCCGGCCATGCGCACCCTGCCGCGGTCGTCCCGCGACGAGGGATTGTCCTGCGGTGGCTCCTTGGGGCTGGGGCTCTCTCTCTTCAGCTGCTCCTCCTCCTCCCTCTCTTTCTTCTTCTCTTCCATGCGCACGATGTGCAGCACGTGGCCCAGGTAGATGAGGGTGGGCGTGGACACGAAGATGATCTGCAGCGCCCAGAAGCGGATGTGGGAGATGGGGAAGGCCCTGTCGTAGCAGACGTTCTCGCAGCCCGGCTGCTGGGTGTTGCAGGTGAAGTCTGACTGCTCATCGCCCCACACGTCCTCCGCCGCGGCCCCCAGCACCAAGATGCGGAAGATGAACAGCACGGTCAGCCAAACCTTGCCGATGACCGTGGAGTGCTCCTGTGCATTTTCTAAGAGTCTTCCCAGAAAGCTCCAGTCGCCCATTGCTTCAGATTCCTAACCTGTAAGAGGAAAATGCTCATGAACACCGGGCTGCAACGGCTGAGTGCCGGGTCCGCACCCATGGGCGGCGGCAGCGGCCTGGATGGTACTGGGATGGGGCTGATGGGCAGCTTCTCCACAGGACAGGCATCGCAGCTCCCCAGGACCTGGACGAGCAGGCACTACACAAGTGCAAGCGTCCATGAGGAACCACAGGTTAAACTCTTCATTTCAGAGAGGAGGAAGCCAGAGCCAGAAGAGAAAATGCCCTCCTCTGGCCTCCAGACTGCTCAAGCCCTCTCCCTGAGGCTGACCCTACAGGAGCTCTGGGGCTCTGCGGCCCCTTAGGCCACTTCTGAATCATGACCTTTCTGTTCAGGTGGGATTAGAGCAACCTCTTCCCAAATTGCTGCCATCCCCATGCCCATGCCACCTTCAGAACTTCTGCCATGTTAATCTGATACCTCTTCTACTATTTGCTTTTTCTGTCTTCACATCAACTCTTTATGCTTAAATTTATCTCAACTAGGAAAGTTTACATTACTACTGTCAATGGAAAATCGGCACTAATACCTTCAATGGATGGTAGCTTTAAGAGTAAATATATTCCAACTCAGCCAGCTTTATTTTGGAAGTAAGGAAATAAAGACTTACTCCCCTTTTTTAAAAAAGAATAAATTCCTTGATGACAATGAAGTTGATACAGTCTATGGGATATTGCTTGCCAAAAGCTCTGGATGTAAGCTCTCTTGTTACAAAGAGGAAGATGAGGAGTATTGGAGAGGTGTTAAACAAACTAGTATCAAACCAAGCCCCTCTCCAAGGCCACTATTAGGATAGAAACAGAATTGATAAAGGAATGATCTTCTCACACATGATTCAGCATCCACTGACGACCACCTGAAATCACCTCACCTGACCGAATGCCCACACTGGATTCTAGGCAGAGCTGAAGGGGTGCTGGATGGGGGCAGAGGAAGCACTTGGGGTGAACCGAGCTTGAGGATCCTGTGAGGACCAGGGGCCAGCTCAGCAGAGCCGGGCCTTCAGTGGCCGTCACTCAACAGCACTCGTGGGTACCCAGATGTCTGAGGGTAGAAACAGCACGCCCAGACTCAGTCAGGGTGCAAGTGAGTGGAGCCCAACCAGTGTGGGAGATAGCATGGATCCTCTGGGTCAGAGTGCCCATGGGTGTTGGGCAGGGCTCACCAGCCCTACCTGCCCCAGAAGTGTGACTCCGAAGAAGGCAGCCCAAGGAGGGGGTGGTACCAGCTGCAGGCCCACCCCCAGGCCCAATTCAGCAAGTGTTAGGTAAACATCCCCAGGCAGGCAGCTTCCTCTCTCAGCCTGTGTACAACAGGGACCACGGTCATACACAGGGATGGAGGGAGGTGAGACTGCCAGCCTGCTAAGAAAGCAGCAGTGCCCACAGACACGGGATGAAGATGAGATGGCATCCCGTGTCGCTGCTGCCCCAACAGGCTGGATGCTGGGAATGGGAACAGAAAAACAGCTCCATGCTTTGCAGTGAGGAAAGCAGTCTCAGCTGTGAGGACACAGTCTCCAGTGGAACCAAAGAAAACACTTGTCATTTTCAATTTTAAAATATTTCAGGCTGGGCGCGGTGGCTCACGCCTGTAATCCCAGCACTTTGGGAGGCTAAGGCGGAAGGATCACTTGAGGTCAGGAGTTCAAGAATAGCCTGGCCCACATGGTGAAACCTCATCTCTACTAATAATACATAAGTTAGCCAGGCATGGTGGAGGGTGCCTGTAGTCCCAGCTACTTGGGAGGCTGAGGGCAGGAGAATTGCTTGAACCTGGAAGGCAGAGGCTGCAGTGGGCTGAGATCATGCCACTGTACTCCAGCCTGGATGACAGAGCAACAGTCCATCTCAAAAAAATTTTTTTTTAAATATTAATTTTTATGAATTGGTTCAAAGGCAAATCAACAAAAGAAAACTCTACTCATTAACAATCTAAAGAAACAGACGAATGTTAACTCTCCCTTAGAACAAACTCCCAACATTCTGCTTGGACCCCTGGAGCTCTTAGAGAAAGCGGACTACTCACGCATCCTCCCAGCCTCTCATCTCCTATTGTGGCTGGCATCTTTTCTTGTGTTCTAAGGAGGTAGGATGTTTTACTTTAGAAACTTAATTACTGCACTTGAAACCACCCAGTCACCCCCAGGAGGGATGTCTGGGAACAATTTGGGGTCACTTCCTGCTTCTCCTCCAAGTGTCCCTCTGGGCTGGGACCAGGCCCCCAATGGCATCTATGCCCCTACCTGCCCAGGCGTCTGGGCAGACACTGCACAGGACAAAACCATGATAGCATGCAAGACCCATCAGCACCTGGGCCCAGCCACGCTGAAGCCTGAAACTCCACCTTTAGGCCTCTGTACATGCTGTTTCTCCAACCTAAAGCCCCGCTCCGTCCGGCCACTGCCTGCTGACCTGCCCCTTGCCTACACAGTCCCCTCAGGGGTGGCCATCTCAGGCCTACACCGGTGCCCTGGGTTCTCTCTCCCCCTTGCCATGCCCTGGTTTAATGGCTGTCACCTCTTCCCAACATCCCCCTCCCCATCCCGCTCCAGCAGGCTCCCTCCATCCTCCCACAGCCCCACCTGCCAAGCTTTCCCGGGCAAGAGCAGCCTCTGGGCTCTAGAGTACACCTGCTCCCTGTGCCTTTCCCCTAGGCCTGGCTCTGAGGACGGGGCAGGCATGGGCATCCTTTCCTGTTCCCTGTCTACCGGCAGAGTAGCTGGGTAATGTGCTTTCCAGAGGCTTCCGAGGAAAGGCCGCTGTGGGTAGTTCATACCCCTTCCAGCAGCCTCATACTTGCTCCAGCAGTTCTTGCTAAAAGGCAGTCTACACGAGGTGCTGGGACAGGGGCCTGGCTGGCTCCCCACACACGGCTGATGGCACAGAGCACCATGAGGGAGGGGTCTGCTGCCCGTCACAGACTGGACAATGCCACTGGCGTTTCCCTGTGGGGCCAGTGGAGGCAAAATGTTCTGCCGTGTTTGGGGTGACCTCATGGGAAAGAACTGTCCCACCCCAAATGCCTATCGTGCACCTGTTGAGAAACATGGGGCCAAATAACTACTTATTCAACTGGTAAACCAGATGATAGGATGGGGAAGCTGACCACAGCAGCTGAGCCTGCTCCAGATCCTTTAGGCCCAGGGGCTGCAAAACACTGGAATATATGCCCTTGGAAGAGCCTTGCGACCTCTGAGTGCAACCTACAAGAATGATGACCAGCCACCAGCCAGACCCTTGCTTGTGCCCCATCAGGGGCCAAGGCTGTGTCCCAGAGACAGGATGACACAGTGTTTCCTGAACAGGAGCATCCAGCATTCAGGCACTGTGTGTTGTAGCACACCAGGGATCTGTGTGGATCTTTCTGGAAAAGAATGAGAGACATGAATCCAACAATACCTTTGACCTCTAATTCTACTTCCAGGACATCCTACTAAGGAAATAATCAGAGACTTGGGTAAATGTGTGTGCATGGCATATTGTGATGTTACCCATAAGGAATGACTGGAAACAGAAATGTCTGGTAGAGGATGAACAGTTCCCTGAGCAGTGCTGGCTGGCCGTGGCTGACACCGTGCTCTGGCCAACCCAGCTCCTACTACCATCCTTCTCTCCCTTGCCTGACTCTAATGTGACTGGGAAGGGAAATGTTTGCTTCTTCATCCTCCCTTGTGGCTGGAGGTGAATAGAAAAGGCAGTTCTGTCCAGTGAGTTGTAAGATGTCTGCTGGGGAATGTCTGGGAAAGCTTTGGTTTTCTAAGAAAAGGGCAGGTGGTACTTGTGCTGTCCTTTCCCTTTCTTTTCCACGTACAGTACAGATGTGATGCTGGAGCTGGGCAGCCACCTGGCAAGCATGAATCAATAAGCACAGGGGATTGGTTAAGAGAGTCGTAGGTCACCTGCTGTGAACTGTGGAAATGCCGAATCAGCCCCATCAGCCACTTCCAGATTTCTTATGTGAGGGGAGAACCTTATTTGTTCAAATTAGGTTTCCTGTTGCTTGCAAGTGAAAAAGAATCCCTAACTGATACACTATCTTAAATGCCTTATGAAATAAAGTCTGGTAAAAATGAAAAGCTATGGTTCATTTATAACCACTAAAATATAAAGTAGCCATTAGATGTAATTTTTCAGAACATTAATGACGTGAAAAATTACTGATGCTATGATAAATGACAAGAACTTAGGACAACACAACAGTCTGATACCAGCTATTTTATACACTCTCTTACGTGGACACAGAAAAAGGAAGAATGATACTGAAATGTTAACAGTGGTGCTTCTGAGAATGGGGTGATTTTTCTTTTCACAGTTCTCTGCATTTTCTATGACAACATATCACACTGCTCATCATAAAAGATAGATGACCATAGCTTTCATTTTTCGCAGTTGTAGCTTTTGAAAAAATCAGCTGACTCCTTTTTCATTGTTCCTTCATTGTGGTTTCTACTCTGTTCATTGCTTTAATCATGTCTGTAGTAAGCACACAAACAGATACAATACACTTTGCACGCTTAGCCCAATGTCAGAGGATAATGACTGTGGGATCACCGAGAGTTTAGAGTGGATTCCATCTTCCTGCCTGGCAATCTCCCGTATCAGGCGCAGTGTTTGGAGAAAGCAGTTTCCCCAACAGACTCTAAGTGAGCAAGGGCAAGGGTGTCTGTGTCCCCATCACTCATCTGAGCCTCACGACTACACTTCACAGTTTGGGTTTTGTTTTGTAAAACACATGCATGAATAAATGAAAATTTAACCAGAACACAGACAATCTATCTGGGAGACTGACAACTGGATCCTGATCAGACCTGCGTGGAAGCCTCCCCAGCAGATGCGGTATCCACCTCCCTTCGCCGTCAGACTTTAGTTGGCTCTGGATGACATGCAGAGGCTCTGGGGGCATTTTACCAATACTATGGTTCTTTTTTTTTTTTTTTTTTTTTTGAGACAGAGTCTCATTCTGTCGCTCAGGCTAAGGTGCAGTGGCACGGATCATAGCTCACTGCAGCCTCAAATTCCCAGAGCTCCGGTGATTCTCCCACCTCAGCCTACCAAGTAGCTGGGACTACAGGTATGCACCATCATGCAGGGCTAATTTTCATGTTTTTGTAGAGACGAGGTCTTGTGATGTTGCCCAGGCTGGTCTGGAACTCCTGGCCTCAAGTGATCCACCTACCTTGGCCTCCTACAGTGCTGGGATTACAGGTGTGAGCCACCGCGCCCAGCCTGATATCACTTTGTAATCATATTCCTAATATCACTAGATAGTGAAATCAGCAGAGAGTTGCACATGTGTCGCAGAAAGACTCTTCTGTGCTAAGTACAGGCAGAGGATGAGAGAAGGTATGCCAGGACTGACAGAGGCTGAGGTCAGGCAAGGCGCTGCTGAACCATGTGTCCTGAGTACCGCTGGGCAGAGGAAAAGACGGGCTTTCGCTCATCACCCACGGGGAGGCCCCCGGTGTGATCGCTTAACCTTGCAAGGTGCACGCGACCTAATGACAGAATACCACAGCCCATGTTGTTGAAACCTTTTTAGAGAACTGACCTAAAAACTGTGGGGGTTACACAGCACTGTGTGGCAGGGTGTTTATGATCTCCCATGAGATGGCCCTTAATCTTTTTGGTTCTGCCTCAGTGAAAACCTTGATTCTTAGTCGTCTGAATAACAAACAGGTCTTATGTTTCAAAATTTATGACGCTGCTTTCATAGTCTTTGAAAAGTTACGTTTTCCTTTCAACGGTAAATTGTTTCCCCCTTGGCCTTCAAGATCCATTGCATTTTCCCTCAGACAAATCAATGGCTATTTCCTCAGTGACAGTCTTGCTCTCAATTCTGGGCCACAGGTTTTGATGGCCACACAAGAAGTTTAAGGAATGATCTCGGTGCAGTAGCTCACACCTGTAATCTCTGCACTTTGGGAGGCCAAGCAGGAGGATCTCTTGAGCCCAGGAGTTCAGGGGCAGCCTGGGCAACATAGCGAGACTTCCTCTGTACAAAAAATTAGCTAAGTGTGGTGGTGCATGCCTATAGTACCAGCTACGTGGGGGGCTGTGGTGGGAGGATCAATTGAGCCAGGGAAGTTGAGGCTGTAGTGAGCCATGATTGTGCCACTGCGTTCCAGTCTGGGTGACAGAGCAGGACCCTGTCTCTTAAAAAAAAGAGAAAGAAATAGTTTAAGGAATAGTCTCTATCTTAAAAATCTATTTGTGGAGGTGGAAAAATTCAGCAAATTAGGGAGCTACATAATATATACATGCAAGGGGATTTCAGAGAAAAGGGATATTCGTATCATACTAAAATGGGCAGTTGGGGAAAAGTGGGATTTCAGCTGGGATTAGGAGTTGCAGTTTTGGATAAGAGGTGGGAGAAGGGAATGCATTTCCAGAAGAGAGCAATGTTTCCATGAAGGTGGGAACAGGGGTTGTGGGTTGGAAGCAGTGATTTTAAAAGGTGGCTTCTGCACAGCAGAGCCAGGCTGTGGCCATACTCTGCACATAGCAGACGTTCAATAAACACTTGCAGGACAGATGAATGAAAGAGTGGGAGCCCCTCAACAATGCTGAGAGGGAGCAACAGGCTGGAAGTGCTCTTCACGAATGAGGCAGGGCCTCAGGAACAGCGTGGTAATCTCGGAGTGAGTGTCCAAGGCCTGGGCTGGGTGACAGGCAGACGAATGGAAAAAAGAAGGGACAGCAAGGAGACACATTCTGAAGACAAAAATAAAGCAGAACGCAGCGTCTGACTAGAGTCAGGGAATAAAAAAGCTATGAACCAGAGGCTAACCCTGGTGACCGGGAAAATGATGGCACCGTTTAAAGAGGAAGAAGTTGGGGCAAGTGCTGACCTGAGCTGGAAGAAAGGTGAGGGGGTGGCTGTGAAAGCAGTGGTGGAGACAGGAACGAAGACAATCAGGAGGCAGCTGGCGGCATGGGGCTGGAGGGGTCAGGAGGAGGGTCTGCACTGCAGCTTCCCCTTTCAGGCAGGACCACGGAGCAAAGAACAGAGATGAAGAGGGAGGCAGGAGACCACTGCTCCTGGTGTGTGTGTGTGTGTGTGTGTGTGTGTGAAGGTGGTCTGGCAGTGTGGGGACTAAGACTGGGCCGGGAGGACCGCGTCCTGCACAGCGTGGGGGAAGGCACCCTCGGTCTGTGCCTGACGAGCATCCCCAGAGAAGGCCACAGGCTTAGATTGTGTTAGGTTTTTGGAAGGTGTGCTTTGAAGTTGTTTTATCCTTTTAACTCTGTTCTGTTTTCCCTTAGTCTTCTGAGAAAGTTCATTTAGAAAATTCTGACCTCGGGAATACAGGCAGTGACCTCCCACCTCTCAAGACAATGTGGGACCCTCGATGCGATCCCAGGCGGGGCTGGAGGGCGAAGGCCCCCTGAGGCCCCGCAGAGCCTGGCACAGCTGTGACAGCCACTTGCCTCCGATGGGTGAGGCTGGAGAGCCAGGGCCCGTGGTGCTCAGCTGGGGCCTCTGAGGCAGGGGTGACTCTGCGTCAGTGCCCTTTAGAGGGCCCAAAGGATGGAGTAGGGAAAGGCCTGTCCACCTCACAGGAAGGCAGGAGACCACTGTGGTCCTCAAGTGTCCTGTCCTGGGGGAGGGGTCAATGCAGTGCAGATGGGTAGTGCCATCGGCTTCCATCTGTTCTCAGTACATCAAGAACGTCAGGAAAGGAGAGAGCATGGGCAAAAGTGGGGCCCGGGGCCCAGCAGAGGTACCCCAGATGGGGTGGTGTGGGTGGTGGACATCAGAGAGGAAGGAGGGTGTTGGAGGGAGGGTGGGGCGGGAGCAAGGTGGCTCCTTCCGGCCAGGAGGCAGTCAGTGAGGGCAGGCGTGGGCAGAAGGTCTCCAGAGTGCTGACAAGACTCTTGTCAGTGGGGTCAAAGAGGAGGTCACCTCCTCAGGCAAGAGCAGGACTCAGCCCTCCAGGAGATAAGGAAGCTTGATAGCAAGGACTGGAGAGGATGTGGAAGAGATCAGCTCCTGCCCCCCAACCCCACAACCCATTCCTCTGCACGTACAGGAGATGCAGGCAGTCAACAAGGGTTGCTGAGGCGTGCTCCCCAAAGGGGTGCCTCCAGCCCCAGGACGGCGTAGAACAAAACACAGGGTCTCCTGTCCCAGTGCAGCCCCCATGCTGGCGGGAAGTCACACAACACGAGAGAAGTTCCATGTGTCAGACTCCCGATACCCCGGAGAAGTGGAAAGCCGCGGAGGAGCATCAGTGGGGGTGCACAGGCCAGAGCAGACCGGGGCTCCAGGACATGGGAGCCTCAGGTATGAGGGCAGAGTGATCCAGGCCAGAAGGGGCTCTCAGTTAGGGGCATCCCTCGTGGGCTCAAGGGACGGCGAGGATGGATTACTTGAGCTCAGCAAGCTGAGGCGGGGGAGGCAGACAGGCCACAGCAGATGGGAAGAGAACCCGGGCTCTCACTTCAGTGTGCTGGGAAAGTACTGGAGGGATGGAACAGAAGAGTAGCCACGCTCACAGGGCCACCCTAGGACAGTCTATGGGGGCAGGGGCAAACGCACAGCCTCCAGGAAGGAGGCTGGACCACAATCCAGAGAAATGATGTGAGCAGTCGAGGTGTGAGAAAAGGCCCGGCATGCCCCTGGGCTGGTGTCGGGAGGGCACCAGCACTGGTGCTCAGAACGGGAGTAATGGAACTGCCTTTTACCAAGATGGGGAGACCAGAGGAGGTCCAGGTTTGGGGAAGAAAATGGCGATCATGAATTGTCTGGGACATGCTAAGTTTAAAATGCCTGAGACGTGTGAGTGTGGAAGCTGGAGGTGCACATCTGGGAGTTGTCACCAAGTGGCCCTGGATTTAGATCATTGAAGGGCAGGGGAGGAGGAAACGGGGGCGACAGTAAAGCCCAGGGGTCTAACAGCATCCAGAGGGTGAGCACAGATGGGCCGGGCACCTGCAGAGGAGCTGATCACCACCAAGTGCAAGTTTTAGTTAAGTCTCTGGAACGAGTCACAGCCAAAAGGTATAATTTGTACCACACTTGATTCCCTCTCATAATATCATATTGACAATTAAAAAGAAATTTTTTTTTTGAGACAGGGTCTCCCTCTGTTGCCCAGGCTGGAGTGCAGTGGTACAATCTCGGCTCACTGCAACCTCTGTCTTGTGGGTTCAGGCGATTCTTGTGCCTCAGCCTCATGAGTAGCTGGGATTACAGGCACCCACCACCACACCTGGCTAATTTTTGTATTTTTAGTAGAGACAGGGTTTTGGCTGTTGACCAGGCTGGTCTGGAACTCCTGACCTCAGGTGATTTGCCTGCCTTGGTCTCCCAAAGTGCTGTACAGATGAGAGCTACCACGCCTAGTCTATACTGACAATTTACAACACTGTTACTTGGTTTACAAATTAGAGGTAATATAATATGGAGTAAAGCTAGGTAAATTAATTTTGTATTAAGTGTTTGTGATTGCCTGGAACACTCATGAGTAGGATTTTGAGGGTCACAAGTAGGCTTACCCAGAAAGAGTTCTATGTTTAACTATTAATGTCTGTGAGGGTTTGGTACAGGGCAATGGTGGTTCAGATGCTCATTTTTGCATTCCTGGTTTAAGCACATTTCTACGAGGGCATGGTGAGCTGTCACAAATATTAAGTCACAAATATTATATGATGAAAATGGGCTTATCTAGTTAGTCATCTTTTCAGCCACCGGCAAGACTGTCTTCCATTAGCCTCTTTCATTCCTTGCCTATTTCAAGCTTTTGCACCTAAAGACTGTAATTTCCAGATACCACAAGACCTAGCCTATGGTGTTTGGTACATCGTCCCACCCTTTTCATAGTTCTCATCTGACTTTTTAAAAAATACAGAATTCAAAACAAACCTGTCAAAATAACAAAAGGAACAAAAGACCTTTTCTTGTACTCTATATGGCTGACTTCAACATTTAGCACTGTTCAAGCAAGAGGAAAAGCAGGTCTTTAGATTATAAATCATGCTGCCATAAAGACACAAGCACATGTATGTTTACTGCAGCACTATTCACAATAGCAAAGACTTGGAACCAACCCAAATGTCCATCAATGATAGACTGGATTAAGAAAATGTGGCACATATACACCATGGAATACTATGCAGCCATAAAAAAGGATGAGTTCATGTCCTTTGTAGGGACATGGATGAAGCTAGAAACCATCATTCTGAGCAAACCATCGCAAGGACAGAAAACCAAACACCACATGTTCTCACTCATAGGTGAGAAGTGAAAAATGAGAACACTTGGACACAGGGTGGGGAACATCACACACTGGGGCCTGTTGTGGGGTGCGGGGAGGGGGAAGGGATAGTATTAGGAGATATACCTAATGTAAATGACAAGTTAACAGGTGCAGCACACCAACGTGGCACATGTATACATATGTAACAAACCTGCACATTGTGCACATGTACCCTAGAACTTAAAGTATAATAATAATAAAAAATTAAATTAAAAAAAAAAAAGAAAAGCAGGCCTTTAAAAGCTGGTTTAGAGTCACTTATAATTTAGTGCCACAGTTCAATTACACAGACCAGCATGAAAGAGGAAAATCCTGAATCTCTGAAGTTTCACACTGACAGAACATATTAGTTTTCGTCTCCGGAAGAAAATGACAGAAGGCTACCCCTGTTACCCACACCAGCAGGACACCCAATGGCAACAGTTCTAGATATACAGCACTTGGTATCTGGTAGGACAAGTCCCCCAACCTTGTTCTCCAAATGTGTCTTTCGACAATTTTTGGCTTTTTACTTCTAACACAGGAAACTTAGGTATAGTTTTCCAAGACCCACAAAAATCCAAGATAGGGTTTGGATTGGAAATGCAGTAAGTTTAGAGATGAATCAGATTTACTTCTGTACACTCATTTCCCACTAGCAAGTGCAATGGCTTCACTGCTGCGACACTTCTTTAATGCCCTGAGCCTTAGGATGCTGTCCCTGAAGTTCTCACACATCTATTAGATTTATCCCTCCATACTTCTTTACAGTTGTTCTGAAGAGTTTTTAAAATTTTCTGCTTGATTGTTATTAGTACTTAGGAACATTCCTTTTGTATGTTGATATTGTATCCAGCAACCTGTTACAAAGGCTTTTCTAGTTCTAATAGATTCTTTTGGATTTTCTGTGTAGACATAGAAATAATCTACTCTTAAGGATAAATTTGTCTCTTCCTTTCCTAAGTCTAATACCTGTTATTTCTTTTTCTTGTTTTCCCTTTGCTGGCCAGGACTTCTAGCATAATACGGTGTGGTAACATATTTTCTTGTTTCTGACTTTAATATGAATGCTTTTAAAGTTTTATCATTGAGCACGATGTTTTAATTTTTATCAGACTAAAGACATTTCCTTCCAGTCTTTCTTTGCTAAAAAGTTTGTTCTGTTTTCAATTTTTTAAACTATGAATGACTACTGGTTTTAATGCAACACTTTTTTCCTCCATCTATTGTGATTTTTTAGATGTTAATCACTAAAGAGGGTAAGTCCTCTTTGTTATGATTTAATTACCTTATTTTTTTGAGACAAGGCCTTGCTCTGTCACTCAGGATGGAATACAGTGGCATGATTACAGCTCACTGTAACTTTGAACTACTGGGCTCAAGCAATCCTCCTGCCTCAGCTTCCCAACTAGCTGAGACTACAGGCACACACCACCACAGCCGATTAATTTTTATTTTCATTTTTATTTTGTGAAGATGGGGTCTCACTATATTGCCAGGGTTGGTCTCAAACTCCTGGCCTCAAGCCATCCTCCTGCCTCAGACTCCCAAAGTGCTGGGATTACAAGTGTGAGCCACCACGCCTATCAATGATTTTATTTTTAATATCCTAGCACATTCAATTTGCTACTACTTTATTTTCGATTCTTATATGTTCATATTTAAGACTGGTTTCAGCTTTTCTGTCCTATCATCAGATTTTGGTATGAAAGTTATTTTAACATGAAAATTTTAAAATTATCTGAATAAGCTCATATAAGAATCTCCTATAGAAGAGTTTGGGACTAATGTCTTTTTTTTTAGGGGGGTAGGAGGGAAGACTTAATTACAAATTTAATTTCATTAACTGTTACTAACATACGTAGGTTTACTGTTTACTAAGTCAAATTTGGTCACTTACATTTTTTAGAAAATTTTCCACTTTATGTTTCAAATTTGTTGGCATAAAATTATTCATGGCATTTTCTTATGATTTTGAAACGCTATGGTGTTTGTAGTCAAATTCCTTTGGTTCCAAATATTGTTTATTTGGGGATTTAAAATATTAGTCTTGCTAGTTTATCTTTTGTTAATGAACCAACTTTGACATGCTTTTAAAAATGACAGGTTATTTTATTTTCTCCCTTGTCCTATTTTGTATGCCATATTCATAATATATAGAATAAATCTATAGGAGTCCTATAGATCTTTTCAATAGATAATGAAGATTTTAGTATTTGTTGGCATTACTATAAAATACACATATACAGTTTAAGAGTATCCTTGATCTCAAAGTTATGTGGTTATTGTATAGTTCCAGGGGTTTCCATTTCTAATTTACATGCAGAGATATGTGGGTTCTATTCTTGATGTTTCAATAATCTAATGCTGTTGCAGGAAACATTACTCTCATCCAGAGCCAACTGATTTAGGAATATTATAAATTTAATTTTCAACTTCTTTAATAGTTCTAAGTCATTGCTAGGATTATACATTTTTATATTTTAAATGTACTTATGAAATAAGAATGTATGGAAAGCATGTACGACAGTGTCTGCCATCTATGTATTATTATTATTTCTTTTATTTTCTTTTTCATGTGGGGATTTCAATCTTTTATGCATACCTGAAAAGTCATATGCTCTTAAATCTTTATTTGGCTAAAGTAAATATGGTGAACAGTTTTCATCTCTAGTCAAAGGGAGGAACTAATCTTTTTTTACCTTTTATAACTTAAAATCTTAGTGAGGGCATTTTATTTTATTTTATTTTATTTTATGACAGAATCTCACTGCACTCCCAGGCTGGAGTGGAGTGGCATGATCTTGGCTCACTGCAACCTCTGCCTCCCAGGTTCAAGCAATTCTCGGGCCTCATCCTCCCAAGTAGCTGGGATTACAGGCGTGTGTCACCACACCTACCCAATTTTTGGTAGAAAATACAAAAATATTTCTGGTTTCACCATGTTGGCCAGGCTGGTCTTGAACTCCTGACCTCAGGTGATCTGTGCACCCTGGCCTCCCAAAGTGTTGGGATCATAGGCATGAGCCACCAAGCCTGGCCATAGTGAGAGCTAATTTTAAACTGGAAGTAATTAAAACAGCTGTGTTAATTTAAAAAATTGTCTTCAATATTTTATACTCGAGAATGGCAAAATTTAAAATATACTATTTATCTACAGTCTTTCTTCTTGAAATACTTGAATAAATATTCCCTCTAGAAATCAGCACTAAAGCACCATTTCCACAGGGAGTTCTAACATTAAGCTAGAAAATTAACAGCTGGTTTAGTTTCAATTCAATTGACAGGAAAATGTAAAGAGTTGCAGCGTAATTAGAAACAACTGCCTGCCAAGACGCCCCACTGGGGTTCCTTTCAACCCTCCAGAGACCTCCCAGCTCCATCTCCCAGTGGAGCCCTCTGGTTTCTTCTGCCAATTATTAAAGGGCATTGTAAGTTTTAATAACTTCTGTGAACCACTTAAGAATTCCACTGAAATTATTTACTTATCCAAACATTTATTCAGACATTTTAGTGATGTGTTAATGTATTTCCTTCAATGTTTTAGTCCTCAAAGTTTTAAAAATTGAATAATGAAAAAAAGTGACTTCCTTAAGGTAAAATTGAACTTAGCAGTACCCCACTTTCTGAGGGGTGGCTTGGGGCAAGGGTAAGTAATAGAGAAAATTACAGGGGTGCTTCAGCATAGCAGCGATCAGAACAGGCTTTTGTCATGTCTAAAACACAAGTCATGATGTCTGAACAGATGACCAAACACTGACCTCATAAACACAGTGCAGTCAGTTAAAAGGCAATTTCCTCATATAAATCCAAATGACATCCTTCAGGAACCTTACTCATTATCGACAGAAGAAATATGGAATCTTAGCATTTTGGCAAGGGATGAACCTTAGAAGTGGTCTAGTTTATGCTCCTTATTTTACAAACTGGGAAATGGCAGCTCAGAGAGGGTCCTGAGACTTGCCTAAAGTTGCACAGCCCACAGTGCTGACACCAGCACAGAAGTGCCCAACCTCCAACTCCTGGCCCAACTTCCCTTCCCCTCCCACACCACTTCATGGGCGATGCAGCAGGCAGACTGTTCAGCTTATGACACTATGTATTACATGCCTTTTGCATTTTATTATATTCTAACATACTGGAATACATATGTTTAGAAATGTGGGCTGGAGTACATGTTAAGCTTTCACTTTTTTTTTCCAGTCCAGACTGTCTCAAGGGGGGTATTTTTATCTTTTATAAAAATGGTTAAATATTACTGATATGCTAAGGACAGCCCAATTACTTCATCACAAATTTGAATTATCTTTTTTTTTTTTTCTGTCACACTTATGGCTTACTGCAGCCTCAATCTCTTGGGCTCAAATGATCCTCCTGCCTCAGCCTCCTGAGTAGCTGGGACTATAGGTTTGTACCACCACACTGGGCTAATTTTATAAAAAATATTTTGAAGTGACTGTATCTCACTATATTGCCTGGGCTGGTCTCAAACTCCTGGGCTCAAGAGATCCTCCTGCCTCAGCCTCCCAAAAAGTGCTGGGATTACATGCATGAGCCACCACACCCAGTCAGAATTATCTTTTTAAAGTAAATTCAGATATTTTTACTCTTGCTTAGTGAACAAAATCCCACAACCTGATAATTATGGTATTTTATTATTCCACTGATATTACTGATAAAAATTACATCTGTCAAAATATTTTCTATTTTTTTGCAGAAATAATTTCTATAGTATTAGTATGATTTCACTTTTCTTACTCAAATCTACTTCTATTGCTGTGTAACCAGAAATTGCTTCTATGTTCTAGAATAAAAGATTTATTTTAAAATCAACAGGAAATGGAGTTTCAGGAATAAATAAGCAATAATCCATGGAGATAATCAGGAGGTCTAAATGTAAAAAGCTAATTAATTTTTATATCTAGTATCATTAGTTTGTTAACAGTAAATTTAAAGCAAACCAATTCTTCAAATTAAATAAGACACATAAGAGTGTGGAAACTATTCACATCAACCATTACTTTTGGAGATGTACAGGAGTTTTAAAAAAGCAAGCAGTAGGCTGGGCGCGGTGGCTCACGCCTGTAATTCCAGCACTTTGGGAGGCTGAGGTGGGTGGATCACCTGAGGTCAGGAGTTTGAGACCAGCCTGTCCAACATGGTGAAACTGTGTCTCTACTAAAAATACAAAAATTAGCCAGGCGTGGTGGCGCATGCCTGTAATCCCAGCTACAAGGGAGGCTGAGGCAGGAGAATCGCTTTAACTGGGAGGCAGAAGTCGCAATGAGCCAAGACTGTGCCACTGTGCCATTGCACTCCAGCCTGGACAAGAGCAAAACTCTCAAAAAAAAAAAAAAAAAAAAAAAAGAAAAAGAAAAAGAAAAAAAGCAAGCAGTAGAGTACTAACCTAGTTATCATGAGGAATTTTCCACCACTGTAGGAATGAAAATTAAGATGAAACTTTATTATTTTTATTGCCTTTAAGCATTATACAGAAATTGCAGAAACATACTGTTTTTTAGAGACATATATGCTGTTGTCACATATATTGGATTTTTTCCCTCCTCAATTCAGTAAACATTTATTATTATTATAAAACATTATTACCTATTGTGTGTGGCACTGTGCCACACACTGAGGACAGCAAAACAATTAAGATCCAGTCCTCACTCTCAGGAGATTCATTTGCAATCTATGAGAGAGGCAGAGTGGCAAAAAACAGATCAAAATGTAAGTACTACATAGTACTGGGAATAGCTACCATCCAGCGGAGGGAGGAAGAAGGCATGGTGGTAGACGCCTGTAGTCCCAGCTACTCGGGAGGTTGCAGTGAGCCGAGATCGCACCACTGCACTCCAGCCTGGGTGACAGAGCGAGACTCCATCTCAAAAAAAAAAAAAAAAAAAAAAAAAAAAAAGGCTGCGATAAACGTAATTTTTCGTTTCAAATGTAGTGTGTACACGTTATTTTAGCTAAGAGAAATGAATATAATAAGTTAAAATGTGAGTAACATTCAAGAAAACTGGGTCAAAAATATTTTCCTTATTGGCAAAAAATTTTGTTACCCGCCATTCTTTTAAGACAGCTTTCAGCCAGTTAACGGTTCCTGGTTAAGAAACAGTACTGTCTGATTTGTTAGAGTAGTACCGTTTCGTGAATTACTTTCCACTACAGCAACACATGCATTGCCCTTATGAGATGCTTATCTCGATATGAACCAAACTGCTGAGCAGGTGGAATCTGTGCCAAACTAGCTGATGTTTACTTTGAACACACTGATATTCGGAAAATAAATCCCTCTTTTTTCCTCTTTAATCTTTTAATGTTTGTCTTGCACATGGATGGACCGCCAGTGAAGTGATGCGCACATCATAAATCACCATGGTTTTTAATTCCTGGGTGATGAGACCCATAATTCGCTTGTCAGCTGTTTGTATAGAATCATTTTTAAATGGCATGTTTTGGAGACATCTTGATAAAATAAAAACTGGAGTTCTAAAGTTGCAGTCACATATTCACGAACCGAGAACTCTACATGGTAGGATGAATTTTGCTCACTAGTGTGGAGTCGGCAACAAAGCAAATGCAGCCGCGTCACTGCCGTTTGTTTTCTCAAGTCTCCTACGGGAAGGGGCTCGGACAGTGCTTTTCCACTCCTCTGCAAATTCCTTATAGTTGAACACATCATAACAAACATACAGGTCGAGAAATCTGGTCGTGGCATTAATAGCTACAGTGTTTCTTAAAAATAAAAAGTTTTAAAAAGTTTCTGAAAAAAATGTAGGCGAGCCAACCTTGTTTCTAAACAATCCCAACAGGACTTTTAGGAGCACGGCGATGCTGAATGCCCGTGGACGGCTGGGTGCGCGCCGTTAGCTGGCGCGGTGACATCTGCTTAGAGTTTTCAAGCATTTCAGCATCGCTAGGAGCCCTACAGCCTGACGGTCCGGGACAGCCCGGCTTCCTCCACCCGAGGGGGAAAACAACCCCAGGAAAACAACTTAAACTCGGCCTTGGACTGTCCATCAAGGGAAGCCAAACGAGGCGCTGCTCTCCAGACCTCCAGGAGCAAAGGAGGAAGATCAATTATTCCAAAAGTTTCTCACAAATTTCCCGAGCTCCCCACAACTTTTTGAAGAATCCTGAAAGAATCCTAGGGGGCTGGGAGCCGCACACGTGCCGGGGCTCGGCTTCCCAGCTCGGCAGTCTCAGCCCGCTGGGCTCGCCCGGCAGCTCCGCTGCGCCGCCGACCCGCCCGTCCCCGCCCCGCGCTGCCCTCGGCCCCTGTGCCTGGCCTCCGGGGCGCCCGGCCCGCCTTACCCCGCTCTGCCGCGGCGGCGACCCGGGTGCGTTCCTCCGGAGCAGGGCTCCCGGCCGCTCTGAAAAGAATTCCTTTCACACGTGCGGTGCTGCTTCACGCGTGCGCCCCGCGCCAGGGCCCGACCTCCCCGCCCTGATCGCCATCCCTGCAGCCCCAGTGTGCGCTGCGCCCGACGCCCCCAAGCTGCAGCTCAGGACGCCGCGCCACGCCCCCGCCGCCTCCGAACAGCCCCGCCCCGCGCGCTTCCCAGCACGCACACCTACCGCCCCCGCATCCCTACCCTGTACGCGCAGCCACAGCACTCGCCCGCGTCCGCATTCCACACCCTACCCCGCGCGCACGTCCATGCCTAGCGCCTGCATCCCCATCCCGCACCTGCGCGGGCCCTGGGGATGTGGACGCGGGGGCTCTTCCCTGCCGCCTACGCACTCCGGGGCATGCCCGCGCGGGACGTGAGAGGAGAGCCGAGGGCTGTTGGGGCGGGCCCGACCCGCTTGCGGGGCGCCCACCGCACGCAGATGCGCCAGCCCGCGCCCCGCTCGCGCCTGTCCTGGGCTTCGCAGGCCCGGCGAGGTAGCTGCTCTCCGGGCGCTCCCACGGTCGGAGGCGCGTGGGCGTCGGGCACCTAGGTCTCGCCCGCCTGCAGCCGCCTGGGGACGCGGGTTCCGGACGGCTGGCGCGGGGCGGGGCGGGGACCACCGAGCAGGAAGTCCCCGCGGAAGCGCCGCCGGGCACAGCGTGGGTGCTGTCGAGGAGTGGCGCCCGGGCGGGGCGGGAGGTTATAAATAGCGGCCGCCATCCTGCTTCTCTTCAGACACACTTAATTTAGCCGGCAGGCACACGGATGCTTATTTTTAAAAAAAGAACTTGTTTTATTGCGCTCGAGGTGACCGGGAAGGTGTCCCCGCGGGTCACTCGCTCCATCTGGTCCTGGAGACGAGATGCCAGGGCGAGGCCTAACCTGCCTGCTGGCGCCCAACGAAGATTTTAACGTTTTCTGTTCCCTTCGGGGTGGTTTTACCACGCTTGAGAGGGACGCCTACCGCGGAAGGCCGCGGACCGAGGGCGGCATCGCGTCCTTGTCTGCTGTCTGGGCACAGCCTAGAGAGGCCGCGGGTCCCCTCCCCGTCCCCCAAGGTCTGGAGTGGGGTTTGACCAGCCTGGGATATTAACAAATATCGGTGGACTGCATTTCGGTGATCATTCCACAAGCTGAAATGGCTTCAAAATCACCTTTATGAGTAATAAGTTTATTCCAGGAATGTGGCAAAATGCAAGTCTGATAGTTTTCGTGTCTTCATGGAGCAGCTTCCGTCGGCTGCCTTCGTTAGCGTTTAGATCTACTCGGATTAGCAGTTGGCTTGCCCTGAAAAATGCGTTTGTTCTGCTGAGATCTGAATTTAAAGTTATCCCAAGGAGGAAAAACTAAGCTCCTAAAGGCGCATCTAAAATATCTTCTCCCTTTGGGAACTTTGCGGTGTATGTATGGAGTAGGTAGTAGTTACGGAGACTTAGTTTTTAATTTTTAATTGAAAAATGCTACCTTTGAAGGTCTTAAAATACTTGAATATTTTTCTCATTTAAAACATTTTCTCTGAGAAGCACAGGAATAGTTTTTTTTTTTTTGTTGATCACAAAAGCACTAGGAATTGTTAATATTTGTAGTCTGTTTGCCAAATGCTATTATTGGTATTCTGAGGATAAAAATGGAAATATAATATTGTAATAATTTTAAAATTTTTATTAAAATATAGATTTTAAATTATATTATGTAATTCGAACAAATATTTTACATATATGTTCATACAAGCATTATTTACTATAGCCAAAAGGTGTCCATCAATGGATGAATGGATAAACAAAATGTATTGCATACCTACAGTGGAATATTATTCAGCCTTAAAAAGGGAGAGCCCCATCACATGCTACAACGTGGACGAACCTTGAGTACATTATGCTAAATGAAATAAGCCAGTCACAAAAGTCACAAATACTGTATGATTCCATTTACATGAGGTACCTACAGCAGTCAAAATCATAGAGACGGAAAGTAGAAGTGTGGTTACCAGCAGCTGGGGCAGTGGGAAACGGGAAGATAGAGTTTCATAGGTACGGAGTTTTAGTTTGGGAAGATAGAAATAGTTTTGGAAGCAGATGATGGTAATGGTTGCATAACAATGTGAATGTACTTAATGCCACAGAACTGTACACATTAAGAAAGGTTAAATGGTAAATTAAAGGTTATGTATATTTTACTACCATAAAACAATTTTTAAAGTGGTATTGTGTAAAGACCAGCACAACTAAGAAGCTAGCAGTTTCTTTACACTTGTCATACTGTACAATTTCTAGGTAGACAACTAAGATGTTCATCTTATGGTTTAATGTTTAGTTGTAAAGGTTGTTTGCTTCTCATTTGGTTCCAAGAAAGAGTATTTAGGCCAATTTCAGGGAGAAATATGTGTATAGATATATTCATATGTCAAACTGATTAGTGCTGAATGTCACATTTCCATATTCTAATAACATTTCTAGCAAAGAAGAGGACACAGTGAAGAGAGAATTGCCCGCATTGTCATTGTCTCTTTCTGAGCCTAGAACGCCTAACACTTGGGTGTGGAGAGACTCAGCCTCAATTCACTTTCTAGCAGCCACTGAGATGTGCTTGCCTGGGGTGCCCCCTGGCAGGCAGGGCTGGAACTGCTTTCCAGTACCCACACGGACTGTGAACGAATCTTTCTTTGTGCTTTGTGTACAGAATGGAAGTTCAACAAATATTTGTTGAATGTGTATGTCCTTCCAATACGCAGCAGCCCAGAGCAAACGTGGTAATCTTGTGTGTGTTCATGTGAAAGCAGAATTTAATGGTGCTTTTAAGCACCAAAGTTTAAGATGCACGAGAAAACTGTATCTCCATTTTTTCCTTTTCGTTTACAATTACTTGTATAAGCCAGGCACGGTGGTGGCTCACGCCTGTAATCCCAGCACTTTGGGAGGCCGAGGCGGGCGGATCACATGAGGTCGGGAGCTTGATACCAGCCTGGCCAACGTGGTGAAACCCCGTTGCTACTAAAAATACAAAAATTAGCCGTGTGTGGCGGCACCTGCCTGTAATCCCAACTACTCAGGAGGCTGAGGCAGGAGAATCACTTGAACCGGGGAAGCGGAGGTTGCAGTGAGCTGAGACTGCACCACTGTACTCCAGCCTGGGTGACAGAGCAAGACTCCATCTCAAAACAAAAACAAAAAAACAAAAACAAAATTACTTGTATAGACCGTCACTATTCCTTACTTACTATGCTGATTGACAATGTATAGTATTTCAGTTACTCTGCGGGCTATAAATAGCTCTAATAGCACTTAAAAAAATGAATCCAGCTGGGTGTGGTAGCTCATGCCTGTAATCCCAGCACTTTAGGAGGCCGAGGCGGGTGGATCACCCGAGGTCGGGAGTTTGAGACCAGCTTGGCCAACATGATGAAACTCTGTTTCTACTAAAAATACAAAAAATTAGCCGGGCATGGTGGGGTGGTGCGCACCTGTAATCCCAGCTACTCGGGAGGCAGAGGCAGGAGAATTGCTTGAACCTGGGAGGTGGAGGTTGCAGTGAGCTGAGATCGTGCCACTGCGCTCCAGCCTGGGCAACAAGAGCAAAACTCCATCTCAAAAAAAAAAAAAAAAAAAAAAAAAAAAACGAATTCCAGCAATCCAACTTTTATTTATTGAACTTCTCCTCATACAAGGCCTTGGGCTGGGTGTTGACGGATGGGAAGGTTCCACTTTCTCTACTCAGAGAATTCATTGCGCCCAGCTCTGTGCCAATTTTTGTCCACAGGAGGATTTTACAATCTGTTGTTTCTGAATCACAAAGTATTAATTAACAAACAGTTAGCGGGTGTGGTGGATCATGCCTGTAATTCCAGCACTTTTAGAGGCCAAGGCAGGAGGATTGCTTGAGCCCAGGAGTTCGAGACTAGCCTGGGCAATACAGTGAGATGCTCCCCTACCCCAACCCCCCATCCAGTCTCCACAAAAATATTAAAAAATTAACCTGGCAAGGTGGCTCGTGCCTTTAGTCCCAGCTACTCAGGAGGCTGAAGTGGAAGGATTGCTTGAGCCTGGGAGGTCGAGGCTGCAGTGAGCCATGCCCCTCCACTCCAGCCTGAGTGACAGAGCAAGGCCCTGTCTCTAAAATAAAATAAAATAAAAATAAATAAAATAAAATAAAATCCATGGGATAATTTCTATGAAGTGATTGCAACTTGGAGAAAAATATAAACAAGCAGTGTTTATTTCTTATCTCGCATGTGGAAAAATGAGATTTGCATGTCTCATATGGGCTCTGCAGGCCTTGGAAATGTCCCCTGTGGAAATTTTCTGGGCTGTGCAGTTAATACAACCTGTATCCAACTCTCGTCGGATAATTTATTTAATTCCAGAAAATTGGGTAGTCAGAATGGAGGGTGGCAGAGATATCAGTGCAAGTAGTCAGAAGTACAGACTTTCTAGAACTACTAGGCTGAATAGAGGATTACACTGAGATAGGGTTTTCATAGAAATTTTAAGTTGCAAAAAATTTCAAACCAGAATGCTAGGATGAGAACATTTATTTAGCAATGTGGTATGCATTATAAAGAATATTTTCTCTTTCTTGCAGAGAGTTAAATCCAGTAATTTGAGATTCCATCTCCCGTGGGAGTTTGCTTTGAAAACATAATGACTGTAAGGTAAATAAATCAGAGTTGATTAATCATGTTACGGCAGCATACAATTTCATGAATACTTTAAGAATTGCATTATTCTTGCACAAATGATTATATCCAACTGATAGGAGCATTTAGAGCGTATTAACTAAATCCTCTTTGGTGAAAGTTGTGTGTTGTATCCAGACATTTCAGGTTAATCTGCTGGAAAGTCCCTTTGATGCTGTTCTTCCTTTCTTTTGATGTATGTTTTCTAAGTATCCATAAATCCTTGCTTGGCTAGTCAGAAGGGCTGGGAAGACCAAACTGGAAAAACTGCCCAGAGAAGGCAGGAGGAGCAGGGTGCTATGGAGAAAGAGTAGCCATGGTGCTGGGGCTCAGGAACTGTGCATTGACACGAATGAGGACAGCAGGGTGGAGGGTGAGAAAGAGCACTTGAGACTGGGCGTGGTGGCTCACACCTGTAATCCCAGCAATTTAGGAGACTGCTTGAGCTCAGGAGTTTAAGACCAGCCTGGGCAACATGGAAAAACCCCGAGTCTACAAAAAATACAAAAATTAGCCGGGCATGGTGGCGCATGTCTGTAGTCCCAGCTACTCAGGAAGCTGAGGTGAGAGGATCGCTTGAGCCTGGGAGGTGGAGGTTGCAGTGAGCCGAGATCGTGCCACTGTACTCCAGCCAGAACGAGACCTTCTCCGAAAAAAACAAAAACAAAAACAAAAACAAAAACCAAAAAAGCACTTGGGCAGCAGCCGAATTAGAAAATTAGATCTCCTCATGTGGAAGAGGGTCAGTGTGATTCCTAAAGCAGGTAGGAGAACCACTGATAAACCATAGACAAGCAAGAGTGTCAGAGTCCTTGTCTGCTCAGTTATTGTCAGTTATCATCAGGTAGAACAAGCCTTGTCCTGGTATTTCACGTACTTCAGAAATAAAGACAGCCTTGGCTGAGAACAGACTTGTTTCTGATAATAATAATATAACCCTTCACCACTGCTTGGTGTTTTAACGTTTTCAAAGTGCTTGATCTTATTTGAGCTTCAAAACAAACGTGTGAGGAAGGAAGGGCAGGGATCATTTCCCATTTCACAGAGGAATACGTTGAGAGATGGGGAGGTGAAATGGTTTGCAGACATGTGTCACTGCTGGTAAATAGCTTATGGGAGTATGGGCTCTGACCTTGCAGGTATCAACCTAGTTCTTTCTGTGTAGCACTGTGAGACTTCTGAGGTTGACTAGGAAAAGAACTTAGTCATCCATAAATCAGTAAAAGTCGTGGTAACATCTAGAAAGGGCTAACATCAGTGATGTGAAGTCGTCAGCCTGTGGTTCTGAGGGAATGGGCCACGGTCCTGGAGGATCCCCATGCCTGCGCCCAGCCCGACTGGGCAAGATGATCCACTCCTCACCACCCCTAGGTACAAGAAGAGCTCCTCGCCTCCTGGTGAGCCTCACAGGGTCTGAGAATTTGCCTTGCCTGAGGATCTCAAATGACAGAATTTAAATTTGGTGGTGTTCACAAGCTGAAGGAGTTTATTTTCATGAAAATTGGGAGGGAAAAGGTGGTGCTTTATCATTTCTTCTGGGGAAGTAATCTTCCGGGGAAGTGTTAACACTATTACCCTCATTTTAAAAATTAAGAAAACAGGTAGAGTGTGGTGGTGCATGCCTGTAATCCCAGCGCTTCGAGAGGTGGAGGCAGGAGGATTGCTTGAGGCCAGGAGTTTGAGACCAGCCTGGACAACAAAGCAAGACCCTGTCTCTACAAAAAATAAAAAAAGTTAGCTGAAGGCAGTAACATGTGCCATAGCCCCAGCTGCTGGGGAGGCTGAGGTGGGAGGATTGCTTTGAGCCTAGGATTTTGAGGCTGCAGTGACCTATGATCCTGCCACTGCACTCCAGCCTAGGTGACAGAGTGAGACCCTGTCTTACAAAAAGAAAATAAACAAAAATTAAAGAAACCAAGTAGAGAAAGGATATGTGACTTATTCAAGAGCATGGTCTACTTTGGTGGAAGGTGGTCAATGTGTCTCAGGCTGAAGTTGTAAAGTGAGAAGAACAGGAGGGCGACCTGAACGATTAAGGCAAAACTTCGAAATGTGCCCCAGCAGAGATTTATTTTTCAGGGGGTGTTTTGCATTCCAGCCCCTCTGCCTTCCTGGCGTTTAGTGCGATTTGTTTAGCCATGTGCTCCCTGGTGTGTGTTTTTGAATGTGTGTGAGATGGGTTGTCTCTCGGGACCTGGCAGGTGCGGCCACCAGGTCAGGGCTGCCCCCCAACCCTGTGCCTCCTTCCTCCTAGACTCTGGCCCCCTCAGTGCTGAGGGTGATACAGAGCACTTTTCAAGCTGGATTTGGAATGTGGCCTCTCCCCTCCAAACTCCTGGAGATCATGCAAAGGCCTTTGGAGCCAGCCAGTCACCTGGAAGGTGACATTCCCACCAGCTGAGGCCTCACCTTCAGCGGGGGCTGGGCAGCTTTGGAGCCTGGGGCCAGCCAAGCTCACTCTGCCCATATCCCTGCCACGTGTGGCCCAGCGGATGATCACCTGTCTTCATCTGCGTACTGGGCCACATCCCTCCTGCCGTCCCCCACTTCCCTGATGACACCTACAGCAAGCCCCTACCCAAGTGTTCTGTGATCCCCTGTAAATGTGGCCTCCCTAGCTACTTGCTTTTATGAAACCAACAATCCTGGGGACACAGTTTTCGGCTGTCTCAAGACGGGGCAACCACTCTTTTCCCCAGGCCTGTGGGTCCCAGGCCTGGAGCTAGGGTTGGCATTCTTGCCTGAATTCTCCACTCTATCCCAACCCCTGAGGCCGCCTGAGGAGGCTCAGACTGTGTCAGGCTAGGAGGACAGTCAAACCACAAAAACATGCCTTTTAAGAAGTATAAGCACAAATCCCTCTTTGATGTTATATAAAAGCTCAGTGTCACTGATTAGGAATCCAGCAGCCCAGGTCCCTGTGTGGACATGACGGTGTTGAGGGAAGCGGATTGACCGCTGGCGGTTGTGTCCACAGCGAGGAGGTGGCTCTCCACTGTTGCTGTGCCAGCCACGTTTCCAGGAGTGTGTTTAGTTTTGGACAGAGTCCAGTGAAAAATCCAATCTATTTAAACAATGGAACATCACCCATTTAAAAGGTGACTGGCCCATTTAAAAGGATACAGAGAGGACTGAAAAACCACAAACTATAAAGAGGGGTTGAAGGGAGTGGGAATATTTCCCTAAGAGAAAGGACTCAGAGAAGACCCCTGTCCATTTAATGAGTACTGGTTACATGCCAGACACTGGGCCAAGACACTTACATATATTAGCTCACTTAATCCTCACAGCAGCCCAGTGAGGGTCATATGAAGAAACGGAGGCTCAGGAAGGTTAATTAACTTGCCGAAGGCCACACAGCTAGAATGGGGCAGGGTCAGGATGTTAATATGAATCTGCGGCCCCAAGCCCTTGCTCTTAACCAGCTGTGTGTGTGTGTGTGTAAACACAGTCATATGTGTATGTATGTGTGTGTATATATTTGTGTGTGTCAAAAAGTTTAGGCTGGCTTTGTATGTCCACCAAAAGGACAACCATGACCTGTGGGCAGAAGTTCCTGGAGAACAGCTTTTGCTTAAACCCATTACATATACCCAACTAGAGTTGTCAAGAAGTGGCTTCAGGATGTGGTGGTTTCCAAAGGTAGTGGGTGGGATGTCTGTGGAGTGTGTCTCTGAGAAGGTGGCCAGGAAATGCATCTATGAGGTGATGGGAAGTAACTTCCTGGAAGGGAAGAAGAGTTCAGATTAAATTAAGGCTGGATGTTAGAAGTGTTAGATAAAACCCTTTGGAGGACCTGGTGGATGCTGGAAATTTGTTAAGCGAGCCATCCATGTAAAGTGCAGCAGGGAAGGGTGCGTCTTGGAGTCAGCTGGTGGGCGACACTGTGAGGCGACTAGCCCTGCGAACTCTTGGGAGGCTGGGACTGAAGAAGACTGAGGAGGAACAGATGTGCCCTGGGCTCCCTTCTCCAGCTCCTTAAAATACCTGTGTCCTACAGGGAGGACAGACGGAGAGATGGTGCCACAGAACCCAGGAACTGAGCCTGGGAGGCTTTGCTGCTTTTGGTGTTGGTTGAACAGGATTTGTTCATGGATTACTTTTTTTTTTTTTTTCCACGCAGGCTGGAGTGCAATGGTGCCAACACAGCTCACTGCAGTCTCAACCTCCGAGGCTCAAGTGATCCTCCTGCCCCAGCCTCTCAAGTAGCTGTGACCACAGGCGTGCACCACCACACCTGGCTAATTGTTAAATTTTTCATAGAAATGGGCATGTTGGCCAGGCTGGTCTTGAATTCTGGCCTCAAGTGATCCTCCTGCCTTGGCCTCCCAAAGTGCTGGGATTACAGGCGTGAGGCACCATGCCTAGCCATGGATTACCTTTTTGATTCCTCCTTTGCTCTTTTCTTTCTTGGCTTCTACTGGCTACATTTTCTTCTCACTTGTCTTTCCTATCCTTTCCTTTTAATTTCACTTTTGCCTAATGCAGTCATAAAGACATTTCTGTCAATGATGAACTGCATATCCAACGGTGGTACCATAAGATTATAATGCCATATTTTTACCATACCTTTGGTATGTTTAGATATGCAAATTCTTACCATTATGTTACAGTTGCCTTCAGTAATCAGTACAGTCACATGCTGTACAGGTTTGTGGCCTCGGAGCGATAGGCTACACCACACAGCTTAGGTGTGCAGTAGGCTATTCCATTGGTTTGTGTGGGTACACCCTATGATGTTCCCACAATAACAAAATTGGCTAATGACACAATTCTCAGAACGTACCTCTGTCATTAATCGAGTGACTGGGTATCATTTCTTCTTTCCCTCCCCTCAGTCCCCATCGCTGATGGCTCTTCTCCATCAGTAACCAGCCCCCACCACCACAGTGTCCTTTTTACTCTTCCTTCCTCCCCACCCTTACCCCTTGTGATGGGAGGAATGAGCAGAGATGGTGCAGGACCAGCCAGTTCCTGCCAGCAGACTCCCTGCCACCAGCAGCCGTTGCTAGATAAGTAGAATACACCTATTTCTTCAGGACAATTGAGAGAAAGTCTGAGTTTCCATCACTGGTCTGCCCTTATTAGCTCTCTGCCCTGGGGTAAGTGGCTTGCCCACACTGCCCCCGTTTCATGAGCTTATGTACATGGAGATTACGTAGGATTGTTACGAAGATGAATCAACATGACCCAGTGTATGAAGTAGCCTAAACCAGTGCTGGTGCATAGTTGGTGCTCAAAAAATGGCACCCGTTATTATTACTTAGAAACTTGTATAGCAGTTTGCCATTGCTGTGACATTTATATTGTAATTTACACAGGTTTTGATCCTCAAGAGATTAGGGAAAAAATCTTTCACTACTAATGTCATTATTTCCCCTTCTTTGCAAAAGCTACTTACTACGAATAGAAACATTTACATAACGAGTGAATTTCTCAAATGGTGCAAGAATCAACCGCAAAATAGGCCTCCTCTTTTGAGTTTGGGAGAGAATAAACAAACAGAAATGAAACAACCTGGTTCCTATGAAGCCTCTTCTTGCTTCTTTTTGCCTCCCTGCGGGCCCCTTTGTCAGCACAGGGCAGGTGCTGAAGAACTTGTGCTCATCTGGCCCAAGCGCCTCCTCCATGTTTTCATCCTTGACAAGCCCAGACCAGGAACTCAGTGTCCCCTCACAAGAGGACAAATTTAATTTCCTGCTTATCCAAGATTTGTTTTATTTGATATGTAGGGACAATGTGTTTATAAATGGTTAGCAGCTATTAAGAGTGTAGAAATGTGTCATTTTCTTAACAGATAGGATCACCAACCCTCTTGAAAAAAAGTTGACATCACTTTCTAATATGGCCCCTGTGTAATGTCCCCAAGGCACTGTGTGATGCCACAAAAGCAAAATAAAATATTTGAAGTGTGTAGATTTCAGTTTACAAAGGCCAGGCCTATTGTTTGCCAAGGAAAAGAAAGCAGGAACCACTGGGTTCTCCGACAGTACTTACTTGGCTTTCTTCCTCTAAAAGAATGAGGCATTATTAATCCTTTTATTTCTACCAGAGAGCACAGAGCAGCTGAGTGATAGATGTTATCTAGCTTAAATATGCACTGGGTAAGCATCTGAGTGCAGGTAGCACTGTTCTAGGAATTATGGGGCTCCTGGGAAAGCGTAATGTGTTTAGTAGCTTATAATCCATCAATATGAGTTGATGTTGATAAGTTCATTAATATGATTGATGAACTTATAATTCATCAACCCATCAAATGGCTGACAAGCACATGAACTATGCCAAAGGCGCTGGGGTGTGATGGTGAGCTGAGTTGGGGGTCTATTCTCTCTCAACTTACAATCAACAAGATGAGCATTAAACAGGTAAATGCACAAGAAAACATGTACTGTGTTTCACTGCATCTAAAGTACGGTTGATCATAAGACATATCACCATGTATGTACCACTGAAGTAAAAGCCTGACTGTCATTGTTGGATGTCGCCAATTGTAAAGCACGGCTCTCTATTTCACAGGTGTTAGAATGGGAAAGAATTGTGTGTCTTAGAATCTGTGTGTGTAAGAATTAACTTATAAGTAAATTAATTACTAATCACGGTGAGTTCTTTATAGAAAAGATGTTACAAGAAAGCCCAACAGAGAGCCCTGCTTTAGGATGAGTGACATTTCAGCTGAGGCTTGAAGGGTAAGGACAGGGGAGAAGAGTTGGTGGGATGCTGTCTCCAATGGGTGGTGCAGGAGATAGGTGAACAGCGGCGCAGGGGAGGGAGATCAATATGGTGGGGATAGTCAGGGAAATATTGGAGGTGGGAATTGAGCTGCATTTTGAATGATTTGAGGTGGAAAAGGAAGGCCCAAACAAGGGACATAACACTAGCTAAGGCCAAAAGCAAAAGATAATGGGTGAAAAATCCATTTTATAATTCAAGTGGAATCCCAAGAGACTCCAAATAGCCAAAACAGTCTTGAAAAGGAGGAACAAAATTAAAGACTCACTCTTCCTGATTTCAAAACATACTACAAAGTGATAGTAATCAACACAGTTTAGTACTGGCATAAAGACAGACATATAGACCAATGGAATACAACACAGAGGCCAGAAATAAACACTTACATGTATGGTCATCTTCCACAAGGGTGCCAAGACCATTCAATGAGGAAAGGACAGTTTTTCAGCATATAGTGGGGGAAGCTGGATATCCACATGCAAAACAATCAAGTTGGACCCTAATCTTCCACCATATACAAAAATAAACTCAAAATGAGTAAAAAACCTCAATGTTAGACCCAAAATAATTCAACTTGTGGAAGAAAACAAAGGGCAAAACTTCACAAACTTGGATTTGGCAAATGATTTCCTGGTTATGGCACCAAAGCCACAGGCAATAAAAGAAAAAATAGACAAATGGATTTTATGAAAATCAAAAACTTTTATGCTTCAAAGGACACTAAAGAGAGTGAGAAAGCAATCCACAGAATGGGAGAAAATATTTGCAAATCACATATCTGATAAGGAATTAATATCTGGAATATATAGCGAACTGCTAAAACTGAACAATAACAGTATCAACAGAAAACAAGCTGATTCAAAAGTGGGCAAAAGACTTCAGTAGACATTTCTCCAAAGATAGACAAATGACTCATAGGCACATGAAGAAATGCCCAATATCACTAATCCTTTGGGAAATGCAAATCAAAACCGCTATGACAGCCCACCTTACACCCATCAAGATGGCTATTATCAAATAAACCAAAAATAACAAGTGCTGATGAGGATGTAGAGAAACTGGAGGCTTTGTGTACTGTTAGTGGAAATGTAAAATGGTATAGTTGCAGTGGAGTACTGTATGGTCCTAGCACTTTCTGGGAAGATGAGTTAATTCTCTCTTCATTTCAGGGCCCATGTGCGTGGGTGGTGGGCTGGGAAACTTCTGTTGCTTCTGGGCTTCCTCCCCCATGGCTGCCGCGAGTCTCAACACTCACTTGCACCCTGGCTCCCGCCTGGCATCCTCAGCCTGCCCTGCTGCCTGCTCAGCGAATTCTACTCGTCCTCACCCAGTGTCCCTCAAGGCTTCCTTCAAATGTCCTCTCCACCAAGGAGCTTTCCCCGCCACCTGAGGCAGAGGAAACCACTCCTTTCTTGATTCTGCAGATGCAGATTCAACAGACACCTGGCACTGATGGGCACCGAGATGTCCTGTGTGTTCATGGAGTTTATGTTGGGGTTTGGTTGGGGGCACCCCCGAGCTCCCCTCCACAGTTCAGAATGAAACAAGAAATAAGACAGGACAGGCAGATAAAAATGTCAGCTTCAAAAGCCAGGATAAAGTGACTTGATACCCCTTTCTAAACTAGACAGAATCAACTACCTGCTCACAGCTGCTGGCCTCTTTCTTGGTGGCACAACCTGCCCCAGGCAGCTTCGGCTGCAGCCAAGGGTGAACCAGGACACCCCACCACCCCCAGGCCTTCAGGCAGTGCCACACTGGAGAGGAGGGCAGAGGGCATTGGCCCTCAAAGGGCCAATTCCATCCCCCAGACTCATGGATGAATTATGTCTCTACTCCCCTAGAGAGGAGGAAACGATGGAGTGAATGAGAGAGAGAAAGAGAGGGCACACTGAGGTGGAATTCGACCAGGGGGCATCCTCATAGAAATATGAGAACAGGGGTGGGATACCCCCTCCCGGGGCACACCTTACATTGCACAATGGTTGTTTTTCTGTCTCTTTTTTATCTGAATGTACACTTTTGCCAGCAGTAAAAATTGCCATATTTGCTTTTGTGCTCCAGCATTTAAGAGGGGCTCAGAAAGTTCTTGGGAGGTGTTGTTTGCTTAAGTGGAATGGGAAGGGGACAGGACATCTCTTTCCAAAACTTAGGTTTGGTGACTCCTGGATTTCACACTCTCTGACTGCTTGGGTGAGGGTGGAATGGAGGGCTGTCCCCCACCCTCGCACCTGCACGGTGGCATGCTTTCCTCCTACTCCAGGGAATTCCTCGTGGCCTCATGGCCTGGGCTGTTTCTGGCTTCAAGCTCCACGTGGCCTGGCCCCAGCGGTCTGGTCCACCTTGTACTCGGTGCCCCCGCTGCCCCCTGGCCTCAGCTGGAGTGACGCACCTCATCCATGCGGGCCTGGCGTCTGGAAGGTGGCTGGGTCTCTCGGGCTTGAGCACCATCATCTTAGCTCCAACATGTCATTATTCCTTCCTCACTGAGGACTTTTCTGCTTCCTAATTGGTTGTTGAAGATGAGGCCCCCATGCTCTTTTAAGAAAACCTGTTGTGCCCCAGGCTTGGCTGTGATGGGCACTGACTCATACAGAAGTAGAAAGGCCTGCTGAGTCATCAACACTCGTGCGACGCCCTCGCATTTTCATTAATGATGGCCTCCCTGCCACACGTGAATCACTCCAGCCCGAGATCTGAAACCAGGACACACCCCAGGGGCGAGGTGACGCTGAGTGAGCCCAGCTGTGTCCCTTTCATGAGAACTCAGAGCACAGGGCTCTGTGTGCATGGCCGTCCCCTCCAGAGAGGAGGAAGTAAATGCCGGGATTAGTGGAAGATCATTTCCTTCTATTTGCCTTGGCTTACGTCTTTCAGAATTCAAACACGTGCACTGTTGACCCTGCAATGGTGGAGTTTTTGGATTTTCCTTCAGTCCGATTGCTAAAATACTTCCCTCTCATGTGAGCTGTTGTGAAAGTCATCAGCCAGATACCATTCTAAAAACAAAGAATGTGCTTCTCGTATGTTGCATGCTGGTTACTGAAATATTAGGGAATTACATAAAGGTTTTCTGGGGCACATATTCAAGCTGAATGATAAAATTGAAGGTCACACAAAGCTAAGGTCTTTCAAATCCTGACCCAATTAGCTCTCTGTTAGCTCTCTGACTTTGGACAAGCTGTCTGGTCCTCTGAAGCATACTTTGTTCGCCCTGGGTAGGGGCCCTCTGTTTTAACAGCGTTTGGCAGATGAAAACATTTGCAAAGCCAAAGGACAATGAAATCTACGGAAGCCTACCATATGCCAATGACTCCACCAAATGTTTTCTCTTCTTGGGATCTTCTAAAATTCATCTGAATACTTATAAGTTATGCAAATTTTGGTTATTAATCTAGGTTGTATTACCTTGGGGGAAGTCAGTTAATCTCTTTGAACTCAGTTTCTTTATCTGTGAACCTGAAAGAACACCTTCAAACTCCAAGGGTGGCTGTCAGAATTAACTATAGAGGTGCAGGTATCAGATGAAAGCTATAAAACAGTTTACAGATCTTAGATATTATGATGGATGGCTATGATACGTTTCTCGAATCACTGCTTGCCAATGAGCTGTACAATCTTCCTGAAGGGGTCTGCCTTTCCAATCTGGGCAGCAACAGTTAATGACGGTGTGCCAGGATATCTGTGTCTCCTTTTATCTGCTCCAGACTTTAAACACACCCTCTGATTACATCACACTATCAATTTGAAAAAGGGCTCAGAGCCAAAATCACCACTGTTAGCGAGTTCTCCAGGGCTGCCTCCTATCCTCTGGAGGTGGGGCTCTCGTCTGCAGAAATAGGCATAAGGGTTTTCTATGGTTTTTGTTTGTTTTAAAGACGAAACATGTTTTGGGATCTTTTAAGAATCCTAATCGTTGTGAAAGAAACTGAAGTAAGTTACTGTTCAAGTGACTCTCATTCTGCTGTGAATAGTTTCTCCCACGTGAAGTCAGCTCAAGAGACTGTGAATTGCTTCAGCCTACCTGAGACCTGGTACACAGGGAGGCTTCCTAGCCACGGAAGAGGAGAGCGTTTGCAGGAGGAGAAGGAGGAGAGAGGGCCCACGCAGGTGACATTCTGGAAAGGGAATGCTGGTGCGAAACTGCCTCACCTACTTTGCTCCTTGGATGTTCAGGAAAAGCCAGCCCCATCCGCCCCAGTCCGAGGGCCTCACTCATGGAACAAATGAAGCTGAGAAGAGGAGCTTCCTGTTTTCCAGCTGCTGGGGTCATCATTATCTTCAGGAAGGACCCCGAAAAGCATCGTGTGTTGTTGCAAAGGCCTGCCTTATCCTGGCCCCCAGGTCCCTCTCCGCTGGCCCTGTCTACTGGATAAGCTGAGGTTGCACGAAGTAGGTCCAGGCCTAATGTGACAGTGAATAATATGGTGTTTGGCCACACAGAGATGTGTGTAGGTACAAAAACCACCATGCTTTTGGCGGCAAAGTAAAAAATGAAGATGTCGTCAAACGATCTGAACTCTGATGGAGACTGAGCGAGAGACCCTGGCCCAAAACAATCACTCCATGGCGGATGCGCTCTGGGGTAGACAGCTACTGCTCTCAGAGCAGCTGTTTTCAGGCCACAAGGCCGGACCATTGTTCAGTTACCTGGCTTTTGTCTGGTTCAAGCACCTGACAGGGATCTGGGAAGGTCTTGTCATGTTTCCAGTCCTTTGAGAAACTGCTGCTCAGGGTTCAGGAAAGACGCTGAGCGGGCGGGCACGCGCCCCATGGGGAAGCCTGGCTGAGACGGGAGGTCTCGGGAGCCTCCGTCTTACTTGCCACCTGGTTGCCGCCCTCCCCTCGGAGACCCCCTGTCTGGAGACACGCCCCAATGTGGCCCCCTCTCGCGGGCACGTGCCGGAAGCAGAGACACATCTTGGAGCCGTGGAGGACGGTGCCGGCGGCAAAGTCCCAGGCTGGAAGAGCCGGGGGAGAGCGAGAGCCCCGGCCCGGCCCAGAGAACAGTGGGCGCCGCGCCGCCTCCCGCAGGGGCGCAGACGGGACCCTGGCGCCGAGCACAGCCGGGCGGTGAGGAGGGACCGCCGCCTGCCACCCGTGCGCCGCGCCTCCCCAGTCCTCCCTCTCTTCTGGTGCTCCCCGTTTCTTTTCGCCCCGCGGCCACCGCGCCGCCTCCCTCACTCGCGCCCCGATTCTACGGCACCTCCCTGGTGATCCCAGGTCCTAACAGGGCGGCTGTGCCTCCTCCTCAGCTGCACTTTTGATTTCATCCCTTGTGCGGCAGAAGCTGCCAAGCTCTGTCCGAAACACCCCAAGGCCCGGTGACCGGTGCCCAGGCCTCGCTGCCCAGCAGCGCCTGCCCTTCCGTGGGGCTGCGCCTTTGAGCCTGGTCGGCCCTGCCAGCCCGGGCCTGACGACACGGCCGCGCCCTGCGCTCCAGCTAGGATGGGCACATGAGTGACCACCCTGGCACATAAGGCCTCCCTGCGAGCTTCCCTGCAGGACGGAGCCACTGTAGCTGGCTTCATGAGGCCCCCTTATCCGAGACCTCCCTCGCCTGGATCGTCCCTGCTCCCTGCCAGTGCTCACTGCATCTTCCACCAAGTTGCTGGCACGCAGGCATGCAGTTCTGCCCAGGTCTACATCTGTGGCCTTTCCCTGACTCCTCATGGGCGAATCCTCCTCTCTGCTCCTTTGAGGCCCTCCCTGCTCCTCGACCCTGGCACCCTGGAAGGTCTTCCATGCCGGCTCTCCCCCTGCTCCTTCCCTGGAGTACTTTGCCTCCTCTGGTGACCTCAGCCATCAGGGATGCAAGGACATAGCCCACACGAATATTTCTAGCCTGCGTTTGGCATGAGTTTTAGACAAGCCTTTCTAGCCTGCTTCATTTTCCCACCTTGCAAGTGCCTCCCGCCTCCTACTCAGCAAGTTTTAAATCAGACTATTGTCTCCCCTCATGACACAGATGCGTTGCCCTGGGGCTTATTTTTTTTTTTTTAGAGAGTTTCACTCTGCCACCCAGGCTGGAGTGCAGTGGCGCAATCATGGCTCACTGCATCCTCAATCTCAATCTCCCTGGGCTCAGGTGATCCTCCCACCTCAGCCTCCTGAGTAGCTGGGACTACAGGCATGAGACATCATGTCTGACTGATTTCTGGACCCATTTTTGTAGAGCTGGAGTTTCGCTATATTGCCCAGGCTGGTCTCAAATTCCTAGGCTCGAGTGATTCCCCCACCTCAGCCTCCCAAAGTACTGAGATTACAGGCATGAGCCATGGTGCCCGGTCTGGAGACTTACTTGTTTTTATTTCCCACTGCACAGATATAAAAATATAGTCACCTTGGAGTCTTTCCTCTCTCTCTCTCACCCTTTTTTACTTATCTATTGACAAGTCATGATTTTTTTTGTATTTAGTTTTTGTTTCATAATCATAAACTTAACTCTTCAATCTGGCTAGAAGTGGAGGAGAATTAAAAAAAGGAAGCTCCAAAAACTTCAGCAAGAGCATGAAAATTATAGGATATTATGAACAAATGGGTGGAAGTGTGCTCTCCTGAGCTACAGAAGGAATGCTCTGGTGATTAAGAGAAACACAAATCAAATTTATTGGAGTTGTCCACATTTGGCAATGGTGATCTTGCTGGTCTTGCTCTTCCTGGACCCAAAGCGCTCCATGGCTTCCATGATATTCATGCCTCCTTGCACCTTGCAAAGACCACCTGGCTGCTGGCCCACCACTCAGTTTTGGCAGTACAGATGAAAACCTGGGAACCATTTGTGTCGGGTCCAGCATTTGCCATGCACAAGATGCCAGGACCTGAATGCTTCAGGATGAAGTTCTCACCATCAAATTTCTGCCCATAGATGGACTTGCTGCCAGTGTCATGATGGCGTGTGAAGTCACCACCCTGGCACATAAGCCCTGGAATAATTCTGTGAAAGCAGGAGCCCTTATGGCCAAATCCATTCTCTCCAGACCTCACAGCATGAATGTTTCCTGCTATGTTTGGAACTTTGTCTGCAGCTAGCTCAGAAGAGATGTGGCTTAAGGGCTCAGCAATGTCATAAAACATGGCAGAATTGACCATGGCTGGTGGCAGGGGATCCTGGGGGCATTGGCAGCTACAAAGCCCATGATTGTTATTAAGATATTTAATATGTATTTTTCCATTTCTGCCACCAAATTTATTTGGCTACATGCTACTGTACTGCCTCAGGGTTATGTTTCTGGAGCGCAGCTCTGACTGTGTGGATTTCCAGCTGCGAAACACTCCAGGGCTTCTCATTATCCAGCAAGCAAACTCTGTCCTCTCTCTTTCTGCTTAGGGGCCTTCCTTGCTCCACCCCCAGTAAGTGAGACTTCTCTCCCTTTCAAGAGTGTGCCCTTCGCTCACTCTCGTCAATGTGAGCTATCTTACCTTCCTTTGCTGTCCTCTCCTGCAAGGTCTGAGAGCCCAGAACCGAGTTCCAGAGGACTTTATAACTCCCCTTGAGCCTCGCTGGACTGAGTTCGTGAGTCTGGAATTATGTGGTGTTCTTTCAGTTAGGCCATCCTTGAATTCACCTGAGTTTTCTCATAAACCTTCTGGCCTTTCCTGTGCTATTCTCTGGATGAACAAAATTAAGTCATTTTACAAAATTCTGACCACACATAACTAACACATAGAGTCAAAGTGCTGGACATTTGTAATTTCTAGCCTTTCCTTCTCCTTTGTGACCACATCTTCACTCCCCCAGGCCCATAAACATAGCTATTTTCCCATTCAGAATGAGCAGAGTAAGCCAAGAAGAAATCACTAAAACAGTAACAGCAACAAGGTGTTTCCCATAAGGACTGATTTTGCTTGCTGCTTCCTAGAGCATTGGAGTATGTTTTTGGGAACCCAAAGGTTGTCAAAGGCTCTGGAGGATGAAAATCCTATGAAAATATTCTCTCTTTGTGACTTTGAATTTTTCCTACCATTTCTACAACTAGAAGTTTGCTGGCTGGGGAGAACAAATTCTTCCAAGTTCTTATGTGCTTCTGGACATAGATGATGAGTATTATTAAAACTTCTACTTCTGTTTGGAATACGGATGAAAACTCCTAGACTAGATTACTAAATGAATTATAATTCATACCAGCTTTGGGAAATAAGTTGCCAAGGGGCTTAACGACACAGAGATTTAGATTTAGAGAAATATGAGATTTTCAAAGCTTGACATGGGTGCCTCTTCCTTTTATTACCATTCCTGAGAATACATTTTTTTTTTCTTGAGACAGAGTCTCACTCTGTCTCCCACACTGGAGTCCAGTGGTGCGATCACCAGTCACTGCAGCCTTGACCTCCCCCCGCTCAGGTGATGCTCCCATCTCAGCCTCCTGAGTAGCTAGGACTACAGGTGTGTTCCACCACACCCAGCTAATTTTTCTGGAGAATAACTTTAATGCATAATATTCTACCTAGTATGGGCTATAGAGAGTACTATAAATTTTTTTTTAAGATTAGGAAAGGGCAGTTCTAGCATGCCATTTGAATTTGAGGCAGAATAATTTTCTGGTCCTTCTCCCCTAAATAACTTGACCAGACTTGAATGTGATTGTTTTTCACAAGGAAGGGCAAGGCCCAGCTGTGTGCTCAGACCTGTCCTCTTAGTTTAATGTTTATGGTTAATGTGCATGGGCTTAGGAGTTTATTTCAGTGCATTATAGTGCTAATAAAATAGGATAGAGACATTAACAGGGTTTGATGTGTGTCTGAGTTCAGAACGCATCTTAACATGCTTGATCGCAATCAATGTCTTTCAATGCAGCCCATCCATTGTCTCTTGTGTTAAAAGATCTTTTTTCACTTTTTTCATTAAAAATTGTAGTAAATGCACATGTGCACACACACATAACATAAAATTTACCATCTTAACTATTTTTAGGTGCACAGTTCAGTGGCATTAAGTACATTCACACTGCTGTGCAACCATTACCACCAAGCGTCTCCGGGAACATTTCCAACTTCCCAAATAGAAACGCTGTACTCATTAGACAACTCCCAATCCCCTCTCCTCCCAGCCCCTGGCAACCACTCCATTCTCTTCCTCTATGAATTGGACTGCTGTGAGTATCTAAGTGGAATTATACATATTTGTCCTTTGTGTCTGGCTTATTTAACTTAGCATGATGTCCTCAAGGTTCATCCATGTTGTAGCATGTGTCAGAAATTCCTTCCTTTTTAAGGCTGAATAACATTCCATTGCATGCATAGACTACATTTTGCTTCTCTGTCCATTCGCTGATGGGCACTTGGGCTCCTTCCACCTCTTGGCTGTTGTGAACAGAGCTGCAATGAACATGGATGTACAAATATCTGTTCACATTGAGATCTCTCTCCTTTGGAAAAGGCAGGGCAAATGTGAAAAAAAAATCATACTTTCCTGATTTATTGTGACTCAAAATTTCCCAAACCTACTTCTTATTTTTGAAAAGTAGATGTCACAATTAGTAAAAATCCTGAAAATTTTGAGTGAAATATGTTAGGTGATTTCCCTTCGTAAGAATATAAAAGAAGTAAAATAAAATGATGCTGAATCTTTAGAGAGCTTCCATGTTTACATTAGATGTTGATTTAAACATTTTTCTAAATAAGAGATTTTCCCCTCGTGGATGAGTGTCAAGAAATAATCCGACGTCATAGCATTTATAGTCCTAGATAGTAAAATTTCAAAATCCAAGGATCAGAATAGTTAGAGAAACCTGAGAAAAACCTAAATAAGGACCTGTAAAAAGCTACTAACTACAACCACGAGATTATAGATGTTTGCTGATATTGTTCTCAGTTTGGTTATTGTGTTGTTTATGAATGAAAGTAGTGTATGTTTGTGTGAATTTTTGTTTTTAATTTTTTATGAGTGCCCTAACAAAGATTACAAATTGGGAATACAAACTCCAGAGCAATGGAGACAGTGACACTTTTGTGGAGGGGTACATGTGGCTGTTCGGGTGGTTATTAACACAGGCTGCTGCCCCTGCCCTGCAATGGGAATCCCCAGGGCATTGGAGGATTCAACCTCTTGCAGTTACCTCTTGTAAGACAGCAGATGGCAGCAGAGAGAGGCTTTGCACATCCCTGCAGGTTCTAGTTTGCACAAAGGGCTTCTGAGAGACCTATCAACCAATTATAACATCAAGTGGCAAAAAGAGTCCTTGATAAGTTATTTCGCTTCTCAAAGAAACCGAAAACGCCAAACTAATCACTAGTCTTGTTTTTTTTTTTCCTGGCAAAAGCCTGCTATCTTTCATGATTTAGCTTTCATGAAATTGTTCCTGAAGACCCCCAAAAGAAACAATTTCATGCCCCGAACTCTGTTCAGAGACTTTGCTGTGCCTGTCATGTCCAGCTTGCCATATCCTGTTTTGTAAAGTAGCCACCTTATATACACACCTGCTGTCTGCACTGTGACCTCCTTTCAAAATCATCTTTGGTTCTTCAGAGGCCTGGAATAATGCTCTGCCCAGATGAAGATCTCCGTAAATGTGTTTTTGAAATGGCTAATCAAATAATGGATACCCTTAGGTATTTTTGCAGAAACACTTGACAGCCTTCCATAATATCCCTACTATGAAATGGAAACTTGTGAATGAGATGTGGCTAAGTACTTTATCCATAAAACTCCAAACTTGAATCATGTTGGTAAGTGAACTGATGTTAAGCTAGCAGGAAATTGTTGGTGGCATTCCTTATTCAACATTTTTATTGGCTTAAGTGACCATAGAGAAAGCACGCTCATGAAACTGACAGATGACATAAAGTTGGAATGAATTGCTAATAAACTGAAGACAGGGTTCAAAAAGATCTGGATGGACCAGAAGGATGAGCCCAAACCAGCAAGATGAAATGTAACAGGGACAATGCAAAGCCCTGAATTTAGGTTAGAAAAATGGGGGTGGGGGGGCGGCACCTGGGCCACAGAGCAAGACTCCATCTCAAAAAAAAAGAAAGAAAAATGGGGGGAAGGGTAGACTTTGTGAAAAATGGGAGACAATGCTACTATCACTTAACAAGGAGATGGTTCAGTAACATTCGATGGGACATTGTACATTGTTAAAAGAACAAATTTCTATACATGGTGACATGAAAGGATTTCCTTTTTGTTTTTGTTTGTGGGTTTTTTTGTTTGTTGTGTTTTTTTGAGATGGAGTCTCCCGCTGTTGCTCAGGCTGGAGTGCAATGGTGCAGTCTTGGCTGACTGCAACCTCCACGTCCTGGATTCAAGAGATTCTCCTGCCTCAGTCTCCCAAGTAGCTGGGACCACAGGCATGCACCACCATGCCTGGCTAACTTTTGTATTTTTTTAGTAGAGAAGGGGTTTCACCATGTTGGCCAGGCTGGTCTCAAACCCCTAACCTCAAGTGATCCATCCACCTCGGCCTCCCAAAATGCTGGGATTACAGGCGTGAGCCACCACACCTGGCCAGACCTAGAAGGATTTCTAAGACATATTACTAAATGGGAAACAATCATAGAAAAAATGATGTAAGAAATGCAAACCAACATGGTCACGTATGTGTTGTGTGTCTATGTATATAAGTATGAGTATATTCAATTGCACAGGGGAAAAGTCTGGAAGGATATAATCCAGATGTTAACACTGAAACTTCCAAGCAGGGGAGTGAAATGAGACTTTCACTTTTGACTTCGTATACTCCTGTATTATTTAAGTGAAAATGTATTTATATATTCTATAATTACAAAAATCACATTGGTTGCCTTTTCATTTTGAAATGAGCAAAAGTGACAGGGCTGTTAAAAAGCTAAGTCACTTGAGCAATAACGTGATGTCCAGAACAGTGGTTCCATGGCTCAGCCATGTCGGGGGCTGCACTGAGGACAGGGGGCCATCTGCCTTCTAGGAGGACACTGTGGACTGGAATATTGTTCCTGCCTTGAGGAGGAGTCTCCCAGCACAGTTACTGCTGCTTGACTGTCAGAGCATGCGTTTTCTTAGGGAAGTTGAAGGCAGCCTGTATCTAGTAAGGTGGTATGCAGTAGTTGCTTAATGCTGAATGTGTGAAGGAATGTGGGGCTGTGGAGCAGGAGGATAAAGTCTGAACTTGGACCTGTTGTTCTCAGCTATTCGAAGCTTTCTCAAGTGGAAAATAGACTGACTTTGGGTCCATCAGAGGGCAGAACAAATGCTGGAGAGCAGATGCTAGAATTCCGTCTTAAAACCATGAATCCTTACAGCGGCCTGCGTGGCCTGCGCCATCTGTCCCAGCCACGCCCTCCTTGGCCCCATCTCCCCCTTTCTCGCCCTGACTCTTTGGCATCCTGGCCTTTCCGTCTCACTGGGATGCTTCCCTAAGAGACTCGTGTGGTTTGCTGCCCTGTATCCTCCGGATCTCCTGACCACCCTATGTTAGTTACATTGCAATTTCCCGTTTCCCTCATGACGTCTTATTTTCCTCCATTTAAATTACCTGCAGCAGGTACCACCTACAGGGATCTGTTGAGAGTCGGCCTCCTTCAATGTGAAGCCTGATGTTTTGTTCTGTTCACAGCTATGCCCCCAGCCCCTAACAGTTGGTGGCAGTCAGTAAATATTGCCTGGGAAAACGAATCATTAGCCATGTGCAGAAATGGAACAGCGTCTCACCAAGTTGGGGTTGCCCCTGGACCCTGTGAACACTGGGGCAGCTGGGGTGTTCCTACTGTGCTTGTTACCGGCTTCAGGAATCAAATGCACTAGAGAATTGTAGAAGTGCGGTCCACATCCTCTGTGTGGTAGGACCAGCTGCTGTTGGCCTCTGAGCAGGATCTCTTACCTCTCTGAGCAGTGCCTTCCTGTTGCCCTCAGCAAGAATAACACTAACAGCCTAGGACTTCAGAGCACTGCTGCGAGGTGCAAATGAGGTGATATGGGAAAAGCATTTGGTGAGATGTATGGAAAGTGTAGAGACCCTGACCAGATGAGTCAATGGCCTTCTTCGTTACTCTGTTGACCTTTCTTTAATTACAGAGTCGCATAGCTGTCACCACCTTATCCTTTTTTGCTGCTATATTTGCCCCCAGCCATTCCTCTCCCGGCTTATGTGGCTAGACTCACCTGCCTGTGCTGCAGTTACTCCAGGCTTTGTGTAAATGTGCATTTTTTTCCAGCCCCCAGTTTATCAAGCTTTGCTTGAGTCACTTGTATCTGAAATACCATCTGTCACTCTTCCAGGTTGGGATCTGTCTAGTGGAAAACAGATGACAGTCATATGTTACTTAGTGCTTTACTATGTGGAGAACGTTTACATAAATTATCTTATTTCATTGCCACTAAGCCGGGGAAAGATTCAGGAAACCCATTTTAAGATGAGGACACTGAGGTCAGGGTAAGTGAGTGAGCTTTTACCCACCTCTCAGCTGCTCTCTAGTTGTCAAAGACCAACCCGTGGGGGTGGCTCAGGCCCGACCCCTGCAGCATATTCCTTGGGGCCTCCCAAGTGGGCCCGATCTGCTCACCCCAGCTGTGACTGTCTTTTGACAGGAGGAGGGAGCAGCGAGGCTGCACCCACTGCTCATAAAAAGCAGAGCTTGTCCACGCCGAGGGCTCGGCTGGGTGGGAGGCCGCTTCCACAAGGCTTTTTCTTGCTCCATACAAAGTGCAGACTGATGCTTTGAGATATAGTCAGGATTATCATTTTCAGAGCTCAAGCTCTAATTTCCAGGCATGTGACCAGACCTCTCTATCCATTCCTACAAGTGGTCGAGAGTAGCCCATAATTATTTTGGCTTGGTCTTTTAATAGCTTGAGAGTAATAATCTACATAGCTTGTAGAAGTGAATGTACTTATTTTAAAAGTTCTGTGTTTTTTGATGTTGTTGTTGTTTGGGACAGGATCTTGCTGTCGCCTAGGCTGGAGTGCAGTGGCACAATCTCAGCTCACTGCAGCATGGACCTCCCAGGTTCAAGCAATCTTCCCACCTCAGCCTCCTGAGTAGCTGAGACTACAGGCACATGTTACCACGCCTGCCTGGCTAACATTTTTATTTTTTATAGAAACAATGTCTCCCTATATTGCCCAGGCTGGTTTTGAACTCCTGGGCTCAAGTGATCCTCTCGTCTCAGCCTCCCAAAGTGTTGGGATTATAGGTATAAGCCTCTGCACCCAGCTTAAAAAATCCTATTTTCACAGTCTATGTGCAGAGCATTTTGGAAGTCAGGTAGAAACCATTTCCCATTTTCTATTACCTGGGTGATAGTTGACTGGTTTTTGTTCTTTGAAATCCATTTTAAAAGTGTATGGTCCTCTATGAAAATACTTCTAATTATTGATGTGTGAAATGCTTTGAAATCCTTGGATGGAAATCTTGTACCATGAAAGAACAGAACTGTTGGTGGTGTCTCTGGGAGAGGCTCACGAGGGCCGGGCAAGCCTGTGGGGGTAGCAGGCAGTCACTCCCATGGGGACAGGCTGACCTGGCAGGCTTATTTCCCATGGAAGTGGGCACTGAGGAATAAAAAGCAGTTTCAGGCCAGGTGCGGTGGCCCATGCCTGTAATCCTTGCACTTTAGGAGACTGAGGCAGGGGGATCCCTTCAGCCCAGGAGTTCGAGACCAGACTGGGCAATATAGTGGGACCTCGTTTCTACAAAAAATGAAAAAATTAGTGGAGTGTGGTGGCACACTCCAGTGGTCCCAGCTACTTGGGACGCTGAGGTGGGAGGATCGCTTGAGCCTGGGAGGCAGAGGTTGCAGTGAGCCAAGGTCATGCTATGAGTAACATTTTGAAGGTCCACTTCTGGGATTCATCCAGGAGCTAAACGGGTCATGTCCAGCCAACTCAGCATTCACCAAGGTACGTTTCCAGACCAAACACCACATTGTCCATAGACTGATATGCCTCAAAAACCTGGTAGAGGTGGGCACGGGGTTAGGTAGAAATCATCTTCCTCCCTTCCTTCCCCACCAAACTTTCTGGTGACAGAAGCTTTTCTGTAACTGGGGCAGAATGGGGTCAGACACTCTGGCAACTTACCCATTGGTGTTATGAAATATAAAACATTAATGTATTTATATAAAAAGTGATAGATGAAATTAAAATTTGCTGTTCTATTAAAACCATATTAGATTTTAAATTATTATAGAGATTATATTTTAATGTTTTAAATGTATTTGATACATTACAAAATTATTTTAGTTACAAGCATATCATTAAAGCTATTCTTTATTATTACAAAATGCTTTTACAATGCTATTCTTGACAACAGGAAAATACTTACCCTCACTGAAATATGTGGAGTACCATTTTTTGGAAACCATGTCAAGCATAATGGCAATATTCAGGTTCAATCTTCCTATAGATCTGCTCAATATTTATCTAAACCTTAGCTTCTATTCTTTTCACATGTTATTAGCTATATTTTCACTTAAAAAATTGGAGGCTGAAGGGGTAAGCAAACAAACTTTTGAAGTAGACAAAGCTCATCTTTAATCAACAGACTTTAGAGTCCAGTCTTTCCAAATCTGTTTTTAACGACAGAAACTTCTCCCTCCCCTGCCCCATTTTGTCCTCCCCATTAAATGGTACTGTGTCAATAAAATTCCCAAGCGACCTCTTTAAATCAGCGTTCTTTCCGATGCTGGCTACCACAGTCATGGAAAAGGGAGATGTGTTGGACAGGCCTGTCATTACAGGTAGTAGTTGGTGGTACATCCAGTCTGTATTTCTTACACAAAATTACATCTAAATATTTGACATGAGGCCATTTGCTATCATAAGCCATCACTAGGAACTTCTAGTCTGTCTCACTCGATTGAGGCTACAATGTTGTTAGGTGCTATGACCACAATGAATACAACAGACAGCCTCTCAGCTGTGCTGCAAAGTATTCATAACCAAAAGACCATATTTCAAATTAAATCATAGTAGCGAATGACATACCATTTACATATTACAATCTGAGCCTCTGAAACAGGGGGAACATATAATGGTATCCAGAACATCTTTACATCAAAATAACCTATCATACTACAAAGTTTTCACTTCCAAAAAGTGTAACAGAGTTTAAGGCACTGGTAACTTTGTCCACTGTTAGAGATTAAAACTTCCAAAGCAAATGAAAGAACCAATGTTCACCTTTAACGTGGGGAAAGTTGGCAAAAAGAACCCCAGGAGGACACCCAAACCTTCTCTGTGTCCTCTGTGGAACCTGGCTTTTTTCTCTTGTCCTCAGAGAAAGAAACAAATGCCGATATCCTCTGTTTAAAATATGAAAGTACCTTACACCAATAACCCCTAACAGCCTGGGGTCTCAGTGGAACTAACTTAAGTGAAAGAAAATTAAGACAGGCATAGAATTAGGCCTTTGTTTTGAGGCTTTAGGGGAGCAGAGCTCCATTGTGGCATCTGGAGTTTCACCTGAGGCCTACAGGGGTTTCAAATGGTTGCATTTAAGGTCAGAATCTTTGTGTTGGGAAATGCTAGCGACTGAGCCTTGACAGCTGAGCACGGGTTGCCTCATCCCTCTCATGCTGTCTATTTCTTAATCTAACAACTGGGCAATGCGTTAAACTGGCTTTTTTGACTTCCCAGAACAATATCTAATTAGCAAATAACACAATTCAGTGACATTCAGCAGGATGCAAATTCCAGACACTGCAATCATGAACACTGTGAAGACAGTCTTCTCCGTGGGCCGGGACACAAAGCAGTCCACAGTGTTGGGACAAGGCCAGGCGTTGCACTTCACCAGCCGCTGCATGGAGAAGCCGTCGTACATGACATAGAAGACGTACATGAAGGCGGCTTCGAAGATGACCCGGAAGAAGATGCTGCTTGTGTAGGTCCACCACAGGGAGCCTTCGATGCGGACCTTCTGGGTTTTGATCTCCTCGATGTCCTTAAATTCACTCTTTATCTCCCCCTTGATGAACTTCCTCTTCTTCTCATGTCTCCGGTAGGCCACGTGCATGGCCACTAGGAGCGCTGGCGTGGACACGAAGATCAGCTGCAGGGCCCATAGCCGGATGTGGGAGATGGGGAAGTAGTGATCGTAGCACACGTTCTTGCAGCCTGGCTGCAGGGTGTTGCAGACAAAGTCGGCCTGCTCATCTCCCCACACCTCCTTTGCAGCCACAACGAGGATCATAATGCGAAAAATGAAGAGGACGGTGAGCCAGATCTTTCCAATGCTGGTGGAGTGTTTGTTCACACCCCCCAGGATCGTCTGCAGCGTGCCCCAATCCATCTTCTACTCTGGGCGGTTTGCTCTGGAAAAGACGAATGCACACAACACAGGAATCACTAGCTAGGACAGAACAGGGAGACTTCTCTGAGTCTGGGTAAGCAAGCATGCTTAAATCTCTTCCTGAGCAAACACCAACTCTTACACAACCTCACCAAAACAGGTGAAGACAGAACCAACTTAGTTTGTCATAGGATTAAATGTATAGTTCCCAAACCCTCTTGAACGTGTTTTTAGGTGTTCTCTGATAAAAAGTAGCTTGTTCACCTGAGTAATTCACCCAATCTTTAAACACATCATAAAAATTTGCTGTGCTGGGGAGTGTCATAAAGTCCTCGTTAGCTGAAAGGCACTCAGGGGTTCTGACCGTACCCCTGCATCCTCTGCAGAGCTTCCTTGGGTCTTCCTGACTCTGCAGAAGTTACTCAGCGTTCAACAGCTGCATCCATTTGCAGTCTCAAGTTTTGGCTGTACCACTGGGGCCGATACTAGCTTGGGCCAACCTTGCTCAAAGGCTGAGAGGCCAAGTACAGGAGAACCGTGAGGATAAGATGTCTAGTCTCTCTGCTGAGCCACTTTCCTTAATGTCTTGAATGAATTTTCACAGACGTGGCATGTAGCAGTGAAACTGTTGTTACCAGTGGTTAAGTTTACATTTGAGGCACCCCGAGTTAAAATTTTACAAAGGACCTTGCTTCCTCCTACGTGAAAGGAAGAGGTTAGGAATGCCCTCTTCATGGAGAAAAGCCACTGTGAGCACAGACTTTCGTGTAGGCTTTGTGGATGGCTTGGTGGCCTCACTGTCAGGCTGGCACTGATGGCTCAGTTAGCATATCTGTTTTGATAAGTGCTGCAACAGTGCATTATAATTGTGGGCTGTGGTTTTAATTTCAAAGTGTTTCTTAAAAGACACATTATTTTAAAATGACAGAAAATTCAACTCCCTCGGTTACTGGCCCAGCTAAGCGACGTCACTGCATTGCAGTTCAGCGCTGAAGCTTGGGAGAGTCCCACACTCCTTACTGCAAGCGGATGTGGAGAGGCCAGTGGATAATCTCCTGTGAGCCCATGGCCTTCTTTTCATCCCAGGATGTGAATTGTCTTCACTGATTCATAGTTACACCCTGCCTGCCACAACCAACGCTCTCCTAAACAAGATTCCACCCTCTCCACAATCCGGATGAATCATCTCTTTTCCACCCTTCAGAGCTGGTAGTGAATCCTCCTTCTTCTTTTTCTTAAAAGCATCCTCCTCTCCTCATTTTAGGCAAGTTGCATCCCGTTTTCTGATGGACTCCAGAAGCAGGCTCGTAGTGAATGTCTTTCATGACCCACAGTCGCTGCCACGGGGCACCAAGGTCAGGCAGAAACCATCCAGTGCCACCTTGGTCAGAGGCTAACAGGAGAGAGGTGGCCACGAAAGTTACATCAGATTGACATAGGCCTGTGAAACATTTAGCTTCACTGAGCTTGGGAAAGACAACATCATTGGAAAAAACAATATTTTAGCCCAGGTTCAGCACTGACCCATTGATAATCCAGACTGGGAGGCCCTTAGGTGAGCTGGTTGTCCTGCTACAGCACCCACAGCTCAGGCCAGTCCCGTCCCAACAGCAGAACCACCGAGGACAGCAACATTCCGATTTTAACAAAAGCATCTTATGGAATTAGACATTCTTCATTGGCCCTCACTGAGTGGAAAACAGGATACTCCCCGAAGTAAACTCTCTCCTGGTTTACAACAATACACCTGGCCAAGAATATGGGGCTGCAGGAGGAGGGGTTTATCCTTTGCCCTCTTCCACCTGCCAAACCCAGGTCATACACCCTTCTACAGACCTGTCCAGTTACCATCAGCTGAGAAAAATACAGTTCCGAGAAACCCTATATTGTTATTTTATAAAGCTTGAGTTGAAGCTACCTGTTTTAAAGATCCTTTTTCAGGAAGAGGAGTAAATTAAGATTTACTCCCCAATGGGCTAGGGGGTCATGGGTTAAGAGGGGCTCAGAAGCAGGACGAAGTTGTTTTCAATATTCAAGTCAGAGGAGGAGCTGCCCTCCTGGCCTCCCGACCCTGGGCGGTTACATGCAGCTTCCTACCGGGCCCACGCCATCCTGCACCGCCTGGAGGGCTGCCAGAGGCCAGCGGAGGAGTTGGTTCAGTTCCTTAGGGAAGACACTAGGTGAATCACCAGGATCCAGAAAAGGCAAAAGGGACTCTTCACCCCTTAAATTTCTCCACCCTTAGGTGATGGGTGGTCGACCTTGCCTGGCTGTCCCCAGAGGGTTCCTCCACCCTTCTCACCAGTGTCTGAAATTGTGACCGACTGTGCACAGCAGTTTCGAAAGGGACTCTAAGGTCACATGGGGACACGGCCGTACCACGCTTCTCAAGGCAGTCCCAGGTGCATGGCCACGGAACCCAGCTCTCAGCAGCTGTTAGTTAGGTGAGCGCTGTTCGGGCTGCCTTCCTCCTCCAGTGGGGCAGGATCGAGGCACTGATGGAACCGTCCTGAGGACGCGGGTCTCAGCCGCACACCACCTCTTCGCGAACAAGGGTCCTAAAAATTTTCCTTCTAGGCGGGGAGCACAGCCCGGAAACAGACCCTCGTGAAGTGTTTAGGAAAAAGGGAAGCCACTGAAATCTTGGCCCCGGGGTAGGCCGGGATCGGCTGGCTCCGCGTTAGTTCTAGGCAAACTCCGCCCAAATCTCTGCCCGGGGATTTTTCTGCAGAAGCCGCTCCAAGAGGTAAAGGTCAGTTCCTGCAGCGAAGGCTTCCTGCTTCACCGGCGAAACGGAGCTTTGCTTCGAAGCTAAGCTTTCGGTGAATTTAAAACGTTTGGTGGCAGTGGGTCAAGTAGCCAGGCGGCTGCGCTAGAGTACCCCGAAGGGACATCGGCGACACCACAAACCTCGCGCTGGCGGCTCGCCCGCGCCTTTTTCCCCTCCCGCGCGCGCCCGGCCCCACTCGCACCCCGGGCGGTGCCATCGCGTCCACTTCCCCGGCCGCCCCATTCCAGCTCCGGAGCTCGGCCGCAGAAACGCCCGCTCCAGAAGGCGGCCCCCGCCCCCCGGCCCAAGGACGTGTGTTGGTCCAGCCCCCCGGTTCCCCGAGACCCACGCGGCCGGGCAACCGCTCTGGGTCTCGCGGTCCCTCCCCGCGCCAGGTTCCTGGCCGGGCAGTCCGGGGCCGGCGGGCTCACCTGCGTCGGGAGGAAGCGCGGCGGGGCCGGGGCGGGGGTCTCGGCGTTGGGGTCTCTGCGCTGGGGCTCCTGCGCTCCTAGGCGGGTCCTGGGCCGGGCGCCGCCGAGGGGCTCCGAGTCGGGGAGAGGAGCGCGCGGGCGCTGCGGGGCCGCAACACCTGTCTCCCGCCGTGGCGCCTTTTAACCGCACCCCACACCCCGCCTCTTCCCTCGGAGACTGGGAAAGTTACGGAGGGGGCGGCGCCGCGGGCGGAGCGCGCCCGGCCTCTGGGTCCTCAGAGCTTCCCGGGTCCGCGAACCCCCGACCGCCCCCGAAAGCCCCGAACCCCCCAAGTCCCCTTCGAGGTCCCGATCTCCTAGTTCCTTTGAGCCCCCATGAGTTCCCCAAGTGCCCCCAGCGCCCTGAGTCTCCCCCGGTTACCCCGAGCGCCGCCTCCCCCAGCCCCTTGGCGGCCCGGGTGAAGCGGGGGCGGCTGAGAGTCGGGACCCCCCAGGAAGCGGCGCCCCAGACCCCGGCTCCGGCGCTGTGCCGTGGGCGGGGTTCAGGGATGGCTGTGGTCGTTGTCCTCTGTACTCCGCATAGTGCGAGAGGACTTGGCATTTATGAGCGCTTCTTTAATTTTTTATTGTTAGAGAAACAGGCATTCCTCCAAGGACTGAAGATCTGTTCGAGTCGCGGAGGCTGCGCGGGCCCGCGAGGCTCTCGCAGGGGGACCTAGGCTGGGTGGCGGGGCAGTGCCCTCTGGAATGGGGGTTAACGGTGGCCGAGGAGGGGGCGCCGCTGGTGCCGGCGAAGTCCCCGCTTCTTTCTCCCCTCAAAATCTCACCAATCCGAACGAACGCCTTCTCGAATTTCCGATTTTATTCAATTACTTTCAACAATGTGCCAAGGACTAAGGTTGGGGGCGGTGGGAGAGACAAGCCTCGTTTTTGCCATGGCCGGCAGGGGGGTCCCGCCATCTGCGGAGGGTGCCCCCCGCGGCCCCCGGCCCAGCCAACTTCCTCCTCTTTTCGCAACTGGGGAACTGCAAGGAGGTGACTCCTTTCGGGGTGAGGAGGCCCAGACTTTTCAGAAAGGAAAGAGGGCAGGTAAAACCTGCCAAGCCCCTTCCTGCTCGATGCACACAGCACGAAAGGGGGAAACTGATAGGATTCTGCGGAAGACCGCTGGGGGGCTGGCTCTGCACTGCACACCTGCTGGGGGCTTTCTGGATACCGTGAAACTTTGTCTCAGATTATGAGGTCTCAGTATTTGCATTTGGTTGGGGATTTTGATGTCTTGCGATACAAATGACAGAAGACAGATTTGCACAGCGCAAGCGGATGAGGGACTAAGATGTGCAGAGCAGGCTGGGTGGGGACTCCCGGGGAGGTCTCCCCCAACCCCCGCCCCACCTCGGGCACCCACTTCGCGATTTTTGCAGAGGGGAGCCAGGTCAGAGGTGCAGCCTGGTCCCCTCGCGCTCACGTTTTTACCCAGGTCAGTTCGAAGTTAAGTGGAAATGATGATTAATCCTGACAAGTCAGATCTGGCCTCAGAATGGATTTCCCGTGATTGCCACCATTATTAGCATTGACTTTTCCTTGAAAAATTGGCGCCCCGTGGCCATGGGCCGACCTAGGCAGTTTCTGCAGGGACGAGCGTGAGTTTTGTACCGCGGTTACCACCTACTTTCCAGCTCCAGGTCTTAGTCTAAGAGGGAGTGTCTGCTCATGAAGAGGCAAAGCCCCAGGAGCTGCGAAAAGCCTTGCATGGCCCATCTGAGAGATGTGCTGAGTCGGCTTGTTAAAAATGACAGGCAAAGCCTGTGGGGTGGGGCAGCTTTCTTGGCCTGAGCGCATCTTGGTTGAGCCAGAGGTGACTTGGGGTGGGGAGTGGGGCGCCGGTTGGTGGGTTCTCCCTTTAATTTCTCAAAGGCTGTGGTGTTTATGAGTCTGTTGGAATCCTGGTTGGGTTGGAATGAAGGAAGGTTCTAGAACCATTGTGGGAAGCTCGCTAGTAAAGATGGTTTGGAGATCGGAAGTTGACTGACTTTCCCCCATTGAAAAATGTCACCTGAGATTTTAGTGCCTGTATCACGATTATAGGCTCAACTTTCTTTTCCTTGTTTTCTTTGATTTAGTTCTCCTTATGTGCAAAATTACTGTGTGATGTTGGCTAGTCGTATTATCACAGCCACTCCGTGTTTTCAGGATTTGTAGCTGGAAGTCCTATAGCACTTAAGTCTTCACTTACAGATCAGCGCTTGCTTTTATTCTGTTTTGTGTGATTTCTGCTGTTTTCCTGTGAGTTGGTGTTTTCTTCCCAAGTAGGCTCAGGACTCCTCTAGGGCAGGACATTATATGCATGTACATAGTGTCCTCCAGTGTAGGGGAGGAGAAGGAGGAGAGGTGAGGTGGGAAAAGGGTGAGGGAAGGCTTGGATATTTGAAGTTATTTACAAATGAGCTTAGACGTAAATCCAGTTAACAGATGACACCACAAATTAATGATTAAAGAAATCCTGAAATTATTTTGTAAATTACACACTTATATTGCTGCATTTTTTTTCTGTTGAAAGCATTACTTTTAACAGAAATGGAAACATTGGAAATAAACCATGTTTTTCTCACCTTTTATGTCTTCATCTCTTAATGTACCAGTCCCTAGAGAAGCTGAAGCCCAATCCTGTGTTCCTCCACCCCAGCCACCCAGCCCCATGGTGAGGACACAGGGAGCTTAGGATAGTACTGCTGCGTGCAGCATACACCTTTGTCTCATTGACGTGCAGAGACTGACCAGATAGAGAAGGTTTTTTGATGGAAAACTCACTGTGGTGTCTGCCTGGTTGATCTTGAATGATGGCAAGTGGGCACTTTTCAGGTAACTATTGATGATTAACTGACAAAGATCTGTGAAGGCTACACTTTGTCACTTCAGAGTGCCAGAGATACCCATCAGTAATATTTTTACATATATGCTTAGTACCATGCAGGTAAATCCCAGGTGATTGTCATCGAGCTGAACTTTTACTCAGATGTTTAAAGTGATGCACTTGTAAGGTTATAAGGTGAAAATGCTAATGTTTAAAGCTATTTGGCATTTTAATTTGACAGTTGTTTTATAAATGAACCAAAAAGAAAGAAGTTGCTGTTTTGCAATAAATCAGTGTGACACAAATCATATTTCTTAATATTTCAAGTGACTGCTTGCCAACTGCCTGATGGAATGGCACCGTGAATTCCCGCCGGGAAGAATGCTCTAAATATACATTAAACATGTCTTGGTTGAATTTCCGACTCACGAATCACACGTAGGTGATGGCAGAAAATGATGCAAGACGCGAAGAGACTGTCCTACCACTTGGCAGTTTTAGGGCAAGTTGGATTCATTGAGTGTCTTTTCAAGAGCCATTAGTTAATGGACCACATTCCCTTTTCTTGCCTTGCTGTTGAAATATTAATAATAATAATAACTGGCAAAAAAAGAGAAACTTTAGCTCTCCTCAAAATAGCAGTTGGAAACTGACAAGCTCCTGGCATCTCTGGTTAATTAATAATAACTTACATATGATACTGTAATTTTAATGCAGGAGTGGCTCCACTGTGCTCCTTTGTGGGTAATTATTACAGGGAACACTATTTCACTACAATTTCTCTCTGTGTAATTGAACCACACCCTGACTTATGTTTTCTGAAAATTGTTAAAGTCAAATCTTTTGGGGAAAATCTGTTGTTCCATTCAAAGAGTTAAAAAAAAATTCCAGCCTTCAATAATTTAATTGTTCTTTGCTTCCAAATTAAAGACATCTCATAAAATTCTAATTGCCAAGTTGTGACTGAAATTATTATATAGGCTTTTAAATTTTCCTCATTCTATTCTTATTTTCACACATACAATCTTTTGGGGGAAATTCAAACTGCTAGATGTGTCTCCGTTTCAAGGCAATGGTAGAATTAGTTGATCTCCTTGGTTTTGCTGAATGGACACGTGCTCTTACTCACAAATATATCCATGCAGTTCTTTTATGATTATCTAGGCAGACTGTGGATAAATTACAAAGACATTTCCAATTGTATTTGTGTCAAAAAGCACATTTTGGTCAGAAATGAATCCAGAGCTATAACTCCTTAAATAGGTAAATTTTTTTTACTTCTATTGAATATAAAAAGTAAATTCTGTAAATTATGGTGGCTTGCCAACATGGAAATTCTGGATCATTCACAAGGAAGCCAAAAAGAGCTCTACATTCTAGCTCTGGCTACAAAAATATTGTGCTATCTATCATCTTGAAGGGCTTCTGGAACAAGTTAGAATAGAGTCAACACTCATGAACTGCTGTAGCAAAAAAAACTATAGATGTAGGATTGACAAGGGCAATAGAGCGATGACTCCCTGGCTGTGTTGTATTTGATGGACGGCAGTAGCTTTTCACAAAATGCTCATTTGGATGTTTCAAATTAAAACGTTTCACTTTCTAGAACCAATTACGTGGTCAGTTTAGCTCCTGAGGTCCCAGTCAGAGGGGTATTCTGTAGCTTGCAAAGCCTCTCTTTGGGGACTGGACATGGAGTCTGTGGTCTTAGAATTCAGAACCGGGAGAATGTGTTAGCCACTCATCTAAGCTATTCCTTAAACGCTTTCAGAGCCATCTCCACTGTGGGGAAAGAAGTTCTTTGTGTTCTCTGACTTAGTCTCATTCTAAAAAAAAAAAAAAAAAAAAAAAAAAAGCAATTGCAATACCCAGAGCGCACAGTAGATGGCACTGAGACTTGTCGGAAAGCTGGACGCACTCAAGAGGTGGCAGAAAAATCTATAGGTAAGCTTTTCTTCTAGTCTGGTGTTGCTGCTCCTGACCTTATTAATGGGCTGAGAAATAGATTTCTTTCCTTTCCTTTTCTTTTTTATATGAAATTAAATGAAGTATAAAAGAATATGAGAATGTGTTGCTATTAGCAAGGATAAGTAATGCTTTAGGAAACGTTTGGTTCATGTGTGTGTTTTCAGACTGATGTGTGTCCTGGATCCAGTGTAAAATGTACTTCTGTCTGTAGGTCTCTGCCACAGAAAAGTTGGAAAGCCATTGTTGTATTCCATTTCCAGGGCAACAAAAGATACCACTGTCACTTCATGTGAAATGGTGTTGTTACTAAGAGGAGAGACAGCAGGGCCTTAAGAGCAGCCCCAGCTCTGCTGTGCCTTAAGTTCACAGTCCGTTGATCCCAGAAACCCCAGGTTGGTGAGATTTATTTGTGGATGGGCTGCTTAGGACCATCATTTCAGCTTGGAAAAGGACGTCCCAGGGCTCCTCTTTGTGATCTGAGAAGCAATAGCAACATTTAGTTAGGTCTTTTACTAGTTTAATACAATTATTTGTCTAAAAAAGGATAGGAATAATACTTTGATATGTAGTATGCTCAGAAATCAGGGATCAGTCATTTTAATGGGTTACATATTTAAAGAGCCAGATAGAGACTTTTAATGCCAAACGTATGCATTGAACAATTATGCTTTGGAAAAGAGGAGGCAGTAAACATAATGGTTTATATTGTCTCTTTATTGGCTTTGAAATGAATCAATGATGGCGGGGAATTTAGCGTATTAGACTATTGCTATTAGTGATATGGGGCTCTAGTACACATAGCTTTCATGGGTGAAGATGGTATTGGTCATCTCAGTCACCATCTGATGGGAAACATTCACTTATTCTTACAGGCTACGTGATATTGCATGTAGGTAATTAGGTGGCTGGGCTTTAGAAAGACACAGCCTCTGCTTACAATTTATGGTAGTTCCCCATTATCCATGAGGGGTACATTCCAAGCCCCCAGTGATGCCTGAAACCTCAGATGGTACTGAACCCTCTATATAATCTGTTTTTTCCTATACATACAAACCTACCATAAGGCTTAATGGTAAGAGATTAACAATAAAGAATAATAAAACAACACTTATAACAATGTATAACAATATATTGTAATATAAGTTTTTGGATGCAGTCTCTCTCTCAAAATGCTATCATATTTTCCAACTGTGGTTGACTACAGGTAACTGGAACCACAAAAATGAAACAGTGGATAAGAGGGCGACTCCTGTACCAAAGAAAAAAATAGAGTGTTGCAGCTGTAACATAGTTGAATGACTGAGTTAGACTGCATAACTGACACACAAAACCACATAAATATAAATGAAGGAATCTCTGGGTGTAATCTGGTGCAAAGGTGACTGTGTTAATCATTAATCCACAAGTTGCTATCCTGAAGTGTGCCAAATGCTTTATGTTTATTTCATCACATAGCTCTATAAAGAAAGGATTTGTAATTCCTTTCTACAGAAGTGGAAAGTAAGTCTTAAGACTCAAAAAACTTTAAAAACTACAATGAAGTAACAACTTTTATTAATTTATTTTGTGTCTTTCCAGAATTTCTATATATATAGGAATGTGATATGAATCTATATGTGAATTGAATCTACATGAATATTGATGACTTTTATTTCCCCTTTTGCACATAAGATAGAATATTTTACCTACTATTCCACACTTTGCTTTTCTTAACATATCATGGGATCTTTTTATATAAGTGAACAAAGAGTTTCTTCATTCTTTCACACAGTTTCATAGTATTCCTTTATATGATTATGTAATCATTTAATTAAAAACCCTTTTTTGATGGGTGTTTGGATTATTTCTAATATTTCGCTGTTACTAACAATAATATGGCTTCTGCTTCCAATTAAAATATAGAATGCAAAATACCATTATTCGTATGATAACAATAACAAAAAACCCTGATAAAATGAAAATCATACTTTTTTTGTGGCAATTACCAAAGAACAGTGGAGAGGGTAAGCTTTGATGAGCTGAATTACTGAGCGTGATGGTGAGCAGAGAGCCCACAGCTTCTTTCTTACTTGAGGGAAAGTACCTGATTTCTGTGTGGGAAGGTGGAGAAGCAGGCCTCTATCAATGAAGAGACTTTGTACCTTTAAGAAAAATCTGCCAAAAGATTTGGAGATGGTTTAGAATTTAGAAGTCCACCAAATGCAAAAATAGTTTGGCTCAACAGTCACCCCCTGTCCCTGATTTTACTGCAAAAGTGGCAGTGGAGGCAAGGCTGGAAAACAAACAATTTCATAGTGCTTGAATTTTGGAGCCATGTTAGATGCAAGGTAAGCCAAATGATATGAAATCTATGTCTCAACCTGCTTCCAGTTTGAACAGTAGTAAAACCAAAGAAACTAGCCATTATACAGTGGCGGCATAGGAAATTCAGGTTAGGCTGAGGAGCAAAGTAAAACGTCCTTGTTTCCATTAGATATCAGTGGTGCACTCAATTTAGTGAACACTACAGCTCAGTCTCAGCTCAACCTGACTCTTGATGAAATCTGATCAGATTCTCATTCCAGCCAGCTGGCAGAGAGAAAAGGACTTGCACTCACTAGAAAAAACAAAAACAAAACACTCCTGGAGAGTCTTTTATATGCAATGTCTAACCTTCAGTAAAAAAATCACAAGACGTGAGGAAATAGGAAAATGAGATCCATAATCAGGAGGAAAAAAAAAAACAGTCAATAGAAGTAGATACACTACATATTGAAAATAAAAGTATGGGAAAATGTACATACACAATGCAAACTTAAATTATAGGGAAGCTGGGGTGGCTTTACTGTACAAAATATACTTCAAAACAAGGAAACTAACAGAGTTAAAAAGACATCTCAAATGGTAAAAGGGTCTTTTCATCAAGAAGACATCAATCTTGGCCAGGTGCAGTGGCTCACACCAGTAATCCCTGCACTTTGGGAGGCCCAGGCAGGCGGATTGCCTGAGGTCAGGAGTTCAAGACCAGCCTGGCTAACATGGCAAAACCCCATCTATACTAAAAATACAAAAAATTAGCTGGGCGTGGTGGTGGGCGTCAGCAATCCCAGCTAGACGGGGAGATTCATTTGAACCCAGTGGGCGGAGGTTGCAGTGAGCTGAGTTCGCACCATGCACTCCAGTCTGGGCAACTGGGCGAGACTCCATTTCAAAAAAAAAAAAAAAAGAAGAAGACATCACTCTTAAATGTGTATTCCCTAAGTAACAGAGATCCAAAATACACAAAGCAATATTAAGAACACCAAAGGGAAAAATGACAAATCCATATTCATAGTTATAATAACTGAGTAATTGACAGAACATGTATATAATAAAAATCAGTAAGGATATAGAAGATCTAAGGAATACTATCAGCTAATTTGGCCTCACTTACATTTATAGAACACCAGGTTTAGCAACTGCATAATACACATCGTTTTCAAGTGCATGTGAAATGTTTGTTGAGAAAAGACATGCTGAACTATGAAATGTCTCAATAAATTCCAAGGAATAGAAATCTCACAGAATATATTCTCTGACTGTTGCAGAATTAAACTAGATATATGAATATCTAGAAAATACCAAACATTTGGAAATTAAATAACAAATAACCCATGAGTAAAAGAAGGAATTTTGAGACATTTGAAATGTTTAAAATCAATGAAAATGAAAACATAAATATTAAAATTTGGGGTATGTACCTGAAGCAGTGCTAACAGAGAAATTTTTGCCTTAAATATTAAAAATAAATATTAGAAAAAGAAGAAAAATTTAGAATTGACTATTACATTTCCACCTTAAGAAGTGTGAAAAAAGAACAAATGAAACTCATTGTATGTACAGAAAGGAAATAACAAATATAAAAAAATCAATTAAGTAGAAGGCAACTAATAGAGAAAATCAAACAAAGCCAAAGTTTAATACTTTGAAAATATTAATAAAATTGATAAACTCTTTGTCTTAGCTTGGGCTGCCATAACAAAATACCATAGACTGGGTAGCTTAAACAACAGAAACTTATTTTGTCATGGTTCTGGAGGCTGGAAGTCCAAGATCAGGATGCCAGTATGCTTGGGTTCTGGTGAGGGCTTTCTTCCTGGCTTGCAGATGGTAGCCTTCTTGCTGTGTGCTCACATGGCAGAGAGAGAGAGAGGTGCAAGCTCTCTGGTGTCTCTTTTTATAAGGGCGCTCATCCCATCATGAGGGCCACACCCTCATAACCTCATCTCAACCTAGCTATCTCCCAAAGGCTCAGTCTCCAAACACCATCACACTGCACAGTAGTGCTTTGATGTATGATTGTTGGAGGGACACAATTCTGTCCATAACATTCCAAGCAACAGTAATTAAGGAAAAAAGAGAAAAAACATAAACTATGTCATCAGGAATGAAAGAGGGGAAATCACAACAGATCCTACAGACACTAAAAAAGTTAATAATAAAATGTAGGAACAATTTTCTTCCAATAAATTCAATAACTTGATTGAAGTGAACAAATTTAAATTCCTTGAAAAATACAACTTATCAAAATGGGCACAAACAGAAATGAAAAAATGTATCTATTAAGAAAATTGAATTTGTAACAAAAACCTTTCCCACAAATAAAACTCCAGGCCCAGATAGCTTCACTGGTGAATTCTACTAACATTTAAGTAATAAATAATACAAATTGTACTCTAATTATTTGTCATGTACATATGTCATTATATATTTATGCAAGTACTTCTGGAGGATAATGTCCTCAAACTAGATGTGATGGGTCAAAATGTACATGCATTTGTTATTTTGATGGATATAGCCAAATTGCCTTCCATGGGGATTGAACCAATTTTCATTCCATCAGCAATGAGAAGACCTGTTTTTCTACACCTTTGCCAACAGATTTATACTAGTTTAAAAAATTTAAACCAGTTTAAAATTTTTCACTGATAGTTATTAAACACGTTGATGTGAAATGAGTGATAGAGGATTCTTCTCATTGACCAATTACTGGAGCTTTTATTTTCAGAAAATGTGTGTCTTCTTCTTATTTCTTTGATTTTTCTCACTGACCAATTACTAGAGCTTTTATTTTCAGAAAATGTGTGTCTTCTTATTATTCCTTCATATATTTTGTTTTTTTTCTTGTTAATTACTGGAGCAAAAATTTAAATTAAGGTGGCATAACAGGGTGGGTGTGTGAGGTCCTTGGAAAGAAGTATGTGGGTGAAGTTTCTTGAGCCCTGCATTCGAGATCAGTACCAATCTCTTCCTCCAGAAGATGTTTTATGAAACCTTCTAACAAGTAGAAAAGCTGTAGTTTTGAGTTTTATTTCACCTATAGGAATATTAAGAAATAGTAATAGAGAAGCAGGAAAGAAGAGAGAAAAAGATGTACTTCATAACCATCTTTTCAATACTCACGAAAAACTTTTTTTTTTTTTTTCTGAGACAGAGTCTCACTCTGTCGCCCAGGCTGGAGTGCAGTGGTGCTATCTCGGCTCACTGCAACCTCTGCCTCCCGGGTTCAAGCAATTCTTGTGCCTCAGCCTCCTGAGTAGCTGGAATTACAGGTGTGTGCCACCATGCCCAGCTAATTTTTTTGTATTTTTAGTAGACATGGGGTTTCACCATGTTGGCCAGGCTGGTCTCAAACTCCTGACCACAGGTGATCTTCCCGCCTCGGCCTCCCAAACGGCGTGAGCCACCGCACCTGGCCAGGAAAAACTGTTGAAGACTATATGTATGTCTTTAATTTAAAGAGATTTGGAAACCGAGTTAGAAGATTCATTTAGGTGACTTCGACTTCCTGCAACATGTCAGTAGGACCTGTCCAAGAAGTTTCTCTTCCCACATTAAATATAATAATTCTCAATAAAATATCACATAAAAACCTTGACAAATAACTAAGTGAAAGAAATAAAGAAAGGCAGGTCTCGAAGTGCCAGAAATAAAGATAGAACTCAAGGTTGGCACTGTTGAGTAGAGAGTGGCTCTATGGTGGCCAACAGGAGAATGAGTCTGAATGCAGCACATAGAGGCCCAGGCTGATGCTAACTTCTTCCCAGCAGGATTTATTTTTGCTTCTGGAAGGCAGTTGGGGTAGGGAAAGTACTATTAATCCAGCCAAAGATTAAGCGAATTCAAAGCTTGGCTTTAGTCTTGGTGAGCGTCAGCCAATTTCCAGGTGAGTCCTTCTCCCAGCTATCCCTTTCAATGTCTGAACTGAAAGCCTGGGGTATCTATTTAGGGTTTTTGTTTGCTTGTTTATTCCTTGTTTTGCAAATCGGCAACTGTCTTATCCCTTTGCTTTTTCTTTCTTTCTGGGATCTTCAAGCCCTTGCTACTTTGGCAGCCCTCTGATGCTTTCAAACAGATGTTTTGTCTACATTGCTCCACTTCTCTTTTTCTCAGCAGTAGCATTTGTTTTGGATAAACTAACTCACCATTATTTCAACCAGAAACAACCTGCTCGATTACTTAAAATTATATAGTAGATAATGTTAAAATTTCTTATTTTACTTACTAAATGTTTTTAAATTTCCCTTATAAATGATATTTTTATTATTTCAGATGACCTATTATGTGAAACTTATTTAGGATAGACTTTTAAGTTTTTATTCATTCATGGGTATAAGTTTTCATTTATTGAGTTGTGAGCTTTAATAGAAGTAATTACTATTTTGATAAAATGTATGTATGTTCAGCTTTTAATAATAGGACTTTTGAGCATCATTTTTATCCAGTGGTTATGTTACTAGCAACAATAAGCCGCTACTTTTGTTGAAACAATAAAACTGCATTTTATTTCTGAAATACAAACTATTACTGATTCTTACACAATGTCAAAAATGTTCTAGGCTATTCTGCTTTTGTTTAGACTATCAAGAGATACTCTAGGCTATAATTCACTTTTTTTTTCTCCTACAGATTCTGAAGATTGCTGTTTTTGATATTCAAAAGGAATATTAAAAATTATCCAAAGTCTGTTTCCTATTTCTGAGGTTTTATTTTTAATATTTTATTCTAGGTTTCTGAATTTATAACTATAAAATACTGCTCCCTTACTACTCACAGAAGAATGACAACTTATTAATCATTAGTCAAAAGTAACAATGACATAATTTGAGGATAACATTAGCCTGGTGATTCTCTACAGTGTGCGGGGCTGCCCGACATTGCATGTAGCAGCCACGCTGTCCTGTGAGATGGGGGCTGAGCTGGCAGGGACACCTGTGGGGGCGTCTCAGGTGTCTCGGGCTCTCCCTCGAGGCCCATTTGTCAATGGGCTGTATGATATCTTAGGACAATTAGCTGGATCTGTGAGTTTATGATAGCATTCACCATACATTATTAATTCAGTTTACTTCTTTCTTGTTGTAGTCTCTATCATATTATTTCCAACTAGTATGGAAGCAATTTGATAATTCCACAAGTAGAATGGCTATACCTGCAGCTGAGAAAACCTATTTACTGATGAAATACTTCAATACAAAGAAAATTTCTTTTAAGGGTAAATTAATTCTCATTTATAATTTTTGAAATAAGTAATATATAATCAGCAAAAATTAAGAAACTACAGAATTAGGGCCGGGCATGATGGCTCACACCTGTAATCCCAGTACTTTGGGAGGCCGAGTCAGGCAGATCACCTGAGGTAAGGAGTTCGGGCCCAGCCTGGCCAACATGGCAAAACCCCATGTTTCTACTAAAAATGCAAAAAACTAGCTGGGCTTGGTGGCACACGCCTGTATTCCCAGCTACTCAGGAGGCTGAGGCATGAGAATCGTTTGAACCTAGGAGGCGGAGGTTGCAGTGAGCAGATATGGCGATGCAGCCTGGGCAACAGAGAGAGACTCTGTCTCAAAAAACAAGAAGAAGAAGAAGAAAAGAAACTACAGAATTAGGTAGAATAAAAACTAAAAGAATAAAAAGTAAAAGTCATCCCTGTTCCCTCCCCATGAACAGTTTGGTGTATGATTGTTCATTCTTCTTCTGTACACACACACACACACACACACACGGAGGTTTGTGGCCACAGCCCATGTTTTTCAGTTCTGTCAGTGTGCAGAGATCTACCTTGTTCTGTTCCATAGCTCCACTATAATTTATTTAACCTTTTCCTTACTAACTGTGAGAAAATTCTGATGATGGAAACATGGTAGACAAGGCTTCACTGAGGGGCATGAATGGAAGGACATTAGCGATGTTGCCTGGAGACAGCCTGACTAGTGCACCCCACAGTGAAACTCTCAAAGTTTTTGAACAATACAAAAAACCAAAACTCACTGTTCTCATGATGTTCATGTTTTCCCCTCTGCCTTCCCTTCCCTTTCTTTCATAAATTCTGTCTTTGCTCCCCTCCCCCATTTACAACAGTTTAACAGCTATTCTTTACATAAATGAGTAAATGTTTTCCAGATACTAACTAATGCTTCTGGGTTATTCTTTAATAAGGGATATATATGTCATTTCCATTTTTATACTATTATACATAATTTTGCAAAATCATCCTTATTTTTTTTTGCACTTGAATATTTCTGCAGGGTAAATTCCTAAAAGTGGGATTACTGCATCAAAAAGGATCTCTGTTTACGATTTTGGTAAGGCCTGTGGGAATGAATTTCTGGTGCTAGATGAGGAGACAGATGGCAGCTAGGTGGGGCAGACGCACTACACCAGGCAGGAGGCCTTTGGGGTCCTCCCTGTCATATGCAGTTCACAGGTGTCTTCCCACCTTGCCCTGTGCGCTCTCCTGAGTCTGTGTGATTGAGGGAGAACCTAAGAGAGCACTTGGGAAGAGCCCCCGAGGGCAGCCGGGGCTTGCCGCCTCACCCTTTTGGTTTCACATCCCAGAAATCAGTAAGGCAGGAATTGGAGGCTGCTTCTTGCCTTAGCAACTCGGTGACCTTAGGCAGAACAGTTCAGCCTTCTGAGTGTCCTTCCTCTTCTGTAAGGGGAGCGTAAACCGTCCTCCATGCAGAACGTGTACTGTGCCTGGCACAGCACTGGGGCATTAGGATCTCCAAATTAAAGGCTCACTCTGCGGGATGGAGGCAGCCACAGCTGGAAGAAGGAACATTTGGGGCCAGAAGTCCCCCTACCTCCGTCCTAAGAGAGAAGATGGGAATAACGACCCTCGCTGAAATGATTGCTCTCTGGCCAGCTCGCCTCGCATCCACATCCAAATCTGGGAGGCACAGAGCGCATCAGGACATCGGGTTCTGTCAGTGTAATGGGCGTGGCTCCTGACCTTCTGTCTGTATCAGAGAAGATAAGGGAGAACATTTGAAAGAAAGGAGAAAGAAGATAGCCACTGGAGAACAGAGCAAAGGAGCCAGCAGAAAAAGACGAGACGGCTGTAGCCCCACAGGAAGCAGAAACCGATAGGCTAAGTAGGATACACACAAAGAAAAGTAGATCCCGAGAGGCATTTCCCCGAGGGCTTTCATGTGGTTTCTCGTGAGGAGAAGCTGACTGCAGGGTGTTTGAAAGAACGACTTATGCAGCCATAAAAAATGATGAGTTCATGTCCTTTGTAGGGACATGGATGAAATTGGAAATCATCATTCTCAGTAAACTATCACAAGGACAAAAAAGCCAAACACCGCATGTTCTCACTCATAGATGGGAATTGAACAATGAGAACACATGGACATAGGAAGGGGAACATCACACTCTGAGGACTGTTGTGGGGTGCGGGGAGGGGGGAGGAATAGCATTAGGAGATATACCTAATGCTAAATGACGAGTTAATGGGTGCAGCACACCAGCATGGCACATGTATACATATGTAACAAACCTGCACATTGTGCACATGTACCCTAAAACTTAAAGTATAATAATAATAAAAAAAAGAAAAAAGAAAAAAAAAGATTAAATTTCCTAGAAAATCTTTGTTCCAAAAAAAAAAGAAAGAACGACTTATCGTTCTTTCGATCTCTTACGGCTGGATATCTAAGGGCCCATCCAATGCCTAGAGATGGAGGCTGGAGAAGTCCTCGCTGGGGAGATGCGCAGGGCAGGCAGGGAGGGCAGCAGCTGGTGACACGGTGGCCCTCCCAGGGCGGGGACTGCCTGACCCCTCCAACCCCATCCCCGCGTGGAACAGGTTGCTGAAAAACAAACTCATGTTTTCAGTCCATAGGGCTGAAAAGGGTCTGTCTATAGTGATTACACACCAATGACTGAATGCAGCCCACATTTCACAGCCGCAGGTCCAGAGTGGAACTGTTTCAGAGAGGCACAGCTATTTCTACGGGCCGCTCGAAATGGCATGTGTCTGGGAGCGTTTCTGAAGACCAGCATGAGATGAGGATGACCTGAGGGACTTATCAAAATGCAGATTCTGGAGCCCATCCCGGGCTGACTGAATTCGACCTTCTGAAGGTGGGTGCTGGGATGGACATTTTAAGCAACCCCACCGGGTAATTCTTAGGCACACTGAAATGGGACCATTTTGCTGCTCCTTGCAACCTGGACTAAGCCTGGTTGATTAAAAATCAACCCCTGGCTGGGCGTGGTGGCTCACGTCTGTAATCCCAGCACTTTGGGAATCCAAGGCAGGTGGATCACCAGAGGTCAGGAGTTCGAGACCAGCCTGGCCAAGATGGTGAAACCCCGTCTCTACTAAAAATATAAAAAATTAGCCGGGCGTGGTGTTGGGCGCCTGTAATCCCAGGTACTCTGGAGGCTGAGGCAGGAGAATCGCTTGAACCCAGGAGGTGGAAGTTGTGATGAGCCAAGGTTGTGCCATTGCACTCCAGCCTGGGGAGCAAGAGTGAAACTCTGTCTCAAAAAATAAAATAAAATAAAATAAATAAATAAAAATAAAAATAAAATAAATAAAAATAAAAAATAAATCAACTCCTAAGTTTATTAAAAATACAGATTTCTGGCCAGGCGTGGTGGCTCACGCCTGTAATCCCAGCACTTTGGGAGGCCGAGGCGGGTGGATAACGAGGTCAGGAGATCGAGACCATCCTGGCTAATGCGGTGAAATCCCGTCTCTGCTAAAAATACAAAAAATTAGCCGGGTGTGGTGGCGGGCGCCTGTAGTCCCAGCTGCTTGGGAGGCTGAGGCAGGAGAATGGTGTGAACCCGGGAGGCAGAGCTTGCAGTGAGCCAAGATTGTCCCACTGCACTCCAGCCTGGGTGACAGAGCGAGACTCCGTCTAAAAAAAATAAAAAATAAAAAATAAAAATACAGATTTCTGGGTTGTGGGACCAGAAGTTCTGATCCAGTAAATTTGGGAAGCCATGGGCTATAGTCTGTACTTATTTGGTTCTTATGATCTTATAGCTGGACTTAGCACTTGTTATGGATTGAATGTTTGTATCCTCCCTGAAATTCCTGTGTTGAAATCCTAACCCCCAATTAGGAGGTGGGGTCTTGCGGAGGTGAAGGGGAATAGAATTAGTGCCCTTATGAAAGAGATCCCAGAGAGCCCCCTTGCCCCTTCAGCCACAGGAGGGCACGGTGAGAAGGCCGTGTCTGTGAACTAGGAGGCAGTCCTCACCAGACATCAAATCTGGTGATGTCTGATTTTGGACTTTCAGCCTCCAGAATGGTGAAAAATAAATTTCTGTGGTTTATAAGCCACCCAGTCTATGGTATTCTCTTATAGCGGCCTGAACTGATTAGGACAGCCCTATTTTGACGAACATACTTCTGGGGAAACTTAAGATCTTGAGCCCATTGACATTAGCTCCAACTGAAGGGTGTCTGTCTTCAGCACGTAGAAATGTGGTGTATGGGGAGGAAACACACAGTGTTAAATTTCAAATCCCACACCTCTTTTAAGGAGGTTAGAGCCTGTGTCACACTTTCAGCCAAGAGTCTCTCTCTGATATTAATTCTGAACTTAAATAGTAATTTTTGACAAGTGCCAGGCATACCCCTTCATGAGCAGAATCTAGAAGACCACTCACAGGTCTCTCTTTGAGCTGAAGTTCAGCCAGAAACAGTCAATTCCCCTCTGGATTTATGCCTTCTCTTCAGTGAACATTGAAGAGTTGAATAGATACTGGCTACCATTGGGAAGAGACTGTTTCATGTTGTATTAATATATTTCAAATAGAGAACTAATGTCTAAGTTAATAAGAGATGAATAAAAGTAAATGGTATACAAAGAAATAATTATTTACAGCTTACTGCTAACCACAATTTAAAATACCACATTAATCCTGAATCTATAAACTTAAAAGTTTGGTTAGGAAAAAGCTAGAAATCAATTATACCTAGAAATAATTTAGGTTGACAAGCACCTTCACATTTCTGAGGCTGATTAATGATAGAGTCTCTGCTGTCTGTAATATTATCTTTAAAGAGATTCTTGGCTGTAGTTTCACAGTTAATTTAATTCCTCATCTTGGTGAGATTTTCCCACTGCACTCTGCCATCTGAATGGTTTCAAGGCCTTCTGTTACTTCACCAACTTTTTCCCTATTAAAATGGCCTGAAAAGGCCTTGGCCAGCCTGCTCTGTTCTTCCATCAGCATTCACCTAAGTACTCCTCATGGGTGGGAGAAACCATGGCAACAGCAGTTCTGGCGCATAGGGAGGTTATTCACAGGGCTTCAGAAAACTACTGGCAGGTCCCTCACAGTAAGGAAGCCAATGAGCCTTCTTCCCCTCCCAACAGCCATGCCACAAAGTCAGGAGAAAAAGGATTGGTATTTCAGATGCTGATTAGTTCAACATCCACTTATTGGTACTCAGTATGTGAAGAATCATGTTGAGGCAGGAGCAAAGGGAATGAGATCAGCTCTTCTCTGTTCAGGAGCCCCTGCCCTAGTAGAGAAGCAGAGAGAACTTAGCAAAGCAGAAACACTCTCAGAGCACCCTGGGGAGGAGGGTCGGGAGAGATGATGCTGCCTGGAGGGAGGCAGGAGAATCCTCAAGAAGAAGACTTTGAGCTGGTCTAGAAGGACAGGGTGGAGGAAGGGACAGGCAGGCAGGCCATTCCGGGTAGAAGAGAGCTTGTGTAATGCCCAGAGGTGGGGATAAGAAAATGACCCTTGAGAAACAGCAAGTGCCCTCGGGAAGGTTGAAAATGGAGAGCATGGAGACTCCCCATCACTCTCTCACAGACTGAGAGATTAACTGGAAAACTAAGGCTGGACTGTGGTTGGAGGGGTTGGGAAGACAGTGGCCCAAAACACAGATGGGTGTCAACAAAAACAAAACAAACTCAAAGACAAGCCAGGAAAAGCCTTCTGTCTCCAGTCTAAGGGTCAGTAAAGGGGAAGCCTAGCAAGACATAAAAATTTTAGGCCGGGCGCGCTGGCTCACGCCTGTAATCCCAGCACTTTGGGAGGCCGAGGCGGGCGGATCACTAGGTCAGGAGATCAAGACCATCCTGGCCAACACGGTGAAACCCCGTCTCTACTAAAATACAAAAAATTAGCCAGGCGTGGTGGCACACGCCTGTAGTCCCAGCTTTTCAGGAGGCTGAGACAGGAGAATTGCTGGAACCCAGGAGGCAGAGGTTGCAGTGAGCCAAGATCGTGCCATTGCACTCCAGCCTGGCGACAGAGCAAGACTGAATCTCAAAAAAAAAAAAATTTTTTTTAGACAATAACCAGTCTACTTCAGCCAAATATCGCAGAAAAAACTGTGTCCCTGCTACCACTCACCCATGCCAGCAAAGGCCAAACAGGTTGCTCAGGCTTCTGCCCTAGCAAGGCTGTAATAGGGTGCCCCAACATCCCCACTGGGACAGTGTCAGAAAAAGCAAAGTAGGGAGCTTGGACTTTTGTCCCAGCAGGTAACAAGACCCTCCTGCCACATGATGTTAGTGGCGGCCATATTGGGAATCTGGACCCCATCCCACCTAGCAGTAATGAGGCACCACTGCCCCTCCCCCAGGTGGTGTCAAAGAAGGTCTAGTGGAGAGTCAGGACTTTCATCAGTGCCTACTAGAAATGAGGCCACCCCCACCATGGTGTTGGTGGAGATTACACTGAGAGCTGGAACTGCCAACCCTGCCCCACAAGGAGCCTCTCCTCACCTTGGGTGTCAATGGAGGTCAAATGGAAAAGCTGGACTTCTACCTCCACCTGACAGCATGAGGTGGCACCCATTCCCTTCTGGAGGGGTGACAGAGAAAGCCAGTTAAAACAGAGATTTTAAAGGAGATCCAGTCTTATGACATAACACCCAGAGTGTCCAGGTTTTTGTTGTTGTTGTTGTTTTTTGAGGCAGAGTTTTGCTGTTGTTGCCCAGGCTGGAGTACAGTGGTACAATCTCGACTCACTGCAACCTCCGCCTCCTGGGTTCAAGCAATTCTCCTGCCTCAGCCTATCGAGTCGCTGGGATTACAGGTGCCCATGACCACAACCCACTGATGTTTTGTATTTTTTTTAGTAGAGATGGGGTTTCACCATGTTGGCCAGGCTGGTCTCAAACTCCTGACTTCAGGCAATCCACCCGCCTCAGCCTCCCAAAGTTCTGGGATTACAGGTGTGAGCCACCACGCCTGGCCAGACTGTCCAGGTTTCAACTGAAAATCCCTTGTCATACCAAGAACCAAGACCTCAACCTGAATAATCAAAACAATACGAAGATGGCAGGGATGTTAGAATAATCTGACAAAGGTCTAAGGCAGTCATGATAAAAAGGCTTCAATGAACAAATACAAACATGTTTGAAACAGAAATAGAAAATGTCAGTGAAGAAATAGATGATATAGAGAAGAACCAAATGGAAATTCTAGAACCGTAAAATACAATAACTAAAATAAAAATACAAAAACTAAAAATAGAAAGAATTAGTGGACCAAAACAATAGAAACTACTCAATCTAAACAACAGAGAGAATAGAGACTGAAAAAAAAATGAGCAGAATTCTGGGTACCTGAGTTATTACAACAAAAGCCTTGACATTTGAGCCATCAGAATCCCAGAAGTTGAAGAGAAAGAGGGCAGGACTAAAAAAGGACTTGAAAAAATAATGGCTGAAAACTTTCCAAATTTTGTAAGAGATCTATATCCACAAATTCAAGAAGTGAACCCTAAACAAAATAAACCCAAAGAAATCATGCCGAGACACATCATAATTAAATTTCGGAAAACTGAAGACAAAGGAACAATCTTAAAAGTAGCCAGAGAAAAACATTGCCTATAGGGAAAAACCATTCAAATTTCTCCTTAGAAATTATGGAGGCCAGGCTGGGTGTGGTGGCTGATGCCTGTAATCCCAGCACTTTGGGAGGCTGAGGCAGGCAGATTGCTTGAGGCCAGGAGTTTGAGATCAGCCTGGCCAACAGGCGAAATCAGGGCTCTACTAAAAATACAAAAAAAAAAGAAAAAAAAAATTAGCCAGTGGTGGTGGTGTGCACCTGTAATCCAAGCTACTCAGAAGGCTGAGGTGGGAAGATTGCTTGAGCCCAGGAGGTGGAGGTTGCAGTGAGCTGAGATTGCACCACCGCAAGAAATCATGGAGGCTGTGGCACAATATTTTTCAGGTCAACTCAAAATTCTATTCCAGGCATAAATATCCTTCATGAGTGAGGAGGTAATAAAAACTTTCTCAAATAAAAGAAAGCAAAAAATTTATCACCAAGAGACCAATCATAAAAGAATAGCCAACAGAAGTTCTATATTCAGAAAGGAAATGATAAAAGAAGGAATCTTAGAACATCAGAAAGAACATGTTAAGCAACAGTATGGGTAAATACAATAGATTTTCCTTCTTCTCTTGTGTTTTCTAAATTATATTTAGCAGTTGAAAGAAAAATTACAACACTGACTGATGTGGTTCTAAATATATGTAGAGGAAATATCTAAGACAATTATAAATGGAGGAGGGTTAAGGGACATAATGGGAAATAAGGTTTCTCTATGTCACTCAAATTGGTAAAGTGACAACATTAGGAGGCTGTGATAAGTTGTGTAAATACAATATAATACCTAGGGCAACCACTAAAAATGTTACAGAAAGATACACACAAAAATAATAGATACATAAAAATAGAACTCTAAAAAACATTTAAGCAAACTACAGAAAGGGACGAGGGAAAGAAAACGGAAATAAAAAACAGACATAACAAACAGAAAACAAAAAATAAATGGCAGATCTAAGCCTTAAAACATCAACAATTACATTAAATATAATTGGTCTAAATACATCCATTAAAAGACAGATTAACAAAATGGACTAAAACACATTACTGAACTATGTGCTGTCTATAAGAAACTCAATTCAAATTTAAGGATATAGGCAGGTCAAAAGCAAAAGGATGGAAAAAGGTATACCATGTAAACTTCAGAGCAAAGAAAATTATGAGCCAGAGACAGACGTCATATAATGCTAAAAGTGTTAATTCACTAAGAAGGCATAGCAATCCTGAATGTGTATGCACCAAATAACAAAGCTGAAAAATAAGTGATGCAAAAACTGATGAAACTGAAAGGAGAAATAGACATATCCACAAATATAGATGAATACTTGAACACCCTCTCTCAATAACTGATAGAAAAACTAGGCAGAAAACCAGCAAGGACATAAAAGAACTCAATGACACCATCAACCAAAAGGCTCTAGTTGGGATTTGCCAAGCACTTCACCCAACAACACTGAAATATACATTCTTTTCTAGTCCAACAAATGTGTACCAAGATAGGCCACATTTTATTTAAAAATATCACACCTGTTTTAATCAGGTGTGATAAGAAATGCAGGCATGGAAATGACTGTCATGAAGGAAGAGGTTTTTACTTAGAGTGCTCTAGAAATAGGGGGCAAACACACCTTGCAGAGCCACATGGAAAAGTACCAGAGTCAGTCAGGAGGCAGAGGGTGTCAGGGGGAAATGTGGGCAAGAGCCATTAATGTGGTTACTCTGGGAAAGGCAAGGCAGAGTAAACAGGCTTAGCAGACTTGGGATTGGCTAGTGTGAAACTTTCAGGGGGCTCTGAGGCATAGGGGCTATCCCCATTGGTCTGATATCTGGCCCTGGACTGATTGGGGCAGGTAGACAGTGGCCTAGAATGTGAAATCTCTGTGAGCGACTGATGAAGGGGGTGGTTAGGGTCTAGGTTTGGAATGGTTGGTTTGCATATGATTGGTGCACTCACAGGGAGTTATTTGCCATCTCTAGGAATTAGCTGGCTCTGGGAGGGACAGTCTCCCCAAGGTTAGTAAGGCCACGAACATTATTCTGATATCAAAACAGAAGAGTAAAAAGACATGCTTAATACATAAGCCATAAAACAAACCTCAATACATTTCAAAGAATAAAATAATAGTGTGTTCTCTGGCCATAATAAAATCAAACTAGAAATAAATAGCAGAAAGATAATAGGAAAATTTCCAAACACTTGGAAACTAAAACACACTTCTAAATACATTGTACCAAATGAAATTTAAAAATAAAACATATCAAAATTTGTTAGCATAGCTAAAGGAGTGCTGATAGGGAAATGTATATCACTGAATGCATACTGCAGGAAAGAAGAAAAGACTGAGATCTAAGTTCCTACTCGAAGAACCTAGAAAAAGAAGAGCAAAATAAACCAAAAGCAAAAAGGAAGAAAATAATAAAGATAAGAGCAGAAATCAATTATCCTGAAAACAGAAAAAGAAAAGAGGATATTGATGAAACAGAGAGTTGGTTCTTTGAAAAGATCAACAAAATTTAAAATTTACAAACCTCTAGGAAGGCTGACAAAGGAAAAAAAAGAGAGAAGACATAAATTACCAATATCAGGAATGAAACAGGATATATCGCTACAGACCCTGTGGACATCAAAGCAATAATAAGGGAATCTTGTGAGCAACTCTACACATACACTTTGCAACTTAGACAAAATGGACCATTTCCTCAAAACCCACAAACTACCATAGCTCAACCAATATAACATAGATGATATGAGCTGTATAACTATTAAGGAAGTTTAATTTATAATTAAAAATCTCTCAGAAAAGAATTGTTCAAGGCTCAGATAGTTTCACTGGAGAACTCTACCAAATGTTTGAAGAAGGATTACCACCAATTCTACATTTTTTCCAGAAAATAAAAAAAGAGGGAACACTTCCCAGTACATTTTGCGACGCCAGTGTCATACTGATCCTAAAACCAGACAAGTACAGCATACAAAAAAAGAAAACTACAGACTAATATCCTCCATTAATATAGAGGCAAAAATTCTTAATAAAATAGTAACAAATGGAGTTTGGTACTGTATAAAAAGAATTACACACCATGAGAAAGTGAGGTTCATTCCAGGGATGCAAGGCTGGTTTAATGCTAAAACAATAGTCAATATAATCTACCGTATTAACAGGCTAAAGAAGAAAAATCATATGATTAATCAATTCATGGAAAAACTTTTTTTTGGCCAAAATTCAAAAGGCATTCATGATTTTAACAACTCTCAGAAGAATGAGAATAGAGATGAACTTCCTGAATTTGTTAAAGAGCGTCTACAGAAAAACCTGTAGTTAAGATTATACTTAATGGTGAAAGATTGAGTCCTTAATGCTCCCCTTAAAATCAGGAACAAGGAAAGGATTTTTGCCTTTACCATTCCTATTCAGTGTAGTGCTGGAATGTCTAGCCAGTGCAATTTGACAAGAAAAGAAATTAAAAGGCATGTGGACAGGAAAGGAAGAAATAAAATTCTTCATATCTACAGATGATATGATTGTCTACATATGATTGTCTACATAGACTCCTAAGAAATCTACAAAAATCTAGAACTAATAAATGAATTCAGCAAGATTGGAGGACTCAAACAAATAAGCAAACGAAACCCAAATGTATTTCTATAAACTAGCAATGAACATGGGAACATTGAAATTAAAATATAATACTATATTCAATCAATCAAAGAAAATGAAATATTTAAAATCTAAATCTAACAGAACATTTACATGACTTGTATGCCGAAAACCACACAATACCAATGAAAGAAATTAAAGAGGATATAAATAAATAGATAAACTGTGTTTGAGCCTAGGATGATCAAACATAGTAAAGATGTAAATTCTTCCCAAACTGATGTACAGGTTTAATGCCATTTCTATCAAAATCCCGGCAAAAGTTTTTGTATACAGAGATGAGATTATTCTAAAATAATCCTTATAATGGATCCATTCATATAATAGAAAGGCAAAGGAACTAGAATAGCTAAAACAATTTGACAAAAAAGAATCAAGTGGGAGGAATTACTCTTGCAGATTTCAAGATTTATTATGTATCTGCAATAATTAAGACTGTTTGATATTCGCAGAAGGATAGACCCAATGGTCAAAGGATCAGAACAGAGAACCCAGAACTAGACCCATACAAACATGCCCAACCGGTTTTTGATAAAGATGCAAAAGAAACTCAAATGGAGAAGAGATTGCCTTCTTATCAAATGGTGCCAGAGCCATTGGACATCTACATGCAAAAAAATGAACCCCAACTTAAGTCTCAGACCTTATCTAAAATTTAACTCAAAATGGGTCACAGACTTAAATATACGGTGTAAAACTATAAAACTTTTAGAAAAACATAGGAGAAAGTCTTCAGGATCAAGGGCTAGGCAAAGAGTTCTGAGACTTGACACCAAAAACACAATCCATAAAAGAGAAAAGTGATAAATTGTGCTTCATTAAAGTGAAAAACTTTTGTTCTTCAATGACCTTGTTAAGAAGATGAAAATAAAAGCTACAGAGATGTGTTTAATTTGTTTTAAAGCCACGAAGTGAAAAAATATTTGCAAACCACTTATCTGTCCAAACCAGTGCCCAGAATACATAAAGAACTATCAAAACTCAACAGTAGGAAGACAAACAATCCATTTAGAACAAGGACTAAAGACAGGAAGAGGATACAGAGATGGCAAATAAGCACATGAAAAGATGTTCAACTTCGGCTAATGCAACTAGGGAAATGCGAGCTAAGCACACCAGTCAGAATGTATAAAATAAAAAATAGTGACAGTACCAAATGCTGGTGAGGATGAGGAAAAACTAGATTGCTCTTCCATTGCTGGTGGGATTGTAAAATGGGGCAGCTACTCTGGAGAACCGTTTGGCGGTTTGTTAAAAGCAAACAATGCAGCTATCATATGGCCTAGCAATTGGACGTCTGGGCATTTATCACAGAGAATGAAAACTTTCATTCACAGAATAATCTTTACAGGAACAATTCATATTATTCATATATGTAAAAAACCAGAAACAGTCAACATGTAACCAATCTCAGAAGGTTACATACTGCTTGATTCCTTGTATATAACATTCTTTAAATGACACATTATAGAAATAATGAGCAGATGAGTGGTTGCCAGGACTTAAGAAGGGGATGGTAGGTGGGACGGGAAGGAGTTGGGTGCGGGTATAAAAGGCCGCATGAGGGGTCCTTATGGTGATGGAAATGTTTTGTATCTTGACAGTATCAGTGTCAGTTTCCTGGTTGGGATCTTACACTACAGTTTTGCAAAAATTACCACCAGGGAAACTGCAAACAGCACATGGGATCTCTGCATTGTTTCTTATACCTGCACGTAAATCTACAGTTATCTCCAAATAATAATTTTAATTAAAAAAAGAATGAAACACTTATAGGACAGTCAGAGAACACTGGCTGTAGTTTTTAGTGTGATGGTGACATTGAGCTTTTTCGAAAGATTAGTCTGTATTCTTAAAAGATCCATACTGAAATATTTCAGATGACATTCTGTCTGGTATTTGCTTCAGAATAATCCAGAGCGAGGGAGAAACAGGTGAGGTCCACCAGGAGAGTGAATGGCTGTAAGCAGGGCATTGTGGAGCTGGGTAGTGGGTATGTGGGTGTCTTTACATTAGACACTACATGTGATTCTAGTGCCTGGGGCAGGGCAACATGGTGGGGAGGCCATTGGCTTTAGACAGGGTCAGACCGGCTGTGAATCTTGGCTCTGCTACTTATTAGCTGTGTGACCTCGCTCAATCTACTCAGACTTTCTTTCCTCTTTCTTTCATTCCTTCTTTCTATCCTTCTTTCTTTCCTTCTTTCCTTCTTTCTTTCTTTCTTTCTTTCTCTTTCTTTCTTTCTTTCTTTCTATTTCTTTTCCTTTCTTTCTCTTTCTTTTTTTTTTTTTGAGACTGAGTCTCACTCTGTCACCCAGGCTGCAGTGCAATAGCGTGATCTCGGCTCACTGCAACCTCTGCCTCCCGGGTTCAAGCAATTCTTGTGCCTCAGCCTCCCGAGTAGCTGGAACTACAGGTGGGTGCCACCACGCCCAGCTAATTTTTGTATTTTTAGTAGAGACGGGGTTTCACCATGTTGGCCAGGCTGTTCTCAAACACCTGACCTCAGTGATCTGCCCGCCTGGGCCTCCCAAAGTGCTGGGATTACAGGCATGAGCCACCACGCCCAGCCTCTATTCAACCTTTCTGACCTCAGTGTCTTTGTCTGTAAAATGAGGCTAATATCTCATAGGGTAATTGGGAAGATAAACAAGATTGCTGAGGAAGAGTGCAGGGTGAGTAATAAAAGGTTCTTGGGGTAATTTTACCTGAGGACGGAGAGAGGAAGAGAAGCCAGTGCAGGAGATTGATGGGCAGGTGGAGGTGGGGCAGGAGAACCATGGTTAGGTTGGGCAGTGTGTGGGAATCTAGTAAAATATTAGTTTTATTTAATTTTTAATTTTTTTGTGATAAGGTCTTGTTCTATCACCCAGGCTGGAGTGCAGGGGCGTGATCATAGATCACTGTAGCCTCAATCTCCTGGTCTCAAGCGATCCTCCCACCTCAGCTTCCTGAGTAGCTGGGATTACAAGTTTTTTTTGTTTGTTTGTTTTTGTTTTTTTTTGTAGAGACTGGGACTTGCTGTACAAAAGAATCCAAGCTGGTCTCAAACTCTTGGCCTTAAACGATCCTCCTGTCTTGGCCTCATGAAACGTTGGGATTATAGGCGCAAACCGCCCTGCCCAGCCAGTAAAAGATTTTTAAAAGAATTGTTGGAAGAAGACACCTGAGAAGAAGCCATCAGATGTGGCATTCAGAAAGTCATTGGTGTTGATAATGGCTTCAGTTCAGTGGTGAAGGTGGACCCAGATTCATTGCTGTGGAATAGTTGGGGAAAGAGGAAGTAAGTGCCTGCCATTCTCAGAATCTTGATGGCAGGGTATGGAGAGACCAGGCTGTAGCTCAAGAGGGAAGGAGCTTTTAGAGAGGTTAAAGAGCAGAAAGAAACTAAAAATGAAGAGATTGAAAGTGAAAGAGAGAGGAGGGTTGTTTCCATATCCTGTCCATTGTGAATCATGCTGCAATGAACACAGGTGTGCAAGTATTTCTTTGAGATCCTGGTTTTAACTCTTTTGAGCATATACCCAAAAGTGCAATTCTGGATCATTTGGCCATTTTACTTTTAATATTTTAAGGAGCCTCCATTCTGCTTTCCATAATGCTGCGCTCTTCTACATTCCTAACACTGCATGAGAGCTGCATTTTCCCCACATCGTCACCAACACTCATCCTTTGTTTCTGTTTTGTTTTTTGATAATAGCCATCCTAACAGGTGTAAGGTGATATCTTATGGTAGTTTTGACAGATAAATGAAGACAGAAAGTATGGTATATCCATACAATGGAATATTATTCGACCTTAAAAAGGAAGAAAATCCTGCCATCTGCGGCAACATGGATGAACCCAGAGGACATTATGTTAAGTGAAATAAGCCCGGCACAGAAAGGTAAATATTCCTGATCGTACTGATGTGAGCGTCTAAAACAGTCAAACTCTGAGTAGCAAAGAATCCAACGGCAGTTTCCAGGGCTGGGGAGGGGTGTGGATTTAAGGAAATGGGGAATTATTATTCAATGGATATAATTCAGTTATGCTAGAAGAATATGTTCTAGAGATCTTCTGCACAGCATCCTGCCCGTAGTGAACAATATGTATTGCACACTTCAAAATACGTTAAGAGGACAGTTCTCATGTTAAATGTTCTTACTGCAAAAAACAATGCAACACAGGGGCCTTTTGGAGGTGATGGGTATGTTTATTACCCTGATTGTTGTGCTGGGTATCCCGGGTGTTTCCATAGGTCCAAACCCATCAAATTAGGCACTTTAAATATGTGCAGTTCTGTGTATATCCATTTTACCTCAGTTTGTTGTTTAAAAAAGGAGAGAGAGAATGGAGTGGCCAACTGCAGCAGTCCTGGGGGAGAGGTGGGGAGAAGATGCCTCCTCCATTCATACTGGGATTATTGCCAAGGCTGTGTTATTTGCCCCTTATCTTCCCCACTTCCTGTGGGCTTCATGCAATACCCGTACAACCAGCGATTTAAAAGGAAAGGAACAGGGCTGGACGCGGTGGCTCACGCTTTTAATCTCAGCACCTTGGGAGGCCGAGGAGGGCGGATCACTTGAGGCCAGGAGTTGGAGGCTAGCCTGACCAACATGGTGAAAGCTCATCTTTACTAAAAATATAAAAATTAGCCGGGCATGGTGGCACACGCCTGTAATCCCAGCTACTTGGGAAGCTGAGGCATGAGAATCGCTTGAACCTGGGAGGCAGAGGTTGCAGTGAGCCAAGATTGTGCCACTACACTCCAGCCTGGGCTACAGAGTGAGGCTCTGTTTCAAAAAATAAAAATAAAAATAAATAAATAAAATAAAAAGAAAGGAACATCCCAGGAAAAGCAGGGATTATGAATGCCAACTTGGTTGGTTTAGTGTGATGATGAAATTGTGATTTTGCTTTAAAAGCTTAGTCCTTGGTTTTTATAGATTGGTACTAAAATATTATGGCTGAAATATTTTGGGGTTTGCTTTAGACTAAAGAAAATGAGAAGAGTATTTTTGTTTCTCTGGAGCAAGTTTTTGAAGGAGGTCCTGGAGGAATCAGCATGCCACACCAAGCCCACATCTGTGTTCACCGTTCACTGGATGTCCCCATGGGTGGTGTATCATGCTATGTCTCTTTAGGAGTGAGATCATGGGTGTGCCATTGCTCCCAGCAGTGATCAGTCTGCACCTGCCTCACCCACACCCATACTAATGGCATCTGTGTCCCATCTGGAAATCCTTGGGGGGAAAGAGGTTTCCCACCTCTGGGTGCTAAACTGTGGGTGCTTTTCTCAGTCACATGGGATGAAGGCTTAAGACTTCCCTAACCTCCTCTCTTTCTGGGATGAACTGACCCTGAGGACATCATCCTAGTGTCGTACAAGTGGCCCCCTCCAAGCTGAGTGCTCTGTAGGCTGCTAAACTTAGCCTCTGCCCATTTGCAGGGAGGGTGCAAGTATCGCTGTTGAAGTTCCAGGCCCCTCCACCCACAGTAACTGGTGGCCTTCCCAGCAAAAGCACCCAACCCACTCATCATACCACGAGGGTTGGCAGCAAGCTGCCCAGATGCAACAGAAACCACAAGGCATGTGAAGGCTTAAGCAATGGGGACGAGCTTTATTGAGGCAATCACATCCACATTTCAGTTGTTTGCAATGATTGGCAAACGGATGAGTTAAAAAAGCCTTCTGCTTCCACACTGTTCCGTCTACATTCAGAAAGCAGTAAAAATATATTGTGCAATGAACACTTTCCACCTTAAGCGTATCATGACAGTTCACAAATTTGCCAACAGACAATGCAAAACAATATTTACAAGATAGACCCTTTGTAAGTTCCAAATTTAGATACTTGTGGTGTAATTCTAAAACTAACATCGCATGTTTTTCCAGGTAAGGAAGACCAGTCATTATAAAAATACTTTATATAAATTCAAAGTCAGAACTAAAAACATCCAAGCCTATAAAAATATCTTTTCCTAATAAACGTATCAATTCCTGGATAAATGTTCCTTATCAACAACAGTTATATAAATTTTCAGAAAGTACCCACTTTGTCAGAGAGTCCACTTAAAAGGAACCTGTCAAAGTGACTGCAATGCTCCTTTGTCAAGCAGTCTCTTGTTTTCAGAGATGGACCACATATTTGATTACGTTGTGTATGAATGGAGCAAGTATCCTACAAAAAGTTAACTCAAGTGTCTATTTATTATGAAAGTCATTTACAAACTCTTCAGGCTACAGAAGGAACTTTCAGGTTGGTATTGCCTTCTGGAGAAGACAGAAGTCTCCTTATGACGCAGCTACATTTTACCTTGAAATGTTTAGCTTGGGAAACCTGTGATTGCATTTTGACCACTATCTGAAATCAGCTCATTCATTTCATTCTGCTTACTCTCCTTTAGGGCATGATTGGGGTGATTTTTTTGCGTCTGTGCTCTCTTTGATCTCCTAAAACACACTTTCAGCAGCAGGTAGCACAACTCTGCCACGTTAAGCAGCATGCAAATCACAGACGCAGAAATCATAAAAATGGTAAACACGGTCTTCTCTGTTGGCCTAGAAATAAAGCAGTCAACAAGGTTGGGGCAGGGGTCAATCCCACATTTCAACACCCAGGGCAGGTGGTACCCATTGTAAAGGAAGTAAAACACATACATAAAGGCTGCTTCAAAGATGATTCGGAAAAAGATGCTGCTGGTGTACGTCCACCACAGCGACCCCTCTATCCGAACCTTCTGCTTTTTAATGTCCTCTATGTCTTTGAAATCATTCCTCTTCTCTCCTCGCCTGAACTTGCGAGTGGTTTCGTGCCTGTAGTAGGCCACATGCATGGCCACCAGCAGCGCTGGGGTGGAGACGAAGATCAGCTGGAGGGCCCACAGCCGGATGTGGGACACCGGGAAAAAGTGGTCATAGCACACATTTTTGCATCCCGGTTGCAGTGTGTTGCAGACGAAGTCCTCTTGCTCGTCACCCCACACTTCCTGGGCAGCCACCACGAGGATCATGACTCGGAAAATAAAGATGACTGTGATCCACACCTTCCCGATGCTGGTGGAGTGTTTGTTGACACCCCCGATGAAAGTGTGCAGCGTCCCCCAATCCATTGCGCTGGTTTATCCCTAAACAGACAAAAGTGGGCAAAGGTTTATTAGTGGAAGAGGCCTTGGGAAAGTGACACGGTGATATTACAGACTGAAGCCAACTTTATTTTAAGGTAGGCTGTGATACTTTACAACTTCAACTCCCTGCCCTGCTAGTCTGAGGTTTTCTGAAAAGGAATGCCCACCCTGAAAGCATTCTCATGTTTGGCCAGGTGTGGTGGCTCACGCCTGGAAACCCAGCACTTTGGGAGGCAGAGGCGGGCAGATCATGAGGTCAGGAGATCGAGACCATCCTGGCTAACAAGGTAAAACCCCATCTCTACTAACAATACGAAAAAAAAATTAGCCTGGCGTGGTGGCGGGCACCTGTAGTCCCAGCTACTTGGGAGGCTGAGGCAGGAGAATGGCGTGAACCAGGGAGGTGGAGCTTGCAGTGAGCCGAGATTGCACCACTGCACCCCAGCCTGGGTGACAGAGCGAGACTCTGTCTCGAAAAAAAAAAAATTATCATGTTTTTGGTCAGAAACAACTTTTTGGAAGAGGGGTTAGGATCATCTTGATTCAACTAAATTCAGATCATATATTAGATTGCTGTTTGCATTAATCCAGGAACACAGGTAAACAAATTCATTTCCAAGCTCCCTTTTAATCACTGTCTGATCCATTACACCAGATTGGCTTTCTCCTAGGGCTCACCTAGCTTCCACAGTAGATTTTATTCATTAAATAGCTTATTCAGGGGGAAAAAAAACTTTCATTGGAATGACATATTCTAGTTTACCCAACAGACTAAGAAGGGAAAAAACAAAATACTTATTAGCTTACTTTATACAATATATTTATACTTAATTCTAGCTTGAATAACATCATCTGCCATACTCATGTGTTCTTAGGAAATCTAATATTGTCAACTACTGAGAAAGCCTCTTCTAAAAGAGATTCACAATCTTTTATAAAGATTGCTCCATTGTTCTCCAATATATCTGCAGTATAACCAAGCCCACGTTGGCTTTGCCTCCCCAGCGGGTCCTGTTTGCGCCAGGGGCAGCCGAGGAGGGGATCTGCTGCCCTTGCCACCCAGTGCCTCCTTCCCTGTTAATGCACTGATTCTCTATCCCGAGAGAAAAAGGACTTCTTTACAGCTATGGACACTTTTGCTATAATTCAAACAGCTGCCTTCTTAGCCTATACTGCCACAGAAGACTATAGAATTGGTCAGCATTCTCCTTTGAAAAATAAAAGGAGGTATCATGGACCCTTTGAAAATTTTCAGAAAGTAAAAGACCTCTCCCCAGAGTAATTCACTCAGGCATTTTTTTTACAGGCTGTCGGGGCATGAGGGAGTCACCAAAGTCCTTCTCTTCACCGGTCTTAGACTTTCTTATCCCTGAGTGGGTGAGGGACACCTGTCAGCCTCCCCTTCTCAGGCCAGCCCCCTGGACCTCACGCTCTGGCCCACACACCTGCCCCTCTGCATTACGCTGGCTGCTCTTGGAAGCAGTGGGGTAAATGGAGGCAGCCTCTCCCCACCCAGGAGTGCCTTGGCCTCAGAGTGGGGTGCTACTGTGTGCCCCAAGGCAACATCTTTTGTAGACTTAGAAAGTCAGCAGACCTGTTGGAAAAGTCCGACTCCTAGTTCCGTTGGCTTTCTGAGAAATTGTTTTTTTTGCCCTTGGTTGGGTATTAATATTAAGCAACAATTCTCCATTCCCCCCTCCCCAGCCCCTAGCAACCACCATTCTACTTTCTGCATCTATGATTTTGACTGCTCTACAGTCCTCATATAAGTAGAAATCCACGGCACTTGTCTTTCTGGAACTGGCTTATTTCACTCAGCATAATGTCCTCGAGGTTCATCCATGTTGCTGCGTGTGACAGGATTTCCTTATTTTGGAGGCTGAATACTATTCCACCGTATGGATGCTCCCCATTTTGTTTACCCATTCATCTATCAATGGACACTGGGTTGCTTCCAGCTTTTGGCTGTTGTAACACTACTGTGAGTGAGGGTATACTACTATTTTTTCAAGACCCTGCTTTCAAGTCTCTTAGGTATCTAGATGTGGGATTGCTGGATCTCATGGTTATTCTATGTTCAATTCTTTAAGCATTTCCACAGGAGAGCAGAATATTATTATTCAGAATGAAAAGAGGGGCCCAATTCCTGGAGAAGGGCAAATATCTTGATTTTTAAAATAAGAGAAAACGTATATGTGTGAACTGGGGGACTTTCTGTTGAGCCCCCAGCAACATTCTAAAACAGTGTCACTAAACTTCTTGTTAAGAGTTCCGTGATAGCAACTATGACAACGGCAATGGCACCGAGTCTTGGAATCACAATGGTCTTTGTTGCCGCCTCTGCTATCGTTGGGAGGTTGTATTTTCATGATTCCTTCAATAACTGCAGCCTAGCATTTTACTTCAGGAATATCAGTATTCCTTAGGAGGAACATCCTTATCAGCGGGACATCAGCGCCACAGCACAAGGTTGCGAAAAAGAGACTGAGGCTCAGGCTGTGTGAAGGGAACAGAGTGCTGGGCTCCCCGGGCAGCCCACATTGGAAGGGTGGGCTCTTTCCATGTTTCAGGAAAGACCTGGCCCTCGGGGGCGCATCAACAGGTGTGTGGACAGATGGAAGAGGCTGGAGGTTACCTCACAGCCGAGAGAACAGAACAAACACTAGCTTGAGGAAGACGCTGAGGCACAGGGCGGTGACCCTGGAATGTGAAACAGAGGATTCAATGCCTGCGTGGATCTAGGACTAAGAACTGGATCTGACACTCAGCATTAACAGAAAGCCAGGTTTTTCTTAAAAAAAAAAAAAAAAGAAAATTGAAATGGGCTACCCTTCACACCATGTTTTCTCATCCCTTGAAGCATTTCATCAGAGGCTGTGTGAGTGTCTGCTGGGGTAATGCACAGGGGACTCCTCTGGAAGCCCTGGTCCCAGCGTTCCATAATTAAAGTGTATGTACTAATGCCTCCCTTTCATATACAACATATTTCACAGCCAAAAGAGATGGCCAATGTCCACAGTAAATGCAGCTCCATTTAAAAAGCTCATGTTAAATGATATGATTTGTAAAATTAATTTTATTCTCAGATGAAAGACATAATACATTTTCCTAACTGTTGATGTTCTATCTCAAAAGCATTTCAAAATGTGACCAGTGAGGAGCAAGAAATTTGTACGTCTTGATGTGTAAACATATTTTACAGCAGCTGTTCACCTATGGGGTCAGTCCTGTTTATTTATAAAATGAAGATGTTTTCTTATTAACCAAGAAACACCTCCCATTGAAATTTGGTCAACAAAATGCCCAATCAGCAAGAGTTTGATTTATCAAAAAATGGTTCACATTTTCTCCAACACTTCAAAGTCCATAGAATTTAACCTCCCCAGCAGGTGAGACAGCTGTGTTCTCTCGGTTCTCTAGCCCGTGGCCTGCCTGAACAACGGCACCCCGTGGTCCCCTGTGGTCCAACCTTCTAGGAAGTAAACAGATCAGGGAGCCAGAGGGGGACATGGCCTGGATGATTCTGAGAGGCTAAAGTCACAGAAAAGGTCAAGAGGTCACAACTCCCCCCCAGGAACACTGGTCCACGCTTTCTAGAAGCAGGGTCCCTGACCTCTGCAGCTTTGGGCTTCTCCCTGTTTTTTTTTTCTAAAAACAGGGACAATTATAAGGGCAGTAGCTTTTTAAATTTCTTTGGATTTTTCTGGGTCCCCAAGCCACACGGTCTGAGGGTGTTCTATCAACATAGCAAAACTGAACAGAATATAATCTGTTTCACAATGCGCGCTTCTCGATACCGGTACTAAAAATTGGCAATCCACCTATGCCTTTAAAGGAAGAAAAGTAAAGGAGATGCCGAGCTTGCTGAGAAAAATGAGGTTAAATCCAATACAAGTGTGTCTAACTCCCCGGTCACTCAGGACAGTCTCCTGGTTCAGAGTGTCCTCCTGCAAGAGCCACAAAGGCCCTGTTATTCCTAACAGCAGAAGTGATCCAAGGGAGAAGCTGTGTCCTCTCTCCGAACCTGCCCGGTCCTGAGTGGGCTGCCCCTGGGTGCTCAGTGACCCTGAGCTGGTGTTTCCCAACTGAGACAGTGAGACAGTGGCTCTTTCCATTCTTTTCCAGGTTGTGTCACACCTGAGGGGCTCACCAACCAGCTCCGGGGATCTGCCGTGCGTATCATTCTCTGCAGGCCAACAGCCAGGGAGAAGAGAGCTCCCCTCGCAAGTGTCAAGAGATAGGCCAGGGTGATGGGTCAGCTGCGGGTTATCAAGCCCCCAAATTTCCAGCACATTGCTGCCATTACTGGCCAGGCCTGGCTGCCCCAGGAGACGCTCCCATTCAAGGAGCGGTGGGAGGATGGCAGTAAACGCAGGAGACTCAGCAAGTTTTAAGGAGGACTCAACTCCACTGACTGCTCCTGTCCTGACTTTGGTGGGTGGACAGGGTGGGTGGACAGACTGCAGAGGGGCCCAGAGGAAGGATGTTGTGGGTTGGGGGTGGCAAAGAAAGCGCCCAGCCCCCAGGTTCTCCCTTGTAAAAACACATAACCACAGGGCATAATCTTTCACAAACCCTCTTGGTTGGAGAAGATTTGAAGGCTATTTCAATTTGTGAAGTCGTCACTAATTTCAAATTACTTTCCAAAATCATCGCATCCACTGGGACCCTTTGCAACTGTAGTAAACAAAGTACCTCTTTCCTCTCCTGCTTCTGGAGGGCTGGAGCCAATGGGAGGAGCTTTTTCAATACAAAGTGAAATATTAACTCTTTCTTCGGAAACCAGAGAGGTTCATTTTAACTGATGCCTCTCTGGCTGTCTTTTAAGGAAAGAATAGATACGCTTAGCTTCTGCAGTCTTCAACTTCTAAGAATGTGATTACATTTAAACTTAAAAAGGTAAACTGTGTTCGGTTTTGTAGTAAATGTAATCATAGTGAAGAACTCGATGCTGTTTTTTCTTGTTTGTTTGTTTTTGTTTTTTGTTTTTGTTTTTTGTTTTTTTTGAGATGGAGTCTAGCTCTGTTGCCCAAGCTGGAGTACCGTGGCACGATCTCGGCTCACTGCAAGCTCCGCCTCCCGGGTTCACGCCGTTCTCCCGCCTCAGCCTCTCTGAGCAGCTGGGACTACAGGCGCCTGCCACCAAGCCCGGCTAATTTTTTGTATTTTTAGTAGAGACGGGGTTTCACCGTGTTAGCCAGGATGGTCTCGATCTCCTGACCTCATGATCCGCCCCCCTTGGCCTCCCAAAGTGCTGGGATTACAAGCATGAGCCACCGCGCCCGGCCCATGCTATATTCTTGATACTAAAGCTCCAGTCTGAAATATCTAGCTCTAAAAATAAGTAAACCATGGACTTTACTTTTGAGGATCCACACAGCATTGTGAAGATAGGTTGTTCTTTCCTTTTACAATTCAAATAATTTAGATCTATTGGCATTTGACTGCACTAATGAAATTTCTTGATTGTTTTAAAACTTCTTAGGAAATTAATCACAACTAGCTTATTTATCTATGCCATTATAATTTCACTAATGACAGAACCAAAACTAAAGCCCCCAAAGTTAGAGTGTAACCCCTCAGCATATTTTTCTAGATAGCTCTGTTCCCCTTTCAATGTCATTTAGCAAAAAAAAAAAAAAAAAAAAAAAAAAATTTTTTTTTTTTTTTTTAGACAGAGTCTTGCCCTGTTGCCCAGGGTGGAGTGCAATGGTGCAATCTCAGCTCACTGCAACATCTGCCTCCCCGGTTCTAGTGATTCTTGTGCTTCAGCCTCCTGAATAGCTGGGACTACAGGCATATGCCACCATACCTGGTTAATTTTTTTTTTTTTTTTTTTTTTTTTTTTTTTAGTAGTGACAGGGTTTTGCCACCTTGGTCAGGCTGGTCTTGAACTCCTGACCTCAGCCTCGGCCTCCCAAAGTGTTGGGATTACAGGCATGAGCCATCGCGCCTGGCCATCTAGGGAGTAGTTGATAGATCTGAGAACAGGAACATGTGCCTCCCAATTTCGAAGTTAGCTTTGGATAGTCGGGGAGTCTGCATAGATAAAAGGAAAACAATATCAAAGCAAAACAAGCAAACCTGAGTCCTGTTTCCAACGACTGCCAGTGTTTCAGACCCAAAGAATGAGGGCAAGATCCCTCTGCGAGGGTTTCAGACCTCCTTCTCCTACCCCACTGGAGTGCCTAGAAGCCAATGGTGCACAGTGATGATACGAATGTCAATCTTTGCTCGGTCAGTGAGGATGTCGCCTGTTGAGGGAAAAATAGTAGCTGTTGCCATATTCCTTTAACTCCCCCCCCCCCCGCCCCCCGCAATATGTCCCCTGAATAAACTTTGTGGGTAGTTTTTCTTCATTCCCAGAACTGTTATGAGGTAAGTTCAGAAATTGCCAGCTTCCTGATGCTCTATGCTTTGAACACACAAAATAATCAAAGGTGCTCTTTAGTAGGATCCTTTCCCTATCAAAATAACAGTAACACCCAATCTGAGGCCTCAAGCCCACTCCTTGAGCAAAACAAAAAGGGACAGGGGAGAGTTTGAGACACTGGCTACACCCTGATCCCCAAATCAGTGGTTTAAAAAAAATCTCAGACTCTTTCTTCAATCAGGAAGAATAGATTTCTTTTGTCTCTAGAAATCTCAGGTCATCCAAGGGACAACCTGATAGTTGATTTTTAAATTTAGTGACAAAAAACTTCAGCAACTGTCCTGATAGAGTAACAGCTAGTGATAACAATGGGTCAGGGATTCATATATTTCAAAATTAACTCAATAAAAATGAAACGTTTCTGTCTGTGGAGTCTAGATGTAAAAATGGAAAACTCATGCAATTACGTATGTTTCTTACATCATTTAAGAATTCAAAGAGTTAAAAATTAATTTCCATTAAGTTAAACTTTCCTTCTCTGGGTCTTGTTAGCAATATATGTTTGTTCATTCAAGCAAACCTGTGTCCTTTCCAAACATTTAAGCTCAACTAGATTTAAATGACCCTGGGAATAAAAATGGAGCAGGCCCTCTGGGGTTCCAGGTCTATGCTCATGCACTAAGCAACTAAAACAGAAATCATAACCTATGGCAGGTGGCCATTAGAAGGTTATGCCCTCACAGACCAAGAAGCTTGGGTCAGAAATCACTTTCCCACAATTTTATCCCATTTAACATTTAAACTAATATATGCAAACTGCTCACAGCACCTGGAATATTCAAATTGAATTAAAGATGCATGAAGAGGGCGTACAAGTTAGAATTTTTCTTTCGCCATACAGAAATTGTTTAGCCAGATCTTCTGTACTTCTTTTCCTTCCTAACACTCAGAATTCAGAAGAGAAGACATAAGAAAAAAAGCATAAAGTCATCATTACCTGTATCAGAATTTGTTTAAAAAACAACCAGTGGGGCAGGTGAACTGACCAGCGTCTTCCCAGCTTTAGTCACTGCAGTGGCAATGAGGCGCTCTCCACACCCCCAGTTATGTGACAGGCTAGAGCCCTGGTGTTCTCTCTTCAGAACCCCCCTCTCCTCCTTGGCAAGCTTCAAGCAACACCCCCAAAGACGCTGCTGGATCCAAACAACAGACAAAGCTCTCCACAGGAGCAGTTCTGAGCAGCACCCTGCAATTCTAAGGAGACTGCATGGGGGCAGGACATTTTCTTCTAGAACACTGGTTAGATTCTGCTAGAACTGGGGCAAGAAAATAGCTGTATGGCATAAAGTCTACTTGAGGGAAAAGAACAACCCGGCACGGTTACGTTCAATCAGACACTAAACAGAGTGCACGCCCACCCAGGGGACACTGAGGTCGCTGGGCCAGTGTCCCCGCCTGGTTGCAGGTCCCTAACCCCTCCGGGAGTGCAGAGCTGCGGGCAGGCCACACTCACCCTGACCCTTCCTGCTCCCCAGGAAGGGAGGTCAGCCCCGTTTGCAAAACACAGGATGCCCGTGACACCGGAGACAGGTCTTCTTCACCGACAGGAAGTGCCTTCTGGTGCCTGCACGTTTTAACTAAGATGTGTCGCCAATTACTTTTAATTACTGTCGTCCACGCTATTGTCATCAGCATTTCACAAGTTTCTCGGAAGCCCATCACGCAGCCCATACCCTGCGGTTCTCCGGGGACTTATGCATCGGCCCAAGTTGAGGGTTTGTCTGAACTGAAACCCGCATCCTAGACCTGGCTTTCTTCTCCCCAAATCCAAGGGGACACCCCGGTGACCCACAAAAGCTTAGAAAATCCAACACGCAGCAAATGAAACGGGGGAAAGGGGCACCGGCCCTCACTCTGGCCTCTTAGACACACGATATGAAACCTTCATAAAACCTGTTGTACAAGTCAAAGGGGACCACGCTGGGGTAAAAGTCAAACCAGTCCATCCTCGTTCCTCTGCGTACAGAGAGAGGGTCCAGCGCGGGCGGCGCCCACTGCCATCGGGCCGGGGCCGGGGCGCGTGGACAGGAGGGTGCGGATAGAGGCAGATCGGGGGCCCGGTCGCCCCACGTGCGGCCAGACACCCATCCCGGCCGCGCTCTGCCGGCTCTGATCCGGTGCCAGACAGGAGCGACAGGGGCGAGGTGGGGACCAGCCGCCGACCTCACCTGTTTTGTTTTCTTGGAGGAAATTCCTCCGCTGGGGGGCCGAGGTGGCACCGCCCGCTCGCCCCCCGCAAGACCCAGCCGGTCCGCGCCCGCTTACCTGCTCTGCGGCCGGCGGCCCTGGCGCGGGCTCTGCGCGGGGCGGCGCCCTTCGCTCCGGCTGGGCAGGCAGGTCGGGCTCGGGCGCCGCCGGCTGTCGGGCTCTCGTCGGGTTTCGGGTGAAGGCCCCGGCTCCCACCTGCTGCGCCTTTTAACCGCGCCCCACCCCGCCTCTGCCCTGACGCGGCTCGGGCGGGCTGCGGGAGGCGAGCGCTGTCACTCGACGAGCCCCCCGCCCCCACCTACCCGGGGCGCACTAGCCGCTGGGCGCGGACCGTCCCCCTGAGGAGCAAGGAGTGCAGGACCGGGGCTGTCCCTCCGGGGCCGGATGCGCAGAGCGGGGACCTTTTTCCCGTGGCGGGGGCGCAGGGTGGGGGACCCCTAAGAAGTGCACAGTGCGCGGGGCCCTCTTTCCGGCCCTTGGAGGGAACGGGGTACCGGGGATGCAGGGGGTAGGGCTCTCCCTCGGGAGCGCAGAGGGCGGGCCCAGCCCCCTCTGCACGGGTGCAGGTGTGGGGCGCCTGCTCAGGCCCTCGAGGGAACTCTTCCTCCCTAGTGCACCCGTGGGGAGCAGTGTGAGGGGCAGGCTGTGTTTTTGCCAGGACACATCCTCAGTCTTTCTGGGTGATCCAGCCTTCTCATAGCCCGCGGGGTGCACAGACCTCTCCTATAGGAGCCTGGAGGTTCTTTATTAATTAATGACCACTTAGAGGAGGTACAGGGGTTGTTTTTATTAATTACCTCCATCCTTTGAAGACTCCTCCGGGGAAGCGGAGCAGGCCTTCCTCGGGACAGTGCACCAGGAGAGACCACATTGCCTCCCCGCTTTTCAGTCAAGACTAGAAAGCTCAGGGCCAGTACAGGGAGTGGTGCAAGGGCTGGTGGGGTGGAAACGTTGGAAGCTATTTAGGCACCTGGCTTTACAGGTTCAAACCTGTCACGCATCGGACAAAAGATGTGTGACTTGCTTATTCTACAAAACTGTTCGGTAATTAAACGTCCCCACCTAAACCATATGCCACTTGTTGGGTCATATTCTCCCACGAAACAATTAAGATGTCTGTTAAAGGTCATGGAATTTGAGCCAAGACTTCATAAAAATCCGCTTTCCAAAATATTTTATTTGAGGAGAACAAGGTTCTTAAAGAATTTGCCCAAGTCAAGTTTTAAAAACTTTGGGGAGGCCCCTGAAATGGCCTTGAACTTGGAGAGTGGAGAGACACAGAAATCTCTAGGCTTTTTAAATTTATTTATTTATTTATTTATTTATTTATTTATTTATTTATTTTGACTAAGTCTGGCTCTGTTGCCCAGGCTGGAGTGTGGTGGTGTGATCTCAGCTCATTGCAACCTCTGCCTCCCGGGTTCAAGTGATTCTCCTGCCTCAGCTTCCCGAGTCGCTGGGATTACAGGCCCGCACCACCATGCCTGGCTAGGTTTTGTATTTTTAGTAGAGCTGGGTTTCACCATGTTGGCCAGGCTGGTCTGGAGCTCCTGACCTCAGGTGATCCACCTGCCTCAGCCTCCCAAAGTGCTGGGATTACAGGCGTGAGCCACCGCGCCGAGCATCTCTAGGCTTTTTTGTTAGACATCCTCACACTGCCCAGATGTGCCCTATGCGGTAAATCTTGGGTGCTCTGTCCTGCCCCACACAATCTAACTGTGGACTTCCCAGTCTTCTCTCCATTCCTCTCCCAAACAGATGCTTCAGCCAGGCTCAGCTGTTTGCATAGTAAAATAATTTTTCTAAGCAGATTGTAAACTTCTTTGGGGATTATAAACAGTTTAAGCTTTTCTTCCTCTTCTTCTTCTTTTGCATTTCTACAATACTAAGTACTTTGCTCATAGTATGTGCTGCTCCATGAGTATTTGAATATTGCTTGGCAAAGCTGAACCAGCATAGCAGATAGTCCTGGAAATAGCTTTTGCTTTTTCTAAAGCATGCCCTGTTCTCAATCCTGCACCTGATTCCATGCAGTACTGTGTCTGAGCATTGACATCCTGGACCAGTGGAAATTGTTCTAGGACTGGTGCAGGATAGAACTTTCAAACCAAAGTTGTCACAGAGAATGTGTTGCATTTGCTCATGTGTGCAAAAATGAAACCATCTCATCACTGTGTAAAATATCTCTTTTTCTGTTCAGGTTATCTATATTAGTCTGCATGGCCTTAACATTGAACACTGTCCTTCAGTTTTTGCTACTCATCAGACAGTCTTGTTGCAGCAGAAATTAAATGTGGACTGTATAAAACTTAAGGACTTGATGGGATGCGCATTTGAAAACTGAAAATTAGTTGTCTTAGTCCATTTGTGTTGCTATAACAGAATACCATAGACTGGGTAACTGATAAAGAAAAGAAATTTATTTTTCAGAATTCTAGAGGCTGGGAAGTCTGATATCAAGATGCTCGCATCTGGCGAGGGTTTTCTTGCTGTGTCTTCCCATGGCAGAGGTGGAGGGGCAAAAGAATGAGAAGATAGGGAAAGAAAAGAGAGAGAGGTGGGGGTGGAGAGAGAGGAAGGGGTTCAAACTCATTGTTTTTTCAGGAACCCACTCTCAAGATAACTAACCCACTCTAGAGATCACAGCATTAATCCATTCATGAGGGCAAAGCCATCATACCTCCTCACCTCTTAAAAGTCCCTCCCATCTTTCAACACTGTTTCATTGGGGATTAAGTTTCCAACACATGGACTTTAGGGGACACATTCAAACCATAGCATTCTGTCTTAGCCCCCCAAATTCATGCCTTTCTCACATGTGAAATACATTCATTCCATCCCAATAGTCCCCAAAGGCTTAACTCTTCCAGCACCAACTGAAAAGTTCAAATCCAGAGTCCCATCTAAATCAGATAAAGCTAAGACTCCAAGGCAGGCATAGCTGGCCTGAGGCAGACTCCTTTCCAGCTGTGAACCTGTGAAATCAAAACAGGCTATCTACTCCCAAAAGACAATGGTGGGGCAGGCATAGGAGAGATATTTTCATTCCAAAAGGGAGAGAGAGGCAGGAAGAAAGGGGTAACTGGTTCCAGCTACATCTAGAACCCAACATGCATGTGTTAGGCTGTTTTTGCATTGCCACAAATAAATACCCGAGGCTGGGTAATTTATAAAGAAAAGACAGGCCGGTGTGGTGGCTCACGCCTGTAATCCCAGCACTTTGGGAGGCTGAGGCAGGAGGATTGCTTGAGCTCAGGAGTTTAAGACCATCCTGGGCAATATAGTGAGACCTCATCTCTACTAAAAAAAAAAAAAAAAAAAAAAATTAGCTGGGTGTGATGGTGTGTGCCTGTAGTCCCTGTTACTCAGGAGGCTGAGGCAGGAGGATCACTTGAGCCTGGGTGATGGAGGCTGCAGTGAGCTATGATCTTGCCACTGTGCTCCAGCCTGAGCAACACAGTGAGACCGGTCTCAAAAAAAGAAAAGAAAAGAAATTTAATTCACTCATGGTTCTGCAGACAGTGCAAGAAACATGGTGCTAGCATCTGCTTCTGGTGAGGGCCTCAGCAAGTTTCCAATCACGTTGGAAGGACAAGGGAGAGCAAATGTCTCACATGGTGAGAGTGCGAGCAAGAGAAAAAGCAGGGAGGTGCCCTATACTTTTAAATAACCAGATCGCAAGTGAACTCATTGGTCACCAAGGGGATGGCACTAAGCCATTCATTAGGGATCCACCCCCATGATTCAAACACCTCCCACTAGGCCTCGCCTCCAACATTGGAGATTACACTTCAACATGAGATTTGGAGGGGACAAATACCCAAACTATATCAATGGAAAAAAAACATTAAGTCTTAAAACTGGTGAATAATCTCCTCTGACTCCCTGTCCTGCGATCTGGGCACACTGGAGTGGGGCTTGGACCCCTCAAGACCTCAGGCAGCCCCTCCCCTATGGCTTTGCTGGGATCAGTCCACCCAGCAGCTCTCAGAGGTTGGAGTCTCATGCCTGCAGCTTTCCCAGGTTGGAGTTGCACACTAGTGACCCTACAGTTCTGGGGGATCGGGGCTCCCCGGCTCCCATGCCTCACCTCTGTGACAAGTGTCTGCCTGAGCCCCTAGCCGGTCCAAGTCATCCTTTGAAATCTAGGTGGAGGCCACCATGGCCCCACAGCTTGTACATTCTGCATGTCTGCAGAGTCAGCACTACATGCATGCCACCAAGGTTTGCAGCTTATACCTTCCAGAATGGTGGGTCAAACTGTGGGGTGCTGTGCCAGAATTTGGGGAGCAGAGTCCCAGGGCAATGTAGGGCAGTGTATGCTGAAGTCCCACAGGCACCTCTCTGGGAACCTTGCCCTCAAAGTCTTAGCTTACCTTGAAGATCTCCGGGTAATGACCCTTCAGGGTCATTGTCTAATTGTCTTGGTGAATAGAAAGAACCTGGTTTCCTTCTATCCATCATCTCTTTAGCAGTGTCTTGGCCACCCTCAATAGTCTGTCGTGAACATGTTTTTTATTCTTACATGGCCAGGCTGAGAGTTTTCCAAATATTTCTGTTCCATTTCCCCTTTATTTATAAGTTCTGTCTTTATTTTACTTTTTGAGATGGAGTCTCGCTCTGTCACCCAGGCTGGAGCGCAGTGGCGCGATCTCGACTCACTGCAAGCTCCGCCTCCCGGGTTCACGCCATTCTGCTGCCTCAGCTTCCTGAGTAGCTGGGACTACAGGCACCCGCCACCATGCCCAGCTAATTTTTTTGTATTTTTAGTAGCGATGGGGTTTCACTGTGTTAGCCAGGATGGTCTCGATCTCCTGACCTCATGATCTGCCCGTCTCGGCCTCCCAAAGTGCTGGGATTACAGGCGTGAGCCACCGACCACACCAGGCCTAAATTCTGTCTTCAAATTGTTTCTCTCTTTTGTCATTATACTGTAAGCAGCCCAAAGAAGCCACACAGCACCTTGAACACTTTGTTGCTTAGCTATTTCTTCTGCCAGATATCCTAGTTTGTTGCTCTCAAATTCTGCCTTCCATAAAGCCCTTGGGCATAGCCAGAGTTCAGCTAAGTTATTTGCCACTTTATAACAAATATGACCTTTACTTCAGTTTCCAAAACTTTTCTCATTTCCATCTGAGACCTCATCAGAATGGGCTTCACTGCCCGTATCTCCATAACATTCTGGTCACAACCACATAACATTCTGGTCACAACCACTTAAGCAATCTCTGAGAAGATCCAGACTTTCCTTACAGCTCTCTTCTTCTTTCTGAGTTCTCACCAGAATTGCCCTGAATGCTCCATTCACAGCAACCTAGGCTTTTTCTAGCCTGCCTTCCAAATTCTTCCAGCCTCTAAGCATTACCCAGTTCCAAGGCTGCTTCCACATTTTCAGATGTTTGTTATAGCAGCAGCCCCACTACTTGGTACCAAGCTCTTGTCTTCATCCATGTCCCTCACACTGGGTTTGTCTGAAGTTTTTCTCATGATCAGATGGGCTTGTGTGTTTTGGGAGGAGGACCACAGAGGTAAAGAGCCATTTCTGTCACATTACACTGAAGGCACAGATGACAGTCAACCGCATTTGTCACTGCTGATGCTCAGCTTGGACCCCTTGCTGAGGTGGTGTGGCTTGGGTCTCTCCACTGTCAGGGGCCTCTTTCCCCTTTCCACGCTGTGTTCCTTGGGAGAAGTCACCCCTGCTCTGGGGGGGGAGAGGCACCCCGCCTTCCTGAGGAGTGGCCACATCGTCACCTGCTATTCTTCTGCACGGAAGGTTTGTCCCTTCCCCCAATTTATTCATGTGTCCAATCATTCATTGATATCAGCATGGACTCATGGATATTTATTTTAGACTTTGGATTATTATTCTTTATTTTGTTCTTTCATTTGGCTCCTATTTCCCTTTTGACGCACACCCATCTTTGTGTGTGTGTGTGTGTGTGTAGCATTTTCTTTCTTGCACTCTAAGATGCTCTGGACCACGTGGTACACTCCGGCCCCAGCCCTAGCATCAGCCATTTCTCTGAGGCATCGTGGTGCACTGTTTGTGATGTGCACTGGCTCATTCGCTGTCTGCCCTCCCACTCAACCAGGGACTCCTGGCAGCAGGAACCATGGCTGGCTTCATGGTCCAGCTCTTTGTGCTCCTGTGCAAGCACTAGTGCCATGCTTGATGCATTCTGGGGGCTCAGGAAGTGTTTGTTGAATGAATGAGTACATTTGAGAAGTAGCTGTTGAATGGACTCCTTGCAAATATTCAGAGAAGGGTCTGGTAGGTGAAAATATGAAGAAAAGAGTAGTTCCCAGATAACTTATAATTAGTCAGATGCCTTGTACTTCAGAGAGGGAAGCTCTAGGGTAAGGATGGGACATTGTGCTGACCCCCCAGATAGTTGGGCTCTAACTGGGAGGTGTGACACCTGCTGTTATAGGGACGGGGCTGTTAAATATGAAGGTGTCCCCTATCCAGCCAGTGGTCACAGGCATTCTCAGTGAGGTACAGAGTGCAGCGTTCTGATCCTTATCTCCACATCCCAGAAACAATATTGTGGTCATCAAAGCCACAACAGTCTGGATCCAAAGCCACAGTGCCAATGTGACTGTTTTCTCTGGGAGATGCCTCTGGCCTGGGATGCGCTTGGTGGGAAGGCCCAGAGCCCAGTCTCCTCTCACATGGCTTCTGCCAAGCCTAGAATTAGATCAGAAAGAGTGGGTGCTTTACAGGGTTATTTCTCTGTCCAGTATCTGGTCTACCATCCAGAGCCAGGCTTACTTCCCAAAAAAGCGCTAGACTCCTGGCCCTTGACTCCTTGCTCTCTGACTCCACACAGAGCACAGCCCTTGTTTGCATACCTTCACTTCCCACACCCGGCTCGGTGTACACCTACTTAGGCTGTAACTTTTTCCTGTTGATACAAATATCTGGCCTGTTTTTCTTCTTTTGCTTTGTTTTTAGATGAACTTTAGTATTTCCAGCGTTTCTTTAGTAACATATCAGTAATTTCTGAGAGTAAGATACTTCTGCAGCACTCATTTTTTTGGGTGGCATTTCCATGACATTAAATCCACATCCTGGGGTGACTTACTATAATCCTGTTAGCTCTGGCCACAGAAGAGTGTATTATATAATAATGTCTCACAGAATATTGTTTCACAACACGAGACATATGAAAGGCAAATGCTGTTCTGCAGGGAATCAGGAGAGAACTCAGTGAGAATGAGGATCTGGGAGAAGCTTCAGAGCCTGGACAGAGAGGAGATAATGGCTGGAGGGTCGGGGGGCCAGCATGTGGCTGCTGGCAGGAGTGTGGCGAGGAGATGAGCTGGCCTGGCTGCATGGGAGGCTTGTGCAGGGGAACAGGAGGACATGACAAGGACAAAGTCGGGGGAGGGTTGTCACCCCCAGGACCATCTCCTCATGCTCAAACCTGCCCGTGCTCCTGAGTTCCAGAATAATCGAATCAGTCCACAGTGGCTGGGTGGAAGGGTGAGTTGTCTAAGAAGGACTTGGGTGGGAGAGAAGGTAGAGCTCCAAAGCTGAGCCTTGCAGGAAGGCAACTGGGGAGCCAGCCATGGTGGGAGGCAGGAGGAATTAAGGGGGAGGAGGCCAGGCCAGAGAGGGGCCAGCGTGGCTGTGTGCTGACTGCTGACAGGTGGGGACAATTTCCAGAAGGATGGTGTGTTAACGGGGGCACTCCAGAGAAGAACCCAGAGGATGTGTGTGTGTGTGTATGTGAAAATACACACACACACCACACACACACAGAGATTGATTTTAAGGAATTGGCTGTCGCCATGTGGGGCTGGTGAGTACAAAGTCTGCAGGGCTGGCTGGAGGCCCAGGTGAGAGCTGAGGATTCCTCCTGGAGTCGGAAGGCAGTGTGAGGAGGACTTCTTCCTCAGGGGTCCTCAGTCTTCTCGCTTATGACTGTCCCCTGATTGATTGAGGCCCACCCCCAAGGTGGAGGGGCATCTGCTTTGCTCAAGTCTACCGATTTATGTTAATCTCACCTAAAAGTACCTTCACGGCCACATCTAGACTGTTGCTTGGCCAAATATCTGGGCTCCACAGACTAGCCCAGCTGACAACCACAGGTGAGTTCATTCTTCCTCCCAGCAGAGGCTTCGGAGTCCTGCCACACTGAAAGTTCTAGGGCCACCGCAGCCCACAGGGCTGCTCCTTCCAGGGGCCGATGGTTGAGCAGGGCAGCCAGTAAACCAGAAGGTGCAGGCCCATAGGGAGGGCTGCCGAGAGGGCGCCAGGGCAGCAGGTGCCAAGACAGGTCGAGAACAGGAGAGCAAAGGAAGCACATAGAATAAAAAGGCTTATTCAGACCCTATGTGTATGTGTGAGGCTGACAAAAAGGAACCACCACAGATGGTAACAATTATGATACCTGCTATAGGTGATCTCACAAGTCATGGTAACAGTTATGATACCTGCTATAGGTGATCTCAAAAGTCATCTTAATTTGTTATGTTTTTCCCACAGTGACTGTGTAATACATTTATTGTAAGAAAAAAGATTAAAAAATAAACTAGAAGAGACAAGGGATATTTAAGAGTATCATTCTCTTATCCTTTCTTTAAAAATAATGAAGACTGTATTGGAAATGTAATGGAAATTGCTCTTTGGAAATGAAATGATCACCTGCTGATAAGCATCCCATTCATTAACTACAAATGCAGCCTTTACGGCCATGAGCTTCTGAGATGGCTTTTTGTTGTTGTTGTTGTTGTTGTTTACTTTTTTTCCTGGACCAGTTTCCAGAATACAAGTCTTATGGTACGGGAGTCTTAGCCCAGGCATATTACCAAAGACAGTTATCTGGCTAGGGCTTGAGCTGAACAGAGCCATTGCGATTTTGTTGGGGGCCTGAGATAAGAATTAAGGCATTTAGCGTAGACTATTGGGATGCCCCATGAGTCCATTGGCATTACTTGTGTCAGTAAATGAAAAAGGTGATTAAAGTCTACGCCTGACTTTCCCGTTAGTTTCCAGGTGGCCTTTGGGGTAACTTTTTTCCTACTGTCTCTTAACAGTAATGAAGCATGTTCAGTTGTCCAGGTCCCAGTCCTTCCCAGTGAAAGTTGCTTTACCGCAGCCTTTCCACAGTCCACAGAGGCTCAGCTCATTTGGGGGAAGCGGTCCTTGGGTTTGGGGTCCCTAACTCGACTTGCAGCAAGTCTGAAACCACATTGTCAGCTGATCTGGGTGTTGTTTCCATGTGCTGGGTGAGATTAAAGGAAACCTAAGGGGCTAGAAAAGAAGGCCCCGCCCTAGGGAGAGAGCAGGGAGGAGCTAATGGCTGCAGAGCCCCCCCCTCCCCACCTTAAATGCCACCTTAAAATCTCCCGTAACAGGAATGCCTTCCCTCTCCGGGCTTCCTAGCGGAACTCAACCATCCTCTAAGGATGGGATTATAATTGTCTTTACCACTTATTAATAAATGGTATGGGTTAGGCATTAGCTCTACCTTCCAGCAGTCCTACAACAGCGGTCATATTGTCCCTGTTTTACAAGTGGGCCATTGTGACTTCAAGAGGCCTCCCAGCTAGTAGGTGCCAGAGCCTAATCAGGCTGTGTTTAGTGCAATTCCTAACTCTATGACCTTTCTCTGCCTGGCACCACCTTTGACTCCTGTCTCCTGGAAGCTGATTCACTCAGCCTGCACACCTCTGCTCTCCTCCCATCTCGTGGGACATTTCACTCAATGCTGCCTCAGCTCCTGCTCAGTGCATGGCTGTGGCACACCTGTCAGCTGCTTAGCCAAGATTCTGAGTGCTTTCTGGATGGTGCCAGGTTTGGAGGACTTACCTGCAGCCATGGCCCAGCTCTTGTTAATGACAGACCCCAGACAAGTCAGCTTGCTGCCTTAAATGCTCACCAAGGAAAGTTCCTGGAAATACCTGCACCCCAGCAGGTGCTCCCTGAAGCTCATCTCTCGCTTTCCTTCTTTCTTCTTTGCTGTTCTGTCCTCTTATTCCTTTCTCCCCAGTGTCCTCCTTGGTCCAGTGGGGATATTTAAGCACCTCACAGAATTATTGGAGTCTTATACCAGACCTTGTGTCTGAAAGACCAGCTACAGTGTCTGGAATACAGTAGTCTCCATCTTTACTCCTCTCTATTCCTATATGACATTTCCCACTCAGTGAAAAGCCTTCAGCTGCTGACAGTCTCATTTGTATCATGTTTCCTATCCATGGCCCTTCCTCTCTTGTCTTGCCAGGTTATAATTTGATGGTGTCACTGCAGTGTGAGTTCGGGTCTAATCTCAGCGTGGATGGTGTCGTGCAGAGGCCGGGTGGCTCCTTTGTTCCTGGGATCCCCATTGCATCGCTCAGTGCCCAGGCTTCTTGGTGACATCTTGCTGGATGACTTCAGCCTCCTGCACACTCTCAGGTGTGCCCAGGTTGTCTGTACTTGAAGACTTCCCAGGGAGATGTCACAATGTCCCCAGCTGAACCCTCGGCTGAACCCAGCATCATAGAGTGTTCAGCCAAGGCGATCAGTCCAGGCCTTGAGGCCCAAAGCTGCCCCCTGGGTCTCTTTTGCCTTCACCTATTGAAACGTATGTTCAGAATAGCTCTTTACTCCTTTGGGTTCTTTAGAGTTGGCTGACTTTAAACAGCATATCTATCAGTTTAAAGATTTAGATTTTGGGAGCAAAGGCGACTCAATGGAGACTGGAGAGTCTTTTCAATAAATGGTGCTGGAACAACTGAATATCCAAATACACACATACACAAAAGAATCTAGACACAGCATTTACACCTTTTACGAAAATTAACTTGAAATGGATCACAGACCTAAATGTAAAATGCAAAACTTTAAACCTTCTAGAAGATAACAGATGAGATAATCTAGGTGACGTTGGGTTTGGGGGTGACTTTTTAGATACAACACTGAAAGCACGATCCATGAAAGAAGAAATCAGTAAGTTGGACTTCATTCATGGTAAAACCTTCTGCTCTGTGAAAGTCATGGAGCACTAAGGAAATCAGATGACAAGTCACAAAGTGGGAGAAAATCATTGTAAAGCACATATTTAATAAAGGACTGGTATTCAAAATACACAAAGGACTCTTAAAGCTTAACAATAAGAAAACCAACAACCCAATTAAAAAACAGGCCTGGTGGAACCAAGATGGCCAAATAGGAAGAGCTCCAGTCTACAGCTCCCAGCATGAGCGACGCAGAAGATGGGTGATTTCTGCATTTCCAACTGAGGTACTGGGTTCATCTCACTGGGGAGTGTTGGAAAGTGGGTGCAGGACAGTGGGTGCAGTGCACTGAGCGTGAGCTGAAGCAGGGTGAGGCATTGCCTCACCCAGGAAGCACAAGGGGTCAGGGAATTCCCTTTCCTAGTCAAAGAAAGGGGTGACAGACGGCACCTGGAAAATCGGGTCACTCCCACCCTAATACTGTGCTTTTCCAGTGGTCTTAGCAAATGGCACACCAGGAGAATATGTCCCGTGCCTGGCTCGGAGGGTCCTACTCCCACGGAGCCTCGCTCATTGCTAGCACAGCAGTCTGAGATCAAACTGCAAGGCAGCAGTGAGGCTGGGGGAGGGGCACCCGCCATTGCTGAGGCTTGAGTAGGTAAACAAAGCGGCCAGGAAGCTCCAACTGGGTGGAGCCCACCACAGCTCAAGGAGGCCTACCTGCCTCTGTAGACTCCACCTCTGGGGGCAGGGCATAGCCAAACAAAAGGCAGCAGAATCGTCTGCAGACTTAAATGTCCCTGTCTGACAGCTTCGAAGAGAGCAGTGGTTCTCCCAGCACGTAGCTGGAGATCTGGAGATCTGAGAACGGACAGACTGCCTCCTCAAGTGGGTCCCTGACCCCCGAGTAGCCTAACTGGAAGGCACCCCCCATTAGGGGCAGACTGACACCTCACACGGCCAGGTTCTCCTCTCAGACAAAACTTCCAGAGGAATGATCAGGCAGCAACAGTTGCTGTTCACCAATATCCGCTGTTCTGCAGCCTCCGCTGCTGATACCCAGGCAAAAAGGGTCTGGAGTGGACCTCCAGCAAACTCCAACAGACCTGCAGCTGAGGGTCCTGACTGTTAGAAGGAAAACTAACAAACAGAAAGGACATCCACACCAAAACCCCATCTGTATGGCACCATCATCAAAGACCAAAGGTGTGGGGAAAAAACAGAGCAGAAAAACTGGGAACTCTAAAAATCAGAGCACCTCTCCTCCTCCAAAGGAACGCAGCTCCTCACTAGCAACGGAACAAAGCTGGACGGAGAATGACTTTGACGATTTGAAAGAAGAAGGCTTCAGATGATCAAACTACTCTGAGCTAAAGGAGGAAGTTCGAGTCCATGGCAAAGAAGTTAAAAACCTTGAAAAAAATTAGATGAATGGCTAACTAGAATAACCAATGCAGGGAAGTCCTTAAAGGACCTGATGGAGCTGAAAACCAAGGCACGAGAACTACATGACGAATGCACAAGCCTCAGTAGCCGAATCGATCAACTGGAAGAAAGGGTATCAGTGATGGAAGATCAAATGAATGAAATGAAGTGAGAAGAGAAGTTTAGAGAAAAAAGAATAAAAAGAAATGAACAAAGCGTCCAAGAAATACGGGATTATGTGAAAAGACCAAATCTTCGTCTGATTGGTGTACCTGAAAGTGACGGGGAGAATGGAACCAAGTTGGAAAATACTCTGCAGGATATTATCTAGGAGAACTTCCCCAATCTAGCAAGGCAGGCCAACATTCAAATTCAGGAAATACAGAGAACACCACAAGATACTTCTCGAGAAGAGCAACTCCAAGACACATAATTGTCAGATTCACCAAAGTTGAAATGAAGGAAAAAATGTTAAGGGCATCCAGAGAGAAAGGTTGGGTTACCCACAAAGGGAACCCCATCAGACTAACGGCGGATCTCTCGGCAGAAACTCTACAAGCCAGAAGAGAGTGGGGGCCAATATTCAACATTCTTAAAGAAAACAATTTTCAACCCAGAATTTCATATCCAGCCAAACTAAGCTTCATAAGTGAAGGAGAAATAAAATACTTTACAGACAAGCAAATGCTGAGAGATTTTGTCACCACCAGGCCTGCCCTACAAGAGCTCCTGAAGGAAGCACTAAACATGGAAAGGAACAACTGGTACCAGCCACTGCAAAAACATGCCAAATTGTAAAGACCATCAAGGCTAGGAAGAAACTGCAACTAATGAGCAAAATAACCAGCTAACATCATAATGACAGGATCAAATTCACACATAACAATATTAACCTTAAATGTAAATGGGCTAAATGCTCCAATTAAAAGACACAGACTGGCAAATTGGATAAAGAGTCAAGACTCATCAGTGTGCTGTAGTCAGGAAACCCATCTCACTTGCAGAGACACACATAGGCTCAAAATAAAGGGATGGAGGAAGATCTACCAAGCAAATGGAAAACAAAAAAAGGCAGGAGTTGCAATCCTAGTCTCTGATAAAACAGACTTTAAACCAACAAAGATCAAAAGAGACAAAGAAGGCCATTGCATAATGGTAAAGGGATCAATTCAACAAGAAGAGCTAACTATCCTAAATATATATGCACCCAATACAGGAGCACCCAGATTCATAAAGCAAGTCTTTAGAGACCTACAAAGAGACTTAGACTCCCACACAATAATAATGGGAGACTTTAACACCCCACTGTCAACATTAGACAGATCAACAAGACAGAAAGTTAACAAGGATGTCCAGGAATTGAACTCAGCTCTGCACCAAGTGGACCTAATAGATATCTACAGAACTCTCCACCCTAAATCAACAGAATATACATTCTTTTCAGCACCAAAAATTGACTACATAGTTGGAAGTAAAGCACTCCTCAGCAAATGTAAAAGAACAGAAATTACAACAAACTGTCTCTCAGACCACAGTGCAATCAAACTAGAACTCAGGTCAGTATTGGCACCAGCACCTAGGACCCAACATTAGTACTGGCACCGAACACTAGCACAAGCATCCAGCCTCCAGTAAAATATCTTGTATGATGCAGTGTTTCTGTGAATGTTTGTTAAATTGTATTAACACTCACTTTTGTAATTCAATTAATAACTCTGAAGAAGATTTTTCCCATACTAAGAAATCATCATTGCAGAGTTACAACTCTGTGGGTATGAGATTGCTGTAAATGTTTTTGCATGTCATTAAAAATTAATACCCTATAATTGCTAACACCTAAGTGCGTGTAATTTAATATGATGTAAGGAGTGACAGTGAGATATTTCCTAAACTTGGCTGAGTGAACAGGGGTAAGCCCTACAGAGCTACTGCAGATGGAATTAAGAAGATGGAGTTGAAAAGCAAACCCACAAAGCTCCATTCTGTAAGCAAAAATAACACTAAGGCAAAGAATCATTTGCACTGAGCCCAGTTCTCCACTGCGGCTGGGATGGACTGGCCCTCACCCCAGCCCCGCTGCAGAAGGATGTGGGTGGCTAGTCTCCAGGCCTAGTCTCGGGAGGCACATTTCCCATGGTACTCACTAATGAAAGGAGGAGGTGTTATTAATGTTGGCTTACTGTTAATTGTTCAGTGCCCTACAGTTTATGAAGAGTTTTTACATGATTTCACTTGAAAACAATTTTCAGTGGATGAGGTAGGTATTGTTTTCATTTTACAGAGCAAGAAGCCACAGGTTCAGGATGGTTCATTTATTTCTTCATTTAACAACTATTTATTGGCCGTGGCTGTTCCAGACACACACAAGTGAGGAACTCGCCCCAGTGTGTGAGCAGGCAGGGACGGTGCCTAAGTCCCCACATGACTGCAGCGGAGTGCAGTGGATGCTAAACGTGGGAGCTGGCAGGAGTGCCTGCCTCCGTGCCTCGGAGCTGTTGGAGTGAGCATCTGGGATGCATGTTATACCTTGCCTCTTCACTCAGATGGAAAGTTGAGCTTCAAATAAAGAGGCCAACTCTATGCCTCTTAAGATTCTTGGGAACTCATAGCGCCCATTGGATCTTCAGCACGATCCCATGGGGGTATTTCCGAGTTGAACTTTTCACTTTCTGTCCATTCGGGCTCAGCTACCTGGTGAAGCTACTTGAGATCTTTGTTAGCTGTGTTTGGTCTGTGTTTTCTGGACAATTACTTTTTAGTTTTTAAATGGGTAGACTACTTAGAAACCACCAAGAGCTGTTACTTGTGTGTTCCTTCAGATATAAGCTGGATAATTTACCGCTGTGATATAAGACGTTTTCCCCTACAGTACTCACCAGAGTGTCCTCAGAGCCAAGTAAGCCCTCAGGTTCCCACTGGCAGTCTCGGCCTCGCTACTCTGCAGAGCGCAGGGCAGCAGCCAGGCCAGTGCCACACCTTCCTGCAGGTGTCTGCAGGTCTGCCAACCCCATCAGGGGCTGGACTCTCTGCGTGAGGTGAGTGGCTCGGGTACAAAGAGACGACGTCATTGGCAGGTGTGGGGGCTGCCCTGAAGCCCTGCTCCCCATAGGAGCCGTTGACGCAGCTTCCAGGGTCCCCAGTCCCCACGTGGGGCGTGACTGTCATGCCCGTAGAAATGACTTCCCGGCAGTGTTCATTCCAGGGGCAGGTTATCAATCAGGCTGTTTCTACTATTGGGACGTTGCCTGGTGACATAATTACACATTCCATCTTTGTCTGTTTCCAGGAGAACAGAGTCCAGAAGTTAACTGCAAGGTAACTTGTCAGGCAGAAGGGGAAATATTTTGTTCATGCTTTGCCCATATCCCCATCAAGACCTGGATAATAATATCAGCTTTTCTTCACAGGGGCATACGAAGGTCATTGAAATGTTTGACAGGAAAATAATTTCCTTTAGGATAATGTTCTGATTTTACTACCCAGCACTGGCTTAAGTTAGAGCGAGGGGGTATCGTCTGCATCCCCAGCATTGCGAGTTGGCCTTGTTTTCTTCAGGATGATGTAGGCTTGGTGACACAGAGATGATGTGTCATGATGCAGAGTGATCTGCTGTGATTTCACCCAGAGAGGTGTCAGTCATTCCCGAGCAGCCTGCCATTCCTGTAAGCCTGGGTGGCAAGAGTGCACAGGGAGCTCTGCAGAGTCAGCAGGGAATACCGATTGGCTGACCGGTGCAGGATGGCATGGCTGGGTCAGAGGGGCACACCCAGCACACGGCCCCTCGTTCTGAGCTACCTGGCAAAGGGTGCTGCTCGCCTGTTCCCACTTAAGATGAGCACCCAGGTAGGGGCCGCAAACCCTGATCAGGTCCACCCTAGCAATGTCTGAATATAACCCAAGTCTCTGTAAGGAGCAGTGGGATGGAAACCTGTGGTTTCTTAGGCAGTTCCCTTAGGCATCATGCACACTGACAATCACAAATCACGCATGGCAGTTCTAGTGTGTTCTTCCCAGTAGGACAGAGGTGGAGTCCTCAGGCGGAAGTGGTGGATAGGCTGGATCAGTGGATCTGGCCATGATGTCAGGCACCTAAGGTCGTGCCTGGGGCTCCACAGAGCTGCCTTCTCCACTTCTGCATCCCTTGCAAGCCTGCATTCACCTGTTTGCTTCTTGGAAGGATGCGTTGCCCATCTCCTGACTGTGGTTCCTTGTGTCCCACGACCAACCATCACCTTCACTTCAGGTAAGTGAGAGAGAAGTGACAGAGAAGAGGAGGCCTTGACGGTGGGGCCGTCCGGGGCCTGTGGAGTCAATATCAGCAACAGCTGTTAGTTCTGTATGGCAGCCTTTTCAGGGACTTCCAGGAGTTTCCAGACGGCCGCAGTGGGGTGTGCAGAGCTTGGTTTCCGGTTACCACATTCTTCCTAAGCAGAGTCCAGAAATGGTTGCACCACCCCCCAGGAGGTGTCTCATCAGAGGGGAGAATCATGGGAGAGGCAGCGACACCTGGGCACCCTAGCTTTGTGCGGCAGACAACAGCCACACTGCGTTTTCATGTGGAGTGCCCCCTTCAATCCCCTTCCACGGGTTCCGTGCAGTGCGGACACCATAGCATTGCGCTTGTCTTTCTGGCAACATTCTGACATCCTCTCCTGTTTATCCACTATATTCTGGTCCTCAGGAACAGACACTTTTTTAGATTTATCATTTAACATTAATAGTAGTATTAGAATCAAGGTCATTCGTAATGTTTTTGTTTACTAATTGTGTTGAGTTTACTTCCAAGGCTTTTGTCACTACTCAGAAGTTTTATTTTTATTTTTATTTTTATTTATTTATTTTTTTAAAAGACAGGGTCTTGCTGTATCATCCAGGCTGGAATGCAGTGGTGTGATCTCGGCTCACTGCAGCCTCGACCTCCAGGCTCAGGTGATACTCCCACCTCAGCCTCCTGAGTAGCTGGAACTACAGGCGCGTACCACCACGCCTGGCTAATTTTTAATTTTTTTCGTAGAGGCAGGGTCTTGCTATGTTGCCAGGCTAGTCTCAAACTCCTGGCCTCAGGTGGTCCTCCTTCCTTGCCCTCCCAAAGTGCTGGGATTACAGGCGTGAGCCACCCTTCCCGGCCTCCATCTTTGACATCCATCCTTCCGCCTTTGCAGCTTTGCTCTATTCAGGGACCCTTAACCTGTGCTCCATCACAACCGGATCTCCCTCAGGCTGCAACTCACCCCTTTGTTTTAAGAAGTGATGACATAAAAGCTCAAGGTGCTGCTTCTTTGAGCTGTTTAAGTTGAAAGGATTCTCTCGTAACATTTTCAGGTGTTCTGAACGCTGCTGAAGGAGATATCTTAAAGCAGAGAACTCTGTTGTGTATTTCCAGTTCCTAAGACTGATCCAGGCGGCCGTGGTGGTGTGGGCGCGTGGATGGAGGGGCTGTGGTGTGTGTCATTTTTTAAGCATCTTACTTTCTTGTATGCACACTTACAACTATGAATTTTGAACTCTACGTATTGTTATAGTTGCATCCCACAACTTTGATCTTGTATTTTCACTATTATTAGGTTAAAAATATTAAAAGTATTTAAATAAAAAATACTAATTAATATTAATTAAAAATATTTAATATTTTAAATTTAAAAAGTTAAAAATCGGTTAAATAGTTTGTTTATCTGGCAATGTCTTCTTTGACTCATGATTTAAGTGTTTACTTAATTTACATATATTTGGCACTTTTCTACAAATCTTAATTGATTTCTAATTTAATCCCATTTTGGTCAGAGAAGATACTCTGTAAGACTTTAATCTTTCAAAATTTATTGAGATGTGTTTTAAGTCCCAACATACAGTCAATCTTGGTGAATAGTTCAGGAGCTCTTGAATATAATGTGTATTTCACAGTTTTTGGATGGATGTTGTGTTCTGTGAATGTCAACTAGGTCCAGGTGGTGAATGGCGCCATTCAGATTTTCTACTTCCTCATTGATTTTTTTTGTCTAGTTGCTCTGTCTATTAATCAGAGGGGATCTGACTATAACTTGTTAGATATGGCTATGTCTATTTTTCTCTTTAGTTCTTTTTTTTTTTGATAGAGTTTCACTCTGTTGCCCAGGCTGGAGTGCAGTGGCATGATCTCAGCTCATTGCAACCTCCACCTCCCAGGTTCAAGCGATTCTCATGCCTCAGCCTCCTGAGTAACTGGGATTACAGGCGTGTGCCACCATGCCTGGAAAATTTTTTTTTTTTTTTTTATAGAAACAGGGTTTCATCATATTTGGTCTTGAACTCCTGATCTCAAGTGATCCACCTGCCTCAGCCTCCCAAAGTGACGGGATTACAGGTGTAAGGCACCGCAACTTGCCTATTTTTCTCTTTAGTTCTGTTAGTTTTTGCTTCATGCATTTTCAAGCTTTATTATTAGGTACACACACATATAATTGTTATGTATTTGTGATGCATTGGCCTTTTGATCATTATAAAATATATCTCTTTATCTCTGATAGACTCCTTATCTTGAAGTCTATTTGATCACAGAGTAAGATAGTCACTCCAGCTTTTATATAATTAGCATTTGCATGAAATATCTTTCTCCATCCTTTTACTTTCAATCTGTTTACATCTTTTTTCTTAAACTAAGTCTTTTGTAAGTAGAATATACTTTGGTCTGGCTTCTTTTTTTTCCTCCAGTCTGCTAATTTTTGCCTTCAGTTAAAGCTTTTAGTCCACTTGCATTTAGTGAAATTATTGGTATGATTGAATTTAATTTTGCCATTTTATGATTTGTTTTCTACTTCTTTTCCCTCTCTCTTTTTTCCCTCTCTGTTCCTCCTTTCTTGATTTCTTTGGAGTCCATTGAATATTTTCTAGTATTCCAGTGTAACTATTCATTCTATTGGCTTTTTTGTTATATATTTTTCCATCATATTTTAATAGCTTGCTCTGGGGAAGTGGCTTTCACACTTTATGTGCATCAGAATCATCTGGAGGGCTTATTAAAACACAGACTGTTGGGCCCCACCCCCAGAGCTTCTGATTCAGGAGGTCTCATTTCCAACAAGTTCTCAGATGCTGCTGCTGCTGCTGCTGCTGCTGGTCAGGGGAACACCCTTTGAGAACCACCACTTGGGAATCAACTCTGCATCTTTAACTTTTTAATTTTTTTCTATTTTTTTTTTTTTTTGAGACGGAGTCTTGCACTGTCTCCCAGGCTGGGGTGCAGTAGTGTGATCTCAGCTTACTGCAACCTCCACCTCCTGGGTTCAAGCAATTCTCCTGCCTCAGCCTCCCAAGTAGTTGGAATTACGGGCGCCTGCCACCACATCCAGGTAATTTTTTATATTTTTAGTAGACACAGGGTTTTGCCATGTTGGCCAGGCTGGTCTCCAAGTCCTGGCCTCAGGTGAGCCGCCTGACTCGGCCTCCCAAAGTGCTGGGATTACAGGCATGAGCCACCATGCCCGGCCTTCATCTTTAACTTTTTACAGTTAATTTGTCCTACCTTATATAAAATACAACATATAGTTTCATTTACCTCCCACCTGATCATTGGTGCTGTTGTTGTCATATATATCACATCTGTATATTTTAGAAACCCACAACATATTGTTTTACTTTTTGTACTAAATTGTCATATGCCTTTTAGTGAAATTAAGAGAAAAAAGAAAAAATATAGTTTTTTTTATTTTTAATTTAACCACACTTTCCCATGTCCTGTGATGTTCATCCTCCCTGGAGATTGAATCTATGATCTGGTGTTGTTTCCCTTTAGCCTGAAGAAGTCCCCTTAGCATTTCTATTTTTTAAATATGCATTTATTTATTTAATATCTATTTTTTGAGACTGAGTCTCGCTCTATGGCTCAGGCTGGAGTGCAGTGGCCCGATCTTGGCTCATTGCAACCTCTGCCTCCCAGGTTCAAGCGATTCTCCTGCCTCAGACTCCTAAGTAGCTGGGATTACAGGCACCTGCCATCACGCCCAGCTAATTTTTGTATTTTTAGTAGAGACGGGGTTTCACCATGTTGGCCAGGCTGGTCTCGAACCCCTGACCCCAAGTGATTCACCTGCCTTGGCCTCCCAAAGTGCTGGGATTACAGGTGTGAGCCACTGCACCCAGCCTCCCCTTAGCATTTCTTGAGGAGATTGCCTGTTCACAATAAGTCCTTTCAGTTTTTGTTTGCCTCAAAATGCTTTTACTCTGCCTTCAGTTTTAAAGGATATTTTTCTAGATGTGGAATCCTGGATTGATGGAGTTTTTCATTTTTCTGGTATTAAGACTCAGAAGTCTTCATTTTTAGCAAGCATGCCTGGTCATTCTCATGCCGAATGGCTGTGGAAAGCTGTGGGAAGCACACTGTTCATGTTCTCAATGTAATGAGGAGACCACTGAAGGCCTTGAGGATAAGAGTTTCAGTATGAAGTGGGGGCGAAGGGGTTTGAAGAGCAGGTGAGGTGATAGAGATAGAGGCAGAGAGTGTAGACAGTGCTCCATCTCGATCAAGCTACTTATTTCTGATTGACTTTCTTTCCTCCTAAAACACATTAGATTACATTGGCGTTACAGTCTGTTGACCTACCTTCTTCACATAAATGTGCTGGAGCCTCGATTAGACCTATCCAAACTGCACTTCACCTAATCTATGAGATCCCCCATCACATTAGGCCATTCTTGTGTTTTTATAAAGAAATACTTGAGACTGGGTAACTTATAAAGTAAAGAGGTTTAATTGGCTCGTGGTTCTGCAGGCTGTACAGGAAGCCTGGTGCCAGCATTTGCTCAGCTTCTAGGGAGGCCTCGGGAAGCTTACAATCATGGCGGAAGGTGAAGGAGGAGCAGGCGTCTCATATAGTGAGAGCAAAAGCAAGAGCGAGAGGAAGCGGGGAGGTGCCGCACACTTTTAAAGAGCCAGATCTTGACAGAACTCACTCCCTAGCATAAGAACAGCACCAAGCCGTGAGGGATTTGCCCTCATGACCCAAACCTCTCCCACCAGGCCCCACCTCCAACACTGGGGATTACCATTCAACATGCGATTTAGAAGGGACAACATCCAAATGATATTGCCCATCATTCTGTTCTCACACGCTGGCTTGAAATGGGTCTGCAGGTCTGGACATCGTGGTCTCACTGCTGGTGCCAGTGAGAGTCAGTAAGAGTCAGCACTGGCCTGATGGACGTGTGCAGGGGACAGATGTAGATGTGACAGCCACAAGTTGCGTGGTTGACACTTAGATGGAGAGGCAGTGAGCCCCCAGGACTCAGACCTTTAAGCAGGTGGAGGTGTCTGTGGACGATCTTTCTCTGTGTTTTCAGACCTCTGGGGAAACATGCTGTGCATTGGCCCTCTGGAGGGAAGAATCCTGTTGGGGAGGAAGGGGTGGGACAGAAGAGGGGGGTAACAGACCCATGATAATAATACATCGCAGAGAATGATAAATGTCAACAGGGAGATGCAAAAGAAAAAATACTGCAGGGCTTCAAAAGAAGAGTATATGATAAACACACTATGACAAGCAGGCTTAGAGGCAGAATAGAATAGGCAGAAGTGAGAAGTGAAGACTGCTTTGAAACTAACCAATTATAGGGCTATTTTGTGGACACAGAGGATAGTCTGATGGGCCCCCCAGAGTTAAGAGGTTCTTTCCTCATGCCACCTTGGTTTTATCAATTTAGTTTCTTCTTCAGTCCTTAGTGATGTAAACACACAAACGACTGTGTTGTGGTTTGGAGCTCTTTATGGCCAATTGAGCTTGTTTGTTCTGGGGCTGGTCTCTTATGACTTCAGTGTGATTCAGATCTTCAAGCTTTTTGAGGTGAGAGCAGCTAGTTGCACTGGAGTAGCTTCTTATGTAACTATAAATTATAACAGTTGGAGATAAGATCCTACGGGCCCCAGTCGATATGGAGATGGTCTGCCCCCGCCACTGGACACAATGCTTGGGGGTATGTGTTAAAGCTTAAACACAGGTTCCACCTTCAAGAACATTACATTTTAATTTGGGACACCAGGAATATTAAAATATTCAATGCACACATCAGCAGAAGTCATTAGATGGAATGCAATGGCATGATGCTATCTGAGGATATGGGGTAAACAGTAGTTATGGCTTCCTGAAGGAGAAGAAATGTAAAATAAAGCAAAAATGTGATGCAACAAATTGAAGGTAAGAGAGGGATTTTACGTGGGATGAAGGGAAGGACACAGTGATGGCCACAAGTCTGGCTGCCATTGTGCAAAAGCCCCTATGAGATATCCTACCCCTATGAGCTTAGCCCCTTTTCTCCAGTTTTTCACAAAATCAGGTTATCTTTCTTGTTGGTCAAGCTCTTAACAATATTATTTCATTTCACCATCACAGCCAAGAGTCCCCCAAAGGGGGCAAGGGCCACCTACTCCCTTCTATTTCTGCTCTTTGCAACCATCCCAGCAGAATTGAAGTGAGCTGCTGAGGTGGTGCCCTAGACCCAGTTCTCCCAGGTATGATGTTAGTCTCCATTTGATTGATCTATAGATGTTATGTCCTGTGTTTAATAGTGACTGTTAGAAATATGGTCTAGACTCCATTAGCTGCAATCAATGCCTACTTACAACTCATAGACACATTTCAGCTGTATATTCAGCCATGACTTTTACATTCATTTGTGTGCAGATAATGTTCTGTCAGACGTATCTTCTCCATTTGATTTTCAGCTTCACAACAATCCTTGAAATACAAGTGTTGTGATCCCTGTTCTACAGTTGAGGTGACCAAAGTACATTCGTTAGGTGACATGCCCAAGATGCAGAACTAGCACACACGGAGCTGGGTAGGACTGGAGCCCCATCTTCCCCTTACTTGAGTCATCATGCAAGCAATTCTTGATCTGGAATCCATGGTCTGGCAGTGAAGGCTCAAGGATGGACTTCTTACTCATGAGCTCCATGAAATTGTTTATAAAAGTCTATGTCAGGTCGGGCATGGTGGCTCACGCCTGTAATCCCATCACTTTGGGAGGCCAAGGTGGGTGGATCACCTGAGGTCAGGAGTTCAATACCAGCCTGGTCAACATGGTGAAACCCCCATCTCTACTAAAAATACAAAAATTAGCCAGGCATGATGGCGCACGCCTGTAGTCCCAGCTACCCGTGAGGCTGAGGCAGGAGAATTGCTTGAACCTGGGAGGCAGAGGTTGCAGTGAGCCAAGATCACGCCACTGTACTCCAGCCTGGGTGACAGAGCAAGATTCCACCTCAAAAAAAAAAAAAAAATACAGTCTGTGTCTCTATGCTCATATGCATTTTTCTTTTCTGTTTTCTTTCTTTCTTTTTTTTTTCTCAAGATGGATTCTCACTCTGTTGCCCAGGTTGGAGTGCAGTGGCACAATCTTGGCTCACTGAAACCTCCTTCTCCTGGGTTCAAGTGATTCTCCTGCCTCAGCCTCCTGAGTAGGTGGGATTACAGGTGCCTGTCACCACGCCTGGCTAATTTTTGTATTTTTAAAAATTATTATTTTTTTCGAGATGGGATCTCATTCTGTCGCCCAGGCTGGAGTATGGTGGCCCGATCTCAGCTCACTGAAACCTCCACCTCTTGGGTTCAAGCGATTCCCCTGCCTCAGCCTCTGGAGTAGCTGGGACTACAGGGGCCCACCACCACACCCGGCTAATTTTTGTATTTTTGGTAGAGATGGGGTTTCACCATGTTGGCCAGGCTGTTCTCAAACTCTTGACCTCAGGTGATCTGCCCGTCTAGGCCTCTCAAAGTGCTGGGATTACAGGCATGAGCCACTGTGCCCAGACCTCATATCCATTTTTTTAAGTGATCATGTCTGTAGCATTAATTAGATTCACCAAGGGATCCACAGCTCTGGAGAGATGAAGCAGTGTATGGTGACACTCACCAAATCTCACTTCTACTTGAGGCTACCCGGTTGTTCTTAATGAACTCTCTAGAGAAGATCAACTCTTCCTGATATAAATGTCTGGCCTTTTTACCACATCTGAAATGCAGTGTCAGGTTCCACTTACCATTTGTGACTAATTCTGTCCCCAAAATTCACATCTATGATGCTGATTACAAAGTGTTTCTAATCTTGGATCTTTTTGGTCTCTTATCTGTGATGTAGTGTGGACCCAGGTATGGATGGAGGGAGCAAAATTTTAAGAATAAGGATCGTCATCAAAAAAGACTATCTCCTGGGGAATTTCTATACCTGGAAATAGTAACTCCTCTGTTTAGACAGCTGGCACTTTTTTATACATCCTAAAATGTACAAAGCAGTGAGAGGGCAGCCTGCCTCCAAACTCAGTCTCCTTAGGGTGTTTCTTATTAGCAGCCATCCTTCCCTCTTGTTACTCACCTTGTTCTGCTCACTGTGAACCAGCTCCATCTTGCTCCTGTCTGGGCAACTAGAGCTTGACCAGCATCCTGACATTCTATCACACACATATAATTTCCTTAGCATCTCATCAGCAGGACTGTGCATGGCAGATGGTGTCAGGAGCTGACCGCTCAAGATGGGTGGAGAACACAAGGTGGGTGGCCAAGTGCAGAAGAACAGCAGGTACTTGGGAAGTCTGAGGATGACAGAACCAAGCAGCAGACCCATTCTAAGCCAGGTTGTAATACAGGCGGAGTGTGATGGCGGCTCTGGGGAGAGCAAGGAGAAATGGCATCTGGCATGAGAAGTCTTTGGCTTCTTTGGAGTTAACAGGCTTAGTTCAAATCTCCAGGACTATTCTCCATTCTCTTCTATAGTAAGCTGAGTAACTATTTCAGTGAATGCCCATATGAGCAAAGCATAATATTAATAAAAAATAGACGATAGCAAAAATCTTAGTTTGCATTTGTAAGGAGTCAAATGTTTGTGGAGCTTGGGATGAGGACTGGGAAAAGTGACTTAAGTTGGTAGATCTGAGCAATCCCAGTGCCCAGTGGGTACTTTCCTTCCTTCTTTTCTTTCCTTCCTTCTTCCGACCAGTAAAACAACAATACTGATTGGTTCATCCACATACACCAAAGGAGTCGTTATACAATAGAATGATGATTGTCCTATTCAGAACCTCCCATGAAAAAGGTACAGAGTTTGTCTGCAATGGAGATTGTTTTAGAACTTTTATTTTAGAGTCATTGTTTAAGTTATCTGCTGCTGTATAACAAGTATTTCAAAACTTATTGGTTTAAAAAGCCATAATTTATTATTTCTCGTGATTCTGTGGGTTTGTGGGGCTCAGCTGGGTGGTTTCTGCTGCTCTTACATGAGGTGTCTTGTTCAACTCAGCTGGAAGCTGGACTGGGCTGGACTTCAGGGTGCCTTCTCTTCGTTCTGGGTCAACTCTTCATGGCCTCCCAGCACTTGGTGGTTTAGCCTGAGTTTCTTACATGGCAGCTGGATCCCAAGGCAGAGGTTCAGAGCTGCCTCTGTGGTGGCTTTGCTGCAGTCCATTGACACAAGCGGGTCATGAGGATAGCAGGCATTCAAGCAGTGGGGCCATGCCTCTATTTTTAGTTGCCCTCTTTAGGCGCACATAACATCACAGTTATCTATTTTCAGAACACATGCTAATGTGTGTTTAGAGTGTTTAGAGCATGTTCACACAATTATTTAATGTGATCTGCAGAGCACTTATAACCCTTACACCTAAGAAAGGCACATCTCAGAGCAGGAAAGTGATTCACCCTAGGTCCTATCCATAGTAAGAAATGGAGCCAGAACTTATAGGGTCTCCTGACTCCTGGCTCCATGGGCTACAGAAGCTGCTCTTGAAGGAAGCTTCTCCCAGTGGGAGTGGATTTGATCCTTGGAAACACCTGAACATCATTCTGCATTAGGTTTGGTTAACAAAATAAAGTGATTGGCTGAGCTGGGTAAACAGTGGTTTTGGTCAAACATGGAATGAGACCGTGCCACGTATTTCCGGTGTGGCTCTTCAATGACTCCTGAGCGTGTGTGGAATATGAGCGTGGTCTCCCAGGATACTTCAAAGGTGTACGAGTCCCTTTGTCAGTGCCACGCGTCCCTGCTCATGGGTATAACATGCCTGGGGATTTGCACAGGCAGCTTTCAGGGTTGTCAAGGAGCCAGGTGACCCAGAACAGGAGGCTGGGCTGGCGGATCTCTGAACGTCATTTCTAGCTCTGCGTCAGTGAACTCCGTGCCGCTGTATTGGTTTGCAGTTATTTTGCTTTCTTTTCAAACTCTACTTCAGAAAAATGCTGGGAAAGAGGGAAGCTTTGAAATGAACACCTTTTATCTGTTTTCATTTTTCTTCCTAAACAAATCCCTTCGGTTTTTGTTTCATTTCCCTCTTGGCCCCAGTGCCTGGCTCTCCTAAATTGCTCTCTGTAATCTCTACAACAGAACAGCAGCGTTCCCTTATATGTTGTCTATTTATTAATGATTTCCATTTCTCTTGCTTCCATGGGGTTGCAATGTTATTTTAACCTTATGTTGCTCATTATTTTCCTTCTTTTTATTTCATGCAAATAGTTTTGCAGTTTTTCTTATAATAACGATTTTTTTTTTTGAGAGAGGAGAGAGAGAGAGAGAGAGTCTCACTCTGTTGCCCAGGCTGGAGTGCAGTGGCTTGAGTGATCACGGTTCACTGTAACCTTGACCTCCTGGACTCAAGCCATCCTCCCACCTCCGCATCCTAAGTAGCTGGGACTACAGGCACACACCACCGTGTAGAGGTGGGGGTCTCACTACATTACCCAGGCTGCTCTCAAATTCCTGGGCTCAAGCAATTCTCCCACCTTGGCATCCCAAAGTGCTGAGATTACAGGTGTGAGCCACCATGCCTAGCCTATAATGATTCTTTCACGTGGCTGATTTCAGCCTCTCACTTTCATAAGATCAGTTATTATTTTATTTTATCTTATTTTTATTTTTGATTCTTCAACTCCACATCCAGGGTTAGCACCACTCTACAGTTTATAATCTGTCTTTATTGTCTCATCCAATGTCCCTTAGATCTTATTTATTTACGAATTATGTGCTTCCTTGAATTCCCATATTAGTTTCACTGTTCAATGTCTGACAGCATTGCTGATTCCAGAAGTGGTTGATATTAAATTGTCATGGATTGTGTGCAAGTGTGTATATTTATGCAAATGATTCTTTTTTTATTAATATATAATAGATGTAAATATTTTGGGGGTACATGTTAATACACTCATTTAATTTGTAAAGATCAAATTGGGGTAATTAGGATATCCATCACCTTAAATATTCATCTTCTCTTCATGCTAGAAACATTTGAATTATTCTCTTCTAACTATTTTTGAAATATACAATAAATGATTGTAAACTATAGTCACCCTACTGATTTATCAAACACTATGTCTTATTTCTTCTAGCAAACTGTATATTTGTACTCATTAATCAACCTGTCTTCGTGCTCCCCACTCCTGCTCTTCCTAGCCTCTGGTAATCAGCAATTTACTCTCTATTTTCATGGGATCCCACATCTGAGTAAGAACATACAATATTTGTCTTTCTGTGCTTGGCTTATTTCATTTAACATGATGACTTCCAGTTCCCTCTATGTTGCTGCAAATGACAGGACTTTCTTCTTTTTTATGGCTGAGTAATATGCCATTATGTATACACCACATTTTCCTTAACCATTTATTAATGGGCACTTAGGTTGATTCCATATTTTGGCTGTTGTGAATAGTGCTGCAGTAAACATGAAAATGCAGACGTCTCTTCAATATATTGATTTCCTTTCTTTTGGATAAATGTCCAGTAGTGAGATTTCTGGATCATATTGCAGTTCTATTTTTAGTTTTGTTAGGAACCACCATATTGTTCACCATAGTGGTTGTACTAATTTACATTCCCACCAACAGTATATGAGGGCTCTGCTTTCTCCAAATACTTGCCAACCTTCGTTATTGCCTGTCTTTTTTTTTTTTTTTTTTTGAGATGGAGTCTTGCTCTGTCATCATGCTGGAGTGCAGTGGCAGGATCTCGGCTCACTGCAAGCTCCGCCTCCTGGGTTCACTCCATTCTCCTGCCTCAGCCTCCCGAGTAGCTGGGACTACAGGCACGTGCCACCATGCCTGGCTAATTTTTTGTACTTTTAGTAGAGACGGGGTTTCACCGTGTTAGCCAGGATGGTCTCCATCTCCTGACCTCGTGATCTGCCCGCCTTGGCCTCCCAAAGTGCTGGGATTACAGGCGTGAGCCACCGCGCCCGGCCTATTCCCTGTGTTTTTTATAAAAGTCATTATAACTGGGGTGAGATGAAATCTCACTGCAGTTTTGATTTGCATTTCTCTGATGATTAGTGACATTGAGCACTTTTTCATATACCTGTAGGCCATTTGTATGTCTTCTTTTGAAAAATGTCTATTCAGATCTTTTGCTCATTTTTTAATCTGATTAAGATCAGCTTTTTTAAAATGTTTGCTTGAAGCCCCAAATTGTTCTATGCATTTTTCAAGGCATAGAATTTATTATATGATTAGACAGTTTGTTGTTTGTTACTTCTTGTGGAAAAATTTTTAATAAGTGTGCTGACAGCCATTCATTTACCCACTCAACAAAGGTTTGTCAGGTTTCTACTATGTCCAGTGACTGTCCTAAGCACAGAGGTTATGGTGGAGAATAAGGCAGATGCAGCCCCACGGAATTTGGTATTTTGTGTTATGAAATGGCAAATAGCCATAGCCTGAAATCTCACGGTTTCTCAGAGTTTCATGACATTAGTGAAGGCATGGGCAGCAGCTGCTGTTCATGTTGCTTTAAACTGGTGTTAGGAGCCACTGCCAGAAGCAAAACAATTGTAGGCAACCAAATGAGGTGATGTGCAGTGTATGGGAAGGCCAGGGCGGGGTTGTTGAAGGACCAGCAGGGTTGAGACTCAGCCGTGCAGTTAAGTGACACTGTTTTAAGTGAACACGAAATGCACACTTTATTATGGCCCCTACTTAAATCTGGATGTTCTCTTTTGTAGTTGTACAACAGATTGATGACATGGTGATGTCAGGCCAGGAAACAGAGAGGGGACAATCTATCCCAGTAAGGGCACTGGAGTCCTAGCTCTGTCTTGGAACCAGCACCCAGTGGGAGCTGATGGCCAGTCTACTCGCTCCAGCAGACCATCTTCTCTCCCCTCCAGCTCCTACAGTGTTTTATGTTATTCATAAGGCACTGGTCTCAAACTGCCTGCTCTGTAGTGAGTTTGATACTTTTATGTATCCTTAACTGGATGCTAAGTTCCTTAGGGACAAGAATTCTTCCTTCTACCACTCTTTCCTCTCGATGCCGATAACCACATCCAACTGGGTTTCATTTGATCGAGCATTTTATCAGACCCTGGGAAATGTACTATTGAAGTTTCTTTCTTTTATTTTTTTTCTTTTTCTTTTCTTTTCTTTCTTTCTTTTTTTTTTTTTCTTGAGATGGAGTTCGCTCTTGTCGCCGAGACTGGAGTGCAGTGGTACGATCTTGGATCACTGCAACTTCTGTCTCCCGGGTTCAAGCGATTCTCCTGCCTCAGCCTCCCGAGCAGCTGGGACTACAGGCGCATGCCGCCACGCCTGGCTAATTTTTGTATTTTTAGTAGAGACGGGGTTTCACCATGTTGGCCGGGCTGGTCTCGAACTCCTGACCTCAGGTGATCTGCCCGTCTCAGCCTCCCAAATGGCTGGGATTACAGGCGTGAGCCACCATGCCCAGCCTACTGTAGAATTTTCTTATACAATCAAAATTGCTCATAAATGCGGTCCTTTTGGGTCCTTCATTATAACCATATGCTCTTTCTTGGGTGGGATCAAAGTCTTAAACCTCATTCAATTCTAGTTGACTGTGGAACTCAATATGTTAAAAAATAAAGAAGATGAATATTGTTACTGTCTTTGTAGCAATCTTGGGGTACTTGATTGTCCTAATTTTATAAATGAAGAAAACTTAGTATAGAAACTGTAGTAACTTTCCCAAAGCCACATGCTTTATTTAATTTTATTTTAAATTTAAAAAAATTTTTTATTTTTTGTAGAGATGGGGTCTCACTATCTTTCCCAGGCTGGTCTCAAATTCCTAGGCTCAAGCGATCCTCCCACCTCAGCCTCCCAAAGTGCTGAGATTACAGGCATGAGCCACTGTGCCCAGCCATCACATGCTTTAAAAGTGAGCAAACAGCTTGAACCAATCTAAACAGCTTATTTATTTGAGGTAATAAACTTTTCCTTCTTCCTGAGTTTTCCTAAATTCTTCTCTATCATGAAAATAGCATTAATAGCTAAAATTTTAAGTGTTTAGAGGTTTTGCCTTTCAAATCCAGTAAGTCTCCAGAGTCAACAGGTGCTACAAGATGCTACTGGCAGTAACAGTGCTTCTCCAGGATTGTGGTAGGTGGTGTCTAAGGGTCTTTTCAGCTTGAAGGTTCTGTTTCCCAGTTCTGTCTCACTTAAGATCAGATCTTGGTGAGTATATTGGCAAACCATTTCATTATTTAAATTTGTAAAATACAGGCTTTAGGCCGGGCGCGGTGGCTCACACCTGTAATCCCAGCACTTTGGGAGGCCCAGGCGGGCAGATCACCTGAGGTTGGGAGTTTGAGACCAGCCTGACCAACATGGTGAAACTACGTCTCTACTGAAAATACAAACTTAGCCAGGCTTGGTGGCACATGCCTGTAATCCCAGCTACTCGAGAGGCTGAGGCAGGAGAATCGCTTGAACCCGAGAGGCGGAGGTTGCTGTGAGCTAAGATTGTGCCATTGCACTCCAGCTTGGGCAACAAGAATGAAACTCCATCTCAAAAAAAAAAAAACAACAACAACAACAAAAACAGGCTTTAATTGTATTTCATACTCTTTAACTAACTAGATATTAACTATAAAATATTAACAATTTCAAATTTTTGTTAAAGGAATACATTTACACAGCTTAAAAATTCAAGTGGAACTAAAAGGTTTACAAGGCAATATTTCAGTCCTCTGCCCCATTCTCTGCTCCTCCCACCCTGTATGCTGTCCCAGAGGCAACCAACGCCTTTCATTTTTTAGAGCTCTTCTGACGTTTACCTTTATGTTTCCAAATAATGTGCTTATTATGCCATTTACTGATTGCTGGACTTTAGACCTGTTGACTTTTTCTGCTATGGTAGTGGAGGCTTTAGCTCTGACCTGAGCCCCACTGCTCCTGCTCCACCCACACCTCTTCCCTCACCCTCATGACATGATCATGGCTCATACTCTGGTCAAATACATATTGTTATTTATATTATTTTGACTGCGAGCATAATGACGTCTGGACCAAGTTGTATTCTATGTTACATTTTCTTTTGGTTGCAATTGCCTCCCTTCCCTGAGAGTGAACCATGACTGGGGTTTTCATTTGCTTGGCTTTCTATGTGTCTATTGTTCGGCTTTTCCTACTCTTCCAACAAATCTGTCATATGCCCGGAAACAATTTTTTCAAGTTCCCAGACATGGTTCCGCACAGTCCATCTATTCCATCTGTTTCTTTCCCTTTTCCCGGGGGCTGTGGTCTGGGCAGGGTGCTCTGGCCCTCTGCCCAGTGGTCCCCTGGGCTCCCCTTGCCTTTCCCCTGGGCCAGAGCTTGTGCTTTCTGGAGTCCGTGTCTTCCTGTCTTGGTCTCTACCTTCATTTTGCTGAAGCACACACCTTCCAGGAACTTCCTCAGGAGGGGAATGTGGAACTAAACTTCTATGCACATAAAGTCTTCATATCACCCTCAAACCCGATCTGTCTCCCCGCCTCCAATGTACTTTCCTTTCCTCTCTTATTTTCTCTGTTTTTATGAACTTACACCTTTTTTCTTCACTATTGTGTAATTGGCATTTAAGATGGGAGTAGAGATAAATGCACCTGTGTAGGCTCATACTAACCACACGCCTCAGTGCATGGGTGTTTATCAGACTTCTCTCAATCAAGAGCTGCGCTGAGTACTTGTGAAGGCCCTGCAGGGCTGGTGCTGAGTAAGTTCAGGATTGGGCACCTCTGAGGGGTGAGGAAATGGAGGTTCAGAGACGAGAAGGAACTTCCCCAAGGCCACATGGTTAATGATTGGAAGATCTGAGATTCTAAACCAAACCTGAGTCGATCACTTCCCTTTCTGTCCACTGCACTGATAACTGAAGCCCAAGGGCTGAGGCCACACCTCAGCGTGTGAGGATCAGCAGAGGAGACCCTGCTGGCTGCGGGATGTGGATAGGCTTTGAGGAAGAGGAAAAGCACAGGCAAAATGTCAAAGATAAGTGGGAATGAGGTTCCCTGGAGCATGAGTCGCAGGTGCTCAGGAAGGTGCTGGCAGCTCTAGAGAAGGCCAGAGAGAAGCACCCAGTGGTGGGAGCCACAGCCCCAAGACACAGGCTAAAGCCCCAGCCCAGGGTGGGTGAGCTCCACCCTGTCACCTATGGGGTTGCATGCAAGTGGTTCCTCTAAGCATTGGCTTCATCTGGGAGGCGGGGGTGACATCGCTTCTTTGAGCCTTATTTGGAGGACTAAACAACACATGCATTTTGTCATTAGGCTGGTGCAAAAGTAATTGTGGTTTTTTTCTATTACTTTTAATGGTAAAAACCGCAATTAGTTTTGCAGCAACATACTAACTTTAAAGTTCTTAATACATATGAGATATTATTTCTATCAGCTTAGAAGGATCCATTATGATTGTAGAAGACCTGGGATGCCAGTCTGAGGAACTCTTCTTTTCTTAAGCAAAGGAGAAACAAAATAATTCTGATGGGGGAGTGACTGACCCCAGTCTGGCTCACCGGCGGCTGTGAAGTCCTGAGTGTCCTCTGGCAGCTGCCTTTGAAAGCGCAGTGGTGTCCGGGGCTCGCCACTGAATAGCGTTTGTTCTCAGAAGGGAGCCCGGTGGAAAATTTGAAGCTGCAGTTAGGAACTGTGTGTATGGCCTTGGAAACTGAAGATGTTCCTTTAAAAGAAAAATCACAGTGTTTTTAAAACTCAGATGACAGCTTTGACCATTATCTGCTTTCCTCTCCTGCCAGCTCTAGAGTTTTCTTGGGATGTTATCAAGGATGATATCACAACAATGCCCACTTCTGTTTTGTTTTTAACCTGAATGACAAATTACCAATCAGCAGATGTAGGCCATCCAGGGAAGTTTCTTTTAAATGCTGGACTTTTGCAAAAATGTAGAGCCTTGGTGGCAATTGTGATTCTTTTTTTTTTCTTTTCTTTTCCCCAATGAAGGTACTTTTTTTTATGTCCAGTTTTGGAAGGCTCCTGAAGATTGTTTGAGAACTTGACTGCTGTGTCAGGGCAGTGCTGACACTCTCTGTTGCCAACTGTTATTCATTATTCCAAAAAATCAGAGAAGCAAAAACGACCCCTCCAAACAACTCCAAGACAAACTCCAAGCAAAACAACAACACACACACAAACCCACAATTTTCCTTTGGTTGCTTCTGAGAAGGAGTTTTAATGGTATAGTAAATACAGCATTTATCGGATGATTTTTGCTGCCATTGATATGTTTCTCTTCTTGAAAGAGGAATTCAAATGACAATGAACATTTTTGGGGTCCTCTTTTATGGAGTTTGATTTTCAGGGGATTGTCAGGCATGTCGTCTCCGGGTTCCCATGCTGCACAGTCCCAGCACTCTCTGTGGCTCAGCCTTCCCGTCCCTTGCCCTCTGAATACCTTGCCGTTGACTGAATGGTCATCGTTAGCACAGGTCATCACAATACATGACTCCTGGGCAGGAGGAACAGAGGAGCGGAGGTTGTGCCATGCATTTAAAACCCAGTTAGCATCCCAGTGGGTCTTCCAAGGCCGAAGATGGCAAAACGTTTTTATTTTACTTTGTTGAAATCATCTGTTTCCCTCCAAATGGTGGGCTGTTTGGGCACAAGGTCATGTTGTCTTCAATTTCATAGCCCCGGTACCCAGCAAGGATGGCTGCCCATAGGCTCTATTAAGATGCCGAGTGCATCCGTGGCACGGCCAGGAGGAGTGTGCTGTGGTCAGCCTTCCAGAAGGAATCAATCTCCTGGGAGAAGTGGAGAAGTTGGCCTGCAGCAGGGGCCTCGAGAATGGCGGGTCTCATCCACCACCAGCAGGCTCGTCTGTTGCCCAGCAGTGTGATCCTAGCTGAGGTTTATTCTCTTTCCCTCATTAGACTGCAGTCTCCTGAAAGGCAGGGTGTGCACCTGACTTGTCTTTTTGTCCCTTCATCCTGCGCCCTGCACGGTTTGATCAGTAAATGGTGGCTGAGAGACAAGGGAGTGGGAAGGAAGGAGGTCAGGAGGGGAGAGAGGTCTGAGTGCTTGAAAGAGTCCCTCCTCTGCTTCAGGGGCTTGTTCTGGGGTTTTCTGGATCTTCAGTACTTGCGGGTAGGATCTGAGCTCTCCCGGCCCCTGGTGGTTGTTGGCCAGGCCTGGCCAGCTTCCAGCAGCACAGGTCATCATAATATATGACTCCTGGACAGGAGGAACAGAGGAGCGGAGGTCGTGCCATGCATTTAAAACCCAGTTAGCATCCCACTGGGTCTTCCAAGGCGGAAGATGGCAAAACGTTTTTATTTTACTTTGTTGAAATGCAGGTTGTTCCTTTTTTTTTAACCAACTTTTATGTTCCAAGGCTAAAACATAGCATAAAACAATTTGAAAAAGTCGGTTTCAATGTTTCCCATTGTTCACTGAGAGAGGGTCACACAGGGTGCAAGGCAACAGAGGACACCATTGCTTACGTAGTACCTCGTGAGCTGCACTGCGAGAGGCCTTTCAAAGGAAGGTTTTATTTAGGAAGCAAGGAATGATTAAAAACTGATGGCTCTAATCAAATGAGATTTAAAATTTTCCATTAAACCTTCATAGTTAGGCTGCATGCAGTGGCTCATGCTTGTAACTCCAGCACTTTGGGAGGCTGAGATGGGAGGATCACTTGAGGCCAGGAGGTTGAGGCTGCAGTGAGCTGTGACTGGGGCACTGCACTTCAGTCTGAGTGACAGAGGGAGACTGTATCTCAAAAAATAAAAAAAATTAAAAATTAAAAGAAATAAACCTTTAACATTGGGTGTAATTTTACTTTCCATCTACTCCTTCTTCCTCACCTGCAACGTTCAAGAGCAGGAGGGAAGATGTGAACACACATTTGTGTGTGTGTGTAAACATGCTCATGTGTTTCTAAATTATCAAGTCAGGATAAGAACTTCTACTGTGAAATACAGATATACAACAATATGTCCCAAGCTATGTTTAATGCACTTTTATTATCCTGCTAGTTCTTCTAAATATGATCATTATACAATAGTTCTTTTTTTTTTTTTTTTTGAGATGGAGTCTTGCTCTGTCACCTAGGCTGGAGTGCAGTAGCGCAATCTCGGCTCACTGCAACCTCCGCCCCCCAGATTCAAGCAATTATCCTGACTCAGCCTCCCGAGTAGCTGGGACTACAGGCGCGTGCCACCACACCCAGCTAATTTTTGTATTTTTAGTAGAGACGGGGGTCTTGCCTCGTGGGCCAGTTTGGTCTCGAACTCCTGACCTCAGGTGATCCACCCACCTTGGCCTCCCAAAGTGCTAGGATTACAGGTGTGAGCCACTGTGCCCGGCCCATTATACAATAGTTCTACAAAGAAAATTTAAGAGCAAGCTCTGGCTTAGTCTTTGAAAAACAAGTTTGGAATTTCCTATACGAGTGGATAAAATGTCAGCTCTTGGTATTGTCCTTAAGACACAGTACATGGTATTTACTCTCTTTTTATAGGGTAAAGATAGATAAATCCCCAAAGGCCTTGGCATTTAGGAAACAATCATGCTTTATCTATTAACTTACTCTTTAAGCTCTGTCATTTTTTGCGTCTGAGTGAGACACTCTATTTACTGAGCCACAGACCACCTGCTAGATAAGCAGAGACTCTTCCAGGGCACACAGCCTGGAGAAAAAACGCCTGAATGCACAACTAGAAGTATTAGCAAGTCTGGTTTAACTGTCCCCAAATGTCTAACTAAGAATATTAGTGGGCCAGGCGCAGTGGCTCACGCCTGTAATCCCAGCACTTTGGGAGGCCGAGGCGGGCGGATCATGAGGTCAGGAGATCGAGACCATCCTGGCTAACACAGTGAAACCCCATCTCTACTGAAAATACAAAAAAATTAGCTGGACATGGTGGCAGCCACCTGCTCTAGTCCCAGCTACTCGGGAGGCTGAGGCAGGAGAATGGCATGAACCCGGGAGGCGGAGCTTGCAGTGAGCCGAGCCCGCGCCACTGCACTCCAGCCTGGGCGATAGAGCGAGACTCTGCCTCAAAAAAAAAAAAAGAATATTAGTGAATGATTAGTATATGGGAAACACCTCCGGACCACCCTACATTATTATTAGTCTTCACTTTGTGGTGGGTAAAGATAAAATAAAAGTAGCTACCGTTTATTGAATGTTTACCATGTGTGGATGAAAACCATGTTAATCATTGTCTTCTTTAATCCTCACAGCAACCTAATGAAGTAGGTACTATAATTTTGCAGATAGCCACATTGAGGGTGAGTGAGGTTAAACAACTTGCTCATATGACTCAAAAGTTTGGAAGCCATTTTCAAATCAGATGTGGACAAAGTGTGCCTTTTTAACCATTGTATTATTCAGTCTTCCTATGAAGACACGCCTCTATTTGGGGCATTTACTTCCTATATAACTTGATGAAAAAAAACCCAGCATTTTCATTGCTTGCCTATAAAAACTCTAAAGGTGTTTCTGTGGGAGGGTGTGTTATTCCACTCAGCTATTGATAAATATAGTCCTGTCTTAATGTTTAATGTGGATCTTTTTTCTGTTTCATGCTTTTCTGAATTTTTGAGTGACCATGTCACTCAGAAAAGCTTTGAATCAGCAACATTTCCAGTGGACTGTAGGGAAAGCCTGTTGTTTTGGTGGAAAGTAGAGAGTCACAGATCCCCAACCTTCATCTGAGCCGTGGTTCTGCATCAGTACAGACAGGAAACCAACTATTAGGAGCCACTACATGAAATAGTATTTCCTCAGGTGAGCAAAAAATTCTTTTGCTTTTGTAGATTGGCCCTGTCTATACGTGGTAGCCACTAGTCACATGTGGCTTTTGACGTTTGCATTTTAATTAATTAAAGTGAAACACAATTTAAAGTTCAGTCACCCCTGCCACACTATAAGTGCCCAGTATTCAATACAACTGCCCAGTGGCTGCCATGCTGGGCGGCGCAAACGTAGAGCACTTCTGTCCTGGCTGAAAATTCTACTAGACAGAGCCATCCAGGAATTTGGACTAGCAAGCACCAAGTTCACAGTTAGAGAACACAGTTGCAGGCCAGGCGCGGTGGCTCACGCCTGTAATCCCAGCACTTTGGGAGGCCAAGGCGGATGGATCACGAAATCAGGAGTTTGAGACCAGCCTGGCCAGCACGGTGAAACCCCATCTCTACTAAAAATACAAAAAATTAGCCAGGCATGGTGGTGCTCACCTGTAATCCCAGCTACTCGGGAGGCTGAGGCAGAAGAATCACTTGAACCCAGGAGGCGGAGGTTGCAGTGAGCTGAGATTGCGTCACTGCACTCCAGCCTGGGCAATAGAGCAAGACTCTGTCTCAAAAAAAAAAAAAAAAAAAAAAAAAAGGAAAGAAAAAGAAAAAAGAGAAGACAGCTGCTTTACAAAGCAAGAGGGCTTCAAGAATCTGGAAACCAAAGGAGCAATGTCCTTTGAGTTTCTACAAATTTGGGCCACACTGATTGGGCCTTTCCACAGCCAATTCCATTTGCCTTCATTATGGAAAGTAAACAGTTTAACTTCCTACTGACATGCTCTGCAGTGCAGACAGTAAACAGTAGCTCACCGCTGCTTCTGCCAGCTGCTCTCGGGTGTTCTACTTGGGTGGGGAACAGCAGCACTGGCACTGGCACTGGCCCCGGTGGCCCCACAGAGCATGGCTCCATCAGGCTGGGTGCTACAGAGGGATGCCAAGAACATTTGGGCATTGAATGCCTCTCTCTCTCTCTCTCTCTGAAATGAAAACCCTCATCAATTCAACAATAGTTTCTCTAATAGAACATATAGTGATTTGTTTCATCTCAACTGTTCCCATACAATAATAGAAAGGAGGGAGTCTGTGCCTGAGAGTGCCTGCAAACCCCAGGGCACACCAGCCCCGTGGAGCCATAACAGTTGCTCACAGAGACAGCCCCTCACAGCAGCCCCCGGCACAGTGACTCGTGTAATGAAAGCTGGAAAATTGCCCAGGAAAACCTGAAGATGCATTCCTGAAGCTCCCACACTCCAACGCACGCACACACAGACTTCTCTCCTGGCTTTAGGAACATGAATTTACCTTGAATCTTTAAACTTAATTGAAAATCTTGCAAAATAACGAGCTTTCCTTTGAATCTTCATGGCACTTTGTAATAAAATGTCTAAAAGGGGGCCATTCCATGAAATCATTTAATTGGCATTAATAGTACACTATTACTTCATATAAAATCATAATCATATAAATGTACTTATATAACTCCATGTAAATTAATTTATATAAATGCAAATCAGATATGGTCTTTTTTCAGAGTATAGAATTGAATAGAAAGTTAAGATGTATAAAATAACTGTAGCACAGAGTGATAGTCATTAATCACCATAACAGGAGGATGAGGGTTCAGTTTTTAAATTTATTCTCTAAACTGTATTTAATAAATTTTATTAACTTATTTAGGAGGGTCAGTTTTTTTAATTGCTTCATTTTGTGAGTTGTATAAACAACTGATTACATTTTATAGTTCAAATGCAGATTACAGCTTTTCTCTGGGTCTGGTGTTTATGCTAAAGAAAACATATCCTAGAAGAAACACAGAAGAGTGACCAGGTTTGGACATGAAGAAAGCCTTGGCTTGTGAAACGTGGCAAGAGGTTTCAAGTCATCAAGCCTGGTCTCTCCCACTTTACTGGAGTCAGGGCCCAAGTACCCTCTGTCTGCTCCCATGTGCATGGGACCCGGAGCCCCAAAGATGCTGGAGAGGCCCTGACTCAAATCCCAAATGTTGCACAGGCAGGCCATGTGGAGGTCTGTCAGCAGAGTAGGACAGGACTGACAGCATCTTTTGGTCCTTGCATTCTTGGGATGGATGCATTTCTCCTCTCTAGCTTAGTGATGAATGAACTTCAGAGGCAGTGGGGCGGAGACAGAGACTCAGCTGTCAGACCCAACCTGTGGTGGATGGTGGGTGAGTGGACGGGCTGGACAGAGGGTATTAGGGGGAAGGCACTGAATTCCCACTGTGACCCCTCGCCCTGGATCAGATCTTTTAAAGACTATCCATCCAATATTCATTCCATCCTAAAGCCAGACTGAAAAAATAAGGCTGGTGCCTTATTTTTAGGCAGCTAAAGATATCAACTCTTCTGAATGACTGCACTAAGAATCACAATGAGGGCTTCCTTCCCAACTCACCCACGGGAACTTCCTGAGCTTGGCAAACTCCCCTTGCACCTGGAACAGCAGCTTCCAGAAGAGAGCCAGAAAAAGGTGGTTCTATTTACCTGTAAACCTTGGGCAGCAATGGCATGCTCTTATATCAGAATTGGCTCCCATCTCTGTGCTGGAGATGGCAGGCTTCCCATTAGCCACCATGCCCTTCTTCCTTAGTGACAGAACCCTGATTTTAGCCTGGACAATTGCCACCTTGAATAAAAAATGAGTTTTCCTAGCCTTCCTTGCCACTGGGTGTAGTGGCTAAATTCTGGCCAAAAGGATGAAAGGAACGTGTTGAGTGGGGCTTCCTGGAAGGCCCCTCAAAGAGGGCTGATTCAGCTGGGAGGTTATAGCCTTTTGTCTCTTTCCTTCTTCCTTTGTACTGCTGCTTGAAACATGGATGTGATGGCTGGTGCACAGCAACCATCTTAAATCATGAGGGGACCTTGAGAAGAGAGGCCACGTGCTGGGATGGTCCAGCAGAAAACAGGTGGCTGCCTACAGAGCTACAAGAGGATGACAAAGTACCTTCCCCCAAACTTCCTTTAAGTGAGAAAAAAGTGTTATTTGGGGATTTTCTGTTACATGCAGCTGAAATGAATGCATTCAGGCTCTGAGGCCAACTCATCAGACCTCTGTTAAATTTGTATATTCCATTTCCTGAACGTATCCCTCATCTCCCTTCACTCCCAGAACTCCACTGGTCTCCTTCTCCACTCCTTCGTTTTCTCCCAGTCCCATGGCCCCACTAACCTCCTTTTCTTCCCACATCCCAGCTCCTGCAGGCTGCGTTTTTCGTTTGTTTGTTTTTTGAGTCTCGCTCTGTCGCCCAGGCCAAGTGCAGTGGCTCACTGTGGTGGCTGCGTTTTGACAGATCTCTCTGACCAGCACTGGCCCCTCCTCCACCCCACTGTTCTCCTTGTTGCCCCTCCCCTTACAAACTTTTGCCCAGGGTCGATTTAGCCATCTCTCATTTCTCATTCCACCCACAGGCTGCTGAGGACCACAGGAGAAAACTTCCAGAAGACCTTCAGGTCTCCATATTCGTGCTCTTCCCGTGCGCCCCGTTGGCTCCCCGCTCCAGCCTTTCCCGGGACCTCCCGCATCCAGCGGTTGTTGGGCTGCCTCCCACCCAGCCGGGCCTGCTGAAGGAGGGGCCTCTCCTCAGCCACTCTGCCAGCTTTTCCCTCCAGCTGTCTTCTCCTCTGTTGGAACCCCCCTTAACCCCATATCCATCTCCTGTGGTCACCCCGCCTCTTTTCTCTCAGGGTCTTGCTTCTGGAAAGCCTTTGCATTCATTTTCTTCTTGCTTCTCACTTAACTCTTTGACGCATTGCAATCTGACATCCACCCCATAGCTCTAGGGAGCCGCTCCGCCTGAATGCTAAAGGCAGTGGATACTCTTGCCGCCCTCAATTTTTCACCGATCTCTGGCATTTGACTTGGTTGGTCATTTCCTTTGCAGAGAGCATTCCTCTCGGCTTGGATGATAGCACTGTCCCAGCACCAGTCCCTCCTCCTAGAGTACCTTCGCCCCTTTCTCCAGGCTGACTCCTCCTTTGCAAGCCCTATCCTGCAACCCTGATTGTCGCTGAGCTAGGGTCGCCCTATGATGGACCTGTGGGTGTGGAGGTCCTGTGGGTGTGGAGCCCACACACACACAGCTCCCAAGCTCTGACTCCAGCAGTCTCCTCACCCCAGCCAGTCTTCTCTCTGTTATTCCCAATCTGCACAGCCCTACCCAGCCCACAGATGTTCATGGCCCACTGCCACCCCTCCACCCTAACCTGTGCCATGGTTTTTTCCCCTTATTGTTTAAGGGAAGAACAGATTTGTAAGTATCCCAAAAAGGCTTATTTCCTAAAGGACAAAGGTTTATTTTTTTGTTTCACAGAGGTGGAATTTTCAAAAGATAACGTTTACAATAGTTTACAAAATATCAAATAGTCAATTCTCAGTAGTTGTAATAGTTATTTCTATAAAATTGCCACACACTCTGAAAGAGCTAATACTGAACCACTGCTTCTAGGAGAAATACAAGTTTAGATTGCTGCAAGCCTGTGGTCACAACATTTTCATCAATAGATAGATATATAAACTTGTGTTATGTGTGTTTCTGTTTGAAGACACCCAATCTAATATCTATTGTTGATTCATTAAGATTGTATTCACGGCCATTGGCACTGTAGCTTGTGCCTGAAGGAAGTTTCTCTAACACGCGTGTTTGCTCTGTAAGGCACATCTCAGCCCTCTTGATGCCCAATATAACCCAATACCATCCCAATCGATTTTTTTAAATGGAAATTGAAAAGCTGATTCTAAAATGCATATTTATAGGGAATGGGAGAAATGGGAAGATGTTGGTCAAAGGGTACAAACTTGCAGTTGTAAAATGAGCAGGTCCTGGTGACCTAATGTACAGTATGGTGGACTATAGTTAATAATAATGTATTGGATACTTGAATCTGCTGAGAGAGTAGATTTTAAGTGCTCTACACACACACACACACACACACACACACACACACACACACACAATAGTAACCTATGTGAGGTGATGCATAGTTATTTAGTTTGATTGCGGTAATCATTTCAAGATGTATACATATGTCAAAACATCAAATTGTATACTCTGAGTATACATAATTTTCATCTGTCAATTATACCTCAGTAGAGCTGAAAAACTTTCTGTGGAATGCAAAGGGACAAGAATTAACAAGACATTCTTGAAGAAGTTAACCTGAGAGAACTTGCTCGACCAGTTACCGCACTGGCACGAGGGCAGGTAAATTGCCCAATAGAATAGAATATAGCCAGAAAGAGATCTGGGCATATGTGGATGCTAGACTTATGGCCAAGGTGGCATTGCAAAATTGCAATTTTTATTTAAAAGAAGATAATCAATTAACTATCCATGTGGAAAAAATGAACCTTGATCTTTAGTTCTCACCATTAGCAAAAATCATTCCAGGTAAGCTGTAGTTATAAATGTGAAAGGCAAGAGGACACAAAAGAGATGAACCATAAAGAAAGACATGATAAATTGAACTATTTTAATATTTAATTAAGTATTTACCTAAGACTTAAGTTACTTAATGTAAGTCATTTACTTATTTTAATCCTAAATTAAGACTTAATTCAGTTCATCAAAAGACACCAATGCAGCCAGGCGCGGTGGCTCACGCCTGTAATCCCAGCACTTTGGGAGGCTGAGAAGAGCGGATCACGAGGTCAGTAGATCGAGACCATCCTGGCTAACACGGTGGAACCCCGTCTCTACTAAAAATACAAAGAAAATTAGCCGGGCGCGGTGGCAGGTGCCCGTAGTCCCAGCTACTCGGGAGGCTGAGGCAGGATAATGGCGTGAACCCAGGAGGCAGAGTTTGCAGTGAGCCGAGATTGCGCTGCTGCACTCCAGCCTGAGCGACAGAGCGAGACTCCATCTCAAAAAAAAAAAAAAAAAAAAAAAAAGACACCAATGCCCTGTTAAGAGAGTGAAAAATCATGTCACAGAGTGGGAGAAGATATTTGCCACACCTGTAATTTAAAAAGAACTCCAAGGCTGAGCGCGGTAGCACACACCTGTAATCCCAGCACTTTGGGAGGCTGAGGTGGGCAGAATCGCTTGAACTCGGGAGGCGGAGGTTGCAGTGAGCCAAGATCATGCCACTGCACTTCAGTCTGGACAACAGAGCAAGACTCTGTAAAAAAAAGAAAAAGAAAAAAAAAAGAACTCATATTCAGAATATATGTTTAAAAATAAAGAAAAACTTATGACTAAATGAGAAAAAAAAATAAACAGCCCAATTATGTCTTTGTGTATCCAATCTGTTCTTCTTATAAGGATACCAGTCAGATTAGAATAGGGCCCACCCCAACAATGGCTTCGTTTCGTTTTAATTAAATACTTCTCTACGTATTTCAGCTGAAGGCCTTATCTTCCAGCATAGTGACATTTCGAGGTATAGGGGCTTAGGGCTTCAATTATAAATTTTTGGGGGACGCAATTCAGTCCGTAATGTTTCATTCTCTCAATCACCAGATTCATATCCTTCTCATATGGAAAATATATTTACCCCCATCCCAATGGCCCAAAAGTCTTAACCTGTTCCAGCATCCATTTCAAGTCTAAAGTCTTACCTAAAGACCATCTAAATTAGGTATGGGTGAGACTCAAAGTATGATTCATCCCAAGGTAAAATTTATCTCCACTAAGAATCTGTGATACCGGACAAGTTATATGCTTTCTAAAATACAATGGTGGTTATATATTTTAAAAAGTCATTTGCACTCATATGTTCATTGCAGCACTATTCACAATAGCAGTCACAAAATCAACCCAAGTGTCCATCAGTGGATGATTGGATAAAGAAAATTTGGTACATATACACCATATAATACTACATAGCCGTAAAAAATAATGAAATCATGTCTTTCATAGCAACACGGATGGAGCTGAAGGTCATTATCCTAAGTGACATAACTAAAAACCAGAAAATCAAGTACTATATATTCTCGCTTATAAGTGGGAGTTGGACAATGGGTACTCATGGACATAAAGATGGAAATAATAGACACTGGGGACTCCAGAAGTGGAGAGGGTGGGAATGGGGTAAAGACTGAGAAATTACCTATAGGATACAAGTTTCACTATTTGGGTGATGGGTATGCTAACAGCCCAAACCTCACCATTACAAAGCATATCCATGTAACAAACCTGGACATGAACCCCCTGAATCTATAATAATAATTTTTAAAAAATACAGTCGTGGGACAGGCATAGATTAGATATTCCCATTCCAAAAGGGAGAAATGGAAAAGAAGTAAGAAGTGAGGGGTTTCACACTGGGGTGCCAGCCCTGCCATCTGGGCCCAGTAGAGTGGTGGCATCATGCCCTTGGCCCTCGGCAACATCCGCCCCTGATGCCCTGCAGCTGTGCAGCTTTGGTTTATGTACTTTTCTGTACATATTTCATATATTTTACATTTTCTAAAGGATAAAAAAGTCGGCTAGGCGTGGTAGCTCATGCCTGTAATCTGAACACTTTGGGAGCCAAGACGGGAGGATCATCTGAGGTCAGGAGTTTAAGACCAGCCTGGCCAACATGGTGAAACACTGTCTCTACTAAAAAAATACAAAAATTACCTGGGTGTGGTGGCACATGCCTGTAATCTCAGGTACTCTGGAGGCTGAGGCAGGATAATTGCTTGAACCAGGAGGTGGAGGTCACAGTGAGTCAAGATTGCACCACTGCGCTCCAGCCTGGGTGACAGAGTGAGACTCCGTCTCAAAAGAAACAAACAACAACAAAGAGTCAAGAACAGTCTTTCCAGAATATTTCTAGAACTGGAGTTATGCAAGTTATGCCTTTCTTTTCCTTGTTTCTAGTCTTAAGGGAAATGATTCTGTATTAAAAATAAGATTGACTATTTATTTGGAAGAAAAATGAAGCTAGACTTTCCACTTATACCATGTACTAGAACAAATTTTAGATGTATTAATGCTCCAAATATAAAAACCCAAACCGTAAAATTATTAGTAAAAAAATAGGAATATATTTTTATAACTTCGGGGTTTAAAATAGCTTTGTTAGCAATCCTAAGCAAAAAGAACAAAGCCAGAGGCATCACATTACCAGACTTCAAACTATGCTATAAGGCTACGGTAACCAAAACAACATAGTACTGGTATAAAAACAGATACATAGATCAATTGAACAGAATAGAGAACTCAGAAATAAAGCTGCACACCTACAGTTATCTAATATTTGACAAAATTGAGAAAAACAAACAATGGGGAAAGGACTCCCTATTTAGTAAATGGTACTGGGATAGCTGGCTAGTCAAATGCAGAAGATTAGAACTGGACCATAATCAAATACCATCTCACACCAGTCAGAATGGCCATTATTAAAAAGTCAAAAAACAACAGATGTTGGTGAGACTGCAGGGAAAAGAGAACACTTTTACACAATGTTGGTTGGAAAGTAAATTAGTTCAGCCACTGTGGAAAGCGGTCTGGAGATTTCTGAAAGAACTTAAAACAGAGCTACTATTCAACCCAGCAATCCCATTACTGGATATATACCCAAAAGAAAATAAATTATTCTACCAAAAAGACACATGAACTTGCATGTTCATTGCAGCATTATCAACAACAGCAAAAACATGAACCAACTTAGGTACCCATCAACAGTGGACTGAATAAAGAAAACGTAGTACATATATACCATGGAATACTATGCAGCCATAAAAAATGCAATCATGTCCTTTGCAGCAACATAGATGCAGCTACAGGCCATTATCCTCAGCAGGAACAGAAAACCAAATATTGCATATTCTCACTTATAAGTGGGAGCTAAACATTGGGTACTCATGGACATAAAGGTGGGAACTAACTTTTGGGTACTATACTCAATACTCTGGTGATGGGATCATTTGTACCCAAGTGATCCGCCGAGGTGGGCGGGTCACTTGAGGTCAGGAGTTTGAGACCAGCCTGGCCAACATGATGAAACCCTGTCTCAGCATCATGCAACATACCCAGGTGAAAAACCTCCACTTGTACCTTCTGAATCTAAAGTAAAAGTTGCAAAAGAAAAAAAAATAAAATTTAAAAAATTAAAGAAAATATACCTAAAAATATAAAAAATAAAAATATAAGCAGCTTTGTTAGCCTGACACCAAGCCCAAAAACTGCTAAAGGAAAACATAGACAGACTTGATTGTATTAAAGTGTAAAACTTCTGGATGAAAAAAAGCAGACCAGCATATATAAACTCAGATGCACTTGGGGCAAAGTAAAACAATTTGTTCCATATAGGTCAGTTAACACCTTTAATATATAAAGAACTTCTATGAATCAAAAAAAAAAAGAACAATAAAAAGTAATAAAGGACACTAATAGACAATACAAATGGTCAATAAACACTTGGTAAGGGGCAATCTCATTAAAAATACAAACTAAAACACAATATTGTTTTTCATCTATTATTTTAGCCTGGATAAAAAGCTAATAATAATAACCAGGTTAAGGGAAGGTCTAGGAAAAAGAGGTAAAATGATCAGTTTAGAGGAGGATCTGAGGAAATAGAAAATTAGTATTACTATTCAGGAGAACAATTTATTTATTTATTTATTTATTTATTTATTTTAAGATGGAGTCTCGCCCTGTCACCCAGGCTGGAGTGTGGAGGTCCAGTCTTGGCTCACTGCAACCTCCGCCTCCTGACTTCAAGTGATTCTCGTGCCTCAGCCTCCTGAGCAGCTGGGACCACAGGCCTGAGCCACTATGCCCAGCTAATTTTTGTATTTTTAGTAGAGACGGGTTACACCATGTTGGCCAGGCCACTCGCAAACCCCTGACCTCAAGTGATCCACACACCTCGGCGTCTCAAAGTGTTGTGATTACAGGTGTGAGCCATCGCGCCAGGCCTTCAGGAGAACAATTTAAATTATTCATCAGTTTTTCCACTTCTAGACATTCCACAGAAATAGAAATTCTTACAAAACTTTGGGAGGATATATATGTATGTGTGTGTTTGGATAGTTATTGATGCATTGGAAAAAATTAGAAACAACTTAGATGCTTATTCATATGGAATTATTTCTAAAAATGTCATTTATGTAATGGTGAGTTACATAGCCATAAAAAGAATGAGGTGGCTCCACATACAGTAGTGTGGAAAATGATAATAATCTAGCATGTAATCAAGTAAGTTATAGTAAGTACAGTCAGTACAATGCAATACCAGTAGTAAACACACACAGACACACACACAAGAAAAAACAGACCAGTAGATGGCCAGAAAAACATTTTCAAAGGAAATGTACCAGTTAAGTATGGTTATCTTTTGGGGGTTGAGATAGTAGAGGACATTCACTTTTCAGTTTATTGTTATAAAAGTTTGCTTAATTTTAACATAATGTTTGTACATTATTTCATAGAAATATTTTCCAAAATAACAATTTTAAACAAAAATGCCCATGCTTCATAATTATTTTTAAAGTTTAAATAAAGAAAAAAAGTCAAAGTAGTAACATAATTTGGGTATTGAAACCATATAAGGGAGTATTGGTAAAGAGCAGATGGAAGTAGACTGCTCAGAGATGGAGGAAGTTCACTATTTCAGGCACCTGAATCACAGCTGCACACCCAAGTATACGGTAAGACACGCAACTGAGGTTGAATCAAGGACAATCACTGATGGGAAACAAGAGGAAAATTTAAAAGCAAAAATAAGGAAGCCAGATTAATCATTCAAGAATATTTTTCCCAACTGAAACGGTAACAGCAAGAAATTTTTAAGGAGATAGAATTTTCCCTCAGGAGCATCCTCAAAGAACCTCCAAAAACTTGATTGTCAAATTTTTAACCCATGAAGACAAAGACAGGCTCTTACAAGCTCTTGAGATGAGAAGAGTGGCCGCAGTAAAAGTGCTGTGTTGAGAAAGATTTCAGACCTTACCTTCAGGACACAGCACTGCAAGCTCAGCCAAGCTGGTCTTCTTTTAAGTCAGGATGAAACAGTTTTAAGGCGGAGACCCTAAAATGATTTTTCCACAAAATCCTACAGCTGCAAAAGGCAACAGAGATCTAAGAACAGGTGATTCATTTTAAAAGGCAAATGGTTTAAGACAGTTGCATGAAGAAAATGAGACCTTGTGAGTTAAGCAAAACACTGTGAGAAATGCAAAGTTGACATTAAATGTCATAAACGCTGCTGTAAAAAAAAAATAAAAAAAAAAAGAAGTGCACTGGTGTTTGGGAAAAAAGAGCTAAACTTAACGATATCCTTAGATGAAAATAGTTGGGTTAAAATATACTGACGTTAGGCCGGGTGCGGTGGCTCACGCCTGTAATCCCAGCACTTTGGGAGGCCGAGGCAAGTGGGTCACTTGAGGTAAGGAGTCTGAGACCAGCCTGGCCAACATGGTGAAACCCTGTCTCTACTAAAAATAAAAATTAGCCTGGTATAGTGGTGCATGCCTGTAGTCCCAGCTACTTGGGAGGCTGAGGCAGGAGAATCACTTGAATCCAGGAGGTGGAGGTTGCAGTGAGCCAAGATTGTGCCATTGCACTCCAGCCTGGGCAACAAGAGCAAAACTCCGTCATATATATATATATATATATATATATATATATATATATATATACACATACATATATATATATATCAGTGTGTATATATATATATATCAGTGTGTATATATATATATCAGTGTGTATATATATCAGTGTGTATATATATCTGTGTATATATATATCAGTGTGTGTATATATATATCTGTGTGTATATATATGTATATTTGATGTTACAAACAGAAAAATGTCAATAGGCTGAAATCGTCTTTAGTATCATCTAAAGCAACGGTGCTTAGCTAGGCCGATGTTAGAATCACCTGAGAAGCTTTCAAAAGTATATCACTGCCCTTCTCTACCCTGGTCAATTAATTTAGAGTTTGGAACAAAAGCTTCAAGTTGAGGACAGAAACTACTAAAACAAAAGATTTTTAAAAAAATAGCTGCTACAAGATTAATATACCAAATGATGGGGAGTATTAGACATATCATTTATAACAATAATCAGAATGGATGAAAAAAACTACAAGAATAAAATAAAAATAAATGACAGCTAGAATGTTTATAATATATATTAAAAGGTGTTGATATTATTAATTTGTGAAAATCTTACACCCCATTTTGCAGACTTAAAAATTGGCAAAGGATATCAACAGCAATTTGCAAAAGGACATAGTACATGCTCAGTAAAAATGGGAAGGAAAAAAAGTGTAGCTCATGATAAGAAAAGCTAGCTAAAATGAGTTACCATTTTCATCTTTTAAACTCGCAAGTTTTTTTTAGAATTATAATTCTCTTTTTTGTATTTAACTTATTTTAAGTTAAGGGGTACAAGTGCAGGCTTGTTACATAGGTAAACCTGTGTCATTGGGGTTTGTTCAGATTATTTACAGATTATTTCATCACCCAGGTATTAAGCCTAGTACTCATTAGTTATTTTTCTTGATTTCTACCCCCTTCCACCCTTCACTGTCCAATAGGCCCCAGTGTGGGTTATTCCCCTCTTTGTGTCCATGTGTTATCATGTAGCTCCCACTTATAAGTGAGAACATAAGATATTTGGTTTTCTGTTCCTGTGTTAATTTGCTTGGAATAATGGCCTCCAGCTGCATCTATGGTGCTGCAAAGGATATTATTTCACTCTTTTTTGTGGTTGCATCATATTCTATGGTGTATATGTACCACATTTTTCTTTATTCAGTCCACCATCAATGGGGACCTAAGTTGATTCTGATGGCAGTGGCTGCTGCCATCATGCCGGCTGCCTCAAGGAGCGCATGTGGGGCTGCACACTCTATGGAGCTGGTGGGAGCCCTGCCCTCCTGGGTGTTGTGGATGTGAGCTGCAGTTGTGGATGTGAGCCTCCCTGTGCTCTTAGGGGAGCCAGGAACAGGCAGGATCTGCCCTCCCGGTTGCAGTTGCAGCTGCTGGACCCACTGCTGCAGACCTGGGCCTCCCACTCCAGGAAGCAGGCAGGATCCGGGGACAAGTGGGAGCCCTGCCTCTTCCAAGATGGCGGGACGGGAGCTTCCAGGCGCAGCTGCGGCTGCTCTCTCAGGCACAGGACCCAGGTGTCTCTGCAGTCTGCACCCTTGGGGGACCCAAGAAGGATCCCCCCCTCGCCCCCCCCCCACCATCCCTGCAGGTTTGGTGGTGTCTGCTTCCTCTCTCTGCTCCTGGCACCTGCTCTGATCTTGGAGTAGGGGTTGGGGCCAAGGCCCGGGGTTATGAATGGCAGCTGGAGGCAGATTAATTCCTGGGTGGAAAAGGGTGGGTCCCCAGTAAGGCCCCTCCTTGAGGCCAGGAGGGGCCTGAAGACTGGGGGTCGGGCTGCCAGTCCTGCAGACCTGAGTGGGGACTCATGGTGTCTCTTCCAGGCCTGCCCATGCCTGCCCCTGGGCCAATCTGCACACACTTTCTTCCCTCTGAGGTCCATAAGAACCCTGGGCTCAGCCAGAGGATGAAGAGGGCAGAGAGAGATGATGGGACAGGATCACCAGCTGCAGAGAGCAGTACCCTATCAGCTGAGAGCTGCATAGATGACTGACTGGCAGAGAGGAGTGACCCTCTCTATTGAGAGCTTCAGAGACCTGCAGAGACATCCGAATGACTTGGCTGCAGAAAAGAGCCACCCTCTTCAGGGCCTCCTCTCTGCTAAGAGCTATCCACTCCTCTGAGCTGTTCTAACACTAAATAAAACTCTACTTCTTCACCCTTTACTTGTTTGCATACCTCATTCTTCCTGGATGCAGGACAAGAACCTGGGGCAAAGGTGTGGTGGCCACAGAGGTTTCCAGCCAGAAAAATCAACACCCCAGAGATCCCGTAACACTTTGGGGGCTCATCTAGGATCTGCAGAAGGGTGAATAAAAGTGAATCTGCTTTCTGTCCTTTTTTTCGGAGTCTCTATACTCCGTAATAGTCAAAATGAAAGAAAAATACCGGGCCTCTGTCAGCCAGTTGAAAGCGACTAGCGTGGTTGCCAGACTTAAGACACAGAAGACAGGCTTGCTGAGGAGGACACTGTCAATCTCCCATCACCTTTGGGTGTTGGGAATGTTGGCTTTGTTCCAACCCAGTTTCCCTTCACAGAGGTCTAGCTATTGTGTGGGACTGGAAGGAGGTCCTGGGGCAACTGAAGGTATCTGGCCAAGGCCACACCTCTGTGTTATCCAAAGGCCCCTGGACTAACTCCAGTCCCCAACTGCCCATTAGGGTGTTGACACTAGGACCTCCGTCCGTTTGCGCTAGGACCTCCAGTCTTTCCTATTGTTTCTTTCTTGCTTTCTTTCCCAGCTGTCATGGTTCCTAGTTATTTTATATACAATGTTAAATGTTAAGGATGTTGTTGCAAACCAGAGGTATTATTGGGTAAAATAAGCATTTGGCTTAGTCATCAAAAGTATAAATTAGAAGATCAAGTGTAGCACAGATGGGGCAAAGTGTACTTTGGTATCTGTAGGTAAATTTGTGGCAAAAATGTTCTTGTCATTTCCAATTTAGTGCCAAGCACCTTGAGGCACAGAAAGGTCCCAGGTCCCATATGTACAGGCCTTCTTTGCCTTTCAGGGTAGCCCAGACCTTTGCCAACATTGAGGATTGATTCAGCCCTCTTAGTGGCCATCTCAGGAGAGGCTGCAAGGGGCAATCTCAGGGAAATAGGGAAGGAAACCCCAAAGTTACCTCCAGGAGGGGAATCAACCCCCTCTGCTCCTTCCTATCCAGATTCTCTCTCAAGCTTACCCCAGCCTAGGAATCCTGGTTTTAGGCAGGTCCCAGTCTCAACAGCCCCTACAATGGATGCCTGGTGAATATGGCCCCATTAAGGTCGAGGTCCCCTTTCTCTTCAGGGCTTATGTCAAATTAAGGGGATCTTGGTAAGTTTTCAGATGACCCTGATAGGTATATAGAGGCTTTCCAGTACTTATACGAGTTGTGAACTCTCCTGGAAGGATGTCATGTTACTTTTGAATTAAACTGACCATCTCTGAAAAGCAGACCATTTTCAGCAAGTGGCAAAGAATTTTGGGGATGAACTTTACATCTTATCTACATAAGGGAAGAGGAGGAAACTTATTTAGTTGGAAGAATAGAAGTACCATTGGAGGACACTAAATGGGACCCCAATGATAAAATGAGATGATGGAAGAAGTTATCCATGGTAGATCAGGGATCGGATGGGAGTCCCACTGCCTTCTTGAAAAGGATAAGGGTCTTAGTAAAACACATCCCTCTGTCTCCTGATTCAATAAAGTGACAGCTAGTTCTAGGGGATGAGCTTATTACTCAGTTAGCTCCTTATATCAGGAGGAAGCTGCAGAAACAGGCCATATAACCAGGTAGTACTTTAGAGGACCTCATAAAAGTGGCCACCTAGGTCTTTTACAATAAGAATCAGGAGGCCCAAGAGAGGGAAAGGAGACAAAGAAAAAGGCAGAGGCTCTAATAGCCACCTTACAGGCTCACAAACCCCAGAGTTTCTAAGACGCACCTGTTGACTGCTGCAAATGTGGACCACTGGAGGGTGGACTGCTCCCAAGACACAGGTCGCTGGTTCCAGGGCTGGTCTTTCAAATGGTGCAACAGGGCTGGTGGGTCCCAGGGTTCCTTTCCCTGGCTTTGGTGATCCAGACTGCTATTGTTATCCAGGAGCGCTGGGTGATTCTGGGGATCGAGGGAAGGAGGATGGACCTCCTCCTGGACTTGAGTGGACCTTTCAGTTCTCCTTTCCAACCTAGGCCCCCCTCTCTTAGCACAACCATGAGGGGCTCAGGAAAAGCTCAACCTCTTCATTGTCACCTTCTTAGGCCAGGGCCTTAATTCCTGGAACTCCCTTTATCTCCCTTGTTTGAGGAGGCCCTGGCCCCACAGCTTCACCTGCTTGTGATAGGAAGGTGATGGAGGAGTGGTCCTTGCCAGTTGCTAGATGCAATTTGTCAAGGGCTATCTGGGACTAATTTTAAGGGTTCATACACCCTCCTGAGGTACCTTTTTATCCAAAGCTTTGGTTTAAACCCTGGAATGGAACACTAGACCTGAGGCAGATGACAGTGGGAGTTGAGGGGCACAGCTCAGGAGAGCATGACTAATTCCTGCTGATTAGGCCCTCCTGCTTCATGGATGGAGGTCATGCTTGCATCCATGGTATAGATAAGGTCTAGGGAACTCAAAGGTTACCAATGGTGGGAGGCTTAGGCTTTGTTCAGATGAGTGTGAATATGCCTGTCAGTTATGCTGCCTGCTTCATGGGTGAAGGTCGCACTTGCACCCATGGTTGGCACCTGCACAGGTCGCCAGGACTCAGGAATATAAGGTTGGAAGAAGAAAGAGGGATGCCTTTTCTCCTTTCTGTCATGTACCCTGGGTATTTGCTGGGAAGAAAGAGGAACAAAGGGATGCCCTTTTCCCCTTTTCCCAGATGAGTAAGCAACCAATCATTTTCAGCCTGCACTCCTTGAGTGCATCCTAAATCACTGGACAGGACTCCAGAGTCCTTGGCTCAGGCGAAAGGAACCCAGAAGCCTGACATGCCAGCAAAAAGGTAAAGATTCTTGCCAGTTGGACTTCTGGCTTCTCTCTGTGCAAACTGGTTGCAGGAATAAAAATCACTGTATTGAGTGCAAAAGCCAGAAGTATTAACCATTTGGCATCGCTAAGGTGAGGTAATAGTTTTAAAAGAACTTAAAAAAGGAGCACTGTGATTAAAAGTTAGCTTAGTTAAAGTAGATGTTCATGGATATCCAAGCTATAGCTATATTTAAAAGGCCTTTGTCTTTTCTCTTGTTTGATCTTGTTTTTCTGGAAAAAGATTTTTTCTTGTCAATCAACTTAATTATCTTTCTTCATTTTTGTCTTGCCACTCTTGATGCACACATGAGGGGACCCCAAGATAATCTCTGGCCTCTTGGGAAAACAGAGGAGGTGCCATTGACCCATTTGGGGAAAAAACCTCCATTTTCCTCATGGAGCCCCAGGGATTAGAGGTGGATGTATCCCTCTCAAAATCTGTTTTTGTCTTCCAGCTATGCCTGCTTATTAGGCCATAGAAACTGCATGTTTTCTTGGCCCTGGTTCTTGAAGGGCTCCACCCCAGGGCCAGCAATGAAATTAGATCAGCACATGAAACATCTTACAACTACTGGATCTTCATCTCTTTGTCTGTGTAGATATGTATGTGTCATGTGTATCATATTTATATAAAAGAGCTCTAACTGATTGGCTTAAAGAAAATAAGTGCTTAAATATTTTGAAAGATGAGTAAAGCTGTAATACCTTTTAGTTCATAGCTATCACTCTGGTGGAATGGGAAGCAAGGGAACACATGGGCTTAAAGCTCATAGTAGGGAAAACATAAAGTGACACCAGTGCCCATCTAAGGCCAGAGTAAGATTAGATCCCAAAGGGGATCCTTCGGACCCCCAACTCTCCAAAGGGGGTGCCCTTGGCAGAAGTTCTGAGGTCTAGTACTAAACCTTCCTTAGAATTTTCTCTCGCAGTTGCAATACTGTTTGGCCCCAATATTGTATGGAATCTGGAGTTTATTGTTGAATGCGTAAGTGGAGTGGCATCGCATGTATCCAGGCTTTTGTGCTGCTGTTCTAAGCAGGGGGCCAGGTTAATGGGGTGATGTTCTCCTTTGGTGCTGTTTGGCCCCAGTGTCCTTTGGAGTCTGGGAAGGTTTGGCCTTTAAAAATCAAACTGCCATGGAAACTGCTTTACCTGAAATTTTGGTTCATAGTCTTCATTGGATTATCTATCGGGGCAAACAAAGTAAAACTGGTGAGCTTGTATTTCTATCTCATGGTTAGGGTTCCAAGCTATTGGATCTTAGTGTGTGTGTGTGTGTGTGTGTGTGTGTGTGTGTGTGTGTATACATCTCTAGATGTGTTTATTTGTACATTTATTGTTGTATGTTGTGTTGACCAAAGTGGTTTATAAGTAAAAGAGTGCTCATAAATTGAAGAAGTCCTTCAGAATTTTTAGTATACATTTTTGTCTGGATTGTATATTTTTCTACCATTGTGACATGTAAATAAGTCTACTGAAAATAGATTTACATGCAAGATGTGTAAAGAGAGTAAAATGTGTCTTTAGTAAAAGAATATAAGAAGGCATGGTATGTAAATTTTTACCTAGTTCAGAGGGTTCAAGGATTGTTTTAAATTAGATAAGAAAGCTAAAGGCTCAAACAAGTTATGGAAGTTTTATAAAAATTAATCTTGTAAAAGGAATCCTGTGTGTGAACATATTAACTAAATTCAAAAAATCTATATTTGGTTTTCCACAAATTCAACACTGGAATAAAAGCACAACAAGGTTTTCTTGAGGATTAGTCTGTAAGGTTTTATTTTTTTAAAAAAACTGGGGTGAAATTTGGCTTTCTCTTGAACAAGATTTTTGTGCAATGAAAGATTTGTGTTTGCCTTGTGAGTAAACTACTAACAAAAGGGAAGGACGAAAAAACAGATTATTTGGAAAACTAGGTCTTCCCTCTTAATGAGTAAATGCTTTTGCTTTTTAAAATAAATTTGAGTGATCATTGGCTAAATGAATGTCTTATGGTGACCTGAAATTCTATTAAGGGTTTTGAGCCTTTACAGATTCAAAATTGTCTTTCCTAACCCCTAACTTTTGGATTCTACAGAGGGCCCCTGGAGTGTCCACAGGAAAGGTAAACAGGATTATTTGACATGTTTAGTTAAATAGGATTGTTGAAATAAGGTAGTGTTTGATCTTCAGGTTATATTTTAATGAAAAATGCTAATGTGTGTTCCAAAATTGTACAGGATTTCTAGAGTTCGTTCTGCTATCTGAGTTTGTGGTATCAATCATAATTAGGATTATTGTGTTAGGTTATTGTAAATCACAGAGGTGACCAAATTCCTTTGTCAATTGTGTTTTTGACTGTGACTACCCTAGGACATTTTGACATTCATAGACAATTGTCTTGTTTTGATCCTCTTCATAGGATGGATTATAACCCTCAAGTGCAGGTTTCTGATAACTTTGAAGATTGTGAACAGGAATGGACTGGGTGAACTGAGCTACTGGAAGACGAATCTTTTTTGACTTTTTGCTATTTGCTTTTTCTTGGAACATTGCTAATCCCTATGTTCTGTTTTTCAGAATCAAGGAAGTCTTTCTTTTGAGCTATTTGTAGCTTTTAACAATTGTAGGGTGAACCACCAGTGATCTCAGACTGCAACTCAGAGGAAACAAGGGATGTGGGCCATCAAACTCCAAATGGTCATGAAAATGGAGCCTCAGACAATGGCTCCTTTGTACTGGGGACCCTTAGATAGGCCTCTGAGAGAGAGAGACATTACTCTCGTTTTGCCAAAATAATGCCCCTTGTCAGCATGAAGCAGTTAAGAGCAGTCATCATCTCTATCCTAACAGCAGTTAGGTGTACCTCTTCAGAGGGGGGAATGATGGCACTGACATTATGCCAGCTGCAGCACGGAGGCTCGACTGGGGCTGCATACTTCATGGAGCTCCTGGATGGGGCTACAGCTGGCCAAACTGCAGCTGTGGATCCAAGCTTCCCTGTGCTCTTGGGGGAGCTGGGAACAGTCAGGATCTGCTCTCCCAGGTGCAGCTGCAGCTGCCGAACCTGCCACTGCAGACCTGGGCCTCCCCCTCCAGGAAGCAGGCAGGAGACAGGGACAAGCGGGAGCCCTGCCTCTTTCGAGTTCCAATTCCATGTCTTTGCTGTTATGAGTAGTGCTGCAATGACCATTTGCATGCATGTGTCTTTGACAGAACATGTCTTTGATAGATTTATATTCCTTTGGGTATATACCCAGTACTGGGATTACTGGGTGGAATGGTAGTTCTGTTTTTAGGTCTTTGAAGAATCGCCACACTGTCTTCCACAATGGTTGAACAAATTTACACTCCTACCAAAGGGGCATAAGTGTTCCTTTTTCTCCACAACCTCGCCAACATCTGTTATTTTTTGACTTATTAATAATAGCCATTCTGACTGGTGTGAGATGGTATCTCATGGTGGTTTTGATTTGCATTTCTCTAATGATCAGTGATGTTGAGCTGTTTTTCATATGCTTGTTGGCTGCATGTATGTCTTCTTTTGAAAAGTGTTCACGTCCTTTGCCCACTTTTTAATGGGGTTGTTTGGTTTTTTCTTGTAAATTTATTTAAGTTCCTTATGGATGCTGGCTATTAGGTCTTTGTCAGATGCATAGTTTACAAAAATTTTCTCCCATTCTGTAGGTTGTCTGTTCAGTCTGTTGATAGTTTCTTTTGCTGGGCAGAAGCTCTTTAGTTTAATTAGATCCCATTTGTCAATTTTTGCTTTTGTGGCAATTGCTTTTGGTGTCTTCATCATGAAATCTTTGCCCGTTCCTATGTCCAGAAAGGTATTGCCTAAGTTGTGTTCCAGGGTTTTTATAGTTTTGGGTTTTACATTTAAGTCTGTAACCCATCTTGGGTTAATTTTTGTATATGGTGTAAGGAAGGGGTACAGTTTCAATCTTCTGCATATGGCTAGCCAGTTATCTCAGCACCATTTATTGAGTAGGGAGGCTTTTCCTCATTGCTTGTTTTTGTCAGCTTTGCCAAAGATCAGATGGCTGTAGGTGTGTGGCCTTGTATCTGGGTTCTCTATTCTGTTCCATTGGTCTATGTGTCTGTTTTTTGTACCAGTGCCATGCTGTTTTGTTAGAATTATAATTCTCAGGGTTGACAAAGAATTAATCCAATAGAAATTTTTCAACATATAACAAAAGTCATAAAAATAATCTCTGTTGACCTGGCAAATCTGCTTGTAGATTTCTACACTAGAGAAATAGAGATGTACATAAATATGTACCAGGAAAATCACCACAGTTACTTAGAACAGCAAGATACTGAACACATTTGAGATGCTTCAAAATACAGGAATGGTTAAACAAATTGTGTTCCATTTATCAAACTGGATACCATTCAGCCCCTAAAACTTATATTTTGTTTTATGGATAAGTTATTATTCTATCTAGAGCTCAGTTTCTTTCTACATATGTATAATAGGAAGAACAGTTTTCTTGAAAGTATAAAATGAGAGACTATATATAAAGCAACTTATAATGCCTTACACAGTTGTGGCTCTAAGTCATGCACTTAAAATAATAATAGCAGTTGACATTTATGAAATGCCAGGTTCAGACTCTGTGTTTGCATGTATTGTTCCATTTAATCTTCAAAACCACCTTATAAAGTTAGGAATGACAATCTCCATTTCACAGAAACTGAAGGGCAGAGAAATTAAAGGAACAAGGCCAAGTTCAACTAAATGCATAACAAAAACTAGTGGAGACATGGAAGATGCAGAGATGAAATTGTACTTGCAGACTTCAATGTTATACTATCAGGTTTCAGGGGCTTTTGAAGACCCACTGAGCACAGTAGACTGCTAGGTTGTGGTCTCAACCCCCACAAAAGACCTTGCCCAGTGCTTACCTTTCTTATATTTAAAAATATTATATTATATTGCAAGCCCAAGCCCAGGGCGTCTGTTTCCTTCCCTCCTCCCTGCCTCTCCTCTTTATGCACACACATACGTGTGTGCATGTGTGTGTGTGTGCGCACATGCACCTGTGTATGTTAGCCATTCCAATGTTAACATTTTTTTCTTAATTAGTAGCTAATATTTTTAAAGTTAGGGGATTCCACCTGTAAACGTGGTGTTCTGGGGCCCCACTGCTGTGGCACGTGGCTTGCAGCTGGGCAGCAGCTGTGGATGGGCGTGGCCCTCCACTGTGCTTCCTTGAGCTGTACTTTGCTGTCGGGTGGCTGCTAGGCCCCTGCAGGTGTTTAATTTCTGATACAAATGACAATCCCTCAGGTCCCATTTAGCTCTGACATTTTGTGGTTCTGAGGTGAGACTAACTAACCTATAAAGAAAACGTGCCCAAAAGAAAAGGCAATAGATTTGTTCTCTAAGGAACTGCTATTAAGACCCAAGGGTAATTAATCCCAATTGTCTCACCAAAGAATTTTTCTGAGTTATTAATTTTTGTTGTGATAAAAAACACATAACATAAACTTTGCTATCTTAACTGTTTTTGAGTTTACAGCTCAGTGGCATCAATTCCATCACATTGCCATGCATATCACAGTCCCTCTCCTGAACTTCTTCATCTTGCAGATCTGAAACTCTGTACCCATGAACAATAACTCCCTGTTCTCCCCCGCCCCAGCCCCTGGTAACCACCATTCTACTTTCTGTCTGTATGAATATCCCTACTCTTGGTACCTCGTATAAGTGGAATCACACAGTATTTGTCCTTTTGTGACTGACTTATTTCACTTAGCATAATGTCCTTAAAGTTCTTCCATGTGGTACCACGTGACAGGATTTACTTCCTTTTTAAAGTTTCCCTTGTATGTATACACTACATTTTTGTTATCTATTCATCTGTTGATGGACATGTGGGTTGCTTCAGCCTCTAGGCTATTGTGAATAGAGCTGATATGAACATGTGCATATTTGCACACGATGTGTAACTATCTCTTGAGATTCTGCTTTCAGTGCTTTTGGACAGATATCCAGAAGTGGAGCTGCTCGGCCATGTGGTGATTCCATTTTTAATGTTTTTAGGAACTGCCATACTGTTTTCCATAGCAGTCGCAACATTTTACAGTTTCACCAACAGTGTGCAAGGGTTTTCAGAGTTTTTGAAGGATGGAAATTTCATGTTATATAAACCGTTTCAAAGTATATAAACAGACGGTATTGAGAGGTGACAGCGTGCTGGCAGTCCTTGCAGCCCTCGTTCGCTCTCGGCGCCTCCTCTGCCTGGATTCCCACTTTGGCGGCACTTGAGGAGCCCTTCAGCCCACCGCTGCACTGTGGGAGCCCCTTTCTGGGCTGGCCAAGGCCGGAGCCGGCTCCTTCAGCTTGCAGGGAGGTGTGAAGGGAGAGGCGCGAGCGGGAACCAGGCTGCGCGCGGCGCTTGCCGGGCCAGCTGGAGTTCCGGGTGAGTGTGGGCTTGCCGGGCCCCGCACTCGGAGCGGCCGGCCAGCCCTGCCGGCCCCGGGGAATGAGGGGCTTAGCACCCGGGCCAGCGGCTGCGGAGGGTATGCTGGGTCCCCCAGCAGTGCCAGCCCACCGGCGCTGCGGTAGATTTCTCGCAGGGCCTTAGCTGCCTCCCTGCCGGGCAGGGCTCGGGACCTGCAGCCCGCCATGCCTGAGCCTCCCCACTCCCCGTGGCGGGGGGGGGTTCTATTTTTCAGGGTTCTAGAAATGCTGTGAAGCTGTTTTTAATTTACAAATAATTTTTTCTTATTACTCTATTTTTTTCTTATTACTTGTGTATTAAGTATGTGACCTTCCTACCTGGGCCTTAGTTTTCTTCACCTTATTGTTTGAGCGATTACACAGACAACACATGAATGCATTCTACCAAAAATGTCAAATAATGGAGAATTATATAAGTAATAAATAATGGAAGTTCCCTGGTGAGCCATCCCATGCCCCATCCCTCTTTCCTCCACAGGGGTAACCCCTGTTTTGGTGGCTTTTTTTTGTTTTTTGTGCACTGACATACGTATTGTCTGTGGACACATCTAAATTTAAAAGAATGTTATTAGGATCACAACATGCGTATCATTCTGCAGTGGGCCATGGTTTTCTTATTAAAGCACTAAATTAATTGAGCCCTAAGATATGCATTTCTTTTGTTCCTAGGTAAATGAATATTCAGGCATTTGGTGTTATTGTTGTTTTCAATCATCCCATAAAGAGAATTTCACTGTGTTTTCTTAGGACCAGTAGGAACACAGTGTTTATAGTTTTCCCTGGTGTAGCCATTCCCTCTGAATACATTCATTACTTCTTGTATATTTTTGGTTGATGCCCTTGGAGTTTCTTTCTATACAGTCATGTAATACACAAGTAATGTGAAAAAGTCTATTGCGATTATTGATAAAGTTATATACGTTTAAGCTATTTAAATTAAAAATTTTTTTTTGAAATGATCAAATAGTAAATCTGATCTTTTGGGGGGTCATACAGTTCTGTGGATTTTAGCACATGAATAGATTTATGTCTCCACCACTGAACACCAGGTAGGATGCAGAGCTCTTCAGTCACCCCAATAAGCTCCCTTGTGCTAGCCCACGGCAGTCCCTCGGGCCCTCAACCCGCAGTCACTCATCTGTTCTCCATTTCTGCGGTTTTGTCTGTTGGAGGAGGTCATATACATGCGAGATAATAAAGCACAAAGTTTTTCACAATCTGGACTTCACCCATCTCTCCAGTGAATCATTTGGTTTTAGCTTAATCCCACTTATCCTTCAAAACTCATGTCGAATGTCATCTCTCTGTCACCTGTCCCGGGACCTCTGTACTCTGCCGGTAAGTTGATTCAGGCGCCCTTTCTCTGGGCTCCCATGATATCCTGCACGTGCTTCTAATCTAGTGCTTTTCACATGCCAGGTATTATTATGTCTCCTGTTAGACTCCATGCTTTGTGGAGGCCGAGATTATGCCTTATTCAAATTAGTTTCTCAATTGCTTATATATACATATATTTACATATGTTAGTTTGTAACATGTAAATTAACAAATTAGTTTCTCAATTGCATACATATATTTACATATGTATATACATATGAGAATTGTATATATACATATATTTACAGTATATACAGTATATATATATACTGTGTATACATATGTAAATAGTAATTGTTTACTAAATATATAATGAATAGATAAATAATTAAGGGAGATACTGAAGATGGTGGCTCCCAACTGTGAGTGTGTGGGTGCCAAAGCTAAGAGCAAATAAAAGCAACAGTATCTGGAAACTTGCAAAATACAAGAATTTGAGGTTTCTTAGGAAAAAAATCACAAATAGAAAGGCGTGCCCAGATTCAACCATTTACTAGATATTATAAGTCCACACACATAGATAGCTCAATACAAATATTCTAGTAAATATTTATACCCAATAGCTAGTTTCAGTAGTAGCCAACAGTGTTGGGTTAGGAGTCGTGAATTTTCCAGCCAGCTCTCATCTCTGTGGCTGTAAGGGAGGAGTTCTGGAACCACCTCTAGACTCAGTGGGATGGGGTGAGGGGGCTCTAGATCCCTGACCTCAGCTTTAATCAGAGTCCTGCTTTTGTTTGTTTTCAACTTGAAGAAAGAGTTCCACTGCTTAAAAAAAATACAAGTGTGAGCGCCACCACTGGAGGCCTGTGGCACATGCAGTCCACATCCATCCTTGATGTGCCAACTTCCTCCCGATTCACTTTCCCTGGGGTATTCTTCAATTCCACCATTGTCTTTGGCATTTGATTCTATTCACTGTTAGAATCCACTCTTACCCTGCTCTTGTGAATTTCAGCCACGTTGTGGAAACTGCCATGAGTTTGGATGTTCTCTGGGGTCTGTCATGGGAATGTGGTCTGCAGCCATCTCCTAAAACTCCTCCACTAACCACGAGGCACTCAAACTGCCCCTTTCAGAGCCCTTTGCCATGAAAACTCTTCTTGATGGATAATTATGTTAGCTATGAATAATCTTTTCTCTTATTTATGCTGTTCATTTTTTGTTATTTGTTTATTACTTTTTTTTTTTTTTTTTAGGGACAGGATGTTGCTCTGTTGCCCAAGCTGGAGTGCAGTGGTGCAATCATGGCTCAATGCAGTCTTGAATTCCTGGGCTCAAGAGATCCTTATGCCTCAGCCTCCCTAGCAGCTGGGATTGCTTTTAGGCTTAGCTTTTTGTTTGTTTGTTGTAGAGATGGGATCTCACTATGTTGTCCAGGCTAGTCTCAAACTCCTGGCTTCAAGTGATCCTCCACCCTTGGCCGGCCTCCCAAAGAGCTGGGATTACAGCTGTAAGCCACCTTGCCCAGCCCATTTTTCACTTATTTATAGTGTTCATTATGTAGCACAAAAGTATGAGACTTATAAATAACAGGACCAGTATCATCTGAATTCCAAAGTCAAATGTAACTCTCAACTATTGTAATTTGAATGTGATGATGATACACTCATAGTATCTTCAACCCACAGTGCCTAATTCTGAGTGGGAAGGAGGAGAGGCCAATGATCACCTTCAAAGGAGGGTGACAAGGGAGCAGGAGGACAGGGAGGGGCTAGACACAGGTGATGAGGAGGAAAGCAGCTTCAGCAAATGTGCGAGTGTGGGAGGACAGAAGTCAAGGAAGTTCCCGTCCAGAGAGGTATCTCCCGGCAGGGACATCCTGGGGGGCAGAACAGGTCGAAGCCATGACAAGGAACAAGATGTGATACTTCTGGTGGCTGGTGGAGGAGTCGGGTGCAGGTCAGTGGAATTGAGGAGGTCAGGGCGTGAGGCTGCTGGCCAGGGGGACTGGCAGTGTGGGGTTTGTGGCCAAGCAGCCTCCTAACACCCTCAGTCAAGTCTCTCAGTGCTATTGAAGTTGCTTAAAAGCAAAACTGCCTTTCTTAATAAAAAGTGTCCTTTTATTTATATTTATAAAAAGTTTTTATTTTATTTATAAAAAGTAAAAAACTTTCCACTACACCGTGTTTCAGCTTCTGTGGCTGACCCAGCTCCAGGAGGAGGCCTGCTTGATTAGAGACTAGGATAAAGAAAGGCCCTGGGCAATGAAGCAGCTGGGCTCCCCAGCGGTGGGCCTGTGGGAGACTTGCCTCGGAGGGAACCTCAGCTCCCCGAGGCGCGGGGGCACAAACTGAGCAGACCCAGGAGCCAGTCCTGAGTGAGGGCTCCGGGAAGATGGAGAACAGGTGCTGCAGAGACTGTGGCTGGAGATTAGCAAGGAATGAAGAAAAAAGACTCCTTTACAGCAGGAAGGGCCCTGCCGATATATGACTGATACTGTGTTTAATTGCCACAATTTGGCACTTTCTTCAAGGGAGTTTTCTGCGGGTCTGTGTGGTGACAAAACCCATGGTGTACTCTGCTGATGAGTGAAGGTGGAGGTCCGTGGAGTTGAGGAGCCAGGCTGCGGCGAGTTGTGTGTCCGTGGTTATCAACAGGGATGTTTTGGCCAATTAGGAGCGAGGCCAGTTGGACAGTTGATAATTGAGAGTTATTCAGGTGTGAACATTCTTATTTAAAAGGGTAAGCGTATCAGCAGCCCAGGGCTGCTATAACAAGGTCCCACAAACTGTGTGGCTTAAAACAGCAGGAATTAATTTTCTCACACATCTGGAGGCCAGGAGCCTGAGATCCAGGTGTTGGCAGAGCCACCAGTCCCCTGAGACTCTGGGCTGAGTCCTGTGCCTGTCCCTAGCTCCTGGTGGTGGCCATCCGTCCCTGAAGTTCCCTGCTTGGAGCGGCATCACTCTATTATCTGCCTTTTTTTTTTTGGTATGGCATTTTAATTTTTTTCCTAGAATAATTCTTGTCCTTTCTGTGTTTGCTGGCTGGCTTAGTTTTTTTTTTTGTTTTTTGTTGTTTGTTTGTTTGTTTGTTTTAATGTACCCTTCACTAATCCAGCCCCATACATTCAAACAGACTATAAAACTCCTCTCAGTGGTCCAATACTTCAGATAAGCTACCACTCCATTTTTTTTCTGGCAGTACCGCCCTCTGTCTCCCTGTCCTCCTCTCCCTCTAGGCCACTTCCATAGCCGTCTTCCTGTCACTGTCATCCTGGAAACCTCCCTTGCCTCTCACCTCTGTTGGATACCGTGATTCGAGAACCCATGTCTTCCTGTCTCCGGGTGACTCCCCCGTTTTGGTGGAGAATATACTCCAAGAAGTTCCTGAGAAAAGGTGCATGAAAGATCCATTTTTTTTTGAGACCCTTTAGGTACAAAAGTACCTTTAAAGTCACTCTTGATTGATGGTTGAAGGCAGCAATCATCCTCCAGATCATACTATGACTGTTGAGAAGTCTAATGTCTTTCTGGAACCTCTCATCAAGTTCACTGAGTCATTCCTCAGCTCGTGTTCAGGCTAGCAATTCATCCACTGAAAGAATTATTTGATTTGATATCATGTTTCTAAATTTCTAGCTTTTTCATTAGATTCTTTCTTACGGTTTCCATCTCTGCTGAAATTCCTCATCCCTTCATGCCTGTTGTCTACCTTTTCTACTGGATCTTTTAACAACTTAATCATAGTCTGTATTTATTTACTTGTTTATTTTTGAGACAGGGTCCTGTTCTGTCACCCAGGCTGGAGTGCGCTGGTGTGATCATAGTGCTCTGCAGCCTCAAACTCCTGGGCTGAAATGATCCTCCCACCTCCATCTCCCAAAGTGCTGAGATTATGGGCATGAGCCATTGCACCAGCCTTCGTCTGTATTTTAAAGTCTGTGTGTGATAGTTACCGAGTTGGAGTTTTGTTGTTCCTGTCATTACCTTCAGTGCACCGTGGGTTTCAGATACCCCTGTGACAGGCTGCTGTCATGCCTGGTGCTTAGAGAGGGACTCAGGAGCCAGAGGGTTTTCTCAGTGTTCTTGCTTGCTCCCTTTCAGCGTTCGGCCATCCCTATACCACAGCACACAGGGGGCTCTCTCTGCTCTTGGCCCTCCCAGAGCAGTAGATTGCTGTCGTTTGTTACTCAGAGCTGGACTTGCGGTGGGGGCTTGGCGGGGCTCTCTGTTGTCCTGTTTCAACCTCGGTCTTAGGCAGGCCCTATGCACCTGGGCCTCAGGGACGGAGCTTGTTAAGCATTCCTTCGCCTTCTCCCCTTGGCCACCATGCTGCTTGTATCTGCATTTGGATTTGGGTGGGAGTTTTCTCCCCCACCTCCATCACCTGCAGACCTCTTCCTGTTGTAAATGTAGGATCCTGAACCCCAAATATGTTCTCCCGGTCCCCCAGTGGTATAGGGTTTTTGCTTCCACCATCCCCCAGCAGTGACCCAGCCCTTTGTCTGCATCCTGGGAGGGGCTGTCTCACCTCTCTCCTTGAAGCAGATGGGTCTGGCCTCTACTCTTTCCCCAGAAGCAACAGGCAAGAGGGTCTACAGTCCCTGCACCAGTAGCTTTTACGTCTCAGCAGGGAAGCATCCAAGGAAGTGGGAGGGGGTACCTGCTCCTCAGCCTTGCCGCAGCCTCTGTGCTCCTGCCCTCTTCCTGTGGTCTGGGTGTTTGTAAGGATTCACTGTGGAGCCCATGGAAATGAGCTCACCAGTAAGCACAGACTCTCCTTGCACCACAGGCACTGCATGTGCTTGCCCCCACTTGGCCTTTAAAAACGTGTTAAAATTTTAGCCAATTTCTTCTTACCCAATCGGCAACAATCTCTCTCTTTGTCCTCTGCTCCACCAAAGGTTTGTGTGTCCATCTCTCGTTGGAGGGGCTGATGCCTCTTTGAAATCCAGTTTACTTGGTTGCCTTATGAACTTAGTTCTCTTAGGGGCTCAAGAAACGTTTATTTTCTCATCTTTACAGTAGGGAAGACACCAGTGCTGCTTTCTACATCCTAGGCAGACGTGACTTCTTCCAGTGCTATTTCAACTCCATGTCCTTTGTGTCTGACCTCATTTGTCCTTGCTGAAAGCATTTAGGATCTTCTCTGGAATGATGATGTTCTAAAGTTTCAACACAATTTTTCATGGTGTCAGTCAGTCTGTTTTTATTTATTGGGAAATTTTTCTTACCTCCATTTTTTCCTTAAGTCTGCTCTACCTAGAACTCTAATTTTGGACTTCCTGGATTTCTTATTCGATTTTTAAAAATATTTTTTCTCCTATATCTCAGAGCTCATTTATCTTTTTTGTTCTGCTTTCTGGGAGATCATTCTTATCTTATCATCCTATCTAAACAGAGAGAGAGATTTCCTTAAATGCCTGAAGCCAAAAGAGAGGCGGAAAACGTCCTTCTCGGATTTTGCCGCTTGATTCAGAGTAGGGCACTCCTTCGGTGCTAGCCAGGCCACCTGTGACTTTACTGTGGCCTTCACATCCTGCTTTGTAGACTTCCCCCCTACACTCCAGATCCACCAGACTGTATTAGTCCCTGGCACCAGCAAGCTGCACCAGGAATGTGGCCACCATCCCCAAAGCCACTACCACTAGGGGATGGGACCGTAGTCAGGTAGGGGAACGGGCCACATTGCTGTTTTATTGAAATCCAGCTGCCTTTTCTTCATTTTTCAGTGCCTTGGTTGCTACAAATTTCAGATTAGATTCCAGAGTCCCCCAAAAGCTGATACCAACAGTCTTTGGCAGCTATGGCTGTTTCAGTGGAGGGACTTTTTCTTTCGGTGCCCGAGTCTTCCTTGACTGTGATGTCATGCCTCTATTTATTTTGTACATTTCTGCTCTCATACTTTTAACTTCTCAGAGCTTATCTTGTTTTCTAAATGTTCTATTTTCATAACATTTCTTTCTTAGTTCATGAAAATGATACCCATCTTTGAGGATATTAATTATAGTGGAAGGTTTGGGGATATTTTATTTTCTTGCTTCCTGAATTGTTTTTTTCCTCTGATTTATTTTTTTCAGTTTGTTTTATCTTTTCCTTTAAGAGCATTCTTGGAGAATGCAGTTGACTGTTAATACTGAGAAGTCACATAGTAAAATGTTGCTTGGAGTCTCTGTGCGTGGCAGGGCTTTGGCTGGTGTCTCTACAGCGGGGTGACTGGCGGAAGTCTCATAGGAGGGCTAGACTTTTCCCTGGTCAGCACCTACACAGTCACGGAAGCCCTTGTTTTCAGGATGGCTGCTCCCTGTCTTCAGCAGTTCCTGGTGTCCCTGAGTCCAGAGCCTTTCAGGTTCAACCTCACTGGAGAACCAGCTACCATTCCCTTCAGAAGGGGAGGGCAGTTTCCTGGCTAGGGGGACACCGCTGCTCCGCGTATGGCCCTCCAGGGGGGCCCCTCTCAGCTCACTCCATCCCTCTGCCTTCGAGGCCCTGTCCCCACAGCGACTCTGCAGCAGGCACGGGAGGAACTCACCTGCAGGCAGTGAAGGTGCGATTTCTGCCGCCCTGCTGAGGTGGCCACCACCAGCACCCGTTTCCACTTTCCACATTTCGTTGCACTCTTGTCATCTGCTGTTGCCTCTTCACCTGGTCTCTATCCTTGGGGATTTACACACTTTAAAAAATAATTTATGATCATTTTAATGAGGCTTGGGGAAAAGCAGAGATTAAAAGAAGTTATGTTTAATCTGCCATATGTCCACTATTTCTTTAATATCATTAAGAAGGAAAGCTGATGATACTAATAAGTCAGGCGAAACAGGAATTTATCAGTGATTTGATAAAATAGAGTGACTGTGGCATTGCCGCAGGGTGTGGCTATTCACCCCTTCTTGTTATGTGATTGATCTTTTGTTTTCAAAATAAAGTGTAAAGAATTAAGAGTGACAGAATAAATGTCATAGAAAAGCTATCTGAGCCTAGTAGTCAACAAAGAAGTGAAATGACTTTGATTACAGCTCATTCCTTTTTTTGATGTAAACCCTAGTATTTACCAAAAAACTATATTGTAGATGTATGTATAGTGGGCATAATCTTCCTTCCTCTTCACTGTTATTTAATAGCTTAATACCTAAACTCTTGCTATGATTAATATAACGGACATTAATTATTAGACAATTAAGATACCAAAACCGAAATCCTCTGATGCTCAGCTCAGTATAAGCTCAATTTTCACTACGTATAAATTGGATCATCAGCTAGACAGTCTCAGGAGAATTTATTTAGTCTAAGCATTGTACACATACGTGACTAGATGCTGTTTCAGCTCTTCCTACCTATCAAACAAATACAGTGAGCCTGGAGGTTGCTGGGAGTTGTAAGAGTGGGGTTGAGATCACATTCCCCTTTGCATAGTGAAATATCCCGTTTAATGAAGTTGTTTCTTTTGGAGAAATGTCCATTGAACTGCTGCAGACTCTGGGTTTGCATTGGTGAAAAAAGGTGAAGGAACTCTTCCTTGGCGCCCTTGGGAGCCTAGAGTTAGCGGAGGAGGCGGGGGTCCAGCCAGGTTTCAGGGCGGCCTGGTGTGTTTCCCCGGGAAGCATTCACGGGAGCAGGCCCAGGGCTCATCCCGCGGGGGCTGGTCCGATTGCGCCGGCTGCGCAGCGCTTCCCAGAAACCGCGCTTGGTGATGTTGGAGGCCTGGATCGGGCTCTGGTGGAGGGTGTTTACCACCAGGCCCCACGCCCTGGGTCTTGCCCTCTGGAACGGCAGCAGGCGCGCTCCCGGCGAATCTGCCTGAATCGCCGTGAATGCGGTGGGGTGCAGGGCAGGGGCTGGTTTTCTCAGCCGGTCTTGGCTTTTCTCTTTCTCTCCTGCTCCACCAGCAGCCCCTCCGCGGGTCCCATGGGCTCCGCGCTCAGAACAGCCCGGAACCAGGCGCCGCTCGCCGCTCGCTGGGGGCCACCCGCCTCTCCCCGGAACAGCCTCCCGCGGGCCTCTTGGCCTCGCACTGGCGCCCTCACCCACACATCGTCCCTTTATCCGCTCAGACGCTGCAAAGGGCCTTCTGTCTCCGGGGGTAGGACCGCAGACCCTCTGGTGGCCTGCCCGCCGCTGACCCGGCCTCACTCGGCCTCCCGCTGCACTTCTCCTGGGCTTCCGCGCTTCCCCGCTGCCGAGACCTTTCCCCAGCCGTTCCTCACTCATCCCTTCACCTCTGTCGCGCCCTAGGGTCTCGGGGCCTTACCTGACTCCCACCCTTCCCCTGAGCCCTCCGGCCCCTCCATCCTGTCTCCTGCTTCCCGCCTCTGCACAGCACTTAGCGCCGTGGGTGTACTGTGGATTTCACCCACTTGCTTTTTCTCTGACCTCTCCCACCAGGATATGCATTCCAAAAGGGCAGGGTTTTGTCTTTTCTGTTTGTTGAGACATCCCTAGAACAGTGAATGGTGCATTGGAAGAGCAGAGGAAAGCGTGGAGGCCTAGAGGTGACCCCAGCTCCCAGGACAGGAAGGACCCGGGAGGGCTCCTCCTGGGCCTGGTCACATGCGCTCACCCCAGGGAGGCATCCACTAACACGCTCAAGACTGCTTAATACTTCGTTGAGGACGGCTTGCCAGAGGCTGACGGCACAGTTGCCAGGAGGGAAGGCAGGAGAGATGGACAGATGGATACTGACTGTCCTTCGTGTGCCACCCTGAAGGGTGCAGAGCGTGATGTCCACATCAACTCCCCTGTGCTTTTAACACCACTGTGGCACAGGCGGGGTAGATAGTATTATATCTATTTATAGGTGGAGAAATGAGGCTTGAGAGAGGCTAAATGATACTTCCAAAGTCATGGAACCAGTGGGAACAGAAAGCCAAACCCCAGAGTCCTTTCTGGCACCCCATTCTACCAAAGGGAGAACTGCGCCATTGAAAACGGTCTTGTGCGTTACCTTTAGCGTGTATGATACAGGCTGCCCGCTCCTCATTAGAGAGAAGGTAGTGGGGAGTAGTCACCCCTCTTTTGGTTCACCCCCCTAATCTAACCCAGTATTAAAATAGGCTAAAAAGGTCATGATCTCAGAGATAGCATGAAATCCCAGGGGTGTTATTTTGAGTGCCAAGTATGTGCCAGACATTGTTCCAGGCACCTTACACTCCAAGCCTCAAAATAACCATGCAGAGTAGGTGGTGTCACGCCCATTTTATAGACGAAGAGACTGAGGCTCAGCGGGGTTGGATTCACTGTTTAAGTCTCCACTGCAGGGTGGAGCCAGGTGAACTCAGATATGCCTGGCTCCCAAGCCCATGTTCTTTCTGCTCACCAAGCTGTCCCCTTAAAACAACAGCAGGATTTCCAAATCAGGGTATTGTGCCTTTAGCACCCGTCACCTCTTGCTGGGTGTATTAATGTTCAAGAAACACAAGAGAAGGGTGTTTCCAGTGTGGTTAAGAAATAGACCCTCCTCAAGGCTTCAGCCAGGCTATAATTATTCTCAAGCACAAAATGTGGGGCTCTCCTGCTTGTCAAGTTTGGTTGTTTTTTGTCTTCTCACCCCATATTTTATTTTGGATTCTGTTTATATTTGATGTGTCAAACGGAAATGTCCCTTTTAAAGAAGAATCCTATCATTATCAGGGGACTGGATGCTCCTGAGAAGAAAATTAAAAGTCATCCTTTAAGATGGGTAGTGATAGTAGAGAATATTGATCCTCAAGGCTTTTGAGAGGACACACTGCAAGTGGGTGGTTTGTTTTCGGTGCTGCTGCAGTCCGGGAGATCTTGCTGGGACCTACCCAACAATGTGATTTCTAACATTAGGTTGCTTTTTCTAGTTCTTCTGATGAGCTTTATGGCAGAGAACGTCCTTGTATACATTTTGGAATGAGCAGTTCACTATCATGAGGCTTCTGCACATATTGTTAAGTAATCCTCGGAAGCAATTTGGCCCATAGTAGTCATTTGCCTGCAGTGTTTTCGCTGGCCCCGGGCAGTCTGTCCTGCCTCAGTTACAGGGGAGAGCACACACAGCGGGTGGCAGCCAACACAGTTTACTGTCACCACAGGAATGCAGATTTCTAGCAAGAAATATAAAATGGAATGTGCGTGTTTAAGTGTCCTTCAGGCATAGGCATGTTGCCTCATTAAAAAAAAACTTTCTTAACTGATGAGTTTACTAATAGCTACATAGACAACTACATATTTTAAATGCCTCTCATCCAAAATTTTAGAACCATGTTTGTTCATTCATTTACTCAACAACCATTTTTAATCTACACATGCCAGGTACTGTGCTAGGCACTATATATACAGTGCAGAATATGATAGACATGTTCCTCACTTCCTAATGCTCACCATCTAGCAGGTAAGACAGATTTCATGAAAGTAGTCATTTAGGCCGGATGCGGTGGCTCACACCTGTTATCCCACCACTTTGGGAGGCTGAGGCAGGCGGATCATCTGTGGTCAGGAGTTCAAGACCAGCCTGGCCAACATGACCAAACCCCATCTCTACTAAAAATAAAAAATTAGCCGGGTGAGGTGGTGGGCATCTGTAATCCCAGCTACTCAGGAGGCTGAGGCAGGAGAATCACTTGAGCCTGGGAGGTGGAGGTTGCAGTGAGCCCAGATCATGCCACTGTACTCCAGCCTGGGCGACAGAGCAAGACTCCATCTTAAAAAAAAAAAAAGAAAGAAAGAAAAAGAAATTAGTCATTTTAATTACAGTTATGAAAGATGAGCTAAAAGACAAGGACAGGGTCCCATGAGAATGTGTGACATGGAAGAATCTAACTTCCTGACTTTACAGATCAGGAAATGGAGGGATACAAAAGTAAGGGATAGAAAGGTCTGTCTGTTCTCATTCCATCTAAATCTCTCTATTATGCAATGAAGTATTATATTCAACCAAATTACACAATTTTTAATTGCACAGAATCTAAGAAATTTATTCATTTCTTCAAATGGTAAATAATAGAACTTGAATACAATGCATAGGAAGCAATTCACACCAAGATTCAGATGTTCTGCTCATATTCTTTAGGAGAGCTATGAACTTAAATGTATACAAAAGCACCCATTCACACAAACACATATGCACACATCCATGTATATTACAGGTTGTTATGGAGTGATCTCTAAGATACTATGAAGTGGAGAGGACCAGGCAGAAGCTGTATTTCTTTGAATGTGCCTCCTTTTGTAGACTGGACTGTGGAACCATATAAATACTTTACTTAATTATAAAACAAATTTTAAACGTTAAAATCAATCCCTAAAAATGGAAAAGAAAAAGAAACAAATGCATCTGAGTATTCAGATGGTGACAGAACCCCACATCAGAACCATCTAAAGCAACATTAAACCACAGTAATTTGACTATGGGATTTACATGAAGGGTAACATGAACTTCAAAAAACAACCAAGAAAACTTGTGTTTTCAGTAATGATATTGTTTATGCTAATGTTGGTATTGTCATTCTGAGATTGTTGTGTGATGTGAGACAAAGCAAAGAAGTAATCACTTTGGTTGTTAAGAACCAGGATTTTTGTATGGAGAGAGGTAAGATCAATGAGGTTCAGTAAGAAAAGCCACCACCCTGAATGAAAACAGAAAGCACCAGGATGAACTCATGATTCATTTTATCCTAAAAAAAAAAAAAATCTAGATCTACCCTAAAAATGATGATCCATCCAGTAGAAACAAGGTGTCTTGGTGCTTGGAGAGTGGGCTCTAAATAGCATTTCCCAGCAAAATGAAACAGGGCTTCCCAGAGAAATGGCTGAGTCCCAGCCTGGGGCAGGACATGTGCAAGAAGGACCCTCAACATCTTGTCACACCAGAAAGCAAGGAAGTCATTAGAGACAGCTAGGGCTGTGTTAGGACTCAGGAGTCAACTTCTGAGACCCCCACTGGTCAAGGATGGCACAACGTGAGTATCAAAAAGGTGCTGACTGCAACAGATAGAAACATACCAAATGGGTCTGATCTATGAGTTCCTAGTGATACTGGAAGATCATTGATTACCTTTGGGAGACACTAGGGGGCCAATTCATTATTTTGAAAACTCATAAATAAAGGGAAAGAGTCAAACGCCTATCCTGCCTCTCCTACATAAAGAGAAAACTCAGACATATGTGCCCAGCTGTTTCATCCTGCCAAACCTGTGGCTGGAGTCACCCCAAAAGTGCTGGCAGGGGAGTTCCTACAAGGGAGAGCCCCAAACCATCCTAAGGTGGAGTTGGTTGGGATTCCAAAGAAAGAAGCACTAGACGCCAGGGTGATCAGTCCACAGCATTTATTAGGGGAACTCACAGAGTAGGCTACAACGTATCCTTGTGAAGGACAGCGAGAGGGAAGAAGCATTCTACCTAGGGAGGGCCAGGGCATGGAGTTTATGTGAGGGTTTAGGGAATTTGGCTCAGGGCCAGGGCCAGTTTCTCTCAGTACTTTGGACAACAACGCAGATATCTTATTTGGTGCCTGCAAATGTTCAAGGGCCCAGTTTGGGTTCAAGCCTGCAGGGGAAAACCTGCAGCTAAGAGGGTCATAGAGCTGTCAAGACGTTCTGTGATTTTTGGTCAGGACATGGAAAGAAAGTTGCGGGTGGTGGGGAGTAGGGAACTGGGGAACCCTAGGCCAACAAAAGAACCAACACCACCTGTGAAATAACCCTGCCAAATATGTGAGCCTGATCCCAGTTAGGCATCTTGATCTATACCAGTTTACAGGAAATACAGATAACAGAGGAACGTGTTAAGTGACACCACAGGTCTACAACTGGGGAAGTGATCAGCAAAGCACAGACTATGGGAAGCTCTGAAAGTTAGAAGGAAAAACAAGGAAACACATTGGCAGGAAACTATAGATTCAAAGAGACATGAGAGGCTTATTAGCAAATCACAGGACAGGGGCCTTATAAGAACCTCGTTCAAATAAATAAAGGGTTAAAAATTATAGCACAATTAGGGAAATGTGAACACTCACTGGATATTTAGTGATGCTGAGGAAATATTAAGGTGAGATTACATTGTGCTTTTATTTAAAAGAGGGAGTCTGTGTCTTTAGAAATATGTATGGATAAAATAGTCTGTTGTTTGGGACTTGCCTCAGAGCCATCTAGGGAGAGGCGCTGGGGGCACCAAGCATATGAGATTGTTCATAAGTTGATAGTTGTTAAAGCAAATTGATGGAAACATGGGAGGTCATTATTCTCCACGTCTGTATATATGTATTTGAATTTTTCCACATTGAAAAGTTCGTTTGTGCAATTTCAAGAATGTACTGCAAAGAATATAATGTCTCAGTATAAATTATGTTTGTGACAATCATCATGATCAATAGAGGTAAGAAACCAGAGACATTTGAGGTTTCCATTTCCAAACAGCTAACTACCTCTTGCACTACAAAGCTTTGCATTGGTTGGTAAAAAATTTTCCCAGCTCCCAGAAGCATTTTCTTCCAAGTACAACATTTTAAAGATGGGAAATTATGCTTTCATTTCTGGCCATGGCGGGATCACTGGTGGAGGACCAGCCGTCCTGCCAAAGGCAATTATAAAACAGGAGAAACCGCAGAACTGTGACCTTGAGAAACAGGGACATGCGAGGCGGCCCTCAGAGCCTTGGCTTTCTATGTGGAGGGACTTTTCTGCCACAGCATCAGAGAGTGGAGTCCAAGTGAATGGTGGTCTCACTGAGCTGAACAGGCAGAAACTGGAGCTTGGGGTGGGTGAGGCAGCTGGAATGTGTGGGCAGGTGCTAAAGAACAGGGAGCTAAAATAATGGGGAGTGGCTGCTCAGGAGTCTATGTGGAGATTCACTGTTTCCTGGCTGATGGCCGGTCTGTGCAGGATGAGATTCCATAGGCCTAGCAAAGATGGCTTACTCTGCAGATGAGCCATGAGCAATGATACGAGAGGCTGTGCAGTGTTGGCAGATGTTTGGAGATCTGCTCCAGCCTAAGTGGAGACGCCTTACTGACCTGTGTTTTCAGTTGAGACCCCAGAAAGGTCATTCCTTAGGAGAAAGACTACATCCCAGAGCAATGGAAACACCCTATGATTAAGTTCAGAGCCAAAATAGACCCAACCTAACAAAGAATAAAACCACACCTGGCAGAATCAAAAAGATATGCTGCCAGGAAAATCCTCAATACCCATTAATAAAAGATGGCATAATACATGTTCCCTACAAAATAGCATCCACAACACTTAACATATGATATAAAATTACCAGACTTGTGATAAAGTAGGAAACTGTGACCCATAATCAAGAAAAACAGCAGTCAATAGAAACAGACCTCAAGATGATTACATGTTGGAATAAGCAAACAAAAACTTTAAAAAAATATGGAAAAGTTTAAGGAAAGATAGAACTGGAAAATTTAACATCTAAGATAAAAACATTCGCTGGAGGGGTGTGGAACCCATGAGATTGCACCTTGCTTGCCTCCTTCCCCAGATGATATAATTGAGTGTTGGCCCCAACTGCTGCACTTTGATGCTCACCCCTGAATTTGCACAGAAGCTGTGCCTCTCACTGGATGCTCCCTGTCCACGGAATCACACTTTTTAAATGCTGAAGGGACAAACCCTGCCAATCTGGACTTCCATATTCAGTGAAAAATCATTCAAAACTGAGAATAAAATAAAGATGTTTTAAAAAAGGTTGATAGTATTCATCACAAGAAGACCTAGCCTACGAGAAGTGCTAAAGAAAATTCTTCAGGTTAAAGAGAAATCAGAACAGATGGAAACCTGAATTCTCAAAAAGGAATAAGAAAACACCAGAAAGAATAAATATGTGTGCAAAAATAAAAGAATATATTTTTTCTCCTAATTTTGTTTTGAAAAAAACTGCTTATAGCAAAATAATAACTTTATATTCCAGGATTTTTCTTTTACATAGATGTAAAATATGTGATAAGAAGAGCACAAGAGATGGAGGTTAATGCGGTTTTACTGTTGTAAGATTCTTATGTTTTATGTAAAATGGTACAATATTAATTCTAAATAGATTCTCTAGAGTAAACACTAAAACAATACAATTGAAGAATTAAAATAGAATATTAGAAAGCATTTGATTAGCCCAAAAGAAGGCAAGGAAGGAAGAATCAAGGATCAAAACCAGATGGGAAAACAAGAAAACACATAACAAAATGGTCAACTTAAACCCAACGATGTGAAAATTACATTAATGTAAGTGAACTAAACACCCTAATTAAAAGGCAGAGATTGTTAAACTATTTAAAAGAAATACTCAAATATATATTGTCTAGAAAATATGTACTTTAAGTACAAAGACAGAGCCAGGTGGACAGAAAAGGGAAAGGAAAATATATACAATAAAAACAGTGATTACACAGCATCTGATGTGGCCATTCTAATGTAAGAAAAAGTAGCCTTCAAGAAAGGAGTATTAACAAAGATAGTGACATTTCATCAGGAAGATATAACAATCCCAACCGTGCATATGCTTCAAAACAGAGCTTCAAAAACATGAAACAAAACCTGGCAGAATTAAAGGAGGGGATAGATAAATCCACAGTCATGGCTGGAGATTTTAAATGGCTTTCTGTAAATGGCAGAACAACTAAGCAAAAGTATCTGAAAGGGTCTAGATGATAACAATCACACATCAGCCACCTGAACGAATTGGCGTTTATAAAGCATAGCAGCACCAAAGAAAGAGTGCACCGTCTGTTCAGGTGTACACGGACCACTCATCAAGATAGACAACGTGTTTTGCAATAAAATAAGTATCAACAAAATTCAAAAGATTGAAAATCTTACAGAATATGTCCTTTGACTACAATTAAATTAGAAGTCAGTAACAATAAGTTTCTTTTCTTTTCTTTTTTTGTTTTTTTGAGACAAAGTCTGGTTGTGTCACCCAGGCTGGAGTGCAGTGGCACAATCTTGGCTCACTGTAACTTCTGCCTCCTGGTTTCGAGCGATTCTTCCTCCTCAGCCTCCCAAGTAGTTGGGACTACAGTCGTGTGCCACCACACCTGGCTAATTTTTTAAATAGTTTTAGTAGAGACGGGGTTTTGCCATGTTGGCCAGGCTGGTCTTGAATTCATAAACTCAAGCAATTTGCCTCCTCAGCCTCCCAAAGTGCTGGGATTACAGGCCTGAGCCACCACGCCCAGCCCAAAAAATAATTTCTAAATAACCCATAGGTCAGGAAGAAATCACAAGGGAATCTATAAAATACCTCAAGCCAAGTGGTAATTAAAACTCAACATATGAAAATTAATAAGATACAGCTAAAACAATGCTTAGAGGGAAGTTAGAGCTTTAATACTTGTAACAGAAAAGAGGAGAGAATTAAAATAATGATCTAAATTTATTTCTTAAGAAGTTGGAAAAAGAAGAGCAAATTAAACCCAGTGTGTGTAAAAGGGAGGAAATGATTAAAATAAGAGAAAAAATAAATGAACTATAGAATAGCAAACTTTAGAGAACTGATAAATCTCTAGCAAGACTAATCACGTAAAAAGAGAGAGAGAGAGAAAAAAACTACTGGTAACAAGAATGAAAAATGGGATATCATCACAGTTCTTACAGACATTTACAGAATAATAAGGCAATAATATTCAGACAACTTTATGCCAATATAGTTGACAATTTATATTAAATGTGTAAATAACAAAAAATTTAAAATTTCAAAAATTGTAACAAAGAGAAATGGAAAATCTGAATGGTCCTCTATCTATGAAAGAAATTAAATTTGTATCATAGACTTAAGGAAGAAATATTACCATCCTAACACAAACTCTTTAAGAAAATAAAAGAAAATAAAAGAGGGCCGGGCGTGGTGGCTTACACCTGTAATCCCAGCACTTTGGGAGGCTGAGGCAGGCATATAACATACGGTCAGGAGTTCAAGGCCAGCATGGGAAACCCCATCTCTACTAAAAATACAAAAAAATTAGCCAGGCGTGGTGGCATGCGCCTGTGGTCCCAGCTACTTTGGGGGGTGAGGCATGAGAATTGCTTGAACCTGGGAGGCGGAGGTTGCAGTGAGCTGAGATAGCACCACTGCACTCCAGCCTGGGTGACAGGGTGAGACTCCATCTCAAAAAAAAAAAAAAAAAAAGAGGAGGGAACAATTACCAAATTGTTCTTTCATCTTTGATGTCAGCATTATCTTGATACCGAAACCAGATAAAAATATTACAGGAAAAGAAAATTATAGACCACCGTGTTCCTCATGAACATAGTGGCAAAAATCCTTACTAAATATTGGCAAATTGAACCAAACAATATACAAAATGAGTAAATCTTGATGCTAATATTTTTAATAAAGTAAGTCTCAGGAGTTGTTGGATCAATAGCAATATTATTTTAATATATTAAAATATATGAAATAAATATATTAATCAATATATTAAATTATATATTAATATATCACATTGTATGTATTTTAATGTATTAAAATAGTCTATATTTTAAAATATAATCGACACATGACTATTGTCTGTAAGCAAGAAAAATTGGAAAGTTTTACCTAAATCATCTCAGTAAAGTGAAACTCAAGTCTGAAATGCAAGGCTTTTGAAATCCTACTCCTGCATCTTTGGGAAAACTCTGTAAGCCTGTGCCCTGGCTCTAACATCTTGGAATTGAGAGACGGGAAGCAACTTCATAGATGATATACAGAATGTACTTTGTCATTGTTGGAAACAAAGACAGGTGATAGCCATTGATGGGCCTGAGTGAAAATAGGAAGTACTCTTCATATTCCTCCCAGAGCTCAACATTTCTCACACTAGCTCACTCAAAACAATACTTTAAAAATATGGTGAGTCTTGTTTAAATTAAAAAAAAATAAATTTAGAATTGAGATTCTTTGGGAAGCTGTTTTCCCACTATCTGGCCAACCTGCCACTTTTTATAGTTGCCACAGGACTGTTTTCGTGGATCCCTGTACACAACAAAACACAGCTGGTGATTGCAACACCTCCCCCTCCTCCCTTAGAAATGGAAGCATGACTGGCTTAGTCTTTATATTCGTATCCATAATAACAGAACAGAGAAGCATTCTTACATTGGGTTTCTTCTTTCTCCTCCTTCTTCTTCTTTTCTTTCCAATTTTCCCATAATTTGCATAGCTAAATTTCTGAGTCCCTCTTGTTACTAAAAGGGCTATTTTTAATGGTATTCCTCCCCTTGCTGCTATTAATCTGCAAGCAAATCTATCAGAAATAAGGTAGGAGTGGTTTTACCATTCTCTCTATTAATCAGTGCCCAATGCCTTTCCATAATGAACCAAGGATACGTGACTCAGAGTCTAATAGCATTTATTGAGCACCTATCTCTGCAGCAATGTCTTAGGTATTCCCAGATGGTGGGGGCATACTGAAGAAGCATCAGATGTGGTACCTGATTCGAGGAGTTTGGGGAGATAAAACACACAATTGAGGTAAAAGTAGTGAAGTTCCAGATGACGCAGGTATTGATTCTGGGTGCAGTATGAATTCGCAGAATGAAGAGATGCATGTGGGCCCATGGCATTAAACCAGGTGTGGGTACTATGGTAATGCCCTTTGCAGATCTTCAACTGCAAGCACGTTCTTGATGGAGAGCCCAAGCAGCTGGGCTCTGAAATCCAGAGCAGTGTTTGTCCCAAGGCCAAAGCTGCCCTCTGGCTGCTCTGAGCCAGTGACTGAGTGAACACTGTCTAGGACATTTCCACTCGAACTGCCTTCCCTGTCTCCTTCACTCAGGGTCAGACTTGCAGATGCTCCCAGCCTTCTCTGGCTCCATCCTCATTTCCTGTCAAAGATATTTTCCCTAATAAAATCCTGGCCTGCGTAATCCCATCTTGGTGTCTGCTTCTTGGAAGACCCGGATGAACAAACAAAGCTTTAGGTAATGAGCCAGACTGAGATCTCACCTGGACAGATGGGCAGGGAGTGGTTCCAGGGCAGGACATGTGAGAGAACTGAACCAAATCATAGAGGTGGGCTATGGCCATGTGTCTATGACAGACAGAGAGGAGCCATGTTGGAGGCTCAGAGGGTACCCATCGGGAGCTTTGGGAAATGAGCACGTGGACCAGACCATGGGGTAGGGGGTTCATGGTCTGGTGTCGAGATTGGACTGTATGACACTTGGGGTTCTTGGAGAAGAAAATCATTGTACTAAAGTAGCACGTTTGGAAGGATAGCTGGAAAGCAGTAGACAGTATGGATTACAGTAGAGTGCCATGGGAATCAGAGTCATCAGCTAGAAGGCCGATTTCATGATCTGCGCCTGAAGGCACAAAAGGCTTAGTTAGGCAAGGTTGGTGCGGTGAAGAGAAAGGAGAGAGATTTTAGAAGTGGAACCAACAGGACTTGGGGCCTGAGTGGGATGAGGGATGAAGGATCCTAGGTTTAAGGTGAAGAGGAAACATGAATTCAAAATTGGGTTCCCAGGATTCTAGCCTGAAGGAATGGAGGACTCATAGCTCTGTTGACCAAGATGAGAAAATGGGTATGGAAGAGGAAACTGCTTCTATGGGGGAAAGAGAATGAAGAGTTCTGTTGTGCATATGTAGTGCTTGATGGAACAGCAATACGTATAAGCAGAAATGTCTGGTAGATGTTGGGAAATTCAGAGTGCTTGCTAGACTGCAAATATACTTTTGGGAATCACCAGAATTAAGATGAAACTGTAAGGATGGCACAGATGGAAAAGGGTAGCAGTCCCAGAAACAAAATAGAAAGATTTGGGGAAAAAGATGAAACCACCTCCCTTTTGGTAACAACCGCTTGGAAGCCTTCCCTGTCCCTGTCTCCCCATGCTTGCCTGCTGTCAGGCTGCAGAGTGCAGGTGACCTGGGCAGGGAGGACGATACCTCCCTCAGATCCGTGGCCACAGTCACATTTGCCACTTACGTGGCCAAATCACAGGGAGGGACGCTGACCTCCCTGTTCTTCATGTTCCTCTGCCTCAGGTTGAGCCATCACTCACTGAGCCTCTTTACATACATGAGATTCTCTTCCTGTCTGGTCTCTTGGACAGCCATGGAACCCTAAGAGTCTGCACTGCTCCTTTCTAGAAAACTAACCCTCACCATCTGCTCTTACACCAACCTCTATCCCTTCTGTCATTGTCAAGTCCTAGCCTTGCCTATGTCCTTGTCTTCTGCCAGTCACAGCCAGGTGTTTACACTCTGTTCCCCTCTGATGCCCCATGAAATATTTATTACCAGCTGTTAATACTCCTAGAAGGATCTAGTTTGGCGAAGACCATGATTGGGAAAATGCAGGTATTGCAAGAGGCGTTTGCGTGACTCAGTAAGTGGGGTGATGCCTTCTGTCACTCTTCAACCCAGAGTTCATGCGGCATGCAAAGCTATGTGGCTTCCTAAAGGACCTCATCTTTTTTCCAGCAACTCTGATGTATACTGTATCTCCCAGGCAAATACCATGTGCTTCTGCTTACCACACACAGCACCGTCAAGACAATGGGTTCACATTAAATGGGTCATTCTATCAGATAAAACTTAAATCACTTGAATATTTTGGGAAATCGTTAAGAAATTTATTTAACATGTTTTCATTCAGAGCACAATGCTAGGAGCTATGGGATGATACAAACCTTTACAGGGTTTAGTTTAGGACATGCAGGATACAGACATACATATACACACTTGGACTATGTGACAATATGCTTTCAATCAGAGCAGTTCTTTCTTCTCCCTGTAATTACAACACTGTCAAAAAGATTCTCCCTCGTATTCATTTTCCTGGGGAGAAAAAAAAAATCAATGTCCACAGTGACAAATCCAGCAAACTAACGTTGAGTGTGTGCTCACAGGAGCTAGTTTTCTCCATACTTACTTAACTTTTCTGGGAGATATTTTGATTTATTTATACAACCCCCAAAATCTGACCCTTTCAGTATTCCTTGGGATCAAGGACAAGCCTGTGGTATTTGGATCAGTGCAGTCTCTTTGCATGGCTGCTGGCAGTCAGGTCATGCATCAGCTGTGGCAACCACTGAGGGGCCAGGCTGGGACCTCCTAGGGTCACTGGAGGAGCAGCCTTCCCCTTTGTTTGAGGAGAACTTCAGAGAGATACATGGGTTAAGAGTGAAACAGGGACATGGGTTGGAGTTTCTGGAGTCCTTTTCCTTGCTCTTTTACAAACACATGGATAAATTCCTAAGTCAGCTCAGTAAACCTTGAGGTACAGTAGACCCCACCATTCAAACTAGTGAATAGATTGCCTCAACCCCCAAGAACACAGTCATCTACAGGGAAGAGGAAGCAGGGAGAGAAGCTGAGCTGCTGGGAGCCCATGCGCTCTAATCCAGAGGAAAGGGCTGACCCATCTCCAAGCCCTCAGCTGGGAGCCTACTGATTTTGAGTTATATGTAAAAGTAAGCTGATGAATTTAACATGAGCTATTGTATCTATAGAGCCCAATGGAGAGACTGTCAGAAGCTGAGGGGGTGTTGGTAGAATTTGACAGGTGAACTGAAAAGAAGTGGTAAAATTAGCAGACTGACCACCTCTAATTCTGGGGCGTGAGTGGAGAGGTGGATGGCCTAGGCTGCCGGGGAGACCCCCAAGGGCCTCATGCCTGCAGTGCAGCCCAGGAATTGGGATCCATAATGGTGGCCCCGTGCCATCAGAGGGGGGATTATGTCTGGAGTTATCTGTTTGAAACTCCAACAATTCATATATGTTGGAAATATTTTTAACAATATGAACCTAATTATTTTCATTATACTTAGAGATAAACATGAATTCTCTTGAAAATGTGCTCAGGTAAAACAGCTCATTCTTTAGTGAGGCCAGCTGTATGGACAGGGCCCCATCATGAAGGCCATCGTATGCTGTGGTGAGGAGGTTATGTTATCTTGTTAGCCAGGAGGAGTTGTTGAAGAATTTTGAGCTTGGGAAATGAGGTGACCAGATCTTTTTTGGGGGGTGGAGGGTGGGGGGGGTGGTGGTATGGGGGGGAGTTTTTCAGAGAAAGGAAGAAGATAGTGAGGTCTAGAGCTCTGGAGGCCAATAAGGAGGTTTTGTAATATTCCAGGAGAGAGGGTGAGCTCTTGAGCTAAGGTAGTGGAGCGGGAACGTGGAGGAGGATGTAGATTTATTTGGGTGTTGTTGGAACAGAACCTGATGACCAATTAGATGTGAGATAACAGAAGTATGATTCAGGCTGTTTTGGGCAACTGAGGAAATAGTAGTGAGATCTAAGATAGAGACGAAGATGGAGAGGCTGGGCCATGGTGGCTCATGCCTGTAATTCCAGCACTTGGGAAGCTGAGGTGGGTGGATCACTTGAGGTCAGAAGTTCGAGACTAGCTTGGCCAACATGATGAGACCCCATCTCTACTAAAAAAAAACGAAACAGGACACCAGGGAGAGGATGATGAATTTGGTCCTGGGGTACTGAGTCGGGTGAACCTGTGAAACATCTGGTTGGGATATAAGTGTAGGCTGGATCTAGAACACTGAATTCCCCCCCAGAAGAAATCATATTACTATTACATATAATGTAATAGGTTTGGAAGGTAGTAGTTTATGGCTGGTTGATAATTTCATGTGCATGGACAAGAAGTTCCAGGAGAGCTAATACAGAACTGAAAAAGGAGGAATTTGTCAGAGGCCTGGGAAAATATTTAATAACTCAGGTCCTTGGATTAGCAATGTAAGTAAAATTCCCTATAGATCCAAGTTCCCTGGAACCAATGAATTATCTCCCCTCACCCTTGCAAATGGTTATCTCAATTTCAATGGTTAACTGCCTTTCCCTATACCTTTTAACGTTTTACGTTACACCAAATGCTTTTTGTAAGTAAGTGAGGTATAAATTTTGAACTATAAGTAAAAATGTCCGTTTCTTGACTCTGGTAGTTTTTAGGGCTTTGTTTCTAAATTTTATGACTAGAAGTGGCTTATGCTGATTTCCTGTTATAATGATTTTTTATTTGTAAAAGTTTTAATACCCTCCATTTAGCTTACGCCTTAAAAGGTTATCAAACATGATTTTTCTAAGAAGCAGATGCAAGCAACACTATGTAATAAATATCTTGGTTTTCCAGTTCCTTTCATATTTCCATTCCGGGGTTTTCAAAACTAACAAAATTCAGCAAAACTTCTTCTTTATATGTATTTTTAATCCTAGTGTGATTATCACATTCATGATGCTGTTGACCAACAAAAATATTTTCCCACTGTATTTGCATTACTTTAGGGTGCCCTCCCCTCCTTTCCCCTCCCCTTCTCTTCCCTTTCTTGACAGAGTCTTGCTCTGTCACCCAGGCTGGAGTGCAGTAGTGTGACCTCGGAACTGCAACCTCCGCCTCCTGGGTTCAAGTGATTCTCATGCCTCAGCCTCCCAAGTAGCTGGGATTACACGTGTGCACAACCACACCCAGCTAATTTTTGTATTTTTACTAGAGACAGGGTTTTGCCATGTTGTCCAGGCTGGTCTCAAACTCCTGACCTCAAGTGATCCACCCACCTCAGCCTCCCAAAGTGCTGGGATTACAGGTGCAAGCCACTGTGCTGGGCCTTTCGCTTTTCTTTCTATGTAGTTTTAGATACAGCTGATGGCCATTCTGTTGGTCTGAAGTCTCATAATTGTATGTAATAGTAATACAATTTCCTCTGGGGAGGAATTCAGTGTTCTAGATCTACAATGAAATGGGTCTTGATAATTACCCACTGAATTGTTGAAGGTGTAAAACCCCCACCCAGCTAAGGATGATGTGCTGGTCTGTCTGATGCAGAATCCAGTCCTGTGGCAGATGCTCCAGTAATGTGAAGTTCCCAGGTCTTGAATTCCCTGTGATGGTTAACATTGAGTATTATACCTGGTTGTTCACTTTGGAAGGAGAAATGGCCAGATGTGTAATTATATACCATTTCCTGGGCCGTGGCCAATGGAAGGTCAAGGACTTGGAAGGAACACGATTGGAAAATTGGTGACAAGAAAGTCTGGGGAAGAGGTACATGGATAGACTTCTCTGAGTGGGCAAAAAATTTGAAGATATATGTGTCCCCTGTGAATGTTCACCAAATGGTGACCTCAGTAGAGGAGGATTTTAACAACCAGTTGGGCAGAACGACCCATTCTGTGGATACCAGCCAGCCTCTCCCCAGCTACTTATGTTATCACCCAAAGGGCTTACAAACAAAGTGGCCATGGTGGTAGAGATGGAGCTTAGGCATGAGCTCAGAAACATGGATTTCCACTCACCAAGACTGACCTGGCTACAGACACCACTGAGTGCCCCATCTGCCAGCAGCAGGGACTAATATTGAGTTGCACTCCTTGGGGTGATCAGCCAGCTACCTGGGGGCAGATTGATCATATTGGACCCCTTCCATCATGGAAGGGGCTTTCTTTTGTTCTTACTGGAATAAACACTTATTCTGGGTATGGATTTGTCTTCTCTGCATGCAATGCTGCTACCAGAACTACCATCCATGGACTCACGGAATGAATGCCTTACCCACCCACCGTCATACTATTCCACACAGCATTCTGACTGAGGAACTCACTTCACAGCAAATGAAGTACAGCAATGGGCCCCTGCTCATGGAATTCACTGGTCTTACCGTGTTCCCCACCATCCTAAAGTAATCGGCTTGAGACAACAGTGGGATGACCTTTTGAAGACTCGGTTGTAGCACCAGCTAGGTGGCAATACCTCACTCACATGGCTAGGGCAAGGTTCCCCAGAAGGCTGCATGTGCCTCGAGTCAGTGTCCTGTATATGGTGCGGTGTCTCCCAGCATGGACAGGTCCAGGAATCAAGGGGTGGAAATGGGAAATAGACCAATCACTATTACCTTTGGAAGCCTATTAGCAAAAAATGTGCCTCCTGTTTCTACAACCTTCTGGTCTGAATGACTCAAACCATTCAGGAATGACAATTTAGGTCACCCTTCCAGGTCAAACACTACGCCCAGCTGAGGAGCTTGCTGAGGGAAATGGTAATAGAGAATGGGCAGTGGAAGAAAGTAGCTATAAATACCAGCGACACCATGGGACCAGTACAGAAACAAGGACTGTCACTGTCATGAGTATTTCCTCCCTATTTTGTTATGAATATGTTTGCATATATATATTAGGCAAATTATTTGTTTTTGTCCCTCTCTTATCACTTTAACACATAACATAATATTGTTAATAGTGTTGATTTTATACTATAGTATTGAAGTATTAACTTTTCATCATAGTGTTTAAGTTATGGGCTATCAAGGAGAAGAGTAAACATCCCCAAGGACCTTGCATCCTCTTCTGGGAAAGAGTTGGTGTATTTTTGGGTGTATGCAGGATAGCTCTATCATGTGAGGCTGAAGCATGACCTTGTTATTGTCTTTATTCGGAGGTTAAGCAAGGTTTAAGGAGATGGGCTGGATGCCAAGTTGACAAGGGGTGGGCTTGTGAGGGTTAATTTTAGGTGTCCACTTGTTGGGCCACCGTGCCAAGATATTTGGTCAGACGTTCTTCTGGATGTTTCTGTGAGGGTGTTTTTGGATGAGATTAACATTTAAATTGGTGGACTTTCAGTGAAGCAGATTTCCATGATTTGAGTAGGTCTCAGCAAGATAGAATTCTGCAGCAGTCTGCCTTCAAACTTAAACTGCAACACCAGCTCCTCACTGGGTCTCCAGCCTGCTGACCTGCTGTGAAGGCTTTGGACTCCCCAGCATCCATAATAATCACGTGGACCAATTCCTAAAAAATCAGTCTCCTTCTAATTCTGTCTCTTTCCCTATTGATTCTGTTTCTCTGAAGAATGCTGATTAACACATTTCCCTAAACTATCTCCTGGAGAATGTCACCTTATTTCATTTAAGTAATTCTTATTCAGTCCTACATCCCCAAATGCTTCAGAAGCACCCTGATTTTTGTTTGTTTGTTTGTTTTTGAGATGGAGTCTCGCTCTGTCACCCAGGCTGGAGTGGAGTGGCACGATCTCAGCTCACTACAAGCTCCGCCTCCTGGGTTCATGCCATTCTCCTGCCTCAGCCTCCTGAGTAGCTGGGACTACAGGTGCCCGCCACCGTGCCTGGCTAATTTTTTTGTATTTTTAGTAGAGACGGGGTTTCACTGCATTAGCCAGGATGGTCTCGATCTCCTGACCTCGTGATCTGCCCGCCTTGGCCTCCCAAAGTGCTGGGATTACAGGTGTGAGCCACCGTGCCCAGCCCAGAAGCACCCTGATTTTTAGTGTACATAATTATGAGGAATTAGCTTAGTTCCATAAAATTTAAACAAGATTAGAATGATTAGGTGATTGAAACCTCAGCGCAAATGCTGTCTGCACTCAGCTTGAAGACAGGCATGTCTCTGAGACAGGGAACAATCCAGTTGTAATCCCTGGGCACAATTCACAGAAGAGAGTAATTGAATCAGTGTATCATGCTCATCATCCACCCCAAGGGAAGCCTCAGCATCACAGTATCCAAAGGAACCCAAAGGTAAGAAAAGAAGGAAAAGCCGAAGTGACTGCGCCTCTCACAGCAAACAAGAACACCACATTCTGCAGCTGTATTAACTGTGGATACCATTTGTGTACATGCTTCCTGTAATCCCAAATAGCAGGTGCCAACCTGTTTTCTTGGGTTGGAAATATTAGCCCCTGAAGCCAGTTGTGTGTGGTCATGGTTATGAGCGTGATTTCTGCAGTTGGATGCACCACATCCATATTCAGTGCTGCAGGGATCACCATCTATGCATGGAAGAGACTGGGTACCTGGTGGCACTTGGATAATAAGCACACATGCTATAGAGACAGCAGCAAGTGCATTTCAAAGCACTTTTGTATCTATTATTTAAAAAGTGGTGGACTTGTTTGTTGCATATATGCTGAGGAATGTTTACATGTACATTTCAAACCCAGTTTTCTAATTGTGCAGTCTTAATTTCCTAGTTAATTTCACTTTACAGATAAGAAGCTCTGGAGACATGGCCTTTCCGGTTAAAGACACAGAGCCCAGGCACTGCCCACGGCTTCCTCCACACTCATGCTGCTTTCCCTTAGGTAAGACAAACCTCACCAAAGCTGAGACTGGCTCAAGAAACGGGGAAGCCTAATGCTTGTAAACATTCCCTTAATTGGAAGCATTAGGCACCAAAATTCTTCCTAAAAAATATGTAAGCCCCAAGAATGAAAGGGCCATGGTTAGCACAAACCGCACCTCCTGAGCCCAGCAAAACCCAACAGGCACAGTGCAGCACAGCCTGGGCGGTCTCTCAGGTGAGTCTCTGCCTCGCTCTTGCCCTGTCTGTCACCTCATCTCTGCCAAGTCTGAAAATCCTGAGCTCCAGGGACTGTGGGAACTTCACTAGACATGTGTGAACAACTCTACATTCTGATCCGTAGCGTCTCCCTAATGATGCACATCTAGGAAGGAGAGGGAGGGAGAGGGAGCGTGTGCATTCCTTGGAGCAACGAGGACAGCCTAGTGATTTGCAAACTCTTTGCGGCCTCCTGGTGGGCTTCAGAATCAATTTGTGAGTCCCAACCAGAATTTTCTACATAATTAGAATAAAACAGAGTTAAGATATGAGTGCATCGTATGTTGCAAGATACTGTTTTGTAAACGTTGTTTCAGATATTTGTGAGTGCACATGTGTGTGTGCAGTAATGGGTCACAAAATATATTTACTCTGGGTCATGTTTTAAGAGGGCTAGAAGGCAACACTAACATAGGATGGTTGGAAGATGGTCAGGCTCAGAACATCAGATTTTGCCTCCTTCCAGGGTACCACTTTTATCAAGTCACACATTCCTTCCCGCTCTGCTTTTGTGTTTCTCAATCGCTATCCAAATTTGCGCAGAAGTCAGGAATCACGTGGGTAAAGATTTAAGCTGTACTTCTGTGTTAATTAAGCACGTTGAAGAAGAGGTGCTCTGGGGGAACGTGGAGAAGGTGGGTAGCGAGGGCTCCAGGGGCTCAGAAGGTGGCCTCGAGGGGCTCTCATCTGCCATCCTTGTGAGGGAGAAAGTCCTAAACCAGTCGTAACATTGCCAGAACAAGGGGTCCCAATCCAGACCTCCAAAGAGGGTGCTTGGATCTCTCATGGGAAGGAATTCAAGGTGAGTCACAAAGTGCTGTGAGAAGAGAGAGTTTTTTGGAAGTTACGCAGATACAGAGTAGGGTGTCCTCAGAAAGCAAGAGGAGGAACTGCCTCGTCTTTAAGTTTTTCTTACATAGGAGTCCTCTCTATGTAAAGACAGAGCTAAGCTGTGTCTCTATGTGGGTGGGCTGACAGCGTGACAAAATTTATTATTCTGTTGATTTAAAGAAAACTATACTCAATATTTTAATGTGTAAGTACATCAAGTCATAATTATAATTATCTTGAAAGCATATATTGTTATGGGTATTGGGACCTCTGGACTTTTCGTTGTCATATGATTGTATCCTTGCAGGTATCTTTAGGCTGTTTCTTCAACTGTAAATATCTTATGACTGTGGGTCGTGACCGGCAAGGAATGGAGTTGGTTTTTAAAATGGTGTCACCCTGGCTCTTCTATGCTCCTGTTTCCCTAACAGTAATAGCCCAGCCATTCTCTCCCATGTTCTCCTCTGCCCTCAACTTCAGAATGAAGTCAATTTTTATTTCAGCCAAAATAGGAGGATTCTATTCTGTCTGTTGAGGTCTGCTGTGGTCTAATGATGTTAATAACCAGTGGCTGGGCATGATTACACGACGAGGATTCTAAATCCTGTTTCATGTTTCCCTCTGGGCCCACTGGCTATATGACCCCTTAAATGTTTACCGTGATTGCAGGAGGCCCTGGCTAACATAGGGTCGTTAGTGTCAGAACTGAATTAAATTGTAGGACATGCAGGTGGTGACTGCAGAGAATTGGAGCATTGCTTGGAGTGAAAACCAAGCCCACATATTTGGTGTCAAAAGTGTTATACAAGTAGAAAAACAGGTTCTCTTTAATGGAATATTATTCAGCCGTATTAAGGAATGAGGTTCAGACCCATACTACAGCACATATGAATCTCCAAAATATTGTGTTTAGTGAAATAATATAGACACAAAGGACAAATACTGTATAATTGCACTTACATGAGGTGCCTGGAATAGGCAAATCCATAGAGACAGGCAGTAGAATCATGGTTGCCAGGGGCTGGGCGGGAGGGAGAATGGAGAGTTAGTGCTTAATGGGTACAGAGTTTCTGTTTAGAGGTGATGAAAACAGTTTGGAAATAGTGGTGATGATTGTACTATATTGTGAATGTATGTAATGCCACTCACCGAACACTCTAAAGTGTTTGAAATAGCAAATTTCTATTATACGTATTTTACCATAGTTTTTAAGTTAATTACCATAGTTTTTAAAAGTTAATAGGATAATATTCCCTGAACCACTATACACTTTAGATTGGTACACTGTGTGGCATGTGCATTATATCTCAATGAAGTTGTTAAAAACAAGATTTAAAAGCAGAGATTGGGTAAAGTAAAGGTTTGCTCTGTGCTGAGCTGTGTGGCATGTGGACCTGTTTTCCCAGGAGGGAGCACTCCTGGGGTTTTGGCCGCAGCTGCACATCAGCCCCCTGTGCAGAGGAGGTATGGTGTGTGATCTGGAGATTAGCTGTTTCTAGTGCAGTATTTACATTTAAAGACATTGCTGAGTTAGGCAGAATTTTCTATATCCATTTGTATTTTGCTTGGCATTCACTTTCTTACAAAAATGGACAATCAAGACAAAGAAAACAAAAGGTCCAATTACTACTCTTCATTTCACCCCAAAGCAAAACAATATTAGTTTTCAATTTTTTTTTCCCATAGAAAGCAATAACAGTCCCATACTACCTCCTCTTCCATGAAAGTAGTGCTTGAGATGCCCCAAGGAAAAACCATTCTTTCCAAAGATGAAAGACTTTGTACCTGTCAGGTGAAGAGATGGAATAAATGCCACTCCTAGTGGGTGTGGGACTTGTGCAGCCCCTGGTCCCCAGTTATCTGCTTATCAGAATGTGGTTTGCATATCACCTTTAGCGGAATTCCTTGGGATGCTTGTAATTCTGGGGGAGATGTCTGGAGTCTGCATTTTTAGCCAGTACTCCTATGACTTAGGCACAGTAGGGAACCACTGGTGCCATTCCTTCCTTCCTTTCTTCCTTCCTTCCTTCCTTCCTTCTTTCCTTCCTTCCTTCCTTCCTCCCTCCCTCCGTCCTTCCCTCCCTCCTTCTTTCTCTCTTTCTTTCTTTCTTCGGAGTCTCACTCTGTCACCCAAGCTGGATTGCAATGGTGTGATCTTGGCTCACTGCAACCTCTGTCTTCTGGGTTCAAGTGATTCTCCTGCCTCAGCCTGCTCAGTAGCTGGTATTATAGGTGTGCACCACCACACCCAGCTAATTTTTTTGGATTTTAGTGGAGGGGTTTCACCACGTTGAGCAGGCTGATCTTGAACTCCTGGCTTCAAATGATCCACCCGCCTCAGCCTCCCAAAGTACTTGGATTACAGGCGTGAACCACTGCGCCCTGCTGCAATGCTTTTGCTTTCCGTATACAAGGAGGGGTTGCAGGCTTGACTCTAAAATGATTGACTTTATGGAGGACCGTCTCATGTCTGGATGGTAAGTGATAGGGGAGGGGGCAACCCTAAATGGGATCCCAATGACTTGATGAAAGACTGGAAGATGAGACACTTTCAGGTGTGCATAATGGAAGACTTACGTAGGACTAGGACCAAGCCTCTCAATTATACTAAGTTGTCCATGATTGACCAGGGATTTGATGAAAATCCCACTGCCTTCCTAGAAAGGTTAAGAGAGGCCTTGGTAAAGCACACCTCTCTATCTCCTGATTCAGTCAAGGGACAGCTAATCCTAAAGGATGAATTTGGCTGGGCATGGTGGCTCATGCGTGTAATCCCAGCACTTTGGGAGGCTGAGGTGGGAGGATCACCTGAGGTCAAGAGTTTGAGACCAGCCTTGTCAACGTGGTGAAACCCTGTCTCTACTAAAAATACAAAAAAAATTAGCTGGGTGTGGTGGCAGGTGCCTGTAATCTCAGCTACTCGGGAGGTGGAGGCAGGAGAATTGTTTGAATCTGGGAGGCAGAGGTTTGCAGGGAACCTAGATCGCACCATTGCACTCCAACCTGGGTGACAAGCAAAACTCCATCTCAAAAAAATAAAAGGGATAAATTTATTACTCAAGCTGCCCGATATCAGGAGGAAGTTGCAGAAAGGGGCCCTGGGTCCAGAAAGTACATTAGAGGACCTCCTGAAAATGGCCACCTTGGTCTTTTATGATTGAGACAGGGAGGCCTGGGAAAGAGAGAGGAGATACAGGTATTCCAGGGTGCACCTGTTAACTTCTAAAGATATGGCAAGAACAGTTCTCTCTCTTCTAAAGTTTATCTGCCCCCGTACAAGGTTTAATTTCTTTCACCAGGGTGAAACAGCTTGGAGTACAATGTTGTTGTTAGTATATTTCACTTATCTCTGTTGGCACTAAATTCTTTCCTTGTATAATACACATGTTTAACTTATGCATACTTGACCTTATAAAACTTGTTTTTTTCTCTCATGCCTAGAAGCCATCAAACTCCAAATGGTCAGGCAACTGGAGCCTCAGATGATAGCTCCCCTTTGCTAGGAACCCTTAAATAGACCTCTGGGAGGACTCTGACTGCCATTTTCTCCAAAACAACACCCCTTGTCAGCAGGAAGCAGCAAGACTGGTCATCAACCATATTCTAACGGCAGTATTCCTATGATTTAGCCAGTGGGCCGTGACCGGCAAGGAATGTGCCTTGTTAGTTTCAAGATGGAGTTGATTTTTAAAATCATGTCACCCTGGCTCTTCTATGCTCCTGTTCCCCTAACAGTAATAGCCCAGCCATTCTCTGCCATGTTTTCCTCTGCCCCCAGCTTCCGAATGAAGTCAATTTTTATTTCTTCAACGTACCTCTTCAGAGGGGAAATTATACAGGAGGGGGGCAGGGAAGTGCTGGGTAGAGAAAGGTGGATCCCCAGCTAGGGTTCCACCCCCACAGACCTAGGTGAGGAAAGGCACTTCTGGCTTCACACCCAAATGTTGCATTTTCGAAGACCAACCTGGCCTGCCATGCCCCCATTCTGGGCCTATAAAAACCCACCACCCTAGCGGACAGACACACAGGTGGCCAGACGTCAAGAACAGCACATCAGCAGTTGAAGACACAAAAGGGTGGACGACAAGAAGGCATCACAAGAGAACGTCAAGGGAGCACGCCGATGGAAGAACCTGCTGGCAGGCTATCCACTGTTGGCATGAGGGGGAGTTTGGCTGGGGCAGTCAGAGAAGAGCCCGGCTGCATAGCGGCCCAATTCCAGGGGAAAACCATCTCTCTTTTGGCTCCCCCGGCAGAGAGCTACTTCTGCTCAATAAAACTTGGCTTTTATTCACCAAGCCCAGGTGTGATCCGATTCTTCCGGTACACCAAAGCAAGAATCCCTCTGTCCTTGTGACAAGGTAGAGGGTCTAATTGAGCTGGTTAATACAAGCCACCTATAGAGAGCAAACTAAGAAAGCACCCTGTAACACAGGCCCACTGGGGCTTCAGGAGCTGTAAACATTCACCCCTAGACACTGCCGTGGGGTCGGAGCCCCCCAGCCTGCCTATCTGTATGCTCCCCTAGAGGTTTGTGCAGTGAGGCACTGAGGAAGTGAGCCATACTCCCATCCACGCCCTACAAAGGGGATAAGGGAATCTTTCCTGTTTCATAAGTAGCAATCTCTGTGGTAACAGCCCCTGTGGTGATGCCGTCTCTCTCGGTTCTGCCCTCTCTATGCTCAGAGGCCCTGGTTGCTGATTGCATCTCATCCGAACACCTTGTCGGGGGCTGAAGCCCACTGTGCCCAGGTCTTCCTAGGCTGGGCCAGGCTGCGTTTTGACCTGACCTTGCCCTGCAAACCATTCCAGCCTCAGCATAGACCCTCCGCTGCTCCTGCCCAGGCCTCGCCTATTCCCAGTAAGGCTGCCTGGAGCAAGTTGTTTCCAAACATTGACCTGAGGTTGAGCAGGAGTTAAAACCAAACTCCTGCACCCCCGTGAATGCCCAGCCCTGGGACACTCACATTATTTAAGCAGCATTGCTGAGGATTTGGTTCAGCTCAGTACTCCCGGGGTGGGTTCTCAAAACACCAGACTGGGGCTGGACACAGCACAGCCTGGCCTGAGCACTGCCCTGTGGATCAAGGTCCACTCTGACACTTTCTAGCTGCTGGTGGCTGTGTTTTTTTTCTCCCACCCTGGACCTGAGCTGTCTATTTAGAGGGGAATGTGTCCTTGTGCATGCCATCCCTTTCCCAGGCCCCGTTGTATGACCTTCCTGAAATGGTACTTAATCATTTTTTACAAGAAGGGTATATTCCTAATGTGTGCTGAAAGAGCCACTTTGCTAGAAATCAGAAATCAGAGCTGCCAGAAGTTGTTAGGTGTGGCTACTATTTGGTATGAAGCCCCCCCGCTCCCTGCTTAACCATAATTCCACTTTAACAGAAATGTCTGATTTAAAGAACAGGAGCGTCAGAAACAGAAACTTGAAATGGGCCTGAATCCTGGCCCTTGCAACTTTCCATAAACCTCTTCAGATCTTCTGTGGGTGCTCTGTCCCCCAACAGAAGTTACTCTGCAATGTTAATTTATAGATCATCTAGCTGCCTCCTGACTCTTGGCAATTTCATTTTGATGAATGTCATTTAAAAACTCATTTATTCAACAAACGTGTGATGCTCTCCCGTACCAGGTACCTAGCTATGTACTCAGTATTCCACGGCCAACAATACATACCTGCACCCTGCCCTTGAGAAACCATATCATCCACGTGCAGTAGGTCCAAAGGTTCATGGCAGGTACTAACAGAGTCCTCAGGTGGGGAGGAGCATGCAAAATGCCTTGAAATAACTGCTGGAGAGAGTGACATCTAGGTTGTCATCTGAAGGCTGGGTCAGATTTTAATCACAAAATGACCTTCGACCTGACCCATTCCCCCAAACAGGAGTTTACTGAGCTCAACGTTCTTCATCTACCTGCATTTCCCTCTGAGACATGAGGCTTTTCTAAGTAGTTCACTAAGTGAGAAAGCCAATAGAAGGAACTCAAATTGGCTTACTCAGATTGGTTAATGAAAAATATTTGATTGTCCATCAACGGAATATACATACTTCTTAGCACTGCATAGCATTTATTATAAAATTGACCACATAATTGGAAGTAAAAGACTCCTCAGCAAATGCAAAAAAAAAAGGAAACGGAAATCATAACAAACAGTCTCTCAGACCACGGTACAATCAAATTAGAACTCAAGATTAAGAAACTCACTGAAAACCACAAAACTACATGGAAACTGAACAACCTGCTCCTGAATGACTACTGGGTAAATAATGAAATTAAGGCAGAAATAAATAAGTTCTTTGAAACCAGTGAGAACAAAGACACAGTGTACCAGAATCTCTGGGACACAGCTAAAGCAGTGTTTAGAGGGAGATTTATAGCACTAAATGCCCACATCAGAAAGTGAGAAAGATCTAAAATTGACACCCTACCATCACAATTAAAAGAACTAGAGAAGCAAGAGCAAACAAATTCAAAAGCTAGCAGAAGACAAGAAATAACTAAGATCAGAGCAGAACTGAAGGAGATAGAGACACGAAAAACCCTTCAAAAAAATCAATGAATCCAAAAGCTGGTGTTTTGAAAAGACTGACAAACTAGATAGACCACTAGTCAGACTAATAAAGAAGAAAAGAGAGAAGAATCAAATAGACACAACAAAAAATGATAAAGTGGATGTCACCACTGATCCCACAGAAATACAAACTACCATCAGAGAATACTATAAACACCTCTATGCAAATAAACCAGAAAATCTAGATGAAATGGATAAATTCCTGGACACGTACACCCTCCCAAGACTAAACCAGGAAGAAGTCGAATCCAGGAAGAAGTCGAATCCCTGAATAGACCAATAACAAGTTCTGAAATTGAGGCAGTAATTAATAGCCTACCAACCAAAAAAAAGCCCAGGACCAGATGGATTCACAGCCGAATTCTACCAGAGGTACAAAGAGGAGCTGGTACAATTCCTTGGGAAACTATTTCAAACAATAGAAAAAGAGGGACTCCTCCCTAACTCATTTTATGAGGACAGCATCATCCTGATACCAAAACCTGGCAGAGACACACAAAGAAAGAAAATTTCAGGCCACTATCCCTGATGAATATCGATGTGAAAATTCTCAATAAAATACTGGCAAACCGAATCCAGCAGCACACCAAAAAGCTTATCCAGCACGATCAAGTAGGCTTCATCCCTGGGATGCAAGGCTGGTTCAACATATGCAGATCAATAAACGTAATCCATCACATAAACAGAACCAATGACAAAAACCACATGATTATCTCAATAGATGCAGAAAAGGCCTTCGATAAAATTCAACACCCTTCATGCTAAAAACACTCAATAAACCAGAGCTATTTATGACAAACCTATAGCCAATATTATACTGAATGGGCAAAAGCTGGAAGCATTCCCTTTGAAAACCAGCACAAGACAAGGATGCCCTCTCTTACCACTCCTATTCAACATAGTATTTAGAAGTACTGACCAGGGCAATCAGGCAAAAGAAAGAAAGAAAGGTATTCAAATAGGAAGAGAGGAAGTCAAATTGTCTCTCTTTGCAGATGACATGATTGTATATTTAGAAAACCCCATCGTCTCAGCCAAAAAACTCCTTAAACTGATAAGCAACTTCAGCAAATTCTCAGGATACAAAATCAATGTGAAAAATCACAAGTATTTCTATACACCAATAATAGACAAACAGAGAGCCAAATCATGAGTGAACCCCCATTCAAAATTGTTACAAAGAGAATAAAATACCTAGGAATCCAACTTACAAGGGATGTGAAAGACCTCTTCAAGAACTACAAACCACTGCTCAAGGAAATAAGAGAGGATACACGGAAATGGAAAAACATCCCATGCTCATGGATAGGAAGAATCAATATTGTGAAAATGGCCATACTGCCTAAAGTAATTTATAGATTCAATGCTATTCCCAACAAGCTATCATTGACTTTCTTCGCAGAATTAGAAAAAACTACTTTAAATTTCGTATGACACCAAAAACAAGCCCATATAGCCAAGACAATCCTAAGCAAAAAGAACAAAGATCATGCTATCAGACTTCAAACTATATAATCAAAACAATGTGGTACTGGCACTGAAACAAATATATAGACCAATGGAACGGAACAGAGGCCTCAGAAATAACACCACACATCTACAACCACCTGATCTTTGACAAACCTGACAAAAACAAGGAATAGGAAAAGGATTCCCTATTTAATAAATGGTGCTGGGAAAACTGACTAGCCATATGCCAAAAACTGAAACTGGACCCCTTCCTTACACCTTATACAAAAATTAACTCAAGATGGATTAAAGACTTAAACTTAAGACCTAAAACCATAAAAGCCTTAGAAGAAAACCTAGGCAATACCATTCAGGACATAGGCATGGGCAAAGACCTCAAGACTGAAACACCAAAAGCAATTGCAACAAAAGCCAAAATTGACAAATGGGATCTAATTAAACTAATGAGTTTCTGCACAGCAAAGAAACTATCATCAGAGTGAACAGGCAACTTACAGAATGGGAGAAAATTTTTGCAATCTATCCATCTGACAAAGGGCTAATATCCAGAATCCACAAGGAACTTAAACAAATTTACAAGAAGAAAACAAACAACCCCATCAAAAATTGGGCAAAGGATATGAACAGACACTTCTCAAAAGAAGACATTTATGTGGCCAACAAACATATGAAAAGCAGCTCATCATCACTGGTCATCAGAGAAATACAAATCAAAACCACAATAAGATACCATCTCACGGCAGTTAGAATGGCAGTCATTAAAAAGTCAGGAAACAACAGATGCTGGAGAGGATGTGGAGAAATAGGAACGCTTTTACACTGTTGGTGGGAGTGCAAATTAGTTCAACCATTGTGGAAACATTATGGTGATTCCTCAAGGATCTAGAACCAGAAATACCATTTGACCCAGCAATCCCATTACTGGGTATATACCCAAATGATTATAAATAATTCTACCATAAAGACACATGCACATGCTTGCTTATTGCAGCACTATTTACAATAGCAAAGACTTGGAACCAACCCAATGCCCATCAATGATAGACTGGTTAAAGAAAATGTGGCACAGACACACCATGGAATACTATGCAGCCATAAAAATGAATGAGTTCATGTCCTTTACTGGGACACGGATGAAGCTGGCAACCATCATTCTTAGCAAACTAACACAGGAACAGAAAACCAAACACCGCATGTTTTCACTCATAAGTGGGAGTTGAACAATGAGAATACGTGGACCCAGGGAGGGGAACATCACACACTGGGGCTTGTCAGGGGGTGGGGAGCAAGGGGAGGGACAGCATTAGAAGAAATACCTAATGCATTCAGGGCTTAAAACCGAGATGATGGGTTGATGGGTGCAGCACACCATCATGGCACATGTATACCTATGTAACAAACCTGCACATTCTGCACATGTATCCTAGAACTTAAAGTATAATTTTAAAAAAGTTTTAAAAAATATTTGATTGTCAAAGGATTCTAACTCTGAATGTCGTTTATTACCCCAAAGAGTAGGACCATCTCCCTTCTCGGTGCTGTCATTTTCATCATCTTTTAAAGAGTTCATAGGGTTGTCCTTACAGTAATGAGTTTGTTGTAATGTTTTAGGGGAAATAATTAGCCCTTTTAGGACATTAGATTATCCCCTAGTGGTGACATTACATCTCTGGGGAACATTTTATATCCTCCAGAAAAGGGATCTCATTAAGTCAAGTGTGTTAAAGACACATTCAAAGTCACTGTCACAGGAGTTCATTATTTCTGAAGGAAATGTAAGCAGCAATTTCACAGTTGAGTCTGCAATTATTAAAAAAAAAAAAAAGTCCAAAGACCCTCAGTTCTTCTGACATAGCCACTCTGTAATTCATTTTTTAATTCAAAATATGCATTATAAAGTACTAAACCAAAAAATGTTAAAAACGAAGAAAGAAACAACAACAGCAAAAACACGTCGGAGAGTAAGCTAACGGTCCCCTGCGGAGCAGCAAGTCACTGTTTCTCCCACGCTCCATACTTCAGAATGCAAATGGGCTAAGTTCATGCTCATTCATTAATATCCATGACTGTTGTCACAGTTTTTTCTTTCTCAGCATCATTCTATGAAGAATAAATGACTTAGTTACCACAAACCAATGATGAGTTTTTCAAGTGGAAAAGACAAACACTTGAGCCCCATTTTACACGAATGACCATAAAAACTGAAAACCATGAAAATGTTGAGTCAACATCCCCAGTAACACCCGGGGAGCTTCGTAGAACTATTCAACGATGTAGATTTGGCCACACCCTGGATCAAATCACGACCCCAAAAGAAATACAGAAAAAATTTAGACAGTAGTCTTCTGACTGAACCCCAAGATTTCAGTGATAATCCATTCAAAAATATTTATAAGGCAAAAATCCATTTGGCAATCAAGAACTTAAGTCAACATGTTCTTATTAATCATGCAGTTAGTCGCATGTGGTGTTTCCACTTGTGCAATCTTCCTAAATTAGCTTAACTGGAAATGGAGAGCCTCAACTTTGGAAGGCTCTTCTGGAAACAGGCACTGCTTCCTGGGCAGCTCTGCCGAAGAGAGATCATAATCTCACAGCAGCTGACAGTCTAGCACTGACTTTGTCTGGCATTTCTGAGCCCCTGTAGTGCACCTCTCATCGAATGCTTTGGGAATTCTGAGGGAGCTGCTGCATCCTCATCTTTCACACGCAGGAGGGACTCATATTCAGAGGTTAGGAGGTGGAGGGGGCATTTAAGCCCAGGTCTGTCTCACTTTGGAGCCTGCGCTCCTGACCACCTGCGTGGTTGTTTCTCCAGGAGGTTGTTTGTTAGACTGGGTGGAAGCAGGTCTCTTCCTCTGCGGGTCCTGATGTCAGTCCCTCCTCTTGCTGACAGCTCTTCAGACTTGTGACAGCAGCCAGCATTCTGTGAATTCTCCTCTTCTCCAGGCTAAATGTTCCCAGGACTTCCAAGATTCCTCAGACATCAGAAAGAGCCAGTCCCTCCATCATCCTGTCTGCCTGAACACACAGAGGTCAGGGGGAGACAGTGTGGGGCACAGTCATTGTCTTGATTCAAATGGAGTTTACTGAAAACAAATGAAAGGTTTTCCTCTGACATGCTGTGCTCCATACTTGCACAGCTTGTTTTGTGAACTTAAACCTAAGAACTTACATTTTGTCTTTAATAAATTGCATCCTGATAGACTGAGCACAATGTTCTAATTTATCTTTGTATTTTCTAAAATTCAGTTTTGGTACTCAGTATATCTTCCACACTTTCGGCTCTGTTGTCTATGCAGCATTACCTAGAGGAAAGAACATAGTTTAAGGTCATATTAACTTGGATTCAAATTCTGGGTGTGACACTTACGAGCTGTGCAACCTTGGGCAACCATGGTACCGAACCCTGCGACCTTCTTGTAATACATGGAGTGTTGTTTAGATGTAAGCTGTTCTTGAAGAGCTAAATGAGAGGAAACACACACCCCCTGGGGTTGGCCCCAGGAGTCTGAAGGAGGCGCTACAGTGGGATTGTAATTTAGGAAGCAAAACCTAAGCAACTTGAGAGTAACCTGTGCAGAGAGTGAATGTGTGCCTGGAACAGATGGTTCAGTGCAGACCACAGAAAAAGGAAGCCAGAAGCTATCTATTTTAGGGAGAGAAACACTGTATCCTAGACAACAGAACCTTCTGGAACAGGCCTCACTGTGGCCTGAATAAAATAGCCCTCACCCTAATAGGAGCTGTCATACTAGGCTCCTATTGACTTCAATAAGGATAGCACCATGTTCAAGAGGCCCAAGAAGAGACCCAGAGCCAGCAAATGAGACACAGTGTTTACTGGGGGAACTTACATTCAGGGATGGTCCAGTGGCAGCAGGCTTGACAGGGGAACCATTACCTCTCATAAAAGGCATGCAGTTCATGTAGCATTTTCACTTAGCACCCTCCCCCAGCAACCTGCCACAGGATGGGCCAGGGGCTCAGATGTTCCTCATAGGTAAGAAATGGACCTCCTAGTTGGCCACTCCTGGACTGCTTAGCTGAGAACTCTGAACAGACACTCTTCTTAGACCATGGAGTCATTCTCAGGGTATGCTTGAGTTCTCATTGTCAGGTGCATCTGCCATACAGGGGCCACCAATCAGCCAGGCGTCAGAACGGAGCAACACACTGACCTCTCAGGAGTGCTGATGGGAGTCGTGAGCATCTGGTCACTGGAAAGGAACGTCCCCCAGTGGACACAATAACTGGCGCCCGGTACACACACTGCATCTCGTATGTTTAACTGCACACATACCCCTGACTCACACCACTCTGGAACAGGGACAGGGGTCTCCACACTCACCCCTGTGGGGCCTGCTGAGGGCACATTCTGCCTTCCTGTGTTGACATCCTGATCTCACCTTCATCTCTTTTTTGACCTGCAACTCGCTGCCATTTTCTAATCTGTAACAAAGGAGCACAACACCCTCTGTGTAGCTTCATCACAATGAGCGAGTAAACAACGTGCCTACAGTGACTATCCTGGTGCCTGCAACATCCCAGGCTCTTACCCCTACTGTCCCACACGCCCACCTCCCACTGCCACCACTGTTGCCCAAACTGAACAGGAACGAGCTGAGGGCCTCAGAGGGCACCAATCCAGTCCCCTTCCTAATGACAACAGCCCTCTACCCATGGTCCTGTGAACACGGTCTTTTTAGGCAGTCATTAACCCCCCTGTCTGCATTATTCCCTGGCCTGCATGGTGCTCAAGGGCACCAGGTTGAAGTCCCGATGAAGAGCATCTACACATTTCTCTGATTTTTCTAGCAAGCCTATCAAAAGTAAAAACTGGTTTAGATCGGCATGACTTTTTTTTTAATTTAAAGTGTATTTGCAAAACATCTCATTAAAAATCCATTACAGAATCTTTCCAGGATGAATGTCAACTCATAGAGTATGTAGAGTATGGCTTAAAAAGTCCTTTTTCTCCCTCTTTGAAAATTAGATCCATGTTTTTCAAAATCTGGCCTTTTCAGCCCTTTCTTATTTTCTGTGACCTTTCTTCAAAAATTCATATCGGTTCAGTTATCTCAACTAGATATTCCAGCCTGTGACTCCTCAGGCTGAAATTTGTCAAAGTCAGGAGATTTTAACTGTTTTAGAGCAGCTATGAACTCTACTAGAATCTTCTTAAAACTCCTTTTTTAATGATAAAGGAAAAAAGATAAAGCCCCTAATATTCCATATTCCCACCAGATTTAACCACTATTAACATCTTGGCATATTTGGCTTCCAGGTTTTTTTTTTTTTTTTTGTAAGAAAAATCACTACATTGCTTTTTATAAAAGTGATATATGTATAATAATATCAAGTACAAAAAAATGTAGTAAGTAGAAAGGTAACAGTTTTTAATCACACCAATTCCACACTCAGAAATTGCTATTGTTACCATTAGGTGAACATGGTCTCAGACAGCTCCCTGTGCATAAAAATAGAAGGCACTTAGAAACACTTCCATAAAAATGTAATCGGCCAGGCTAGGTGGCTCACCCCTGTAATCCCAGCACTTTGGGAGGCCGAGGCGGGCAGATCACAAGGTCAGGAGGAGTTCGAGACAAGCCTGACCAACATGGTGAAACCCCATCTCTACTAAAAAAAAAAAAATACAAAAATTAGCCGGGCCTGGTGGTGTGCACCTGTAATCCCAGCTACTCAGGAGGCTGAGGCAGGAGAATCGACCGGGGAGGCGGAGGTTGCAGTGAGCGGAGATCGCGCCACTGCACTCCAGCCTGGGCGACAGAGCGAGATTCCGTCTCAAAAAAAAAAAAAAGTAATCAGGCTGAAACATCATAATTATTATATAGTAGCAAATGTATTTTCCTTGAATTTAATAAAGTAAAATTAAACTGAAGGCATTTTTGAAACTCAAATAAAACTTCCTCTGTGGCAAGAGATACGATTTCCTAAAAATCACTCTCGGTTTAAACAAAGAAATCGCGACAAACATTCAGATAGGTTAGGGTCATTACTGTTGGTTTCTCAAAGTCTATTTGCATGTCTGACAGCGTGTGTTGACTCTTGGCTTTTAAAGGCGACATCGAGTCCTTTCGTCTTTCTGCCTTGTCTCCTGCCTGTGGCTCCTTATTTTTGTTAATCATACTCTTATTTTACTCAGTGCAGGTTTGTGACGTTCATATTTATTGGTGACCACAGTGTTCTGTATTAGCTCACGGCAGCCTTTAATCGTAGTGCCTGCCCCCTGACGTGTCTGCAGATGGCTGCCTTGGTGCCTTTCTTCCCACCCTCGTGACTGCTGTAGTGCCCCGGGCTGAGCTTCCTTAGAACTCCCCCCCGGCACTGCTCCATTGCCTTCCAGCACTGAGTGCTGCTGTAGGGACACTGGAGATCAGATTTATTTATTTATTTATTGCCCTTGTAGATGTTTTGGTTTTTCTGCCTGGTGTCTTGAGAATTTGTTTGAGCATTTGTTCTTTTGTTCTTTATTATTTTATGTATTTATTTTTGAGAGGGAGTCTCACTCTGTTGCCCAGAGTGGAGTACAATGGTGTGATCTTGGCTCACTGCAACCCCCGCATCCCAGGTTCAAGTGATTCTCCTGCCTCAGCCTCCCGAGTAGCTGAGATTACAGGCATGAGCCCCCATGACCAGCTACTTTTTGTATTTTTGGTAGAGACAGGGTTTCACCATGTTGGCCAAGCTGGTCTCAAACTCCTGGCCTCAAGAGATCCACCTGCCTTGGCTTCCCAAAGTGCTGGGATTACAGGCATCAGGCACCACACTCAGCTGAGAATTTGTTCTTTATCCTTGAAATTCAATAGCTTAACTATTGCTTGAGGCTTCTGATTCAAAATTTCCTAAAATATGGCATGTTCTTTTGATACAAAGATGCTGTTCTTCTTCCTTTTCAGGAAAATTCTCTTGTGCTGTATCTCTGAATGGCTCCTCAGTTCCATCTGTGAGTTCTCTATCTCTATCCCTATGTGGATTGTCTTTGTCACCAGTATCGGTTATGTCGTCATTCTAGTTTAATTTTCTTGTCTTTTTCAGTGGTTTTCTCTAGGATCATGCCTGACCTCTCCACGTTGCAGGCAGTTCAGTTTCCGTCAGTGTCTAGTTCTGTCCTTTGCTTTCCTGTTTGTTAATTAACAGTGAGGTTTTGATCCCCAGTTTGTTGCCTATGTCTGCAGTCTCTCTTTTTCTTACTGTGTATATTGTTTTCACTTATGACTATTTTGTTGACTTCCTATTCTTATTAAGTGATTTTCTTCAGAGTGAAGCAATGGTAAGGAATTTACTTCTCAAGTTATGTTTTCTCTCGGGTTAATTTCTGGTCTCTTCCTTCACTCTGCTCCCCTTCTTTTTTCTTGTTTGCCGAAATGAGTTTGCAGGGCTGATCTGTTGGTCCTTCCTGTCTAATTCACACCTGCACCCTGACACAGTGTGAGTGGCTTCCTTACTCTCCTCCGGGTGCCTTTAAGTCCTTCTGATCTAGAAGGCCAGGCTTTTAGGCCTTTTGTGTTCTCTCCAGTTGAGGGAATGGGAAGGTAGGAAGCACTCAGCTGATACACTGCATAGTTTTCTAAGAATCCCTGAGCTCTCCTTTTTCTTCTGAGATTTTGTGAAATCTCTACTAATCACTTTACTGACATAAAATTTCATTTTTTCTTATTTATGTTTTTTCTATTCTTTTTAGTCTAAAAATGTTTCTCCTTAACAAAAATGACAGATTCAAGTTAGAAGATAATGAGTGTAACTTTATATTTGTTTTCTATTAGTATCCTGCTCCCAGCCACAAGCAGTAGACTTTTCTCTTTATTGTCCCTTGTATTGCCTGATGACTTGTATTTATAGCCATACTTTTAGATTTTGCCTATTTGATCTATTCTTACAACTTCACATCACCACAACCTTTAAAATCTGACTTCACCCGAGAGCGTTTTGCATAGTTCTGTTTAGTTCTTCAGATGCACTCTCCTTTTTATCCTCAGTAATAGAAATTGCAATTGCAGCAGGAACCATGTGTCTTGGTATTTTTACGCCACTTTGTAATGTCTCATCTTTTAGTATCTTAGGTAATGCACGCTGCCTTTCTAACATCTAGGGCAGAAGTGAAAGCAGGAACTTAAACAGATATTTGTACACCCATGTTCATAGATAGCAGCACTATTCACAACAGCCAAGAAGTGGAAGTAACCCAACTGTCCAACCAATGACTAGATGAACAAAATGTGGTATATATCTACAGTGGAGTAGTGTTCAGCTTTAAAAAGGAAGGAAATTATGACAGGTGACAGCACTGCTGCACCTTGAAGACATTATACTAAATAATGTCATTATACTGAATAAGCGAGTCACAAAAGAACAAATATTGTATGATTCCTCTGCTATGAGGCTCCTAGAGCAGTCAAAAGAGAAAGGAAGTAGAATGCAGTCATAGATACATATGCATATGTGTTAAATGCAGTGGATGCATGGAATGTAGTAGAAAGTGGTCACAGAGAAAGGAGAACAGTTGTTCCCAGAGTCTGGGAGGTAGGGGAATGGAGAGTTATTGTTTAATGAGTAGAGCTTCAGTTTTGCAAGATGAAAAGGGTTCTGGAGATGGATGGTGATGATGGCTGAATAACAATGTAAATGTATTTAATGCCAGTGAAATGTACACTTAAAAAACGATTAAAGTGGGCCTGGTGCAATGGCTCACACCTGTAATCCCAGCATTTTGGGAGGCCGAGGTGGGTGGATCACCTGAGGTCAGGAGTTCAAGACTAGCCTGGCCAACATTGTGAAACCCCGTCTCTACTAAAAAAAATACAAAACTTAGCCAGGTGTGGTGGCTCACGCCTGTAATCCCGGCTACCAGGGAGGCTGAGGCAGGAGAATCACTGGAACCCAGGAGTCAGAGGCTGCAGTGAGCCGAGATCACGCCACTGCACTCCAGCCTGGGTGACAGAGCAAGACTCCGTCTCAAAAAAAAAAAATAAAATAAAATAAAAAAAAAAGGAAAGAAGAAAACTTCAGCACAGCCCCGTGAGTGCTCAGGGTGAACACTCCCTGTGGGCAACTGGGGGGCAGCTGCTCTCTCCAGCTCGGGAACTTCCCCAGGCCTAGAGCTTCTCTGATCTGGGCTGGGGCATCTGCAACAAGCTCTGGCTGGTGCTGCTCGGTGGACCACACTTTGAGTAGCCAGAGTCTAGGCTCTGCGTTCAGCTTCTTTGTTCACTGGACTTCCCTGGGGCCCATAGCTTGCCTTGTACCTGGACTCTCCCTCCTAGCCAGCCCTGCTCTGTGGATGACTCAGTTGGACAGACTTTCCGGCTTTGATTTTATTTTCTCCCCCAAGATGCTGTCTGTTAATCACTTCCTTGAGCAACACGCTGCAGCCATGAGCAAGCAGTGGCCGCCCCTGTCCTACCCAGGGTCCCGCCCCTCCTCCCACCTACACACTTGTCTGGGAGGGGCAGTGCCAGAGCAGGGGCTCACACAGGTACCATGGGATCATGCACTACAGGGGACTGGCCAGCCTGAAGGGCCTACGTCTGCTTCCTGGAGGAAGTGCCCTCCTGCCTAAGTGCTGCACTGGGTCAGTGCCAGCCTGGGGAAGAACAGAGACAGCCCCAGAAACAGTCAGAGGGACAGGAGGTGGCACGCACTGTGGAGTGCCTATAGCACTGTGTGTAGGCAGAATGCAAAGGGGACAGTGTGGGTGGGGACAGTGTTGGTGTAGAAATGGCGGGGAGGTTAGATTGCAGGCACAGAGGGCCTCAGCCATCTCGAGAGCCCAGACTTCCTCCCTGAGGTGATGGCACTTGGGGAAGTCAGTCATGGAAGGATTTTAAGAAAGATGTGAAAGGGGCAGGTTTCTATTTTCAGAAAACCATTCTGGGCCAGTGGAAGATGGAGTACACAGGACCACACCTTGGTGAAGGGAGATTGTAGGAGCCTGGGCTTGGTGGCGGGGGACAGTGGAGAGAACAGCCTGGGATGTATGAACATGGCAAGTCTCCCTTCCTGGACAGTGGGGTTTGCCTATGGTGGACAGAAGGTGAGATCATCCTTTGAAAAATGCCACTTCATAGTGTTTCCCCAGCTGTGGGCCTTCACTCATTGGAGGGTCAAATAATCAATGTATTAGGTTGCAACCAGCATTTCATTTACATGAAATAGAATCAGCCAGGAAATCTCAAAGTACACCACAAGCAATAAGGGTGAGTATTGCTTTTTGTTTTACATTCACATAAACATGTGTTTAGAAGTTTGCAAGCCGCTGCATTCAGGGTCATACTACCGCTGATGGAGCCGAGCATGGAGAAGACGCCCTATGGGCGGCTGTGGCAGCCACCTGCCCTCCAGCCCCTGGGAGGTGGTGTGTGCCCCGGGACTTCTGTACACACAGGAGAGGAGCGTCCAGGCAAGAATGGAGTCACTGCTTGGGGTGCAGACACTCAGAGGGTGAGGGAAATGGTGATGTTTGTGTATGTGTTTGTGTGTGTATGTCAGGGCTGTGCTTTTTGGAGGAAAACAATGAAGGACACACACAGGAGACAGTGACCAACACAGTAGAGCAGTAAAGCAGGCAGAGCCAGAAGAGGCCGACCCTGTAAGAGCAGCAGAGACCTCTCACTGAAAACATCCTGTCCTAATTTCCGCACCCAGAAAACCTGCCAAGAGCCACGCAGATATTTCCAAGTTCCTGGGAGTTGCCTAGAGAGTGAGAGCAGCCCCGTGCACCCATGATCCCCACCCGGGCATCTGTGGAAGGCACAGGAGCCACCCACAACCCGCCTCAGCAGCGCAGCACCAGGAAACGGAGGGAACGCCTCCCGCAGGGGGAGGCTCTGCCCCACACCAGCACTTTCTGGCTGGGCACCTCCAGCAGGTTGCATCACTCCTCGGAGCCATGGGTTCTCATCTCTAATTGGAGTAATTATAAATGGGTTGTTGTGAAAGAGCGTTGCAAATGTTGCAAAGCACAATAGTCTTGGAGTTGTTATTATTATTATCAATCCTAATAACAGCCTTGCCAGGCAGGCAGGGCACGTAGTCATTCGCATTTTAAAACAAGGAGAGAGACTCAGCAATATTGGAGTGATTCATTTGGTATTACAAGCTGCCTGGGGAGTAGCAAACCAGAACCCCGGTCTTCCCACCCACAGCCTGGTGCTGTTTTCCCTGTAACACAACCAGGGGAAGCTGGTTGATAATTTAAATGTAACCAAAAGCTATGATGATTAGATCTTTTCTTCTATCCAAAACCTTGATATAAGACTTGGAGCAATGTGCTCAATTTCCTTCCGTGATGGTTTTCCCATTGAAACTATATAGCCACATTCTTTTTTTTTTTTTTTTTTTGAGATGGAGTCTCGCTCTGTCGCCCAGGCTGGAGTGCAGTGGCGGGATCTCGGCTCACTGCAAGCTCCGCCTCCCGGGTTCACGCCATTCTCCTGCCTCAGCCTCCCGAGTAGCTGGGACTACAGGCGCCCGCCACTACGCCCGGCTAATTTTTTGTATTTTTTTTTAGTAGAGACGGGGTTTCACCGTTTTAGCCGGGATGGTCTCGATCTCCTGACCTCGTGATCCGCCCGCCTCGGCCTCCCAAAGTGCTGGGATTACAGGCATGAGCCACCGCGCCCGGCCTATATAGCCACATTCTACTATAGGTTCCTATAGCACAATGCCTGGGAAGACCAAAGAGGAAATTGAAGATAATACACAAACAAGTCTGCTCCTGGTGGATAGCATCACTCACTATTATTATTAACTTTGTAAACTTCTTTTTCAGAGATATTTCTAAGTCCTTGGACTAAGTGATGTCATAATTATATATATATATATTTATAACAATATAATTTTATATACAAATTATATTTATAATATTTATAACATAATTTGTATATATAAATTATATTTATAATAATATTTATAATAGTATAATTTATATATATAAATTGTATTTATATTATATATCATAAAATAATATATTCTTATATTTATATGTATTATACTTATATATATATTTACTTATACTTGAATTTTGCTCCAGCTCCTACAGAGTGAAAGGACTATGTTTTATGAAATTCCTTTCTAGCTGAGTGAAGTAGGGGCAGTCACTTATCTGGGCATAATGCTGGGTACACAGCAGGTGCTCAATAATATTTATTGAGTAAATAAATAAAATGAGGAATTTAGTACAGCTGGGTCTTGTTAGCTTTATATTTATTTATTTATGAGATGGGGACTTGCTTTGTCATGCAGGCTGGAGTGCAGTGCCATGATCAGAGCTCACTGCAGCCTTGACCTCCTGGGCTCAAGTGATCCTCCTGCCTCAGTTTCCCAAGTAGCTAGGACTACGGGTGCATGCTGCCACGCCTGGCTGATTCTTTTAAAATTCATTTTGTAGAGAGGGAATCTTGCTGTATTAGGATATGGATATGAAGCTGGAAGTCATAAGATCTAGATTCTATCAGTGGCCTCCCACTAGTTGTACAATCCCTATTTCTTCATTGAAACTCTGTGGGCTTCTGGAGGTTTGCCTATAAATGAAAGGGTTGGACCAGGTCAGGGACAGCCAGTAGGGTTCCACTCAAATGCCAGCTGCAGTCAGCTGGCATGGCTGGTGGAGGAGCACTGTGGGCTGTGCTCAGCCTCCAAGGATGAGACCTGGAGGGAATAATGCTGTCCACCTGCTAACTGGCCCCGGGGGTGGAAGGTTACCCTCTAGACACTTGCATTGCTGGACTGAGTCATCTCTAAATCCTTTTCATTTTATGAACCTATAACCAAGAAGGGTTCTTGGATCAGGCAAAACTTAATTTTAGAATGAACTTGGGTAGCTCTGTGCAATTTCTGTGTTTTATGTCAGAAAGCTTTTTTTCCTGTGATCCTGGGACACAAGAAATAAGAAATTAAAGAACTGTATGTTGGGTGTAACCAACATTAGTTTATGGGTTGAGAAATAAATCTCTCTGGAAGTTCTCCTAGCATCTCTAGGAAGATTACTTAGTGCAATATTATTTCTCCCATTTTGTAGAGAGAGGATTTGAGTCATAACAGGTAGAATTATCTGCCTTAGGTCATTTGTAGGGCTAGACATATAATTTAGGTTACTTAACTCGCTTGTGTTTTCTTTCCCAGCAAAAGGAGCCACGGCTCATCCAGTGCATTTCTGAGGTCAGCCTTCACGCCTCGCCCTGTCCGTCCTCCTCACTCTCCCTGTGGGCCTCCATCCTGGCCGAGGTCGTGGATGTGCTGTCACTGGCAAACATTCATGGTAACCTGGCCCCCAGGAAGGGCTTAGTTTAGTCCATGTCACCACCCCATGACTCTCACCCCATTGAAACTTGTTTCCATTTAGAAGCATTAGCTGATCTAACCCAGCAACCTCCTAACTCCATGTTCCTTCATGCAGCCATCCTGGTGAAACAGGCAACTTGTGAGCAAATGTCTATTAAATGGGCTAAGTTCCATTTCCCCGGCCACTTTACATGTGAAACTGATGCTGTGGTCCCTGGGGAGTGATTTGTCACCCAGAACAGTCACCCTCTAAAATGTGCAAATGCTGGTCAGGTGCAGTGGCTCCCACCTGTAATCCTAGCATTCTGGGAGGCCAAGGTGGGTGGATTGCATGAGGCCAGGAGTTTGAGACCAGCCAGGACAACGTGGTGAAACCCCATCTCTACTAAAAATACAAAAATTAGCTAGGCATGGTGGCGCACAGCTGTATTCCCAGCCACTGTGAGAGGTGAAGCCAGCTGGACTTCCTGGGTCGAGAGGGGACTTGGAGAACTTTTCTGTCTTACAAGAGGATTGTAAAACACACCAGTCAGCGCTCTGTAGCTAGCAAGAGGTTTGTAAAATGCACCAATAAGCACTCTGTAAAAATGCACCAATCAGTGCTCTGTAGCTAGCAAGCGGTCTGTAAAATGCACCAATCAGCACTCTTTAAAATGGCCCAAACAGCACTCTGTAAAATGGACCAATCAGCACTCTGTAAAATGGACCAATCAGTGGGACTCTAAAAGTAACCACTCGTGGGGGATTGGGAAAAGGGCATTCTGATAGGACAGAAACAGGACATGGGAGGGGACAAATAAAGGAATAAAAGCTGGCCACCCCAGCCAGCAGTGACAACCCGCTCAGGTCCCCTTCTCCGCTGTGTGACGTTTGTTCTTTTGCTCTTTACAATAAATCTTGCTCCAGCTGGCTCTTTGGTTCCGTGCCATCTTTAAGCACTGTAACACTCACCGGGAAGGTCCGTGGCTCCATTTTGAAGTCAGCGAGGCCAGGAACCCTCCACGAACCCACTGGCAGGAACTAACCCTGGACACAACTGGAGAGGCTGAGGCACGAGAATCACTTGAACCCAGGAGGCAGAGGTTGCAGTGAGCTGAGATGGTGCCACTGCACTCCAGCCTGGGTAACAGAACGTTACACTCTCTCCAAAAAAAAAAAGGCGGGGGCCAAAGGCCCGAAGATAACAACCCTAGAAGCTGCAATGCCACACAGAGGTAAGGATGCAGGCCTGGAGTTGGATCTGGACTTCAGCCGTGTTTTTGCTGTTTATTGGCCTTATGACTTGGTTTCCTTGTGAGTAAAATGGGTACAATAAGGATGGTTGCAAGGAATAAAGGACAGAAGGCTCAGAAAGTACTTGTTATAATGCCTGTGCTATTATAGGGAGCCAAGAAGTATTTGTTTTCTCCCCCATTAAGAAAAAATGGCACAAAATAAAAACGTCACAATGTCATAAACCAAAACTTCCCAAGGTTAAAAATACTGGAGCACTCATGTTTTGTGTTTGTGTGTGTGTGTAAATTGTTTAGCATCACACAGAGGCCTCCAGAGTCCTTCAGAGCTGGTCAAGAAACTGGGTGACAGGGCCCAAAGGGAACTGTCACTGAGGAAAAGCCTTTTTAATAAACCACCCTAAATCCAAATCAGTATGTTAAACAAGAGGTAAACAGTGTTAAGCCAGGAGTGGTGCTAGAAATTCTTTTAATTGTTTAAACGCTCCACTTAGATGTAATTAATGGAAAGCAGGAAATGTCGCAACCTGAACAGGGAGACAGGATCCTGCTCTTGCCTGGGACGGACATCTGAGCCCGGTGCAGAGAAAAGTTCTGAAGAGTCCGGCGGCCCTTCTGCTGCGCTCCTACCTGTCCCGGGACAGGGATGAGGGCCAGCTGTCCTAAGAGGTGGTCTAGGTGGCCTGAGCAGTGTGACCCCTGGGATGAGGGGGTGAATATGGCAGCCCAGGGCCCCTGTCTGAGGACTGGCAATAGGAAGCCCAGAGCTCCTGGCTGAGGCCAAGCCCCTGTGAGGGTGGATGGAAAGAATCCGGGCCAGGAGGAGAGTGGTCCAGGCCAGGCTGCACCCCTGACTCATGGTCACCTTATGGCTCTGCTGTTTCCTCCTCTGTAACAGGAAGGCTTGGGATTAGGTGGACTTTAAGAATGCTCTGCATGAAGATTTTGTGGGGTTTCCATAGCCGCCAACCTTCCCAGTGACCAAGTTTTGTAGAGAGAATCGGGGGGTCCTCTGTGTCCCTGCCAGTGGCCTCTGCCCTCATTTTTGCAGAGGAGTCCAGATCTGTTCTACTTTAGCCCTCATCTGACAGGGCAGCAGCAGATTCATCTCATCAGTTAGAACATGCCCTATCCTGAACTCTCTCTCGTGAGCGTGGTGGGGGCAGGCGGGGTGGTCACAAAAGTAATTTTGGTGCAAAAGGAATTGCAGTTTTTGCCATCAAAAGTAATGGCAAAAGCCTCAATTAAGTAAGTGCTTCAACCTAATACCTCTTTTGAAGATGAAAAACTGAGGCTTGGAGTTTTTCCAATTATACAAGCTTTGCATTTAATGAGTTCTCAATAACAGTTGACCTTCTAACTGAAAGAAATGGAACTCTGCAGGTGAACAGACAAAAATCATGTCTTCGTCGAAATGTATTGGAGGAGCTGAAGAAAGGCTGCCATGAATGATCATGCCTGCTAGGCTGCTCTAAGCAGCTGCAGTCACAACTTGATGCTGAAAATTAGGTTGGTGTGCTCTGGAGAGCAATTTGATATGTGTATCAAGAGCCTTAAGCCTTTGACTTGGTAATTCCACTTTCTGAATCTACCATAGGAAATAATGGAACTTCTGACAGATTTCATAGAAAGCTCATTGCGGTAGCATTGTTTTCTAGGGTACATCAGCAGATCCCATCAGAAGGACCCTGTGCCCTGAATCCTGAGAGGTCTGAGAGGACCAAGCGCCCCAGTGCCCTGGTCTTTGCCTACAACCTCAGGGAGAAGGGGACTCACAGTGACACCAGACAGGCCCTGAACCCTGGGGGAGGAAGCTCTAGGGCCTCAGTGACCTTCCTGCCTCTACTGCCCTCGGCAATAGACAACTATCAGGACAGAGAATGCTTTAACTGATCAGATGAATCTGCTGCTGCCTTGTCAGATGGGGGCTAAAATAGAAATAAGTGTGATAAGAAAAGGAAAGTTCTATTTCTCACTTTCCTAAGCTGTAGACTGCAATTCACATTGCTACGCTTGAGATATGATGTTGCATGGAAAAAGAAAAGCCTGAGAACTTAACGTGATATGAGTTCAATGTGTAAACAACATACACATACATACTTAGGACAAAGATGGAAGAAAATTCATTTTTTCATTCAACATGTATTTGTTCCACATGTACCAGAATGTTGCCTGCAGTTATCACTGGTGGCAGGATTATGTGAGACTTATTATCTTTTCTTATCTTTATCTTTTTAATATTTTCTAACCTGAAGATATATTACTTATGTAATTACAAAAAATTCAAATCGTTTAAACATTTTAGTAATGTTAGTTTTTTCTCAGCTATGTGTGGTTGATTTCTTAAACCCATATAAAATTTGTTTTATGAGAGACAGAATGTATCTTATTTTTCTCAAATATTTTCATGTAGAAAACTTACATAAAACAAGACCAAATGCCAGAGGTTTCAAACTTCTAATCATATTTGTGGTGCTAATGTGGGGCTATACTTCTAATCATATTTGTGGGGCTGATGGATACCGAAAGTAATAATTACATTATTTCAAATACACTGTTATTCCTTTGTTGACATGGGTCATTACAGCCTGAAAGTTGGTGTCCCTCCAAAATTCATATGTTGGTATGTAAACCCCAAAGTTATGGTATTAAGAGATGAAGCTTTTGGAAGGTAATTAGGTCATAAGGGCTCTGCCCCCATGGATGAGTTTAACTCCCTTTAAAAAGGGCTTTTCTTCTGCCCTTTTTCTTCTGCCATGCGAGGACACAGTGAGAAGGTGCCTGCATATTGGAAGGAGAGAGGAGCCCTCACTAAACACCAATCTGTGAGCACCTTGATGTTAGACCTCCCAGCCTCCAGAACTGTGGGAAATAAATTTCTATTACTTATAAATTACCCAGTCTAAGGTATTCTTGTTATAGCAGCCCAAACAGACTAAGACATGGATCAGTAATGACTGATTTATTCTAGCAGCAATGCTTCCGCTGAAAAAGAAACGTATTTCAGAGTCAGTCACTTGAGTTTGAATCACAATGTTTTCATTTACAACCATGAGATCTGTCACCTCATCTCATTTTTATCAATCAGGCTTAGTTCGCTCACTGGTCACGTAAGAAAAAAATAACCATGTAAATTACTGTGCAAATTCTTAGTTATTTTCTCTACATCTTCTATTCAAAATTTCCACTAAGATTATATTATACATATACTTCTATAATAGATCCATAACATCCAGGAAAAATGTGGACACTTTAGTCAGAAGGTTGTAAATATTTACATTATTATTATTTGTGCTTATTGAGTGAGCAAAAGTTTCACTAGGATTCTAGCATAGACCTAGCATGGCTTCAGGGATGGCCAAGAAAATGAAGGAGAAGTGGGACGTCGACTTCTCAGCTCAGACATGCATCACTTGTGACCTGCCATAAAGGGCAGCTATCTAAGAGTTGTGTGCCTCCGAGGCCCAAACGATACCATGAAGAGGTTCAAATGCCATTTATTCCTTCAGCGAGAATTTAGTGCATCCTCTGTGGAAGGCACATGGAATGATGGGGACAGGGAGTTGAACACTAGCTGGTCTCTGCTCTCACCCAGCTTCAGGATCAGTGGGAGAACTAGTAGGCACCCCGGTGACTCCCTGCGTGTTCTGCCGCCTGACGGTGGGAACGCAGCAGAGGCGCCTGCCCAGGCTGTTTCCCAAATGATTAGTCAGCTATTTTGCCACCATGTATTTGGTGTTTTAAATGCCGTCATAATAACCGAATTATGATATGTACCTTAATTTGTTTCCTGAATTTCTTATTCTGATCTGTCGTGCGTCATCTGTTTCATTATGGCAGCTGTACATGATAAAATAGTATTCTTTATTAAAATATTGGCTTGAATATTCTTATATTTACTAGTACAATTACAATTTAAATCTAGAATCACATTACAAAATCATTCATCCCATTGAACTTTTTATTGGAACCACATTAAAAAAGTATAGTTTAACTGGGAAGGTTTCTATCTTTGCAAAATCAAGCTTTTTCACCTAGGAAGGCGGAATATGTCCACTTGTTCAAGTCTTCTTAAGGTTGATCAAGGTAGACATGACTTTTTATAATCTAGTGGGAAGACTGTACAAAATAACTTTAATAAAGTGTGATGTGCTGATAGGGGAAGTGTTAAAATGTCCATTGGACTTTGCAGATCATGAAATCATTTGTATAATCACAAATGTATCACTAAACACACTCATGCTCATACACACTCACATGATCACATACTCATGCTCACACATGCACATATTCACATGCTCACACTCATGCTCACACAGGCACACACTCATGTTCACACACTCACATGCTCACACATGCACATACATGCTCACGCACTCAAGCTCACACACACACATATATACACACTCATGCTCATTCATGCACACACACACGGTCACTCATGCTCACATACTGATGTTCCCACATGCACACGTGTACACACATGCTCACTAATGTTCACACGTGCTCACACGCTCACATACTCAGTGCTCACATGCACACACACTCATGCTCACACACATTTGCAAACAGTCATGCTCACACACGGTCACACACTCATGCTCACACATGCTCACATATTCATATTCATGCTCATGCACACTTTCTCACACATGCTCATACATCCATGCTCACACACACATGCTAAACACATACACACTAACATGCTACACACATGCACACACATTCATGCTCATACACATGCACATACACTCATGATCACACATGTGCACACATGCTCACACACTCGTGTCACACACGTTTACACACATGATCACATTCTTACAGGCTCTCATGTTCACATCACACATTAATGGTCACACATGCTCACACACATGTTCACACACATGCTCTCACACACAAATGCTCTCACACACTTGCTCACATACTTGCTCACATACATTCATGCTCACACACACACCACACCATTGCATGCTTCAGCCGTTGCCCGTGCTATTTCCTCCCTTGGAAAGCCCTCTACTGTGAGGCCCTCACCTCTCAACCCTCTCCCTGGCCCCCATGTTGTCTATGTGATTTCTTGCCATTTAAAAATCTACCCAGGTGTCAGCGCTTGGGCAGTTTCCTCACACCTCTCACCCAGTTCATCCTCCCTTGCTTGGTGCTATTTCTGCCCTTGTCCATATCCCCACCACAGCATGCACTTTGGATTCCAGGCACGCTCCTTGAGTGTGACCCCGAGGCCCTCTGTGGGCTCTTGGAGCAGGGCAAAGCTGGGTGTGCTGGGGCGCAGCACGGGCCTGATGCCCTGAGGTTGTTTGTTGTGCTGGGCTGGAGGCGTTCGAAGAAACGTCCAAGGAGGCTGCTAGACTCAGTTCTTTCTTTCTGTTTTCCCTCCACCTCCTCTGCTAGTGGAAGCTCCATGTCTCCCAGGCTCGTGAGCTGGCAAACACCCCGCTTGCATGGTTCAGTGTTGTCGTTGGCGGCAGGCGTACGTGGAAGGCCAGTTACAGAGGGTCTCTAGGGCTAATGCATTTCACAACACACCGCCCTCTGACACTCCACGCTCTGCTTTTCCTCCAGAACCACTCCCTTTGCAAAACTCTGTTTCAAACAAAAAGAGCACAAAGAGGCTGACCGTGCCTTCCTCCAACCAAGCTCCCCTCTCCACAGGTGCACAGCAAGAGCCCTTTGTCTGTGATGGGACAGGCCTGGGCTCCAGTGAGCAAGACAGGCACTGTGGGCCCATCCAAATATTAACTGTGGACACTTTCCTACTTTGAAAACATGAGACTTTGTACTCAGAGCCCTGCCCTCCAGAGAACACAATTACTTCTGTTTTTCTTTTCCTAGTGGAAGGAGGCTTGACACTGGTGATGGCCTTGCCTTTACAATGCTCAGGGTTTGGGAAAGTCAGGGCCTAGGGCTGCTGATCTCCAGGCACTGTCTGCTTTCCATCTATCCTCTCTGCTTGGTCCCTGAAAAGCAGGAGGGAGACAGGAGGAATGGGAGCATGAATGCCCTCAGGGTCCACGGGGGATCCCGGAAGGCCTAGAACACCAGGGGTCTGGGCTCCACCCATGATGGATCATGCCTTTGGGGGAAGATTGGCCTACACTCATGTCAAGTAATAAGTTTTACTTCCTGCACCTGGTGTTAGGTTGGTTCTAAGATGCAGCTGTAACCTGTGACTAAGATCAATATTTTTCATGTCACTATCTGATCATACAATGGTCAATTTATCGATTTAGAAAATTGTTGCACAACGAGGCAACACCGAGTCATGACTTAAAAAAAAAAAAAGTGGATCTAACCGAAGCTAGATTGTGGCTTATCACCTTTGATTGTCAGTTTCTTGGGTCAAATCTTAATGCCACATTGACCACTGTGTCAAGAGAGGCCAGGTTCCAACTCAGCTCCGTGTATAGTGTTCATGGAATCTCAATGCTCATCAGGCGCTGCTGGGGCTGGGCCTCGGGGAGGGGCAGGCTCCTGTCAGCACAAGTCACCAGCACAGGTTTTAACCAGCCAGTCTGGGCTACTTTTACCACTGAAGCAGTGGGGCGAGAAACTCTATTTTACAGTGTTTCTAAAACCTCTGTGAGCTAAAAGTAGAAGCAACTCAAATGCCCCTCACCTGATGAATAAACAAACACAGTGTGGCATCCTCGTACAATGGAGTATTATTCAGCCATAGAAAGGGAGGAAATAGTTGTGCTCGATACAGTATGGATGAGGCTTGGAGACATGATGATAAGTGAAAAGAAGCCAATCACAAAAGGACAAATAATGTATGATTCCATTTATAAGAAATGTGTGGAATAGGCACAGCCATTGAGACAGAAAGTAGGTCGGTGGGGGATGGGGAAAAGGGGAGAATGGGAAGTGGCTGCTCGCAGTTATGAAGTTTCTTTGTGGAGTGAGAAAAATGCTTTAAAATTGGTTGTGGTTATGGTTGCACAATTCCGCAAATATCCTAAGAACCACTACACTGCAGACTTTGAAGAGGTGAATTGTATGGTATGTGAATCATATCTCAGTGAAGTGTTTCTTTGAAAAACCCACATAGGTTTTATTGCATATACAGACCCATTTAAAACAATTAATGTAATCCCATTTAATGTAATCAAGGGATGCCTTTTTAAATGAACGCTTTTATGTTTAGTTTGTGAGAAAGTAAATTTCTTCCCATTACATCTTAGATTCACCCACTTGGTCAGAAGTGGGCTGGTAGACATGGTTAAGGGTGTGAGATCCCAGGACTTTAAACCACAGTAACTGTTTCCTCAGAGGGCCAAAGTGGGTAAGAGAGAACAGCCACGGCCTCACCCCCAGCACAGGCACCTGCCTTGGTTCTCATGTCACAGGCAGGAGACTTTCTGGATGGTAACAGGCCCTGGAGTGCCCACAGCCAGGATTCCTCAGAAAAGCCAGTGGACCACACACAGCGATGCTTCTCCAACACCTGGCAATGTGGAGGAAGCACAGAGAACTTGAAGTTCTTGCTGAGAGTCACTACAGACCACTGTCATTGCCCACTTGACAAGTTCCCATGCCAGCCCTGCTCTTTCCTCACACTCTGAGACCTCTGCCCATCCTTACTCTCTGCTGTTGACCTGAACCCACATCTGTTGACTGGAATCCCTGTTTCCCCACCTCCCGTCTGTCCACCGTGCTGCGTTTCCCCTGCTCTCCATCCTCCTGTACAGTGGGTGTGTGGCATATCCTGGCTCCTGTCAGAAAGCCCCTCTCGCCACCTCTTTAAGGAACTGCACCTGCAGGAAGCCCACCCCCCTCCCTCTCCTGCACTGTAAGACTCTGTGTGCTTGGGACTATTGGGAATAATGTATAATGTGCTCCAGTACATGGCACCTGCTATGTCTTTAAACTCCCCATTGATCCCAATCTTCTACCTCCCTTACTATATCTCTGTCCCCCCACCTTGAGAGATAGTCCCAAAAGAACTGCTTGTAATCACTGCCTCCACTTCTTCCTCTCTTGTTCCTGCCACATCCCATCATCACTTCTCCATCCTCATTTTATTTGACCTCTTGGCACAGTTAGCAGTTGGCACAATCAGCCACTGTCTCTTTCTTGACCCACTCCTTTCTCTTTGTTTCTGCGACACCATACCCTCCTGGTTTTCTTTTCCCCCTACTTACCGCTGCTTCCTGGCCTCTTTACTCCCTCTCCTCCCCGAGCCTGGCCTCTAAATGCTGGAGTACCCAGGCTGGTCCTGGGCCTTCCCTAAGGCTTCGCAGTTTACACTCTTACTGCTCACCTGGTTTCTGGTAATCGGGGCCTTCAGTTTTCATATCTGTATGAGGACAGGCTAGGAGGTAGTGGCCCAAATAAGATAGAATGGTGAACCTTTTTGTGGGCAAACCTGAGAATGTTCAAAGAATGGCATCCTCTGTGAAAAGCAGGGCTAGAAGAATACACAAAGGAAGATGACAAAGCTTTCTTGGCCTGAGAGTCTAGAAGACTTCAAAATAAATGTATTTTAAATGATTAAGAGTATAATGAAAGGAAATAAAACTGAAACAAATTACTAAATCTCTACCTCCAATAAAAAGAGTAGATTTGAAAAATACTCAACTAGGACTTCTAGAAATTAAAAACATAATTATTAAGATGAAAAACTCTTTAATGAATTTAAACAATGGATTAGTACAGTTGAAGAGCCAATTTTGAACTGGAAGATAAATAAAAGGAAATTACTTCAAAATTAGCACTGAGAGATAAAAAGAAGAAAAATTAGGAAAGAGGGGTTAAGAAACATGGAGGGTAGAATAAGAAGGTCCCACATATGTTGAGAAGGAGAAAACAGAAAAGAAGAATATTTAAAGAGCAAGTAAACGAGAATTTTCTAAAAGCGAGGAAAGATGTAAATTCTCAGATTCCAAGGTCACAAGTCTGAAGTAGGATAAAAATAAATAAATCCACACTGGACACATCACAGTGAAACTGCAGAACACCAAAGAGACACACATGATCATAAAAGCAGCCATAGGGCCTTGCACAGTGGCACACCCCTGTAATCCCAGCACGTTGGGAGGCTGAGGTGGGTAGGTCATGAGGTCAAGAGTTTGAGACCAGCCTGGCCAACATGATGAAACCCCATCTCTATTAAAAATACAAAAATTAGCCGGACGTGGTGGTGTGCACCTGTAATCCCAGCTACTCGGGAGGCTGAGGCGGGAGAATCACTTGAAACCAGAAAGTGGAGGTAGCAGTGAGCAGAGATCGCACCACTGCACTCCAGCCTGGGCAACAAGAGCTAAACTCCATCTCAAAAAAAAAAAAAAAAAAAAAAAAAGCAGCCACAGAAAAAATGTGCACAATCTACAAAGAAATTACAGTTATACTGACTTCTTAAAAAGCAACAAGAGAAGCCAGAAGGCTATAGAAAAATAGCTTCAATGAACTGAGAGAAAATAATTGTCAACCTGGTATTGCACATTCAGTTTAAATATCATCCAAGAGTAAGGACTTCTATATCCGGGTTCCTACTTCACAGCACCCTATTATTTGAAAGAATAATAGGGATCTCAGACTTGACATGGTCAAAATAAGAAGTCTTATTTTTTTCCTCCAAATATGATCCTTAATTTACTTCTACCTCAGTCTTCCTCATCTCAGTAAATACTTTCACCATCCACTAGGTTGCTCAAGCCAAAAATGAGTCATCTTTGGTTCTTCTCATTTTTTCATTATTTCTCCACATCTAGCTCATCAGCAAGTCCTATGATTTTATCTACAAAATGCCTTGTGAACCTGTCTGTTTCTCTCCATCCCCATTGCTACCATCCAAGTCCAAGCCCTCCGTAGTTTCTCTACCTGACCTTTCCTGCAGATATCATCTCTCTTATACCTCTATAAACTATTCCCTACACAGAAGATAGAGGATCTTTTAAATTATAAAATATTCTATATTATTAACATTACATACATTATATTTTATAGTTTGCAAAGCATAATAATAAAATAACACTTGTGAACTCACCCCACAACTGAAGAGTTAGCAGAATGTTCCTGAAAAAATTAAATCTGAGTGTGTTACTCCCCTGCTTACAACCTCTAATGGCTTACGTTACCCTTGAAACACAATCCTAACTCCTCACTTTACCAGACTCCTTCTCTCCCTGCCTCTCTATGTTCTCATCATATCAACTCTTCTATTTCTAGAATATGCCCAGGGCCTTTGCACTTGCTGACACCTTTGCCCTAGACCTTCAGCGGGATGGCTGTTTGTGTCATTCAGGTCTCACGTCAAATATCACCTTCCCAGTGAGGCCTGCCCTGACCATCTTTCCACATGATTCATGTTTCATTTTCTTCACAGTAGGTATTACCATCCAAAGGTATCAAACTCATTTTGTGGTTTGTTTCCTGTCTCCCTCTTATAAGCTCCATGAGAACAGACACCTTGTCTGTCTTGTTTTTCCCAGGTTTACCCTTAATGCCTAAAACAAAGTCGGTTCTCAATAAACAGTTGTTGAGTAAATAGGCAAGCCAGCACAGCTGAACTAAGTTGTAAATAGTGAATTGTGGTCAACACTCCCTTGTTATTAGACTCTTCTTTGAGCTCTTTGTTGTAGAGCTCATGTTATTCTTCTATGAAAATTTCATCACAGTGGTTGCTCCCAGAATCTTTAGAAACCTTACAGCCGGCATATTATTCCAGCGTCCCTAAATCTACCTTGGTTTGGAGCATTGGAGAAAACTTCAGATTTGCAACCGAAACCTCATCTCACTCTGGAGAGAGCTAAGCCCTTGGGCTGTATTCTCCTTAAAAAGTGACTGCTGGGGACGTGACCCAGCACTATTTTTCCCTGATTCCTCTAATGAATTTAGCCAGATTATAAGGTTCTAGATCATTTTGTGTGTTTCCCCATGGGTTCTTAATAAAGCACACATGACCTTTCTACTTACCTGCTTGCTTAAACTATAGGTAATTTTAGATCATGAGAAAATCTCATGTTGCCCAACCACTTCTAAGAATCCTGTGCAATGGCCTGGGGTTCCATGCCTCTTCCATAAATTCATTTCTGTATTGAGCATCTACCACATGCAAACACTGGGGCTATATGCTGGGAATAATACTTCAGTGGTTCTTAGACATCAACCTGCATGCCAGCTACCTGTGGTGTTGATTAAACATGCAGACTTCTGTGCTCTAGCTTCACTTTGGTAAGTTTCAGGTAGGACCCAAGATTTGTGCTTTTTCACTCATATCTCATCTAACACAGGAGGTCTGCCAAGCACACTCACACGAACACCTGAGGGGAATTGGCTGGCATTTGTAAATGTATGGGAAACACAGCCCAATTCTCATGTCGTATATGAGTACCCATGATCACCTCCAAAGCAAAACTCTCATAAAACACTGGGGCTCCAAGTTTGCCCAAATGGTGGGCGTCAGTTCTCTTTTCCCAGCACCACTGCTTATGAAAAATTCCACTCTACATAGCCAATCATTCTTAAAAAATTAGATTGCTACAGAGGTAACAAATGGCCAAAGTGCTTTTTTTAAATTATTAGAGATAGATAGATAGATAGATAGATAGACAGACAGACAGATAGATAGATAGATGATAGAACCATTTGAGCAGAAAGTACAGAGAGCTCTCTTGTGCCCCAGCCTTCCCGTTTCCCCTGTGATTAACATCTCACATTAATTAGTATGGTACCTCTGCTAAAGTTAATGAACCAATATGGATGCCTTATTATCAACTAACAGCCATGGTTTGCAGGCGGGTCACTCTTAATGTTGTACGTACTAGGAGCTTTGACAAACGCATAATGTCTTGCATCCACCTTAACAACATCACACAGAATGGTTTCACTGGCTGGACAATCTCCTGTGCCCTGTGGCCTAGATCCCTCCTTCCCTGCCTCCAAACAGTACATTTAATTTTAACAGATGCTCTCAAAGGATCAAAACTAGCTTCATTATTCATTTTCTTGTTTTTATAAATATTATTAGTCTTGAAGTATGAATTTGGATTAGTCTTTGAACTTCATATAATCCACTTCTTATCGTATTGCTATCACTACTGCATCAGTATAAACAGCACCTGGAAGTCATTTCCAGGAGCCCTTGGCTGTCAGCTGGCTACATTCCAGAGCTGCTCCAGCCCCGCGCTGTGTGCCTTCCCTGAAATGCCTCCGGTCCTCACATCCATCATAGTCAGGCTCCGGGCTGCGATCCCCCATTAATACCCAAGAAGGGGGGTGTTCCATGGTGCTGGAGTTTTATTAAAGTTCACATCAGGGCCAGGTACGATGGCTTATGACTATAATCCCAGCACTTTGGGAGGCTGAGGTGTGAGGATCACTTGAGGTCAGGAGTTCAAGACTAGCCTGGGCAACATAGTGTCTACAAAACTTTTTTCTTTTATTTTTAATTAGCCAGGTCTGGTGGCACATGCCTGTAGTCTCAGCTACTCAGGAGGCTGAGGCTGGAGGACTGCTTGAGCCCAGGAGTTTGAGGCTGTAGTGAGCTATAATTACACCACTGCACTCCAGCCTGGGAAAAAGAGCCAGACTCTGCCTCAAAAAAATAAAATAAAATAATAAAGTTTATGTTGACCCACAGCCTAGGCAAGTCTTTCTTACAGAACATATGCTCAAAGAATTGTATAACTAGCTGTGGTCTAAGGCTCAAGTTTAGGGGGTAACCACACCCTCTCCAGACACCTGGCTGCAGGGAGGGAGGAAGAAGATCCCAGCCTAAGTGGGTGTGGCTGGGAGGACAGTGGCCCTGAAAGGCCTTGGCAGACATGTTCCTGAAGGACCTTGCAGGGGACTTTATTTGCTATACTGACCCACTACACATGGTATTGGGTTTGGCTTCTGGTCATCCCCAAGAGGTGATCTGCAGGGGGCCCTACCCTCCCGTCTCCTCCGACTCCTGTTTATCATGAAAACTGTAATGGACAGAGAAGTTTTCTATGCCTCTAGGTGGTGAAAATGACCAGATTTGGTTGTGGGGTCATAGTGGACACTAAAGATCAGCAAGGGAAAAAAGATGTGACTATAAACTTTCCATTCTCACAGTTGTTTTGAGACCCGAGTGTACGTTTAATGTTTTCAACAGAAGAGGCTGCATGAAGAAGAGTAAGTTAACCGCGGGGAGGCTGTGAGAATTTTTCTGCGCGGACAATGGAGCTCAGTGTCTGTTTCAGTGTTTGTGCTCTCTATAGATACCTGGATGATTCTTGGGCCTCAGTGTGTTCTCGCTCCCTCCCTGCCGAGACTCAAAGGGATGATGCACGCTGCCCAGCCAAAACCAGGACAGAACGTCTTTTTCCCCGTGGGAATGCGCTCCCGGCGCCAATTCCAAGGCCTGCCTGGGTCCTATTCAGGCAGTGCTGGGGTGAGCAGCAGGCTCGGGCCCAGCTGACACGGCCAGAGATCCCCAGTGACTACTTTCCTGACATGGCAGAGATGGCAGATGGAGAATCCATAAGCCCCAGTTACACCCGGGAGCTCACACTGTGGCTTCAGTCTCCAAGGAGAGTGGGGAGAGCCCTGGCCCTCCGTGAAGGATTGCTTCCGCCCAAGGGGGGCCAGTGAACCCGAATCACTCTGCTGGATGGTGCTGGGGGGCTGATGCAATCTGCATTCCTTCCCCTCGCACCCCTTACCCCTCGCTACCTCCCCCTTCTCATCCTCCCCACTCGCACCTCTCCTTCTCCCACACCTGGCTGACACCCACTCTTGAGTCACTGTCAGCTCCAAGACAGAACCGGCATCCTGGGTGCTTGGCAGGAGCCAAAGGAGCATGTTACAGGATCTCTGGCTTCACAGATGGGGAGAGAGCAGTTCAGAGAATTGCGGGTTCCACATTTGCTTGAAGTCACTCATCAGCCTTTATGTTACATTACAACAAAGCAGCCCAGGGGACATGGACTCATAGGGTACCTGGTGTTTCCCCAACTGTAGGGGGGATTCCGGGACAAATAAAGTTTGCCACTGGGACCCTCCCCCGAACTGTGCCCTGTCCCACTCCTGTGACACACTCTCTGCCCACAAGAGAGTGGCCAACAGTGGAGGCTGAGAGTGACCACCTGCCTGCCCTCAGTTATTAAAGGCTACTGGAGAACAAGCCTTGAGTGCGTGCTGAGAACACATGCCCCTAGCTGCCATCAAAGAGAATCACTTCATATGATTTTGACCATAAGCAAACTCTTCCACCTTCATTTTTTAAAATAACGGCTTTATTGAGATATGCATCACTTACCATGAAACTCACTCTTTTAAAGTGTACAACCCAGGGTTTTCAGTGTATTCACGGAATTGTGCAACCATCACCCATCACCCCTAATTTCAGGACATTTTTATCACTCCAAAAAGAAACTTTGCACACATCATTCTTCTCTCCCCACAGCCTCTGACAACTGCTGATCTATTTTGTCTCTATGGATTTAGCAGTCATGGACATTTCATATACATGGAATCATACACTATATGTCCTTTCATGACTGACATCTGTCACTTAGCATGATTTTATGAGATTCATCATGTTGGAGCATGCACCCATGCTTCCATCCTTTCTTTTTTTTTTTTCACAGTCTTGCTCTGTCGTGCAGGCTGAAGTGCAATGGCACGATTTTGGCTCACTGCAACCTCTGCCTCCCAGGTTCAAGCCATTCTCCTGCCTCAGCCTCCCAGGTAGCTGGGACTACAGGTATGTGCCACTATGCCTGGCTAATTTTTTTGTATTTTTAGTAGAGATGGAGTTTCACCATGCTGGCCAGGCTGGTCTCAAACTCCTGACCTCAAGTGATCTGCCCGCTTCGGCCTCCCAAAGTGCTGGGATTACAGACGTGAGCCACCACATCCTTTCTAAGGCTGAATAGTATTGCACTGTATGGATAGACCACATTTAGTTTATCTGCCTGCTGGCTTATGGACAATGAGTCACTCCACTTTTTGGCTACTATGAATCATGCTGTTGTGAGCACTTGTGTACATGTCTTTATATGGATGTCTGTTTTCCCTTCCATTGGGTTTGCTTGGGGGTGGAATTGCTGGGCCACCTTCTTTCTCCATGAGTGGAGCATGCCTATGCGCCCATCCCCGCATCTCCCATGTGTGGAGGCACTGCCCAAGCTCGTCTGTACTCTGAGTCACAGGGCTGTGCACCATTACCGATCACCATCTATGGGTCAGGGACTTATCAATGAGCAAGACATAGCCCCTGCCATCACTAACTCACATTCTGCATCGTCCTGTGCCATCCCCACCACCCCACCTTGGTCAGGCCCAGTGTCCAGGTGTCTTCAACTGCTCACCTTCCCCCTATTTTGTTGCCCTGAAGTTCATCCAGACATCAGGGTGCCCTATTGAAAATGCTAGTTAATATGACCTCTCTGCTCTAACCCCAATGTTGGAGTCTTGTCATCAGTGGGATAGAGCTGGTGTGACTGCACCAGACCAGTCAGGTTCAACTTTTATGAAAGGAAGTTGTGAGTTGCTTTCAGTTGCCATGGACCCCAAGTCGTAGGTCATGTAAGCTGAGCATGCCCAAACGGACCAAGCATGCAACCATGGGCAGAACCTGAGTGCTCAGACTGAGGAGCAGGGGCTGAATTAAGAAGCAGAGCATACATGGCAGGATCCAGGATCCAGGAGCCAATCAGACTGAGTTTGGCATCACTCCATGGCAGGATCCAATCAGATCACACCTCCCTGCAGCACCTCATTGCAAGATCCAATCAGACCACACCTCATTACCCTAGGCTTATAAAATCCAGGCCAGCCGCTAGCTTGGGGAGGCAGATTTGAGTGTTTTTTTTTTTCTGTCTCCTTGCCAGACTACCAGCAAAAAAGGTTTTCTTTTCTCAAAAGCCGGTGTCATGGTATTGGCCTCTGTGCACATTGGGCAGTGAGCCCACTGATTGCTCAGTAACATGGGCACACTCTGGGGCCCACACAAGCCAGGAATGATGTGGCCTTTACCTGCTGCTCCAGCTGCATCTGAGCCCAGTATCCCCTGAACACAAACCCCCACCTGCATGGAGCTGCATGCGGTTCTCGGGTACCTCCTGGCTATGTTCAGCTCCTGTAGATTCCTTCAGATCCACTCCTTCCCATTTCCTCATCCAACTGCCCAGCAGAGTGCCTACTATGCGCCACACACTGGGATTCAGCAGTAAACGACACAAACATGATCCCCACCCTTATCCTTCTCCCAGGACTCTTATTAATCTAAGGCTCACCTCCCTTCTTGTAACTTCCATGAACTCATATGCTCCCTCTCAGCTCAGGGACGTTGCTGGAGGAAGCAAGAGAGCAGCAGATGAACCCTTATGTTCAGGAGGCAGATGGAGCTCATTCAAAGCCCACCTTGGCCTCTTCTTAACCCGAAGATTTTAGCAAGTCATATAACCTTTGAACTGCAACTCCCTGGATTGTGGAATGCCCAAAGTGTGCTGAGCGTGAAGTAAATAATGCAAGTGTAAAGTGTGCGGCATGGTCCTGGTTCATCTCAGGAGGCCGTTAGGAAACTAGCACTTATTTTTGCCAGGGCTTGAGCATAGAACATACTAATTTCCCCAATGGCATTATCACATTGTATTACTTTTTATTTACATGTTCTTTCTCCCCTACCAATCTCAGAGAATCTCAAGGGCAGCAATGATTAATTATTAATTTTGGAATCCTTGGTTCCTGGCACATTCCTTGAAAATAAATCATTGGCTTACTTTCCACTGATTCTCTTAATTACCCCTGAGAGGCAGAGATTGGAATTATACTATGCTGAGCAGCTCAATGTTTTCCCAGTAACAGCAGGAAAATCCCAATGCACAGAGAAGGAACCTGAATGACTTAGGTGGGACACACCAGGACAGACACCCGTGGTGATGACATTCTGTGCCCTTCATCCCACAGAGTGGTCTGTCTTCACAGTGGTCTCCCCTCACCACACTGAGCCCTCAAACTTCCTCTTTCCGCTGACCAAAGTGCACCCAGGCCTGCTTGTCCATTCAGACAGATGCCAGGGCCCTCTGCACTCCATCTGACCTCTGCAATATGCCGGTTCCTAATAAGGGAGCAGGATCCAGGTCCAGTTGTTCACACTTCTAATTTCATACCGGCAGCCTCAGTAAAGTTCTGCCATCAGGCTAAGGCCCCACTGATCGTCGACCTTTTCTGCATAAAGATTCACCTCCAGGGCTCTTAGAAAATACTGCTGCCTGGCTACCACCCCATCCTTAGTGTGACATAGGGTTTTTTTTTCTTCTTCTTCTGTTTTTTGTTTTTTTTAGAATAATTAGGCAGCTCTGTTGCCCAGGCTGGAGTGCAGTGGCATGATCTCAGCTCACTGCAACCTCTGCCTCCTGGTTCAAGCAATTCTCCTACCTCAGCCTCTTGAGTACCTAGGACTATAGGCACACGCCACCATGCCCGGCTAATTTTTTGTATTTTTAGTAGAGACGGGGTTTCACCAGGTTAGCCAGGATGGTCTCAATCTCCTGACCTTGTGATCCGCCCACCTCAGCCTCCCAAAGTGCTGGGATTACAGACGTGAGGCACCACACCTGGCCTGCCCCGGGTTGTTTTTTTTTTTAAAGCTCCCCAGGGATTTGTAAGTGCATACCAAAGACTGGGAACCCCTGGCTTAGCTCACAGAGCAAAGAGCCTTTTGAGGGTTCCCCTCGACAGTTGCTCCCTCACCTCCAGCTGTGGGGCCACACAGAGCGCTGGGCCATTGTGGTGTTAGAGACCAGAGTTAAAGGGACTCCATCTGTAATATCCAGGACAAATGGGCTGGCAGGTGCTGCTCAAACCCTTACACACAGATAGTATTTGGGGAGGTGAGGTCAATTCCCCCATTATGGAACGCTGCGGTTTTAAAAGCAAGCAAACAAACAAAAACAGGAAAAAAGTGAGCTTTTTAAAACTAAGGTAAAATTTGTCCTCAACTTCCTGGCCTTGATTGGGCTCTGCTACTAGAGCGGCAGAAGCAACTCACTTCCCTGCTTCCACGGACCTGTTTCATGTAATGCATTTTGCAGAGATTTGAAGACAGGGTCCTTGACTTGGGCAGCTAACAGCCTGAGGCTAGAGGCAGCCACCCCTGAACAGTGAACAATTCTGCAAGGCGCCTGGCAATAGTACTATGCGGGGAGGGGGTAGGAACAAGGTGCTGCAGGGCGGGGTGGAGGAGGAAATGAATTCTGCCTGGGAGAAGCGGGAGTGCGTATTTGAGTGGGGTCTGGAGCAGGTGCATGCAAAGAAGCACCTCAAAGGCACGGGCAGGTGTGTGCAGGCGTGGGCAGGCGTGGGCAGGCGTGGGAAGGCGTGGGCAGGCGTGGGCAGGTGTGGGCAGGCGTGGGCAGGCGTGGGCAGGCGTGGGCAGGTGTGGGCAGGTGTGGGCAGGCATGTGGGCACGGCACAGGGCTTGTCCAGGCCAGATGCCATTAAGCACAGGTATCTGTGGTGGGCAGGGGACACAGTGGAAGCAGATAGAGAAGGTTTGCTGGGGTCCCATGGAGGGGCGCCTTGTAGGCCATGGTCACTCTAGGCTGATGCAAGGTGCTCAAGGTTGAAGGCAGAGGTGACTGACCTGTGCTTGAGAGAGGGTAGGGAAGAGAAGCTGCCGGACTTGAGGGGCTGAAATTGTCCTGTAATAGTCCAGGTCAGGAGTGTTAATGATGCCCCAGCTCGGGCAGTGACTACGGCAAGGAGAGTTTAACATGTGGTTCAGTTCAGCAGACATGGGGAACTCACTATGTGTGAAGCAGGACACATCACGGAGGCAGCCCTCAAATGCTTGAAGACAGTAATCCTGCCCCTGTGCTGTGGCGGGTTCTTTAAGGGGTGTGACTTCCTCATCAGACCCATTGCTCTCACACCTAATGATGCTGCCATGTGGCAGGGCTGTGGGCAGAGCCATGCCCTAGCAGGGGAAGTGGAGGACAGCGGCGGGGAGGGAGTGTGGGCAGGGCTTTCCTGCCCTCTGGGTCCTCTCCTCTCTTTCGTGGCAGGGCCTTGAGGTCCATTCGCTGGGCTGCACAGAAGGAGGACTCCAGAGCCCCCCTTGGGTTCAGGATTTTATACACGCAGCATTCCAGACAGATGGACCCGTGTATTGACAATGAAAGCATGGGAGAACTGTATTTCTTTGGTGATTAAAGTAAATGCAAAAGTTATGATGCATTATCAGGAGATCCTGCTTCCCTCTCTCCTAGGAGAGTGCCTTCTGGGAATCATAGAGTTGTCTTGGCACAGAACCAATCATGAGAGACCAATCGTGAGAGACAATAGGAGGATATTGTGCTGACTCCACAGGGGGCCCTGGTTGGCACCGAGAGGCCGTCTGGGTATGCTGTGGTCTGGTCAAGCATTGTCAGAGCTCGGCTCCCGCACTGACTTCAGCTAGAAGCTAGCGTAATACAAATGGCTTCTCCTTTCTGAGGAGAGCAATGTGCTGCATGGAAGCCTTTGTTCATCCTCACTGGCTGAAGATGTGCACTGTGGGCTCACAGCGTATGAGACAGTGTAAGACCATATCACTGGGGTGGCTCCACTGCAGAGAACGAATCTATTCTAGGTAAGTCACAGCAGAGAGAGGTTTGTTACAGATTATTTCAGAGCTGACAGTTTTATGCGAGAGCTGGAAGACAGATTCCCAGTTCAGAAATTACTCCCATACCACACCACAGGACTAGCCACTGCAGATGCTGCCTCCCCCAGGCTCTGGAAACTTCCAGCCCCAGAACTACCTCACCTCTGCCTCCATCTGGCCCAGAAGCCACAAATTCTCCCCTGACTCCAGAACCAAATCATACCTGTTGCCATCTGCAGCAGCAAATGGATGCCCTAGAACCCACCCCTCAACTTCCTCCTAGCTATGGCTCGCCTGGAACCTCTGCTGAACAAACGCCTGCACACCTGTGCCAGCCCGAGCAGCAGGAACGCAGCCTCCAAGTCACTTAGGCCTGCCAGGTCTCGCGGAGTGTGCTGACCAGCTGAACGCGAATCCTATTCTAGTCTCTAACTGCAGAGGGCCTGGAGATGGACAGCTTCAAGTTTGGTTTCTACACAGGAGGGAGAGTGAAATGATGCTGGAGACCAGGTGTCATCTCCACCCATGGGACCTTGAGAGTTGGGGAGGGCACAGGGACCCTCAGACCCGTTGTCAGCCTTAGGAACCAAAGAAATTCTGTCTCCCCATGACTCCTCCTCTGACATCTGGCCTGGCAGGCTGGTCTCTCTATCCTACACATGCCCTACCATGGGGTGTCTGTATCCACTCCAATTCCACGTGCACCCACTCTGCACCCCGCCCATGCTCTCTACTCCTAAGAGTCTTTCCCAGCCTTCAAAATACAGCTTGAGGCTTCAATGAGGGCTTCTTCAACTGTTCTGTCCTGGCGAATCCTCTGTCTCCTTGAGCACTTACCATCTCTACAAACCCCTTGGTGTGTGTGTAACCACAGCTTGGAAGGCCACTGATGGTCCTCTGATGACTTTCTATGTAATCACCATGAAGCTCCAGTTAGATCAAGAGCACCTATAGAAGGAACTGGGACCAGGTCTGTTGTTCTTGAATTCCTGACAGTTCTGTAGCTCAGTGCTGAAAACAGCAAAGCCACTCAGCCCCCATCTTTGGGAAAACTGGCTTCCTCTGTGCTGAAGGGGGATAACAGTGCCAGCCCTGCTTCTGTGTGTGTGTGTGTGTGTGTGTGTGTGTGTGTGTGTGTGTGTTGTTGTTGTTGTTGTTGTTGTTGTTGTTGGGCTCTAGATCAAAAGAGTTAATACAGGCTGGACGCAGTGGCTCATGCCTGTAATCCCAGCACTTTGGGAGGCTGAAGCAGGCAGATTACCTGAGGTCAGGAGTTCGAGACCAGCCTGGCCAACATGTTGAAACTCCATCTCTACTAAAAAATACAAAAATTACCCAGGCATGGTGGCAGGTGCCTGTAATCCCAGCACTTTGGGAGGCTGAAGCAGGCAGATTACCTGAGGTCAGGAGTTCGAGACCAGCCTGGCCAACATGTTGAAACTCCATCTCTACTAAAAAATACAAAAATTACCCAGGCATGGTGGCAGGTGCCTGTAATCCCAGCACTTTGGGAGGCTGAAGCAGGCAGATTACCTGAGGTCAGGAGTTCGAGACCAGCCTGGCCAACATGTTGAAACTCCATCTCTACTAAAAAATACAAAAATTACCCAGGCATGGTGGCAGGTGCCTGTAATCCCAGCTACTCGGGAGGCTGAAGCAGAAGAATTGCTTGAGCTTGGGAGGCAGAGGTTGCAATGAGCCAAGATTGTGCCACTGCACTCCAGCCTGGGCAACAGAGCGAGACTCCATCTCAAAAAAAAAAAAAAAAGAGCTACTATGCAGGAAAAGGCACTATGATCTTTACTCAAACTCCTGTTGAGCAACAGCTGCTCCTATTCCCAAGTCACCCTGCAAATGAGCCGGCAAACTTGCCCATCCAGCCTGGGCCTGGGGTCTTACATGCAGGGCTCCCTCTGCTCTGTGGAGACATGACCAGGAAGCATCTCTCAGGTAAATGGCTGAAGAGAAGCAAGTGCAGCATGAAGCATGAAGACGGGAGACGAGCCCCTAGCATGCGGCTTGGGCTTCACTGCAGGAATTAATGACCGTTGGCACAGATGCAGACCTCTTGTTTCCATGCTTCTCTGGAGCAAACAGCATTGGGTAACAGGGCCATGCCCCAAAACCTGGAAGCCAGGTTCTCCTTTTCTTCCTCTTGGTGGACACAGTCTTAACCGCCCACAAAAGCTAGACCTGAGGCACCTTGGCCTGCTCAGTTATTTCCAGGATGGTTGTGCAGACACCGCAGTCACACATGAGGAGGGCTGACCGGTGAGTTCAGGCGCAAGACAGCAGAAACCCTTGGGAGGTGTTTAGCAGTTTCCCTAGGTCACTCTCCTCACCCCTGGGAAAAGGAAGAGAAGGTAAGACAATTTTCTATGTGTTTTGGATATCTATCTCTAACATAAACCCAAATTCACTCAAAATCAAAATCAAAATCAAAATTTTCATCAGAAAATATTTTCCCTAGGAAAGTTGATGTGGTGTTGCTTAAAAGCATAATTGGCTGGGTGCAGCGGCTCACGCCTGTAATACCAGCACTTTGGGAGGCTGAGGCAGGTGGATCACCTGATGTCAGGAGTTTGAGACCAGCCTGACCAATGGAGAAACCCTGTCTCTACTAAAAATACAAAATTAGCCTGGTGTGGTGGTGCATACCTGTAAACCTAGCTACTTGGGAGGCTGAGGCAGGAGAATCGCTTGAACCGGGGAAGTGGAGGTTGTGGTGAGCCAAGATCACGCTGTTGCACTCCAGCCCAGGCAACAAGAGTGAAACTCCATCTCAAAAAAAAAAAAAAAGAAAAGAAAAAGAAAAAGAAAAAGAAAGAACAATTGAAATGTGCACAGTAAGAATTCAAAGTAAAGGCCAGGCACAGTTTCTCACGCCTGTAATCCCAGCACTTTGGGAGGCTGAGGCAGGTGGATCATTTGAGGCCAGGAGTTCAAGACCAGCCGGGCCAATGTGGCGAAACACCATCTCTACTAAAAATACAAAAATTACCCAGGCGTGGTTGTGCACGCCTGTAATCCCAGCTACTCAGGAGGCTGAGGCATGAGAATCGCTTGAACAGAGGAGACTGCAGTGAGCTGAGATCATGCCACTGCACTCCAGCCTGGGCGACAGAGTGAGACTCTGTCTCAAAAACAACAACAACAACAAAAAAAAAAAAAAAAAAAAAAAAGAAAGAAAGAAAGAAATATGAAGGCCCATGTCAATGCCATGAATAAATCTTATTTTATTTAATATTTATTTAAAAGAATTCGCAATAAAAACACATCTTCATTGGTTTAGCGTTGTTGTAAAGGAATACCAGGGATGGGTTATTTATAAATAAAAAAGGTTTATTTGGCTCATGATTGTGATGTCGACAAAAGTTTGAGTTTGGGCGTCATCTGGCAAGGGCCGCAGGCTGCTTCCACTCGTGGCAGAAGGTGAACAGGCGCAGGTGTGTGTGGAGATTACATGGAGAGACAGGGAAAGAGAGGGAGAGAGAGGGAGGGAGAGGGAGCCAGTGCCAGGCTGTTTTTAGCAACCAACTCGCATGGGAACTAACAGAGCAAGAACTCACTCATTACCTTAAGGAGGGCGCCAAGCCATTCGTGAAGGACGCGCCCCCAGGACCCAAGCACCTCCCACCAGTTCCCACCTCCAACACTGGGGCTCAAGCTTCAACATGAGGTTTGGGGGACAAACAACCAAACTATAGCAAACACATTGAGAGCATGTCCAATAAGACGACTGAAGTTTGGGATAATGCTGCACCTTGGTCTGGGTTCTTAGTGCAGACTCTAATACAAGTGAGGTTCTAAAATTCACACACCCTCTGTCCATCCATCCCATCGCTGGGATATTCACTAGGATAAAATTGTGATTTATCATGAGCTTGAGCTAGAACAGCCAACACCTAGATTTCCTTAAATCTGTTTCTATTTCTTGCTCATTCCTCCTTTTCCATGCAAATTCTTATTTGTAGTAAGTAGCGCCACTCTTTTCCAGACCCCAGGTGTAATTAACTGTAGCAAAATGTGGTAAAAGACCGTATTTGTGGCTCTGAATATTAAAATCCAAAGGTGACCAGAAAATAATTGTTAACAGTTCTGGGTGGTTGTGCCAGAAAAATGACTCTGGCTCAGGAGGTGACATTTTTCAGACAGTGGTAAGGGAGGCTCGGTGATCCATTTGGTTCTGATGTTTAGGATAGGAGAGTGATCCTGGAGACTACATAGGATTTGGTTTTTTTTTTTTTTTTTTTTTTTAAAGTTCCATACCAAAATGTAGGCCTGTGGATGCTGATGGAACTCCAGGTAACACAGTGCCCAAAGTAGGCGTTTGTGTGCTTAGGTTACCACTGGGTCATAAAACAGCCACGTGGCAACTCCAGCCTTGGCTCGGGAGTTTGGTATAAGAGGAAAGTTGGTGGCTTTGCATTGGGTGCATGTTCATGTTTCGCCTGGATCATATCATTGTTCATCTTCCCCATTGAAGGCCCACCCCACAGGTAGTTTTTGCACTTTTTGATCTTGGCACCAGCAAAGCTGTTGCACGTGAGACACAAGCTTTAAGGTGGGAACCTGACGTAGGTCTTCAGTGGCCCAAATCAGGAAAGGAGTCGCTTCCCTGACCCGGGCACAGTTAAATAGATCCACAGCCCAGTGTGGACAACTTACTCTAGTTGACAACATGTGGTGGAGAAAAGGCCAAGGTTTCCTGAACAGCATATCTCTTCTAGAAAGAGCAATACTTCCTAAAAGTGCTGAGGTTGCCACAGTTGAAAAGTTCAGAAAAATGAAATTCAAGTGTAAATTTGTATGAAAGAGAGGGAGAAGGGTTCTTCCAGGAACCATTCAGAAAATGATGAGATAAATCACAGACTGAGAGAAAGTAGTTGCAGGACACATAATCTTCCAAGGACTTCTATCCAAAATATTTCAGAACTCTTACAAATCTCATAAACAAGCAAGCCATTAAAAATGGAAATTCAGAGGCTGAAGAGAGACAATCACTTGAAGACAGGAGTTAGAGACCAGCTTGGGCAACATAGTGAGACTCTATCTCTAAAAAAAGTTTTAAATAAAAGTTTAAAACAATTTTAATTTAAAAAATTGGAATCAGAAAATAGAAGAAGATATACATATGGCCAAAAAGCACATGAAAAGATCCTCAACATCATCATCAGAAAATGTTAATTACCATGTTAGGGTATCTTCATATCCACTAGAATGGCTAAAATTGAGAAGATCAGTGTATTAAGTGCTGACAAAGATATGGAGCAACTGAAACTCTTTTTTTTTTTCCAGACAGGGTCTCGCTCTGTTGCCCAGGCTACAGTGCAATGGCACAATCATGGATCACTGCAGTCTCAACCTCCTAGGCTCAAGCAATCTTCCCACATCAGCCTCCTGAGTAGCTGGGACCACAGGTGCGCACCACCAGACCCCACTGATTTTATTATTTTTACTTTTACGGAATCAGGGTCTCTGTATGTTGCCAGGACTGGCTAAAACTCTTACATCTTGCTGGTAGGAATAGAAAATGGTACCCCCATATTGAAAAACAGATTGGCCACTTCTTATAAACATAGACTTACAATACCGTTCATGTGTTCCATTTCTAGACATAGTAATAAAAACATGTTTGCATAAAAAGACTTGTATGCAAATATTCACAGAAGCTTAATTCACAAAAACCAACACTTGGGGGTTAAAAATAAAATTGCCCAGATGTCCATCAACAGGTGAATGGAAAAACCGTGGAATGTTCATACAATAGAAACTCTACCGCTCAGCCGTAAAAAAATGAACTTGACACACACCCACATATGATGACTCTCAGAAACATCACTCTGAGGGCAAAATAAGCTGGACACAAAAGAATTCATGCCGTATGACAACATTGACATGAAGTTCTAGAGTTGGCGGAACTAATCTCTGGTGATAGAAATCAGATAAGTCGTTGCCTGGGGCAGGGGTTTGGAGGGAAAATTGCAAAGAGCACAGGAGAACCTTATGTGGAAATGTTCCATGTCTTGATTGGCATGGTGGTTACGCGGTTGTACATATTAGTCAAAATTCACTGAAGCATACACTTAAAATGTGTGCATTTTATTGCATGTAGCTATACCTCCACAAAGACGGTTAACTCACACACAAAGAACTTCTTCAGAATTAGTCACCTGTGGACTACTCTGTCACGCATTGGCAGGTCTTCATGTGGCTGTCACAGAAATCGGTTCCAAGATTTAGCAACCACACAACCATAATAACACTGAACAGGACTCATTTTTATTGGGTTTTGATATACTCATCTTGGAAGTCAGGAAGTTACTTTGAATTTTCAACAGATTCTGAATTTAACCTCAAAAATACTTTTAAGCGTAACTTTGTATTTTCCATGCAGTGGTGCTATGCCTTGGAGAAACTACTGATTTGGTGTCAGTTCCCCAGAAAAGAGCATTTTAAAAAGAGAAAGACAGCCTGATCAACATAGTGAGACCCCATCTCTACAAAATATTTTTTTAAAATTAGCTGGGCATGGTAGTTCACGTCTATAATCTCAGCTACCAGGGAGTCTGAGGCAGGAGAATCTTTTCATCCCAGGAATTTGAGGCTGCACTGAGCTACAACAGTGCCACTGCACTCCAGCCTAGCGACAGAGCAAGACTGTCTCAAAAAAAAAAAATCAGTAAAAACAAAAGAAGAAAAATGTAAGGTATTGCATTACAGAGCTGTGCATGATCAACTTTTTGCTTCAGTTTACATAGCATTTTCTATTTGAAACAATGCTTTGAAAATATCTACAAATGCCAGGTTATCAGTCTGTCATAATTTTTTTTAAAAAAGAAAGAGCTAAGAACACTCAATTCTCTTGATCATGATCCAGCCAAATCAGGCTCACACATATCCTGCCGTGTGTTCAACTTCCTTCTGTTCCTGCCCTTTCACCACCAAACAAGAAGGTAGTCAATCCAGAAAGGGTGTATCATGTTTTTTAGGAATCTCATCTTATTTTTTCACCAACCCTCACAAATCACTCCAAAGGTAAATATGACAGGGAATTACAGAAAGGTAGTTGTGAAAAGGTAAGTATGGCCAGGAAATTCCAAGGTGGCCTGAGAGACAACTGGGCTGTGGCTGTGACTCAGCTCCAGTTGCAGAAGTACCTGTTTTACTCTGTGGAGGATGTGTCTGTGCTGTGTGAACAGTGCCATCCCCCTTCCCTTCTCTTCTAGGCACTACCCCCACCAGGAAGCCCATCAGACAATGGCCCAAGCACATTCCGATGGACAAGTTTGAGGCTCAACAAATTCATTGTCAACAACTAGGAAGATGGAATAAAAATCAGATGTCCAAGTCTAGATTGGCGAGTTGAAATAAAAACAATCCTATTACACATCACCCAATGAAAAAAAATTACCCAAGCCATGGTCTACCCAGCATTTTTGTTCATTGTGCGAGGTGTTTGGCAAAGTGTACCAAGATTTTTAAAAATTCCTATCAATTTACCAACTACTTCCTCTTCTAGTAATTTATCCTAAGTAAATCAGTAGAGATTTACTTAGGTTCATGTACAAAATATCCTATGCAGAATATTGTCTATTGACAGTATCCCAACTATCCGACAATATGGATAATTGTAAAATAAATTATACCAATAAGATAAAATACTATTCATGCAAAACTAAATGTGTGGTCTTCCCCTCTGAACCTGTCCTCCCCAATGCATGGCAATAAAGTATAGTGCGTACACTGTAGTTCTGAAGTTAGACTGACTACACGCAAATCCTGGCTTTGGAACATTCTAACTGTGTGACACTGGACATTTACTTAACTTACCTAAGCCTCGGTTTTCTCTTGTGAAAATAATAAGGCTACCAGAGAATTCAGTAAAATAATTAATGAAAAATGCTGACACATAATAAAGGCTCAATAAATGTTCCATGGTGAACAGCTCTATGAAAACCTATTTCCAAAGTCCAAAGAAGCTGAGGGGACAAAGAAAAAGGCTGACACATCCGATTTCTCAGTAAGAAATGTTTAACAGGGACTTGCAAACAGAAGCCCTGTCCCCAGAGGCTGTGGGATGAGTTGGTGGATTTCTGAGCCATTACCCTGCAGACCCAGAGCTTATGTACCACAGGTGAGGAATGTGTAAGACAGGCGAAGTGGACCCCTGAGAGACAGGTAAGAATTCTATTTGAATCTGCCTAAAGGCAGGATTTCTGATCAAGATCATTTTGACCTAAGAGCAGGATTTACAGTAACAGTAAAGTAGAGATCTCAGAGGCATTCCCAGAACACAGGTTAATCGGAAGTCCACATAGCTGATTCGCATCCAAGATGGAGTAGCTTTAGCCTCCACAGAGTTGCTGCTGGTAACTTTGGTTACACACAGAAATCACCTGGGATACTTTAAAAATACTGCTGCTTGGCTTCCATACCCAGAAATTCTGATGTAACTTGTCTGAGATGGAGACTCAGCATCCAGATCTGTCAAAGCTCCTCTAGTAGGTTCTGATTCTAGTCATGAGAGAGTCACTCACTTGTACTGAACATTAGTCCTGCTAACAGCAATTACAAACTCTTCTCAGAATATAATCAGCAACCGTTTGAAGACACAAGAAACCAACCCAAAGCAGGCACAAACCTCATCCTTGACAGAAAAGGAGCACATTAACCAGCTCCACATTTAACCGGCTTTCCCTGGAGGACGCTATCCAGCAAGGCAAAATAGGCAGTCAAGCAGGAAGTAGTGATGTTATTGGGCTAAACAGACACGGATTGAAGTTCAGAGCTGCCATCCCATCTGGAAATTGAACAGCAAAATCCCAGAAAGCAGGAAGAAAGAAGGAAACCACCAAACTAGTGTAAAATTCCCCTAGGTCCTTGGCTGACTTATGAACTGTGCAGAGTACATGAGGAGACACCCAGGAGCCCAGCAGAAAGCAGCAACTTGGAAGCCAAAAAGCTGGATCTCAGCAGGTACCTAGTGCTTAGAGTTCTGGGTTCGAGTCCCACTTAGTTAGACAGGCTTTGACAAACACTACAGGCTCTCCCTGAAAAACTAGCAGGACCACACCTTAGGAGTAAGAACCACATCCCAAGACTAAAGGCTATGACCCAGGATCATGACAAACCCAAAGAACAAACCCTAAATCCAAGCTTTCACAAGAGCTACAGAACCTGCCAGCAATGTAAGTGCCTGCCGGAACAAAACAGCACATTGTAAAGGAAGGTAATGTAATTCAGTCTCCACAACAAATCCACGGTTCCCAAAACAATAATAACTTTCTAAAAAGACACTAGACAAGCACAAAAACAGAAAATGTGACCCATAATCAGGATAAAAGAAACAGACCTGTAGATCACCTAGATGTTGAATTTAGCAGACGAGCAATTTAAAGCAGCTATTATAAATATGTCAGCAGCTATTTATTATAAATATGTCAGGTGGCCGGGCTCGGTGGCTCATGCCTGTAATCCCAGCACTTTGGAAGGCCAAGGTGGGCAGATCACCTGAGGTCAGGAGTTTGAGACCAGCCTGGCCAACATGGTAAAACCCCATCTCTACTAAAAATACAAGAATTGGCCGGGCGTGGTGGCACCCACCTGTAGTTCCAGCTACTCAGGAGGCTGAGGCAGGAGAATCGCTTGAACCTGGGAGGCAGAGGTTGCAGTGAGCCAAGATCGTGCCATTGCACTCCAGCCTGGGCAACAGAGAGAGACTCTGTCTCAATCAATCAATCCATCAATAAGTAAGGGGGGTTACAAAGAAGAGTGAAAAGAAGGGCAAAGACAGAGAATCTTAGCAGAGAAATAGAAACATTAAAAAGGAAACAGATGGAAATTCTAGAAATGAAAAATATGGCTTCACTAGAGACTCCACACAGCAGAAGAAAGGATTATGAACTTGAACACAGGCCAGTACAAGTTATCCACTTTCCAAAGCACAAAAGGAAAAAGAAATTTCAAAAAACTGAACAGCAACATCTGAGTCCTGTGGGACAATAGCAAATGGTTGTCTCATATATTAATATATGCAATTGGAGGCCCAGAAGGAGAGGACAGAGGGAGTGGAGTAAAAGAAATATTTAATGAGACAATGGCCATCTTTCTTTCCAAAATTGACATAAGAACCCACAGATTCAAGAAGCTCAGCAACCACTGAGTATGATAAATAAAAAGAACACATCATAGCCAAACTTTTGAAAAATATAAAAAAGGAAAAACATCTCTAAAAAGGAAAAAAAAAAAACTGGCCAGGAAAAAGACACATTACATTCAAGGGAATGACAAAAATAGTGATGCCTGACATCTCAACAGAAGGAACAGAAGCTAAACAACAACTGAAAAACATCTTTAAAGTGTGGAAAAAGAAAAGAATCTAGAATTCTATGCAGAGAAATAATATTCTTTGAAAATGTAGGCAAAATAACTGAGACAAACAAAACTGAGAGAATTAATTGCTCATAAATCCTCAGGACACACGATGCTAGAGAAAATTATTCAGGCTGGGGGGAAATTATCCCACAAGTAAATCTAAATCCATAAGAAAGACTGAAGATCACACAAATGGTAAGTCTACGGGTTTTATTAAAGGCTATTTTTCTCAAATTCTTTAAAAGTATATGATCTTTAAAATGCAAAATAATACAATAAAATGTGTTTGTTGTATGATTTATACATAAGTAGAAGTAAAATGTGTGATAACAATAGCATAAAAGGCTAGAGTGGGAGATGGAATTATAAAGTTCAAGGTTCTTACATTATATGTGAAGGGGCATAATGCCATTTTAAGTTCATGATAACTTGAGGATGTATAGTCCAATCTCTACAGCAACCACTAAAATAGGTTAAGCAAAGAGATCGAAAGCCAGTCAAGGAGCTAGAATATGTGAACGTTGTCAGAATAAATATGAAGTCACTAATGTTGAGAGAACCATGACAAGCAGAGCCAGGGAGGCCATGAAGACAGGGTTCTCATGCTTGTAGGTCTGATGACAAAAACTATCACAAAAGACTGCAAAACCGTACAAAAGCCATCACAACCTTACAGAAAAGAAAATACTTCTACAGGAACATCTGCCCAGCTATTGCCTGTCCAACCTCAGACTGGCATCAACCTCGTTATTGATCTTTGTAACCAAGACAATTAATTTTTATTAATTTTGTAAATCAAGACAATTAATTATATAATCCTCCGCATATTTCCTTTAAAAACCTTGTCTTCCTTTACCTCCCTAAATATGCATATAATTTACTATGACAGTCCCATTGCAACACTTTATTCCAAATAAATATTTGTTCTTTAGAGAGTGTCTCTCTGTTATTTACGTCGACAGATACTATAAATTACTTGAATAAACTAAAAGAAGATGGGAAAGGAAGAACAAACAAGACAAATAGAGAACAAGTAGAAGGTAGATTAAATTCAACCCACCGCTAATTATACTAGTTGAAAATGAATTGAACTTCTGTTTCCACTATGATGAAATAACTTTTCCAACTGGCCCTTTTGGCCTGAACAATGAGAAGACTGGACAAATCATTTAACAACTGTTTTTACACATTGAATGAGAGGCAGCAAAGACTGTGACCTCCAAGGGAAAAGAGACAAACAAGGTTGACGCCGCTTTCTGTCTGGAAATACATTTGGCAGAGTGGTGCAGGAAGGGGTCCTCAGGAAGAGTGTGGTGGTCTTGCTAACTGGGAAGACAGAGATTGGGGTTCCAGGAGGGTGGGGCAGCTGTAAGTTGCAGGGCGGCATGTCAGAGATGGGGGAGGTCACTCAGAGAAAAGCCCTGGACATTGGCACACAGGGAACCTTGAGTACTGGGCTGAACTCTACACTGGATGTGTATAGGGTGACGCTCCACGGGGTAGACAGAGAGGAAAGACCAGAGAAAGAACCAACAGGGAACTGTCCTCTGAACAGTTCTCAGACCTCATGTGGGCTGGCCGGGACAGTCAGGTTCTGGCCACCTGAGAGAGACCTTCATGCACTGGAATATCATCTTTAAAAATGCCTTTCGGCTGGGCGAGGTGGCTCACACCCATAATCCCAACACTTTGGGAGGCCAAGGCAGGTGGATCTCTTGAGCTCAGGAGTTCAAAACCAGCCTGGGCAACACAGTGAAACTCCATCTCTATAAAAAATACAAAAATGAGCTGCATGTGGCGGCATGCACCTGTAGTCCCAGCTACTTAGGAGGCTAAGGTGGGAGGATCGTTTGAGCCCAGGAGGTCTAAGTCGCAATGAGCCAAGATTGTGCCACTGCATTCCAGGCTGGGCGGCAGAAGGAGACCCTGTCTCAAAATAAAATAAATAAAACTAAATAAAATATGCCATTCACCATAGGAAACTAAAAAAAGAAAAACAGGTTAAACCCAGAGTAAGTGAAAGGAAAGAAAAAAATAGAACTCAGACTGGTAATCAAAAACATTTAAAAAAATAGAAAAACTATAGGAAAAAAATCAGTGAAACCAAAAGCTGGTTATTTAATAAAAATGATGAACCTTTAGCCAAAATGAGGCAGAAAAAAAGAGCCAAGATACAAATTATAATAGCAGGAATTACAGAGATGATATTACTATGGATTCTATAGCTTTTTCTAGAATTAATTAGGGAATATATTTATTCATGCCAATAAATTAGATAACTTAATTGAAATAGATAATTCCCTTGAAAGATGCAAACTATCAAAGCAAACTAGAGAAGAAATAAGTAATGTGAATAGCCATTTTTCTACTAAAGAAATGAAATTTTTTATTCAAAACATTTTCACAAGCAAAACCCCAGGCCTATGTGGTGTCGCTGGTGAATTCTACCAAACATTCAAGTAAAAAATACGACCAATCCTACCCCAACCCTTGCAGAACATTGAAGAGGGGCACTATTTCCCAAATCATTCTATGAGGCCAGCATTACCCTGACACCAAAAGTGACAAAGACATTACAAGAAAGAAAGCAAAACAACCATGCACCATTATCTCTCATGAACGTAAGTGCAATAATTCTTTTAAAAAGTTACAGCAAATCAAATTCAATAGTATGTAAAAGGATAATACAGATGTAACCATAGATGCAGAAAAAGCATTTAACAAAATCCAACATCCATTCTTGATTAAACTCTTAGCACACTAGGAGTACAAACGAACTTTCACAACCTGATAAAGGGCAACCACAAAAACCCTACAATGAACGTCATACTTCGTGGGGAAAGATGGGATGCTTTTCCCCTAAGATCAGGAACAAGACAAAGATGATGGATAATGTATTTTTATGTTTGTGTGAATCTTCAAGAACATGTAAAATTAATCTATAGGGAAAAAAATCATAACAATGTTTGCATGCAGGTGAGAACGTGGTATTCACTGGGAAGGGCCGCGTGGGAATCTTCAGGAGCGAAATGGAAATGTTCTATACAGAAATATATAGACATATTCTATATCTTGATTTGGCCTACAGTTAGAAAGCTGTATATATTTTTCAAAACTTATCCAACTGAACACTTACGATCTGTGTCTTTTAGTGTATATATGATACATCTCAATTTATAAAAAGAAAATAAAAGAGGAGTTAACATCTCTATCATGATGGACTATTTAGTTAGTTTAGACGAACTCAGAAATATGCAGCCCAACTCTGACTATACCTCTGATCAGTGGCAGAACAGAAATTTGAATCCACTACTCTCAGCAGACACCTGGAAGTCATCTCTGACATCTCCCTCTCCCCCAAGTCCACCACCAAGTCCTATTAATTACTCCCCTAAGGACATTCTTGATCTTTACACTTCTCTCGTCCCCACCCCACCCTGCGTCCAAGCCACCATCTGCTGTCTCCTGGACCCTGCGCTGGAATCTTTCCCAGGCTCCCTGCTTCCATCATCCTGGCTCAGCTCTCACCAATCTCTCTGGGCCCTGGTGGACAAAGTGAACGATGAAAGTGTAAGTCTGACCTTGGCCGACGGCTGTCCACCAGATCCCACTGTCCTTAGGTTAAAGTCTCCACCCTTAGCCTGGCCACAACATCTTGCCTGTGTGCAATTTGTCTCCCCTTAGGTCTTGGGGGGCACCTCCTCCCTTCCCCACTCACTGTTGGGCTTTGTTTCATTCTCTGAACCAGCTCTACTCCCTCCCACCACAGCCATCACTAAACTGTTTCTTGTGCCTGGCCCCTTCCCCTTCCACCTCATCACACAGCTTACTTATTTGCAAGCTTTTTGCTCTTCGGGGAAGTCTTTCCTGAGTCCCCCAGATTAGGTGAGTCCCCCACTGTGTGCTGTCTCAGGCCCTGTCCTCGTCTGTCCCAGCACTTCTCCATTTGTCATTGTGTATTTGTTCCTATGATCACTTGATTGATATCTGTTGCCAATCCTGCAGTGTGCGCTCCAGGAGGGCAGGAGTCATGTCCCTTTTCTTATCCTGCACACCCCAGCACACTGCCTGGCGCAAAGCAGGCCCTTAGTAAATACGTATTTGAATTAATGAACATGTAGTGAAGATCACAAATGCAGATGTGCAAAGAAAATGCAAAGTGTTTTGTCTGCAATGGAGCTGGGCTTCCTCACAAGACCCTCCGTGCTAGAAAACTGTGGGAGGAGTCATTTGGAGAGAGGCTTTTATTTTCCTCCCTCTGGTAATGAACCAGCCTCAACCCCGTCATTTATGCCATCTCTTTAGAGAATTCAGTCTCTGCTTGCATAGCTCAGGTGAGTGCATCCATCTGTTGATTCTTGCTCCTCTCTAAGTGTGCTGTGGGGCACGCAGTAGGGCCTGACACGCCCATGTCCCAGTGGGGAACGTGGCTCTGGGCTTGTGCTGTCCCAGGGTGTGGCTGGCCTGGTCCCCGGCCAGGGCATCTGTGGCATCTCCTGCTGATGTCTGAGGTTGGCAAGCGGCAGCCTCCAGTTTATCCACTGGTTTGGAGCTCTCTCCCCACTACCAGGGCCCCTCTCAAGCTCTTTCTAGTGCCCACCTGCCTCTGAGTCTCTGCAGAGAAGCTCTAGACAAGAAGAGACATGCCACATTCACTTGCTGAATAAATAAATGATTGAATGACTGAGTGAGAAAGACAAAGAATACGTTCAAATGTAACACTGGTCCAGAAAGAAAATAAAAATAAAAATTTTACATACTGCTTATTTTAGTTTCTAAAGGTAAAAATACACATGTATTTGTGTATATTATATACACACACAAAGACCAGAAAGAAACGTACCATATAAACACTAGCTATTTGGGGTGGTGAGATTATAAGTGATTCCTTTTTCCTTTTCTCTTTCCCTTATACTTCTCATACTTGTATGAAAAAAATTTCCAAAGTTTCTATAATGAACATGTAGGACAGACTCAGAAAAAAACAATGAATGTCAGTATCAAACTTTATGCAATCAACAAATCCTGATTACCTGTAGACCATCGGCTCATACCTGAAAAGCATGGGGTGTGAGCCCCCCAAAGCCCTGTTCTCAGGCCCACAGGCCCACTCGTCCAGCCCAAGAGTGAAGTCGTCAGGGCCCATTTATCCTAAGTGCAAAGATCCCCTCACACAAATTGGACCCCTGGATTCATCTGGAATCGATGGATACCCCAGATCTGTGCTGGGACTACGTAGCTGCTGTCGCTGGTGCCCGGTTGGGGTGTTTCAGAGTTGAAGGACACTCCTCCCACCCCAGAGATATTTCTGTGTGAGTTCCTGCTGTAGGACCTGCCTGCTTGGAAGGGAGTCTGGCAGAGTTTAGTCTCAGAATTTGTTTCATGACTTTGCCTCTCCAATGGCTTCAGGCCACCAGTGGCTTGAAAGTGAAGGTATAAGGTACCGTTCTTCTACACTGAGCAAGTTACCCAGTCTTGCAGAGCCTCAGCTTCCCCCTCCAAAACTGGGAATGATATGACTTACTCTGACAGGATGGGACAATTAGAGAAAAATGTATACAAAACATTCCACAGGTGCCCAGCAATAAATAGGTAATCAGTCCAGTCCACTCACTGGACATTTTAAAATAAAATGTTTTTATACACAAGTAATGCAGGAGTTGCATAATGATCATAATGATTGCTACAATCCATGCCAGTCACTGTGCTGAACGCCTGGAATCCACGCTTTCATCTGCTCTCACGCCATCCAAGACACATGTCCTATCAATGGCCCCGCTTTACACATGAGGAAATGAGATGTAGAGGGGGTAATCATTTGTGAGTCGGCAGTCACGCAATGTAGTACATGGCAAAGAAGATACTGTAGTGGATTAAGTAGTAGCCCCCCAGAATGGGATGTCTTTGTCTTAAGCCCCCAAACCTGTGCATGTGACCTTATTTGGAAAAATGATCTCCACAGATATAATTAAAGATCTCAAAATGAGATCCTCCTGGGTTACCTGGTGGGCCCTGAGTCCAATGACAGGTGTCCTTATAAGAGTGAGGCATAGTAAGATCAGAGAGACGGGACACAGCCCCTGAGGTTAAGGCCACCTGAAGACACAGGCAGGGACTAGAGTGCTGCTGCCACAAGCCAAGGAACGGCTGGGGCCACCAGAACCTGGAAGAGGCAGGAGGGTTCTCCTTGGAGGGAGTGTGGCCCTGCTGACACCTTCATTTTGGACTCTGGCCTCCAAAAGTGTGAGAGAATACATTTCTATTGTTTTAAGTCACCCAGTTTTGCAGAATTTGTTATGGCAGCCCTAAGGAATGAATACAGATACCAAAGTGGAGTTTGCCCCTACCACTCTCTCTGGCCCACCCCTCGTCTAACCCATTTAATGCTCATTTAACGTGCTGTTTCCTGAAACACAAAGTTATTGGGAACCAGAGCATTCATTTTCCCATCCTTCATGGCCACGACACATCCAGTGTTATTTATGCGTTTCTCCCTGGATGACCTAAATCTGGAGAGTAGCTGCCCTACCAAGCTCAGTGCCCACCAAACTTTCATTTGGTCGAGCGCCAGTTCCATGTAACTATATAATACCTAGGACTGCGTAAACCACAGAACCTACCAGGAACACTTTCTCTGCCATAAAAGGCAAACAGTATCATCCGTGGAGATAATTTTCTCTGAGGCTTTGCCCACAAAGTCACTGTTCATCCCTACAGTCATGGTGCCTCAGTCCCCAAGAAAGCCGTGATCCTGAAAACTCATGAAGTACAGTGCTTGCCCGTTTTGAGCTACAATCGAACTCATCTTTCCGACTATTATCCTCCTGAAGTCGACAGCGTTTCCTTTTAAGTTAATCAATGTGTTGATGGGAATGGAAGTGTAGGGCCTGAATAAAACAAGGGCACAGGCAATTCTCAGGATAGGAACATGAAGTCCAAAAATCCTTATCCTTATGGTGATTTTAAAATATTCTGCAACATAGACAAATCAACAAGAAGTAATCTTCGAACTAGCAACATTGGAACAAATTCTTGTGCAACCTCATTCAGTCTTTCCCTTTCTCACTCTTTTACTTACCAAGACTTGATTTTAGGAATCTGAGCAAGAATGCTGCATCTACTGTAAAGAGATGCTGAATTCCTGAGAGCAATTCCTGAGAATTAGGCTGTGATGTTATCTGTTTGCAGCGAAGAATCCACTCACAGTAGCATAGGCCTTGGCTGATAGAAAGGAAAAGCCAATTTATGAGTTGTTCAGTTGTAAATGAAAGGCTATTTGGGACTATTGAACACCGTTTGTGATGTTCTCAGCTCTTTGCTGTTTCCCTTCCCCTAGGATGCCTGGTTATTTGTAATGGAAACACACTTATATTTATTGTAAAAGTGAGGGAAATTCAGAAAATCGTAGAGGGAAAAAATAGTCTTTGAAGCCTAACAGATCGGTGTTCTGATCTCCTTTGCAAAACTGATAATGAAATTACCTCCTTTCAGGGTTATGATGTATATAAAGAGCCCCGTCATCAGGTGGGTCAGAAACATAGCAGATGCTCAATAAAATGGTAATTATTATTACTGAGGGGCAAGGAAATCAGAGGTTAGATCCAGCTTCACCATATGCTAGCTCTGTGATCCATATCTTCGTTCCACCTGTAAAGTGGGAATAGTAATTGTGAAGACAAATTAGATCTTAGATAACACCATAAAGCACTACACATCATAGGGTATTCTGATCTTTTAAGTTTCTTCTGGACTGGGCACGGTGGCTCACATCTGTAATCCCAGCACTTTGGGAGGCCAAGGTGGGCGGATCACCTGAGGTCAGGAGTTTGAGACCAGCCTGGCCAACATGGCAAAACCCTGTCTCTACTGAAAGTACAAAAATTAGCCAGATGTGGTGGCGGGCGCCTGTAATCCCAGCTACTCAGGAGGCTGAGGCAGGAGAATCGCTTGAACCCAGGAGGCGGAGGTTGCAGCAAACCAAAATCATGCCACCGCACTCCAGCCTGGGCAACAAGAGCAAAACTCCATCTCGGGAAAAAAAAGAAAAAGTTTCTCCTGATTCCAGTAGTCTATAACTTATAATCTAATAATGGGGTGATCTTGGTTGTATTATGGTATAGAACAAGAAAAGAAGGTTTATCAACAAATAGAGTTCAGTTGCCATAGCAACTTAGATACTATTTTCAAAGTAATAACTTTAACGTTGAGATACATGTCTTCTATAGCATCTCGGTAGGTTTTCAATTGTAGATATACAGGAAAGGCAAGCAGTATTTTAGGATCAGAGCTATGCTGTGGTGGAACTAACACTCTGAAGCTAGAAAACCTAGTATGTATAGCTTTTGGTAATATGGTTTAAAGACCCTATTTGTATATTTTGAAAACTGCAAATTTTCTTATAGAAATGTCAAACATAATAAAAATATTGTGGTTTTCAAATTGAAAACACCTCATTGCAAGCAAGCAAGTTTTTTCATTGTGTATTGGGAAGGAGGAAAAGTGGTTCTATTGATCTAACTAGATAGGTAGGTAGATAGATAGATACATGGATAGACAGGTATAGAGACAGGCATATATAGAGAGATCTGTATCTACCTATATATCTATACATAGAGAAATCTTTAATTGTTGGTAAAACTGAATTAAATGTCACCCCATCTGCCTAAAGGATGTAAGTAGCTTCCCGATGTGCACAGCAAGGGGTAGTTTATTCAGCTGCAGAGAATATCTGAGTGCAGTAAGCATTTTTTAAAGGACTGTTATTATTGTTCTCTTAAGCACAATAATAACAGCAGCCCTATTACTTGGAAGGATGCCTAGTTCAGGTGGTTTGTCAGAAACAGTTTTCTCAAGTCCTCATATTATACAAGCACTGCTGGCTTAGCTTTCAAAAGTTAACTCATAACAAGTTGTAAGCTTTTCTTATGAACGGTATATTTTCTTACTTTGTTAAGACCATTTTCTTAGCATAATACATGGATACTAGTTTCCAGAGGGAAAAGAGCACGCAGAAAGAGGGGAAGGGAGGGTTCATGAGGATGTGTAAGGGGTGGACGGCACAGCAGAAGGGTGGGTCCTGATGGCCAAAAGCCCCGGACAGAGAGGGCGTCAGAGGGACGGGAGGTGAGGTCATGTTGAAATAGTGATGGGTAGTAAAGCTAGAGGCTGAATGAGGGGTGCATGCAGCTTGTTACATTATTATTTCTACCTTTGTGTATATTTGAAATTTTCCATAGTAAAAAGTGTTTTAAATGCCATAGACATACTCTTAATACTTTTTGTGTAAGATACAAGCCACAAAGTTCATAAAACATAAATGCATATTTAGGATAATAAAAAACTAAAAGGCAAACACATCTGTGAAATTACCACCCAAGTCAAGTCATAGAATGCTGATAGCTCTAGAAACACTCTCCTCATTTTTTATTTTAAAATATGTTTGCAGAAGATTTTTTTTTTTTTTGAGACGGAGTCTCACTCTGTCATCCAGGCTGGAGTGCAGTGGTGCAAACTCGGCTCACTGCAAGCTCCGCCTCCCGGGTTCACGCCATTCTCCTGCCTCAGCCTCCAGAGTAGCTGGGACTACAGGCGCCTGCCACCACGCCTGACTAATTTTTTTTGTATTTTTAGTAGAGACGGGGTTTCACCATGTTAGCCAGGATGGTCTCGATCTCCTGACCTCGTGATCCACCCGCCTCGGCCTCCCAAAGTGCTGGGATTACAGGCGTGAGCCACTGCGCCCGGCCAGTTGTTTTTATAATTCTGAACTTAACTCCTATCTTTTCCCACTGTGGGGCTTGTCTTTTCACACTCTTTATGATATCTTTGGCTGAACAGAATTTCATAACCAAGCTTATAAATCTTTTCCTTTACTGTTCATGTTTTTGGTATATTGGCTAAGAGGAACCTGTCCTCAAGCTCATGAAGGTAAGAATATTCCACATTTCCTTCTAAATGCTTCATGGTTTTGCTTTCACACGAAGGTCTATAGCCAGTTTTGTGTATGGTAGGATGACGGAGTCTAATTTTATGTTTTTCTGTATAGATACCCATTCTCTCATTCCTTCATGCCATCCTGACTATAAATTAAGTGTGCATCTGCTTAAATTTGCTTCTGGGCCCCTTGTTCTATTCCAGTGATCTTCACACCAAAACTACACCATCTTACTAAAATTTTGTAATACATATATCTGGTAGAGCAAAAACTGACTAATTTTTTAAAGAGAATTGCCTGTCTTTTCTTTCTTTCTTTTTAAAAATTTTTTTGAGGGGTGGGGTCTCACTCTGTCACCCAGGTTGGAGTGCAGCGATGCGATCTCGGCTCACCACAGCCTTAACCTCTGGGGCTTAAGCGGTTCTCCTACCTCAGCCTCCCTAGTAGCTGGGACTATAGGTGTGTACCACCACGCATGGCTAAGTTTTGCTTTTCTTGACCTTTGAATCTCTAAATAAAAGTAGAAGCAACTTAGCAAGTTACACATACACACACACGTTGTATGACACTGAATCTATAAGAATAATTTGGGGATAATTGACATTACAATACTGAGCTTTCTAATACATGAACATGGTATATATCTCCATATTAAAGTCTTCTTAATATCTGTCAATAATGGTATATAATTTTAATAATATAATAAAAAATAATATAATAAAAAAGGCAATATATTAGCTTGCCTTTTCCTAGAAATTTCACGTCGTTTGATGCTATGACAACTAATACCTATTCTGCTTCATTTTCCATTTGTGGCTCTTTATGTAAATACAAGTTGATTTTTGTGTATTGATTTCATATCCAGCAAACCTGGTAAACATTCATATTCATTCTAAAATGTATCTGTAAATTGTTTAGATTTCCTATGCACATAATCATACCATATTGAATAAGGACAACTTTGCTCCTTATTTTGCAATTCTTATATCTTTTATTTCCTCCTCTTGACTAACTGTTCTTGGTAGGATCTGCAGAAAAATGTGGAATAGATGTAGTTGCCTTATTTCTTTGTAAATCTCAAGGCGAATGCTTCTGACACATCACCCTGTAGTGTGATATTTACTCCAGGTTTTTGTTGATCTCTTTATGGAAGTTCCTGCCTACTCCTGGTTTAGCAGGGGAATTTTATGAAAGACTTTTCCTGCAACTATTGAGATAATCTTTTTTCTGCTTTATGTGCTAATGTAGTAAAAGATATATATCGATTTTCTAATGTTAAGCCAACCTTGCATCTGTAGTATAAAGTGAACTTGGTGTTGATGCAGTACTCTGTTCATGCATTATGGGGCTTGGTTTGTTAGTATTTTTGTACTGAAATCGGCAGAAAATCTTATTTTCTTATACAGTCCTTATCAGGTTTTGGTATCAAGGTTATCTAGCCTTATAAAGTTTATCCAGAATGGTTTATATAAGACTGAAATTAGTCCTTTCATGAATGTTGATATAATTCTCCAGAGAACCCATCTGGGCCTAATGTTTGCCTTTTGGGAAGGCTTTTGATGATTCATCCAGTTTTTAAAAAATGGTTGTAGAACCATTCGTGTTTTTTTATTTTGTCTTTTAGAGTGAATTTTGATAAATTATATTTTCTAGGAAACTATCCCTCTTTTTCCAAATTTTCTATTTAGTTGATATATATAAGTTGTTTATAATATGGTCTTGTCTTTCAAGTGACTATGGAATCCTAGTGGGTAGTGTATGTGTGTATGTGCACACACACCTGCATGTGTGTGATGCTAGCAGCCTTTTCTCATTTTCTAGATTTATTTGTGCATTAGGAGTTTTTTGCAAAAAGTGGGTAAAATGTGTAATTCCATCATTCTTAATTTATTAGCTTGAATACATAGAGAAAACTATGGCCTCCTAAACTGTTTGGTTACCCTGAGGCATGTTGCATATAAGAAAAGCAGGTTAAATATTTGAGTCCTTTTCTTTGTTTGCAATTTTTCTGAGTAATGAATTAGCCTATAACAGCTCCAAAGGTTACCAATGAGGTTTTAAAATGCATCAGCATCATTATAAACTCATGGATTTTTTACACATTAGTTGTGCTTTAATAAATTGCAGGGTTTTTTCCTTCTTAAAAATTTCAACTTTTATTTTAGATATAGGGTGCACATGTGCAGGTTTGTTACACGGGTATAGTGAGTGATATGGTTTGGCTGTGTCCCCACCCAAATCTCATCTTGTAGCTCCCACAATTCCCATGTGTCGTGAGAGCGACCTGGTGGGAGGTAATTGAATCATGGGGGAGGGTCTTTCCCATGCTGTTCTCATGATAATGAATAAGTCTCATGAGATCTGATGGTTTTAAAAATGGGAGTTTCCCTGCACAAACTCTCTCTTTGCCCACTGCCATCCATGTAAGATGTGACCTGCTCCTCCTTTCCTTCTGCCGTGGTTATGAGGCCTCCCCAGGCAGGTGGAACTGTAAGTCCATTAAACCTCTTTCTTTTGTAAATTGCCCAGTCTCAGGCACGACTTTATCAGCAGCATGAAAACAGACTAATTCAGTGAATGATGCTGAGGTTTGGGGTAGAGATGCCATCACCCAGGTAGCAAGTATAGTACCAAACAGGTAGTTTTTCAACCCATGCTCCCCATTCTCCTCCCCTCCACTCCCCACTCTAGTCTGTGTATGCTCAATGTTTAGCTCCCACTTAGAAGTGAGAACATGCAGTATTTGATTTTCTGTTCTGCAGTTATTATTCTTACTGACGCCAACACCATTCGCTCTTTGGGCATTAGCACCCCCGCCCCGGGTTGGCTTTGAGCTGACCTGACTTGCCCCGCTGCTCTGGGGAGCTTCTTTGCTTAACAGTATCCTCTTTCTGAGTTTTTCAGATGGTGGCCCAGTACTTTCTCACAATCTTGTTTTATCTCCTCTCTGCCTTTAAGATTTTTATAGATTCATTTTTGTTTGTTTGGCCTTGGTAGAAGTTAAGATACCTGATCATAGGTTTATTTAACAAGTATTTGCTGAGAACCTGCTTAGTGCTAGATGCTACAGGAAACAAGATGATGAATCAAGAATGACTGATGCCCTTAAAGAATTTGCAGTCAGCTAGGGGAGTCGGAAACAAGAGCACCGTGGCTGCTGGGCAGGATGGAGACGTGATGCATGTAAGTTCAAGCAGAGTTTCAAGGAAATTGGCAGGGACGGGGCAGGCTTCAACAGGGAAGTGGCGCCGGGAAGCTTGAGCAGGATTTGGGCATTCTGACATGGGGAAGGCATTACCTTCTTCCCCTTTAGTTGTGTCTGGCACATGGACTCAGCAGAGGCTGTTGGGAATGTTCTGAGATCACATACCAGCAGCCTCCTAACCCAAGCCGACCCAAAAGAGACATGCCCCCAAGAAAGGATTCCGGACTGCACCTGGTGGCCTGTATTTCTAGTATTTCACAATATTCACAAGTCTTCTAGCCTCTACACAAAAATACCAAGTGCAGAAGAGGAAACATTTTCTGACCACAACCACTCCTCTGTGGAGCCTCTTAGATTAATCCTCACAAGAGGCCTAAGACAAATTTTCATCTAATATATACTTTTCTACAGCCAGCTCCTGGAATAAAAGAGAGAAAGTAGAAGTGAAGTTATTCTGGGAATTATTCGGGTGAAAACAAAACCAAAACAAAACAGAAAAAGTAGCATGGTTTATCTGAGGACACAAAATTAGAAGGCAATTTTTCCAAAAAGGTAAGAAGATCATTTCAGATCTTCACATGGGGGGAAAAAAGAATGTCAGCCCAGAGCACAGGACTGGGCAGGAACCCCAGTGCCCTGTGGGCCAGGCTGGCTGGGAGCCCCCACGCTGGGCCCAGGAAAGGCCAGGCTGGCTTTAGTGTGGCCCAGGTCCCAGAGCCTTCCCCTGGTTTGGTTAGGGAGCTATGGGGCCAAAAGGAGCCAGACTTTTAGGGAGGAAATTGAATTCTCAGTCAGTATGCTGGGTGGGGCGGTGATCTAACACACTTGGGCCTAGAGATCTAAAAAATGCAGAAACACCAAGGCTAAGGGAAAGTGAACAGAAGGAGCCCTACTGCAGCCAAATACAAACCACCTTCCCCAGAGGAGGCTAACCTCTTCACCAAGGAAAAAAAGCAAAGGCCACCAGCTGAACTTGAAGGGCACCTGGGACCCACTGCCCTTCCTCTCTGCTTCTTCCCTCCTTTGTCTCTCCCTTCCCTTTCCTCCCCTCCCCAAGTCTGCTACTTTCCCTGAACCCTGGACTGATGTCCTGGACAGATGTCCTGGACAGGAGGGACTTTCAAGCAGAGTGCCAGGCATCCTTGTTGTGTCCGGAATTGGTTCCTTCCAGTAGGTTTGTGGTCTCGCTGACTTCAAGAATGAAGCCGTGGACCTTCGCGGTGTTACAGCTCTTAAAGGTGGCATGGACTCAAAAAGTGAGCAGCAGCAAGATTTATTGTGAGCAAAAGAACAAAGCTTCCACAGCATGGAAGGGGACCCCAGCAAGTTGCCGCTGCTGGCTGGAGTGGCCAGCTTTTAGTCCCTTATTTGTCCCTGCCCATGTCTTGCTGGTTGGTCCATTTTACAGAGTGCTGATTGGTCCATTTTACAAACCTCTAGCTAACTACAGAGTGCTGATTGGTGCGTTTTTACAGAGCACTGATTGGTGCATTTTACAAACCTCTAGCTAGCTACAGAGCACCCATTGGTGCGTTTTTACAGAGCACTGATGGGTGCATTTTTTTTTTTTTTTGAGACAGCCTTGCTGTGTCACCCAGGCTGGAGTGCAGTGGTGTCATCTCTGCTCACTGCAAGCTCCGCCTCCCAGGTTCACGCCATTCTCCTGCCTCAGCCTCCCGAGTAGCTGGGACTACAGGCGCCCGTCACCAAGCCCGGCTAATTTTTTGTATTTTTAGTGAGACAGGGTTTCACCATGTTAGCCAGGATGGTCTCGATCTCCTGACCTCGTGATCCACCCGCCTCAGCCTCCCAAAGTGTTGGGATTACAGGCATGAGCCACCATGCCTGGCCTGATCGGTGCATTTTACAAACCACTTGTAAGACAGAAAAGTTCTCCAAGTCCCCACATTACCCAGGAAGTCCAGCTGGCTTCGCCTCTCATTGTGACATGGGAATCAATCCTGTCCAGAGCCACCTTAAACATAAGGCAATATATTCAGTTCTCCATTTGCTGTGAAGAGCAGTGTGTCATTTTCGAACTTGGTTAAATTTAGCCCTAGAAAACCTCCTGGGGTCCGCAGCCCAGAGCCTAATCTCAACCCAGCAGGTGAGCATGAGTTGTAGGGACGCTGGGGTCACTTGTTGAGTCATTGCTTCATTCAAGAATCTGAGGCAAATCAGCGCTGCCCAATAGAACTTTCTGCCGTGATAGAAACATTTTATATCTGATCTATCCCATAGGTTCCTGCTGTCCACATGTGGCTGTCTTAATGTTATTTAATATTAACATATGCAAGGAGACAGCACTTGAACAGAACAGAGGAGGCTCTCACCCTTGTGGAGCTGATTTTCCAGAGAAGAGTCAGAAAAATTCCACGTGAACAAACATCAAAGAGTTTCATAAGCACCAAGAAGAAAATAAACAGGCTATCTTGCTGGAGAATTTCAGTGAGCCCCCTGGAGTGGGGGGCTCCTGGAGGCCCTTCCAGAGAGAGAACATTCCAGCAGAGACCTAAAGATAAGAGGGGCCAGCTACTTGAGAATGTTCCAGGCCGAGAGAATCCCCAGAACACAGCCAGAGTGGCTGGAGAAGGGAATTGGCAGGGGGATCTGCAGGGTCTCGCCGGCCAGGGGAAGTCTGGGTTGCACTTTAAGACCAAGGGCTGCCCCTCCCTCCGCAGGGAGGTTTTAAGCAAAGGGTGGGACCTGACACACATGGTTATAGGTCACTCAGGTTGCCCTTGCAAAAGAGATGAGAAGGGGCGAGGGGAAGAAGGTTCTTGTTTGGGTCTGGGTCCCCTCAGCCCACCCAGGCTTTCTAGCAGGAAGTTTGTTGGAGATGTTGGCATGGAGCAGGGTGAAGAGCCAGACTGTGACCAGTGCTGAGCCCACGGAGCCTTCCGAGGAGCCTCGCCAGGCGTCCCAGACTCGTCCTCGGAGAACAAAAAGGGGAGCCTGTGCCACGTACCCCGGCCCTCCTTTGGTCATGGGCGGCCCTGCGGGCCTGGGCGTGGGCTTGTGCTGAGTGGGGGGTAGGGTGTTGGGGGGCCACCTTCCGCTGTGGTCAGGACAGGAAGCGGCTGGAAGAGCCTCAGGCAGAGGCGCTGGCGGGCCGCGCTGCCCCAAGCAGGCTGCCAAGAGGGCCCCGTGCCCCTTGCCACAGTCCAGACTGGCGCTCCAGGCACGGCCCACGCGAGAAGGGACTCCCGAGGCCCAGTTGTGGTCCTGGTGGGAGCAGGGAAAGGAGGTCAGCCAGAGCTGGGTCCCAGATGGAGCAGAGTCCAGGCCTGCATGATCCTGTGGAACTAGTCAGGGAAACTGAGATAGAGCCTCAGGCCAGGCAGCCCTGGAAAGGGTTACGGGGAAGCCAAAGCTGAGTGGAGCCAGCAGGGCGCAGGAGTCACCAGGCTTGCAGTCACGAGGCTCCTCCCTGCTAAGGCTGGCTCAGGAAAGCCGGGAAGGGAAGCAAGGGGTTGGGGGAAGAAGGGAGGCAGGGGGTGCAAGGAGGAAGGGAGGCGAGGGGGATGGGGAGGAAGGGAGGCGAGGGGGATGGGGAGGAAGGGAGGCGAGGGGGATGGGGAGGAAGGGAGGCGAGGGGGATGGGGAGGAAGGGAGGCGAGGGGTAGGGGGAAAGGGAGGCGGGGGGTTGGGGGGGAAGGAAGGACAGGGGTTGGGGGAAACGGGAGGCAAGGTGGAGGGGAGAGAGTAGAGGGGTGGGGGGAATGGAGGCGAGGGGTCTGGGTGGGGAAGGAAGGCGAGGGGTTGGGGGGGAAGGGAGGCAAGGAAGAGGGGGAGAGGCGAGGGTTGGAGGGCAAGGGAGGCGAGGGGTCGGGGTTGGGGAAAGGAGGCGATGGGTAGGGGGAAGGAAGGCGAGGGGTTGGGGGGAAAGGGAGGCAAGGAGGAGGGGAGAGCGGCGAGGGGTGGAGGGGAAGGGAGGCGAGGGGTCGGGGTGGGGAAAGGAGGCGAGGGGTGGGCAGGGAAGGGAGGTGAGGTGGAGCGGAAGGCAGGAAGAGGACTCTCGCAGTCAGCCGGAGGGGTTGGGCGCACTGCACCGGGAGGCACCACCTTGCGGAACAGGTCGGGTCGGTGCTGGGGCCAGGCCTGGAATGTTCCTGCGTCCTCCTGGTCCTCCTTCTCTGGACTCCAGAGACTTGCCCTCTCTCGCAACGCTGCCCCGCATCACCCCTGCCTGGCTGGCTTCACCTCTCAGGAGGCACCGACGATGCGCACGCCCCCTTGTGCAGCCCAAAGGCCTCTCAAGTCCCGCTGGGCCATCTCCTCGCCAGCCCGAGGCCTCCTTGGCTGAACGAGGGTCTCGTTCAGCCGCGTCCCCCTCTGTCCTGCCTCCTGCGCCCCCTCTCACCGCAGGGAGCTCAGCCCCGCAGGGTCCCGGGACAAGGTGCTGACCGGTGCATGGGCTGCTCCCCCGCGCCTGGAGGCTGCCCAGTCCTAGAGCTGCCCCGGGGCCTCAAGCTCTCCGCGTCCACCCGGACCGAGCCGACCCCACGGAAAGCTGGCCTCGGAGGGTCGCAGGCATTCGCCGAGCGGCCCGCGCAAAGGCAGGGGCAGTCCAAGCACCGGCGGGACACGCGGCGCCCGCCACAGCCAGCAGTGCCCCGCACCGCGCAGCCCCAGCGACCCGCAGAGGGGCCAGGGCCCACCAGCCCCACCCCGGACCCCAGAGCGCCCAGGCCCGCGCAGCGCCACCACCCCTGACCACAGGGCGCCCACTCCGCCGCCCCGGACGCCAGCCCGCAGCGCCCGCCCGCACACCACACACCACACACACATATCACACACAGACCACACACACACACCCAATACACACCACACACCTCACACACACACCCATCACATACACACACACCAATACACACCTCACATACACACCACACACACACCCAACACACACCACACACCTCACACACACCCGTCAAACACCACACACCTCTCACACACACCCAACACACATCACACATACCTCACACACACACCCAACACACACATCACACACATACACCCCACACACCTCACACACTGCACACATCACATGCACTACACACCCCTAAAAAACACACATATTACACATTCAGACACGTCCCACACACACGTCACATACACCCAACACACACCTCACACACACCCATCACACACCTCACACATCTCAAACACATTACACACAATGGCACACCTCACACACTCATCACACACCTCACACACACTCCCATCACACACCTCAAACATCATCAACGCTATCACACACAACACAAACCTCACACACCCAACACACACAAACATCACACACCCAACACACACCACACACCCCAAACACACATATCACACACGTCACACACATCACACACACAAAACACACCACACACACCCAGAAAACCCACATATTACACACACCACACACATCTCACACACCGCACACCAAACACACACCCACACAACACACGTATCACACACACCTCACCACACACCACGCACACAACACACACCACACACAACACATATCATACACCAGCCACACCACACACACACAGAAAACACACATCACACACACCTCACATGCATCACACACACCTCACATGCATCACACACCACACACGTCACACACACCCAACGCACACCACACACAGCCAACACACACCACACACATCACACATACCTCACACACGCACAGACACCACACCCCAAAGTACATATGACACACAAGTCACACACCTCACAGCCACACACAGAACACACACCACCACACCCAAAAACATATTACACACCACGCACACATTACCAAACATCTCACACAAGACACACATCACTCACAAAAAAATTCATATCACACACAACACACACGCCACATACCTCATACACACCACATACCTTGCACATATCACACCACACATGACACACATATCGCACGCCTCACACGCACACTACACACACACCCAATATGCACCACACACTTCACACACACACCCTTCACATACCCCCACACACCTCACACACATATCACACACACAACACACCTCACCACACACAAAACACACACCCAGAAAACACACCTCACACACCACACACACAAAACATCACACACATCACACCACACACACAACACATCACACACATCTCACACATACATCACACGCATATCACACTCTACACACACCACACACACACTTCTCACACAAGCAAAAACATGGAAGCCACACACACAAAACATCACACACCACACACAACACATACCTCACACACACATCACATGTATATCACACACACCTCACGCACAAAACACAAACCACACCACCACACAAACCCAGAAAATACACCTCACACACCACACAAACACAAATCACACACACCACACACAAAACACACATATCACACACCTCACACACACCACATGTGTGTCACACACTCTACACACACCTCACACACACATTTCATACACAAGCAAACACACACAAAAAGGCACACACAAAAAACATATCGCACACCACACACAAAACACATACCTCGCACACACCAAACACACACAGTGAACACACAATACACACACAAAAAAGACATCACACATATACATACACACAAATATCACACACACCTACACAAAAACGTATCACACACCACATACAAAACATACACACATCATACACCACTCACACACACCACACACAAAACAGACACATTGCACATACACAAACACATCACTCACTAAACACATACACCACACACCACACAAAAACACACATCACACACAACCAAAACACACACCACACGAAACACACATATCACACACCACACTCACATTGAATCGCTTCAATGCTCCCCTCGGAGGATGCGGCAGGGACAAGATCGCGTTGGGCTGAGCAGGGTTCCCCTTCCCGTTCTTTGAGGGGTTCTGTGGACTGAGCCGCAACAAATTCATATGTTGAAGCCCTAACGCCCCGAGTGACTGCATTTGGAGGTCGGGATTTTAGGAAGTAACGAGGTCTTAGGGTGGGGTCCTCATTCGAAAGGATTGGTGGCCTGAGCGCGCGCGGACACACACACCGACAGGCCCTGTGAGGACGCGGCGAGGAAGAGGCCGCCTGCAAGCCGAGAGCAGCCCGGCCGGCCCCTGACGCTGGCTCGCAGCCCCATGGCGTGAGAAGCAGTTCTCTGCGGGCTGAGCCTCCCGGGCGTGGCACTGCACGGTGGGGCAGCAGCCCCAGCAGGCGAAAGACCCCGTCAGAATTCCTCTTCCTGTTCCATTCCCTTTGTCCGGAGTTGGGCCCTCTATGGCAGCGACGCTGTGCAGAGACCTCGTGGCACCCTTCCTGGGAAGAGCACTCTCCAGCATCGTTTACTTAGCTGAGAGGGACTCAAAGGCCATAGGGAGGTGTCTGCGGTGCGTGAGCACCTGCGCCTCCGCGGGCATTCCCGCCTCATGCCGTTCTCACTGTGGTTCATCCACTGTCCACGGCGGCTGTTCACACGGCCAGACACTGAAGTAACGACGCTCTCCATCATCTCATTCAAACCCCGCCAGGAGGTGCTAGGATCAGAGGAAATGAGGCCCAGAGCTAGGCTATGTGCCCAGGACCACCTGCTAGCATGTGCTGCCCCAGAACCCAAGCGAAGGCAGTCTGGCCCAGAGCCTCAGCTGGTCATCTCTGCCTCCTGGTTGCTTCTCAAAGAGCCAGCCGACTCACGGGGGAGTTGTGTGATACTCATTTTCAATCCATGCCATTGTGTATATACTACCGTGCCGTGTGTAGATACACACTCTGGTGTCATCGTGTGCACACCATCATGCCATGTGTGCATGCTGCGTGTCCTCTTGGCCACACCGCATTTCCCACTCTCCTGAAGGGGACAGATCTCGTCTGCTTGGTAGAATGACGGGCGCTCCTCCCCCTGCTCTCTCAGAGGTGTCCTTGCATCAGAGTTTGTGACAAGGCCTGAGCCGTGCACTTGGAGCTGAGGTTGCAGGATGTGCCTTAGCCGAGGGTCAGACTCTCCAACCACTGCTAGCCCCTACGTGTCCCTGGGGCAGCCCTTGGCAATCCACCTTTCACAGGCCGGAAGCCCTTTTTTGTCATAAGCTCAAGACAGCAGTTTAACCTTCACCCACTCCAAATGCTGAATCATTGGTGGCACGCAGGTCTGGTCTGACTTGCAACTTGGATGACGAAGGTGTCATGAGGCATTTCACTCTCCTTCCCTCACGTCCCACATCAGAACCATCAATAAGTTCTGTTGCGTCCACCTTCACTCCTGGACCCTCTGTGCTCCCTTCTGTCCACACCAGCCACAGCCTGGATCTCTCCGACCCCCTCCCTGTGCCCAGACTGCCTCCCTCGGTCCTTTCCGCGATCAGGACCCACCTGCCGTCTACCTTTGCACATCCTTGAGCTAAGAATAGGCTTACATTTAAAGGATTGGGGGAAAAATAAAAAGAACAACACGTGGTGATATGTGGAAATTGTATGAACTTCAGGTTTCATTGTCCACACACAAGTTTTATTGGAACAGACACTGCCACGCTGATTCACACACGTTACCCATGGCTGCTTTTGGACTACAAGGCAGTGTTGAGTTGTTGCAACACACACTCCATGACACAGGATGGCCCACAAGCCTAACGTGCTCCACTATCTGGACCTTTATGGGAAAAATTTGCTGACCTCTGACTCCACACAGCAGCCAGTCATCTTTTCAAAATGCAAGTCAATTAAATCATGCCACTCCAGGGGCTTCCTTCTGCATTTAAATTCTGACCTAACCTTACAAAGTCCCAGAAGATCTAGCCCAGGTCCCTCTCCAGCCTTCTCTCTGTCCATCCCCCCCCAATGCCCATGCTGCCTTCTGGCTTTTCCTGCACCGGGTGAGGCTCCTACTTCGGGTCCTGGGCTCGAAACACACTGTCTTCCAGGATCACTCCTTTCCAGAACCACACAGGGCTAGATCCTCCTTGTCATTCACATCTCAGAGGTTTTCCCAGCCACCCACCATGGAGTAGACATTCAGCTGCATACTGTCTCATCATCAGCTGCATTCTCTGATGGACACTTACCTCTGATCAGTATTGTTTCACACAGTATCCCCTGGACTTTGGACAGTAGATCAGTAACTGTTGAAGAGTAGGCAGTGGTGATGGTGACAGTGGTGATGGTGGTGGTGATGGTAATGGTGGTGGTAGTGGTGGTGTTGATGGTGGTAGTAGTACTACCATCATGGTAGTAGTGATGATGGTATTGGTGGTGGTAGTGGTGATGTTGGTGGTGATAGTGATGGTAAAGTTGGTGTTGGTGGTTGTAGTGATGATGGTATTGGTGGTAGTAGGGGTGTTGATGGTGGTGATGGTGATGATAATGGTGGTGTTGGTGGTGGTAGTGATGGTGGTTGTGGTGGTGGTGGTAGTGATGACAGTATTGGTGGTGGTGGGAATGGTGATGGTGGTGGTGATAGTGATGGTAATGGTGGTGGTGGTGGTAGATGGCAATGAGATGGTGATTGCAATTTTGAGTTAGTGGACATGCAGAAAGATCTTGGGAGGGACTGCACAACTCTGTACAGAGACAGCATCTGCTTTGCGTCAAGATGCTTGGGCTCTCAATGGTGTACAACCTGCCTGGCTCTACTGGGCCACTGGACAACTTACAACTTACAAATGCTGGGGCCTGTCAAACACATGAAACCAGTCGACAGAGGGCCCAGAGGTCATCTCCATGCACATGGCCACACGGACGTCCCCACAGCAGATAGAGAGAGCTCAATGTAAAAGCATCAAGGTGTTTGATATAAAAATAACATATGCTTATGGTGATAGTGACAGAATAAAGAAAACCATAAAGAAGAAAATCAGAATTGCCCCAAAATAAGCAGGTTTCACATTTCCGTGTGCTTTCTTCCAGGTGTTTTCCACATAAATATTCATATGTAAGCTAATGGCTGACTCTCCTTATGTGACAGGCCAATGCCCTCTTTCTTCTAAACTGACCTATTTTCAAGGTGCCGAGAGATTAGTACACAATCTCCTCCTTCAGTAAGAAGCTCCAGGCTGGGCGTAGTGGCTGGTGCCTGTAATCCCAACACTTTGGGAGGCCAAGGCGGGCGGATTACGAGGTCAGGAGATTGAGACCATCCTGGCTAACACGGTGAAACCCCGTCTCTACTAAAAATACCAAAAAAAATTAGCCGGGCATGGTGGTGGGTGCCTGTAGTCCCAGCTACTCGAGAGGCTGAGGCAGGAGAATGGCGTGAACCCGGGAGGCAGAGATTGCAGTGAGTCGAGATCGTGCCATTGCACTCCAGCCTGGATGACAGAGACTCCGTTCAAAAAAAAAAAGCTCCAGTGTCAGCAGCCTTTACCACTTGAGGAAAACACCTTTCACACTCATGATCTACACTCAGGTGTGGGCTTGAAGCCCCCTCCATTCTGCCCCATCCTCCAAGGTGCTACAAGTGGGCAGTTTCCCCACGCCCATCAGCCTGGCAAAGGGATACCACCCTCCGCTCACTGGGAGCTCCACCTGTGTCTATGGCCTTGCGCTTAGATCCTGCTGGGCACCTGCTATGAACAGCTCTGGGGCTCAGGACCAGGGATGCAAAGAGGACAAACGCAGAGTCCTTGGACTCAAGTCCCTTTATCAGGCTTTCAGACTGCCACTCTGTGCCTGAGACACTTGTGTGAAGATGGCTTAGTCTTCTCTAGATGCCTTTGCTATGTGTAGAAGCTTCACCAATGATGATATTTTGTGCCATATTTACATACAGGATATTTGGTAACCTGTTTGTAGACATTTCTAGCTTTTGCCTACATAAACGAGAGAGTAATACAAGCAAAATGGTATGGAGAAAGATCTGAAGAGACAATGCCATGTTGACAGATACCCAAGGGCCTGTAATCCTCCTCTCAGTTGCCTGGTGGACTGTGCTAACGTCTCTGATGTCAGCCAGGCTAGGAGGAAGCCAACAGAACTAGAAAATGTTTGACGGCTGTATGGCTTGGGGGTTTAATCAGTGCTTCAGTTGCCCTTTGCACTTAGATGTGAGGTTGGTCTCAGGGTGACGCCCATAATGAAGGTAAACCATGACGACATGAAATGAAATGAGCACAGGATGAAGGTGAGCCAGCTGCACAAGCCCTGCGGGGTGGGACATCTTCCAGACACACACAAAGAGCGTCGCCTTTAAGGGGCCAGGGCTGGAGGTTCAGGCCACCCCGATCACAATGCGCTTTTCTGCCGTCTGCAGCTCCTCCCTCCTATGCCCTTTCATTCTTTCTTTCAACAATTATTTCTTTTTTCTTTTTCTTTTTCTTTTTTTGAGACAGAGTTTCATTCTTGTCACCCAGGCTGGAGTGCAACAGCGCGATCTCAGCTAACTCTGCCTCCCAGGTTCAAACAATTCTCCTGCCTCAGCCTCCCAAGTAGCTGGGATTACAGGCGCCCGCAACAATGCCCGGCTAATTTTTTTTGTACTTTTAGTAGAGATGGGATTTCACCATGTTGGCCAGGCTGGTCTCGAACTCCTGGCCTCAGGTGATCCACCCGCCTTGGCCACCCAAAGTGCTGGGATTATAAGCGTGAGCCACCATGCCTGACCTCAACAATTATTTCTTTAGCACCTTCTATGGACCTGATGCTATTCTAGGTTGTAGGAATTCACCTCTATTAGGCTTTTCCTCTCTCTTTTTGGATTGACAACTGAGACATCACCTACTTTAGGAAACACCCCCTGACAGCCCTTGTCACCCACCAGGCTCAGCCCAGGGCCATTCCCGGGTGCTCCTAGGACACCCTGTGCATGGCTCTGTGGTTGCACTTGCAGCTTTAAATTATGCTTTTCTCTTCATGTATGCATCTTCCCCACCAGACTGTGAACTTGTCATGGTCAAGGTCGACACAATTCCGTAGCCTCAGACGCCTACATAGTCCTTGCTCTAAACACATATATTGAATAAGGGAACTGTGGCAAAATCAGCAGTATTCACCTCTTTGAAGACAAAATGGTGACAACAGAGTGTGGAGGGAGCCTAGGCACTGGTCTTATGTTCCTCCCCGTCACCATGCAGGGCCAAGCTTCTTCCCACAGAACCACACGCTCCCTCCCCTAGGCTGTCATGGCTCAGCAGTGCCCACCACGCCCCTGCTCAACCACCAGGCTACCAAGCAACTTCCTGGTCATGGTTGGGTCCTACTCTCCTGCCTACCCATCTTCTTCATCCCAGGAAACGGCAATTCTCCCTCCATCCACAGAAGAGTTGTCCTTGACGTTTACCTTTCTCTCATCCCCAACATGCTGTCTGCCCATCCTGTTGGCTTTACCTCCAAGACAGCTCCAGAATCTGGCTGCTGCTCCCCTCCTCCTTGCCACACCCTCCTCCAGACCTCTGCTGCCATCCCTGACCAAGACAGTGGCAAGAAAGCCTGGACTCCCTGCTTCCACCCCAGCCTCCGGACAGTCCTTTTTCCACCCAAGCCAGAAAGGGCTTTGAGAAACTGAGTGAGATGGCGCTGCTCCTCTGGCCTCCCACCTCACAGAGTATGAGCCAATCCTCCTGTCAGCCTTCGGGGCCCACCATCCCCATCTTGGTCTGTCCCCCGCCACCTCCTTCATTGCTGCCTCCTGCCACTCAGCCATATGGACCATCCAACTGCCCCTTGGATGCACCCCTTCAGCCTGGCCTCAGGGCCTCTGCCCTTCTGTTTTCTCTCCCTGCAGCACTCTTCCCTACAGCTCCCCATGGTCTCATTGCTCACTCCTGTGGGTCTCTGCACAAATGTTATCTTATTATCATCCTCCTTGATTACTTCTTTAGAATTGTACACACATGTGCAGACACACCCCACCTGTACACCCTGTCACTCTCTCCTGCTCCATTTTCTATCCACTTAATGAACACCCTTCTGATATATTCTATACTTTGCCTCTTGATAGGCATATGTTTTGTTTTCCCCCACCAGAACTACCATATAAGCTCCATGAGGGAAAGTATTTTTTTGGCCTGTTTCATTCATTGCTGTATCCTCAATGCTTTGAATAGAGCCTGGCACACAGTAGATGCTCAATAAATGTATGTTAGATGAATCCATGGAAAGTTAATAAAACTGGCATTCTGGTTTTTCTGGCAGTCTTGCTAGTTGGATGAGCATGAGAAAAATCCCCTTCCAATTTATGCCCTAGCAAGATAGTTTCCAGGCCTGCAAACCAAGTAGGAACCAGACATAAATTGTGGGGACCCCACTGCCAGCCTCTCGAGCTGAGCAGGCACAACAGAGCAGTCATGTGGATGCCACGCACATGAGTCCATGCTGCCGTTCAGGGAGAGAAGACATCTGGACTCCAAGACTAGCAGGAAGGGAACTGTGTGTGCACTATGCCACATTGAGCGTTAATGTGGATGGAGATTATAGTTTCGCAGTTCTGAGAAAATGACTCAGAAACCAGTCAGGACAATATCTCACTCGGCTGGTCCTTCTGATTAACTTCCTATTTTTTAGTAGTAGCTCAGAGTGGATGAACCCAGCAAGTTCATGCGAGGAAGGCCAACATCCTAGTCATGTCACACTGGTATTGTGCACCCTCCATATGACATGACAAGGAGAGCGTGTCACCCCTGGGGTCTTCTTTCCAAGATCTAATTCAAGTCTAATCACAGCAAAAACATCAGATAAACCCAGACTGGGGCTCTTCTACAGGACACCTGGCTGGGGCTCTTTCAGAATGTCAAGGTCCTAAAAAGCAAGGTAAGGCTGAGAAATGGGCACAGACCAGAGGAGACTGGGTGATGGAACAATGACATGCAATGTGAGCTCCTGGATGGGATCCTGGAAAGAGGATATTTATGGGAAAACTGGCACATGAAATTATACAGCCACTAAACTCATAAAGCAACCAAGCGCTTTGGTAGCCAGACCCCAGGGACGGCAAACTGAAAAGCAGAAAGGCCCCCATAAGCCACAGCTGATTGCTTTGAAGCCCTCCCACTTATCTCTGAAGGGCCTGTTGCTTGGGTTTTGTGTGAGGTTAGGCTCACATACCCCACTCTCCCTTCAGCTCTGTGTTGGGCCAATTCCTGACTCTATCCAGCTGTTCCCATAACTGTCTTCCTGAAGCTGGGCCCAGAACCACCGATGAGCTCGCTGCTGTTCTCAAGCCTGAAGAGCCTGACTTTCTCAGCCCTTACGTGAGACCCTCTGGGCACTCCCACAGCCGATCACTCCTCATTGCACACTGTGCCTGCTTCAAGCAAAATCATGAAGCACTTCTGTCTGCTTCCTTCTGCCAAAACATGCCTGATATCCGCACAAAATACCTGACAGCAAAAGTGGGAAAATAGAACTTATATGAAGCGATGTACCTCCAAGCCATGCACAGTTCCGCCCTGCATGCTGGCGCCAGTGCTGCCCAGGGCTGCTGTGGCCGCTCCTCTTGGAATGCGTGGCTCAGGGATACCATGAGCCCAGCAGGCCATGAGTGGGGCCACCTGCACCCCACGACCCCCTCGTTTCAGCGACCCCACATCTGGGCCTGGGAACTGCAGATGGCCTTGGCGGGCTCATCAGGGGAGTCCTGCAGGCACAGGGGACAGCGCAGTGACAGGGCCAAGACCTGGGAGTGTGCAGAAGGAAAGCAGCCAAAGCTGGAGGCTTCAGGGAGGAGCGCAGACCTGACGGAAAGGAACTCTGTCAGTAGGTCACAGGGTGTGAGGGCTGAGGGATTTAGTCACCAGTTAAGGAATTTCTGAAACTTAATCAGATGAAGGGAAGGATCCTTTTCCTGCTGAAGCCTCCTTCATGTCTGGCCACATCGCCTTTTCAGTGAAGCTTGCATATCGGGGCACTCACATTTCCTGCCTCTCCCCTAATCTCTTTATCTCGTGGGTGACATCAGCTCCAGCCTCCTCGCCTCTCTCGGGTCCTGCGGGGACTGTGGGTTCCACCTGGGATGGTTTCTGCGTTCACTGCCCAACTCACTCTCACGTGGACCCCAACACTCTCTGCCTCCAGGTTGGCCCCTTCTGCTGTGGGATGAGCTTTCTGAGAGCCTGACCTGATTGGGGCAACTCCTTGCCTGAGGAACGCTTGGCTCTAGGTGAAGGCCCAGCCATTGGCACAGCCCCTGGATTCTTCCCTACCTGGCTCCACTCAGGGTCCCCTCCAGGGCTCCTTTTTGGTCAGGGTGGGCAGCTCCTCATTTCCAGAGCACTCCAGCCCTTCCCTATGCTCTCCTTCTCCCAGAAGGGCTGGCTGACTCCACCTGTTACCCCAGCCCCCTCAGGTTGGCCACCTCCTCAAGACCTTCCAGGGCACATGGGGCAGGCAGCTGGCCAGGCTCTCCTGTGTTGGATTCCTCTGGAGCACCAGTCCTGTTTTATTCTCAATTTATGTTCTTTTATGGTGACCTTCTGAAGGGCAGGGGCCACCTGTGGGACGCCTGGCACATCACAGCCACTCAGTGCATGCTGTGAGAATAAATGAGTGTGATGCAGAAGTCTGTGAGCACAGGTTAGCCACGATGACCACTTCCACACGGCTCCTGACCGGGGCACTGCATCCAACACCTCCACAGCCCTGGCCCCAAGGAAAGGCAGCTCCCTGCTGGACGAAGCTGGGCACCAGAAGCTGCAAGGCTGGGAAGTGTCAGGGGAGCCCACTGGTGGCATCTGGCCACTGTGGTGTGCATGGCCTTGTGGGTGGTGGGGCATGTAATGGTACTCCCAGAGTGTTTTGGGACTAGATCTAGGAAAAGACCACATCAAAGACAATAATTGAGTGTTGGATCAAACAGGTACTTTAGTGTAGAACTTTGGTGCCTTTAATTTGCTACAGACATGGGGTGTCTAAGGGCTGGGCAGTCAGTGATGTTTCCCAAACATCATCTGACCATAGAGCCTCAGGGTACCATGGAACCTACTCTGGGAAAAGCCCACATTTCTGGATTTCTGCTGAGTGATGGACAAAGGGCCTGGAAAAAAGTATCTGCTTATGACTTATGCGTCATGGTCACCCTAAAATATGCCGGTCATCAGGATCAAATGCTGTGTTTCTCATAAAAAACCAAAAGAGAAAAGATGTCTTTAAGGAATCAAAAACTTTTATTCAGAATAAGCGTTAGCAAAATGAAGGTAGGTGCCTCATAAATGCAGGGCCCCAGAGTACTCAGAAAGGGATTAGAAAATAATTACAAAAATATTTTGCCACATATTAACATGAAACTACAATCACTGGCTGTAAAATATAGTCAAATGCAATCAAGCTGAAAAGAAAAGGTGAAAATCTCCAGGTTATCTGCCCAGGTGGCAGGAAATCGACAGCCCCGAGAACGCAAGTGCTGCTGTGCCGCCAGGCCCAGGGCTATGATCCAAAGTGACGGGCAGACTACCGGCCTGCACCACCCCACTCAGGCTGCACACAAGACAGCCAGCTTAGGATCTCCGTGGGCTGCTACCTATGTCACAGAGGGCTGATTAAGGGCTTGCAGTGTTCCCAAATAGGGCCTCCAATGAGAGGAGTGGAAGCTGCATTACAAGAAATTCACTGGGGCTGCACTTGACTCTTCAACTTGGCGAGTCTCATGAGGCACTCGTCCCTCCACTGCCTCCTGGCAGCTAAGTGCTCCGGGTCATCAGGGACCTTCATGCACATGTCCTGCAAGAAGGAGAAGGAAAAAAAAGGACAATAAAGAGGAAATAATTTATCAAGAGTGTAATTATTGCTCTTGTTTATGCAAACTGTGCAGAAACTGCTTTCAAAGACAAAAGCAATAAACCCTCAATGAACAGCAGCTTTCCAAATCTTGAAAGACCTCAGTCCCTCAGAGACAAGTCACAATGAGCTACCAGTTCACTGGTCACCCTGTCCTTAAGGTGTCCTGGTGACACGATGGAAGTATGAACAAAGTTATGAATGAGGAACCACCAAGATCAAGGGTAAAGATTCCAGCTGCAGAGGCAGGCCCACCCGCTGCAGAGGTGAGGGGCAGCAAGTGCTCCAGGTAGCCAACATGCTTCTCTGCAGTGAGTTGCAGAGAAGTTACATACCTGGTTAACCTTCTCAGCAGTGGCCCTGGAAAACTCTGGAATGGGTCCAAAAGTCTGTAGGACATGTTTTATGCCTTCGCTGTATCTGTCGCAGTAGCTTAACATACCTGGAATTGTATGAAGACAAGAATCCACAATCTCAGAAAAAAACATTCTTAGTTATATTCAAACTCAGAAATGCATTCAGAGAGTTTCACCCTGGGGTCAGATAAGCTACACTCTTCCCTCCCTGTGAAGACAAGACAGAGCTGGGGCATGTGTAAGGGCCTGCTGGCACTGGAGAAGCGACCCTCCCCATTACGCACTGTCCACGCTGGCTCCTGGGGGTTCGAATGCCAAAAAGTGCTGGTCCTGGCTGGGCCCGGTAGCTCATGCCTGTAATCCCAGCACTTTGGGAGGCCAAGGCGGGTAGATCACCTGAGGTTGAGAGTTCAAGAGCAGCCTAGCCAACATGGTGAAACCCCGTCTCTACTAAAAATACCAAAAATCAGTCAGGTGGCGTGGCAGGTGCCTGTAATCTCAGCTACTCAGGAGGCTGAGGCAGAAGAATCGCTTGAACCCGGGAGGCAGAGGTTGCAGTGGGCTGAGATCGCGCCACTGTACTCCGGCCTGGGCAACAGAGCGAGACTCCGTCTCAAAAAAAAAAAAAAAGTGCCAGGTCCCTCAGACCTTGCATGCCACCTCTGCTGGTGCATCTCATGGGACCCTCCGGTTGGCCTGCGTTCACACACTGATTTGTTGGCTATCACAGTAAGTCCTAATGTCACCAAGTGTTTCCTCCAACCATGGGTGTACAAGGTTATTTGTGTACAACGTTTGAATGCATTTTCCAAGAATTAAAAATGTCAGATCTCAGGTAAACCTGTCACTTATGTCACTGTTAGACCACAGATCTCAGTTAGCACTGTATTGGGTACGGTCAAGGCTGCAGGTACTTGAAACACCGGTTGGAGAGCTCACGTTGGCTTGTACCTTGCTGGTTTGGGTGGATGGAGCCAGGCGCTCATCTGCACAAGCCCCCATGCACGCTCCCCACGCTCCTGCTGCTCCCCAGCCTTGGAGAGCCATGATTTCTCAGATTCTAAGGAGAGGGCCCTGGGACTTTGGTGAAGAGATGCAGGAAGAGGCTTATCCTGGAGGGAGAGGGAGGGAGCCGCACGGGCTAGGCTGACTGTGCGAGAATGGGGTGCGCCCAGGGGAAAGCGCAGGCCAGTCACGGCCCCCACCCAGCACTGGCCTGCCCCGACCCGCTGGGCCCCGCAGACTTACTCTCCCTCACATTCCTCCCCTCCCTGCTGCCGGGAGGCGAACGGGCTGGTGCCGGCCTGTGCTTAGCAAGTCAAGTCAGAAGCCAGGGCCGGGATCCTGGAAGAGGAGGAGGAGGCGTTTCTAGTCCTGGGCGCCATGGAGGACATAGGCTGGGCTACTGCTGCGACCCTGACTCATTTCCCACATCTTTCAAACCCTTAAAGGCTCAGCAGCTGGTCAGTCCGCCTACAAAGGTAACATGGGGACAAACGAAGCTGCAGAACGTGCAGAGCCTGCCCCAGCTCAGCTTCCCACTCCCCACAAAAACCGTGGATGATTAAGTTAAAATACGAACCATCGGTACTAGATACGCTCAAAAAGCAAAAAATAAACAAACATCATCTTTGGGGTTTAGTTTTGATTGACCTATGCTGATTTGAAAGCCTAAAATCATTGGGTTGCAATTTATTTGCTTCAAATAGTTCTTCTCTCTCAGTGTGTTAAAATTTCCCCCAAAATGGTTTTGAAGGGTAAAAGACTCAAACATACCAACTTTTCTGACATTAGCATCTGAAATTAACGGATGGGTACTCTGTTTATAAAAGAAGGGGTGTCATCTCATTTAACCTAAGTGTTAATTTGGCAGTGCAGAATTCTGGAAGTCTCCTGAGCTTTCCAGCACTGGATACGTACTGTAGATGGCTTAGCATTTCTGGAGAACAGAAAACAACCTACACATTTATTTCATTTGGGAAATTATTTACTTCACTTTTGCTAGTTGCTTATTTATTAAAACTAAAGGAGACAAAATCTAGACACAAATACAGTTTATTCCTTCCTTTTGGGGTGGGGGAGGGCAGAGACACAAGAATCAAGTTGAAAATACATTAAATTAGAAGAAAATGGAAAGAGCTGCTGTGGCTGCATATCCCCCCACTTGCAGGCAGGCAGGCGCCCTCACGAGACCCCTCAGCAGCCAGTTCCATCTCCCTCTCCTACCAGAGCAGCCACAGGCCAGGGGTTCAGTTCACGCAGCACTTGCTCTCTGGAACATGTCACATTCTCTGAGCAAGTGTTCATCTCTCCCTGTTCTGTGAAACCATTTGAACCTCCCAGGAGCTTTCTAGAACTTTCTTTCCTTTCTGCCTTTGTAACGTTTTAAAGGGACATTTATTTCTACAAAACTTTTATTCTGTTTTATTCTGTTTTGTAGAAATAAATGTCCCTTTAAAACTTATCATGCTGGAATTCATAATAGTGCAATTCATAATTTTCCCCATTTTTATTCAGGAAACCCTTTAAAATGTCAATCTTACTGATATAAAAACTTTCTGTAACATGCTCTTGGGATGAAGAGCCTCACTGTCTGTGATGAAGTTTAGGCGCCCACACCACGTGCTCACCATGAGATGGGTGCAGCCTCCGGGTGCTCCAAGGGCAGGAGTTCTCAGTGACTTAGACTCACGACCTGCATCTGCCTGATTATTTACAACCATGTCCCAGTAAACTTATGACTGTGACTGTTATTTGCAACTCCTCCCCTTCCATTTTAGGGAGGTGTAATTTATTTTCAACAATTATTTTGGCTTCTCTACACCACGAGAGGAGAATTGGGTGTAAATTACTCTAAAATGCCAATTTCTTTGGAAATAGGAAAAATACAACACAGCCCACTTCACTTTTGATCCCCTGGTCTGCCCTTCCCCACTATTTCTATCTAATCCAGCCTCCCCTGTATTTTTTCTTCTGTGCTTCCATGCCCTCTGTCCCTTTGAGTTCTAATTCTTCCAAAACCCTTGTAGAGCTTGGCTTTTTAGAAGATTCTGAACCTAATTTCTTAAGAGATGCTTATCCAGAAAAAGACAAAGAGTAGAAAAAAGAATTGATTCTCATGAGATTGGATGTAGCTTAACTTGCTGCTTTCTAACTTGCGAGCCTTGGGCTGTGGGCCTCTGAGGGACAGTGGGTTTGAATGCCCCAGGTGCACAGGCAGGAATCCTTTCTGTTCCCATGTATGCAGCAGGCACCAGAGGAGGCCTTAACCCCAGCCCGAGGCCACAGCCACTAGGAGGGATTCCAGGCATCAGCTCCTTGGAGAGCCTTAATTGCCACCCATACATGGGAAGTCCGGTTTTCTTTCACGCAGCTATGAACCCACACCTGTATGAATTCACCTGCTTTTTAGAGACAGGGTTTCACAGAACTCATTAAGGAAGATCAAAAATGCCTCAAAGCACAGAGCGACATTATCTCATTCCTACTCTCAGGATCAAATTCCCACCTGAGTGAGGACTTGCCCAGGGTAGGGGAGGCAGAACCGACCCGGGCCCCTCACCTCACCTCAGCAAGTCCCCGCCCATCAGCTCACCTGCTTCCACTGGCTGGCAAATAATTGCTTCCCATCAATCAACCAAACCCACCAGCCACCAGGCATCTCAGTTTTGAAAAAGGCAAGTGTCTACACAGGAGAGGAAATCTGTGAGGCAAAATGGTAAATAAACATCCACTTCCCCTGGAGGCGATTTCCACGCTGCCAGATTCTGAGATGTCCTCATTTCAAGTGGAACAAAATGCAGGAGGAACCCAAACAGCCCCAGGGACAAGGCTGAGCGGTTTCTCTCTCTACTGACCTGCGAGTCTAAAGCTTAGCAAAGAAACAAACCCGGCTGGGAAACTCTAGGTACCTGGTTCCAGAGGCTTCTCCATGCCATAGCAAAAATCCTAATCTTGTGATTTTTGTACATTGATTTTGTATCCTGAGACTTTGCTGAAGTTGCTTATCAGCTTAAGGAGATTTTGGCCTGCATTCTTATACACCAACAACAGACAAACAGAGAGCCAAATCATGAGTGAACTCCCATTCACAATTGCTTCAAAGAGAATAAAATACCTAGGAATCCAACTTACAAGGGATGTGAAGGACCTCTTCAAGGAGAACTACAAACCACTGCTCAAGGAAATAAAAGAGGATACAAACAAATGGAAGAGCATTCCATGCTCATGGGTAGGAAGAATCAATATCATGAAAATGGCCACACTGCCCAAGGTAATTTACAGATTCAATGCCATCCCCATCAAGCTACCAATGACTTTCTTCACAGAATTGGAAAAAACTACTTTAAAGTTCATATGGAACCAAAACAGAGCCCGCATCACCAAGTCAGTCCTAAGCCAAAAGAACAAAGCTGGAGGCATCACACTACCTGACTTCAAGCTATACTACAAGGCTACAGTAACCAAAACAGCATGGTACTGGTACCAAAACAGAGATATAGATCAATGGAACAGAACAGAGCCCTCAGAAATAATGCTGCATATCTACAACTATCTGATCTTTGACAAACCTGAGAAAAACAAGCAATGGGGAACGGATTCCCTATTTAATAAATGGTGCTGGGAAAACTGGCTAGCCATAGGTAGAAAGCTGAAACTGGATCCCTTCCTTACACCTTATACAAAAATCAATTCAAGATGGATTAAAGACTTAAACCATAAAAGACTTTAACATAAACCATTAAAGACTTTAAACCTAAAACCATAAAAACCCTAGAAGAAAACCTAGGCATTACCATTCAGGACATAGGCATGGGCAAGGACTTCATGTCTAAAACACCAAAAGCAATGGCAACAAAAGCCAAAATTGACAAATGGGATCTAATTAAACTCAAGAGCTTCTGCACAGCAAAAGAAACTACCATCAGAGTGAACAGGCAACCTACAAAATGGGAGAAAATTTTCACAACCTACTCATCTGACAAAGGGCTAATATCCAGAATCTACAATGAACTCAAACAAATTTACAAGAAAAAAGCAAACAACCCCATCAAAAAGTGGGCGAAGGACATGAACAGACACTTCTCAAAAGAAGACATTTATGCAGCCAAAAAACACATGAAAAAATGCTCACCATCACTGGCCATCAGAGAAATGCAAATCAAAACCACAATGAGATACCATCTCACACCAGTTAGAATGGCAATCATTAAAAAGTCAAGAAACAATAGGTGCCGGAGAGGATGTGGAGAAATAGGAACACTTTTACACTGTTGGTGGGACTGTAAACTAGTTCAACCATTGTGGAAGTCTGTGTGGCGATTCCTCAGGGATCTAGAACTAGAAATACCATTTGACCCAGCCATCCCATTACTGGGTATATACCCAAAGGACTATAAATCATGCTGCTATAAAGATACATGCACACGTATGTTTATAGCGGCATTATTCACAATAGCAAAGACTTGGAACCAACCCAAATGTCCAACAATGATAGACTGGATTAAGAAAATGTGGCACATATACACCATGGAATACTATGCAGCCATAAAAATGATGAGTTCATGTCCTCTGTAAGGACATGGATGAAATTGGAAATCATCATTCTCAGTAAACTATCGCAAGAACAAAAAAACCCAACACCGCATATTCTCACTCATAGGTGGGAATTGAACAATGAGAACACATGAACACAGGAAGGGGAACATCACACTCTGGGGACTGTAGTGGGGTGGGGGGAGGGGGGAGGGATAGCATTGGGAGATATACCTAATGCTAGATGACGAGTTAGTGGGTGCAGCGCACCAGCATGGCACATGTATACATATGTAACTAACCTGCACATTGTGCACATGTACCCTAAAACTTACAGTATAATAATAATAAATAAATAAATAAATAAAATCCTAATCTGTATTTATTCCTCTCTCTGCACTTGTGAATCTTTTTGGAAGAATTTTAAAAACCAAAAATAAAACAACAACGAAAAAAACTAGAAAAGTAGTACGTGAAAGAAACAAGACAAAGCTCTGTTTGAATATAACATATATTAAGGACTTAACAGGTGCCAGCAATCCAGCTAAGAGCTTCCATCTGGTTCAATTCTCACACCACCCTGAGGAAGCAGTTACTGTTGTCCCCATTTCACAGATGGGGAAACTGAGATGCAGTGAACTTAAGTCATTTGCCCAAGGTTATACAGCCAGTAGGCTGGAAAGCCAGGGTAAGGAGCCGGCCGGCTGGCTCCACAGGCCAGAACCACCATTCTGAGGGCCCGTCTTTCAGGGGTGTTGTTTGTAAAAGGAGCCAAAAGGCAATGGCACGCTGGCCTCCTGTTTCTCAGAAACTATTTCATTAGATTAAAAATAAATCCTAAAATATTTGCACTAGTTCTAGATAAATGGTAGCTTTTCAGGCTAATAACTACCCTTAACCTGAGATGCTGGCTTTATGAAAACAGTATCAGAAAAGAAGAAAAATTCTCCCAACTCCAATCTTGATATATTCTGGGTGACACAGGGAAGAATGATAAACATTTCTATGGGTTCCCAGCCAGATCTTATAACTCTCCAACTCTGGTCTTTGGAATGCTCTGAAGTTGAAAACTACATCCGTCCACCATTATCATATGAAGCCAATTAGGTTTTCTTATCGTATCTGCTTTGTTTGAAAAATTGTTATGGGCCTCCTTCCTGTCTGCCACTCTATTTGATTCTTGAGTTTCTGGTTTCATTGGCTTCTGTTTCTATTTGTTTGAAAGTCAAAGCTGTTCTCAGTTCTGTCCCTATCTATTTCTTATGATTCCTCAATTATCTTATTTTTCTCAAGAAAAAAAAGGGAGAAAGAAAAACACAGTGGTTATCAGGCAGCGTCTGTATACATTTCAAATGTATAAATTTCTATACATTTCAAATGCTTAAGTATATATACAAATCTATATACATTTCAAATGCTTAAATATGCTCACAAGTTTTGAGGTTCTGGTTGAAAACACCATTTGAAATGATCTAAGACTTTGTGTTAATAATACAAGAAAACTCTTGTTTCACTGCATGAGGCCATCTTTCTCTACATTATCTTCTTCTATTCAGTGGTTATCTTCCCATAAAACTAACACACACGTGCTGGAGCAGATTCCCCTCTTCCCTTCACTCCTCTTAGCTCTTCTTAGCTTGATTCTGATAAGGACTGAAGCAGAGAACACACGGCCCATCCACTTCAGAAATCATCTGTGCACCTGCTGTATGCAGGAACATGTCTAGTAAAGCTTCCTTGAATTATTCATTGGACAGCATATTTCATTAACTACTGTGAAAATTGACTGAACTATTACCAAAATGTAATACTGAAATTATAGAACTGAAGTCAAACAGACTGAGAGAGGTCACCAACTCTCAACCTCCCCTCTCGCAGAGGGAGTTTCCTCTCAACATCTAAACCTCCCACAGGCAGGCAACCACATCCCCTTTTCAGCTTACCCACTTAAAGCATGGGCCTTTCCTGGACATCAGCTCCTGTTACTAGGAAGTTCTTCCTGCCATGTACTGAGCCCAAACCTGTCTGTCTGCTTGCCATTTCCAGTCTTTCACTCCACTTCCGCCCCCACAAAACATACAGACCGAGAGACATACGAGAGACTCTGGTCACTTTTTTCTGGATAAGCCCCAGCTTCTCAGTATCCTTTGTTAAATGCAGGCCATGGAGCTGCATACAATATTTCTTTTCTCTTTCTATATGTTTTCTAAGTTAGTAATGTTATTAATCTATAGTAATTGTAGAAATTTATAACACAGACAAGCAAAAAGATACTAAAAGTTACTTATAATCTCAGTACCAAGAGATAGCTGGCAATAATAACATCTAGGTTACATCTCTCTCCAGATTTTATACATAGTTTTAAAATTTTACTTTGTTTTAATTTGCTATAGGTTTTATTGGTTATCAAATGACATTTTCTTTTTGGATCAATTAAAATCTGGTTGACAGAGTTTCATTCTTGGAAGTTTCTTGTCCTTCCCAAGTCGTCTTTCCTTTAGAGTTACCAGATCACAGATAATGGGCTCAGACCTAATTCCCCCCAAGCCTTCTGGAGGCAGCGTCTGGCCAATGTCTGGTCTGCCCCACCCATATGCCCCTCCTCAGCTCCCAGCCTGTGGAAGCCCTCCCTCACTATAGGCTCCCTAGCCTTCTAGAAGAAAACCTTGCTCATATTTGGGCAGAAGAGATATCCAGCAGAGGTCCCTGTGGGTTAAGTCAGTCCCCTATCTTTTCGTCTTGCCTCTGTAAATAATGTCATCATCTTCCTCAGGAAACTACCACTTTCCCTTCTGCCAGGCTGGGTGACATGCTGCGAAGTTTCTGTGACATCACCAACCTCTCTTCCTTTGAGCTCTCACCTGAGCACAATGCACCACACGGAGCCCTGAGGTGCATGCACTCCACATGGATTTACATCTCAGTACACAGCGTTTCGAATCCCTGCCTTGTCTGTGAATCACCAGGGCTGGCCATCATCTCCTATATACTGTCTCTATTCAGTTGTAAGAAAAGGCAAAATGTGACTGTTTACAAAACCCATGACAACACTAAATAGAATGGAATTCCCATCCTGGCCCCAGATGCATACCTTCTGCATTGAGATGCATGGTTTCCAGGGGTCCAATGAATGCATACCGCATGCCCAACCCTTCTGACATGACAAGGTCCAGGTCACTAGGAGACACGATTCCTTCCTACGTGGAGAAATTGGGCGGCATAGATGAGTTTTGTAAAAAGACAATTTCATGACCACCACTTCCATCCTAACTTCTTTAGAGCAGGATCCCAAAATCTTCTCCAAAGCACTATACAGGGTGAGTACCACTTACCGAATATGCTTATGACCAGACATGTTTTGGATGGCTGATATTTTTTAGATTTTGGAATATTAGCATATGCATAATGAGATATTTTGGGGATGGGAGCTGAGACTAAACACAAAATCTATTTCTGTTTCATATACACCTAGCCTGAAAGTAATTTTATATAATATTTTCAATAATTTTGTGCATGAAATAGTTTGTGTACACAAAACCATCAGAAAAGCAAAGGTATCACTATCTCATTTCAGTGCTCAAAAAGTTTTGGATTTTGGAGCATTTTGGATTTTGGATTTTCAGATTAGGGATGTTCAACCTATGATAGTGTTTTGATTGAATTTTGCATGACAAAACTATAATATTATCATATGTTATAAATGGCTTGGCGTGGTGGCTCACACCTGTAATCCCAGCACTTTCGGAGGCTGAGGTGGGGGATCACCTGAGGTCAGGAGTTCGAGACCAGCCTGGCCAACATGGTGAAACCCTGTCTCTACTAAAAATACAAAAAATTCGCCGGGCATGGTGGTGCATGCCTCTAGTCCCAGCTACTCAGGAGGCTGAGGCACGAGAATCACTTGAACCCAGGAGGCAGAAGTTGCAGTGAGCTGAGATCATGCCACTGCACTCCAGCCTGGGCATCAGAGCAAGACTCTGTTTCAAAATAAATAAATAAATAAAAATTAAAAAAATACACACACACACACACACACACATATGTATACACTAAAAAGAGATTTTTTGTGTGTGTGTGTGTGTGTGTGAAATGGTCAAACACAAATTCACCTTTTCCATCCCTGCAATCTACTAGGGGTTGAAATCAATTCCTCTTGACCTCCCTGCCTCCTTAGCTCACCCTACAACCTACGGACCGCCTGCAGCTGCAGGGAGTGAGAGAAGCTGACGACAAGGGGAGCGTGAGGACGGGGCATCGTAGTAAAAGGACATGAAGGATTTTCTAGATTTCTGCCTAGGACCCAGGGGGGAGTAAGATTAGAGCCATCAAAAGACGTGGGAAGGTGCTCTCCAGGCTTCACATGCCTGCAAGTCCGGCCTTGTTCAGCTTTTAATGAGTTCGTAAAAAGTGATATTCTTTGATGAAATGCAGCTTAGAACCATGGGTTTGTTTGCTAAGGTGGGGCCCTGGAATCTTCTGCAATGTAAATTGCAAAGCAAGAGGCAAGTTGTTATGTATTAAGGTTAGACGTCTGATCAGCCACCTGTGTTCCTTGGCCTCACGTGGCTTTGGGATGGAGGCAGGCAAGCGCAGATAATGATCTGCAAGAGCTGCGCTCCACTGAGGTCCCTCCCGTCAGAGGATGCCTCCCCCTTGGGCATTTCCACTGTCAGGAGGGCGGACGGAGGGAAGCCGCCACCTTTTCCCCTACGCCTTCACGGCTCAGACAGGCAGCACTCCCGCGGAATCCGCCGCCCCAGGTCTCATCTGAGCGCTGTCTTTCACCAGAGCTCTGTAGGACTGAGGCAGTAGCGCTGGCCCGCCTGCGAGAGCCCGACCGTGGACGATGCGTCGCGCCCTTCCCATCGCGGCCTGGGCGGGCCCGCCTGCCCTCGGCTGAGCCCGGTTTCCCTACCCCGGGGCACCTCCCCTCGCCCGCACCCGGCCCCAGTCCCTCCCAGGCTTGCGGGTAGAGCCTGTCTTTGCCCAGAAGGCCGTCTCCAAGCTGGGGGCTTGCTCCGCCCGGAGGGCTCTGCGGGGACCCTGGCACAGCGGCCTGCAGGGAGGCACCCTCTGCCCTGCTGCGAGCCTGGGGCGCCTGGGCCTGGCCTCGAGGTTCCTGGGCCTCCAGGGCAGCCCCAGGGGTCCCCCGAGAAGCGAGAAAAGGGGTTCGAAACCCCCGCCGTGCCCCGCAACCGGCTGCGGCGGGCGACAGCCAGGTGCCTCAGGTCCGTGTGCTGGCTTGGACACCGCCCTGCGTCTGCAGAGAGCGCGGCGGTGAAGCGGGAGCAGGCGGCCTGGCCCAGGAGCCAGGACGGCCACAGCCACGCCACCACCGGCGAGGGCGAGGGCCAGGGCCACTCACTGTGACCCGCGACTCCCTTTTAGAGAGCCACTTTGCGTTTCGTTTTGTTTGCGCACACGGGACACAAGCATATCGAGGCTGAACAAGCCACAGTCCACGTTTCCAGGAGAATTACAAAGCAAACGCTTGGCCTCGCCTGCCGCAGACTCCGCCCGCTTCTAGAGGCCCGCACCCTGACTCCTGCAATTGCGGCTTTCCCGCTTTTCAGACTGGCCGCCCGTGTTCACATTCCTCAGCTGCAGCGTTTGCTGCTGGCCCATTTCTAATCTTCCTGTAAGTGGAATCACTGAGCGCGCGTTCTTTCGTGACTTGTCTCTCACCATCCTGTTTCTCAGATTCACCTGCGTCATGTGTCCATCTCCTTGATGCAGAGATATGAGTTTAGTCATCCACCCTGCGGCCATGAGCCTTTGGCTAGTCTGGGGCTCCTGTGAGCAGGGCAGCCAGGGTCACGCGCACAGGGCCCGGGCCGCGGCTGGGGCCCAGAGCATCCTTCTCCCCGTCACTGCGGCGCCCCGGCCTCCAGAATTGTGTAGAAGAGGTCCCGTCGCGCCTCAGCCTCGCCACGCTTGGTGTCCTCACCCTTGCAAAGTTTCGCTAATCTGGTAGGGTGAAATGGTATCTCACCAGGTTTCCTTCGAGTTCTAAATCACCCTACCACATGTTCACTGACTGCTAAGGAGAGTGAATCAGTCTGTGCAAGTCACTGCAATGCTGAGGAGGGTCGCCTCCTTTCACTCCCAATAGCGAAGCTGTAACGGGTCGGGGCATCACGGGGGCTGGGGGATATCTACCTAAGGCCCACAGAAACTCCCGGAACCGTCAAGAATCCCGTGTGGAACACAGGCATTGTCGCCTCCTCTCCCTGGCAGGAGGTCTGGAGGCAGGAAGGGTGGCTCCCTGCCCTCTCTCCAGGCTGCTGGAAGGCCTGGGCTGTGGCCCCTCGCACCCCCGTGGGCTCTGGAATGCTGTGAAAGGCAGCCAGGCGGCCTGCAGTCGCTCCCTCACCCTTGCTTTCCAGGCCAACATTCCAAACAGCCCCAAGTTTTCATTTTAGTATTCAAACTGGGAAGTATGCAAACATGGAAGCCACCCTATACTTGCAGTGTTATTTGGCTTGGCTCTTTTAGAATCGTATTTAGTATTTTTAGAGCTGATTTTTAAAAAATCATTTTTAGGATTGCAAAATAGAAAAAAGGTGAGCCACTCAAGAGTAGGTCCTTTTTGGTTTGTATCATCTGAGCTAACAGCCCCTAACTAACGCCTGAGAAGGGTTCTCCATGCTGCCCCATGACCTGGGAGGAACCACATTCCCTCCAACTCCCATGTTCTCAGTTCTGCCTGATTTCATCTAGAGGAGGGCTGTGGGTCTTCCATCAGTCACTATTCACCAGTAGAACAAGTTAGAAAGGGAAAAACGTTTTGATACTTTCCCTTCCTCACTGCTTCTTTCTGCCCATTTGAATTTCTGAAATGGATTTCTCAAAGCTTGAGTTTTTACCAAGAAGCTAAATATAGAGAAAGAAAAGGACCACAAGGCATTCAGTTGAGAAGCTCCACAACTAGGATATCATGTCCCCAAGGCAAACGTTTGAGTTTCTCCCTGCTGCACTTGGTGCTGAACTAAAGCTTTTCCATTTAGGATGTTTTGAAGCTCAGGTTGCTTAATTTTGCCACTGAGCTTAATTCCACCCAAAGCCTTGTGACATCTGTGGCCTAATATTATCATAACAATGACAAATAATCATTTGTCATTGATAAATAATCGCAGCAGCATGACAGGCAGAAACAAGTGCTTGTGTTGAAACAGGGAACTGACAAGCGATTCCTTATAATAGGTGACGGGCAACACAGCTGTGCGGAGATGGGAACCCTACCTGAGTCCAGCCCTTCTGTGGTTCTGTTAACATTGATCAGTTTAGCAATCAGTACTTACTCCATTTTAAGGTAAAATTCTCAAGTCACACATACAAAGAAAAGATTATTTAAAAATCATACAAAGCAATGAATACTACAATCACTGTTAGTTCAAAACATGGTTTCGCGTCCTGAAAATCATTGGGCAAAGAGATCCCAGACAGTGTTAAGGAACCCCTTTTATTGAAAAACTCCTTGCTTCTGCTTCCTTAGTTAAAACCTGAGATTTTTCCACAGTGGAGTAACACATGCATAGCTGGGGCACATATTTTGCACCTGATTTGGTAGGAGAAAATGCCCAGGCTGAGAGGAGCCACAAGACATCCGTGAAGTAGGAGAAAATGCAAGATAGTTAATAACGTACCCAACTGCTATGAAACAAATGTTAAGTCGAATGAAAGGTTTAGGGATGTATCACTCAGGGTTCTACCAGACAAAGCCAGTAAGATTCACACACATACACACATACATCAAGAGATTTATTTCAAGGAATTGGCTCATGTGACTGTGGGCCTGGCAAGTCAGAAAGCCATGGACAGGCCATCAGGAGGGCAGGCCGGCAACTCCAGGCAGGAACTACCCCACAGTCTGCAGGTGGAATTTCTCCTTCCTCAGGGAGATCTCAGTTCTGCTTGCAAGGCCTTTCAATGGACTGGATTTAGCCCACCCAGACTATGGAGAATAATCTCATTTACTTAAAGTCAACTATGTACCAAATACCTTCCCAGCAACATCTAGACTGAGTTTGACTGAGTGACTGGACGCTCTAGCCTGGCCGAGCTGACCCTCTCAGGGGACAGATACCCTCAGGGATCTTGGATCAAGCACTTCTGTTTGTTTGTGGGGTGGGGATGGGGAGAAGAGGAAGCAAGACACATCTAACAATTAACAATAGCAAAGGGTTAACAGATGCTGTGGTACTTACTCTGGTCCTTCGGACAGTCCCAGAAGAAGAGGAAGGCAGGAGAGAAACTTGTGTGGTGGAGGCACACGATATTTGATGGATAAATCCTCCTCCGTGACTATCTCCTCTACTGATCACCAGCTACACCGAACCATCTTTCCTTCTCTATAATCATCCCATTCCTAGATTTAATTTTCTGATTCATGTATTTTTTGCATGGCCTCATTTTCATTTGCTTTTCTCATTTTTCTTCATACCATTCTTCCTCATCCACTTCTTTTTTACTAATTCCCAGCTTTTGATCTTCTATTTTGTTTTGCTCTACTTTTCCCCCAAACTTGGTCCTGAATTTTCACATTTTTCTTGTGCAAACACTACAATAACTTTACTACTACTATCACCAGCAGGAACACAGACTTGCTACCCAGGAATTTGGATGAGGTTCTATTCAAGTTCTTCCACTCCTCAGCTAGAGTTTGGGCATAAGTCCACTGTCAACTGAGAAACAGGAGAAAAATTAAGAGTCAGGAGTCACAAAAGGTTTTATCTTAGGTGAGTGTCAAATAAAGAAACGCAACAGCGAGAAGTAGAGTACTCTGCCACCTTCAGCCCTACGAGGGCGACATGAAGAAAGCACTGGGCTTGTGTGGATCACCCCAGGGCAGCGGCCAAGAAGAAAGGATTACACCAGCACGTCCATCTCAATCTCTAGTGAAAGAAAGGATGGAACAAAGTTAAATCTCGGTGATTTTCTCATCTCCAGAGATGTTCAAGGACAGACCCAGACAAGAACAGTCACTTGCACAGAAGTAACTCGAGCATGAGCTAGGGTACTAGACTATCCCTCTGAGAAACATCCAGCCCTAGGGTCCTTGCAAATGCTACAGGGAGTAACAGAGTTAGAGATTAAGTTTATTATTATTATTATTATTTTGAAATGGAGTTTTGCTCTTGTTGTCCAGGCTGGAGTGCAATGGCAGGATCTCGGCTCACTGCAACCTCTGCCTCCCAGGTTCAAGCGATTCTCCTGCTTCGGCCTCCAAATAGCTGGGATTACAGGCATGCGTCACCACGCCCAGCTAATTTTGTATTTTTAGTAGAGACACAGTTTCTCCATGTTGGTCAGGCTGGTCTCAAACTCCTGACCTCAAGTGATCCACCCGCCTCAGCCTCCCAAAGTGCTGGGATTACAGGTGTGAGCCACCACATCTGGATAATTTTGTATTTTTAGTAGCGATGGGGTTTCTCCATGTTGGTCAGACTGGTCTCAAACTCCTGACCTCAAGTGATCCACCCAGAGTGCTGAGATTACAGGTGTGAGCCACCACATCCGGCCTAGATTAAGTTTATATTGAGAACTACCACAATGATTCATGAGTCTCTCATGAGAAACTAGTTGGAATTATGAGTTTGTTCCCTCCACTTATACATACTGTACCCACATGTTTTCGTTTTCTATACTCTTCACCACATGTTGCTTCCCCCACATGCAACAGGAAACTGGCTCCACGGCAAGGGTGAAAAAGATCTGACCCAGTGGTTCCCACCCACGCCACCTTCCAGGGAGAAGGTGAGGCCAAGATGAGACTTTAATAAGTCGAAAATAAAAGACTGCTAAGTGCTGCCCCACAATTACTCACAGGCTTGTGGTCAGGTTTGTGAGCTGCTTGGCCTGTTGCCGGCACTTACAAGCTTTCTTGGAAGCAAGACACAGACATTCCTGCGGAATGACTTGAGCAAATTTTGCTAACGCTACAAGGGTTGATTGAACACCACCACATTGAACTGATGCAAGAGGACACTGAATCACACCCATAAAACACCCGTCCTGTCAAGAGTCTTCCAAGAGGACGCGCAGGAGTCAGCGCTCCGGGGAAAGAAGATGAGAAACACCAGGTGGACCACCCTGGCCAGGCTGCTGGGAACAAGCCTACGTGCACAGCTGCCGGAGGAGAGGCGGGTCTCCCCTCTGGGAGGCATCTCAGCTACATCTATCAAGTTATAAAAATGTTACTCTCCCGCAGGCTGAGCCCACTCCCAGAATTATTCCAGAAAAGACTCCAGAAGAAGAAACCATATGTGCATAGAGGCTCACTGAGGCCTGACCTTAAAACATCCCGCAGTAAGGGAAAGATTGGATTTAAAAGAAAAAAAAAAAAGACCAGCTAAATGAAATATCATAAAGCCATTAAGAATGAATAAAAACTTGAGTAGCATGTTCATAATAGAGACTAGACAGGAACAAAGGAAAATGAAAGCAATTGACTTAGGGTAGAGCAAACACAGGTGGAGTTTTTCCCTTTGACTTTTCTTTAAAATAGAGGTTGTGTGTGTGTGTGTGTGTGTGTGTGTGTGTGTGTGTGTGTGTGTGTGTTTTGAGACAGAGTCTCACTCTGTCGCCCAGGCTGGAGTGCAGTGGCGTGATCGCAACTCACTGCGACCTCCGCCTCCTGGGTTCAAGCGATTCTCCTGCCTCAGCCTCCCAAATAGCTGGGACTACAGGCCCGCCACCACGCCTGGCTAATTTTTTGTATTTTTAGTAGAAACAGGATTTCATTGTGTTAGCCAGGATGGTCTCGATCTCCTGACCTCATGATCCGTCCGCCTTGGCCTCCCAAAATCCTGGGATTACAGGCGTGAGCCACTGCGCCCAGCCTAAAATAGAGCTTTTAAATAGAAACAAACAAACAAAAAAAAAAATGGAAAGGAAAGAGAGGAAAGACTTTGCCCTAATAAAAGGGACATTCCAGAGTACTTCAGGCCCCAGTGCTAATTCCCTGGTGCACTTTTTCTTAGAACACTGTGTGTATAATGATGCTTTTAGGGGGAAAAACAACAGTATTATAGAGTTTGAAAGAAAGGGAAAGCCTCGACTTTTACAACAAATACAACAGCAAAAAGAATCCATCATTGTGTATGAATGTGAATACATTCACTTCCATTCTATGAGGGTAGTGATACTTTAATTGAGGGGTCCTCTGGGAATACAGTTTACTACAATAAGTTTTGAACCAAAGAGTGTAAGCCCTGACTCCAAAAACAGCCATGGAGCACAAGCCCCATATCTGCCTACTCCCCACATCTTTACCCAGAGATGCTTCCTGCCTTGATGGCCCATAGGGCTCCAGTGGCCTCTCACCTGGCTTCTACCTGCAGCTGATGGAAGGCACAAAGGCTGGCTCCCACAAGGGAAGAGGGATGCAGTGTCATTTGTCACCTCCCACCTCTCTTCTCTTTGCCTTTTCTCTTGGGGGCTCCTTACCCCCATCCTCTACTTCTGGGGACCCTTACCCCTGGCCTGTTAACTTCCCAACTTCAAACTGAGGGAGCTGAAATCCATCATTTATATTCACTGCTCAAGCACCTATTGGTAATGATTGCTAGAAGGTGTTATAGTAACAGCATTTTCATTTATTTATTTATTTATTTATTTATTTTTAGAGTTAGAATACTAACATAGAAGCTTTGCAGCATTTTGGGGATTTTTAATGAGTATGTGGTTGATGTTATTTATTTGCTTATTAATGGGGATACAGGTATCTCTAAATTCATAAATCAGCAGTATCTCTCTTTTCAATAGGGTTTTGTTGCTCACCAATATGACTACTCAGAAAATGGCCACCCACAAAATAATAAATAATGGTATAAAAATAGTCTACTTCTTATGGAAAATTGCTGCTAGAAAAAAAATCCTAATTAAGGCCAGGCGCGGTGGCTCACACCTGTAATCCTAGCACTTTGGGAGGCCAAGGCAGGCCGATCATTTGAGGTCAGGAGTTCAAGACCAGCTTGGCCAACATGGAGAAACCCCATCTCTACTAAAAATACAAAAAATTAGCCAGGCATGGTGGCATGCGCCTGTAGTCCCACCCACTTGGGAGGCTGAGGCAGGAGAAGCCTTTGAACCTGGGAGATGGAGATTGCCATGAGCCGAGATCACGCCATTGCACTCCAACCTGGGCCACAGAGTGAAATTCCATTTCCAAAAAAAAAAAAAAAAGTCCTAATTAACTAATGATTCCAACACAGCAAATAAAAGTTTGCAGATAGAATTCCAGTTGCTGTGGCAGTTGACATTATCCCTGCGAACATCTGCACTACTCTAGAGAGAAATCATTACAAGGTACAAACGTGCTCCCTTGCACCTCCAGCCAGGCTGGGGTCGCCCAGCAAGTGTAAGCAAACCTGTGGGAAAGCTGAGCTGGACTTGGCTCTGCACACGGGTGGCATGCAGCTTCTGACTCTAACATAGAGGAGGAGAAAGCTTTACAAATATGCTTAGATGCCATTTCTCTGCCAAAGCCACCAGCCTTTCTGGAAAAGTCTTGCACTCCTGCTCTCCTTTTGGAAGAGCCCCACATTCCAACAGTTTGTCATGTGCATCCTAACCCATCTCGAGTGGTATCTACAGTCTTTCCAAACAAAGGGCCACGCTACTCTGTGAAAAATGCCACTGGAAGTTTGATAGGGATTGCACTGAATCTGTAGATCACCTTGGGCAGTATGGACATTTTAACAATATTAATCATTCCAATCCATGAACACAGAATGTCCTTCCATTTATTTGTGTCTTCTTCAGTTTTTTCATCAGTGTAATTATAGTTGTCAGTGTACAGATATTTCACTTTCTTGATTAAATGTATTTCTAAGCATTTTGGGGGCAGCTATTGTAAATGGAATTGTTTTCTTGATTTCTTTTTCACGTAGTTCCTTGTTAGTGTATAGAAATGCTACCGACCTTTGTATGTTGACTTTGTATCCTGCAACTTTACTGAATTTATTTATCAGTTCCAACAGAATTTTAGGGTTTTCTATATATGAGATCATGTTGCCAGCAAACAGTGACAATTTAACTTCATTTCCAATTTGAATACCTTTTATTTCTTTCTCTTGCCTAATTGCTATGGCTAGGACTTCCATACTACGTTGGATAGAAGTGGTGAGAGTAGGCACCCTTGTCTTGTTCCTAATCTTAGAAGAAAAGCCTTCAACTTTTCACCATTGAGTATATTTGCTGTGGGTGTGTCACGTATGACCTTTATCGTGTTGAGGAACACTTCTTCTATATCTAATTTGAAGAGAGTTTTATTATAAAATGATGCTGAATGTTGTCGTGTGCTTTTTCTGCATCTGTTGAGATGATCATATGGTTGTCCTGTATTCTGTTAACATGACATATCACATTTATAGATTTGCCTATGGTAAAGTATCTCTGCACCCTGTGATGAATTCCCCTTGATTATGTTATTAAATATAGGATCATTTTAATGTGCTATTGAATCCAGTTTGCTAGTGTTTTGTTGAGGAAGGCCAGACTCTACTCTCTATTTGACTGGAGGCTCTCTCGGTGGACACTGAGTACTCACTGATTCATGGGTGTGGGGGTGTGGGTTCTTTTTTTTTTTTTTTTTTGAGACAGAGTCTTGCTCTGTCACCCAGGCTGGAGTGCAGTGGTGTGATCTTGGCTCACTGCAACCTCTGTCTCCCAGGTTCAAGTGATTCTCCTGCCTCAGCCTCCCAAGTAGCTGGGACTACAGGTGCACAGCACCACACCTGGCTAATTTCTGTATTTTTAATAGAGACGGGGTTTCACCTTGTTGGCCAGACTGGTCTCGAACTCCTGACCTCGTGATTCCCCTGCCTTGGATTCCGAAAGTGCTGGGATTACAGGTGTGAGCCACCACGCCCGGCCGGGAATGGGCTCTGATATAGTTCTAGGGCTCCTCAAAATAATCTTTCAGTACTTCCCTGTAGATGAAAAATATCACCTCTCTCATTGCTTCTGGCAGAAGATCATTCTTACAGAGCTCTCTGCATTTGAAGCCAACAAAAACACAGGTCTCAATTAACCAGGAGGCTGGTCCTAGCAACGTGGGTGATGTATCCGCTCTAACGACCCTGCAGTCCCAACAGAGGTGCTGCTGAGTGGCTGGACTGAGAAGCAGCATGTGGACTCTGTTGGAAAGGAGCTGAGGAAGAGGACAGGCACAGTGGAGCTAGGATGGTCTTCAGCAAACCTCCCAGGGACTAGGAGCTGGAATAGTCAGAGCCAAGAGAGCTCTCCAGTACCCTCTGGTAAGGCACTTACTCCCACAGACACACTGACCACCCAGACTTCAGAAGGCGCAGAAGACAGAGGCCAGCTGAGCGAAGGGACAATGGCCCAGGCCATGTGAGAGAGGAAAGAAAGGCACAGCATCCTGGGGTGCCCGAGGGATCAGCTCTAAGCGGCACCTGGGGCTTTGGACAGATGCTGTCAGAGGAGACAGAGACTGAACCGGTCACAGAAGAAGCCTGGTAGGAGAAGCAGGGGAAAGATTCCCCCAACCCCCTGCAGAGCCCGCACAGGCCTAGCCCAGGGCAAAGCCGGCAGAGGGAGAACACATCCTTTCTGGGGTGATGTGAGCCTCAGAGCAACAGGAAGAAAAGGCAGCGCTGAGATACACGGAGCTCTGGAAGCCCCATCAGCGATTCACTCAGATGCTTCAAATGTTGTGTCTTAAAAAAAAATCCTAAACTCTTAGGGTTCAGTTTTCAAGTAGGTAAGATGTAGAACCCCTCCAGCTGAGGCATGGTGCGGAGGCCAGACTTGGCTGTTTCCTGGCTCCCCCAACTTCCCTACACACTGGGCCCATCGCTCTATGTGACTTCGTGCCAAGACCACACAGATGTTGCCAATGTCTGCGCTGTGCTATTTTACTCAAGCCTCAACATTTTCCCCCGGACACATTCCAGGTGCACCACAGTCTGAAGCAAACCACAGCAATTCACTTCCAACGCCGTCCTTCCCCAGAAAAGCTGCCAGCAGGACCCCGTCTCCTGTTGGCGGTGGCTCCGCACAGGCTTCCTCTTGTCAAGCTCTGCTGCTTCCAGCCACAAGACTGCTGTTCCTGTCCTTGACCTCAAAGCCTGTGAAACGATGATGGAGCCCAGTTCTGCTCCTCCTTGGAGTGCCCGCTTTGTGCTGATTCTCTTCCAGAGTCGACATCTGAATAACCGTCAGTGAGCCTGCCTTGCTCTGTTATAGGGTCTCAGGGCACCTGCTCACGTTGACAATGATATTAGTGAAACGGCAGAGCCTCACCGGACTGCCAGAAAAGGACAGGCCACGCAGGCAGCTTGCTGAGATGGCTTCCTGCTCAGAAAATGAAATATGTGAGATGGCACCTTCCTGGGTATTCATGCAGAGGTGGAGAACTAGACCCATATGAATGTTGGTTGATAAGAGGAGAGAAGAAATCAAAGGACCATTCACCTCCAAGTGAACATAGCACATGTGAGAGAAATGTAAGCGGTAGTTACAGCAGCAAATTTAAACATTTTAGGCCATCTTCCCCCTAGAACATGTTCATGCCCTTGGCTCCCCTTTGTGTAACCTCCCAGTCTGCCAAGGAGCTTCTAATTTACATTCTAATTTCAGCATAACAGTTCATAATGCAGTGGATTATGCGCAAACCTGGCTGACAGCATGAGATCAGGCCCCAGTACACAGAGGCCCCACTGTACAGTCGGCAGGCAGGATACACCCAAGCACAGGCATTCAGCTACAATCAGCTATACGGGAGTGCTGTTTCTGGGTGTCCCTCCTGAGGGACCTGCTTCTGCCCACACAGGCTCATGACTCCTAAAGGGAAAACCTCCTAAAAGGAAAACCTCATCACAATTTGCATCCCTGCTCAGGAAATCAAATGGCTGGAGGCGGGTGGCTGAGGCTAAGCATGCAAGCAGGATGACAAGGGAGATCCCCTGGGGCGTCACTCTCCAGCAGGCCCAAGCGGGGCAGGTCTGGCTGGGTGAGCTTTTGATTTGCAAGAGCGATTCTCATCCTCTGTGCAGTTACAACCTATTGTTCATTCATTCTAATATGTTTGTTTTTAATTAAAAGTGAACTGTCTATCTTTATTTAAAAAAAAAAAAAAAGAGGGTCTCACTATGTTACCCAGGCTGGTCTTGGACTCCTGGGCTCAAGCAATCCCCCTGCCTCAGCTTCCTCGGTAGCTGGGACTGTAGACGTGTGCCACCTGCCCAGCTACTTTTTTAAAATCAATTTTTACATCTTTTGGTATAACCAGAGGTATTCAGTGTCTTAAAACTAGGACTGTGAATCACAGCTATAGTGACCACATGAGAATCTCCAACTAAGCAGAAGCTGGTTAGAGCTGCATGTGTATCTATTGTGAGCTTGCGGTCAGAGAGAAGGAGTCAGAAACAAGAGACACACATAGAGACACACAGAGACACATACAGAGCCAGGGACGTGGTATGTGCATACAAATGATATTCAACAGAAACCTTTGAATAAGTTTGCCACAAAAAAGCCTCATCTGTCAATTTTACTACATGATCTTTGAGATACACTTCATTAACTAAAACAATGTCTCCTAACAGTTGGCAGACATGTCTGAAGTAAAGCTCAACGATGAAGTTCTGGAATCTCAGGGCCCCATCCAGATGCCCCAGACCACACCCACCCTGACAAATCAAGAGACCAAGAACTCAATCTCTGCGGCCCAGGCCCTAAGGACAGCAGTCCAGCACAGGGATGACATCATTCCGAAGGACAGGCAGAACCCAAGGTCAGCAATTTCCGAAGCTCATCACCACCAACTCACACCAGCAGGCTGAGAACCTGCCGAGGGTTGCAGATTCATTCCCAGGCACCTCCACATACCCTGCCCTCATGGGAAAGAATTTACAGGCAACAAACTTAGCTACTGTCCAGCCAAAAGTCTATTGTCACAACACAATGTCCTTCATTATGCTAATGCCTTAAAAATGTAGACTTGAAATGACATCCCAGCCAATAAGATCACGTGACCCAGGGAGCACGCCTCCGGCAGGGGAAGTAAGTGTCAGTAGATTGTGGCCAGACATGTCCATCTGGCATTTCCAAGACCACAGGGCTGCTTCATCCCAAAACTGAAGCCAACTGGAAGAGAAACAAAACGGAGTGAACATCTGTGAGATGGCACAATAGACCTGGCTCCTTCACTCCCTTGGCTATCCGGGTGTCCATTCTACCCCACGAAGGTCTAAGGGCTTACAGAGCTGCAAGGGAACAGAGAGAGAATGGGTGATGACAGGGGAGCGTCTCATAGCCCAGGATGCCACAAAGACAAGAAAAGAAAATGCTTGTCATTCCCAGTGCTTTCTCTTTCTGACCTAGAAATGGCACTGGCAGCGTGGCTCCCCTCCACAAACCCCCACAGTGAGGGAGCCTCCCTGCCACCCCCGCCCCTTTCTTAGAATGTCTCTTTAATGCTCGGCTGCAGGTGTAAAAATATGGTCCCAGAGTGAGTGAGTGAGACTGAAAACGGGAAAATAAAAGGAAAAAAAAATCAATGAGACAAAAAGTTGCTCCTCAAAAAAAAAAAAATCAATAAAATTGATAAACCTCTAGCAAGAGAACAAAGACAGAAAGAGAACACCAATCACCAATTTCAGGAAGGAAACCAGGGATATCACTACAGACCCTGCAGCCATTGAAAGAATAAAAAGGAGGACTACCGAGAACTTTATGCTCTTAAGTTCAACGACTTAGAAGAAATGGACCAATTTCTCAGAAACGACGAACCATCAAAACTCAATCAAGATGAAACAGACAATCCAAATGGTTCCATAACCATTAAAGAAATTAAATTCATCGTTAGAAAGCTCCCAGAAAGGAACCCCACCCTGGCCCGGATGGTTTCACTGGAAAATTCTACCAAATATCTAAAAATGAATTAACAAAAAGTACACACAATCTCTTCCAGAAAATAGGAGGAAGAACTTCCCAATTCATTGTATGCAGCTAGAACAGGCTGAGTATCCCTAATCTGAAAATCTGAACCCCAAAGTGCTCCAAAATCTGAAACTTTTCTAGCGCCAACATGACACTCAAAGGAAATGGTCACTGGAGCGTTCCAGATCTCAGATTTTCGGATTAGGGATGCTAAAACAGTAAGTATATAATATTCCAAAATCTGCAAACATCCAAAATCTGAAATATTTCTGGTCCCAAGCATTGGGCTTCTCCACCTGTACGTCCTTGATACCAAAATCAAATAAAGATAATACAAAAAAAGAAATCCACAGACAAATATGTCCTATGAATTTAGATGCAAAAAAAAATTCACAACAAAGCATAACCAGGTTGAATCCAGCAATCCCAAGTAGGATTATTCCGAGTATGTGAGGCTGGTTGAACATGCAAAAGTCAATCCATGGGATCCCTTGTTATCACCACTTAGTGAGTGGCAACGCAGCTGACATCAGCAGCAAGACACTGTCACGGGTGGAAATGCAAGCCGTCCTTCCATCCTGCTCTAGCTCCTACCTCAAATTGGAGGTCAGACCCCTGGAAATTCATACTTTCATATGATTTGTGCAGAGCTGCCTCACCTGCAGATGGCAGGGGTGGCAGGGAACGGCATTCCTCCCTGACCTGCTGACCCAGTACCCACACGCCTGGACACAGGCACACAGCTCATTTCCAGCAGGCTCCCTCAGCGCCCTGAACCAAGTCACCTGGCACCTCTCCTACCCTGGTAGGAGCATCCAGCTCTAATCCATTAACATGCCAAGCCAAGGGTCAAACAGAAAAGGCTGTCAAACTTCAACTTGCTTTATGAGCCCAGAGGATCCTGAAACAGAAGCGCCCACACCAGTGAGTCCTAGAGGAGCAGTGAGTCCTAGTTGCCCCCCGACCAATGCTCATTCCATTCACTACAGTCAAGGCTCAGGAGCCAGGCACTCCGGCCACACATGGAACCCACACCAGGCCTCACTGAGGAGAAGCTCTGCAAGGCCTTTGGAGCTTTTCAACTTAAAACATGCACAAGCCTACTTAGCCTCTTCTGTAAAACTTCCCCAATTCTGCTCCTTTTCTATTAAAAGTTGCTCTTGAAAGTTTTGAGGCAAACTTGGAAAACACCAAATCTAAGCTCAACTATTGAAAGACTCCAAAATGCAAATTCAAGTTCATCTGGCTTGGAAGTTGTGAGTCAAAGGGGTGTCATTGCACCCTGTGTTCAACTGTGGTTTGGAGCAACTATACGGATTTGCAAGACGGGGAGGTGAGGCCCTGGAGAGGTTTGTTCACTTTTGCTGACTTGCAGTATCTGGCATGGAAACCGGCCACAGCAGCATAGATTTTCCTGCAATAAAATCAAGAATCCTTAAACCAACCCACCAGAACAGTGTCAGGTACACCACTGTCTGCTAGGTGGGAGGCACACTGTAGCCAGCACAATCACGGTAGGCAAGATTTCTCTAGGGCCACACTGAGACGAGGCACGGTTCTGCCGCGCAGCCCCAGAGTCTTATGGAATACAGGGCATCCAAGTGGATGCTCAGGTGTGCATGTCAGCGGCTACTTCACGAACAAGGTCATGACCAGTGTGCCAGTGCTCCAGTTCCAGCAGGCTCCCCTAGCGCCCTGAACCAAGTCACCTGGCCCCTCTCTTACCCTGAAAGCATCCTGGCTCTACCCAATTAACATGCCAAGCAAGGGTCAAACTTCAACCTGCTACTGGAATGCTGGCACGCTGGTTGTGACCTTGCTCCTGAAGTAGCTGGCCAACGGAGGTGCTGCCACTGAGCGGTGATGGTCAAGGTCAGCACCACGACAAGCCCCCTCCTCCTCCCCGAACTCCTCCATGCTCCCTCTCTGCCAGCCCTGCCCCATAACTAAAGCCCCTCATACCCTGGAAGTCATCGCTGTGGGGCTCGGGGTGCCTGGTAGTGCCATTCCCACCCCACCCCTGCCAGGAGAGGACCTGAAGTTTCTAGAGCTGCCTTGGGCCCCACTACCTGTAGATAATCCTTATTTTTAGAAACAAATTATCTTCTAGACTTTCACCAAGGTAATTCTTTGGGTTTTACTCACATTTTCTTAATTTCCCATTTCTCTTGACCTCTTCCTGTTCTGTCACAAACTGTATCCTGCTAGATTTTGGCACTCAGTTCCTTACAGGGACTCCAGGCATCTGAGTCCCACAGCAGCCAACACAGAGACATATGCAGGCTTCACTTTCTCAGGAGGTATGTCACCACAGAAAGCCAGGAGTAAGAATGTTCCCGCTAGCCAGTAACACAATGTCACTCAGGCTGCCATGACCCATGAAGAGGGACAACCAAAAGCAGGGTGGACATCGTGAGTCAGCAGAACTACCAGAGCAGCCCAACTCACCCCTCCGCCTGCCCTCCTCCAGCAGCAAAAGGAAACACCAGAGTCCTCCATGGCTCTTGCAATGGAGAGTTCTTTGTGTACACCTCCCACCCGATCCCCTTACACCAGAATCCCAAACCCTTCCTTGAGTGGGCTCACACCTTTCATATTGGAGAAAGCAAGAGTTTACTCAGGGCGCTAAAATATCTTACAAATAAAAAGCTGAGATTGCCTGTAAAACCCCACAAGGTTTAATTCAACAAGTGAACATGGGCAAGGAGTCTAAAGTTGTTCCCCTTTTCTAGACAAATGGAAATATTTTAAATAAATCTCCAAAAAGGTTCTGATAGATCCGTGTTTCTTTAAAAATACCTTGACACTGACTGATATTCAAGAAATTACTAAGAAATTCAAACCGCCGCCCTAACAGTGGAAACCCGAGCACTGTTTCTTGAAAATACAGGAGCCTTAAGTGGATTTAGACATCAAGACACAGAATCGAGGCAACCGCGTGGCAAATGCACCCGGCAGTCCAGTCAGACAATGTACCTAACGGGGATTTGGCCCAACAAGAGAAGCAGGCCGCGGGAGGCCACATCTGTGATGCACACCTGCCTGGTTTGGAAGAACTGCTGGGAAATTGAAATGCAACACTCAAGGAAGCTGGGGCACAGTCAGCTTCCTGGTTGCCATCTCAGGCAAGGCTCGGTGTGTGTCCATGCGAGTCCAAACAAGGAACTGTGGAGCCAGGTGCAGATGACTCGAGCCCGAGCAGCGTCCTCCCTACGCGGTGCAGCTGGGTACTTCCGGCCCTTGAGCCTTCCACAATGTTTTTGCAACACAGGCGTGGGCAGAGTCTTGCCTTCCCCCTGCAGAAGCTGGGCAAGTGCCATAAGGGAGGCCGGACAGTTCCACTCCCAGATCCCGAGACTTCTCCGCCTCGTCCTGGGGTCCAGCTGACCTATCTCCTCCAGGCACCACGGCCCCTCATGCAAATGTACACGAGAATGCGTGCAGCCAGGCCATTTCTTCACCTCCATGTAAAATCCTTTCATTAGAGGATGATGTTAAATATATTTACATATCATTTCCTCTTTATAGGTAAGACAAGCATTTACTCTAACAAGTCTATTCATCACTTCTTCCTCAAGCTCTTGAAACAATTAGGTTCCTTCAGGAGACAGAAGTTTACACAAAATATAATTTTTTTCCTTTTGAAAAATTATAACACTGAGGGGTAAAAGCTGCCTCTGTGGGAAAATGCAGTGGGCCACATAGGTTATTATGTCTAATGCTATGAAAGGGCAGGAAGGAGAGAAGCCTGTCATCGTGTCCTGGTATCAGGTGACTGTAAGAAGAACCTCTCAGGCAGACAGTGAATCGCTGCATTTTATTTTGGTTCTAAAGCTGGCCCTTGGTCTCCAGAATAGAGCAAGAAGAAGCAAGCAGCCTCTGACTTTCCCAGCTTCCAGGCTGCCCAAGGAACAACTTTCACTGTCCTGCTCAACTTTGAGAGGGAGGGAAGAAGGAGGGAGAAAGGAAGGGAGGGAGGGAGAGAGGACGGGCACACACACCTCCACTAGCCGCCAGGCCTCGCTGATGATTGCATATTGCAGGCGGTTCAGAACGAAGCCGGCCACCTCCTTCTGGACTCGCATGGGGCACTGTCCAATCTTCTTCATCAGGGCGTGGGTTCTGTCCACTGTCGTAGGGGCCGTCTCCGGGTGGGGGACCAGCTCAACCAGCGGGATGTAGTATGGCGGATTCACCTTAGGAGAGAGAGAGAAGTGGGGGAGTCAAGGAGATGATCCTGGGTTTGGGGAACTGCACCCACCCTGAATGGTCAGGAGCAGCAGATGCATCTTTGGAATGGTGCCTTTAGATTCAGTGGCCAACAACAAGATACTTGAGAAAGAAATTTATTCACAAAGGAGAGAGAAAAAGGGAACCTGATGCAGAATTGTGTGGTTTTGTTTAAAAAAAAATACCCAAAATACAAAGTTGGAATTTGGAGGAACAGCTTGCTATCCTGTATGTTTATGGCTAATCTTCAAGCCCCTGGCCTCCCCAGGACAGAGTTTCTCTGCTCCCATCTGTCTTGTCTTCAAAGCTTCCTCCCAGCCCACCACCCCCCAGAATCATGTCTTCCCATCTGCAGTCACCACAGGCTCTGACATTCTTCTGTGTCAGTGTTAAAAATTATTGGCAAGCTGGGTGCGGTGGCTCACACCTGTAATCCCAGAACTTTGGGAGGTCGAGGTGGAGGGATCACTTGAGCCCAGGAGTTCAAGACCAGCCTAGGCAACACAGCGAGACCCTGTTTCTACAAAAAATAAAAAAATTAGCTAGGTGTGGTGTTGTGTACCTGTAGTCCCAGCTACTTGGAAGGCTGAAGTGGGAGAATCATTTAAGCCCAGGAAGTGGAGGCTGCAGTGAGCCATGATTGTGCCATTGTACTCCAGCCTAGGTGACAGTGCCAGATCATCTCAAAAATAAATTATTAGCAGTGTCTTCCCAAAACCTGGTATTTCCTTAATTCCTCCATATTGTACCTTAAGTGTCTGCCTCTTCCAGTCTAATGTCACCTTCCTGCTCTAGAAATCAACAGGCATCAACACACCTCAGCAGCCCCAGCACCCCGACGAGCCCAACACAGGAAGGCATTGTCCAGGTGAGCATGCCCCAAGGGAGGACCCTGGACTTCACTGTTCAACTCTGGTGTTCTTGGTTTACTTTGAGAAACTGTTCTTAGAGATTCCTCACAGAGAGTTATCAAATGTCCAAAGAAAACAGTGCCTGGTAGAACCTGACTGGCCTGAGCACTGAGCCAAGTATACCACAGCAAACAGAAATGATGCTTTTCAATGGGTTTTCCTCCACTACATGGGTGATAGGTAGAATGTCACATTTGCTAAGTGATGCTTCCATGAGCAGAAGCTTCCATTTAAAGATGACTCCCACAGAAGAGGAAAGGAGAAATAAGGGCCATCCTGGGCACCTGCTCTGCCCTCTCAGGAATCAAGAAAAGACGGCTCCTGTTTCCAAATAGACAGATGGTAAATCGATGCCTCGGTTAAACACCTGTCACCTACTGAATTCTTATAGAAACGCTTAACCTCTGACCTTTTGAAAAATGAAGATTAGAAGAACTGGAAGTGTGTCTTTCTCAGATGAATTTTACCTTATTTTATATAAAGCAGGCATGCTGGGATTGGGGTCTTTCAAACATTGTAAGCCTCACTGGTAGCAAAAACAGACTGAGACAAGGAGTTAGAAAGCATTTCTATGTACAACTCACCAGTTCCCTCCTCTCAGTCTTCTCTGCGATTTTTCCTGCTCACACTTTCACTGAGTGATGGTGACCCCCAGTCTGCCACAGTGGCCCATCTGTGCCCACTCCCTGGTGTCACCACCACCAAGACTTGAGGACACAGAATACACCTGCATGTCTCACACAGATCCCAGCCTCACCCTGGCCCACATCTGCAACTGAGTGCTGGACGCCTTCCCTTGGGCACACCCCAGCACAGACTTGTCTCATGTGGGTTATCCCCATGGTCCCCAACCCTGGCAGGCTCCTGATCTCAGTGAGAATGTGTCACATCCCCACACCCAAGTCAGTACCAGGAGAAATGTTCCTGGCCCCTGCCTCTCCCTAGCCCCTCTCACTTTCCATTGAGAGGTGAGGCCAGCTGGACTCCCTGGGTCAAGTGTGAACTTGGGGAGCTTTTCTGTCTTACAAAAGGATTGTAAAATGCACCAATCAGGAACTTTCCTGTCTTACAAGAGGATTGTAAAATACACCAATCAGCACTCTGTAAAACGCACCAATCAGTGCTCTGTAAAACACATCAATCGGGGCTCTGTAAAACGCACCAATCAGCACTCTGCAAAACGCACCAATCAGCGCTCTGTAAAATGCACCAATCAGCAGGATTCTAAAAGTAGCTAATCGGGGGAAGGATTGAAAAAAGGGAACTCTGATAGGACAGAAATGGAACAGGGGAGGGGCCAATTAGGGAAAAAAAGCTGGTCACTCCCCCCACCCACCCCTACCGCCCACCCACACCCACACGCGCCCCCCCACCCACACCCCTACACCCCCACCTGCAGCGTTAACCCACTCCGCTGTCTTTCCCTGCTGTGGAAGCTTTGTCCTTTTGCTCTTCACAATAAACCTTGCTACCACTTACTCTTTGGGTCCGTGCTATCCTTAAGAGCTGTTAACAATCACCACCAAGTCTGTGGTTCACGAAGTCAGCAAGACCACAACCCACCAAGACCAACTCCGGACACACCATCAGTTACTGAAGTCCTGTTACTTCTCTTTACTCTTCTCTCAAAAAAATCATTGCCACTGCCACCCTCAGCTCAGGGCCCCCGTTTCCATATATATTCTGCACTCCCTTCATGGGACTCCTGCTGGGGTCTCAGCCCCTCTATCTCATCCTCCCAGAGCAATCCGTGTTGTAGCGGGAGCCTATCAAATCCACAGCAGCAGCAGAAAGCTAGGTTCAGGTGCCGCGGCTGGGGTGGAGCTGTGGAAAGTTAGTGTTTCATGGGTAGGAGGTTCAGTCTTATAAGAGGAGAAAGTTCCATGGATTGTTGGTGGTGGTGGCTGCACACCAGTGAGAATGTCCTTAATGCCTCCAAACTGCACACTTACAAATAGTTAAGACGGTAGATTTTGTTATGTATATTTTACCACAATTATACATTTTAAAAGTAAAAAACAGGACTTTGATCATGCCTTCTCCAACGAAAAATCTTGAAGGGCTGCCCAGCGCCCACTGTACAAGGCACACGGCTGACTAGGACGCAGGGGCCAGCGACTGGGCCCCACGCAGCCCCCCAAAACAGACTTCCATTCACACCGACTTCCATCCACACCTCCGTGTCCACCTACGGAAGCCGCCGCAAAAGGACCTTCGAGGTCTCCCGGCTGGGAAACAGTCTCCCTAACCACAGCCCTCAGCCTCTGGCCCAAGAGGTCAATCTTGTCAATAAGGTCGGGTGCCCCTTGAATTTACCACAGTAGAGGGGAGGAGAGGAGGCGAGACAGGAGAGGAGGCAGCTCCCCCGCCCCAAACCTTCCATGTGGGAGTGTGCGAGGTGGACTCGGAAACACGCCCCCGAAAGGGTTCGACAGATACAACGGCAGCGCAGCGCAGGGGCCTGGGCCTGCGCAGGCCGGCGGAGCACAAGGGACGCATTCTTCCCCGCCGCCCGGGCCCCATGTGACCGCGCCGACAGCGCGGCTGCCCACAGAGACTCCCTTCACCCCCGCTCCGGGAGCAACCAAAACGGCGAGGCCCACAGGGCCGACAGCGCCCTCGCGGGAGGCAGCCGGGCTGGGGCCTCTTGCCAGCCCTCGGTGTTCGATGCTTCATGGGTAGCCCATCCTCTCGGCGGCGCGCTCGCAGGGAGGGCTCAAAGGCAGCTCGGAGCGGCCGCAGGGCCGTGCAGATGTGCAAAGAGACGCACAGAGCACGGGCGCTTTGCAGACAGCAAGCCCATACATCCAATATTTACCACCAATACCAGGGCAGATGACTTCGGTGTGAGACGTGAGGTGAGTTCGAAAAGGCCACGCACAAGCAAGGGGCGGGGGAGCGGGCTAACTGGTGGCCTCTCCCCCAACGCCCACCGCACGCCCCAGTCTGCCAGCCGCGGCCCCCTTCCCAAGCAGGCCTGTCCATACAGCACAGTACTTGGTGGGCTCCGAAGACCCCACCAGCCCTGTCGGACCATCGCCTTCCCAGACTGAACTAAGGAAGAGAAAAAAGCAGGGAGCCTCTTTGTAAAGTGTGGCTAAACTATCAGTAGAAAACTGCCACTCTGTCAATGCTAACATAGAGCTCAGTAAGGACTGAGACTGCAGTGCAACATGCACACCGTTGTCACCCACAGGCCCCAGCCGTCACATTCTCCTCCCTCAGCCCCTCCACGTGGGAATTCGGGAGTCACTGCCACGAGGAGTTGAGGAAACAGCACAAAAGACACTGGAGAAGAAAATGTCCACAACAGAGCCGGGCCCAGCCTCTTCCTGGGCCTTCAGTGTGGCCGTCAGCAGCTCTAGTCCTGGAAGCCCACCCTAAAACCCAGCCTGAACTCCTGCGCTGGGAGTACGAGCCCGCCTGGCCAGCGCCTTTCCCCACTCACTGAGGGAACACGTGGCCGTGCAACGAGGGTTGCAGGCTTCTCTGTGTGGGCAGAGACAAGCAACCTTTCCAATTTGCTGAATATCCACTTTGGCACGGCATGAACAAGCCTCCTTTTTCTTCATCCTATTTTTGGCCCAGGCAGAAATCACTAATGATTGAAACAAAGGGCCCCAAGCAGGGACTGGGGGCTGCAGGGTGGGCTCCTAGCTGGCCTGGGGGTGCTTCTCGGAAACTGGTTCCTCAGAGATTACAAATGGGTCTTGATTCTGTAGGGACTGCCTGTCCAGTCCCCTAGAGGTCCCGTGGGGTGAGCAAGAGGTGGGGCCAGGTGTGGTGCCTTTGTCTTGTAATTCCATCACTTTGGGGAGGCTGAGACAGGAGGCTTGCTTGAGGCCAGAAGTTCAAGGCTGCAGTGAGCTTTGATGGCACCACTGCTCTCCAGCCTGGGTGAAAGAGCCACAGAGAAAGAATAAAAAAAGAGAGAGAGAGAGAGGTGGGCAGCTGGAACATAGAGGAAAGAAAGGGAAAGGTCCAAAGATGGCTAACTTGGGTTATTTGATTTGCTTTAATTAACATCGGTTTTGTTTAAAAATAATTTGTAACAATAAGGAAGATTAATTTTTTTTTTTTTTTTGAGATGGAGTCTCGCTCTGTCGCCCAGGCTGGAGTGCAGTGGCGCGATCTCGGCTCACTGCAAGCTCCACCTCCTGGGTTCACACCATTCTCCTGCCTCAGCCTCCCGAGTAGCTGGGACTACAGGCGACCGCCACCTCACCTGGCTAATTTTTTGTATTTTTAGTAGAGACGGGGTTTCACCGTGTTAGCCAGGATGGTTTCGATCTCCTGACCTCCTAATCCACCCACCTCGGCCTCCCAAAGGGGAAGATTAATTTTTAAAATAGGGTCTGGACTTTATGCTGTTTCATTAAATAAGTGAGCAATAGTGGGATGGAAAAAGAGTAGGAAGGAGGGAGAGAAGTGTCATTATTCAACAGTTACCAACTCCTGCTGGTCAAGGGACTGGGCTGGGTGTGAGGGAGAAGAAAGTGACTCAGGTGTCCTCTCACCCATCTGGCAATTTAAAATTAAAGAGATGCAGTAAACGTCTCGTCAAATAACTCAGGAGGTATTTTCTGAGCAACTTTATTTAGACTAGTTTTGTTTCAAACTAACTTAGAAGCAAGAACATGGGTTAGAAATTAGGAGGCTGACAGCTTCCACTGAAGCAATCAAGGAGCAACCTAGAAAGTGCTGAGGTCTCCAGGAGCCCTGTCCGTGGACATGTATATGTCACCAAAGCAAAGGCACGACAGGCTTCTCGGGACTTGCTTTCAATTAGGGTCCCTCGTAATGCTAATCTCACTCGTAATTGAGTGGTAACCAAATGTGACTGGTTCTCTTCTATTTTTATGCATCTCAGCCTCCTTATTTTATAACCATTCCTCATTCTTTCCATCGTATGTCCCAGGACCATGCAGCTATGTAAATGGTGGTCCAAGCTGCTGCTCTTCTTAGCACATAAAACCTGGTGGGCATCTACAGATCCGGTAGGAGTCTGTTACCTCCACATTCTAAATGGCTCTTGCTCAGAAAGAGGAATTGCCCTGCTCTCGATCCTAGGCCCTGCTCACTCATGCTTGGACTACTGCCCAAGTCCTGTGACATCATTGCTCCCCTCTCTGACCCGTCTTCATCCCAGGAAGGACCTTCATGTTACCCTCCCCAAGCAGCACTTCCACAACCTCACACTGCTGCTCTGGACCCAAGCTGTCTGTCCCAGCTCTTCAGAGTAACCCTCACGATTCTCCAGACCCAACTGTTACTAAGCCTTCCAGTGTTCTCCCATGGCTCCAAGGCATGTGTGCTCATGCCACCAGGCTGGCCTCCCACAATTCTGCACACCGAGCGTGTTCTTGGCCCAGGGTCTTTGCTTATGCTCTTCCCCAGCCTCAGACCCTCTCTTCCCTTCATCAGCCCAACTAGGTCCTAGCCAGGCTGGGCCCTCTGTGTTGCTTCTCCCTGATCCGAACCTCTGACAACCTGGTGGTGCCAAGGGTGTGGTCACTATTTTGTACTATTATATTTATCATAGCTTGAGCTAAGTCACCTTTCCCATTCTAACAGGCAGTCCTGGTCCTCCAAGGTCACACTGAGCTCGCAGTTGGGGCTCAAACGTCGTTCACTGAATCTCCTCTCTCATTCCCCTTTCCTCACTTCAATACATTAATCGCTGAAAGATTCCTTGAGTGCTTGCACGCCAATCTGAAACTCATTGTCCCAGGCACCTCATAATGTACTCCTGGCAAACAAGCTTGCATAGTTAATTACAATGAGTGAGTGGAAGGGAAACCACAAGGGGAAAAAGTCCTTGAAGTCAGACCTACAGTCAGAATCTCAGGAGCAGGACCCAGAATCTGCATTTTAACAAAACCAACCCTACTCTGAATTGTGTTGAGTAAACTACACAGTGCAAGTGACGTATCTATACAATCCTACCCAATGTATACATTTTTGATGTAGCACTTTTATATTGATAGTAGAATTATTTATTAGTCGGCCTCCTCAGCTACACAGTTACTTGGGGGTGAAGGCCTCAAAGCAGTCCTCACTCTATTCCGTTGCACATTAGGTACACAGATAAAAATCCAAGGAATTTTGGATAAAATTCTTTTTTAAAATACTAGTATTGTGCAACTCTGAATACAATAAGAACCACTGAACTGCACAATTTGAACTGGCAAATTGTGTAAGTGAATTATATCTCAATAAAGCCGTTTAAAAGACTAATGGATTACTCACAAGTTATTGACCCCCCTCCCCCGCAAAAAAAAAAAAAAAAGAAAAAAAAAAAACACAGAATGAGATGAGATACAATCAATCCTCTGGATTTAAAATACTCACAGGATGAGCCACGATGCATTGCTTCACATGGACCAAGCCAGCAAACAACTTGGAAGGCATGAGACAAGAAGTGGAACTGCTTAAGATCACTCGATCATCAATGATGGAATCTAACTGAGCAAAAATCTTCTTCTTCAGTTCTAGATCTTCTGGAACACATTCCTGAAAAGGACACGTTTAAATGACTATTCATGACCACTCGACTCAGGCCCCAAGCAAAGCATTTCATGTTTGTTTCATTCCTCAAATGAACCACTTTGAAAATGATGAGGTTCAAGACGTGTTATCCCAAAATATGGCAACTTGGCATCTGAGAAAACAGCGGAAGCAGGGAGGTCCCTCTGCCCTTCTGCTCTCTCCTCCCCTAAAGCAAGCCATAAAAGAATTTTCTGCCCTTCCCATGAAGCAGGGCATAAGACCCTCATTCCAGAGGTGCCCTCCCTACACCCAGAGAAAAACAATCTCCTTGTCTCTGAAGACACAGGGAAGAATCTGAACAAACAGGCCTTGCCAACTTCCCTCCAGTTTCATGCCAGCTAGATCGTACCCCTTTGTCCTGTCATACCTCTGAAAGACTGTCCATTCTTTATCAAACCTAAGCATAAAAATACAGAGGTTTCCCTGTGTCTTGGGGTCTACACTTTCTTATGAAGGCTGCTGTGTCATGTAAAACTTACAATAAATACATCTGTATGTTTCTCTCTTGTTCATCTGTCTTTTGTTATAGGGCCCTCAGCCATGAAACTTTCCGTAGGTGAAGAAAAGATTTTACTTGTTCTCCCTTACAAAAACCACCAGCAAGATTTAAGGATGAGAAAAGGCTGCTGGAAAATACGATAAATCTTGATAACTCTGGAAAGTTGGAAAGCGGGTGAGGAATATATGGGAGTTTCTTGTACTTTCTAATTTTGAATAGCCTGGAAATTCTCATAATAAAAAAGTCTGCCAACGATATGGGGGTGGATTCTACAAACAAAACACACAACAGCACCCCAGGCAAACTGTTAAAAACATCGGTAGCTATCATCAACATTTATTTTCCCTATCTGCTTTGACCATCAGATCAACAGATCTTTAAGGAAAAATCTCATCCTCGTGAAATGAACAAACACGTTACATCCATAATTCCCAAAAGGCTTCTTGAGAATCCATTTCTAATTGGAGGTCCTTTTGAAAAAGATCTCCATTTCCAAAAATCCAAAACTACATTAATCGGGGTAGGGGAGTGGGATAAAGATGCAAATTTGGATTAAATGCTGCAGATAACGACCGCTCTGAGATTCTAATTACAAAGCTAGAGTGAGAGTGAGATGACACCTTCAAACATCCAGCGCTGGTCCACAGGCGAGGTGTTCCCTGCCACATGAGGATGAAGAGGACACCGCCCTGCTGTGTGGATGGAAGCACACCAGGTGGAAGACGCAAGAGCTGCTCTGACACTTTGGAAATACTAGAGCTGTCCTTCCCCTCCTGACATCTGCACCTCTGGGATCACACCAGGGGTCACTCCTAACCAAGGTCTCTGCTCACCTAGGGGCAACAGGTGCTGTAGGGGAGGAGGTAGGGCCTCCCAACGTTCCCCAGTGACTTCAGGAGAATGACTCTCAGTGTGGTGCAATAACCACCCATTAGAATCAACGGCGTGTCTTGTTAAAAATGCAAATTATTGGGCTTCCATCCCGGACCTGCTGAATCAGAGTCTCTGGGGGTGGGTTCCAGGCATCTGCAGTTCTAACAAGCATCCCTGATGATTCCTGTTCCCACTAAAGTTTGGGAACCACTATTCTGAGGTGTGTGTCCAAAGCGGGGGTCCTTAATGCTCTCAGTGCAGTGTGCCACCAAATGCATCCTCAAGGGTTTCCTCTCCATCCCAGCTACTCAGGGATAAACAAGGTGCCCTGACGGGAAATGGGAAGTATATTAGCACTGCAGCCATCTCATGGTCTCTAACCACCTGACCAATTTCACTAAAATGTTAAATTTACACATCATATTAGGTCATGAATACAGTATAAACACGAGCAGATAACAAGAAATGTGCAAATGTGAAATTCAATGCTGAAGTACTGCTAGAAATTATATCAGAACCACCCTTCAAAAATAAATGTTTTCAAGTTTAATTGAATAATACTAATAGTTAATATCTAATATATTGAAATCAGCTGTGTAAATAGTGTGACATGAATTTTGCATCTATATCATCTACAAGATTTTTGAAGTTTTATTCTAAGGGTAGGGAGTCCATTTTGGATTTGTTTATGCTTTTCAAAAATATAATCAAACCATGTGAATCTTTTTAAAGAAACAAAAGTTCGCATGAGCACCACATCTCAAAGACAGAAAAAAAAAATCAGTCATTTAAGAACTGTAAAGCCCATTGTGTTAACTCCCCTTATCAAAAGGGGAAAAAGAGCTACAGTAGCTGGCTCATTGTATTGAGTCATTCCTGGATCAGTTAAGCCTGCAAGTTGGGTTAAGTTTAAATGGAGCCTTGTAGCAAAGCCAGAGACGAAGAATGATGCAGATCCTGTGTAAGCTAATAAAAGAGTCTCCATGAATAGCCTTATTGTAATCCTGTCATGCAGATTCTCCCTTGAAATTCTATGCCTTTCTTCAGATCATTTGATTATCAAAGAGGCAAGAAAACCTGAACCAGAGGAAACTCAAATCTGTTACAATTATGTAAGAGTTTTTAATGGCACATTTGCTTGAAGTTTTGTTGCTGTAGTTGTTGCTGTTTTTAAGAGTGACCCAATTGTGTTGGATGTGCTGGGCTGGGGTTATAAGGATGCTGTCCATGTCACAACTGAGTTTATTTCCTTGCTATTATTCATTCAGATACCCCTGGTCTGAAAAAGGGAGTCTGACAAATTTATCAGCACCTTCCTCACTTGCAGTTGGTTACAAAGCTCAGAGAAGCTGCAGTCATTCTCTTTGCCCTAAAGGGACTGGGAGGACAGGCAGGGAAGAATGTCAGTGAGACAGCTGAGAAGGCACCTGCACTCCCTCTCCAACCCAGAGAGATGCAACCCATGCACTCTCAACTCTGTCTTTCAGGGGCCCTTTCTAGAGACAGGCACCAAATGTGAAGCACTAGCAAAAATTCTACCACTACTAAAGGTAATCAGCTTGACTTTGCTTAATTAAAGGTTGACAGCATCTTTCAAAGCACTGACTTTTGTTTGTTTGGGTTTTGTTTGTTTTGAGGCAGGGGAGGGAGACACAACTCATGACAAATAATATTCTCATGCACAACCACCATCGGCATGCCCTGATTTTGACAAATAAAACTCTGGGGAGAGGTAAAGCACAATACAACTTCCTAGTTCTCACAACTGTTCTGTCAGAAGGATCACCCTCTTCCTTAGACTGATCACTGGCTCAGGCAGTATCAGCAGCTGACAGGTGAGGCAGAGTTTAGACACTGGTGTTTCCCTGCCTTTCCTGAAGGGAAGAAACGACATGATGCTATTCCAGGCATTACTTTTAGTGCTCTCTAACTTGTATTTTTAAAGTAAATCATTTATAAACTTCAGTGTTTTATGGTTAGTAAAAGTTACCTGTGTGGTTAATTCAACTCATTAGGGCCCTGATGTGGAAAACTGGCACAGCCCCAGCAAGTCTGCTAACTGGACCACTCCCAGGGGAAGGGTGTGCTGGGTAAGTACTCACTTCTGAAGTTTAGCCACTTGCTTATGCAACATACATTTTCCAAAACATACATTTTCATGGTGAAAAAAAAATTCTGTCAAGTTTGTTATTGTTGTTTTTAAATCCACCCAGGCATTTTATTATTTTTATTTTTTGTTTTTATTTTTTGAGATGGAGTCTCACTCTGTTGCCCAGGCTGGAGTACAATGGCATGATCTCAGCTCACTGCAACTTCCATCTCCTATGTCAAGCGAGTCTCCTGCCTCAGCCTTCCAAGTAGCTGGGACTACAGGCCTGCACCACCACACCCGGCTAATTTTTGTATTTTTAGTAGAGACAGGGCTTCATCATGTTGGCCAAGCTAGTCTCGAACTCCTGACCTCAGGTGATCTGCCCACCTCAGCCTCCCAAAGTGCTGGGATTACAGGTGTAAGCCACCACACCTGGCCAACCCAGGCATTTTAAATAGGCATCCTGTTGCTAGAAAATCTGTATTGGCTAGTGCAAGATATCTGGAAGCAGCTTTCAACGTGCTTTACAGAAAGAAAAAACAAATTAGAAGACTTCAATACTTAGAGTACTTTACATGCAAAGAAGATCTATTAGATAATTTTAAGAGGAAAAGACATGGTAAGAAAGGAAATATGAATTAGAATCCTACTGCAATCATAGCAAAAGGAAATCCACTCTCAGGCTGAAGATGGAGGCGTTCTACATTATAAACTCTGTTAGCACTAGTTACATCTCTGGCTTTAATCTGCCTAATTAACACCCCAGTTTCTCTTCACCATTTCTCCCAGGAGTACAATCTTTAAAATCTGTCAGATTAATAGACTGCTGTGACAACACTTTTTAGGAGGTGGACACCATAATTATTTACATTTTTAAAAAAAGAATCTTTTTGCTCTAGAATAAATAATGTGTTAAGTAAAAGGGGAAAGAGCACATCTATTTTCAACATTACAGGCAACTAACTGCACTATGCTCTAACCAGGAGCTTGTTTTTTCCTTAAAAATCAAAATAAAGGGTTTAATTTTTAATTAAATAAAAGCATATTACCAATCCTAAACAGTTCTGCCATAATTGAGAAGAAATTATACCCAATCGAGAGAGATCTTTCCAAAGTAAAAATCAGTGTAGACTGAGTTTAAGAATGTGACTTCCTGGGGCTTAGGTGTTCCAGTTACAAGGATTATTGTTGTTTGCTTTAAAGAGCAGTCCTTTCTCCAGGTGACCGCAGAGAACCCAGAGGGGGCCACCGTGGCACAGGCATCGGTTGCTGTCCTGATTATGTGTCCGTCCCATCCTCATTCCAATGATGTTTTTGTACCGTTTGTGAAATCATTTCTTTAGAATTGTGTTAAAATGCTTGACATGAAAAAATAATACAACTGAAAATATTCCATTTAATCCTGCAATTATATAGTTTTACTGCATTTCTAGTATTTCTCATAAGGAACAAGTGAGAGTTTTGAATACAAATGTTTTTGGGGATGGAGTCTTGCTCTATCACCCAGGCTGGAGTGCAGTGGTGCGATCTCGGCTCACTGCAACCTCTGCCTCTCAGGTTCAAGCGATTCTCCTGACTCAGCCTCCAGAGTAGCTGGGATTACAGGTGCGCAGCACCATGCTCAGCTAATTTTTTGTATTTTTAGTAGAGACGGGGTTTCAGCATGTTGGCCAGGCTGGTCTTGAACTCCTGACCTCAAGTGATCCACCCGCCTCAGCTTCCCAAAGTGCCAGAATTACAGGAGTGAGCCTGTAACAAATCCTTTTTTATTTTTAACAAAGTGCTGGGAATAGCACGAAACATAAAATTGGAGACCCTTTAAGTAAAGAGTGAGTTTTAAAGAAGAAAAATGGAACATAAAAAAGTTTATGTGAAGGACATCAGTAACTCACAGTAGCATTTTCATTTTTGAAAATTCAGGTTTATTTCCAAGATCCAGGTAGTGGGGAACCCAGAGATATAAGGCTTACACTTGGCACCACTTTTACCTATGAGGTAACTGTTTATTTCAAAAGCACAGACAAAATGGCTAAAATGACAAGCAGAGTTTTTAACATACTCAGAGTGCTGGGGGAAATGTTGGCATTCAGGGCCTGGTAACTGCCCCAGGCTTCCAGTTGGAACCCTCAAGGGCTATATCCCTTGAGCATCCCTTATACCAGGAATAATAGTAACAACAGACCAGTCTTCACAAGGACTGAAACTTGGTCTCAATTTATCTCAATCCACAATTAAGTTAGGGAGATATGCTCCTAGCCTACCTGCCTTCTAGTGAAGCTTCTCTGGAGCATGATAATATCAACCAGAGCCCTAGTTTTTCATAAGCAATGTCTCATACTCAAACAAATAGACAATATTAGGGAAGACCTGAATGAAAACCAAGAGAGAAAACAGACTTTAGAAATAGACCCTTAGGGCATTCACATAATGGTGGTATCAGACATAAATTGTGAAATAACTATAATTAAGATGTTTAAGAAACTAAAAGGATATTAAACAATTTCAGCATAAAGTAAAACTATGACAAAAATCAAATGGAAAGTCAACAACTAAATAATAAAAATTAGCTGGCTTATCATAAGAGAATCAAGGAATTTCCTGGCATGGTTGTTGGGTTTAACAATGGACAGATGTGTGGATATTATTAACCAGCCCAGTTGGTTCTGTCTTCAAGCTGGCTTCCTACAGATCTTTACCTAGCCAAGAATACCGCTTAAATTAATGCAATGGTGAGACACACATAACTATACACTAAGCTGCTTTAAAGCTAAGCACAGTATACAAGATTAGAATGGGCACTACTTTACTTATTTTAAAACCCAAAATAGTTTTCAGTAGATTTTTTTTAATTATTTATTTTTTATTTATTTATTTTGTAACAGAGTCCTGCCCTGTCGCCCAGGCTGGAGTGCAGTGGCACAATCTTGGCTCACAGCAACCTCCATCTCCCAGGTTCAAATGATTCTCCTGCCTCAACCTCCCGAGTAGCTAGGATTATAGGCCTGTGCCACCATGCCTGGCTAATTTTTGTATTTTTAGTAGAGACGGGTTTTTGCCATGTTGGCCAGGCTGTTCTCAAACTCCTGACCTCAGGTGATCCACCTGCCTTGGTCTCCCAAAGTGCTGGGATTACAGGCATGAGCCACTGCACCTGGCTAAAAATTATATAGTGGACTAGTTTGAATGACATACATAGCTGGGTAAAAAAAGGAAAAGGCCCCCACTGATTGGTACTCTGACTGTCCTTGCATGCTTTTGAATGAAGAGGGATTATTCTTTGTTGAGGGATTGAGCCTTCCCCATTGAGCAGAATGGGAGAACTAGCCAGACCAGAGAATCAGCTGATGACCAATAGGGTGACAAAAGCTGCTGTCAGCTCATTCTCACACCTAGGCTCTCCATTCTTAAAATAGGACTTATCTCCCTTTTAATTTAAGACCTGTGACTCACCTCTAGAATTTTTTTTGTTTTTTAAATCAAGAAGGACTGCAATTTTGTTAATCTCGAGGCTCTAATTATGCCTGTTGGTAGAGTGTGTGTTTTTATTAATGACTTACCAAGATGATTTTTGCATTGACTAGAGCCTTTAATTTGGGGATAGTGCTTCAGAGACACTTCAAAATCTTCATTGTGGCTACTAAGAACTGAAAAAGAAAAGAGCCCTTCATTTGTGGTGAAACCACTTTATAATCTAGTTGGAATTTTTTGTTAGCAATTATTTAAGTTTATACATATGCCAGAAAGATTTAACCAGCAGCTGAAATGTTCTAGTCCATGCTGCAACAGCTTTTGGAGCTGCACACAGATTAACAGAATTACTTCTGGCACAGGGCAACTGACAGGCAATCCTACCAGTAGATGATGAGGCTCACTGATTTCCCAATCCACTTAGGACTACTATCATAAATTTCTTAAAGTTCAAATGTCCACAGGAAAAATCTAAGGGAAATAATCAGGACCAACAGAGTTTCTTTGTGACATCAAGAGCAACCCAACATCTGATTCATTCAATATATGATACAAATACAGTTTAATTCACTGAAGTGACTAGAGACAATAGCACACAAACTCCCATTATTGAAAACTCATAGTATTTGGGGAAAGAGAACAGAAATAAAAACCTTTATCCCTGGGGGAGAGGCAGGAAAAGATGCTGCTCCCCCTCGCCCCTACCCCAGGGAGAGCCAGGAGCACTGAGTAGGTCCGACCCCCAAGTTGCAGGGACACAGTGCCTCCTACTACTAAATCAGAGCCCTTCCACCACCCCCCCTCCCTAGGCTGACAAGTATTAGGTAAAAAGTAACAGAATAATACTTCTGGGAGAGAGACAGAATGAGAACATGGAAAGAGATCCTCTATGAGGGAAGTGCAAAGGGAAAACTGAAAGCTAAAGGTGGAGCAAGTACTAAGGAGGAAAAAAAACCCCACAAAACCCTCTGGCCAACCAGTCCTCATCTTAAATACAAGGCATTACTAGAGGAACTTGAAACCTTTAATGCACTAAGGATAACCATAACAACTGCAAACCTTATACCTTGCTCAATTCCCAACTAAATTAATTCAAATGCCCACAATGAAAGCAGAGCAGAAGAAAATGCTTGCCAATTCACAGACATAAAAACTGTTTGCCTCAGTATCTACTCTCCTATTCAGGTATCTGACTTTCAAAAACAAAAAATCACGAGGTATACAAAAAAGCAGGAGAAAAACAACACACACCCGAGAAAGTGATCTTTCAAAAGATCTATATGACTCTGATATTGGAAAAATCTGACAGTAAATTTAAAATAGCTATGATTAATATCTAATGAAAACTCTAGACAACATGCAACATCGTATGGGTAATTTCAGCAGAGAATCAAAGAGAATGCTAAAACTGAAAAACAAAGTAACAGAGATGAAGAATGTCTTTGGTTCATCAGTAGACTCAACACAGCTGAGGAAAGAATCTTTGAACTTAAAGGCTAGTCAACGGAAATCAGACAAAATGAAAAACAAAGAGCAAGGAGACTGAGAATAATAAACAGAGCATCCAAGACTTCCAGTGAAAGTATCAAATAATCTAACATATGTGTAATTGGGACCTCAGAAGTAAAAGAAACGGAATAGGACAGAAGAAAAATTAAAAGAAATGATAGCTAAGAATATTCCAAAACTAATGAGAGTAACCAAATTCCATATCCAAGAAGGTCAGAGAACACAAAGCAGAATATACACCTCTCCCTTCCAAAAAGTTTCTAGGTACCTAGGTATACCATATTCAAATTGCTGAAAACAGAAGACAAAGAGAAATATTGAAAGCAGTAAGAGGAAAAAGTCACATTATATACATAAAAGCAGAGGTAAGGTTTAATACAGACCTTTTGTTAGAGTTAATGCAAGATAGAAGACAATGCAATGACATTTTTTAAGTGCTGAAAGAAAAAAAACTATCAACTTAGAATTCTATACCCAGCAAAAATGTCTTTCACAAATGGAGCAGAAATTAAAACTATTCTGAGAGAAACAACTTATGGAATTCATTTTCAGCAGACCTAATCAATCTACAATAATTTTTAAAAGAAAGTCTTCAGGTAGAAGAAAACGTGATATCAGACAGAAAATTGGATCTACACAAAGAAATAAAGAATACACTGGGCGTGGTGGCTCATGCCTATAATCCTACCACTTTGGGAGGCCAAGGCAGGCAGATCACCTGAGGTCAGGGGTTCGAGACCAGCCTGGCCAACATGGTGAAACCCTGTCTCTATGAAAAATACAAAACTTAGCCAGGCATAGTGGCACATTCCTGTAATCCCAGCTACTCAGGAGGCTGAGGCAGGAGAATCACTTGAACCCAGGAGGTGGAGGTTGCAGTGAGCCAAGATTGAGCCACTGCACTCCAGCTTGGGTGACAGAGTGAGACTCACACTAGAAATGAAATAATTGAAGGTAAAATAAATGTTTTCCTGTTTTCAATTGCTCTAAAACATACCAAAATACTCAAAGCAAAAATAGCAGCAATGCATTGTAAATGCACATGTAAAAGTAAAGGGACAACAATGGCACAAAGAATGTGAAGCAGTCTAATATTAGAAGGTGGCCTCTGATTAACTAAAGATGTATGCTTTAAATCCTATGGTTATTACTAAAGTTTTAAAAAAGATGTATAAATAATGAATCAATAGTGAAGATAAAATAGAACCATAAAAATGTTCCATTAACACAAAAGCAGAAAAAAGAAATAAAGAGCAGATGGAACAAATAGAAAACAGCTGCTACATTTTTAGCCACCTGTATGAATAATCACATTAGATGTAAATGATTTAAACACATCAAATAGAAGACAGATTGGAAGTTCTAGCCAGAGCAATCCAGGAAGAAAAAAAAAAGGCATCCAAATAGGAAAAGAAGTAATCGAATTTATTCACTGATGATATTCTTCTATACCTAGAAAACCCTGAAGACTCCATCAAAAGGCTCCTGAAACTGATAAATGACTTCAATAAAGTTTCAAGATACAAAATCAATGTACAAAAATCAGCAGCATTTTTATACACCAATAATCTTCAAGCTGAGAGCCAAATTAAGGACACAATCCCATTTACAATAGCCACCAAAAACCTAAAATATCTAGGAATACTTCTAACCAAGGAGGTGAAAGATCTCTATAAGGAGAACTAAAAAACACTGCCACAAGAAATCACAGATAACACAAAAAAATGAAAAAGTATTCCATGCTTATGGATTGGAAGAATTAATATTGTTAACATGGCCATACTGCCCAAAACATCTACAGATTCAATGCTATCCCTACCAAACTATCAACATCATTTTTTACAGAACTTGAAAAAACTATTCTAAAATTCATATGGAACCAAAATCGAGCCTGAACAAAAATCCAGCCTAAGCAAAAAGAACAAAGCTGAAGGCATCATATTATCTGACTTCAAATTATACTATAAGGCTACAGTAACCAAACAGCATGATATTGATACAAAAACAGATGCACAGACCAACTGAACAGAATAAAGAACCCAGAAATAAAGCTTCATCCCTACAACGATTGGATCATCAACAAAGTCAACAAAAATAAGCAGTGAAGAAAGGACTCCTTATTCAATAAATGGTGCTGGGATAGCTGACTAGCCATATGCAGAAGAATGGAACTAAACACCTACCTTTCACCATATACAAAAATTAACTCAAGATAGACTAAAGATTTAAATATAAGACATAAAACTATGAGAATCCTAGAAAAAAAAACTAGGAAACACCATTCTGAACATTAGCCTTTGGAAAGAATTTATGACTAAGTCAGGAAACAACAGGTGCTGGAGAGGATGTGGGGAAATAGGAACACTTTTACACTGTTGGTGGGACTGTAAACTAGTTCAACCATTGTGGAAGACAGTGTGGCGATTCCTCAAGGATCTAGAACTAGAAATACCATTTGACCCAGCCATCCCATTACTGGATATATACCCAAAGGATTATAAATCATGCTGCTATCAAGACACATGCACACACATGTTCATTGTGGCACTATTCACAATAGCAAAGACTTGGAACCAACCCAAATGTCCATCAAGGATAGACTGGATTAAGAAAATGTGGCACATATACACCATGGAATACTATGCAGCCATAAAAAAGGATGAGTTCATGTCCTTTGTAGGGACATGGATGAAGCTGGAAACCATCATTCTCAGCAAACTATCGCAAGGACAGAAAACCAAACACTGCACATTATCACTCATAGATGAGAACTGAACAATGAGAACACTTGGACACAGGGTGGGGAACATCACACACCGGGCCTGTCGAGGGGTGGGGGGAGGGGGGAGGGATAGCATTAGGAGATATACCTAATGTAAACGACGAGTTAATGGGTGCAGCACACCAACATGGCACATGTATACATATGTAACAAACCTGCACGTTGTGCACATGTATCCTAGAACTTAAAGTATAATTTAAAAATAATAATAATTAAAAAAAGGAATTTATGACTAAGTCCTCAAAAGCAATTGCAACAGAAACAAAAACTGACAAGTGGGACCTAATTAAACTAAAGAGCTTCTGCATAGTAAAAGAAACTATCAACAGCGTAAAAAGACAACCTATGGATTGGGAGAAAATATTCACAAATTATTCATTCAACAAAGTTCTAATATTCAGAATCTATAAGGAACTTAAACAATTGAACAAGCAACAAACAAAAGAAAACATGAAAAATGAGCAAAAGACATGAACAGATACTTCTCAAAAGACATACAAATAGCCAACAAACATGAAAAAATGCTCACATCACTAATGATCAGAGAAATGCAAATCAAAACCACAATGAGATACCATCTCACACCAGTCAAAGTGGCTATTACTAAAGTTGAAAAACAACAGATGCTGGCAAGGCTGCAGAGAAAAGGGAATGCTCATACACTGTTGGTAGGAAAGTAAATCAGTTCAGCCACTGTGGAAAGCAGTCTGGAGATTTCTCAAAGAACTTAAAACAGATCTACAATTTGACCCAGCAATCCCATTACTGGGTATCCAAAAGAAAACAAATTGTTCTACCAGAAAGACAGATGCACTTGCACTTTCATCACAGTATTATTCATAATTGCAAAGACATGGAATCAACTTAGGTACCCATCAACACTGGACTGGATAAAGAAAATGTGGTACATATAGCCCATGGAGGACTACGCAGCTGTTGAAAAAAAAGAAGAAAATCACATCATTTACAGAAACATGGCTGCAGCTGGAGGCCACTATCCCAAGAGAATTAACACAGGAACAGAAAACCAAATACCACATGTCCTCACTTATAAGTGGGAGCTAAACACTGGGTACTCATGGACATAAAGATGGCAACCACAGATACCAGGGACTACTAGAAGAGGAAGGGAGAGGGAGAGAGTTGAAAAACTATTAGCTACTATGCTTACTACCTGGGTGACAGGATTAAACAAAAAGTAAAAAAGAGGCAGACCATCAGACCGAATTAAAAAAAAAAAAAAGCAAAACCCAACCCAACTCTAAACTATCTAGAAAAAAAAATCTACTTTAAATGTATGGACTTAGATAGGTCAAAAGTAAAAGAATGGAAAAATATTCCTTGCAAACACTAACTAAAGAAACCTGCTGTTGCTATATTAATATCTCAAAAAGTAGACCTAAGAAACAAGAAATGTTATCAGAGAAAAAGAAGGGCATTACAATACACTAAACGGGTCAATTTTCCAAGAAGATACAACAACTCTATGTGTTTATGCACCTAACAACAGAGCTACAAAATACATGAAGTTGTTGGGGTTGCAGAAGATCAAGAAGCAGAGTACAGAGGATTTTTAGGGCTGTGACAATACTGTGTATGATACTATATTGATGGATACATGTCAATATACATTTGTCAAAACCTATAGGATGCATAATACCAAAAGTGAACTCTAATATAAACTATGGACTTTGGGTGATTAATATGTGTCAATGTAGGTTCATCAACTGTAATAAATGTGCCATTCTGGTGGGAGTTGCTGATAATGGGGGAGGCTATACATGCGTAGGGGCAGAGGCTTTATGGGAAATCTCTGTCCCTTCTTCTTAATTTTCCTGTGGAACTAAAGCTGCTCTAAAAAAGTGTTATATTGGATTTAACATATTTTGGGTATTAAATACAATTTCTAAAATGTTTAAATTTAGATGAATTTTAAAATTAGTTTTTTCTAATTTCATAATGTAAAAACAGAATTGAAAGGAGAAATAAACAAATCCACGATTACTGCTGGAGACCTCAATAACTTTCTTTCTCAGAACAAGATTTAAAAATCAATAAGATTATAGCAGAGCTGAATAACATTATCAACCAACTTGATCTACTTGACATTCAGAGACCTCTCCACCCAAGAGTAGAATGCCTGACTTTTCCAAGTTCACATGTAATATTTACCAAGATAGATTATAGTCTGGCCATGAAACAAAACTTAAAAGAATAGAAATCAAACAAAGTATGTTCTCTGGCCATAATTGAATTGAAGTGGAAGTCTATGAGAAAAGAATATCTAGGAAATCCCCAAATATGTGGAAATTAACCAAGACACTTCCAAATAATCTACAGTCAAGGTGAAATTCTCATGGGAAATTAGAATATTTTGAAATATTTTGAATATTTTGAAATATTCTAATATATTTGAATATTTTGAAATATTCTAATATATTTGAATATTTTGAAAATGAAAACACAATATATTAAATCATTGGATTCAACTAAAGCAATGCTGAGAGGAAAATGTATAGCATTATATATTTACATTAATAAAGAAGAATATCTCAAATCGTTAATCCAACCCTCTATCTTCAGAAACTGAAAAAAAGCAAATTAAATACAAAGAAAGGAAGAAGAAAACAATAAAAGTAAAAGCAGAAATCAATGAAATTGAAAACAGAAAAACAACAGAAACAAATCAATGAAATCAAATCTGGTTTCTTAGGGAAAAAACAGTAACACTGACAAACTTCAAGGCAGACTGACCAATAAAAAGAGAGAAGACACAAATTGCCAATATGAAGAACGAAAGAGGGGACATCACTGCCAGTCCTATAGTCATTAAAAGAATAATAAAGCAATATTATGAATAATTATTTATGCCAAGAAATCCTACAACTTAGAACAAATGGACTGATTACTTGAAAGACACAAACTGCCAAAACTCACTTAAGAAATAATAGAAAACCTCATTAGTCTATTTATAGGAAAGTAATTAAATTTGTAGTTCAAAATCTATCAACACAGAAAACTCCAGGCCCAGGGTTTGCCACATTCAGCCAAACATTTAAAGAACTACTGCCAATCTTTACAATCTCTTTCAGAAAATAAAGAAGAAACATTTCCCAACTCATTCTATGAAGGCAGAATCACCGTAATATCAAAATATTAGACAAAGACATTACATGGGGAAAAAAAATCTATTCCAAACACATATGCAAAAAAAATCTCAACAAAAAAGGATAGTGCGTTATGACCAACTGGAGTTTATCCCAGGAATGCAAGACTGGTTCAACTTTTTAAAATCAATCAATGTCATTCATGATATAAACAGATTTAAAAAGAACAATTATGTGATCATCCCAATAGATGTAAAAAAAAAAATCAGTTCACAAAATTCAACCCCCATTCGTGTTTGTTTTTTTTTTTTTTTGAGATGGAGTCTTGCTCTTGTCGCCCAGGCTGGAGTGCAGTGGTGCGATCTCGGCTCACTGCAAGCTCCGCCTCTGAAGTTCACGCCATTCTTCTGCCTCAGCCTCCTGAGTAGCTGGGACTACACGCGCCTGCCACCACACCCGGCTAATTTTTTTCGTATTTTTAGTAGAGACGGGGTTTCACCGTGTTCGCCAGGATGGCCTCCATCTCCTGACCTCATGATCCACCCGCCTCGGCCTCCCAAAGTGCTGGGATTACAGGCGTGAGCCACCGCACCCGACCCATTCATGATATTTTTTAAAACTCTCAGCAATCTAGGAATAGATGGGAATCCCTTTAACATGATGAAAGGTAGCTATTATTCCTATGCTAACATCACACTTAATGGTGAAAAATTCAAGGCTTTCCTCCTTAACATTGGGAATAAGGCAAGCTGTCTCACTCTGTCGCCCAGGCTGGACAGATTCTATTCCGGAATAGAATTTTATTCCACATCATATTGATGTCCTAGCCAGTGCAATAAGGCAAGAGAAAGATATAAAAAGCATATAGATTGAAAATGAAACTGTCTCTATTCACATAAGACATAAATGCCTACATAGAAAATCCCAAAGAATCTATGAAGAAGTCCAAGGACTAGTGAGCTCAGCAAGATTGCAGGATACAGGTCAATATAAAAAAACTGTATTTCTACACAGTAGCAATTAATAATGGAAAATCAAAAAAAATGTTAAATACCATTCACAATAGCACACATACACAAGAATTACTTAGGCATAAATCTAAAAAAATGCCTTAAATATGCAGGAAACCATGAAATGCTGATGAAATAAGTCAAAGGAGGCCTACATAAAGTGGAGAGCTACACCATAATCATGAATTGGAAAACTCAAGCTACATCATAATCATGAATTGGAAAACTCAAGCTACACCATAATCATGAATTGGAAAACTCAAGTTATACCATAATCATGAATTGGAAAACTCAAGCTACATCATAATCATGAATTGGAAAACTCAAGCTATACCATAATCATGAATTGGAAAACTCAAGCTACACCATAATCATGAATTAGAAAACTCAAGCTACATCATAATCATGAATTGGAAAACTCAAGCTATACCATAATCATGAATTGGAAAACTCAAGCTATACCATAATCATGAATTGGAAAACTCAAGCTATACCATAATCATGAATTGGAAGACTCAATACTGTTAACACATCAGTTCTCCTGAACTTGATGTACTGATTCACTGAAACCCCAATAGAAATCCCAGAAGTTTATTTTGTAGATATCAACAAACTGATTCTAAGATATGGAAGGCAAAGGAGTCAGAATAGCCAAAACCATTTTGCAAAAGTAGTTGGATGACATAGTATCTAATTTCAAGGCTTAATATAAAGCTATAGTAATTAAGAGAAAGTAATATGGGCACATACTGTTACACTGACACATGGATCAATATTATATAAAGAGAGCCCAGCGATAGATCCATACAAATCTAAGCAGCTGATTTCTTAGAAAGATACAAAGATAAGTCAATGGGGAAAAGATAGGGTTCAACAAATGGTGCTGGACAACTGGGTTTTCACATGCAAAGAAATGTAACTTAGTATATACCTTATATTTTCCATGAAATTAATTCAGGTGGATCATAGCCATACATGTACAATTTTAAACTATAAATGTTCTAAAATAGAAAATCTGTGAGGCCTTGGGTTAGGCAAAAAATTTTAAGAAATAATACAATGACCGGATGCAGTGGCTCACACCTGTAATCCCAGAACTTTGAGAGGCCGAGGCGGGCGTATCACCTGAAGTCAGGAGTTTGAGACAAGCCTGGGCAACATGACAAAACCCTGTCTCTACTAGAAATACAAAAATTAGCTGGGGTTGTGGCACAAGCCTGTAATCCCAGCTACTCAAGAGGCTGAGGCACCAGAATCTCACTTGAACCTGGGAGGTGGAGGCTGCAGTGAGCCAAGATTCCACCACTGCACTCCATCCTGGGTGACAGAGTGAGACTCCGTCTCAAAACAAAAAAAAAAAAAAAAAGAAAAGAAAAGAAGAGAGGCGAGGCAGGAGGATTGCTTGAGCCCAGGAGTTCCAGGCTGCAGTGAGCTATGATCTGTACTCAGGCCTGGGCAAGACCACGATTCTTAAAACACACACACACACACACACACACACACACACAAAGACCACGATTCTTAAAACACACACACACACACACACACCCCAGAATGCCCTTCTTAGCAACCCCAGCTCTTCCTTCTCTTCCTAGCCAGCTATGCTCCTGTTACACGACCTGCCCACCCCCCACTCTTCATGGCCTTTCTGCACCTTCCTGGGTGACCCAGCACAGGGAAACTCTGGGAGAGAGTGGATATGGAGGAAGAAACTCTGAACAGCAGAGGGAAGTCAGATGAAGGACCAGCACCAGTCATCAGTACTTTGCCTCTCAGCTGCACACCCACGCTTCTTTGCCCTGCTTTGTGACAGTAGGAGTCTGGTGGGATGAAGGGGCTTCCCTTCCTCTCTTCCTGGGCTCTTCCAGTGCAGACTGCCAGCAGGATATGAGTGCACTGGCAGCCCAGCTCAAGGATTCCAGCTTCCAGTCCCAGCTTGAGAGTCCCAGCTTACCCACCTCAGCCCAGCCTCTGTGGTCCAGCTCTGGCCCAGGGCAGCCTAGAGAACAGGAAGTCATCCTCCATCCACTGGACCACAGCCTCGGCCCTGGGCTGTGACCCCTCCAAGTCCCATCTTTCCTTGGTATTCTCTCTCAGCCTTAGGGTGTTCTTTAGTGTTCTGTTTAGAACACTAAAGTTAGAAGTTAATCCCTTATTACCAGTTAATAATTTTTCATATTAAATTTGCCCTGTTCCAATTAATGGTGTGGTTTCTGTCTCCTGGCATGACCTCCACCAATACAGGAAACAGGTGTACTCACCAAACTCACTGGCTAAAAATAATCCTGGCCACACCCTAATAATTAATGAGACTTCAAGATTATCCTGAATGTTCATTCTAAACCTTTAAGAATCAATAACTGATGTGGAAATGAGGTCAGATGAAATACAGTACTCATTCGATTCCAGAAAAAATTACGTAAAACATATCACCAAGCCTGTGGTACTTCATGAGAAGTGTTTACTTTTATCTCAGAAAAACAATACGACAATAGCAAAGCTTCGGTGTCATAAGACAAATCTGGATCTACCACTTACTAAACATATAAACCTGGTCATTCAGCTCCCTAATCCATGAAATGGGAACAACACACCAACCTCAAAGGACCAAAAGCTGTGGCCCACTTTGCTGGGCTTGTTCTGCACCAGGCCCTGCTCCAAGTGCTGACATGGGCTCGTTTAACTTTCACTCACTCACAAGATGATTGTGGCCACGGTTATTATCTTCATTTCACAGAGGGTGAAACGGAAGCACAGAGAAGTCATCTGTGCAGTCTATCCAGGTACTCAGTGGGGGAAGGAAAAGGTGACCCCGGCAGAGCCTCGAAAGCCAGGTTTTCAACGTTAGGGAAAGTGATTCAACCAGTTCTAAAGGTCTTTGCACAGAGTTATCAAAAAAATTGGTTCTATTCATTTACCAGCCAACCACAGGAAGAAAGCCACATCACCAAATAGGTCAAGGGTTAGATAATACTGTATGTCATCTATTCTAATTTGCACATTTTTTCTCAATGTTTCTGAAATTGGAAGATGTCTTACAATCAGTAGCATCTTAGATAAGATACAATATAGCACAATCATAGACAATTCATTAAATATGTTCCCAGACGTTTAAAAATAAATGTGCTAACAAAACCACAATAGACTTCTCTGGGCAAATTTTTGATCAAAGGTACAAACCTAAGTAACAGGAGTGGTTATTTCCCTTTAAGCAATAACCAAAAGGGCAGGTCCCACCCCAAGAAGAATTAAAACAGGAGCTTGACTAATTCCTTTCTGGAGCCGTGGACCCTTTGAAATCTTAACATCTAGACCAGCATCCAACAGAAATATACTGTGAGCCATACATGCAATTCTAAATTTTCTAGTGGCCGCATTAAAAAAGTAAAAAGAAAATGCTAACCTTAATTTTAATAACATTTTATTTAACTCATAAACTCAAATATTACATTTCAACATGTAATCACTATTAAAAACTATTGAGATATTTTATACGCTTTTTAAAAATAGTAAGTCTTCAAAACTCAGTGGGAATTTTACACCTGACAACACATCTCAGCTTTGACCAGTCACATTTCAAGTGCTCAAAAGCCATGTGGACACCAAATAGTGCCGTTCTGGACCCAGATTTCTGCAGCAGCCTTATGCCTTGTGCAAATCTGGTGCCAAAGCAGTCAGCTACATCCATCTGACCAGCAGTTACAACAAAGCAGAGTAGAATCTCTCAAAAGCTACATATTAAAAATTTCATTCAATTGTGCCCTTTTAAAAAACATTTTAAAATACAGACATTGGGAATACTTATACACTGCTGGTGGTAATGTAAATTAATTCAGCCACCACGCCTGTAATCCCAGCACTTTGGGAGGCCGAGGCGGGCGGATCACAAGGTCAGGAGATCAAGACCATCCTGGCTAACACGGTGAAACCCCGTCTCTACTAAAAAATACAAAAAATTAGCTGGGCGTGGTGGCGGGTGCCTGTAGTCCCGGCTACTCGGGAGGCTGAGGCAGGAGAATGGCGTGATCCCGGGAGGCGGAGCTTGCAGTAAGCCGAGTTCACGCCGCTGTACTCCAGCCTGGGCGACAGAGCGAGACTCCATCTCAAAAAAAAAAAAAAAAAAAAAAATTAATTCAACCACTGTGAAAGCAGTCTGGAGATTTCTCGAAGTGCTTAAAAGAGAATACTACCATTAGACCCAGCAATCCCATTACTGGGTATATAGCCAAAGGAATATAAATCATTCTACTATAAAGACACATGCACAGGTTACATTTACCACAGCACTATTCAAAATAGCAAAGACATGGAACCAACCTAGACGCCCATCCATGGTAGACTAGATAGAGAAAATGTGGTACATATACACCATGGAATACTATGCAGCCATAAAAAAGAATGAGATTATGTCCTTTATAGCAATATGGATGGAGCTGGAGGCCATAATCCTAATTGAATTAACGCAGGAACAGAAAACTAAATACCAGATGTTCTCACTTATAAGTGAAATCTAAACATTGAGTACACATAGACACAAAGAGGGGAACAGACATTGGGGCCTATTTAGGGTGGAGGGTGGGAGGAGGGTGAGGACTGAAAACCTATCAGATATTATGCTGATTACCGGGTGACAAAACTATCTGTACACCAAACCCCCATGACATGCAATTTACTGATGCAACAAACCTGCATATGTACCCCTTGAACCTAAAATAAAAGTTGAAAGGAAAAAGAAAGAATAAAAATACCGACACTGTAACAAAATCAAACACAGGAAAATTATCTGAAGTAGAAAGTGAGGGTCTGTCTGCTTTCCTCCTGCCGATTCAACCTTCGCTGTTAAACACTTAGATCTTTTTTTCCAGTTTATACAAACACATATACAAATGATTTGGAATTTTTTTCTTTAAACAAAAATGGTTTCTATTTTATATCTTGTTCAGCAATTTGCCCCTCACCCTTAATATCTCAAAAACACCTTTAGCAGCTGCATGCACCCCCATGGATGGATGTGCCAATACTTAACCATTTCTTTATCTGCAGGCCTTTAGGTTGTTTCCTATTTTTTGTTATGACCAACAATACTGTGATTTAATCCTTGCACCACATTACATATATATGTATATGTGTGTGTGTATATACATAGATATAAATGCTGCCTCCATATATAGAAAGAGTCAGCATTTTTGAACCACAGATTACTACAGCATAGAAAGCGATAGTTTATTTTTCAATTACTAATTGCCAAATTATTCTCTTAAAGTTGGTACCAATTTACACTTGCAGGACAATGTAGAATATCCACTTCACCACAGCCTCAACACTGGGTGTTGGCTCTTTAATCTTTGCCTATGTCAGAGGCAAAAATAATAGGCAGCTGCTTTTTTTTTTTTTTTTTTTTTTTTTTTTTTTTGAGACGGAGTCTCGCTCTGTCGCCCAGGCTGGAGTGCAGTGGCGCTATCTCGGCTCACTGCAAGCTCCGCCACCCGGGTTCACGCCATTCTCCTGCCTCAGCCTCCCAAGTAGCCGGGACTACAGGCGCCCGCCACTACGCCCGGCTAATTTTTTGTATTTTTAGTAGAGATGGGGTTTCACTGTGTTAGCCAGAATGGTCTCGATCTCCTGACATCGTGATCTGCCCGTCTCCGCCTCCCAAAGTGCTGGGATTACAGACGTGAGCCACTGCGCCCCGCCGGCAGCTGCTGTTTTCTAAGAGTTAAGTAATTTGCTAATTTATTGAAAAGTGACATACATACAGAAGAATGTATATAGTAAGTGCACAGCTGGGTGGGTTTTCACACAAAGGGCTCGTGTAGGCAGCAAGGAACCCTTCCCAGCGGCGCCCTCCCCTGGGCCTCACGGTGGGGATCCTCCCTCCCCACCACAACTAGGGTAGCCGCTGTCTCCACTTCCACAGCCAGCTGTAGTTTTATTTTTTATTTCTCTAAATGCTACTGAGGTTTATCATCTTTTCACATGCACACTGACTCTCTGGTTTTCCTCTTCCTGAATTGCTGGTTCCTATATTTTGCCCATTTTTCTACTGGGGCATTTGTCTTTTTCTTACTGAGTTATATTTTTTAATATGATGCAGACACTGCAAACATTTTTCTTGGTCTGCTGCTTATCTTCTGATTTTGTAAATAGCACCTCCTGCCCCACAGAGGTTCAATGTTTACAAAACCAGCATTTGCTCATGGTTTTTATATCTCACTTTGTGAGGTCCTCCTACTTCCATGTTTTGGGACCTATGCTATCTTCTAGAACATTTTAGTATTTCTTAGATGTCTTCTTATTTAATCCATCTGTGTTTACTTTTTTCATGTCTACTTTTATATGTAGTATGAAGTAAAATTTATTAATCTTTATTAAAAAGACCTGGCAGCTCTGGATACCAATCTTTCTTTAGGCAGGAGGCTCCAGAGCTGGGGTGAAGGCTGGCACCACAAAGCAGGCAGCCACGGTCTCACCTCCAGCAGCTCAGAACCAAGTGGAGAAACGGCCAGATACACAAAGCCACAACACAGCATGACTCACCCCATCTCAGGATCATGGAAACAACTTGGGGGTGGGAGAAAACCTGATTGATTCTGGTGGGAGTGGGGCAGGAATCATTCACCAAGGCCTCCCAGAAAGAAACACTCTTGAGACTGGGTGTCTAAGGTGAACAGAATGTCTCCTGAGAGAGGAAAGCAGTACCCAGAACTGCAGAGGTGCCAAGCCATCTTCCCAAGCACAGGAGTGCTTTTGGGCCTCCAGGGGCTCAGCATTGTGGGAGGAGAGGGTGGGAGGAGGACAACCTTGTGGGAGGGATGGGGTGGGAGGAGGAGGTGGGAGGGCAGCCTGGGGGAGGAGGAGGCGGGAGGACTGCCTGGTGGGAGGAGGGGTCAGGAGGACAGTCTGGAGAGAAGAGAGGGTGGGAGGACGGCCTGGTGGGAGGGATGGGGTGGGAGGACGGCCTGGTGAGAGGATGGGGTGGGAGGATGGCCTGGTGGGAGGGATGGAGTGGGAGGAGGGCCTTGTGGAAGGGATAAGGTGGCAGGACGACCTAGTGGGAGGACGACCTAGTGGGAGGAGGGGGCAGGAGGAGGGCCTGGTGGGAGAAGGAGGCAGGAGGATGGCCTGGTGGGAGGCCCTGGGGGCGCCCAGGGGATGGCAGTACAGATGGCTGTTAGGACACCATTTCAACACTCATACAATAAAAGCAATAACCAAATCTGTTGCCTGAAAACAGAAACAAAATAAACTATGACAGGTTTGAGCGTTACCCTAAAGGAAGCTCTGGAATCCAGCCAGGCCTCTTAGGAAGAGAACGGTATTTTAATTGACTTGCCAGTGTGAATATTTTCTTGGCAGCCCCCATTATCTAGGATGCCATTACATACCAACACAAGCCATTTAGCAGCCTGCGTTTAAAATAATAACTAAGTAGTTGTTTCACTCTTGGCCATATTTCCAAGGAGAGATCACAAGTTTCATCCATTTGACTTTGTTTAGGCCTGTGGCTACTGCCTAAATGTAAAGCTCTCATCGGAAGGGCAGTTTACCTGGAGCCTTAAGTTTGGCACTTCAGCTTCGGGGGAGGGGCTGCTGAGTTTGTTGTCTCCTAAAGCAGCAGGCATACGATGCAGGTTTTCCAATACCTGCAGGAACGGTACCATCCCACTGCCTTAATGATTAGCCAAACGTGCCTAAATTGTACTTAAATGTGAAAAAGCACAGGCAAAACTGTTGGCATAAGAAACTCTAAAAGTCAACCATTATCATTACTAGTATCTCCCAGCAATCCAAACAGTACCTGGTACGCAGCAAGCACTTTATATGCCTTTTCATTTAACTCTCAGAGTAAGCTATACTTACCTTATCCACATTTTGTAAATGGAAAAATCTGTTTTACAAGCTCGTGTAACTAAGAAGAAACGGCAGCAGAACCCGAAGCTGGGTCTGCCCACCTCCTGAGCCTCAGTGTGGACGCCTGCTGGCCTGCTCCCACCCGTGCAGGCAGCCCAGAGGAGACCTGCGTGTCGCACCTACCAGGCAACCTGCACCAAAGGCCTTTTAGAAAATAAACATGCTTTTATCTCTACAAAAGTAATATATGCTCATTGTCAAAAATTTAGACAAACCTCAACCAAACTCCACCTCCAAGAGATGACCAGTATTGATGCTTGAGTTTTTTCCCAGTGTCTTACCTTGAAAACACAGATCACTATACATGCAGGCTTGCAGTCTTACTCCAAGTAAGATTAAGACACATAGTGATTGATTTTTCTCCAGAAAAAAATCTAAGACTCCTTCTCCTCTGGTATGTCACTCTAAAGGAAGCCAACCAGCATAACAGTCCCAATGACTTCTGTCTCATGAGCTTTTACCCTCATCCTCCAATAGACTGGAGAAATTTTATCACCCCCTTTCTGAACTAGGTGTTAAACTGATTTATTGGAGAGACTTCTCAAAGGCAAATGTGACCCATGTACTTTCTAAATTGAGAGCCTCTTCCTGCCCTTTTTTAAACAAGGACAGGTAGCTAGCTCGGGGTCCCACACAAATTGAAACCATGACCTATCATTTCACATTCAACAGATTGGAAAAACTAAATAATCTGATGATACCAAGTGCTGAAGAAGATATGGAGAAATGAAAACTCAATACATTTAGAAATGTATAAAATGACACATTTTGGACAATATGACATTATTCGAAGATGTAGTAGTACCGAAAACGCACAAATCCTGCAAGCCAGAAATGCTGCCTGTCTACGTCCATGCAGAGGAGAACCCTCAAAAAGAGGCTGCAGAATGCCCGAGGGAGAGCCACTCTACACAAAAGCAAGACATAAAAATGAACCAGGTGTCCGTCAAATGGGGGCTGTGTCAATTGTGCCCATTCCTGTTAACCGACATTAAAATAAATAAAACTAACATGAATAAAAAGGTGTTAATGTGTCAATCAGACCAGATCTCAAAAAGCATATGACTGAGTAAAAACAAGCAAATTGCAAAAATATAAACATTTCCATATACATAAATATGTTCGTTATACAAGTTACATGCAGGAGTTCAAGACCAGCCTGGCCAACATGGTGAAACCCTATCTCTACTAAAAATACAAAAATTAGCTGGGTATGGTGGCACGTGCCTGTAGTCCCAGCTACTCAGGAGGTTGAGGCAGGAGAATTGCTTGAACTCAGGAGGCAGAGGTTGCAGTGAGCCGAGATTGTGCCACTGCACTTTAGCCTGGGTAATAGAGTGAGATTCTATCTCCAAAATAAATAAATACAATACAATAAAATAAAATTTAAAGCATACAAAATAGTGTTACTGTTATTTTCTGATTGTTAGAAATATGTACTAAAAGTATGGACAGAAGGAGACCCATCAAATTTGTGGTAACGGTTGCCTTTAAGGAGGAAGAAGGAGGAGAAACGGTCTTGGGGAGCGCTTCACCAGGAATTTCAATAATTAAAATCTATTTCTGTGTGATAATCAGACATTCATAACTTTTGGCCATCTTAATAGTGGGCTGTTTGTATCCTTCTTCATTTGTAGCAGTTATTTATACATTAGCCTTTTGGAATTTTTTTTATTGCTCTCAATGTCTTTCTGATCTGCCATTTGCTGACTTTGTTCATTGCATCTGCCTCACAAAAGTGCATTCATCGCAGGTAGATTTGTCTCTTTTGCTTTAGATTCCATTTGGTGTCAGAAAAACCTTTAAAACTTTCAAGAATATAAACACATTCCTTCAGGACAAAAACATGCTACACACAGCCGCCTTCGCCATATCCCTGAAAGAAAACCTCTGCACCTTTTTCAAAGCAACTTTGATGATGCTTTCTGACCATAAGTCCCTTGACAGGAATCCTTTAGTCAACTAAAAAGATTCTAAATATTTCAGGTTAAATTTGCTCTTATTTTTAGAAAAGACACACCAACAACTCCATAGTAGTTTAAGTAGAGGAGCAGAATAATTTCTTTAGCAGTCCTGTACAAGCACTGTAAGGCTGGACAATATCTCCAGCTTAAGGGATATCAGACTTTTAAATATCCCAACTATTCTCTAAGCATGCCCAGAAGTGGCCTAAAGGACAGATAAACAAGGTTTCGCAGCAGGCAGCAGGGAATAGCTTGGGACTAAGCAAAAAACTAAACTGAGTCACGAAACCTGCAACTACTCCCCACTCCCTGCTGAGTGACTCTGGGCAAGTCACTTGACCACTATGATCTCTGCACATCAGAGAAACAAATAACAAACTTTAAGCAATGAACCGAAACACAAGATGTCAAAGGTGCCCTAGGGTTGGGCTTGGGCAAAAAGTTCCTAGGAGCACCTCAGGAGTAATTTGGAGGTTAGGTTTCACTTTCTCCACTATGGAAGGAAAGAGCCATGCACAAACAGTTGGAAAGCGTCACTGCTGGCTCTTGGAGAGGACAATGACAATTAATCCTGAGCAAGGGTAAGAGAAAACAGAGGCAGGCACCGGTCACCCTGCAGCTTGGCAGGCTCCAAAAGGGTGGATTCATGCCACTCCCGAATTCTGCAGTATTGTTTTGAAGATCTTCCTCTTGGCAAAGACCTGGCCCTGAGCCATAGAGAGTTTACCAGAATGCTGGCAGCAACAGTATGACATGCTCCTAATGTTTGGATATTTGATCCTCCAAATCTCATGATAAAATGTGATCCCCAATGTTGGATGTGGGGCCCAGAGGGAGGTGTTTGGGTCATGGGGGTGGATCCCACATAAATAAATTAATGCCCTCCTGGAGGGGGGCTATGAATGAGTTCTTGCTCTATTAGTTTCCATGAGAGCTGGTTGAAAAAAAAAAAAAAAGCCCATCACCTCCCTTTTCTCCCTTTCACCATGTGATCTCTACACACATCAGCTTCCCTTCACCTTCTGCCATGGGTGGGAGCAGCCTAAAGCCCTCACCAGAAGCCGGGTAGATGCCAACACCATGCTTCTTGAAGAGCCTGCAGAACCAAGAGCCAAATAAACATCTTTTCTTTATAAATTGCCCAGCCTCAGGTATTCCTTCATAGCAACACAATGCACTTGGATATATGCCTTTTTATAGGCATGGCCTCGCAGCCTTCCATACGCCCCAATCTCCAAACAGAGGGGATTAGGAATTCTTAAACAAGTGTTAAGGTCCACAAGAAATAAAGGAAAAGATGGGTAAATTTGACTGCATTGAAAAAATTTTTAAGTATGTACATAAAAGGACACTATAGACAGGGGCAGCTGGCAAAATGTGATCAGATATTAAAGGATTTAGCATCTAAAATTTTTAAAGAGTTGTTATAAATCAGTGAAAGAACCATTAAAAGATTTTGTTTAAATGGGCAAAGTGTACAACAGATACTTCACATCCACACACACGCACGCACACACAAAGCAGAAGCAGCTCAAATACACAAGCCCTTGAATAATCAGGGAAATGCAAATTAAAAGAATGAGTTATCATTGCATACATATCAGACTGGCACAAACTTAACTGTCTCTCTTATGGTTCTGGTGAGAAAATAAACTGGTATATTACTTTGGAAAACTCTGTGTGTGTGTGTGTGTGTGTGTGTGTGTAGTTGAAGTTGCACCTGCTACATAAAATAGTGAGTCTATGCTTAATTACAAACCCTAACTATGCACATGAATGTAAGAAGAGATGTACAGGAATATGCATAACTGCACTCTTTATAATTCAACATTTTTGATAATATTTATACATCCGTCAACAGGGAAACAGATAAATAAATTGTTTAATATTTGTATGAAACACACCAATGAATGAAAACAAGTTGCAGAATAAGTCACACAATATAACTTTTTTTTTTTCTGAGACGGAGTCTCACTCTGTTGCCCAGGCTGGAGTGCAGTGGTGTGATCTTGGCTCACTGGAAGCTCTGCCTCCCGCGTTCACACCATTCTCCTGCCTCAGCCTCCTGAGTAGTTGGGACTACAGGTGCCTGCCACCACGCCCGGCTGATTTTTTTTTTTTTCAGTAGAGATGGGGTTTCACCGTGTTAGCCAGGATGGTCTCACTCTCCTGACCTCATGATCTGCCCACCTCGGCCTCCCAAAGTGCTGGGATTACAGGCATAAGCCACCACCCCCGGCCCATACAGTATAACATTTAAATAAAGTTCAAAACCCCACAGTACTATGCTATATATTATTTACAGCTGCATAAACATGTAGTAAAAAATACACATAGAAAGTATAAATGACAAAGTTCATGTCACAATCCCTTGTGGAGGAAAGAGAGCTATAGCAGGGACCTGTACTTGTGAATTTTTTTTTCTCCTTAAATTGGATGGATATACATGAGTCGTCACTATATTATTCTATGAGTTTTTGTATGTCTAAAATATTTCATTGAAAATGCTATGAGGTTCACTTTTAAAATATCTGGGCCTTGCGTGGTAGCTCATGCCTGTCATCCCAGCACTTTGGGAGGCCGAGGCAGGCGGATCGCCTGAGGTCAGGAGTTCAAACCCAGCCTGGCCAACATGGCGAAACCCATCGCTACTAAAAATACAAAAATTAGCCGGGCGTGGTGGCACGCGCCTGTTGTCCCAGCTGCTCGGGATGCTGAGCCAGTGGAATCGCTTGAACCCGGGAGGCAGAGGTTGCAGTGAGCCGAGATTGGGCTGGAAAGATAAACATGAATACTTCAACACAGGGGTCTGCAACGCCCGGTGCCTCAGACTGGTACCGGTCCCTGGCCTGTTAGGAACCAGGCCACGCAGCAGGAGGTGAGCCGTGCGCCTGAGCTCCACCTCCTGTTAGATCAGCGTGGCATTGGATTCTCACAGGAGCGCAAACCCTGTTGTGAACCTCACACTTAAGGGATCTAGGTTGTGCTCTCCTCATGAGAATCTTACAAGCGCCTTATGATCAGCAGTGGAACAGTTTCATCCTGAAGCCATTCGCACCTCCCCCAACCCCCACCTGGCAATGAAAAAAACTGTCTTCCACAGAACCCATCTCTGGTGCCAAAACAGTTGAGAACTGCCGCCTTAACAGAATTATTCTCTTTTATTCTGGGTCTTTCTGTAATTAAACATGTAACCATTTGAAATTTTTTTAAGGCGTTAAACATGCCTACAATTTTCCAGTTTTGCACTCTTCTCCAACTCAGCTATCTCTTCTAAACTTACTTTTTATTTTAGTTTATTTTTAGAGACAACGTCTCCCTGTGTTGCCCAGACAGGACTCAAACTCCTAGGCTCAAGTGACCCTCCCAACTCAGCCTCCTGAGTAGCTGGAACTACAGATGCATGCCACCACACTCAGCTCAAAACTTACTTTTTTGTTGAAGTCGAACTTAGCTATTCAATTATCTCCAGCATTCAACAATCTACCAGTGACCACAGTGGGATTCATTTCACTGACCATTAACTGAACAAAGAAGAAGCCAGCTTCGAAGCCTTCTTTCTAGAGACACTGATATCACCTTCTCCCTTTACCTAGTTTTTGTTTGTTTGTTTGTTTTGAGGTGCAGTCTCGCTCTGTTGCCCAGGCTGGAGTGCAGTGGCACAATCTCGGCTCACTGCAACCTCTGCCTCCCGGGTTCGAGTGATTCTCCTGCCTCAGCCTCCTGAGTGGCGAAGACTACAGGCATATACCGCCATGCCTGGCTAATTTTTGTATTTTTTAGTAGAGATGGGGTTTAACCATGTTGTCCAGGCTGGTGTCGAACTCCTGACCTCAAGTGATCTACCCAACTCAGCCTGCCAAAGCGCTGGGATTACAGGCGTGATCCACCATGCCCAGCGCTCCCTTTACCTAGTTTTCTAGCATCTAGTGCTATGAGTCGGAGAGCGATCACCTTAGGCTTCCTGAAACAATAATGTGAGGTAAGAAGTGGAGAGTGTCGACGTCAAGCTCCGCTCCCCTGGACGGCATCCCTGTTACAACTCCATCCACCGTCAGCAGTTTCTCAGGAAGTGTTAAGTGTCTACCATAGATACGACCAACAACTTACTTTCTGGTGCCTTTTGAGGGCTTTATGATTAAAATAAGTTGTGGAAGTCTAAAAACATATAGGCCATTTCCTAAAGCAGATGGACCACCACATAGGAAGATGTCAAGGAGAAAAAGCAAGTTCAAACCTAGGACTTTCTTTTCAACTTCTTTGTTCACATAATTCAAACCTAGGCTCAACAGTCCTTTATAAACACAAATTTACTTTCATCTTTCTTCTGTAAATCCACAGACAAAACAAGCAATGTTTTACACCTCTGAACCTACAATAGGATTTTAAAAGCTACCAGGAAGCCCTTGAGAAGTTCAGGTCTGGGTCAGCATATACTTTATCATATTTACCAGTCAGGATGCTTTCAGCTACGTGCAATCTAATTTAACCCACCTTAAACAATAAAGAAATGGAGTGGCTCACATCACAGAAAGGCCAGAGGCTGGGAGGGACTCGGGGTTCAATTAACTCAGTGGCTGGGACTTTTCCTTCCTCTAGAATTCTCTTAGCTATACATTCCTTCCGGTATCTGTTTATTCTCAGGCTGGAAGCAAGATGCCTGTATGACCTCTGATCCCCACAGCCAAGCATGACAACGTTTAATTTCTTCCTATGGCTTGCTTAGGAGAAGGAGGAACCCAAAGCCCCAGGAAACCTGTCAAAGGTCTTGGCTGAGCCAGTCACTCATCTCACACCAATGTCTGGCCCCATGGGAAGGCTTGCTGGCAAAGCACTGGGCTCCCGATGGACTACGACCAGGTAAGCCCCTCTCCTAAAGCTGCAGCCATTAGATTATACCAAATGGAATCTAATAAAAATGAAGTGGAAGGATGGGAGGGACACAGCATTCATGCCAAATCTTAGAAGTTCAGGACTAAGTTCGCTAATTTACGCCTCAGGGTCCTGAAGAAGACTATCGACAGTGCGATCACCTGGAGTTGGGGTATAAAGCTACACCCGTCCTCCCTGCAAAGCAGGCTTTCTTCTTCCTCAAATATCCCAAGACCAGCAATACATTCAGCAGCCCACTGTTGCCAAAATCAAAGTCTCATTAAAAGAGAAGAGAATCAGCTTTGGAAGGGGCAGCAGGACCTCCCTTCTGGTTCATGGAAAGCCTCTGCCCCACTGCCGCGACTCAGGCCTGGCCCCGGGTGCAAGTTCAAGCACAGCCTCAAGCACTGTTCTGTTCACAGTGCATAGAATGTGCTTCCCCAGAATGCAGGCAGCGGCCGCTGCAGGGAAGGAGACCACACCAAGCTCTCCGGGCTGCCAGCACTGGGAAACCACAGGGAAGGCACCAGCCCTCAAAGGCGCTGAGCTGGACAAGAGCAGTGACATCGTCCAATCTTCTGAGGACTTTCTATTTTTCCAGAGACTGACACAAAAAACCAGTTCATTGTTTTCCCTAACAACAGATGAGAACAGAAAGGAAGGGGAAGCAGATTTTGAATGGTGACATTTAAACCCAAAACTTCATTCCTCCCAGAGTCTCAAGACAAAAGCTATAAAAACCATGACCCGGCCAGGCGCGGTGGCTCACACCTGTGATCCCAGCACTTTGGGAGGCCGAGGCAGGTGGATCACCTGAGGTCAGGAGTTTGAGAACAGCCTGACTAACATGGTGAAACCCTGTTTCCACTAAAACTACAAAAAATCAGTTGAGCACAGTGGCAGGCGCCTGTAATCCCAGCTACTCGGGAGGCTGAGGCAGGAGAATCGCTTGAACCCAGGAGGCAGAGGTTGCAGTGAGCTGAGATCGTGCCACTGCACTCCAGCCTGGGCAAAAAGAGCAAAACTCCATCTCAAAAAAAAAAAAAAAACAAAAAAAAAAACCCATGACACACATATGAAGAATCTTTCTTTAAAAAAAAATAAGAGCTTATAACCTCTGGTCTGAGTTTCACTTAATGGAAAGTATTCTGAACAAAATTATTCACAATACATAGAAGTTGTCTCAGCCATCAAAAAGGTGTCAGAAGAGTGAAATAATATCAAAACAAATGAACTGCAGTACGGGGGTGGTTGTGTGTGTTAGCGTAAATTCACGTGAAAGAGTATGACGTGGCTATTACGGAAGTGGCTATGGGATTATGAAGCAACATGGAACACTTACATTAAGTAACTTCTTCACTTTGATGACAACTGTGTACTAAAGCAAACAAAAACATGTATATGAAAAAGACAGGCCAGGCGCGGTGGCTCACGCCTGTAATCCCAGCACTTTGGGAGGCCGAGGCAGGTGGATCACGAGGTCAGGAGATTGAGACCATCCTGGCTAACACGGTGAAGTGTTAGTTTTGTATTGTTAGTAGAGACTGGCTAACCCATCTCTACTAAAAATACGAAAAATTAGCCGGGTGTGGTGGCGGTCGCCTGTAGTCCCAGCTACTCGGGAGGCTGAGGTAGGAGAATGGCGTGAACCCAGGAGGCTGAGCTTTCAGTGAGCCGAGATCGCACCACTGCACTCCAGCCTGGGCGACAGAGCGAGACTCTGTCTCAAAAAAAAAAAGGAAAAGACAAAGGAAATGCAAAATTGATGCTAATGGTTACATTAGGAAACCAGGTTTCTAGGTGCTCCTTCCCACTTTCCTATTAATAATACAGTCATCCCCCGGGATCCATCAGACACTGGTTCCAGGAACCCCATGGATGCTAAAATTCGAGGATGCTCAGGTCCCTGATTTTTTTCTTTCTTTCTTTCTCTCTTTCTTTCCCTCTCTCTCTCTTTTTCTCTCTCTCTCTTCCTTTCTTTCATTTTTTTTTTGAGACGTAGTCTCACTCTTGTTGCCCAGGCTGGAATCTGGAATGCAGTGGCATGATCTCAGCTTACTGCAACCTCCGCCTCCCAGGATCAAGCAATTCTCTTGCCTTAGCCTCCTGAGTAGCTGGGATTACAGGCGCCCACCAACATGCAAGGCTAATTTTTGTACTTTTAGTAGAGACCGGGTTTCGCCATATTGACCAGGCTGGTCTCCAACTCCTGACCTCAGGTGATCCACCCGCCTTAGCCTCCCAAAGTGTTAAGATTACAGGTATGAGCCACCACATCCGGCCCAAGTCCCTGATTTTTAAAAAATGGCCTAGTATTTTCATATCACCTGTGCACATCCTCCTATATACTTTAAACCACCTCTAGATGACCTATAATACCTTATACAGTGTAAATGCTATGTATATAGTTGTTATACTGTATTGCTTAGGGAACAATGACAAGAAAAAATATGTACATGTTCAGCACAGACACAATTTTTGCCAAATATTTTCAAGTCGTGGTTGGCTGAATCCACGATGCAGAATCTGAGGGAGGGCAGCTGTCATAGCTCACTCTTACTACAGGCATGGTCTTCTAAGCACTACGCATCGTAGCCATTTCCTCCTCAATACAGCCTTAGGGGGTGGTTTCTAATATTATCTCCATTTTATAGATGAGAAAACTTGTTTTCTAAGCTTCCTGTAAAAGTGCTGGCTGTGCCCTCCTAACGTACGGGCAAGGCTAGCTAGAGTCAAAGGTTCCTCCCAACCACTGCCTTTACCTCTAAAAAGATGGGATTCTGATAGCTTAAGGACAGCGCGTGGCCCTCTGAGGCCTGGGACTGGCTCACTGGGGCAGGCCTGTCACTGGAAGAAGCTGAGGTTCGCAGGGTGGGGATTCGCTCTGCTCGAACACCTTCTGCATCTCCCAGGTCCCAGACAGCTGGAACAACACATGGATGCTGGTATGCTGGGGAGAAAGGAGGCACCCCAGGAAATCACAGGACTTTGGCTGGGGCCAGGGAGGGGAGGGCAGAGGAGAGAGGTCAAGGAGTGAAGCCCGTTGTGCTCTCAGTGTTTGTGAGGTGCAATCGCTTTTTGGACTCACTTTTGGGCCTCTTCTTGCCATCGGGATGTTAGGATTTGGGGGTCCAAGATCCAGTCTCTTTGGTGGAACGGGGGTGGAGTGGCCAGTGGAGCAAACTCGAGTGCCCGTACTGCTCAGAGAGACAGTGAGTGAGTTAAAGAAGGTGAGGTAAAATTAGTCTGCAATCTAATTCTTGTTTTCCCACTTTTGATTGAAATAGGAATTTAAGAAATATTTCGCTTTCCTCTCCACTTACAGCGTAAACAGTAATGTACAGCCACGAACAGGAGCCGGCAGGAGTGGCGGGGAGACCCGCAGTCCCACTGTGCGGCACCCACATGCTGCTCACTGTGGCCGGAGCGTCGGACTTTAAGGAGCTGTGAGACAGCTATATTTTATGTGGAAATTTCCAGACTTTTAAACATCAGTGAGTCATTCAAACAAACAAATGAACAATTATTTTTAAAGCTGCACATGGCCAGACTCGGCCCCTGGTACCAGCCTGAGACCTCTGAACTGGCCTTCAGCTAGAAGAGCCAGAGGCAGCCTTGTGATCTCAGCGGACCTGGCCAGAGTGGGTGGGCGGGCGCCAAGGATGGCGCTCCAAAGTAGAGGGCACACTTGGATGCCAAGGTGTCTGTCTGGGGCTTCACGGAGCCCACCGTCCTGGCCATCACAGATAACATGGTGTGCTTCACGAAAGTACAAACAACGTAGAAGGAGCCCGTTGGTGAAAGTGGGGCTAGGTACTTGCAACACAGGTGTAAAAGCTGACGTTACATCCCACCCAGAGCAAAACAAAACAGGAAAAGCAAAAACAGTTCACTTAAGACTCAAGATAACTCATTTTCCATTTCTCTTTTCATCATGATTTATACAATAAAACAATGGCTCTCACGGATTCTAACGTCTCAGGAAAGTACCAAAAACACAGCAAGTGAATCGGGTATAAGTAACAGGGTAATTTAGTTAACATAGCAAGTGAATCGGGTATAAGTAACAGGGTAATTTCATTGAGGGTCACCCACATGGCTATTAATGACAGGCATCGGCTTCCATTTCTTCTTCTCTGAAGAAGGGGATTCCCTACCTCTGGGCTGGGAAGGGGACAGACACTGAATAAAAACATCTGGGCACAATGAGAAAGGCATGGGCACGTCCTGAATTCCACAGAGAGCAGCAGCTAGAGCTCAACTATGGCTCCTGGAAACTGTTCCACTTAAAAGCATACAAGAGTCAGAATCTTAAGATGCTGACAATATATTTTTCATAATTTCCTCCACTTTCAGCCATCATAGTGGCCTTTAAAGGGCTCACTAGGTATCTCGGAGGAAACCTCCGGTCCGGGACCAGCGCCGGCAGCAGGCAGCTCTCACGCCCACCTGCCCTGTCCCGTCCCCAGCCGTTGCTGCATAGGGATGGGATGTAGGCTTCCTCTAATATCTGAGCTGGGAGGAGAGAGCCATATTCCACAAGCAACAAACCGGTAAAGCAACACACACTTGAAAAATTTTGTGTCGCCCTCAGAAGGCTTACCAAGAGCCAGTCAGCCCCTATTTGACAAGATGCATAATTACTGCATGGAGTTCCTGTTCATGTAAGTGATTGTAATTAGTAATATTTTTCCACAGCCAAACCAAGTATTTCAAGGGACAGCTTGAGGAAAAGATGAGAGGATACCTTGGGAAGAAATAAAATGCTCCTGGCCCCTCAGAGGCAGCGGCGACTCCCAAGCTGCTCACACTCAGAGTGCTCCTGGCTCAGCTGTGTCCAGGGGGACACACACAACCTTCCTCTCCCCTCCCAGGGCCCTCAGCCAATGACCAGCCCAGAAAGGTTTGCTGGAGAAACCGTCACCTGCCTGGACTTGCCCCAGCCTCCTTTACTTTCAGTAAAGGGAAGGAGACCATTTGGCCTTAACAATCTTGACCTCCTCAACTCTGGATCTTGTGATTCAGCTCCCAAAGTCTCAGGGACAAGGCTCCCCTGCCTCAGGGTCAAGCAAGCTCCGAACTCTTGGTCCATCCACTCTAGCTTCTAACAGCCCAGCATCTGGACCCGTGCGCAGCCTCCTTCACCCTCCAACACCCGGAACACAGGGCAGCAAAGTCCTCTCGCGATGTCCATTGCCCAGAGTGGCGAGTCAGAAGTCAGCCTCACAGACAGGATGGCCATCACCAGGCTACAGGGACAGGGAAGGAGCAGACAACTGGACAGGGAGGAGGGAGCCATCCGCCACCTCAGGAGCACCGGGAAGAGGGCCTCCCCGCATTCCCAGACCCCATCACACCCCGTGTCTCTCCCTCCCTGGCAGGGGTGGCAGGCATGCAGGTTCCAGCTGGAGTCCAAGCGACCTGGCCCAAAGGCTGATTCCACCTTTGGGCTCTGGGGTGAGATCTTTATCCTGTCATTTCTAAACAGATAATCCATTCAGTCATCAACAAATGTTTATTAAGTTCCTGCCTCATGCCAGGCACTGTTTTAGGTACTGGAAAAACAGCAGTAGATAAAGCAATCAAAAATATTCCTGAGGTGTGCAGGCAAAAATGATTGGGGGTGGAGAGTGGGTATGGCATGGAATAAATACTAGCACCCACTTTACGGGGGTGTCGTGAGGACTGAAGTGGGTCATTTTGTGTTAAGAGTGTGGCACAGGACCTGGTCCATGGTAAGGGATGGATGCACAGTAGTTCCCATTAGCTGCGGGTCATAGGCCAAGACTAAAGAAGAGCCATATCAGCCTCAGGAGGCCTTGGGAACAGAGGGGAATCACCTGATGCTGTGCAACTGGCTCTGGCCAGGCTCAGAGAAACCAGGGACCCTTTCAGCGGAAGATTCCCACCCACCACCTACCAACTAGGATGGCAAGATAGCAAGTGCCTTCAAACGCGAGCAAAGCAAGAAGCAAAAGGCCGCAGGACGAGTCCCGGTGACATATCCACAAATCACAGGCAGAGAGCCTGTTAAAGGAAGGCTGTGTAAGTGTACTCAGTCAGTGGAAAGTGGACTTGCTCCAGGAAGGCCACAGCCTCATCCTGGCCTGTGTCACCTGCCCCACGCACACGGCAGTTCCGGGGCAGGTCCTGCGCACGCGGCAGGAAGGAAGGAAACCACAGTAGGTCTCTCAGAGGAAACCACAGTAGCAGCCTCCTCTGCCAAAACAACAGAAATAGCTACTCCAGTGTCCCAGGTGTCTTCCCACACACAAATGTGCAATGCGATACTTGCTGAACGCCAGGGCCTCTGAAAGGCAGGAAGGTAATTAGCTGGGAGTGGTGGCATGTGCCTATAATCCCAGCTACCAGGAGGCTGAGGCAAGAGAATCACTGGAACCCGGGAGGCAGAGGCTGCAGTGAGCCAAGATCGCGCCACTGCACTACAGCCTGGGTGACAGAGCAAAACTCCATCTCAAAAAAAAAAAAAAAAAGGAAAAACGAAAGGCAGGAAGGTCTCTGCTGGGCAGCAGGGACTGATACAGGTCAACCAGACCCATAAGAGGTGAAAGGCCGCCCCTTGAAAGAAACCTTTTGATTTCCCCCAGTGGTTCAAACAGACTTACTGGGCAACAAGTCTTTGAATATTGACTTTCAAATGAAAATAAACACAGCAAGGCAGCTCTGCGTCAGCAGATATGCTCCCAGCGTGCTGATACCGCTAGGTGAGCAGCAGGGAGCCCAAGCCGGAAGAAAAACATGCAGCAGGGCCAGCACCGAGTTCTGCAGGTGTCCCTTACTTTTCATTAACATGAAGCTCCCAGATTCCCGCTTATGCCTCATACCTCTTAAAAACGCAGGCTCAGCAGGGCGAGGTAGCTTATGCCTGCAATTCCAGCACTTTGGGAGGCCAAGCTGGAGGATTGTTTAGGCCCAGGAGTTCAAGACCAGCTTGGACAACACAGTGAGACCTCGACTCTACTAAAAAATTACCTGGGTGTAGGCCGGGTGCGGTGGCTCACGCCTGTAATCCCAGCACTTTGGGAGGCCGAGGCGAGTGGATCACGAGGTCAGGAGATCGAGACCATCCTGGCTAACATGGTGAAAGCCCGTCTCTACGAAAAATACAAAAAATTAGCCGGGCGTGGTGGCGGGCGCCTGTAGTCCCAGCTACTCGGGAGGCTGAGGCAGGAGAATGGCATGAACCCGGGAGGCAGAGCTTGCAGTGAGCCAAGATCGTGCCACCGCGCTCCAGCCTGGGCGACAGAGCGGGACTCCGTCTCAAAAACAGCAACAAATAATTACCTGGGTGTGGTGACACATGCCTGTAGTCCTAGCTACTCGGGAGACTGAGGTGGGAGGATCGCTTGAGCCCAGGAGTTCAAGACGTCAGTGAGCTATGATCACACAGCTACATTCCAACCTGGGCAGCAGAGCAAGACCTTGACTCTAAAAATCTTAAGTAATTAATTTATATATATATATAATATTTGTATAAACTAGGCACTGTTTTAGGTGTTGGAGAAATAGCAGTAGGTAAAACAATCAAAAATATTCCTGAGGTGTGCAGGCAACAATGATTGGGGTTGGAGAGCGGGCATGGCATGGAATAAATACTAGCACCCACTTTACATGGGCGTCCTGAGGACTGAAGTGGGTCATTTTGCATAAAATGGGCGGCACAGGACCTGGCCCATAGTAAGAGATTGACACACAGTAGGTATATATACAGGCAGGCTCCATGGTGTATTTAATATTACATATTATCATTTAATAATGTTTAAAATTAAATATATAAAAATATTTTTAAAAATATATTAAAAATATATATAATAAATTTTAAAAAATTATTTTTATATTATATATTATTTTGTATACTAGATAATATATAATTGTATAATAGATAATATATAATATTCCATTATGTATTCTATTATATATTATACTAAAATATAATATACTATAGTATATAGATAGTATAATATATATTATATGATAATATATAATACTATACTATAAATACTACCATATGTATTATAGTATATATTACAGTATATTATATATTATCATTTTATAATATATATATTACGTAGTTATATATATATATATGTATATAAAAATATATATGGGCAGGCTCCATGGTGTATTCTGTGTAGCACACAGTATCCAACAGTCTTCATAAATAACCATCTCCCATTGCTAACAGCAGAAAGTAAAATACTCTAGAAAAAATGACTAGAAGCAAATATTATAGTTGCTAAAGTGTTTACTAGTTTCCAAGCATTAAATATGTATGCCATGACCACTTTTGAATGGGCTTATCATGTTTTTAACCTAGTGATAAGATCAAAAAGTATTTTCTTAGCTTATATTTATATTTTCTACTTAACAGACTTTATAAAATTGTTTCTATTAGATATGTGCTTATTTTGACTTTGGGCATTAATTTAACAACCTACAACTTTTAAAGCAGAAGGGACAATTTGGTTTCCATCTAGACTGACTATATCATCAACATGAAGTCAACTTTCTCACTTGCACTATAATATACCACATCATCCTTCCAAAAGAGCTCTGTACAGTCTTTCTTTTATTTGGGTTTGTTTGTTTGTTTTTGAAACAGGGTCTTACTCTATCACCCAGGCTGGAGTACAGTGGCAGAATCTCAGCTTACTGCAACCTCCACCTCCTGGGCTCAAGTGATCCTCCCACCTCAGCCTCCCAAGCAGCTGGGATCACAGGCATGCACCACCATGCCATACTAATTTTTTGTATTTTTGGTAGAGACGGTGTTTCACCATGTTGCTCAGGCTGGTCTCGAACTCCTGAGCTCAAGCAATCTACCCGCTGTGGCCTCCCCATGTTCTGGGATCACAGGCATGAGCCACCACATCCAGCCCTCTTCTCGCTCTGTTGCCAGGCTGGAGTGCAGTGGCGCGATCTTGGCTTGCTGCAACCTCCGCCTCCCAGGTTCAAGTGATTCCCCTGCCTCAGCCTCCCAGGTAGCTGGGACTACAGGCATGCGCCACACCAAGCCCAGCTAATTTTTTTTTTTTTTTGTATTTTAGTAGAGACGGGGTTTCACCATGTTGGCCAGGATGGTCTCAATCTCCTGACCTGATGATCCCCCGACCTCGGCCTCCCCAAGTCTGTAAGGCCTCCCTTTACACCTGTAAAGGATTACAGGTGTGAGCCACCGCGCCTGGCCATCTTTCTTTTAAATAGGGATTTGAGATTCCGTTTAAGTTTAGAGGAAATTTAGGGTTAAAACTATTTTAGGAACCAAATTAAGAATGTGGATGTTGGGATGATGCCACATTGGTTGTTGCAAACTGGGACAATGTTTTCAAGTAACACTTTAATAATCACTTTAAAGATCAGCAGACCCAACACTGGCAAGCTTGAAATCCAACTGTGCTAACACATGACTCCTGAAGGTGTACTGGCAATTTTTACAATGCCACTCAGCAAAATGTTATCAAGAGCTGGAAAGGGGCTTACATCTAGTAATTCCCTATGAATGAACTTGCCCTGAAGAAAGTCACAAAAAGCATGGAAGAATGAGATAGAGGGATGATCAACCAAGTTTAACTTACAATCGCACAGTACTGGAAGTAGCCATAAGATCATTATTTTCTAGGTGATATTTGACTTAGTTGATACATCCACTTGACAGACTCTTACACAGCCACTAGAAAGTGTTAAATGTTGATTAATATAAGTAGAATATGACACTGTATCTATAAAGACACACTATCATTACAATTATAAATATTATATGTGGAAAAAAGGCTGGAGGTAAATATATTAAAATGTCACAAATGGGTATTAGAGGAATTGAATTAGGCATGTCTTCCTCTTTGTAGCATGCAAACTTTGTTAATATTTATAGATAATATTTTTTAAAGGGAGGGTTTCTGTCCTAAAGAACCCTGGAAGGAAAACTGGCTGGCCCAGCCCTGGGGACAGAGCATTGAGTATGTCAGTGTTGAGACAGGGATGCTGGGGCTGCCCCTGCGCTCTCCCACGGCACACAGTTCATCAAGAAGTCATGGACCAAGCTGTTACCAAGAACTACATTTTCCTACACTGCTGCAAGAACACACCAGGTGACCTCCCCATCCACTCCCTAACACCTAAGTCAAAATCGCAACACAGCTAGATCCCAGCCTTCCAGACTTAAAGACATTATGAAGAAGAAACATTTACTTCTTTGAAAAAATGCACGGCCAGGCATGGTGGCTCATGTCTATAATCCCAGCACTTTGGGAGGCCAAGGCAGGCGGACCTGAGGTGAGTTTGAGACCAGCTTGGCCAGCATGGTGAAACCCTGTCTCTACTAAAAATATAAAAATTATCCGGGTGTAGCAGTGGGCACCTGTAATCCTAGCTACTTGGGAGGCTGAGGCAGGAGAATCACTTGAACCCAGGAGGCAGAGGTTGCAGTAAGCCAAGATCAGTGAGCCAACAATCCAGCCTGGGTGACAAGAATGAAACTCTGTCTCAAAAAAAAAAAAATTACCGTCTTCCATTGGCAGGTGGTTGTGAAGGGGGAAAAGCCAAAATGCCCAAACTGAAAGGTAAAGTAGAAATTCAGGCTAACGCTGACCTTGAGCCAGGCTTCCTGGCAAAGATCAAAGCCTGTTGCCTTCTAACATTCTGCTCCAGCACACATAACTTCATACTCCACCCCACAAGGTAGAGGCCAAAGAGAACAAATCATGGTGGAGTACTTTCCTAATGCTCCTGCAGGTCCCACGATGTCTGAGACACAGGCAGGTCACTGCCTCGTCCATCACTGCAGGGCCTGCCAGCGCAAATCATGCCAATAACCTGCCGTTCGTGGATGCTGCGGGGACCCACAATGCTGGCCATGTTTAGTCCTCACCTGCAGGCACACTGAATGCAATGAGGATGCCCTCCTCTTCTAAGACTTTATTTTACTGTCCTTCTTATGTTTTGACTTAGCATTTTTTCAAGTCCTATTTGGTCACAGAAGAAGATAAATACATAATTACAGATTAAGAGAAAAACTTGCCTGTCTCTTGAATGTATAACATTTTTCATTACTTGCTCATATTATATCTTTGAAGCTATACATACTACAAAAAAAAAGCCAAGCAAATAAATAAAAATACAGCTTCACAGAAATAAGACCTCGTGCCCAGTTCTGTAAGCACACTATTTGAATAAAGCAAGAGCAAGCCATCAGAAAAGTAAGGGCTGTGGCAGGAAGCTAGTAGAACATTAGGACAGAATGTTTTCACACTTCGCAAGTGAAAACTGAAGGCTCGTGCTTCCAGATGATCTCGTGAGTGTGTGAGGTGGGCTTGCCCCAGTCCATCCAGAGTCCCACGCACCTTAGTAATGTCATACCACTCAGCAACAAATTACCAATCAACACAACCACACAAGCCACGTCAAATTCATTTTACTCTGTGAAAGAAACCAAACTCAAAAGGCTGCATCATGTATGATTCCATTTTACATAACATTCTGGAGAAGGCAAAACTATAGGGACAAAGAACAGATCAGTGGTGGGCAAGGCCTGGGGAACGGTGGGAGGAAATTAGCTGCAAAGGGAAGGAGAGGCTCTATGCTCTGAACCCCAGCTGTGACGCTGATTTCATACGTGACTGTACGCATCTGTCAGACACATAGCACTGAACCCTGAAACGAGTGAATTTTCTTGTATGGAAATTATATCTTTGTAAACCTGATTTTACAGTTTTTAAAGAAAAAAACACGTATGGCCATGCGTGGTGGCTCACTCCTGTAATTCCAGCACTTTGGGAGGCCGAAGCGGGCAGATCACCTGAGGTCAGGAGTTCAAGACCAGCCTGGCCAACATGATGAAACCCCGTCTCTACTAAAAATACAAAACTTAGCCCGGCATGGTGGTGGGCGCCTATAATCCCAGCTACTTGGGAGGCTGAGGTAGGAGAATTGCTTTAACCCGGGAAGCAGAGGTTGCAGTGAATCAAGATCGCACCACTGCACTCCAGCCTGGGTGACAAAGGTGCGACTCCATCTCGAAAGGAAAAAGAAAAAACACATACAACAGAAAAAGTGTAACTCCAGTTTCCTCGCACATTCCCGAATATTCTCAGGGCTGGCCATCCCATGTGTCCAATGCTGCCTGAACCCCCCACCCCCACACCCATCTCTACCAAAAGAAGAAATATTCTGAGTCTCAGTGAACCAAGACTGAAAGTCCAACAATCCTTTAAGAAAACAAATAAATTTCCAAAAGAACGCTACTTCCTGTAATTACTGACAGTGTCTGAAGGTCCTTTTCAAAATGATTAGCATTCTCTCCATTTTAAAGATATAGTTGAGATGCAAATTCTGATCATCTACATAGACAATATCCATTTAACTTCTCGATTTCAGCTATTGCAGATTGTTCTGACTTTGTGTAAGGAAACCCCATTTAAACTTCGTAACTCTATAAATCATTCCCATGGCTCCCACCAGCTACTGTGATCTCCGGTTTTAAGTTCCAGAGATTAGATAAGGCCTCGACATAGTGGCTAATGAGCTTTAATGTGCTTTAAAAGTCAAGGCTTGAGACCAGCTTTTCAGAGTAAACTTATTTTTCCAGAACAGTAGGTTTTCTTGCCAGGCAAGATTTGATTTCAAAATTGCACTAAGTTCTAGAAATTCAGGTTTCTTTCTTGCGTGCTCCCGGATTTCAGCAGAGTATTAGGAAACGTCCTGACCCAGGCTCCCCGCCCTCTAGGGTTGGGTAGAAAACAATCCACTGGGGAAAACCACACTCCCATTACTGGGCTTCGCCCCCTGGGGCTGGGCAGATCCGACAGTGGGATTATTTTTAGTTGAAGCATTGTGGCAAGCAGTCTGTGTGTGTGTGTGTGTGCGCGCGTGTGTGTGCGCACGCACACACGCGTCTCCTCAAACTCTGCCTCCTGCTTGTGAACAATTCCCTAAATAGTAATAATTTTCTTTTTATAAGAAAACCACAGCAACATATTTTATAAGAAAACTGTAGCAACATAGATGGCATTGGAGATCATTATATTAAGCGAAGTAAGCCAGGCACAGAAAGGCGAAGATCCCATGTTCTCACTCATGTAGGGGAGCTAAAGCAGTGGGTCTCATGGAGGTAGAGAGTAGAATGGTGGACACCCGCAGCCGGCAGTTACCAGGAAGGGGAAGGAGCGATGAAGAGAAGCTGGTTAATGAGTACAAAATACAGTTCGCTAGAAGGAGCAAGGTCTAGCATTCAATAATACAGTAGGGAAATTAGAGTTAATAATGTTATATATTTCAAAATAGAAGATTTATAGTGTTCCCAACACAATAAAAGATAAACGTGTGAGGTTCTGGATATCCTAATACACCGGGATTTTACCATGACACACTGAACACACAAATCAATCACACATGAATCCCAAATATGTACAATTAAGATACAGCAAGTAATTTTTTATTTATTATTATTTTTTTAAGACGGAGTCTCACTCTGTCGCGCAGGCTGGAGGGCAGTGGTGCGATCTCGGCTCACTGCAAGCTCCGCCTCCTGGGTTCACGCCATCTGGACTGACCATATCATCAACATGAAGTCAGCTTTCTCACTTGGACTGTAACGTACCACATCATCATTCTAAAAGAGCTCTGTACAGTCTTTCTTTTATTTTGGTTTGTCTGTTTGTTTTTGAGACAGGGTCTCACTCTATCACCCAGGCTGGAGTACAGTGGCGGGATCTCAGCTTACTGCAACCTCCACCTCCTGGGCTCAAGTGATCCTCCCACCTCAGCCTCCCAAGCAGCTGGGACCACAGGCATGCACCACCATGCCATGCTAATTTTTTGTATTTTTGGTAGAGACGGGGTTTCACCATGTTGCTCAGGTTGGTCTCGAACTCCTGAGCTCAAGTAATCCACCCGCTGTGGCCTCCCCATGTTCTGGGATCGCAGGCATGAGCCACCACATCCAGCCCTCTTCTCGCTCTGTCGCCAGGCTGGAGTGCAGTGGCGCGATCTTGGCTCACTGCAACCTCCACCTCGCAGGTTCAAGTGATTCCCCTGCCTCAGCCTCCCGGGTAGCTGGGACTACAGGTGCCCACCACCACACCTGGCTAATTTTTTGTATTTTTAGTAGAGACAGCATTTCACCGTGTTAGCCAGGATGGTCTCCATCTCCTGACATCGTGATCTGCCCGCCTTGGCCTCCCAAAGTGCTGGGATTACAGGCGTGAGCCACCGCGCCTGGCCAAAATACAGCAATTAATTTTTTTTAAAAAAAGAAAACTGTCTCCAAGTAGCCTAGATTGATTTTTCTACACTGAGAACCTTCCCTTGTATAAATCAGAAAAAGGAGCTGTGAGAGCTGCTAAGAGGGTGCCACTGGCAAAAAGTCTGTGGACCCTGAGATGAGGCAGCACCACAGGGCGGGTGAGTGGTTGCCAGCAGATGAGTGGTTGCAGCCCGGCAGAGGCTGCGGACTTTGGGAACCTCAGCTTTAATGGAATTCTTAGACGGAAGCTTCTTTCAGGTTTGCCATCAAATGGTGACTATCACAATTTTTTAAGTCTAAAAATTATATGTCTCACTTGAGGTCAGGAGTTCGAGACCAGCCTGGCCAACATAGTGAAACCCTGTTTCTACTAAAAATACAAAAATCAGCTGGGTGTAGTGGCAGATGCATGTAATCCCAGCTAATTGGGAGGCTGAGGCACGATAATCGCTTGAACCCAGGAGGCAGAGGTTGCAGTGAGCCAAGATTGTGCCACTTCTCTCTGATACAGCCCCGAGCACATCGTACAGCAGGAAATGTTCTAAGTTTTAAATAAAAACCATGATGCAAAATTCTATTTACAGTATAATCTCAAATGTATTAGAAAGAGAGAAAATAAACAGGAGAAGTGGAAACATATAAATACACAAAAATCTTCAGTATTTTTGGAATAATGAACCTAAACAGGATTGTCCTAAACTTTCTTTACAACACAGAGATGTTTAATTAGGTAAGATACATGTTTAACATTACATTGTGTTAGAAACACTAATGTACTTTAACAAACATGTGGGGCAGCATTAGGTAGGTTTCACTCTGGGGGTTTCATTTACTTGTTTGTTTGGTAAACCTGAGACACTAATATGCACTAGGTTTTGTTGTTGTTGTTGTTGTTGTTGAGACAAGGTCTCACTCTGTCGCCCAGGCTGGAGTGCAGTGGCTCCATCTCGGCTCACTGCAACCTTTACCTCCTGGGTTCAAGTGATTCTCATGCCTCAGCCTCTCAAGTAGCTGGAATTACAGGCATACACCACCACGCCTGGCTAATGTTTTGTATTTTTAGTAGAGATGGGGTTTCACCATGTTGCCCAAGCTGGTCTTGAACTACTGAGCTCAGGCAGTCTGCCCACATTGGCCTCCCAAAGTGCTGGGATTACAGGTGTGGACCACCACGCCCAGCCTATGCACTAGTTTTAAAATTCAGAGGATTAAATTTGCTTTACATCATATAAAGAAATGTGTAGGCTGGGCGCAATGGTTCATGCCTGTAATCCCAGGACTTTGGGAGGTGGAGGCAGGTGGATCACTTGAGGTCAGGAGTTAGAGAGCAGCCGGGCCAACATGGTGAAACCCCATCTCTATTAAAAAATGTACACAAAAAATTAGCCATGTGTGGTGGCACATGCCTGTAATCCCAGCTACTCAGGAGGCTGAGGCATGAGAATCCCTTGAGCCCAGGAGGTGGAGGTTGCAGGGAGCTGAGATCACGCCACTGCACTCCAGCCTGGACAACAGAGCCAGACTCCATCTCAAAGAAAAAAGAAAGATAGAAAAGAAAAGAAAAGAAAAGAAATGTGTAAACATGCCCAAGAAAATCAGTTAACTGGCAAAAATGAACTGCTGATTCTTTTTTCTTACTCATCTTTCCTTCTGATTCATTTCATTCTCCTACTAAATACCTTCCTTGCAGGATTCTAATCAGGACTTAGATTGAAATCCAAACCCTTTAGTTCTTTATTTTTTTTATAATTATTTTTTCTTCAGGTCTCATAATATTTTGTTTGTTTGTTTGTTTTTTGAGATGGAGTCTTACTCCAGTTGCCCAGGCTGGAGTGCAGTGGCCTGATCTCGGCCCACTGCAACCTCCACCTCCCAGACTCAGGAAATCCTCCCACCTCAGCCTCCCAAGTAGTTGGGACCACAGGCACATGCCACCACACCCGGCTAAGTTTTTGTATTTTCAGTAGAGATGAGGTCTCACCATATTGGCCAGGCTGGTCTTGAACTCCTGAGCTCGAGCAATCCGCCACCCTCAGCCTCCCAAGAGTGCTGGGATTACAGGCGTGAGCCACCACACCCAGCCTTCATCTTTATTTCTTTAAAGAAACACATAAATGGTGCTTCTCTTCGTGTACTCCTCTAAGCACTGTGTATTACTCAATTCACCTAAGTAATTCTTCAGGTTGGCATTCGTAGCATGGCGACTTGGTTTCCACCTTGGACCAGCCTTTCCTACCTTTCCAATGGGTCTGTAACGTGGCCTTAGAAACATCCTCAAAGGGACTTCTCATCTCATTCATCTCTTCCTCCCACACAATCCTCCCACCCCCACCCCAAAATCCACTTGTCAAAAGTCAAGACAAGCTCTAATCCTACCTGCATTAAACCTTCCCGAAGCCTCCCGGTCAGAACTATTCCTACCCACTCCTTTCTCTGGTACTGGAGGTACAACAATTTCTGAAGAATATAAACTCTCATAGGAATTAAACCTACTAGTTTACATCATCTTTCTCTAGTTTCCTCTCCTCATCCGGCTTGGCTCTGTGTTCTACATAATAGATATGGCTCAACATGTCATGCCTTGTAAATACACTCATTTAATCTATAAAATAAAGATAGACTGTAGTTAAAGAGCAGTTTTCACTAGTGCCAACCATGTACAGAACGCCATATACTGCCCCATGTCATTCTTTATTACCAAAATTGTTATAAATGGCCACATTATAAAATAATTACCATTTCCTGAGCATTTTCTGTGTGCCAAGTACTATGTAAGTGCTTTACATGCCTTCTAAATTCACATATTCCCCCCAAATTACTCTTTAACAGAAAAACTTGCCTTATTACCCAAGTCTATTATAATGTTCTCATATTATGGAGGGTTCACCACTTTATAAAAAACAATATACTCTTTGAGGGAGACACATTAACCAGAACTAATTCAGTTAGGGTAGTTTTGGATGTTTATAGAAATCATATGATAAACTATCAAAAAAATGGGATGGGGAGACAAAGAAATTTAACATGGATAGATGAATTATTCCTAGGGGATGACTTTACAATTGTTACTGCTAGGAAATTTATAAAGTAGCTATAGAAAGATTCTTTAAAAGAAAAAAAAAAGCACAGCAAGTTGCCATGCTATGGAATCACAAGTGTATTATTACAAAAGGAAAAAACATCTAAATGTTTGAGAATTAGTCTTTGAGGCTGGGGATAAAATTTGCAGTGCCAGCATTGTAGATGGGTTCAAAAAGCTCTGCATAGCAAACATCTCCAAGAGGCAAAGGTAACATGGTCTGGGAACTCTGTTCAGAGAGACTCAAAAAGTGATTGTAATGAAGACAAACATGCTGAAGTTGGAGATATCAGCCCAGAGTTTGAACAAAAGCATTCTGTGAAATGTGAAAGTAGAAATATTATAATAATAGATCACTTATTAATATTTCAATCACATTATATAACTAAATACTTTCCTTAAAAACTAAACTCACGGCTGGGAACAGTGGTTTATGCCTATAATCCAAGCTACTTGGGAGGCTGAGGCTCAAGAATCGCTTGAACCCAGGAGGCGGAGGTTGCAATGAGCCAAGATCACACTACTGAACTCCAGCCTGGGTGACAGAGCGAGACTCTATCTCAAAAAAAAACAAAAAACAAAAAGCAAAAAAAACTTAACTCATGCAGTTTACCGTGGCTCACGCCTGTAATCCCAGCACTTCGAGAGGCCAAGGCCAGCGGATCACTTGAGGTCAGGAGTTTGAGACCAGCCTGGCTAACATGGTGAAACCCTGTCTCTACTAAAACTGCAAAAATTAGCTGGGTGTGGTGGTGCACACTTGTAATCCCAGCCACTCCACAGGCTGAGACAGGAGAATCGCTTGAATCCAGGAAGTGGAGGCTGCAATGAGCCGAGATCACACCACTGCACTCCAGCCTGGGCCAACAGAGTGACTCTGTCTCAAAAAAATAAAAAATAAAACTAAATTCATGTGAAAGAAGCTTCTCTGCCAAGACCAGGCCTGGAGAGCATCTGTGCTCTTCAGAAGCAACTCTGCCAAGACCAGGCCTGGAGAACATCTGTGCTCTTCAGAAGCAACTCCTCTTATAGCACCTGCAACTACGGGTAGAAACAGGTGGCACTGGGAACTCATTAGGAGCCCTCAGGTCTCTTTAAAGTCCCTTCAACTTCATACAAACTTCACCATATCAAGAGATAGAGGATAATATATTAGAAAGAGATAAGAAGTTGAAAAACAGTCCTCTCCTTGTGTTCTGTTGTGACACACATTTGTTTAATGAATTTTTAGCAAATTGAGAATTTAACAATTTTAAGAAATTTTAGAGTCATAGAGACCTAAAATCTCCATCTTCTGTATTTGACCCGAATCTTAGAGCAGGAAATGACCAGAGAACACACACAGCCTTTTCGGTTTGCTTCCAAATTCTCAGCTAGAATATCAACAGAGTAACGACGTGAAATGTGCAAATCTCAGAACACAAAATATCAAGGAAAGATACTGGGAATAATGACTCTTTTAGCTTTAGGTAAATTTGCATAAACCTTATAGCAGTAAGTGCAGCCTTTGAAAAGACAAGGGTATGCCTCAGGATTCTTCAACAGGGCAGGGCCTGTGCGTGGGCACAGGAGCTCCAGGAGCGGGATGCCTGGAAAGAGGGCCAAGCCACAGGGGCTGCTCCCAGCTCCACCTGCAGGGACCACTCACCTCTCCAGGCTCATCCCGCTGTGCAAACAACCCTCATGAGGATTTCTCTTTTTTAAAGTAAAGTTGTTGGAAAGGCTACATGCAAGTGAAAGGTTTTCTTTTTGATGATGTAAGCTTTTGCTCAATTACATATGAGAACAATAATATAATCTGTCATTTGATAAGATGATAAAACAAAATAAAATAGTATTAGCAGTCCAGAAAACCTATTTTTGCTAAAACTGTTAATGCCTCTAAAATACAACATTGTCACCAGAATCCCTAGTGGCCTCACGGATAAGGCATTGGTCTCTTGAAACAGAACATTGTCACGCTAGTTTGATGAGAACCCAGGATAGAGGGTGTTTTGGGGATCACATTTCCTATCACATAAAACAAAATCCTGCCCTTGAAGATGCAAAATGCCCACACCTGCCACTGCTCTGTATCCTGCCCTGTTCCTCCGGAGAGGCTGGGAGACAATGTCTCAGGCCCCACAGATGCGGCGCCAGTGTCCTTCACTCACCTGAATGTGCATGGCACCCTCTACTGCTTCTTGGATATTGGGACAACCACTGATGAGTGACAGCTGCTCTTCCACACTCAGGGAGCCTTTCAGAGAACCTGCCTGCTCCAGCAACTTCATCTCCTTTCTGGAAAGGCAGAGAGAAGGATCACTGTGAGTATTCAACACCACATTTAAAAACAGATAAAGCCCAACATCAGGAATCATCAGGGAAATGCCAAGCAGAACCACAGTGAGATACCACCTCACACCCATTAGGGGCTACCAAAAATAGAAACTAGCAATTGTTGGCAAGGATGTGGAGAAACTGGAACCATTGTGCACTGCTGGTGAGACTGTAAAATGGTGCAACCGCTATGGAAAACAGATATGGCAGTTCCCAAAAACAGAATTACAGTATGATCCAGCAATTCAACTTCTGGGTATAAACCCAAAATAATGGAAAGCAGGGTCTCCAAGAGATTTTTGTACACCCATGTGCACAGCAGCATTATTCACAATAGCCAGGAGCTAGAAGCAACCTAAGCATCCATCAATAGATGAGTAGATAAAAAAACATGGTACATACACACAACAGAATATTATTCAGCAGTAAACAGGAAGAAAATTCTGTCACACGCTACAAAATGGATGAACCTTGAGGACATTCTGCTGAGTGAAATAAGCCAGTCACAAAAGGAAAAATACTGTGTGATTCCACCTAGAAGAGGTATCTAAAGCAGTCAAAATAATAGAGGCAGGCCAGGCTAGGTGGCTCACTCCTGTAATTCCAGCACTTTGGGAGGCCGAGGTGGGTGGATCACTTGAGGTCAGCAGTTCGAGACCAGCCTGGCCAGCATGGTGAAACCTCATCTCTACTAAAAATACGAAAAATTAGCTTGGCATTGTGCCGCGTGCCTGTAATCTCAGCTACTCAGGAGGCTGAGGCAGGAGAATCGCTTGAACCCAGGAGGCAGATGTTGCAGTGAGCTATGGTAGCACCACTGCACTCCAGCCTGAGCGACAGAGTGAGACTCTGTCTTGAAAAAATAATAACAGAGACAGAACTAGAATGTTGGTAGCTGCCAGGGGCTGGAGGTTGAGGAATGGGGAGTTAAGGTTTAATGGGTCCAGAGTTTCAATTTGAGAAGATGAAAACATGCTGGAGATGAATGATGGCGATGGTAGCACAACAATGTAAATATACTTAATATACTTAAAATATTAAGGGAAATTTTATTACATACACTTTACCACAACTTAAAATCTTAATTACTTTTTTTAAAATGAAACAATCTCATGGCAGGGGATGGGGTGGGGGGGCATGTTGGAAAACAGTGGTTCTTAATCCTCTTCCTTGGGTCAGTCCCCTGGGATGGAAGGATTGAAAGAAGGTACCTTATAGCAGAGTAGGCTTCGGGGCATGTGGTCTGTGCGGTCACCCGGGCCACCATGCTCAGAAGGGCCTGTGCTGGGTTTACTGCTCTGCTGTTAGCTTCTTAAAATTCTTAATATATTTTTGCTTTTTGGGTTTTGTTTTGTTTTGATTTGATTTTTTGCTTTGTTTTGTTTTTTGAGACAGGATCCTGCTCTGTCGCCCAGGCTGGAGTGCAGTGGCACAATCATGACTCGCCATAGCCTCGACCTCCCAGGATCAAGTGATCTCCCACCTCAGCCTCCCAAGTAGCAGGGACTACACATGCGTGCCACCACGCCTGACCAATTTTTTGTATTTTTTGGTAGAGACGGGGTTTCGCCATGTTGCCCAGGTTGATCTCTAACTCCTGGGCTCAACTGATCCTCCTGCCTTGGCCTCCCAAAGTGCTGGGATTATAAGCGTGAGCCACAGCACCTGGCCCTAAATTTTTTTAAAAGGAAGGAAAGAATCTTTGAGATGTTTTTCTCATATAAGTAATTTGGAAGATTCGTAATATATCAGCTTAAAAAAATCTACTTATCTTAAAATAGGGCCATAAAACAGCTATCTTATTTTGGACAATTATAAGGACAAACATACTGATCCCTGCTCAGATCTCATCACCCACAAAACAACTCAGTGTTAAGTACTAAATATCCTGGACCACCATCCCCAGTGAGCAGGCATTTTCAAATTTTCATATAGAACAAATTCCTTGAATTAGAGGCTTATAAAGTTAGTGAGGCCAGCCACAGTGTCTCACGCCTGTAATTCCAGCACTTTGCGAGGCCAAGGCAGGCGGGTCACTTGAGGACGGGAGTTTGAGACCAGCCTGGGCAACATGGTGAAACCTCGTCTCTACAAAAAATACAAAAACTAGCTGGGCGTGATGGTGCACACCTGTAGTCCCAGCTACTTGGGAGGCTGAGGTGGGAGAATCACTTGAGCCCAGGAGGTGGAGGCTGCAGTAAGCCATGATTGTGCCACTGTACTCCAACCTGGATGACAGAGCGAGACCCTGTCTCAAAAAACAAGCAAGCAAAAAACAAAAGTAAGTTAGTGAAAAATATACAAAACCAAATATGTGTCTTGGCCAGTTCATCTGGAAGTTTACTAGTTGCATAGGGTACTATGAGGTGTCTTAGCAACAGATTAGAAATTTAAGATTTCTAATAGCTAAATCAAAAAAGAACTGGTCCAAGGTAAGTGCCAGTAAATAGATATTTGAAACATCATGGAGGGAAATATAACAAAAAGGGTCATGAGAAAAGGTTCCTCTATTAAGGTAAAAAGGAAACGCAGACATTCACGGGTCCTACAGGGTCCTGCGATTCAGCATCAACAGCACTCAGCACACTTCCCTGAACACAGACTGTGCCTCTTAAGTGGCTTTATTCAGGAAAAGAGAGCACCATGTGATCCAAAGCTCATTTATCATTCACTGTGTAGTATGTTTTGATCCATCTTTGAAAATGTTGTTACACAACTCTGTAAACATACTATAAAACCACTGAATTGGACGTGTCAAATGAGTCAATTGTATGACATGTAAATTTATCTCAATAAAGCAGTAGCATTAATATCTTATTGCTACTGTAACAAATTATCACAAACAGTGGCTTAAACAATACAAATGTATTATCTTACAGTTCTAGAGGTCAGAAACCCCAAGTAGACTAACATCAAAGCGTCAGCAGGGAACGCACTCTTTCTGGAGGTTTCAGGGAGAATGCATTCCTGGCCTGTCTCAGCTTCTAGAGGCTGCCTGCATCCGTGGCTCATGACCCCTTCCCCCTCCATAGCCAGCCAACCCTGCCCCACCTGTTTCTGCCATCATGTCTCCTTCCTCCTTTATCCCTCTAAGGACCCATGTGATTACACCAGGCCAAGCCAGCTATTCCAGGATAATCTCCCCATCTTGCCATTCTTAATTCAATTACATCTGCAACGTCCCATTTGCCATGTAAAGTTCTGGCTCATCCAAAGCTATGCCAAAAATCTGGACATCTAACTGTGGTTGCAGGTATATTGTTCTGAGGATGATATGCAATTTGCTCCTGCCAGGCACTTGGGGGTGCTACCAACCAAGGAACCAATCTGAATTCTTGGCTTGGGGGTTTTCCAGATGACACAGGTAGTATGAATTTGAGGATTGCTCTATGGTTATAAATTCTCAGAGAAACTCTTCCTCCCCTCCACTCAGAGTCAATGCCCCCACCGGTGACCCTCCATTTAGGGGATCCAAGTTCTCTTTTTCGCCAATGATGTAGCTGTTAGAGAACTCTAGCTTCTGTCAGAGATCTCCAATTAGATTCCCATCTTGCACAGACTCGGGTTGGCTGTTACAATCGAAGCTCTAGATTAGCAAGACTGAGCAGCCGCCAGCTGTGGCTGTCAAGCACCCCTTGGAACTGGTGCTCCGAGGCAGGCCTCTGAAATTCTCCATTACCTTCTTGCCATGTGAGCTTACTACCATGACTTCCACGGACTGGACCCCACATGTGAATCTGGGCCAATGGCAGAGGCCCATAGGCAGCCGGTGGTGGCTGCAGTAACCAGCCCAAGGGAAGCCTGAGCCCTATAGCGACAGGGCGGTCAGAAATGCAGACCCAGGCCAGGCGCGGTGGCTCACACCTGTAATCCCAGCACTTTGGGAGGCCGAGGTGGGCAGATTACCTGAGCTCAGGAGTTTGAGACCAGCCTGGCAAACATGGTGAAACCCCGATTCTACTAAAAATACAAAAATTAGCCAGGTGAGGCTGCACATCCCTGTAATCCCAGCTACTTAGGAGGCTAAGGCAGGACAATCACTTGAACCTGGGAGGTGGATATTTCAGTGAGCCGAGATCACGCCACTGCACTCCAGCCTGGGCGACAGAGCTAAACTCCATCAGAAGAAGAAGAAGAAGAAAGAAGGAGAAGGAGAAGGAGAAGAAATGCAGACTTCCACAGTGGGCAGACTGGTTGAGGGCAGGAAGGAGCAACAGAAACACAGCCCGTAGTGGAGTCACCATGACCACAGGCCATAAAAAGTCAGGACTTTAGAAAAGGACACAGCCACCCTATAACTGCTGTGAGCTGCCAGAGCCACTGGCTGACTATCAGAGGCTCAGGTGTCCCCTGAACAATGTCTGTTTCTGCGACAAAGATGCAGCCGCAGAGATGGTGTCCTGTATCTCTTACTCCCTCGCCTGGTATCACAATCAACCCTCATCAAGAGCAGAAATCAGAGTACCCTGTCCTTTATAGCCTGAAAGGGCCTAGCGCAGACTTTGTTTGGAGATTACAACACATTTGAATTTTTCAGTTTTTAACTATACGATTTATATAAGTTTGACCTGCAGCAGTGGCTAAGCCTTGGAGTCAACATTGGTAAAAGACAACCACACTGCCCATAAACACAACCAGAAGAAAAACATTCATATGGCAGAAGAGCTATTTGTAGCTACCAAGCAAAAACTCACTTCAGCTTAATTGAAAGTTTTTTGTGTTACGGAGGAATAAGTGAGATGTTTAATACTGCGCCCATTGCTTTTCTAAGACTATTTCCTTTTCATAATTTATTTAAGAAATTTTAAATGTAGAAAGAATAATAAACATCCTCATCTCTCCACCCTCCAGAACTAACCACCGCCAATCCTCTTTGTCACTTTTTAAGTAAACAAAACCTAAATGAATCTCTTAGCGCCATCATCCCAGCCTCACCCAACCATCTTTCCACTGAACACACACAGGGTCTCTGGATGCCAAGGTCTGGGAACATAGTGAGTAACCATTGCATCCTTTAGGAAACTATGTCTGAGCGCCTGATGTGCTCAAAGCACCTGCTCCAAGCCTTAGTAGGCCAGCTGTGCGTCTTCAAACCTTTCCACTAATCCAAAGCAAACTTTTAGCCTTTTTTCCCAAAAGTACTGCATGAGATTAGACAGATAATGGGAGAACAGGAGTCTCTTGTTCCTCGATCCTCCAGGGACCACCCCGGAATGAGAATGTCCCATGGAGACAGCAAGCAGTGGCAAGAAAAGACACAACCACTCGCCTCTTTCAGAGCAGACTCAGGCTGAGGAATGTGCAGTGGTGGTTCTGCCTCAGGCCCTTCCTCCCTGGGCAGCACACACAGGTAGGACAGAGAACCTGGGCATGAGGGAGAGACACGGTCACACATGAACCCATCAGCCAACTGCAAACTCCAGGACCCTGCTGTGTGGTCCCGAGGGACGTCCAGTGAAAGCTGCGGAGGAGCTTCCGACATCTGCAGACAGACCCCTGTGTTCTCTTTAGGGCCAACAAATCCACATGCCACAAATCAAACCCAGCCTTTTGGCAACATTTTGTCCCAGTTAGATTAATTCCAATTTTTTTTATTCTTTTGGAAGAACTTCTGCATCAAGCTTTGTAGAAGACGTACATAAACACCTAGAAAAGATGTGCCAATCAACCGGGATTTTCAAATGCCACACACATACCAGGCTGTGGCATTGCCACACTTAACAGTTAACGTCAGGTTAGAGGCACTAGTAGAAGGCTGCAATGTGCCAGTTCTACCTCTAGAGGTCAGCCTAACACTAGGACTCAAAATACTGGCTCCTAACCAGTAAAGTTAAATTTTTACTTAAAATTAGAGAAAAGGAAATGTTAACAATTCTCACGGTAGGACAGGGTATGGGTGATTTTAATTTTTTTTAATGTTTCTATCTTTGAAATGTACTCAAAAGGAGCATGTATTTATTTTTAAAAAAGACTGAAGAAATTGGAACCTTGTGCACTGATGATGGGAATGTGGAAACGGCACAGCTGCTGTGGAAAACGTATGGTGGTAACTCAAAAAGTTAAAAATAGAGCCACCATATGATCCAGGAACCCCACTGCTGTGCATATATCCAAAAGAACTGAAGCGGGATCGCAAAGAGAGATTTGCACAGTCATGTTCCTAGCAGTGTTGTCAACAACAGAAGAAGCAAGCAATCCAAAAGTCCACCAACAGATGGAGGGATAAACAAAACATGGTTTCACACCTACGGTGGAATCTTATTCGGCCCCACAGGGGAAGGAAGTCCTGTCATATGTCATATGCCAGGCTGGAGTGCAGTGGCGCAGTCTCAGCTCACTACAACCTCCCCCTCCCGGCTTCAGGCGATTCTCCTGCCTCAGCTTCCCAAATAGCTGGGACTACAGGAATGCACCACCACACCCAACTGATTTTTGTATTTTTTAGTGGAGACGGGTTTTCACTCTATGTTGGCCAGGCTGGTCTTGAACTCCTAACCTCAGGTGATCCACCTGCCTTGGCCTCCCAAAGTGCTGGGATTACAGGTGTGACCCACCTCGCCCGGCCTAGGATGAACTTTTTACTTAACATTATGCTTAAGTGAAATAAGCCAGACACAAAAGGACAGATGCCATATGACTCCACCTACAACAGGTACCCAGAGCAGTCAAACTCACAGTGACAGAAAGTAGAATGGTGGATGCCAGGGGCTGGCAGAGGCACAAAAGAAGAGTTGTTTAATGGGCACAGAGTTCAGTTTTACAAGATGAAAAAGCTCTGCAGATTGCACAACCATGTGAACGTACTTAATGCTACTCAACTATTATACACGTTAAAATGGCAAAGATGGCCAAACTTCATGAGAACTAGAATTTAGAAATAAGTCGATTTAGGGTATAACAAGCTCATAGATTTTACAGAATGACTTAGAAAATCGTTTTGGCTAGTATATTCCCGTTAATTCATGCAATAATCTAGGTCCTGGACTTTGAATTACACACAGTAACATAAAGCACATCTATTTATCTCTGCTCCCTCCAGAAACCTTAGTAAAACCAGGCTAATAATGGATCTTTTTTTAAAAGCATAGACCTGTGCCTGGTGTGGTGGCTTACACCCATAATCCCAACACTTTGGGAGGCCGAGGCAGGCAGATCAGATCTCTTGTGCTCAGGAGTTTGAGACCAGCCTGGGCAACATGGCAAAAAGGCTGAGGTAGGAGGATCACTTGAGCCCCCGAGGTGGAGGCTGCAGTGAGCAGAGATCATGCCACTGCACTCCAGCCCGGGCACCAGAGCAAGACCCCGTCTCAAAAAAAAAAAAAAAAAGTGTAGGCCCACAAGGTCAGAGATTATTGGGAGACAAAATGGACAAAATATGCTAATTTTTTGGAAAATTGGAAATCATGCAAAAGTAGTCAGGTAAATGATTGAATGAGGTGGAGAAAGCTAAAACTTAGGCATGGGGTTAAGGAAAATGCCAACGAAAAGCAAGTCGCAATAGCTCCTGAGAGACGTGGAAAAGGTCAGAATCTGCAGGTACCAAAGAGGACACAGTGTGAATGAGGAGTGGGAGGTGACAAGAGTTTACTGAAAGCGGTGCCACTACTAAAGAAATCCAACCACAATAGGCCAGACACAAGAGGCCGTTGGGGGGTGCTACAGATACCAGGGGCTTCAGATAGAGGACACCCTGAGAGGCGAGAGCCATGCGTGCCCACACACCACATACACACAACTACACACACACCACCATACACACAACTACACACACCGCATATACACACTACACACACACCACCACACACACTACACACACACCACCATACACACAACTACACACACCGCATATACACACTACACACACACCACCACACACACAACTACACACACACCACCATACACACAACTACACACACCACATATACACACTACACACACACCACCACACACACAACTACACACAGCACACACCACATATACGCACTAGACACCACACACCACACACACACAACTACACACACCACATATAGGCACTACACACACCATATATATGCACCACACACACCACACACAACTACATACATACCACATACACACAACTACACCACCACATACACACACTACACACCACACTCCACATACACACAACTACACACACCACATATATGCCCTACACACACCACACAAACACACACCACATACATACAACTACACACACATCTCATATACACACTACACACACCACCATACACACAACTACACACACCACATATACATACTACACACACACCACCATACATACACCACATACACACAACTACACACACCATATATACACAGTACAATATAAGGATTTATACTCATATTGAATTTCCAAAACTAATGTTTTCATTTACCATTTTTTAATGATGGATTGAAAACTAGTTGTCTTACTTTGATAACTTTGGCATTGAACTTATCACATTTTTGATGCTTTTGGTCACAGTTCTGTCTCTAGAGCTACACACACAACTACACACACACCCTATACACACTACACACACACCACACATACACACAACACCATACACACTACACACACCCCATATACACAGTACATACACACCACACATACACCACCATACACACTACATACACCGCATATACACACTATACACACGCCACCATACACACTACACATACCCCATATACACACTACATACATGCCACCCTACACACTACACACACCCCATATACACACTACACACACACCACCATACACACTACACACACTCCATATACACACTACACACACATGCACATACCTCATACACACACTATACACACCACTTACACACACTACGCACACCACATACATACTATGCACACCAATACACACTACACACACCATATACACACTACACACACACTGCCTAATGGAAAGCCAGTGTCTAGGCCCGTGTGTCGGAATAACAGGGTTTTCTTGGAGCATTGATCTGCTCTTTAATATAAAATTATAAAAGGTTATAAAGTTTATGGAAATCTCACCTTATGGTCAAACTGATTAGATTTATTTATAATGTTTTATTAAAATTAGCATTAACATTAATAATATACCATACAAAGGTAAAATTTGGTTTTCTCTTTTGAACAAAATTTTCATGTAAGAGATAAGAGATTTTTATTTACCTTTTCAGTAAAACCACAGAAGAAAACAAATAGAGGGAAGGAGAAAGACAGATTTAGCTGGCCTCATGCTGTCTTTACTAGGTCTTAATGTTTAGGAAACTCAGTCTCCTATCAAAGAGAAAATGTTTTTGTATTATAATTTTGGCCAAATGAATGACTGTTTTATAGTGACTTCTGATCCTATTTTGTGATATCAAGTGTCTTAAAACCTTTGATATTTGACAGACTTCCCAACAGCAAAATATCAAGTTCTAAATTCTCTGACCTTAAACTAACTTTTTCAGCTATTAGGTTCCCTGAAGTCCAAGAGAGACATATTAGGCATATTAGGCTTATGTGTTATGTTAGAATTATTTAAGCCGGGCATGGTGGCTCTTGCCTGTAATTGCAACACTTTGGGAAGACAAGATGGGTAGATTGCTTGAGCCCAGGAGTAAAGAGACCAGCCTGGACAACATGGCAAAACCCCATCTCTACCCAAAAAATACAAAAATTAGCTGGGTGTGATGGCGCATGCCTGTAGTCTCAGCTACTCTGGAGGCTGAGGTTAGAGGATTGCTTGAGCCCAGGGGGCAGAGACTGTAGTGAGCCAAGATCGCATCAGTGCACTCCAGCCTGGGCAACAGAGTGAGACCCTGTCTCAAAAAAAAAAAAAAAAAATGTGGCCGGGCGCAGTGGCTCATGCCTTTAATCCCAGCACTTTGGGAGGTCGAGGCGGGTGGATCGTGAGGTCAGGAGATCGAGACTATCCTGGCTAACACGGTGAAACCCCATCTCTACTAAAAAAATGAAAAAAAAAATTAGCCGGGCGTGGTGGCAGGCGCCTGTAGTCCCAGCTACTAGGGAGGCTGAGGCAGGAGAGTGGCGTGAACCCGAGAGCAGAGCTTGCAGTGAGCCGAGATCATGCCACTGCACTCCAGCCTGGGTGACAGAGCGAGACTCTGACACACACACAAAAAAAAATGTAGGAAGCATTGTCAAATCTGAGATGTTGTTTAGCTCCCTTTGGTTATGTTTATATAGATGTGTTGTCAATGTGTTCCAGGATTATATTAGATTCTTATAATTCTGATATGTCTTAATATGTTGTCAGTAATAATTATGATTTTCATGTTAAATTGTTGTATCCCACAGAAATAACCAAATTTCCTTGTCAACAGTGTCTTTAACTGTGGTTGTCCTAAGACTTTTGTCATCCACAATTGTTGTTTTGTGTTGATTCTTCACAAAAAGTGACTTATAATCAGCTACTGTCCAGGGCTTGTTTCTTTGGGGGGAGTTCATGAAAAGGACTCTTGAATACAAGTTTCTGATAACTTCGGAGATTGTGCCATTGGATGTGAGAGAAAACTTCCAGTGCACTAATGGAAACACTGATGTGTTCACAAAGATGGCTAACTCAACATGAAGCAGAGCAGGAGTTGTCTGCATGGACGGAACTAATGGAGGACTGAAATAACTTTTATGGCTTTTTTGTTTGAAATATTGCTCATTCTTTTTGTTTTTCAGAGTCTGAAGAATTTTTTTCTTTTGAGTCATCCTTTAAGTATCTTTTAAGTATAGTGAGTAGAGTATACTTTTGTAAACAGAATTTGAGGCATATTTCTCTAATTTATCCAGAATTTATAAACTATTTGTGAGTATTCTTAATTCATGGCAATGTGTTTGTTTGCATACAGTTAATAACAACATGTTTTCTTTGGTAATGGGACACAGTTGAAGGAACTGGTTGTTTTCCCAGGGCTTTGACTAAAATGGCCTTGAGAGAGGTTCTAGCAAAGCCAATTTAGGAGAGCCTATGAGAACAGTGATTCTTGTTCCATTTTGTGTGGGTAATCAGGCCAAGTATATGGGACTGAAGCTTATTTTGCAGGTAGATTGGTCCTGCTGTGATGTCTTTGTGAAAGTGGTAGACTGGAGAAAAAGATTGTGTTTCAGAAGAAAAACTTTAGTATTAGATTAGCCTTTGATTCCTGGATGGTCATGAGGTCTTCCATGGTATGGAGCTGCCCACAATGCCTCTCCTCAGCAGGAAGGAGACAGAAAGATGGATGACCAGATGCCCCATGGTTGAGGAATCTATAAACAAGGGGAGACTGAAACCCACTCAATTTTTTCAGTAAACATAGAAATTGATACTTTTTGCCTTAAAGCTTGAAATTTCTATTGGTTTTATCTGAGTTCTTTCCTCAGGAAATTACTTCAGGCATCTCAAAAAAAAAAGTGTTGAAGAACTGAAACTTACCAGATCATCACATCCATACAATGAGACTCCAGGCCCCTCATTCACCATGATTGCTTCCTTGCCCCCCCCTAGTTCCTGTTTTCCTACACAGTGCTACATTTCTTTCCTGCTATATAAACCCCTGATTTTAGGTGGTCAGGGAGATGGATTTGAGACTGAACTCCCATCTCCTTGGCTGCAGCAGCCGATTAAAGCCTTCTTCCTTGGCTGTACTCATCATTTCAGTCATTGGCTTTCACTGCTGTGAGCAGCAGCACCTAGACCAAACTCTTGGTGTTTTGGTAACAAAACCACATTATGAGGAAGGTATTATTATGTCTCCATATCCCAGATGAGGAAACAGATTGAGTGAGTTACCCAGCTATGAAGGCTGAGCCAGATCTGACTGCAAAGCTCACAGTCTGGGCCGCTGAGCCACACTGGACCCCTCTGCACTGCTCACTTATTTTCACACTGTGCTGCCTGCTTTCTATCTACAGTATGACTCCATGTATAATGCAGCTTCCTGAGGAATAAAGGGCATGGCTAACATTTCTTTCAGAAATCTCAGTGCCAGCCTATAGTGAACTCCCAAGGGGATTTCTGGCAGGGTCTTTGGCTCCCACCTATTCCTGAAGGTCTGAGGATCTGAAGAGCTAAAGATGGGGAAGAATGGGGCAGACATGGAAGATCAGGTAAGATTAGCTTAAGGAGGTGAGTCTACCTCATCTCCAGCCAACAGAAATTCTAGCACACTGGAGGCAAAGAACAGAGAGCAGTGAGGAAATAGAAAGGCCAGGGATTGCTTCCTTATGGGATGGCTGTGTTGTGCTGTCTGCTTTGACGTTGACATTGCTGTTGTTTCTAGGCCCTGATTATGCAGAGGCAGAGGGCTGAGCCAGACTCCACCCGACTCCAGCCCCAGGGATCACTCTAACTCCAGACGGGCAGGTTAAGTTGAGGCTGCACAAAAATCTTTAATTAAGTTACTGCAATGCAAAAGAGTCAGAAGACAGCCCAACCACACAGTCCATGTGGCACGGTGATAGTGTGTGGACACTAACAATCATGGCAGGTGTTTCTGAAGTTGGGAAGAGGGCAGAACACTCAAGTTTTCATTAAGAAGAGTAGCTCCAGACTTCCGTTTGACAGCACAATGTTTTAAAAATCTGGCATGCCTATCTCCAAAGACTACCTCCAGTTTGCCCAGGTCTCCACCCCACCCCATTATTCACACCCATTAGCCACCCAGCCCCCTTAGACTTCGGGATCTGCAAACCTTGTAGTGAGGCATGTGAACTTAAATGCACTGTAGGAAGAAAGAAAACTACCTTCTGTCGCACAGGAGGGCTGTGGGTCTGCCTGCCTGGATCCACGCCACTGTGGCCCATCCGGGTCTCTGCCCTCCCCGCTTCCCCCTCCTCACTCAGGTCTCCTCCCTCCGGCCGGGCGAGGTGGCTCACACCTGTAATCCCAGCACTTTGGGAGGCCGAGGTGGGTGGATCACGACATCAGGAGATCAAGTCCATCCTGGCTAACATGGTGAAACCCCATCTCTACTAAAAATGCAAAAAAAAATTAGCTGGGCGTGGTGGCGGGCGCCTGTAGTCCCAGCTACTCGGGAGGCTGAGGCAGGAGAATGGTGTGATCCCGGGAAGAGGAGCTTGCAGTGAGCCGAGATCACGCCACTGCACTCCAGCCTGGGCGATAGAGCGAGACTCCGTCTCAAAAAAAAAAGGTCTCCTCCCCTCCTCCCTCCAGGCCAGTGGTAACACTGGGATCTGGGTAGCAGGGAGACAGACAGGGGAGGAGAGGGCCTGCTTAAGTGTCAAGGCAATCAATTTCACCAAAGTTTACACTGGAGTATCAAGGCCCGGTTAAAAAATGGGGTACTTTGGTTTCCTGTTCACCTTGTTGGAAACCTCACAGGGAGACAATGGCCAGTCAAGGTAGGAGTCACACAATTCTTGAGTCCAATCCTTGACAGCACCTACACCTTCATAGCCCAACCATGACTGCTAATGTGCATTGGTCTAGATGCACAGCACACAGGATCATGCCGGAAGCACGCAGGATCATACCGGAAGCGCACGGCCTCAGAATATGCAGCAAGATCACTCGGAATCCTGCCGCCCAGAGTCAAAGTATTAATATTTTGGCTTCTCCCCAATACTATGGATATATAATTAGCATATATATGACTTTTACAAATCAGATAAAACAAGGCTATTTTTATTTGGGAAGAAAAATAAGGCAAATGAAGCAATTATTTGATCTGTCCTAATGACAGCTAAGTGATAGCAGGATCTGTGAACTCACAGGGAAGTCAGATTGAACAACCCGGCTGAACCCGCAGCCACTGCCATGAACTTTGGGCAACAGACACGGGCTTTAATAATTTTGGCTGGCTCAGCTGGGCTCACTCATGCGGCTTGCAATGAGTAGTGGGTTGTCTGGGGGCTGGTCTAGGATGGCTTCCCTCATCTGTTTAGCAGTCGGTGCTGTGCTGGATGGTGCTGGCTGGTAGCTGGGCCACACACCTCCCGCTGACTAGGCTGGGCTGACCAGATGAGGAGGGAAGAAGGGTCCCCAGCAGGAAGCGAACGAATCTCAATGCACATGCACTTTCCAGGCCTTCTGCTGTGCATGCCACATGTGCTAATAACCGACTGGCCGATGCAAGCCCGTGGCTAAGCCCAGAGTAAGGGGGTGAGAGGAGCAAAGTCACAATGCACAGGGGAGTGCAGACAGAGACGGGAACAATTTGTGACCATACTCAGTTATTCTGGCCAACAGTATGTGGGAAAACTAAAGGTTTCAAATCAGGAGAACAGACCAATCCAGATCAAAACACAGTTCAAGATTAGGCCAGGGCAGAGACCTAGGTAGCAAGTTAAAAACAGGTCAGAGACCCAGTTACTGGAAATGCCTGCGTCCAAGCACAAGAAATTCAGTCACTTAGGAGACACAGTACAGGCCTACCTAGTTTCAGAGATCACTGCTGGTGGTTTATTAACTCCTAGTCCATTCAGAAAGATGATTCACTTTTAGGTGGAGCTGGGTGCCAGGGTGACCATGTACAGATGGTGGAGAAACCAAGATCGAAGCGTACAGGCCCCTAAAGATGGCGATTTCAGATAGGGACTCAGGCCAGACAAGGCAGTGTGTTTGGCTCCTGGAGTTGGGGTGGTCACCAAGATGTCAACACAGCCTAAGTCAGGGCGGCCTGGTCCCTTGAGGACTAGAATGGCCCACCTGCTACGTGGAAATGAGTCTAGCTCCAAATCTTAAGAACTAAAACACTCCTGATCTGTAGGTCCGTGTTACAACTTTGTTTACTTGATTTGCTTTTCTTTTTTCTTTTCTTTTCTTTTCTTTTTTTTTTTTTTTTTTTGAGACAGGGTCTCGCTCTGTCACCTAGGCTGGAGTGCAGTGGTGCAATCTTGGCTCACTGCAATCTCTGCCTCCCACGTTCAAGCGATTCTCCTGCCTCAGCCTCCTGAGTAGCTGCGATTACAGGCACCCACCATCACGCCCAGCTGATTTTTTTGTATTTTTAGTAGAGATGGGGTTTTACTACGTTGGCCAGGCTGGTCTCGAACTCCTGACCTCAGGTGATCCACCTGCCTTGGCCTCCCAAAGTGCTGGGATTTGCTTTTCTTCTTAAAACACAGCTTCATCCTCTAAACTTCTTACTTGAGACCTAATGCAGGCCAAGCACTGGGCATACAATGGTGAACAAAGACAAAGCAGTAAAGTATCTGCTAATGAGGTTCTCCAAGGTCAAGCGACCTTCTATTATGAAATGTAAACATGCTAAGTTTTAAGTTTCTTATTGTGCCACCCTGTTAGAAAAAGATTAGTCTCAGATGACAGCTTTTTGTTTTTCAAGTTCACTAAGATCCCTTGGCATGGTATGAGTTGTGATAATTTCTTTTATCTTCTAATGTTTTAATATTTTTTTAAATCAACTTCCCCCCGTTTAAGTTCATTTTTACAGGTTCAGAATCCATATGTACCATTTCTACTATTTAATACCATTAGTTTTTAATAGGTCTAACACACACAGAATATTCATGCAGATGTAGTGAAATTTCAACCACGTGACATTTTCTAATATGAAACGTTAAAAAAGAATCAGAATATGGCTGGGCACAGTGGCTCACGCCTGTAATCCGAGCACTTTGGGAGACCAAGGCAGGTAGATCACCTGAGATCAGGAGTTAGAGACCAGCCTGGCCAACATGGCAAAACCCCATCTCTAATAAAAAATACTAAAATCAGCCAGACGTGGTGGCACATGCCTGTAGTCCCAGCTACTCGGGAGGCTGAAGGAGGAGAATTGCTTGAACCCGGGAGGCAGAAGTTAGAGTAAGCCAAGATCGTGCCACTGCACTCCAGCCTGGGCAACAAAGTGAGACTCTATCCCACCAAAAAAAAAAAAAAAAAAAAAAATCAGAATATGGGAAGTGGGCCAAACTGCAAGGTGGAATAGACGGTGAGAAAAAAGTGTATGAGGAATATGACTGGAAACATTACCTTCGGAGACTCTAGAAAAGGTTCCTGTGACTCAGTCAAAACAATTGCTGAGCTAATAGGTTCAGGCTAGCAGGTTCAGGCTCTGGGGACAGGAAACGTGCCTGTTGCTTATTTCTGCGTCCATAATGGCTAGTACAGAGACCACACGTCACTGCATAGTGAGGGACACTGGGGGTGTGATGTATGGTCTGTCCTGAGGGAGCCCACGACCTACAGTGGTAGACAAAGACCACAAAACAGGGTGTCAGGGAAGATGCCTGTGGACACAAGCTATTTGGACCCAAAAGTCAATGCAACCCGATTGGAAAGATACATCATTTATACTTCTTGACAAAAGGATTAAGTTGGTTTTCCTTACATTCCTTTTGCCTGATATGTGGTCAGGGACATTTTAACCTTGGGGTTTCTGAACATCTAAGCACCACAGGTCATACACGGTGTTGCTGTTGACAAGACTTCACAATCATTAACCTCCTGGTCTCTGAACTCATTGCACTGACCAAAATACTTACAAAAACAAAGTTTGGTTTCAGTCCTTTTACCTTGGACTCTCTGTGCGGGAATGGTACATTTGAAGATCTTGCGATGTAAGAAAGAGAAAAAGGTAGCTTTATTTAAAAGTCACTCAAGACTAAGAATCCAGTACTTCCTAGGGGGTGCAATATGACACAACATAACTGGATTTTCCTGAAGTTATTTGCCAGTTATTTGAGAAGGAAGAGGTAGTTGGTCACAAGATATCCTAAGCTTCCCTTTTCCTGCCAAAGAAGTACAACCAGTTCTGCATATTTAACTCAGCTTAAATGTGTGTGTTATAAAAATAAAGTACCTGCTACTGAGGAAAGATTTGTATGTACTCCCTTAAAATCCTAGGTACATAAGAATTCAGTACATTTGCTTCTTCTAGAATATGACTGCTAACAGTCATAAGTTATTTAGGTTTTTCTGGTTCAAAAATCTTACAGACTGTATCTAAAAGTTAAATCTAATCAGGCACCAATGATATTAAGAAATACAGCTCTTAATTAAGCATAGTAGGATAACAGGAAAGCCTTTAACCTGGTTAAAAAAAAAACAAAAAAACTTATCCACAACCCTCCATCATTCAGCATCATCAGTCCTGATGCCTGAAAGGACTTTAAAAATCTTTAATGATGCATCTAAAAATAAGGCCTAAAACACAAATACCCAAGAAATAGAACAAAGGACTTTCAATTAGGAACCGTGGGATTTTCTCTTAATTACAAGTGGGTTGGAATTGGCTTTACAGGATAAAAGATGAAATGATAACAGAATTGAAAAGTCTATGGTAGCAGCGAGCAAACTACAGCCCACAGGCCAAATCTGGCCCATCTCCTATTTTTATATGGCCTGTGAGATAAGGATGTGATATGGTTTGGCTGTGTTCCCACCCAAATGTCATCTTGAATTGTAGCTCCCATAATTCCCATGTGTTGGGGGAGGGACCTGGTGGGAGATAACTGAATCACAGGGGCAGGTGTTTCCCATGCTATTCTCATAACAGTGAATAAGTCTCACGAGATCTGATGGTTTTATAAAGCGGAGTTTCCCTGCACAAGTTCTCTTGTTGGCCACTCTGTGAGATGTGCCGTTCACCTTCAACCATGATTGTGAGGCCTCCCCAGCCGCGTGAACTATGACTCCATTAAACCTTTTTCTTTCTTAAATTGTTCAGTCTCAGGTATGTCTTTATTAGCAGCATGAAAACAGACTAATACCGGATGGTTTTTACATTTTTAAACAGTTGGGAAAATTTTAAAATAACATTTTGTGACTCTGAAAATTATACGAACAAAGTTCGATGTTAATCCATAAAGTTTTATTGGAATACAACCACCTCTATTTGATTATTGATTGTCTATGGCTGCTTTTACTTTACAACGAACGGCTGAAACAGAGACCATATGACCCACAAAGCCTACAATATTTACTATCTGGTCTTTACAGAAACAGTTTGTCAACTCCTTGTCTGGAGTCCACTTGGGGCTGGCTTAAAGCATGACCTAATCAGAGATTCACGGGTCTCCTCTTCCCTTGGAGGTACTCTCCTTCTCCAGTACTGGGCCAGCTATGAAGCTAATGTCTCTCAGCTCCAAACCTACCTGTTGCATATACTGTCACCAGAAAACTGATTAAAAGTCCACGCCCAGGCTGGGCACAGTGGCTCACACCTGTAATCCCAGCACTTTGGGAGGCCAAGGCAGGCGGATCACAAGGTCAGGAGATCGAGACCATCCTGGCTAACACAGTGAAACCCCGTCTCTACTAAAAATATAAAAAATTAGCTGGGCGTGGTGGCGAGCACCTGTAGCCCCAGCTACTCCGGAGGCTGAGGCAGGAGAATGGCATGAACCTGGGAGGCGGAGCTTGCAGTGAGCCAAGATCGAGCCACTGCACTCCAGCCTGGGCAACAGAGCAAGACTTTTCATCTCAAAAAAAAAAAGAAAAAAGAAAAAAAAAAGTCCATGCCTGGCCAGGCACAGTGGTTCACAACTGTAATCCCAGCACCTTGGGAGGCTGAGGTGAGCTGATCACTTCCAGACAAGCCTGGCCAATATGGCGAAACCCTGTCTCTACAAAAAAATACAAAAATTAGCTGGGCGTGGTGGTGCACACCCCTAATCCCAGCTACTTGGGAGCCTGAGGTGAGAGGATCAACTGAACCCAGGAAGTGGAGGCTGCAGTGAGCCAAGATCACACCACCCCACTCCAGCCTGGGTGATGGAGACAGACATGGTCTCAAAAAAAATAAAATAAAATAAATGTCCAGGCCTCCTGAAAAGCCAGGATAGCCCTCAAGGACAGAAGGAGAAGCATTTTTTAGCAGCCACCATTTCCAAAGTGGAGCTTGCTATGCTCTTTAATACACAAATGTGGGAATAAAAGATGAATTTAATTAAGTAGATGTAATTTACTCAGGAAGACCACAAATTCCTTAACATTCTTTACAATTATAAAATTAACGGCTTTTTTATTATCAATAAATTACTTCCTATTGCTCCCTAAATCACCTCCATAAAACCAAATATTAAGCTGTTTGTGTTACATTTCCTGTGATGCCTTTTAAAAACATTTTGGGCTGGGTGCAGTGGCTCACGCCTGTAATCCCAGCACTTTGGGAGGCCAAGATGGGTGGATCACGAGGTCAGGAGATCGAGACCATCCTGGCTAACACAGTGAAACCCCGTCTCTGCTAAAAATACAAAAAAAAATTAGCCGGGCGTGGTGGCGGGCGCCTGTAGTCCCAGCTACTCAGGAGGCTGAGGCAGGAGAATGGCATGAACCTAGGAGGTGGAGCTTGCAGCGAGCAGAGATCGCTCCACTGCACTCCACTCCGGCCTAGGTGGCAGAGCGAGACTCCAAAAAAAAAAAAAAAAAAAAAAAAAAACAAAAAAAAAAAACTGACAACAACAACATTTTGGGCCAGGCTCAGTGGCTCACACCTATAATCCCATATAATCCTAGCACTTCGGGAGGCTGAGGTGGGTGGATCACCTGAGGTCAGGAGTCAGCCTGACTAACATGGTGAAACCCCACCTCTACTAAAAATACCAAATTTAACCAGGCGTGGTGGCTTGTGCCTGTAATCTCAGCTAATTGGGAGGCCGAGACAGGCGAATTGCTTGAACCCAGGAGGCAGAGGTTGCAGTGAGCCAAGATCGCGCCATTGCACTCCAGCCTGGGCAACAAGAGCAAAACTCAATCCCCAAAAAAAAAAAAAAAAAATTGATTCAATCTGAAAACATCTTTTTGCCTCATAGTTTTTTGTTTTGTTTTGTTTTGTTTTTAGAATTAGTGCTCTATCAAGGGTTTTTTTTTTCTTTCTCCTGACTATATGACTTTGAGCTATTTTTACTGAGGCTTAAAATTTATTTCAAGACTACCTGAAGACTTCTACTTCCAGCACTATGATGGACCAGAATCCCTGAAGGGCCTCTCTTTTCAAAATCTCAGGATCCTTCATAAAACTAGTTTTTATGCACAGAGAGTCGCAGCAAATGCAGAAAGAAAAAATTTTAAGGCTTCCCCTTTAATCAAAAATGTTTTTACATTAAAAAGTACTACTCAAAGAAGATATGCAGATGACAAACATACGAAAAGATGCTCCACATCATATGTCATCAGAGAAATGCAAGTCAAAACAAGGAGATGCCATTAGGCCAGGCTTGGTGGCTCACACCTGTAATCCCAGCACTTTGGGAGGCCGAGGCGGGTGGATCACCTGAGGTCAGGAGTTTGAGACCAGCCTGGTCAATGTGGTGAAAACCTATCTCTACTAAAAATACAAAAAAATTAGCTGGGCGTAGTGGCAGTCGCCTGTAATCCCAGCTACTCGGGAGGCTGAGGCAGGAGAATCGCTTGAACCTGGGAGGCAGAGGTTGCAGTGAGCCGAGATCGTGCCATTGCACTCCAGCCTGAGCTACAGAGGGAGACTGTCTCAAAACAAAACAAGAAACAAAAAAACAAGGAGATACCATTATTTGCCTATTAGAATGGCTAAAATCCAGAACACTGACACCACCACATGCTGGTAAGGATATGGAGCAATGGGATCTCTCCTTCATTGTTGGTGGGAATGCAAAATAGGACAGCCATTTTGGAAGGCAGTTTTGCAATTTCTTACAAAGCTAAACAACCTGTTACCATCCAATCTAGCAATTGTGCTTTTTGGTATTCACCCAAAGGAGTTGGAAACTTATGTCCATACAAAAACCTGCACATGGAATTTAGAGCAACTTTACTCATAATTGCCAAAACCTGGAAGCACCCAAGATGTTCTTCAGTGGGTGAATAGATAAATAAATTGTGGTACATCCAGGCAATGCAATATCATTCAAGCTCAAGCCATGAAAAGACATGGAGGAAACTTAAATGCATTTTACTAAGTAAAAGAAGCCAGTCTGCAAAGCCTACATACTGTATGATTTCAATTATATAACATTCTGGAAAAGGTAAAACTGTGGAGACCGTAAAAGGATCAGTGGTTGCCAGCGGTTGGGGGGAAGGGAGGGATGGAAAGGAAGAATTTGAGAGCAGTGGGATTATTCTGTGTAATACTACAAGGGTAGATACATGTCAGTATACATTTCTCCAAATCCATAGAGTGTAAACACCAAGTGAATCTTTTTTTTTTTTTTTTTTCAAGACAGAGTCTCACTCTGTAGCCCAAGCTGGAGTGCAATGGTGTGATCTCAGCTCACTGCAATCTCCGCCACCCAGGCTCAAGTGACTCTCATGTCTCAGCCTCTCGAGTAGCTGGGATTACAGGTGCCCGCCACCATGCCCAGATAATTTTTTTGATTTTAGTAGAGATAGAGTTTCACCATGTTGCTTAGGGTGGTCTCCAACTCCTGAGCTCAGGCAAAAGGGTTTATTACGAGAATTTAATACAGTAAGATTACTAGGCCACAAGCTCCGTGGCAAAAAAAAAGACTGTGTCTACATTATCCACTATGTATCCCTAGTGAACAGAACATGGCTGGCAGGTAGTTGGTTCTGAAATGCCAAGTCCCCTTCCTTCCAAAACAGTACAGTCTATGTGAGTGGTTTTTCGGTGTTGTTTTACTTTTGATTTTTGTCTGGTTGGCTTTGCATTTTATTATTTTATTTATGTTGAGGCAAAGTCTCACTCTGCTGCCCAGGCTGGAGTACAGTGGTGCAATCATAGCTCACTGTAGCCTGGAACTACTGGGCTCAAGCAATCCTTCTGCCTCAGCCTCCCGAGTAGCTAGGACTACTATCTAGGTGGGTGCCAACACATTGGCTATTTTTTTCTTTTTTTTCTGTAGAGACGGGGTCTCACTATGTTGCCCACACTGGTCTTGAACTCCTGGCCTCAAATGATCCTCCCACCTCAGCCTCCCAAAGTGCTGGGATTACAGGTGTGAGCTACCAGGCCTGGACAAGGTTTTTGTTTTTTAGATTGACATTTTACCCTCGCATTGACTATTTGTAACAACATGGAAGAAGTAACTTAACTTCTCTGTGTTCAAGTTCTTAATGTGTAAAACAACACCAGGTTAGGGTATATAATTTCTTCATGCCTATAGTTTAACACTATACCCTACATATTAATCTTTTCAAAATGCAGACAATAAAGTAAGCATATTTTTGTTGCACAAAAATGCAAATTCAAGTCATATATTCATGGACACCCTCCAAATAAGGATAATAACCAGCTAACGCGTGTCTGAGATGGTCAGAACCCTGTTCCGTGACGGCACCGCAGGGGGACGCGCCATGCGGTGAGGGTGCTCCACGCCAGTGCCTTTGCTTCTGGGCACGCTGCAATGGCTTCTTTCCCCTGTCCTTGACCTCCCTCACTCTCAGCCTTTCTTTGGTTCCCGTGACTACCATCCCTAAAACAGCCCTCCGCATTCTTAGCACTCAGCATTAAGTAAATTCATGCACTCTCACACCTTTAACTAGTACCGCTGTCACAGTTAATAATAACCACATAAACAGCTCCAGTTCTGTCCTCTCACATGAGTGCTAAACCTCTAACTAAAATTCAAGATGTTTTCATTTGGGTCCTACCATTACTAGATCAACAGGTCAAAACAAGCTGCAGGACCTCTGTTCCTAAACTGTAATGCCCCTGCAGCTATGGCTGTCACATGCTGGAAGCGAGTTCCTCCTGCCTAGATGGAAGCAGGAAACCCCAGCCCTCCAGCCCCGGGGCAAACAGCTGGAGAAGCCTGCAAAGTCACTCACGCTTGATGCAGATCCTCTTAGCAAGAAGGGTCATTTCCTCCCCCATGGGAGCCCTTCCCCAGTGTGAATTCACATTCCAGCCACTGTAGGCCTGGCCTTTACCAACTCAGAGGCACTGCAGTAGCCATCAGACGAAAATGTGACATCACAGATCCTCATAGCCTTGAGGATATGACAAACAAGACCAACTGAGAGAAACAGACCCACTTCCATTCCTTCTGGAGAGCGCCGGCTGGCCCACCTGATGTTTTCCAGGGCGTTCCTTATCTGCTGTTGCTCAATGTCATAGAGTTTCACCTGGAAGCCTCCACTGGCAAACAGCATGGCCCAGCTTCGCCCAATGACTCCACTGAAGGGAGATAAAAGAAAGGATTCGAGTTAATTTAATAATCGAATGGCTTTTCATTCCTAACCCAGAATGAGTTTTTTTTAAATTCACAGTATCCTATTCTTAAAATATTCAATACATATCTTAAAAGTACACATTTTAGCCGGGCACAGAAAGACAAATATCACATGTTCTCACTCATGTGAAAGCTGAAAACATTGATCTGATGAAGGTGGAGAATAAAATGGTGGTTAACAGAGGCTGGACGGGGGTGGGAGAGGGAGGAAGAGAGGTTGGTGAGTGGGTGCAAACATACAGTTAACAGAAAAAGTAAGTTCTAGAGCTTGATAGCACTGTAGGGTAACTAGAGTTCACAACAATGTGTTGTATATTTCAGAACAGCTAGAAGATCTGAAATGTTCCCAGCACAAAGAAATGATAAATGTTAAAGGTGATGGGTGTGCTAATACCCTGACTTGATCGTTACACATTCTATGCATGTAACAAAATATCACAGGTACCCCATAAGTATGTAGGAATATTAGGTATGAATTTTTTTAAGTACACGTTTTAATAACATTATTTATTTTAAATGTTAACTGTTTCCACCCAGGAGCTCCTGAGCCCTCAACTCCAGTGCTGGTATTCATATTCCACATGGAGCCCTGCAGCATCTCAGGTATTTATCATGTACTCACACGCTGAATAAAATATTACAGTCAGGAGGTAGCAGGGTACCATGGAGACACAAGACCCGTTAGTGAACTTCCATTTGACCATGTCTTAGGCAAGTCAATTAATTTAAAAGAACAGAGAGAGCATCTGCCCTGTCCTCCCCAATAATTACTGCCACTGCCACTGCCACCCACATTTCAGCATGGATTAGGTATCAGGCACCATCAAACATACCACAGGTCTTACCTATGTTAATCTTTACAACAACCCTACAAGGTAGGTGTTATTAGTATTTCCATTTTATATGTAGGGAAACTGAGGCATGGAGGAATTAAGCCTACATAAGTGATAAACTGAGGCATGGAGGAATTAAGTCCACAAGGGTGATAAGTTATGGATCTATGAGATGAAGCCAAGCAATCTGACTCCTGAGTCCTTCCTCTTAACCACTACACTCCAACTGCTGTTTCAGACTTCCTGAAAAGTGAAAAGACAAAAAAAGTCATAAAGAGTTCACATGGGGTTGTTCAAAGAGTGAAAAACAAATGTACAGAACACATCTAGAGTCCAAGTCTTGGTTTCCAATACTATTCTCCAGTAATAGGAAGCAGGACTCCCTGGAGAAATGGCTAATTTGAAGACAGAGCCAGAAAATATACAAGATGAGCCCGGAGCAGTTTGTAGCACCAAAAAGAAAAAGAAAGTATTAAAAAAAAAAAAAAAAACGCATCGATGGGGCATGTCAAAGGGATAGGGGCCCGATATAGGAGCTCCCAATGGCCAAAGCTGGAACTTGAGCCACAAAATTAATACAGCAATACTGGATTATAACACAAAGTATAACACAAATAAATGCTTGAATAAATGAAGAAGAAGCCAAATCTCCCTTGCAGAAAAATGCCAAATAATTTATGTAGTTACTCCCCCTTAGGCAGGTAGGGCATCACCCCCACTTCCGTGTGCAGAGTGACCTCCTTCCAAAAAGCACAGTATGGAAGAGGGAAAAGTTAGGGTCACCACGCAGTGGAGAAACCTGACAAACCCTCCCTCAGCCAGGTGTTCAAAGTCACCAACAACAGTGGTAACTCACATTGAGAGTATGCACTCTTGATATAAGACAAAGTGAAAACGATGCTTTATCCCTGTGGTCTTCCTCCCCAAAACCCATAGCACCATTCTCATCATGAGAAGAACATCGGACAAATCCTAACGGAGGGACATTCTACAAACTACTTGACTGGTGCTCCTCAAAACTGTTAGGGTCATCAAAAACAAGGAAAGTCTGCGTAACTGTCACAGTTTAGATGAGTCAAAAGAGAAATGATTATTGTAATTTGGTATCCTAGAGGGGATCCTGGGACAGCAATAAGACATTAGGTAAAAACTAAGGAAATCTGAATAAAATGTGAATGTTGTTAAATAATAATGTGTTGGTCATGAATAGCCAATATTATTAAAATTATTAATAAACGATGTTAACAATAATATATTGGTTCATTAATTGTTACAAATGCACCATATTAATGTAAGATGTTAATAATAGGGGAAATTTGGTGAGATGACATATGAAAACTCTCTATACTATCTCCACAATTTTTCTGTAAAAATGTAAAAATTGTCTAAAAAAATAAAGGTTTTTTTTAATGAAAGCATGTAACAGCAGTTCCATTCCTAGGTATCTACCCAACAGAAATGAAAACATGTCCACAAAAAAACTTGTACACCAATGATTATAGCAGCATTATTCATAACAGCTAAATGCAACAGATACAATGTGGCATACCCATATAACAGAGCTATTCAGCCACAAAAAGGAATGAAATGCTGACACATGCCACATGGATGAATGTTGACAACATTATGCTAAGTGGAAGAAACCAGTCACAAAGGTTCACGTATTGTATGATTCCATTTATAAAATGTCCGGAATAGACATATCCATAGAGACAGGAAGTAGATTTGTGGTTGCCCAGGGCTAGGGGAGGAAGGAATGAAAAGTGATAGCTAGTGGGTCCAAGGTTTGGGATGATGAGCATGTTGTAAAATTGATTGTGGTGATGGATGCACAACCTTGTGAATATACTAAAACCACTGAATTGTACACTTTAAATGGGTGAATTACAGCTCAGTACTGCTGTTATTAAAAATAAATGTTTGTAAACATGCTTTGACAACCAACTCGTGCCGTAAAAATGTAAAGCAATAATACTTAAATTTTCATAAGAGTGGATGGAGCCAGTAAATAATAATAATTAATAATAATAATACTTAAATTTAGTTGAGTAGAAGGGTGAGGGGGAAACAAATGTCACATTTGGCATAATGTAGGGAGTTGCCTTAAGGTGTGAATGCAAAAAACAGCTATCTGTGTGCAGAGTCTTAGGCTTTTAAGAATAAACACTAACTCAGCCTTAAAAAGAAACGACACATGCCACAACACAGATGAATCTTGAGCACATTTTGCCAAATGAAATAAGCCAGTCACAAAATGACAAATGCCCTACGATTCCACTTACCTGAGGTACCCATAGAGACAGAAAGCTAGAAGGGTGGATGCCAGGGGCTGGGGCTGGGGGAAATGAGCAGCTGTTGTTCAATGGGTACAGAGTTTTAATTCTGCAAGATGAAAAGATTGATTGTACAACAATGGGAACATACTTAACACTACTGAACTGTACACTAAGAACTGTTAAAATGGCAAGTTGGGCTGGGCGCAGTGGCTTACGCCTATATTCCCAGCACTTTTGGAGGCTGAGGCAGGTGGATCACTTGAGGTCAGGAGATCAAGACCAGCCTGGCCAACATGGGGAAACCCCATCTCTACTAAAAATACAAAATTAGCCAGGTATGGTGGCGGGCACCTGTAATCCCAGCTACTCAGGAGGCCGAGGCAGGACAATCGCTTGAACCGGTGGGGAGGAGGTTGCGGTGAGCCAAGATGGCACCACTTCACTCCAGCCTGGGCGAAAGAGCAAAACTCCATCTCAAAAAAAAAAAAAAAAAAAAAGGCAAATTGTATGTTATGTCTATTTTACTATGCTAAATGTGGTTTAAAAGTTTAAAAAATATTTTTTTAAAAAAATGAACACTAACTTACCCTGCAAAAGGATGATTCTGAGTGGGGACAAGGCTTACCTACCCCACCAGAAGGCAACTGGGCACTTTCTCACTAGCCTAGAGGAAATATGTATTTGTAACATTTCAATCTCAGTTTCCCTGGCCCCTCTTCAAGCCTCAGCACATGGCTTTGTTCTCCTGGGGACTGAATATCAAAAGATAATCTTTTTTTTTTTGAAATGGAGTCTTGCTCTGTCGCCCAGGCTGGAGTGCTGTGGGGGTATCTCGGCTCACTGCAAGCTCCGCCTCCTGGGTTCACGCCATTCTCCTGCCTCAGCCTCCCAAGTAGCTGGGACTACAGGCGCTCGCCACCACGCCTGGCTAATTTTTTGTATTTTTTAGTAGAAACAGGGTTTCACCATGTTAGCCATGATGGTCTCGATCTCCTGACCTTGTGATCCACCTGCCTTGGCCTCCAAAAGTGCTAGGATTACAGGCGTCAGCCACCACGCCCGGCCAAAAGATAATTTTGAACAGGCCTGGCTCACACCTGTAATTCCAGGACTTTGGGAGGCTGAGGCGGGAGGATAATTAGAACCCAGAAGTTCAAGAAGAGCCTGGGCAACAGAGGGAAACTGCATCTCTACAAAAAAAAATTTTAAATTAGCTGGGTGTAGTGGCACATGCCTGTGGTCCCAGCTACTCAGGAGGCTGAGGCAGGAGGATCACTTGAGCCCAGGAGTTCAAGGATGCAGTATGCAGTGAGCTACAATCACGCCACTGTACTCCAGCCTCAGACAGAGCAAGACCCTGTATAAAAAAGAAGGTAATCTTGCTCTACCCAAAGTCAACTTTCTCAATACAGTCTTTATCCTGGGACAAAACTCTGAAAAAAATTCTACCTCTGGCACCCACCTTATATGGGTGTGCAAGCCTGGGAGTGGATGGAGAGACAGGAGCAGATGACAAATGCAGTACAGGCCGAGTGGGCCTTATTCAAAATGCTTGGGCCCAGTATTTCAGATTGCAAATTGTTTTTGGATTTTGAAATCTTTATGGCCGGGTGCAGTGGCTCACACCTGTAACCCTTTGGGAGACCGAGGCAGGTGGATCATCTGAGGTCAGGAATTCGAGACCAGCCTGGCCAAAACGGTGAAACTCTGTCTCTACTGAAAATACAAAAATTAGCTGGGAGTGGTGGCACGCATCTGTAATCCCAGCTACTCAGGAGGCTGAGGCAGGAGAATCGCTTGAACTTGGGAGGCGGAGGTTGCAGTGAGCTGAGATCGCACCACTGCACTCCAGCCTGGGCAACAAGAGCAAAACTCCATCTCAAAAAAATAAAAAAAGTAAATTTTGCATAGTGAAGTTTAAAATAAAAAACAATGTTAGTGGCCGGGCGCAGTGGCTCATGCCTGTAATCCCAGCGCTTTGGGAGGCCGAGGCGGGTGGATCACGAGGGCAGGAGATCGAGACCAACCTGGCTAACATGGTGAAACCCCATCTCTACTAAAAACACAAAAAATTAGCCGGGCATGGTGGCGGATGCCTGTAGTCCCAGCTACTCGGGAGGCTGAGGCAGGAGAATGGCGTGAACCCGGGAGGCGGAGCTTGCAGTGAGCCGAGATCACACCACTGCACTCCAGCCTGGGCGACAGAGCAAGACTCTGTCTCAAGAAAAAAAAAAAAAAAAAAGCAATGCTAGTGAGCAGTATGAATTTATTTGTTCAACAGGGTAAACTCTATGCACCAGGAACTAGCACTCACCTTCATATTCCTGGCATGTTGTAGAGGCTCAATAAATGTGAAAAAGCCATGGTTATCAAGTGAAAAATACGAGATAACGGTCAGCTGGCTCTTGCCATGGGGTTAATTAGAAGGCAACGATGACTCACTGAGGAAATACGTAAAGGGCACCTACCATGTGCAGGCACTGCCCAGTTCCTGACCCCAAGGAGCTCATAGTAGGTAGGCAGACAACAAACTAAATAAGCAAAAGCACTTGGGAGAAAGAAAGCAGGGGAGTAGGGACTGAGAGGCAGAGAAATGTTAAAAGCGCCACCAGGGACTGTCTCACTGGGAAGGTGACATTTTAGCAACGGAGGTAAGGGGCCAAGCCATGAGTGTATTTCTGCGACAAGTGTTCCTCAAAGAGTCTGTTTGCCCAGCTGGTCCAGATCAACAAGGCTGGTGCTCTGCTGGAGGGGCGGTGGGGGGAGAGGAAGGAGGGGACAATGAGGTCAAAGGGAAGGAGAGAACGGTGAGCTCATTGCATGGCACCTCAGAAGCAATGGAGGGATTTTGGTTTTTACTGAGTGAGATAGTTGGCTAATAGAAGGTTTTAGACAAAAGATATCATCTGACTTCTGTTTTTAAAGGGACATTCTAGTTGTCTTACTGAGAATATACTGCAGAAGGGCAAAGATGGAAGTCAGGAGACCAGCTGGGTGTCAGGAGGCTGGTGCCCGATGCGATGGGAGGCGGGACCAGGACGGAGGCAGAGGGGGTGCTGGAAAGGGGTCAGCTGAGAAATGAATGTGCAGTATTTTCACAGTACAGCCAAGAAGAATTGCTGGCGAATTGCATGTGGATGTGAGAAAAAGAAAAATGGAGGACAGTGCCAAGTTTCTTTTGGACAAGAAAGGATGGAGATGTCATTAACTCTGCTGGGAAAGACTAGCAATGGAGCAGATGTTAGGAGGGAAGATCAGTTCAAAACGGGATGTTTTCAGTGAGAAATGCTAAGGGTGGGTCTAGCAAATCGCTGGCTGTAAGTATCCAGGTTCAGAGCCAAGGGCTGGGCTGGGATATTAATTTGGGATTTACTGTAGAGATGTGGTATTAAAAGTGTGTGACTGGGTGAGATCTCTAAGAAAGTGAATATCGATAAAGAAGTCCAAGGATTCAGCCTTGGGACACTCCAACTTTAATGGGGAAGAATATGGGGACAAAAGGGAGTGCCAGTGAGATGGGAGGGGGGTGTAGTCAGGAAAGTGAAGGGAGCTGCCATCTGCATCAAACGCTGCTGATGAACACTTGAACTGAGGATTGACCATTGGGTTTTGCAAGATGAATGGCGGTGGGGACCATGACAAGAGCAGATTTGTGGGATTGATGAAAGACTGCTCAGGGTAGGTTTAAGAGAAAATGAGCCTCTAGCCCTAACTACCAGTTTCAGGAAATGAAGGGATGGTGGAACATGACAAATGACACTACATGGGTTGGGCGCAGTGGCTCACGCCTGTAATCCCAGCACTTTAGGAGGCTGAAGTAGGTACATGGCTTGCACCCAGGAGTTCAAGACCAGCCTGGGCAACATAGCGAGACCCCATCTTGGGAAGGGAAGGGGAGGGGAGGGGAGGGAAGGGATACATTCAGCAAAACCTAGAATATGGGAAATTTTACAGGGCAAATGACTCAAATTCTTCAGTAGATAAACGGCAAGAAAAATTTTACAAAACCAGAGAGGGATGAACAATCTATAGATTGAAAGAGCTAAGAATCTTATTGACTAAATATAACATGTGGGCCTTATTTAGACCCTAAATCAATCAAGCCAAGTATTTAAAAAATTAATCAGGGAACTCTTGAATATGGAAGAGATATTTAAAGATATTACATGAAGATATTAAGGAATTGTGTTAATGTTTTACACATGATGATGCTATTGTGGTTATATAGTTTTAAAACAGTCCATATCTTTTAGATACTATACATGCTGACATATTTACAGACGAAATGATTCAATGCCTGGCATTTGTTTCAGAACAATCCAGAGAAGGGAGAATAACTGAAACCATATTAGCCATGTGTTAATAATTGTTGAAGTTGAGGGGGTGGGGGAAGGTACTTTAAGGTTCATTGCACTGTTCTCTCAACTTTAACACAGTTTGAAATGTTTCCCTAACACAAAGTTAAGAGAGAGAATATGGATAGGAAGAAAGAAACTGGAGACAATATGGATAAGTTTATTAAGTTTTGAGGAGCAATGTGGCAATTACCAGAGGGAAAAATGGGGTCAAGAGAGGGTGCTTTTCTGTTTTCAGGGAACAACTATATGTTTGCTGGCTGCGGGGTCTGAACCCTGGAGAGGGGAAGCAATCATGAGGGAGGGAGCATGGTGCTTTGGTCTGGGGCTAATGCACCTGCCTCCATGGCTTGGGTCTTACCCCGCTGCTGTTGCTCAGGGAAAGGCAGCCCCCTAATCAAACAGGCAGCAAATCCTTGGAATCGCAATTATCTGACCTGAGGGAGGGTAACCATCGGCCAGGATTCTGGCATCAAATATCAGGTGATTGGACTGGGCCCCACTTCCCTTTCAGTCTTGAGATTGGCCCCTTCATTGCAGAGGACCAACAGCAGACCGCTGACCCCTGGGGACCAGCTGGTGTCTTTTCCCCCACCCCTTCACGCCCACACACTCAGTCATTGCTGATTGGACATGGATTGGACACCTGACCCAAAGCAGCCAATCAACTGGCTTAGGAGCACCCTATAACATCTGCAGCCTGGGATGCACAGAGGTGAAACCACTGGGTTTCCTCTCTTGAAAATTGGACCCGGGCCGGGCACGGTGGCTCACGCCTGTAATCCCAGCACTTTGGGAGGCCGAGGTGGGTGGATAACGAGGTCAGGAGATCGAGACCATCCTGTCTAACACGGTGAAACCCCATCTCTACTAAAATATAAATAATTAGCCAGGCGTGGTGGCAGGGGCCTGTAGTCCCAGCTACTCGGGAGGCTGAGGCAGGAGAATCCCGTGAACCCGGAGGCGGAGGTTGCAGTGAGCGGAGATCACGCCACTGCACTCCAGCCTGGGTGAAAGAGCGAGACTCCGTCTCAAAAAAAAAAAAAAAAAAAAAAGGAAAGAAAGAAAGAAGGAAGAAAGGAAGGAAGGAACGAACGAACGAAAAAAAGAAAGAAAGAAAGGAAATAAATTGGACCCAAAATACAGAAAAAAAATCAGTAAGAGGCACTATACTTGAAAGAGGATAACCTTAGGGTTGGCAGTGATGTGCAAGATAAAGTCACAGGGAAGGAAAGAAAAGTGAGCAAGTACAAGGAGAGGGAATCTACAGAGCAAAGGAAGCTACAGAGAGGCACAGGGACCAGATTGCACGGCCCCAGAGCTAGAAAGTTCCCTGGCTTGGTTTTCCTCAGGTTTCTGTTTCAGGTTTCCCTCAGTATTGTTCCCCAATACTACCTTACATCAGGCCCAAGAATAATTAACTTCCTGTCCTGAGAGCTTGTGACATCTTATTGGCCTTTTTTCCAACCACTATATGCCTGGGGACCTCAAAATGGGAGCCAGCGATAGAGGTAATTCAATGCCCTTCCCACTGTGACTATTGCGACATGTCTTAAAGCTTCTGAATTCATGAATCTTAATGGGTACTACAAAAGGTGAATGCAGATGAACATTTATTCTGTTACACAGTAGCAAAGCAGCAGGGGAGAAAAGTGATATAATTGCTTCAATTCTATCATTAATGTCACTTAATTTTGAATAAATTCACTTTAGATACATTTGAAAGTATCTTTCCAGCTACAGTTACTTATTTACTGGGTAAAAATTGAAGTAAAACTGTTCCTACACTCATGATCTCAGTCTACTATGGAAATTTTGCCAGAAAGAGCTATTAAGTAACTCCTGCGAAGGGCACATTTAGTGTCTAAGCTGACTCAAAAGGCAAGGAGGGCATCCTAGGGTTTGCTGTGTATGTGTACAAAAATTAGCAGGAAAATACCTAGAATAGCACTTCAAAGAAAATTCATGCCTCAGAAAGTTTCTTATAAAAAATGCACAGGCCAGGTGTAGTGGCTCACGCCTGTAATCTCAGCACTTTGGGAGGCTAGGGTGGGCGGATCAGTTGAGGCCAGGAGTTCGAGACCAGCCTGGGCAACATGGAGAAACCCTGTCTCTACTAAAAATACGAAAATTAGCCAGCAATGGTGGTTCGTGCCTGTAGTCCCAACTACTTGGGAGGCTGAGGCAGGAGAATTGCTTGAATCCAGAAGGCAGAGGTTGCAGTGAGCTGAGATGGTGCCACTGCACTTCAGCCTGAGCCTGACAGAGCAAGAATCCGTCTCAAAAAAAAAAAGTACAATCACCCCAAACAAAATTTTGGAATTAAAAAAAATGAAGGAGACTGTAGTTTATAGGATACCTTTCTTTCTTGCCTTTCTAGTTTATGGGATGTTTTTCTTGATATAAAACAACGTCCTACCAAGCCCTTCATAGGGCACATCAGTTAAAAAATAAGCAGTCTCTGTTACAAACGCTCAACTATCTGTCTATTGGGACCACGCATGGTGGATACAAATGGCAACAATACAGTTTCTATCCTTAGGGGAAAGGCCCAGAAGCAGAACTTTTCCTGGAGGAGACAGTCCCTGAGCTTGATCCTGAAAGAGTGTGCCCCCTAAAAAGCAGGACAGGAGAAAGGGCATGCCCTGCACCAGGAACATTTTGTGTTCCTATTCTAAACAAGCTCAAGGGCTACAAGCTGAATCTTGCAGTGTGTATACAAATACAGAACTCATATTTTAGCGATTTAGAAACACAGTGTTTTATAAAGGTAAGGCTAACAAAATGAAAGCCTTAGAACACTACTCCAATGCAAATTTATCTTCATGATACCCATTTCTACTTTTTTTTTTTTTTTTTTTTTTTTGAGATGGAGTCTCACTCTATCCCCCAGCTGGAGTGCAGTGGTGTGATCTTGGCTCACTGAAACCTCCGCCTCCTGAGTTCAAGCGATTCTCCTGACTCAGCCTCCTGAGTAGCTGGGATTACAGGCATGCACCACCACGCCCGGCTAATTTTTGTATTTTTAGTAGAGACGGGATCTCGCCATGTTGGCCAGACTGGTCTCGAACCCCTGACCTCAGGTGATCTGCCCTCCTAGGCCTCCCAAAGTGCTGAGATTACAGGCATGAGCCACCATGCCTGGACTTCTACTCCCATTTTTAAAAGTTATCACTACCAGATTTTCCTGCAGCCCTAGGCCCAAAAGAGTTTCTCTCATCCTCTTTCAAGCCCTCCCCATTCTGAAGGGACTTGCCCTGGATGTTTATAGGACAGCTAAGTGGCCCTAAGGAAGAGTGAACTTTGGAAAAAGATCAGCGGAAAAGAATTAAGTGGGACTGTATTCCTAGCAGGTACTTTCAAGATGAAATCTATAAACTGATAAGGAAAGCTGAAAACACAATATGCTCCTGAAATTGAAATATGTATATTTTGGTCTGTTGAAACCTAAGAATGAAACTGAACCAGGTTTTGGCAAATTAATTGACATTCCCCAAGCCCTATTTGTTAAGTGGGTGTTCCTTGGAATCACCTGTGGGGCCAGGAAAGAAATAGAGGGACGAGAAAGAAGGGTGGTAAAGAGGAAGGGAAGAAACCAGCACTGTCCCAGAGGCAGAGCTGGGTGTGTGCTGAAGTGCTGAGGGTGGGGGAAAGACAAGATTTTCACACCAGAAAACAAAGAAACAAGCAGAGGCCCCAGAGAATTATGTGGTCCTTAAAGTTTGGAAGCCTTTCTCTAATTCCTTATCAACATCCCTCAAGGAATCAGAAGTAAACTGTTAACTGAAGCTCCTCCTCAGTAGACTGAGCCACCCACAGCCAGATAACTGCACAATCAACTAAAACTTTACTTCACATGTATTAGGTGCATGCATAACACTACTCCAAGGCATGATGGACCTATACAAGGCCAAGCAAGGTGGCTCACAACTGTAACCCCAACACTTTGGGAGGCCAAAGCGCTTGCACCCAGGAGTTCAAGACCAACCAGGGCAAGATGGTGAGACCCCATCTCTACCTAAAAATTTTAAAAATCAGCCGGGTATGGTGACACATGCCTGCTGTGGGAGGATGGCTTGAGCCCGGAAGGTGGAGATCCACCATGATAGTGCCACTGCACTCCAGCCTGGGCGACAGAGCGAGACCCTATCCTATTAAAATTGTGTGTGTGTGCGCGTGCGCGCACGCATGCGTGTAAAAACTGTGTGTGTATATATATGTGTGAGTGTATATATATACACACACACATAAACTCTGGTAACTATTAATAAAATGCAAGACAGAGGTAACTACCACCACTGGTACAAAGTGCACTTTTTTTTTTTCAGACGGAGTTTCGCTCTTATTGCCCAGACTGGAGTGCAATGGCACCATCTCGGCTCACCGCAACCTCCGCCTCCCGGGTTCAAAGGATTCTCCTGCCTCAGCCTCCCGAGTAGCTGGGACTACAGGCATGTGCCACTACGCCCGGCTAATTTTGTATTTTTAGTAGAGACGGAGTTTCTCCATATTGGTCAGGCTGGTCTCGAACTCCCGACCTCAGATGATCCGCCTGCCTCGGCCTCCCAACGTGCTGGGATTACAGGGGTGAGCCACCGCGCGCGGCCCAAAGTGCACTTTTTAATATGCCTTCACTATTCAACCACGGGCACTCATGGGCCAGAAAGAACAAAGGCACAGTTAACTCCACTGCTCTGGAGAAAAGAAAGCTGACAACAAGGAATCTGATGCCTTCCTTCAGTGGGAAGGAAACACCCTGACATTGGAAGTGGTCTCCACACCGGGTTGTACACTGATGGGGGGCGGAGTCGGGGGCAGGCCAACACCTCAACAGCAGTCACCAAAAAGGTGCTTTTAACTATCAATAGCAAGTATTAACATGTTTATAGATTGCTGCTAACAGCTGGCCAAAGAAAGGTACATACAAATGCCCCTTTTTAAAAAACAAAAATAGCAAGGATTGTAACCGTAGGGGTGGGGGGCGGGGTGGGGGAAGCACACACTAAAAATCAGTTTGGGCAGAATTTAAGCTGTTAAATGGACACACTTAGCAAACTCTCTGGGCTCCATCGGCCCCCACCTCCCCTCTGGAAACATCGCCTCGCCCAGGAATTAGGACTGCGTGTATGTTCGCCTAACACCTGCTGCGGCCTCCAGCGACATCGTCGCCGACAGGACTGCGCTGGCACCCTCCCTGCTGGGCTAGTCCTGTCTCCGTCACTAAACGCCTGTGACCTTAGGTAAACTGCTTAGTCTCAGTATTCTCATTCGTAAAATGGGGATGAGAACACAGTCGTCGCAGGATCGCAGCCAGAATTCGTTTCATTCAACACGGTGCCTGGCACTTCTATGTGGACCTGCGGGCAGACGCGGCGACATTCAACAGAGTCCAGGAACCGCAGGCCCCGCGGCCTGGGCGGTCAACCTCGGAACCTCCTGCAACGCTGGCTCCCGGGAAGCAGACCCAACTCCGCGGGGCGCCTCCACCTGCCAAGCCCCTCCAGCCGCGCCTCTCCCCGAGCCCGCCAGCGCCGTAGGGGCCGCAGGGCGCAGGGCTTCGGAGGACCGGAGGCCGGGGCGGGGACAGCGACCCGGCGCCCACCCCGAGGGCCCCACGCGAGGGCACCACGTCCCCGGCGTCTCCCCGGGCTCCAGGGGCAGCAGCGCGGCTCGGAGCCCTTTACCTGCCAACGATCACCACGCAGCCGGCCGCGGAGGACGCCATGGTTGGGCCGGGGACGCGGCGCCGCGGGCGCTGGGACCAGGCGCCGGCGGAGCTGCGAGCTCTGGGCTCCGGGGAGGGCGGGTCCCGCGCCCATTGGCTGCGCGCGCGGACCGGGAGGGCGGGGAGGGCCGCTTGGTCCCTGAGTGGGGTGCGCGCCGCGGGCCCGAGACACCGGGAGACACACGGCGCGCCGACCCTCGTGGGCAGGGGCAGGACCAGCGCGGGGGCACGTCGGGGGGTGGAAAGCGGGAAGACCACGCGCTTGTGACTGTCAGCATTCACCGTGAAGTCCGTGTCTATAGGAGGGGACACGGGCAGGCTGGCACGGGCTCTAGCGCTAAAGCACCCTAGAGAAACTGTCAGAGAATGTCCCCTTTGCTAATTCGTCTCTGAAAGACGCCTGCCGCTGCCGCCAACTGCGAACTGGGCGCAGGGACTGCGACAGCAGTGAAAGAGAACACCTGATGCGTTCATCTGCGCTACGGAAGGACACGTCTGAATTCCTCCACGGAGCACACTCTGCACTCGGTTTATGTATCAGAAAAAGGAAATGCCCTCGTGCCCTGACTCCTGGCCTTCTTGGAGCCCGGAACAGACCAAGAGGAAGGGGCATCACACATTGCCTGACAGTGGTGTGCGTCCACACAGCACAAGCTGAACGGGAAATGACACAGTCATTAGACAGAGGAGACAGTACTCAAGCTGGAACCGCAGCCAACACTGAGATGATAAAAGGAAGTCTTCCTTTGTTTCCCCTGAGTCAGGAACGTGGAAAGAGAAATCTCAGGGGAGGGGTTAGGTTTTTTTGTTTTGTTTTGTTTTTTAAAGAACAGTTTCACAAATTATCGATAAATATTTGTAAAGTATTCAACCTCAAGAGAAATGAAAAGTAACACAAGGAAGATAAGTCATCTCTCACTCATCAGATTGGCTAAGTCACATGGATTGATTATATTCCCATATCCGTAATGGAGTGTTTCGGACATGCAACTTACACACAGTAGAAGGCAAGCTTAAATGTTGAGGACTTTTTGGAGGGAATGTTACAGTACATTGTTGAGACAGCCGCTAGCCTGAGCAACCGCGCCTGCTCTGGCTGAGAATACAAGGCTCCAAAGCTTCCATCTTCTGATGGAGCAGTTTCTGTAGTCAGTTACACAGGCAGCCAATATAATAATCAAGGCACCCAGGGAGTGAGCATCCTGTGACTGCTCACTACCGGAGGCTATGGGGGCAGCAGACTGGCTTGTTTGCTGCTCCCTGCAAAGTCATGCCTGAAATCCCAGCGCTTTGGGAAGCTGAGTAGTAAATAATAGCTTGAGGCCAGGAGTTCAAGACCAGCCTGGGCAACAAAGCGAGACCCCTGTCTCTACCAAAAAATTAAAAAACTTATCCAGGCTGGTGCCGCCTGTAGTCTCAGCTACTCAGTAGGCTGAGGCAGGAGGATTGCTTGAAGCCAGGAGTTTGAGACCAGCCTGTGCGAGATAGTGAGAACCCCCCCCCCCGCATCTCTAGTGTGTGTGTATATATATGTGTGTGTGTGTGTGTGTGTGTGTGTGTTTATATATTTATTTATTTATGTGTACATATATTTATAACTTTAATCCTTCTGGTACCAAACAAAAAAAATACAGATTTATTTAAATTAGCCAGGTGTGGTGGTGCATTCCTGTAGTCCCAGCTACTCAGGAGGATCTCTTGAGCCCTGGAGTTCAAGGCTGCAGTGAGCTATGATTTTGCCACTCTACTCCAGCCTGGCTAACAGAACAAGACTTTGTCTCAAAAGAAAGCAAAAGTGGCTGGACGCGGTGGCTCACGCCTGTAATCCCAGCACTTTGGAAGGCCGAGGCGGACGGATCACAAGGTCAGGAGATCGAGACCATCCTGGCTAACACGGTGAAACTCCGTCTCTACTAAAAATTAGCCAGGCGTGGTGGCAGGCGCCTGTAGTCCCAGCTACTCGGGAGGCTGAGGCAGGAGAATGGTGTGAACCCAGGAGGCAGAGCTTGCAGTGAACCAAGATCACGCCACTGCACTCCAGCCTGGGCGACAGAGCGAGACATCATCTCAAAAAAAAAAAGAAAGCAAAAAGTGCTGGGCCCTTGCTCGTTGCAAACACAGGAGTCATCTGGCCCTCTATGTAACCCTGTGGGAATTAAGGATCCAAGAACCCATATAAATATGGTGTCACTCTGGCTATTGCTTTTACTGTAATAAGATAATTTATTTTTAATCCAGGAGTCTCGTGACTTCTGTCAGCATCCAAGTGCAGAACCTCTGTTGCAATTTAGTGAAAATCTCAGACCCTTGCAGTTTCTGACATACACAAAATTTAGAATGTATGTACCCTTTGGCTTAGCAGTTCCAATTCTAGAGATCTGTTGTACAGAAATTCAAGTGGACAAGAAGTTAGACAAATTTCTTTATTTCAGCATGGTTGTTAATAGAAAAATATTGAAAACATGATGAATATCAATGAGAAATGTTTTTAAAGACTATGGAATTTTCGGAGAATGTCTGCTTCTGACCAAGAGGAAAAATAAGGATGAAACTTAAACTCCTTCTTGAAACAACTAGAAGGCCCCCAAAATAGAAGAAACAGGGATTTCAGACCCTGGACAAGAGGCAGCCTAGGACAGCGATCCCTGAGAGAGGGAAATAGACAAGGCATGGGCTGCAGCTCCGAAAGGGAAAGCTCAGAGCCTGGTTTTCTCACTGAGTTAAGGAAAAAGGAGACTGAAGTTCAGAAAAGCCAAATGATGAGAATTTGCAGGGCATGGTAGCAGAGAGGAGGCAAACACTCAGGGGAAAGAGGGAACTCCAGGGACCTGTAGAAGAGAGAGGCCCTTCACATGTTTGGCTGAGTGCTGAGCTGTGCGTGTGAGAGAGGAACCTGTGAGAGGGTGGGGTGAGAAGTCCCAGAATGAGTAAGCCAACCACCCCCAGACTCATGCAGGACTCAAAGATGTGTGTTCCCACAGCCAGACTGAAAAGACCTCATAATACACAGGACACCAGATAGAATCCTCAGGAACATGTGGCTTCAGCAGTGGAGCTAAGCTAGTCCTAGACTAAAGGTTTCTCTGGAACCATTTTAAGAAAGATCAAAAGCCAGCCTCACAAGGACCACCCAGATTCCAGGTAACTTAACTGTACTCCAGAACAAAATCCGTTACTATTGAAAGGAACACAACAAGTTTGAAAAAGAACACATTTAGAAGAACTCTACGTGATTTCAGCATTTACTATAAGTGAAACTCCCAATGTGATGGTAGTTAGGGACTGGAGCATTTGGGAGGTATTTAGGTCGTGAGGGTGGAGCCTTCATGAATGGGATTACTGCCCTTTTAAAAGGGACTACAGAGAGCTCTCTTGTCCTCTTTCCACCATATGAAGATATAACAAGAAGACAGCAGCCTGCAACCTTGAAGAGGGCCTTCACCAGAGCCCAATCTTGCTGACACTCTGATCTTGAACTTCCAGCCTTCAGACTGTGAGAAATAAATGTTGGTTGTTCATAGGCTACCCAGTTCATGGTACTTCTGTTACAGCAGCCTGAACTGACTGAGAAAGGTACAAAGACAATTCAATAGAAAAAGGATAGTCTTTTCAACAAATGGTGCTGGAGCAATTGGATATGCATAAGCAAAAATAATAATAATAATCAACACCTTAATTCTTACCACTTAACCACATACAAAACCTCAAAATGCATTATAGACCTAAATGTAAAACCTAAAAACTATAAAACATGCAAAAGAGAACAGAAAACTTTGTGACTGTTAGGCAAAGATTTATTAGATATGACATCATAAGCGTAACATAAAAGAAAAGGTTGCTTAGTTTGACTTCATCAAAATTAAGAACTTAGACATTTTCTAAGACAATATTAAGAAAATGGAAGGAAAAGCCACAATTTGGGATAAAATATTTCAAATCACGTATGTTACAGGGCTTGTATAGGAAATATATTAAAAAGTCTTAAACTCAATAATAATTTTTTTTTTTTTTGAGACGGAGTCTCACTCTCACCCAGGCTGGAGTGCAATGGCACAATCTTGGCTCACTGCAACCTCCACCTCCTAGGTTCAAGCAATTCTCCTGCCTCAGCCTCCCAAGTAGCTGGGATTACAGGTGCCCCCCACCACGCCTGGCTAATGTTTGTATTTTTAGTAGAGATGGGGTTTCACTATGTTGGCCAGGCTGTTCTCGAACTCCTGACCTCAGGTGATCCACCTGCCTCGTCCTCCCAAGGTGATAGGCTTACAGGTGTCAGCCACCACGCCCAGCCTCAATAATAATTCTTAAAATTTTTAAATGGGCAAACTAAAAAGAAATTACCTCAGAGGTCAAATAAAATAGCCCTTGTTTGGGAAACAAGGAATTGCAATTCAGGTACACTGAATCAGGGCAGCCCTGAACAGAAAGTTGTTTTCAGAGGAAGTTTATTGGTTAGGCAGAAATCCTAAATTGCAAACCCATTCTGGATGTTTAGAGTACTTCCTGTTGGAGTCCAGTGTATACTGACATCAGTTGTTATCCAAGTCTATCGGAACATTCTGTGGTTGGACCGTTAGCATGTATAAGAGCAGTCTTCTCGTAATCTTTCAACTCCTCCACTTTAGGAAGTCTTAAACTTAAGCCTTAATTAATTCATTTTCTTTCATACTCAGCAACCAAAAACAAACAATTAAAACTAGGCAAAGGACTTGAATAGACATTTTTCCAAAGAAAATATACAAATGGCCAATAAGCACATGAAAAGATGCTGAATGTCATTAGTCATTAGGGAAATGTAAACTAAAACCACAATGAGATACCACCTCACACACATTAGGATGGTACTGTCAAAACAAACAAACAAAAAAGAAAATAACAAGTGTTGGTGAGAATATGGAGAAATGAGACCCCTTATGCGCTGTTGTTGGGAATGTAAAATGGTGCATAGCAGACACTATGGAAAATAGTAGGGCAGTTCCTCAAAAAACAAAAAATAGAATTACCAGATGATCCCACAATTCTACTTCAGGGTATGTACCCAAAAGAATTGAAAGTTTGTCTTAAACAGTTATTTGTAAACCCACGTTCATAGCAGCATTATTCACAATAGCCAAAAGGTGGAAGCAACCCGAGTGTTCATCAATAAATGAAAGGTGATAATGGCTTGGCTCTGTGTCCCCAACCAAACCTCATCTCGAATTATAATCCCCATGTGTCAAGGCGGGACCTGCTAGGAGGTGATTGGATCATGGGGGTGGTTTCCCCCATGCTGTTCTTGTGATAGTGAGTGAGTTTTCACAAGATCTGATAGTTTTATATGCACCCAGCATTTTCTCTGCTTGCACTTCTCTTTCCTGACGCCATGTGAAGAAGGTCCTGGCCAGGTGCAGTGCTTCACACCTGTAATCCCTGCACTTTGAGAGGCCAACGCGGGTGGATCACCTGAGGTCAGGAGTTTGAGACCAGCCTGGCCAACATGATGAAACCTCATCTCTACTAAAAATACAAAAAATTAGCTGGGCATGGTGGTGTGTGCCTGTAATCTCAGCTATTCAGGAGGTTGAGTCAGGAAGAATCGCTTGAACCCAGGAGGCAGAGGTTTCAGTTAGCTGGGATTGTGCCACGCACTCCAGCCTGGGCAACAAGAGCAAAACTCCATCTCAAAAAAAAAAAAAAAAAAAGAAGGTCCTTGCTTCCACTTTGCCTTCCACTATGATTGTCAGTTTCCTGAGACCTCCCCAGCCCTGCGGGACTGTGAGTCAATTAAACCTCTTTTCTTTATAAATTACCCATTCTCGGCAATTCTTTATAGCAGTGTGAGAATGGATTAATACAAATTGATAAACAAAAATGTGGAATATACATACAATGGAATATACTCAGCCTGAAAAGGGAAGGAAATTCTGATGGATGCTACAACATGGATCAATCTTGAAGATATGCTAAGTAAAATAAACGAAACACAAAAGAAAAAAATATTCTATAATTGTACATATATGAAGCACCTAGAGTCGTCAAATTCATAGAGACGGAAGGTGGAATGGTGGTTGTCAGGGGCTGTGGGGAGAAAGAAATGGGGAGTTTGGAAATAGAGTTTCAGTGGCACAAGAAACCACTTCAGTGGAGGTTAGTTCACAACAATGGGAATATATTTAACAGTACTGAACTGTACACACAAAAATGGTTAAGGCTACGCATGGTGGTGTGTACCTGTAATCCCAGCACTTTGGGAGGCTGAGGCAGATGGATCACTTGAGGCCAGGAGTCTGAGACCAGCCTGGCCAACATGGAGAAACCCTGTCTCCACTAAAAATACAAAAATTAGCTGGGCATGGTGGTGTGCACCTGTAATCCCAGCTACTCGGGAGGCTGAGGCACAAGAATTGTTTGAACCCAGGAGGCAGAGTCTGCAGTGAGCCAAGATCCTGCCACTGCACTCCAGGCTGGGTGACAGAGTGACACTCTGTTGCAAAAAAAAAAAAAAAAAAAAAAAAAAGTTAAGATGTTAAATTTTATGTTATGTATATCTTACCAAAAAATTTTTAATAACCAAAAGATTTGAACACATTTCACTGAAAAGATACATGGTTAACATGAAAAGATACTTAATATGATTAGTCATTAGAGAAATGTTAATCAGAACCATAATGAGATACTACCACATACCTAACAGAATGGCTAAAGTTTAAACAAACAAAACTGAGAATTCCAAGTGCCAGTGAAGACGTGAAGCAACTGAAACACTCCTATATTGCTGATGGAAATGCAAAATCGTACTTTGGAAAACAGTAGTTCACAGGAAAACCTGTATGTAAACATTTGCATTTGCATTGTTTATAGTCCAGAGAGTGGAAACACCCAATAGCCATTCTATTGGTAGGTGGGAAAACGATATGGAGTACATATAGTACATCCACACAATGGACGATAAAAAGGAACAAACTCAGCAATAAAAAGGAATGAACACAATGTAAAATGTAAAAACAAATGTACACAATGTGGATGAATCTAGAAGAGATAGTCAAATGAAAGAAGCCAGACTTGGCCTGGCACAGTGGCTCATGCCTGTAATCCTAGCACCTTGGGAGGCCAAGGCAGGCAGATAACTTGAGGTCAGGAGTTTGAGACCAGCCTGACCAACATAGTGAAACCCTGCCTCTACTAAAAATACAAAAATTAGCCAGGTGTGGTGGTGGGCACCTGTAATCCCAGCTACTCGAGAGGCTAAGGCTCGAGAATCACTTGAACCCAGGAGGAAGAGGTTGTAGTGAGCTGAGATCAGGCCACTGCACTCCAGCCTGGGCGACAGAGTGAGACTCTGATACACATACACACACACACGCACACACACACACACAGGCCAGACTCACACAGGCCAGACTCAAATGGCTATATACTGTGTAATTCCATTTATATGAAATTCCAGAAATGTCGGGCATGGTGGCTCAAGCCTGTAATCCCAGCACTTTGGGAGGCCAAGGCGGGCGGATCATGAGGTCAGGAGATCGAGACCATCCTGGCTAACGTGGTGAAACATCATCTCTATTAAAAATACAAAAAATTAGCCAGGCATGGTGGCGGGTGCCTGTGGTCCCAGCTACTTGGGAGGCTGAGGCAGGAGAATGGCGTCAACCTGGGAGACGGAGCTTGCAGTGAGCCAAGATAGTGCCACTGCACTCCAGCCTGGGTGACACAGCAAGACTCTGTCTAAAAAAAAAAAAAAAAAAAAAAAAAAAAAAAAAAAAAAATTCCAGAAATGATAAAATGATTGGGATAGGGAATAGATCAGTGAGTACCAGGAGTGCGGCGAAGAATTAAATACAAAGGAGCAGAGAGAGGGAATTGAGAGGGGAGCAGAACTGTTCTGTGTCTTGCCAGTAGTGCATATTTACAGTATGTATTTGACAGAACTCTTAGAATTGCATGAAAATTTTAAAATAAATACATAAAGTATTTAAATTTTGGGATGGAGCCATACAGTTCTTAGTATACCATTAAATGCCAATATTAGAAAAGAGAAAGCTTTCAAATCCATGATCAAACTTCCACCTTTAAAAATTAGAAAAAGGAAAAGCAAATTAATCTCAAAGTTATTAAAAAGGAAAATACAGAAATTTATGAAATAGGGGCCAAGTGTGGTGGCTCATGCCTGTAATCCCAGCACTTTGGGAGGCCGAGGCAGGCAGATCATGAGGTCAGGAGATCGAGACCATCCTGGCCAACATGGTGAAACCCCGTCTCTACTAAAAATACAAAAATTAGCTGGACGTGGTGGTGTGTGCCTGTAATCCCAGCTACTTGGGAGGCTGAGGCAGAAGAACCGCTTGAACCAGGGAGTCGGAGGTTACAGTGAGCTGAGATCGCGCCTCCGCACTCCAGCCTGGCAACAGAGCAAGACTCCACTGCAGGGGTCCATCCCACAGACCCTGACCCAATGACAGATGAATAACATACACTGACACAGATATTCTGCCTGTTAGTCTGGCTAAGGGTCCAGGCCACTCACAGACACCGATGAAGGTGCTGTAAAGAGTAGCAGCCGTGGCCCCATTCAGCCAGGGAAGCTCGCATTTATTCAGTATAGATTAAATGACAAAGGTCTTGAGTAAACACCACTAGAGGGTAACTGACCTTGTTGCCCACCCCCCAAGTAGAGAGCAATTATGCACCCGTGGTTGATCAAAGGTTGGACTGAGGACCACATGAGTAAACAAGCTATTTAAATAAACTACTCTACATTCCTTTGTATCTACTTTAAGCTATTTACTCAAGGTAAGGATTAGACTGCTTTCAGCTAACCCTATCCTGAGACTTTTGCAAAACCTTCTAGCCTTCCAAGAAGATTTGTGTCTATATCTTATAACTTCATCTTAAAATGTTTCCCATCAGCCTGACTGAACTCCCACACTTTGTCTCAAAAAAAGAGAAATTTATGAAATAGAAAACCAAATAACAATAGAGAAAATTGTTAATAGGGAAAATGAATGAAACCGAAAATTGTTTCTTCGTAAAGATTGATGAAATCAGTAAAACCTTGGCCAGACTGGTCAGAGGAAAGAATACATAAATTACCAATATCGCTACAGATCATACAAAAAACAAAAAGGTAATAAGGGAAATTTATGAGCAACTTTATGTCAATAAATAAATGAATTTATGAAATGGACAAATTCCTGGAAGCCTTGAAGGAAACAAATAACTAAGCCTCACTCAGAAAGAAACAGGTAAGTCTTCTGTCTGTGAAAGGCATTGATTTGTAATTTTAAAAAACTGTCCTCCAAAGAAAACTGTAGGCTCAGATGTCATCAAGGGTAAATTCTCCCGAGCATTTAAAGAACAAATATCCCAACTGAATGGAAACTCTTCTAGAAAGTACAAGAGTAGGAAACGTTTCCAACTTATTTTATGAGGCCAGCATTATCCTGATATCAAACCTTACAAAACAGCAAAGGAAAACTACAGATCAATATCCCTCATGAACATGATGCAAACATATTTTTTAAAACATTTAGCAAGTTGAGTCTAGCAATATATAAAAAAGAATAAAACATTATAAGTAAAGGGGGTTTTTCATAGAAACATAAGGTTGTTTCAACACTTGAAACGTAATTCATGATATAAGTAGACTAAAAGAAAAAAACTAGGCCAGGCATGGTGGCTCATGCCTGTAATCCCAACACTTTGGGAGGCCAAGGTGGGTGGATCATGAGGTCAGGAGATTGAGACCATCCTGCCTAACATGGTAAAACCCCGTCTCTACTAAAAAAAAAATACAAAAAAAATTAGCCTGGCATGGTGGCGGTTGCCTGTAGTCCCAGCTACATGGGAGGCTGAGGCAGGAGAATGGCACCACTGCACTCCAGCCTGGGCAACACAGCGAGACACCATCTCAAAAAAAAAAAAAAAAAAAAAAGAAAGAAAAAAACTATATGATAATCTTAACAGATGTAGAATAAACTACAACAAAATTCATTGTCTATGCATGATTTTAAAACTTTAATAAAAGCTAAGATTAAAAGGGAACATCCACTACCTGATAAAGAGCAATCACAGAAAACTTACAGCTCATATCATTCTTTTTTTAAAAAAAAAACATAAATTTTATGTTGCATATTTATTTGTTTTTGAGACAGTCTTGCTCTCAAAAACAAGAGCAAGGCTGGAGTGCAGTGGTAGCTGTCTGCTCACTGAAACCTCGGGTCCAGGCAATTCTTCTGCCTCAGCTTCCTGAGTAGCTGGGACTACAGGCGTGCACTGCCACACCCAGCTAATTTTTGTATTTTTAGTAGAGATGGGGTTTCACCAGGTTGGCCAGGTTGGTCTCAAACTCCTGACCTCAAGTGGTCTGCCCACCTTGGCCCCCCAAAGTGCTGGGATTACAGGTGTGAGCCACCACACAGGGCCTATTTTGCAGCATATTTGAAGCTTACAACATGGTATTATGGGATACATTTAAATAGCAAAGTGAAGCATATTAACATATTTATCATCTCACATAGTCACTCTTTTGCAACAAGAGCAGCTAAAACCTACTTATTTAATAAAAATCCCTAATAGAATATAATTTTATTGTAGTGGCCAGTTGCAGTGGTTCACACCTATAATCCCAGCACTTTGGGAGGCCAAGGTGGGTGGATTGCTTGAGCTCTCCAGTATGAGACCAGCCTGGGCAACATGGCAAAACTCCATCTCTACAAAAAACACAAAAATTAGTTGGGCACAAAAATTATCTGGGCATGTTGGCAGACACCTGTGGTCCCAGGTATTCAGGAGGCTGAGGCACAAGAATCACTTGCGCCCAGGAGGTAGAGATTGCAGTGCACCACAATCACTCCACTGGACTCCAGCCTGGCTACAGAGCTAGACCTTGTCTTAAAAAAAAAAAAAAAAAAAAAAATGGAAGAAGAAAAAGAAAAAAAACAAAAAAAAACTATAGTCCTGGTGTTATTGTTATACATTAGATCTGTAAACTTGTTGATCCTACATATCTGCTTCTTCATTTCCTTTGACCTACATTTCCCCCTTTCCTCCCCTACTTCCACCTCTAGTAACCACTGCTTTAGTCTCTATATCTGTATATCTGACCTTTAAGAAAAAAATTCCACGTATAAATGACATCGTGCAATATTTTTATTTCTGTGTCTGGTTTATTTCACTTAACATAATGTCCTTCAGACCCATCCATGTTGTGTCAAATGACAAAATCTTCTTATTTAAGGCTAAATGATATTTCATTTTGTATATTTATCCATTTGTCTATCTAATATTATTCTTAATAGTGAAAGACAATATTTTCCCCCTAATATTGGGAATAGGCAAGAATATTCTTTCTTACATTTTTTATTCAACATTGTATTAGAAGTCCTATCCAATGCAATTAGACAAGAAAAAGAAATAAAAGGCACAAAGATTGGGTAAGAAATAATAATACTATGTTTATTCACAAGTGACATGATTATGTATTTAGAAACTCCTAAGGAATCTTTAAAAATGGCTAATAGAACTCATAAGTTAGTTTAAAGCATGCATAGATTCAAGGTCAATCCCCACAAATCAGTTGTATTTATATATAATAGGAATGAATAATTAGAGCTCAAAATTTTAAAACACTTACAATACGTGTTTTAAAATAATAATAAGTGACAAATGTCACTTACAATAACAAATGAAAGTTTAAATATGTATGAATTCATTTAATAAAATATATGCAATACCTTACCAAAAACTACCAACCTTTGCCAAGATAAATTAAAGAAGATGTAAACAATTGGAGAGATATAGCCATCACAGATCTAAAGACTTAAGATTTCAATTAGCCTCAAAATAAGCTAGAGATTCAATGCATTCCCAAATATTCATAAGGCTTTTATTTATAGAAATTTAAAAGTTAGTTCTAAAATTTATATGGAAATGACAGAATTTGGAAGCTTTTACTCTAAAGCTACAGTTATTAAGATATATGGCAGAAAAGAGAACCCAAAATTAGGCCCATGTATATTTGTCAATTCATTTTTATAAACAAGCCAAAGTAATTCAATGGAGAAAGTACAGCCCTTTCAAAAAAGGGTGCTGAAAAAACTCAATATCCATATGCAAAAATATTTACTCATACCATATGCAAAAATTAACTCAAAATAAATTTTAGACCTGCATCTATGACCTAACATTAGAAAATGTGGAGGAAAAAAACATGGAAGAAAATGTTTGTGACCTTGAATTAGGCAAAAGTTTTCTAGATAGAACACAAAAAACATGAGTCATAAAAGTAAACATTAATAAATTGGATTTTGGTCGGGCATAGTGGCCCATATCTATAATCCCAGCACTTTGGGAGGCTGAGGTGGGAGGATCACTTGAGCCTAGGAGTTCAAGACCCACCTGGGCAACATAGCAAGATCCTGTCTCTATAACAAAACATAAAAAATTAGTTAGGTGTGGTGGCATGTACCTGTAGTCCCAGCTACTCAGGAGGCTGAGATGGGAGGATCCCTTGAGCCCAGGAGGTCGAAGCTGCAGTAAGCCATGATCACACTACTGCATTCAGCCTGGGTGATGGAGTGAAACTGTCTCAAAAATTAAAAAAAAAAAATAGAACAAATTGGATTCTGTTAAAACCAGAAATATGTCTTCAAATGACACTGTTAAGAAAAATAAAAATATCAGCCACACACTGGGAGAAACTATTGGTGAAACATATATCTATTTAAGATACTATAAAGAAATATTGCAACTCAATAATAATTTTTAAAAACCCAATTAAATTGGGAGGCCAAGGCAGGCGGATCATGAGGTCAAGAGATCAAGACCATCCTGGCCAACATGGTGAAACCCCGTCTCTACTAAAAATACAAAAATTAGCTGGGCATGTTGGCACGCGCCTGTAGTCCCAGCTACTCAGGAGGCTGAGGCAGCAGAATTGCTTGAACCCACGAGGCAGAGGTTGCAGTGAGCCGAGACTGCACCATTGCACTCCAGCCTGGTGACAGAGTATGATGACTCACGCCTGCTGTTAGCGTCACCCCAGCAATTGCACCAGTGACTGCCACTTGCTCTGCTTCCTGATCCTTTTGGCCCTTCCAAACACCTCCTCTCACCCCTGCTCAGAGGACCAGCCCAGCCATCTCCACTGGGGGTTAAGCCTCAGTTCACGAGACCCCTCGTCTAAGCCTCAGGTCTTCCCCAAATCTTCCCTCATTCCCCCAGTCCTGGGGTAGTGCCACTTCCTGACATTGCTGTGACCTCCCCATTCACTCTTGCTACTTTCCAGTCCTCACACACCTATTGATATTGAGCTGATCCTCCATATTAAATTCTCCATGTTGAAATGTCCAGTGTGGTTTCTGTTTTAAGCACTTTTGACTTCTATAATGTTAAAAACTGGTGTATTTTATGAGTTGATTCTAATGGAACCCAGATAGTCTGAAAATATACATGAGTTTATAACTAGGTTTCATGTGAATGGCAAAAATTTAAATGAGTATTCTCTGGCATATTTTCTTTTCTTTTTAAAAAATTAACTTGATTTTAATATACCTTGGTTATGTTTTCTGAGATTCTGATTAGTCCTTGAAAGTTGAATTTGTGTAGCATGAGACTAACGCATGAAAGAAAAAGACTGTGGTTCAGAAAAGGAAGACTTTAACTTGGAAAAGTTAAAATTGAATCAAGTACATGAAAACAAGTAGATTCTAACATAATTAGAAATGGAATATTTTTAGGCAGAATGAGTTTGCACAGCCAAAATCCCCCTATTACAAATATTGCACATATAGGGCCAAGCGCGGTGGCTCGCACCAGTAATCCCACAACTTTAGGAGGCCGAGATGGGGGGAATCACGAGGTCAGGAGATCGAGACCAACCTGGCTAACACGGTGAAACCCCATCTTTACTAAAAACACAAAAAATTAGCCAGGCTTGGTGGTGTGTCCGGAACTTATTCCTTCTGGTGGGTTCTTGGGTCTCGCTGACTTGAAGACTGAAGAATAAGGCCGTGGAACTCACGGTGAGTGTTACAGCTCTTAAAGGTGGTGTGTCTGGAGTTTGTTCCTTCCGGTGGGGAGTTTGTTCCTTCCAGTGGGCTCATGGTCTCGCTGACTTCTGGAGTGAGGCCTCAGACCCTCACAGGGAGTGTTACAGCTCTTAAAGGTGGTGCGGACCCAAAGAGTGAGCAGCAGAAAGATTTATTATGAAGAGTAAAAGAACAACGCTTCCACAAAATAGAAAGGGACCCAAGCGGTTTGCCAACGCTGGCTGGTGTGGCCAGCGTTTATTCCCTTATCTGTCCCCACCCACATCCTGCTGATTGGTCCATTTTACAGAGTGCTGATTGGTCCATTTTATAGAGTGCAGATTGGTCCATTTACAATCCTCTAGCTAGACACAGTGGGCTGATTGGTGCATTTACAATCCTCTAGCTAGACAGAAAAGTTCTCTAAGTCCCCACCCCACCCAAAAGCCCTGCTGGCTTCACCTCTCAGTGGCAGGTGCCTGTAGTCCCAGCTACTTGGGAGGCTGAGGCATGAACCCGGGAGGCGGAGCTTGCAGTGAGCAGAGACCAGGCCACTGGACTCCAGCCTGGGTGACAGAGTGAGACTCCATCTCAAAAAAAATAATAATAAATAAATAAATAAATAAATAAATAAATAAATATTGCACATATAACCAAGTATTCAGCTGCTGCAGTTGGGCCAGATGATGGTAAAATTAAACAAGACAGACTTCAGAGGCTGAATTTCTTATGTTTTTCCACTGTTTCATAAAGTCAGGTAAGATTAATTTCTGCACTCCTTTAGTAGCTCAATATTACCACCAAGAGAAGACAAATAGACCAAAGTTGCCAGCTTTTAAGAACTCACAGCCTCAATGCCAACACTTCAAATTGGAAATGTTCTCAGGTAACCGTATGACACGAGAATCACAAGTAATTCCAGAAACCACTCTTACTGAGATATAGTCTCACGACAAAAAGGACTATAAAGAAAATCTTGAACTTCACTTGGTAGTTTTATTTTTCAAGCCAATACAGGTATTACTATCTTTTACTTTTTTTTTTTTGTATTTCTGTCAAGCCAAAAATAAATTTGATTTTGTTTGGCACCAAAATTTTACCGTAAGAGAACATAAGGTTTAATGATATAAACAAAAAGTTTGAAGAGAAACACAATGATGTTAGAATTGAATCAAAAATATTCATATGAGCTGACGCTTAAAAAAAAAAAAAAAAGGCCAGGCACTTGGTTCATGCCTGTAATCCCAGCACTTTGGGAGGCGGAGGCGGGCAGATCATGAGGTCAGGAGATCGAGACCATCCTGGCTAACACGGTGAAACCCCGTCTCTACTAAAAATACAAAAAATTAGCCAGGCATGGTGGCGGGTGCCTGTAGTCCCAGCTACTCGGGAGGCTGAGGCAGGAGAATGGCGTGAACCCAGGAGGCGGAGCTGGCAGTAAGCCGAGATGGCGCCACTGCACTCCAGCCAGGGCGACAGAGCGAGACTCTGTCTCAAAAAAAATAAATAAATAAAAATGGCTGAGCACAGTGGCTCCCACCTGTAATAATCCCAGCACTTTGGGAGGCCAAGGTGGGAGGATGGCTAGAAGCCAGGAGTTTGAGACCAGCCTAGGCAACATAGCAAGACCCGATTTCTACAAATAAAAATTTGGGGGCTGGGCAAAATGGTTTATGCCTGTAATTCAAGCACTTTGGGAGGCCGAGGTGGGTGGATACCTGAGGTCAGGAGTTCAAGACCAGCCTGACCGACATGGCAAAACCCCATCTCTAATAAAAATACAAAATTAGCCAGGCGTGGTAGTGCATGCTTGTAACCCCAGCTACTCAGGAGGCTGAGGCAGGAGAATTGTTTGAACCCAGGAGGTGGAGGTTGCAATGAGCCGATTGCGCCATTTCACTCCAGCCTAGGCAACAAGAATGAAACTCCGTCTCAAAAAAAAAAGAAAAAAATTTTTTTAAAGAACTAGCCAGGTGTAATGGCACATACCTGTAGTCCCAACTACTCAGGAGGCTGAGGTAGGAGGATCCTTTAATCCTAAGAGTTCAAGGCTGCAGTGAACTATAATCCTGCCATTGCATGCCAGCCTGGGTGACAGACTGAGATCCTGTCTCTCAAAAATAAAAAAGAATATTTTCCAGCTCTGCCCTCTGAAATGGCCTTGGATTAATGCCGCTGGTATTTCAAATCTGACCTGAAACCCCAATGCCCAAATCTTGCCATTTTTTCACTAGAAGGAACCAGAATTGCTTAGAGAAATGATTGACTGTGTTCAGGGAAGGAAGGGTACAAGGCTGGTCTGGGACACTTCTGTTCCCAAAGGCAAGAAACCTTGCAGAGATTAATGGCAAGACACCAAAGGGACTGAAGACTCAGCCTGCAGGATGGTGGCAGTGAGGAGATTTACTCAGAATACCTGGCCAAATGCTCTGCTCTTAGGTGACCTCAATGTGGTCATATGTATCTTTTAAGAATGAAGTATGTAAGGGTTTAAGAGAAGAAATAAGGGTATTTATGTTTTTGAGTTAGTAATGTTTAATTTTTGAGAAATTCAGTCTCAGAGACAGCCTTGTAACTGCTATTTAAAATAAACTGCTTCAGACGATATTTTAAAATGAAAACTTCCTAATTTCTTGCATAGTTTTAGAACATCTAAGAGAACTTTAGAATCACTTTAGGATCATTTATAAGTTTTTTTTATTACATTTATAAGACTTGTTTTGTATTTGGGGGAGTTTTGTTAAGTCAGATCTGTTGAAATATACAAAAAGGAAATCAAATACAGTACATTTATAAAGGTGGGGGGGTTGTTTTATTTTTTTTGAGACGGAGTTTCGCTCTTGTTGCCCATGCTGGATGGAGTGCAATGGCGCAGTCTCGGCTCACTGCAACCTCCGCCTCCTGGGTTCAAGGGATTCTCCTGCCTCAGCTTAGGATTAAAGGCATGCACCACCACGCCAGGCTAATTTTGTATTTTTAGTAGAGACAGGGATTCTCCATATTGGTCAGGCTGGTCTTGAACTCCTGACCGCAGGTGATCTGCCCGCCTCGGCCTCCCAAAGTGCTGGGATTACAGGCATGAGTCACTGCGCCTGGCATTTAAATGCAGTTTTTTGTTTTGTTTTGTTTTGAGACGGAGTCTCGCTCTGTCACCCAGGCTGGAGTGCAGTGGCGATCTCAGCTCGCTGCAATCTCTGCCTCCAGGTTCACACCATTCTCCTGCCTCAGCCTCCGGAGTAGCTGGGACTACAAGCACCCGCCACCACACCCAGCTAATTTTTTTTTGTATTTTTAGTAGAGATGGGGTTTCACTGTGTTAGCCAGGATGGTCTCGATCTCCTGACCCCATGATCCACCCACCTCAGCCTCCCAAAGTGCTGGGATTATAGGCGTGAGCCACTGCACCCAGCCTAAAAGCAGTTTTTAAATGCTGCAAAAGTATTTAATCACCTCAGTAAATTCAACAGCCCCTATAAGTGATCGTTAAAAAATTTTAATGTACTTTAGGCCGGGCATAGTGACTCACTCCTGTAATCCCAGCACTTTGGGAGGCCAAGGTGGGCGGATCACCTGAGGTCCGGAGTTCGAGACCAGCCTGACTGGAACAGGAATTAAAAGAAATTAAAGAGTGTGTAAACAGAAATTCAGTTGTATGTAAGAAAACCCAATTCCCCGCTGAGAAAGAGAAAGAGCTGGAGTCCTTTAAAAATTAACTGCCTATTTTTCTGTGGCTAGTGAGCCTCATCTCTCCTCCTTTCCCAGGTATTGGAAAGACCCTGATTCCCTAGCTGTGCAGCTGCAAGGGCACTAGACAGATAAACTCAAGTCACAAAACATGTTTTTCCTTGAAAAGTAAGAAATGATGTAATGCATGTCTCAATTAATTGAATAACTGCCTTTGGTAGTATGCTTCCCCCTGCACAGATCTCCCTCCGCCCCACAAAATGTGTAAAAGGTAACTTAACTCTTTGTTCAGGGCTCAATCCTTTGGGTATTAATCCGACTGGGCTGGTGCACCTAAATGATTAATAAATATCCTCCTGAACCCCACTGGTCTCTCTGATTACTTAATAATCCTGCAACATGACCAACATGAAGAACCCCATCTCTACTAAAAAAAATACAAAAAAATTAGCTGGGTGTGGTGGCGCATGCCTGTAATCCCAGCTACTCAGGAGGCTGAAACAGGAGAATCGCTTGAACCCAGGAGGCGGAGGTTGCAGTTAGCCAAGATGGCACCATTGCACTCCAGCCTGGGCAACAAGAGCAAAATTTTGTCTCCAAAAAAAAATTAATATACTTTAAAAAAGAAAAATGTGATTTGTCAATAATCTTCAAAATCTAAGGAAAAACTTTGATATTGTAACTTTAATAAATTGAATATTAATCATTTAAATAAAAAGTAAACCCCTGAATCATCTTTTTAATATACTAAAACAACTCCAAACTCCTATCAGTGGTGGAAAACTAGGATACTTCCCAAAGAGAGGGCCTTAAGCCCTGAGGAATGCCTGTGAGATGAAGACAGCCGTAAGTCTTCTTGATCATAAAGTGCTTGAAGAAAAAGGAAGTGCTGCTTCCAGCCCAGCCCTCCAGCCTGAAGAAAGCAGAGCTGGGCAGAAAAGGCCAAGTCAGAGTCAGGACCTTGTAGGCAGGGTGGAGAACTTGAGCCAGGGTCCAGGCGGCCCCCGCAGCTCCAGGACATCAGGGAGAAGTCCATGTGGCCCAGCATCACACAGTCTTGTGAACCAGCACACCAGGAAATGGAGCCCACGACAAAGCTCTGAAGAAATCAGCCAACAGCTGTCCACTTCTGTACCCTCCGAAAAGTTACTCCTGGGTGAGGATAAGACGGTAGTATACTGGTGGTCCAGGTGAAATGAGCTGTTACTGAAGCCATTGCTTCAGCTGTGTCTGATGATGACTGGGTCTGCAGCCTGTAAATACCTCTGTCTGTGAATAATTTGCATAGGCAAAGGGGAACATCAAGGGGATTTCTGAGGGTCCTTGGTGACTCTTGTTCCCTGACCTCTCATCTGGCCTGGGTCTTGTCGACAAGAGCTGCAGGGAGAAGCTGAGGGAGGGGTGCTCTTGTGAATTCCATGGGACAAAGGGCTACACAGCAGCTGGGCTTTGGTGCCTACGTGACAAAGTTTAAAAAACAGAGGACTTGGGCAGGGGCGTGTGCCTTCCACCTGGTGTGTGGCACCAAGAAGGCTGGATAATCGAGCATTGCTTTGGGTCCCTGAGGGCTTCTGGGAGGTCATAGACACTTTGATGTTGGCTGAACCTGTTGACCTGCAGATTTTTTTAATTTAAATTTTTTTTAATTGTTTTTATTTATTTATTTGAGACAGGGCCTTGCTCCTTTGCCCAGGCTGGAGTGCAGTGGCACAGTCATGGTTCACTGCCTCCTTGACTTCCTAGGCTCAAGTGATCCTCTCAACTCAGCCTCCTGAGTAGCTAGGACTATATGTGTGCACCATCACGCTGGGCTAATTTATTTTTGTAGGGATGCGGTCTCCCTATGTTGCTTAGGCTGGTCTCCAACTCCTGAGCTCAAGTGATCCTCCCATCTCAGTCTCTCAAAGTGCTAGGATTATAAGCATTAGCCACTGCACCCAGCTAATTTGTTTTTTCTGATTGTGAATTGAATACTTCTGGAAACGGATCTATGGCCTGATTATCAATATTGGCAAGCTAGTCGCTGGCAGGAATGGCCAGTAAAGAGCTCTCCCAACCCCAAGGGCAGACATCAAGAAAGGGTCTCATAAGATAACCCATGTGTGTTATGTGGGCCAGGGCAAGAGCCAGTGAAATCTGAGTCCTTCCTTTTTACATAATCACATTTGTACCTGCAGCTCATGAAGCCCAGGGAAGCTTGAATTACAATAATAATAGCTCACATTAGTGTCATGTTTCTAGTGTACAGGAGTAATTTTGCTTCGTTATCTCAGCAAATCCCCAGGATCTCTTAATTGTCTTCAAAGAGGGCAAGTTCAACAACTTTCATTTATTTAATACTCATTCATTAAATCTTTGTTGAGCACTTCCTATGTGCCCATCACTATTCTAAATCAGTACTGCCCAAGAGAACTTTCTGCAGTAGTGGAAATGTTCAACATCTACACTGTCCAATATGGTAGTCACCAACCACATATGCCTATTGGCATGAAATATGGCTGAAGGGGCTGAGGAAATAAATTTTTAAAAATTTTATTTTAGGCCGGGCACAGTGGCTCACGCCGGTAATCCCAGCACTTTGGGAGGCCAAAGCAGGTGAATAACAAGGTCAAGAGATCAAGACCATCCTGGCCAACATGGTGAAAACCCGTCTCTACTAAAAACACAAAAATTAGCTGGGCATGATGGCGCGTGCCTGTAATCCCAGCTACTCGGGAGGCTGAGGCAGGAGAATCACTTGAACCCGGGAGGCGGAGGCTGCAGTGAGCAGAGATCACGCCACTGCACTCCAGCCTGGTGACAGAGCGAGAATCCATCTCAAAAAAAAATTGTTTTAATTAACTCATTTTAATTAAATAGCCACATGTAACTAGTGGCTACCCCATTAGACAGCTCAGTTCAAAGCACTGGGAACAAAGTGGTGACCAAGATAGACAGACGTCTAGTCTCATGGAACTGTTATTCTAGTGAAAGACAGAAACTGAACAGGTAGATAAGGAAATAAATGTATGTGTAAGAGAATAATAATGCAGGTCATGATAAGTGTTATGTAGGAAATAAAGAGGTCAAGGGGATTAAGGATGATGGAAGTGAGGAAGATGGTTTTGGGAATCAATGGTGAAGAAAACCTCTCCTGGGCAGTGAGGTTTCAAGCGCTCAAATAGCTCTACAGACCTAGAGCAATGCCAAATCCTATGCTCTCTTCACCACAAATTATCTGAAACTTCCTCTTCTTTTACATAGCCCAGCCCTGCTTCCTCTCTGAAGCTGTGGCTACTCCACCCATAATAGAAATTAACTGCTTAAAGTAGTAAAAAGAACTCTGTACAGCATGTGTAATTGAACTAGATTCACTGAACTAGAACAACTCATGGGATGTAATTCAAGCCCAACTTTATTTTTGTCTCCCTTTCCCCTTTTAAAACTTAGGTGGGGCCCTGATTTTTCTGATCACTTTGGGGAAATAAAAGCCTAAGGGTAATTTAAGTTGCAAATACAGTCTTAATTAGGTCATTAAATCTCCCCTCTTGCCAGCTGGGACCAGTCGCAGAGGAACACTTTGAAGGTGAAATCCCAACTCTCCATCCTTTACCCCAATACTAGTAAGAGATCAAAAAGTTCCAAAACATTCTGGACCACCTACTTTGAAAAAATGCACATTGGTCTGGCAATTCATTTTTACATCTGTGATCTGTTATCTTAGGGCATCAGCCGTAATCCCCAACTTAACGTGTTGCTACATAGGTAACAGTATACAAGTCAATATCAGAAAGGCAAAACTGTGCGGTGGTTAAAAGTGTGAGCTCTGGAGTCAGATTGCCAGGGTCTGAATCTCAAATTCATATTTTGCTACTTGCATGATTTTATTTTTATTTTTATTTATTTTTTCTGGAGATGGAGTCTTGCTCTGTCGCCCAGGCTGGAGTGCAATGGCTTGATCTCCTCACTGCAACCTCCACCTCCCGGGTTCAAGCAATTCTCCTGCCTCAGCCTCCCAAGTAGCTGGGACTACAGGCGCACACTGCTATGCCTGGCTAATGTTTTGTATTTTAGTAGAGACAGGGTTTCAATATGTTGCCCAGACTAGTCTTGAACTCCTGAGCTCAGGCAATCCGCCCATCTTGGCCTCCCAAAGTGCTAGGATTACAGATGTGGGCCACCGTGCTTGGCTAGTTGCATGATTTTAGACAAGTTAGTTCCTCAAAACTCAGCCTTTTCAGCAGTACAATGGTCATAATAGAGGTTCCCTCTTAAAGGGTTATTGTTAATGATTAACTGATAGAATCCATTCTAAAATGTGCTTGGCACATGGCCAGTGTTGGATCATTCTGTGTCCTCTGTAGTATCACGCAGCAGCTCTTCCTTACACATACTCTCACTTGGCCCTCCCTGGCACCTCCCTGGCATATGTAAAGCAGATTCCAGCCCCACCATTCTACAGGTGACAGCCCCAAGACTTCCAGGCCACTTAGCAGGTCCATCTCAGACCAGATCTTTCCTTTCTAGTCAAAATGTCTTGAATTATATATTTATCCTAAACTTGAACAGTGTTTTACAAAAGATGAATTTGAAAACTCAGGCATAGTCTCCAGGAACATGCAAAGGCATTGCAGGGTCATAGCAAACTAGTTCATAAAACCAGTGCACACGTCGCTGCTTATGTCTGTTCCTATCCCCTGTCTAAACACACTGGTCATAGGTCCTTCTCCTCCTGTCCACTTCTGACATCCTTTAAAATATCACAAGTAATAGCTTACATTAATACTGCACTTTACAAATGCTTTCTGATCATCCATCCCTTGCCTATATTTATTTTGCTTAGAAAGGAAGGTCGGGCAAGGTGGCTCACGCCTGTAATCCCAGCACTTTGGGAGGCTGAGGCAGGATTGCTTGAGCCCAGGAGTTCGAGATCAGCCTGGGCAGTATGTCAAGATCCTATATCTATGAAAAAAAAATTTTTTTTTTAATTATCCAAACATGGTGCTATGTGCCTGTGGTCACAGCTACTAGGGAGGCTGAGGTAGGAGGATTGCTTGAGCCCAGCAGGTCAAGATGGCAGTGAGGTTTGATTGTGCCACTTCACTCTAGCCTGAGCAACAGAGTGAAACCTTATTCCCACCCCTGCAAAAAAAAGAAAGAAAAAAGAAAGGGAGGGAGGGAGGGAGGAAGGGAGAGAGAAAAGAAGAGAGGGGGAAAGGAAGATGACAATTTCTGAAATGAACAAAACATAAGAGAAACGTTACTTTGGTAAAACTGCTCCACAAGAAAAGGGTGTTGCATTTTTCAGCTGTAGTTGCCCAAGCCAGAAAGCTCATAGTCCTGAACAAGGAACAAAATAATTTAAACATGTCACAAAGTGAATCAGGAATTTATTTTTTCTCTAAAACCCTTTCCTCCTTAACATCACAGTACTTTTGATACATTACTTTTCGGGGGATCCAAAGATGGAAGACAGTGTGTATGTGTGTGGGAGACTTTTGGGGTGACAGAAAGATGTTCCTAAAACTGAAGAATTCCTCCCCATATATATTAATCACATTTGTACCTGTGGTTCCATGAGGCCTAGGGAAGCATGTATTACACTATCTTATTTATACTACACATATTAGACTGAATGTTTATGTCTCCCCAAATTCATACATTGGAATCCCTACCCCCACCGTGATGTTATCAGAAAGCAAGGCCTCTGGGTTGTGTTAGGTCATGGGGCAGAGCCCTCATGCCCAGGATTAGTGCCCTTATGAGAGTGGCCCGAGAAACCCCTCATCCCTTTCAGTATGTGAGGAGACCATGAGAAGATGGCTGTCTATGAACCTGGAAGTGGGCCCTGTCCAGACACTGAAACTGCCAATGCCTTGATCTTGGACCCCTCAGCCTCCAGAACTGTGAGAAATAAATGTCTGTTATTATAAGCCACCCAGTCTATAGCATTTTTGTTTTTTAGAGAGGGGTCTTGCTATGTTACTCAAGCTGGACTGAAACTCCTGGACTCAAGTGTCCTCCTACCTCAGCTTCCCAAGTATCTAGGACAACAGATGCATACATACCACCATGCTCCGCTCAGTCTACAGCATTCTGTTATAGCGGCCAGAATGAACGAAGACACTATATTGCACATGTAATATAATATATGAACAAAGAACAAGTATTTTGGAAGCCAGAATTTCAATACTTATTATTTTAAGACAGGGTCTTACTCTGTCACCCAGGCTGGAGTGCAGTGGCACGATCTTGGCTCATTGCAGCCTCTACCTCTCGGGTTCAAGCGATTCTCCAGCCTCATCCCTGGAGAAGCTGGGACCACAGGCATGCACCACCACACCGCACACCCTGCCCCCCGCCACCAATTTTTGTATTTTTAGTAGAGGCAGGGTTTTGCCATGTTGCCCAGGCTGGTCTCAAACTCAGCTCAAAGAAATCAGCCCACCTTGGCCTCCCAAAGTGCTGGGATTACAGGCGTGAGCCACTGTGCCTGGCTCAATATATATTATTGATCATTCTTTTTTTTTCTTTACTTATTAAACTGCATTGGTTCACTTTCACTAATAGTCTGGATTTGATTTTATACAGCCCTAGAGCCAATGGTAGTCCATTTCATACCTTTGTGTAAATCAGAGAAAGGTACTTCTTCATCAAGACATTGTACTCTCCTCTACAGAAAATTGTCATAATGTATTGTTTTTTGGTTTTTTTTTTTGAGACAGAGTCTTGCTCTGTCACCAGGCTGGAGTGCAGTGGTACGATCTCAACTCACTGCAACCTCTGCCTCCTGGGTTCAAGCGATTCTCCTGCCTCAGCCTCCCAAGTAGCTAGGACTACAGGCGTGCGTCACCACACCCGGCTAATTTTTCTATTTTTAGTAGAGATGGGGTTTCACCATGTTGGTTGGCCAGGATGGTCTCGATCTCTTGACCTCGTGATCTGCCCACCTCAGCCTCCCAAAGTGCTGGGATTACAGGTGTGAGCCACCTGGCCTGGCCCCTTGATTTTTTTTAAGAACAAGATACTTTGTGTGGGAGACTGCCACAGTTACTACTTGAGACCATCGCTACAACAGTTACTACTGTTACTACTTGAGACAGTTACTACTGTTACTACTTGAGACAGTTACTACTGTTACTACTTGAGACAGTTACTACTGTTACTACTTGAGACCGTCTTTATGAGACTGAAAGAAGGGATGAACGTGGAAATGAAAACTTAAGACAAAAGTAACTGTTTTAAAGGAAGGGTCCAGGGGAAGAAGAAGAGAGCTCCCTGCTTCTAGTGAGCAAAGGCAGCCTCGAGCTTCTTCAGCCCTTCATATTTATTGGGTATAAAGAGCAGGGAGGAGGAGGTAGATTGGTCAGCTGCTTAATTGATCACAGGTTCACATTATTGCTAACAGGATTCAGTTGTGCCTAATCACAAGAAACACTCGTGCCTGGGTTGTGACTGCCCTCAGCATTCCTACTGGGCGGCAGGCACAGTTTGTCAGTTTACCAACATCCTGCTTTCACGAGAACAGTTTGCTGTTTGCTCATATAGCCGCCAGTGGTGCACTGAGTTGACCACGACCCTCATTCTTTCAGCCTCCAACAACTTTACTGCCATCTTCTGGAAAATTGTTTTTATTTTTGTTATAAGTACCAAATCTGTGATGTATATAATGTGAGCAACACCTCCTTAAATGTGTCCTTGTGCAGTGCACAACCCACAACCTATACAACCATATGTCACAGAGGCTATGATGTGTATGATATTGTCTAGGGAAACTGATGTGCTTGAGTATAACTATGTCCAGAGAGATAGTAGGTTCTTGTCAGAAAATTAGGGTTTCATAACCACTTATAATTACTGTAGCTTTTTCCCAAATTACTTCCAACTTCACTTACAGAAAATGTCACTTATGGATTTTATCTTTGTCTAGATTCAGGATTCTAGGGGTGGTAGGAGGATGAGTAAGAGGAAGGGAGATGGAGATCCTGAATTTGAGAAATCTACAAAAATTAGAAGCTGAGAAGCTAAATCAACAAGCATGTAGACTTGCTGAAGGAAACAGGCCAATTAAGATCTTCACCCTGGATGACCCCTTGACTTTCTTCACTGGGGTTTCAGAGAAAGTATTTAGATGCCCGTTTCAAAGTCATTACTGGATAAAGACACATTTGCAATGAAAAAGAAAGATTTTATTTGCCTTTTCTTCTCACAGTTCAATAATTTTGCATATAAGACTTGGTTTTAAAAATACAAAATGATGATTCTCAAAGTAAATGAACCACCTCAAAAAGACAAAAACCTACCATCTTCCGAAAGAACTCTCACTTTCCTCGGCATTAAACACACTCAAACCAGTGGAATCAATGGGAAACTAACAATGTTTTTGCAGAGTGACATCCCATTAGTCACAAGGGGAATTTTGAAAAGCACACGTAAGCATAACATTAATTCATTTCCCAGCATTCTGTATTGTAGTAGCCTAGAGATTTAAAAGAAATTACCTCACTTGTCTTTAAAAACTACACTCTACCTTTGAACAATTAGCAGATTGGGCACCAACTGCTCCTGCCCCGTGCAGTTGAACACTTGCCTATAAGTGACCCGCACGCAGTTCAAACTCATGTTGTTCAGAGGTCAGCTGTATGATCAGGTCACTAATGAGTCTTCAGACCATGTTTTGGGGCTTACAAACAAAGATAGTTCATTCAAAAAATTTTTTAAATGGTGTAGTCAGGTGATCTTAATAGTCTCTCCATCCTTGCAGCACTGTCCAACAGAACTGTCTGCAATAAAGGAAATGTTCTATGTCACATTCTCCAACACAGTAGCCACTATTCCTGTGTGGCAGTTGAGCACCTGGATGTGGCTAGTGTGACTGAAGAAATGAATTATTATTATTATTATTATTATTATTATTATTATTATTATTATTTAGACAGAGTCTCACTCTGTTGCCCAGGCTGGAGTGCAGTGGTGTGATCTTGGCTCACTGCAGCCTACGCCTCCTGGGTTAAAGCGATTCTCCTGCCTCAGCCTCCTGAGTAGCTGGGATTACAGGCATCCACCACCACGCCTGGCTAATTTTTATATTTTTGATAGAGATGAGGTTTCACTCTGTTGGCCAGGCTGATCTCAAACTCCTGACCTCAGGTGATCCACCTGCCTTGGCCTCCCAAAGTGCTGGGATTACAGGTGTGAGCCACCATTCTCGGCCTGAAGTTTTAATTTGATTTAATTTTGAAAAGCACACATAAGTATAACATTAATCAGAATTATTTTTAATTTAATTTACATTAATTTTTTTATAGAGACAGATCTCACTATGTTGTTCAGGCTGGTCTCCAACTCCCGGCCTCAAGTGATCCTCCTGCCTCAGCTACTCAAAATGCTGGAATTACAGGCATAAGCCACCACACCTGGCCTTCCATTTAATTTTAAACAGCCACGGCTAGTGGCTACTGTGTTAGGTGCGCAGCTTGCATATGCTCTCGTATCTGCCAGGAATGCCTTCCTTCTGGCTTATCCATTTGTGAAACTCCTACAAATGAATGGATGGATGAAGGAATGAGTGAACTTGTTACTGTTAGACCCTGTATAGAGCTGACGTGGATCAACAAAGATAATTAATGCTGAAAACATAATGCACTTAATTTCACTGTTTCTTGTCATCAAATATCTTTGTACAATATTTATTTGGTTTACTTGAGTGCTTGTTTTTTAGTGATTTTGGATGCTGAACAAGGGAGAGTTGACTTTGGGTTGGAAAGAACTTACTGGTTTCTTTTCAAGCCACATTCCAGCCTTCACTGATCCTACTTTCAAGTTGAAAAGCTAAATTCATATCTGTTATTATGAAACCAATTTAATTACTGACTCAAGCAAGTAGAAAAAATGACATGTTATACTATGGAATAAGGCTTTTTATAAGCCAGCTCTTCTGAAAGCAGCAAAAGAAAAGCCAAAGTGATGGAAATTTACTTTGCACACAGACTGCACAAACGCCCTTTTAGAAATCAGCTTTGGTGTGCATGAAAGCCTGGCTGTAACAACAGCGCAGTGTGTGAGTTCATGAACCAGCCAGCCTGTGCTGCTTTGTAAGGAAACCTTTCACAGGGCCCCACTTTGCTCCAGGCACAAGCAGGGTCATGTGGGCTGCAATTAGAGCATGCCACAGGCCAGCTTTTTACTATTTTCCATCCATAAAAGCGGCTTGTATGTTTATTAGAGTATTTTTCCACTTTTCTTTCTTCCCTCTGCTCCACTCCCTTCTGTTTTAATCAGTGATCTCTGAATACAGACTACCTTAAATCTAGAGTATTCTACTGATTCTTAAAAGTGAGACGTGACTGGGCACGGTGGCTCACGCCTGTAATCCCAGCACTTTGGGAGGCCGAGGCGGATGGATCACAAGGTCAAGAGATTGAGACCATCCTGGCCAACATGGTGAAACCCTGTCTCTACTAAAAATAGAAAAATTAGCTGGGCATGGTAGTGCACGCCTGTAGTCCCATCTTCAGGAGGCCGAAGCAGGAGAATCTCTTGAACCTAGGAGGTGAAGTTTGCAGTGAGCTGAGATCACACCATTGCACTCCAGCCTGGGCGACAGAGCGAGACTCTGTCTCAAAAAAAAAAAAAGTGAGACGTTTGTGTGAAGAGAAATCTTACTTTTGAACCTGAACTAAAATATAAATAAATACTAAGGAGCTCCCCCTTAACAATAGTTAAGATTCCATTCATTGTGAACATTGTCAAACTAGCAGGCAATAAAACGCTAGGGTGGGCCAGGTGCGGTGGCTCACGCCTGTAATCCCAGCACTTTGGGAGGCCGGGGTGGGTGGATCACAAGGTCAGGAGATTGAGACCATCCTGGCTAACATGGTGAAACCCCATCTCTACTAAAAATACAAAAAATTAGCTGGGCGTGGTGGCGGGTTACCCTGTAGTCCCAGTTACTTGGGAGGCTGAGGCAGGAGAATGGTGTGAACCTGGGAGGCAGAGCTTGCAGTGAGCTGAAATCATGCCACTGCACTCCAGCCTGGGCAACAGAGTGAGACTCCGTTCCCCCCTCCCCCAAAAAAAAGAAAAGAAAAGAAAAAAAAAAAACCGCTAGGGTGTAGTACCCAAAAGAAAGTAGATGAGGTCAAGGACTCAAAAGAAGGTAGATGAGGTCAAGGACCCAAAAGAAGGTAGATGAGGTCAAGGACTCAAAAGCAGCTACAGTGGGAAAGGCTATGCCCACCCCCTCCTTTTGCAGGTGACAAGACACAGTCCTAGAGAAGGGACCTGCCCAAAGTCACGCAATAATTCAGTAGCCATATCAGAGGAAGAGTCAGAGTCCCTGACTGAGAAAGGTAAGCTTTCCTTGGCCTTGGTCCTCAGGTTTTCCCACTAAAAAAGCCCTGTGGTGAAGGAGGATGAACGTGTTTCCCTTCTTGGGTCAGGAGACCTCTTCCAAACTTAGTATTTCACTGATAACAGTGTTTTTAAAATCTGCCTATTTTGTTTTTGTTGTTGTTAGAAGTTTTATAATTTATTTATTATTTTTTAAATAATTTCAACTTTTATTTTAGATTCAGTGGGTACGTATGCAGGTTTGTGATGTGAGTATATTGCATCATGCTGAGGTTTGGGGTACAGCTGATCCTGTCACCCAGGTAGTGAGCACAGTACCCACTAGTTAGTTTTTAAATCCATGTCCCCCCCTCCCCATTTTCTTTCTTTCTTTCTTTCTTTTTTGAGATGGAGTCTCACTCTGTCGCCCAGGCTGGAGTGCAGTGGCCCAGTCTCGGCTGACTGCAACCTCTGCCTCCTGGATTCAAGCGATTCTTCTGCCTCAGCCTCCTGAGCAGCTGAAACTATAGGCATTCGCCACCATGCCTGGCTAATTTTTGTATTTTTTGGTAGAGACAGGTTTTCGTCATGTTGCCCAGGCTGGTCTCGAACTCCTGAGCTCAGGCAATCTGCCCGTCTTGGCCTCCCAAAGTGCTGAGATTACAGGTGTGACTCACCACACCCGGCCCTTCTTTTTATTATTAAAACATCTAAGACCAGAGAGAAAATGTATTCTACACATCCATGGGGGAATGCAAGAAATATAAGGCATGACCCCTGTCTCCAAAACCTTACAATGATAATATTAGTGATTATGATAATGATGACAGTAGCGATGTCATCCAAGAGGTGGGAGGCAATGCAGACTTGAGTCTTTCTAAAATGATTGTGAGGGTACCATAATCGGGAATAAGTGGAAACCACGGAGGTGCCATTACACTGAAATAAGCACTTCACACTCACAGAGAAGACCGCCTCTTGACAAACCATAGAGATACACTTACACTCCAGATCCCAGGTCGCTCCAGAGCCCACAGACTGCTTTCCTGACGGAGACCGGATTCTTAGGGCCTCATCCCCAGAACTGAAGTTCTCTGGGTCAGATCAGATTCCTTGCTTGACAGTAAACCTTTCTCCGAACCTCATCTTTGCTCCCAAAGTCTTTATCTCTCCTTAACAGAAGAAAATAAGGTTAGAAAGGCAGGCGAAGTTCTTGGGAGGCCGAGACGGGCAGATCATTTGAGGTCAGGAGTTCGAGAGCAGTCTAGCCAACGTGGTGAAACCCCATCTCTACTAAAAATACAACAATTAACCGGCCATGGTGGCACACGCCTGTAGTCCCAGCTACTCGGGAGGCTGAGATGGGAGAATTGCTTTAACCCAGGAGGCAGAGGTTGCAGTAAGCCATTGCACTCCAGCCTGGGTGACAGAGCGAGACTCTGTCTCAAAAAAAAAAAAAAAAAAAAAAAAAAAAAGGCAGGGGAGGTTCACGATATGGAGAGTTTGAATGCAGGTAAGTAGCTGCAAAATCATGGCAAAACTGATAGGAATAGAAACTGAAGTTTGCTTATACCCAAAAAACAGTAAACTCAACACAATTGTTAGAAATTCCTCTGAAATATCCTGTTTAAAAAAATTTTTTTAGAGGCAAGGTCTTGCTCTGTCACCCAGGCCGGAGTGGAGTGGTGTGATTATAGGTCACTGCAGCTTCATACTCCTGGGTTCAAGTGATCCCCCCTGCCTCAGCCTCCCTAGTAGCTGGTACCGCAGTTGCACACCACCAAACTTAGCTAATTTTTTTTTTTTTTGAGACAGTCTTGCTCTGTCGCCCAGGCTGGAGTGCAGTGGCATGATCTTGGCTTACTGCAGCCTCCACTTCCCAGGTTGAAGCAATTCTTTAGCCTCAGCCTCCCGAGTAGCTGGGATTACAGGCGTCCACTACCGCACCTGGCTAATTTTTTGGGTATTTTTAGTAGAGACGGGGTTTCATCATGTTGCCCAGGCTTGTCTCAAACTCCTGACCTCAAGTGATCCACCCGTCTCAGCCTCCCAAAGGTAGGATTATAGGCGTGAGCCACCACACCTGGCCTCAGCTAATTTTTTAATTTTTAATTTTGTTTATTTTTTTGTAGAGACAGGGTTTTCCTATGTTGTCCAGGCTGGTCTTGAATTCCTGAGCTCAAGCAATTCTCTTGCCTCGGCCTCCCAAAGCACTGGGATTATAGACATGAGCTACTATGCCCACCCAACTGAGAGACTTGTTTTTTACTGAATCATCATCTCTGCATGGAAAATTAAAAAGAAAATGGAAGACATAACAAGTATGTGGATAATTCTAAATGTTTACATAAGTCAACTAAACTATTGGGTTATTCTTTGTTGTAGACATTAAGAATTTTCAGTAGTAATAAGGCTGGGAGCATGACTGTGGCATTTTAAAACCAGATTTAAGTGGAAAGAATGATCCAAGACAAAAATCAAGATTAAACAAAGAAAGAAGAGGCAAAAGCAACCAACTGCTTTGCACTAACTGTATGACTGCGTTACTTTACCATTAGAAGGCCAGGAGCTTGGCTTTTTCATCCTTTAAGTCACGAATGGTGCTAAGTCATTATCTATCTTACCTAGTTCCTCTCTGACAAACAATATGCTATGAAATTAACAGTCGGACTTTAGTGAGTAGTCCTTTCTTTAAAAATAGACTTCCTTAGGGCCGGGCGCAGTGGCTCACGCCTGTAATCCCAGCACTTTGGGAGGCCGAGAGGGGCGGATCACGAGGTCAGGAGATGGAGACCATCCTGGCTAACACAGTGAAACCCCGTCTCTACTAAAAATACAAAAAAATTAGCCGGACGTGGTGGCGGGCGCCTGTAGTTTCAGCTACCCGGGAGGTTGAGGCAGGAGAATGGCGTGAACTCGGGAGGCGGAGCTTGCAGTGAGCCGAGATCGTGCCACTGCGCTCCACCCTGGGCGACAGAGTGAGACTCCGCCTCAAAAAAAAAAACAACAAAAAAAGGCTTCCTTAGATAAACTGCGCTTTAGTTTATATGCTGCCATTAGGGCCTGTGATAGTAGGGACACAACTTGAAATGCCCCATGGTTTCCTGTATGCTACATACTAATTCCGACTTGCTAAAGGCTGCGGTTTTTGTGGTGTGAGTGGACATAGGACTCTTTCATCAGGGTAATTTATAGTCCAATGTCCATTTGTTTTAGAACAGACTGAAATTGCTGGCAGGCTAAAGTTAATTTGTAATTTGCAAGTAAGAAATCTTGCAAGCCTGGTTTCAAAGTCTGATTTTGGGTTAAAGTGTGAGTACACTGTGTAGTCACAATTTAGGATCTAAAGATCCTGTCCAAAGGCCATGAGTATGATTTCCCTGGACTTGATTGGTGACAGTTAGAAAAACAGTGTTTTTCATATTAAAGAATATGGGTCTCGGCCAGGCGCGGTGGCTCATGCCTGTAATCCCAACACTTTGGGAGGCCGAGGCAGGCAGATCACGAGGTCAGGAGATTGAAACCATCCTGGCCAACATGGTAAAACCCCGTCTCTACTAAAAATACAAAAAATTAGCCGGGCATGGTGGCGGGCGCCTGTAATTCCAACTATTCGGGAGGCTAAGGCAGGAGAACGGCGTGAGGCCAGGAGGCGGAGCTTGCAGTGAGCCGAGATCACACCATCACATTCCAGCCTGGGTGACAAGAGTGAGACTCAGTCTCAAAAAAAAAAAAAAAAAAGAATATGGGTCTCACTTAGGTGACTCTTAAGGGAGAGAGTACAGTACATTTGAGGCAGAATATGTGAAATTGGGCCTACCTATTGTCTTTCTTACTTTTTTTTTTTTTTTGAGACAGTCTCATTCTTGTCACCCAGGCTGGAGTGCAATGGCATGATCTTAGCTCACTGCAACCTCCACCTCCCAGGTTCAAGCGATTCTCGTGCCTCAGCCTCCCGAGTAGTTGGGATTACAGGCACCTGCCACCACGCTCGGCTAATTTTTGCTTTTTAGTAAAGAAGGGGTTTCACCATGTTGGCCATGGCTGGTCTTGAACTCCTGACCTCAAGTGATCCACCCACCTCGGCCTCCCAAAGTGCTGGCATCCATCTCAAAAAAAAAAAAAGACCACCATTGTGTGGTGTTTTGTTATGGCAGCCCTAGAAAACTCATATACCAGGGACTAGGGAAAGCCTCCTAGAGAAAGGAATGGCCAGGCTAAGATGACTGTAGGAAAGCCCATTTTAGGACAAGAGAATAGCATGTGTGAAGGCCTAGAGGTGAGAGAGGTTATGGTACCTTGCAGTGACTTGAAACACGCTAAGTATGGCTGGAGCATAATAAATAAGAGAGGAGGCGAAGGGAGATACCATGGACAGTGAAACTTCAATGGGTAGCTGTCATTTTTGGCTGCCCAACATCTGAACACACTTTCCACTTTATGAGAATCCCTAAATAGGTGGGAGGAGGGTTAAAGTGAGCAGATACCCCATCTTTGAGCTCCTGGCAGCTACAACACGGTACACTGACCTACACACAGCCAACTTGTGTTCCTATCCAGGACTCTGACTTGGGAGGTAGGCAGATAAAGGGGAGGATGGTTAAAAATGGTTCACAGAGCCTGTGGGAGATCCCTGTGTCCAGTGGGGCAGAAAGTGCCCAAAAGAAGAGTGCAGCTGTGTGGCAACCAGTGTCCAATGGCAAGATGGCAGGTGTCAAGTGGAGATCCTGCCCACAACCTCTGACTAAGTGGGGTGACCAACTTGTCCTGAGGAAACTGGGAGGATTGGTCTCTGTCACATAAGCAGATGGTCCCTGTGTTAGGGTTTTGACTGTGCCTTACCTCCCTGAGCTTCTGTTGTTTTTCCAAGCCAGTTCCTTAGCCTTCTGGACAATTCTATGAGTTACTTGATATCTTTCCAAAAAGACTCCTTTTCTGCTTAATCAACAAGAATTGGCTTTTCTTGGCTGCAACAAAGAATCCTGAGTAGTTCCACAGGGGTCAGTCATCCTGTGAAGGGCCTTCTAAGCCACACTATGGAGTTTAGACTTGGTCCAAAAGTCAAGGTGTCGCGGGGAGTGGGGACCGTGTGGAGAATCCATTGAGTGAGAGCAAGCTGGAAGACAGAAGAGTAGAGAGAAAGCAGGGAGAAAAGGCTGTGGTAACAAGGCAGGTGAGAGAAGAGGCTGCCTGGACCCTCTAGGTTGTAGGGGGAAGGAGAGAGGTGCAATGATTGGAGAGAAATGCAGCAGGTCGGTTCAAATTATTGATGAATGTCAGACAGCCAAGAACCAAAAACACTGACCTCCCACTGACCTCAGGGAAACCATGACAGCATCAGCCTCACGTAGGAAACCAGCCTGCAGGGGCCCATCCTCCACCACCTTCGCTGAATAAATGTTCCCAGGCTGGTGCTCACTCATTCCTGGCTGCAACTGCATCACCAGCTGACCTGGGTGAAAAAGGAAGAGTAACAAGCCTCTTGCCAGAGCCACTGAGCCTCACTTGCAGGCCATAGCCAAATTCTGTTAGAAGTGTATGTCAGGTCTAAATCCACCTCCTCTCACACCTCTGTTGTCCTTGGTCACCACCCAGACTACAGGTCATTCTGGTCAGCAACATATCCTGGTCCAATCTCCCCTCAAGCCCACTGGAATTTCTGTTTTGTGATTAGCAGATGCCCCATATCTTCCACTTATTTTCCCAATATTCTCCTCACTTCTGCTTTCACAGAAAACTGGTAGTCTTTTGAGGATACTGTTTCCCTTGGAGCCCTATCAGGTGAAGGTTATTTATTCTTTCACAGCTCAGGGATGTCTGAGTCAGAAGGCAGGGTTGGTGGTTTCTCCTTGGTTTTTCCACCCTCTTGCAGATCTGCTGCTGTGAATCTTAGGCCACCTGGTATACCCTTTTCCAAATCTCTTCCAGCTTCCTGTTTGCTTTCCCTCAGTCTTTGCCGCCTGGCTCACAGCGACCTCTCCACTTATTCCAGTGGCTTCAAACCTTGGACTCCTTATCTCAAATGGCTTCCTCCAGACCACACCCTTCATCAAACCCTGAACCTTGTTACCAACTCAAAACTGTTCTACTTCCGGCCGGGCGCAGTGGCTCACGCCTGTAATCCCAGCACTTTGGGAGGCCGAGGCAGGCAGATCATGAGGTCAGGAGATTGAGACCATCCTGGCTAACATGGTGAAACCCCGTCTCTACTAAAAATGCAAAAAAAAATTAGCTGGGCGTGGTGGCGGGTGCCTGTAGTCCCAGCTACTTGGGAGGCTGAGGCAGGAGAATGGCATGAACCCGGGAGGCAGAGCTGGCAGTGAGCCGAGATCGAGCCACTGCACTCCAGCTGGGGTGACAGAGTGAGACTCCGTCTCAAAAACAAACAAACAAACAAACAAACAAACAAAAAACTGTTCCACTTCCATGATCACTAATTCAAAAAGCTGAAGTAACTCTACTGCAACTGTTCTAACTTCATCAGGACCTCTAATCTAACTCCTCCACTTTCTTCCTATTCATTAGCCCCACTCATTTCTTATATTTATATTAAATTAATATAAATAATACAATAAATTTAATATAAATTGTTATTTATATTAAATTTCATGTCTATGATGATAAGAGTCCTTTCTTGGCAACTGCCCAACAAATTTCAACCTTGGGTACATTTTCCCATCTGCCTTTTCCATGTCTGTACCTGATGAAGATCAGTGGAAAAAATGGGGTTACGAGAGTATCAGAAAAGGCTTCACTATAAACTCACAATTGTTGGTGTCAATTGAGCACCTAAACTTACCAAGCAATGTTAGTGTATTTCTCTAGTTAACATCTCTCCTCTTCTCTGCTTATTCTAGACCTTCTTCACCTTTTTTCAACCTTGGAACCTCTTCCATTCTCCTCCCTCTTAGCCGTCTCCCCTGTACCTTCGAACTCTTTCAACTGGATTATTTCCATGAGTATTAATTAAAACGTGCTCTAATTATCTTCTATCTTTTAAAACAAACCAACAGAAACTCTCCTTGGGCTCGTTTGCCATCTACCAGTGCCTTATCTCTTTCTTCTCATTCACAGTCAGCCTTCTTGAGTTTCAGTGTCCAGCTACTACTTCATCACCAATTACCCATGCAACTCTGTGAAGTCAGGCGTATACATCACTGTTTCATTGAAAGAGCTCTTGTTAAATGAACAGTGACCTTCATATGGCTAAAGAACATGAAATGTCTTTGGTTCAACTTACTTGACCTTTCCTGGGCATACAACACGGTCGTCACTCCCTCCTTTTTGACTTTTTTGTTTTCTAATTCAGAGTGCCAGAATTCAAATGACACATTTTCTTCCTTTAGCTTCCATTACCTTCACTTTCCTGGTTTTGCTCAAATATGTCTGACCATTAAACAGAATCATTAGGGGCTCCTCTTCTACAAAATCTTTTTTTTCTTTTTTTTTTGAGTCGGAGTCTCACTCTGTTGCCCAGGCTGGAGAGCAGTCACACAATATCAGCTCACTGCAACCTCCGCCTCCCGGGTTCACATGATTCTCCTGCCTCAGCCTCCCGAGTAGCTGGGACTACAGGCGCGCACCACCATGCCTGGCTAATTTTTTGTATTTTTAGTAGAGATGGGGTTTCACCATGTTAGCCAGGATGGTCTGATCTCCTGACCTCATGATCCGCCTGCCTCGGCCTCCCAAAGTGCTGGGATTACAGGTGTGAGCCACCGCGCCCGGCCTACAAAATCTTTAAATATTACTTTTTCATTACTCAATTTTAGACTCTCCTCTATATCCTCCTTCACTGTAAGCAATCTCACTCACTCCTACGCTTAAATCCATGTTTTAGGAGCTAGTGGATAACAAGTGTGTATCTCTAGACAGGATCTTTCTTTTTCTTTTTTCTTTTTTTTTTTTTTTAGACAGAGTCTCGCTCTGTTGCCCAGGCTAGAGTGCAGTGGCGCGATCTTGGCTCACTGCAACTTCCCAGGTTCCAGTGATTCTTCTGCCTCAACCTTCTGAGTAGCTGGGACTACAGGCATGTGCCACCATGCCTGGCTAATTTTTGTATTTTTAGTAGGCATGGGGTTTTACCTTGTGGGCCAAGCTGGTCTCAAACTCCTGACCTCATGATCCGCCCACCTCGGCCTCCCAAAGTGCTGGGATTACAGGTGTCAGCCACCGCACCTGGCCTCTTTTTCTTTTTAAGAGATAGAGTCTCACTCTGTTGTCCAGGCTGGAGTGCAGTGGCATGATCATGGCTCAACACAGCTTCCAAACTCCTGGGCTCAAGGGATCCTCCTGCCTCAGCCTCCTGAGTAGCTAAGACTACAGGTGTGGACCATCACACCTGGCTCATTTTTATTTATATGTAGAGACAGGGTCTTGCTATGCTGCCCAGGCTGGTCTTGGACTCCTGGCCTCAAGCAATCCTCCCACCTTGGCACCGAAGTGCAGGTACAGATGTGAGCCACCATACCAGGCCTGAGGATCTTTTCTCTGAGCTTTATTAATACAATTGTATATACTCAGCAGCTGCCTAGTCAACATCTCTATTTGCATATTTTACAGGCATCTGAAACTCAACATATTCAAAACTAAACTCATTTTCTCTCTCAAACTTGCATCTCCTCCAGTATTCTCCATGGTAATACATGGTGCTAGCATTCATCCCATTACTCATGCCAAACTTGGGATTCATGCTTGCTGCTTACTACCCATTCACCCCCAACTCTCTATATAATTAATTACAAGTCCTGACAATTCATTCGATTAACAATTATTGAGAGTCAACTAGTTCCAGGCACTTTTCTAAGTACTGGAGATACAGTCTAGAACAAAAAAGACAAAAACGCCCATTCTCTGTGGAGCTTGAATTTCAGTAATATAAGCTAGGTGACCCTAACATTTTGCCTGGCAATAATAGGTGTGTTCATTAAATGCTAGCTACATAATGATGTTTAAAATGAAGGTGAATGAGCACTCCCTGGGCAAGTAACTGTATCACACCCAAAGAGCAACCAAGTTGAGGCCGGGTGCGGTGGCTCACGCCTGTAACCTCAGCACTTTGGGAGGCAGAGGCGGGCAGATCACAAGAGGTCAGGAGTTCGAGACCAGCCTGGCCAACATGGTGAAACCCCATTTCTACTAAAAATACAAACAATAGCTGGGTGTGCTGGCTTATGCCTGTAGTCCCAGCTACTCAGGAGGCTGAGGCAGGAGAATCATTTGTACCCGGGAGGCAGAGGTTGCAGTGAGCTGAGATGGTGCCAGTGCACTCCAGCCTGGGTTACAGAGTGAGACTCTGTCTCAAAAAAAAAAAAAAAAAAGTAACCAAGTTGAAGTAACTTGAATTTGTTTCTAATTAAAAAGATTTTTTTGAGGAGACTGAAAATTTACAGTTTGGAGATCCAGAGATAATGGAAATTGTGTCTATAGAGGGACAGTAACTTGAAATAAGGCTCCCCGGTATTCACTAATTAATTCAACAAATATTTCTTGGAACAACTGCTATGAGCTGGGTATAGTATGGCTAGATACTATTCAGAATCATGTTAGATTTTACCCTACTTGCAAGCTAACAAGCTCATCTAACAGCTCCACAAATGATGGCAGAAAACACCTGAGTCAGAGAGAAAGGGCTTTATTTTTCACAGCACAGCCAGTAGCCTGGGCTTCATATTCCCTTCGGTTCCCCTTTCCCTTCCAAGTCCCATGGGGACAGTCCAGGTGGATGCTGCACATGTGATTGGTTTTACCGCCCAGGTACACCAAGTTTAGGAAAGCCCAGTCTTGAACAGTGAACTGCAAGCCAACATGCTCAGCCTTTGCCCCAGAAGGTGACACTCTCTTTATTAAACTGAACAGCAACAAACCTGTCTTTTGTTCCAGAAGCAGACAATTATCTTAATCTTCCAAAGCTGTTCCTTGAAAGGGTATATTAATCAGAATTCCCTACAGAAACAGATCCAATAGGATGCATATTGCAGAGAGAGATTTATTTGAAGGAATTGGCTCAATCAATTGGAGGCTGGTGTTAGATATGAGTTCTAAATTTCTCTTCGAAGAATCAATGTCAGTATGTTCAATTCTTTGTCTTCTACTTTTAAACTTAACTTCTGGCCAGATGCGGTGGCTCACACCTGTAATCCCAGGAGGCCGAGGCGGGAAGATCATGAAGTCAGGAGATGGAGGCCATCCTAACACGGTGAAATCCATCTCTACTAAAAATACAAAAAATAAGCCGGGTGTGGTGGCGGGCACCTGTAGTCCCAGCTACTCGGGAGGCTTAGGCAGGAGAATGGAGCAAACCCAGGAGGCAGAGCTTGCAGTGAGCCGAGATGCCGCCACTGCACTCCAGTCTAGGCTATAGAGCGAGACTCTGTCTCAATTAAAAAAAACAAAACAAAACAAAAAAAGCTTAACTTCCTCGTAAAGCAATCTTTTTCAACTACCTGCTCCACCCTGACTCATTCTGATTACCTGCTCTGCCCTGACTCATTCTCCACCCTGACTCATTCCGATTTCCTGCTCTGCCATAACTATTTTTCCCACCAAACCACTTACCCGGTCACTCTCTTTAAATTAGTCAATCAGAATTAGTTTAGCCTGTGCCGTCTAACCTTAGCCAACAGGGGAAGGACACAGCAGCAGGTGCCACAAGCGTCAGGAATAAAAACCCCTTCGCCTCCCTTGTCCAGGTGTGTGCTCACCATTGCTCCATCTGTGAGGGCGCACCCTTCTATAGAAGTAAATTGCCTTGCTGAGAAGGAAAAAAGAAAATTTTATAGTTGAGTGCTATTTCTTTTGCGGCACCAAAACTTTATTTATAATGCTGGCAAGCCTAAAATTTGTAGGTCAAGTTAGAGACCCAGGAAAGAGCTGAAGGCAGTCTGGGGGCAGGATTCCTTCTTCCTCAGAGGACCTTAGTCTTTTCTCTTATGACCTTCCCTTGACGGGATGAGGCCAACCCACCTTGTGGAGGACCAACTGCTTTACTCAAGTCTAATTTAACTGTTAATCACATCTTAAAAAATACCAGCTATCATAGTACTCCAGAACAAAGGCAGTCAGTGTCTCTGCTCACAAAACACGGGAAAGTGCAGGTGACCCATGGAGAATTGTCCCCCAACACTATGTTTTTTCTTTTTTTGGATGGAGTTTCGCTCTTGTCACCCAGGCTGGAGTGCAATACCACCATCTTGGCTCACTGCAACCTCTACCTCCTGGGTTCAAGAGATTCTCCTGCCTTAGCCTCCTGAGTAGCTGGGATTTATTACAGGCGCCTGCCACCTCGCCGGGCTAATTTTTGTATTTTTAGTAGAGACAGGGTTTCACCACGTTGGCCAGGCTGGTCTCCAACTCCTCACCTCAGGTGATCCGCCAGCCTCAGCCTCCCAAAGTGCTGGGATTATAGGCATGAGCCACTGCGCCCGGCCAACACTACTTATTTTATAAAAACTCATTAATTACTGGTGTCTTTAGACTCCCTCTGTCCCTCCCCTCCATCCCCAACATTTACTTTTAAAATTTAAGACAAAACTTAAACATTAAACAATTATGAATTTAATTCCCCCATTTATATTACATTGATTAAGCTTTACACTATGACCCAGGTTCTAGGTGGTTGGGACACAATGGTTCAATCCCTGTCTAGTAAATAAAACGGACACCTTAAGCGCTACAATCAAGGTGCGCACGGGGTGCTACAGAACAATACGCAGACAGGAGGAGGTGGGGGGAAAGGTGAGACTTCCCAGGCAGGTGTCATCCCAGAATAACTTTTACACAGGGTGACTAAGCGAGTTAGTGACTGCGCGGAAAACGGGCTTCCAAGGTTCACAAGGCTCGTGCTGCGGCTCCGGGAGTTATGTCACAGTAAGCTTACTATCATCCTTTGGGCATCTGCTTTACGGATGAGTTCATCAGGATTTAAAGGATCTTGGTTCCATATCCTTCCCCTTCCTCACAGAGGCCGCCAGCCCGGAGCCCCTCTAGGCCCTCCTCCCTCCTGCATCTACTGGCCGCGAGCCTTTCCCTCCCCGCCCCCTTCACACAGGCCGCCCCCAGCCTCCCAACCCCCCGGTTCCGTTCCACGGGAGGCCCCGGCCTCCCTGCCCTCTCCTCCACCGTTCTACCCGCATCGCCCGGCTTCCCGCAAGCCGCTGGCACCGTCCCCTCAACACCCTCCGCCCACCGCCACTCCCTTCCACTGAGGGGGACCGGGCTGCCTTCTCTCTGACCCGCCGTTCTCCGCCCCCACCCACTTCCCCAGGCCTCCCGCACCACCCCCTTCCCGCCGCGCTCTCTCCCGCCCCCGCGCTTCCGGCCCCGCCCGCCCCCGCGCGGAGGACTGTGGGAGCGGCTTCCTTGGATTCCGCGCTTGGCAACGGCTCGGCGTCGCGCTTTGGCCAACCGCTGCGTCGTCCCTGGGCCCGAATAACTGTCGCCCGCTTCCCTCAGCGTGAGGTAGGAGAAGGGCGCTGGGGCCTAGTGCCTCAGGGCCCCTGGCAGCCGTGCCCCTGCGGCGTCCTGTGTGGCGCATCCCGCCGAGGGCCTCTTCGCCCGTCTCCTGCCCGCCCCTGTCGGCCCCGGGGCGGTCTGAGGCGGGGCCCCAGATGGACTCGGCCTGCCCCTGCTTTTCTTCCTCAGGCTCCCGAGTTGTCTACTCAGAAACGCGGGCGTTGTTTCTCACATCGGTGTCCCCAGCTCACAGGCTTTTCTTGCTCCTCTGAACTGGGACGGGCGTCGCTGACCGCTTGGCGATGTCCCAAGTCCCAGTCACGCCTGACGGGGAAACTTAAAACCCAGTTAGATTACTGCGCCAGCTCTGGAATCGCACAGCAGAGATGGTGCACATCGCTCTTTAATTTTCTTGTTAGGTGAAGCACTTCAAATTGCCTGATGAAAGTTGAATCAGGAATGAAGATAAAAGTACACAACAATGCAGAAAGCGGTACTTAGCCTCACAAAGATGGAAACATTCCAAAAACGTGAAGTACTGTTGTCCCAAGATTCTTTCTAAGCCTAAAATTACACTTTTACTAGTCCGATTTTCTGGTTGTGAGTTTTTTTTGTTTGTTTTTTTTTTTTCGAGAAACTGCAGTAGGCTTCTTGGAAGTAGACCAAGGGTGTCCAATCTTTGGCTTCCCTGGGCCACATCGGAAGAAGAATTGTCTTGGGCCACACATGAAATTCACAAACACTAAGGTAGCCGATGAGCTTTAAAAAAAATCGCAAAAAAGAATCTCATAATGCTTCCAGAAAGTTTACGAATTTGTGTTGGGCCACATTCAAAGCCGTCCTGTGCCACGTGCGGGCCGGGGTTGGAAAAGCTTGAAGTAGACTGTCCATAGTCAGTAGAAGAGTATTAAAAAACATACCTTTCACTTAAAAAAAAAAAAGGTTTTGCCAGCATTTGATTTATATTAAACATAGGTGGCATCATCCCCAGATTATTTCAACATGGAAAAGTTTGTTACATGTATAAGCTGCTTTGGAAATTGCCTGGAGAATCCAGAAACCCTGGGTTGTATAACAACAGTTGTTCTGCCACCCATAGCTATTAGCCATGCTTGATTCCCTTCAACTTTCCTGGCCTCACTTTCCACATCTTTTAATATTTGTATGTTCCACAAGATGTCTATTCAACTAAAGTCTCAAGTCAAACCTTTTAAAAATCTGGTTACAACCTAGCAGAAAGGATTTCTCATTCTAAAAGTTGCTTCCTTCTATAACTTATGTGTCAACTAAGCTGACTTAAATAGGGTTCATAATCAGAAATTATGGTTCAGAATAGTGGTTCTCAAAGTGGTCCCCAGACCAGTAGCCTCAGCATCACTTGGGTTTAAGAACCACTGGTTTAGTATTATCTGAGCTAAAGCTTTTAATTAAAAATATTTTATATATCTTTTACCAGTGACTTTTAATACCTTTTTTTTTCTTTTTGAGACGGAGTCGCACGCTCTGTTGCCCAGGCTGGAGTGCAGTGGCGGCAATCTCGGTTTACTGCAAGCTCCGCCTCCCGGGTTCATGCCATTCTCCTGCCTCAGCCTCCCGAGTAGCTGGGACTACAGGCGCCCGCCACCATGCCCAGCTAATTTTTTGTATTTTTAGTAGAGACGGGGTTTCACCGTGTTAGCCAGGATGGTCTCGATCTCCTGACCTCGTGATCCGCCCGCCTCGGCCTCCCAGAGTGTTGGGATTACAAGCGTGAGCCACGACGCCTGGCCCTTTTAATAACCTTTTGAAGCTATTTTGGAATGCCATTTCTATGTGGGTGACATTTGCCCTCATAGTAGTTAATTTTCATCTTCAAAAAGTAATGAGAAATTAACTCAAAATGGATCAATGACCTAAATATAAGAGCTAAAACTGTTAGAAAAAAAGCATAGGTATAAATATTCTTGACCTTAGATTAGGCAGTTCTTTCTTAGATATGATACCAAAAGTACGTGCAACCAAAGGAAAAATAAATTGTATATCATCAAAATTTAAAACTTTTGGCCAGGCGTGGTGGCTCACGCCTGTAATCCCAGCACTTTGGGAGGCCGAGCCGGGCGGATCACGAGGTCAGGAGATCGAGACCATCCTGGCTAACACGGTGAAACCCCGTCTCTACTAAAAATACAAAAAATTAGCCGGGCGTGGTGGCGGGCGCCTGTAGTCCCAGCTGCTGGAGAGGCTGAGGCAGGAGAATGGCGTGAACTCGGGAGGCGGAGCTTTCAGTGAGCCGAGATCGCGCCACTGCACTCCAGCCTGGGTGACAGAGCGAGACTCCGTCCCAAAAAAAAAAAAAATTTTTTTAAACTTTTGTGCTTCAGAGGATAGTACAAAGAATGTAAAATGATGTACAGAATGGGAGAAAGTATTTGTAAATCATTTATATAATGTTTAGTATCAGGAATATATACAGGATCCTTATAATTCATGTGATAACCTGATTTTTGGGAATGAGCTGGCCGGGCGCGGTGGTTCACGCCTGTAATCCCAGCACTCTGGGAGGCCGAGGTGGGCGGATCACAAGGTCAGGAGATCGAGACCATACCGGCTAATACGGTGAAACCCCATCTCTACTAAAAATAAAAATAAAAATAAAAATAAAAAAATTAGCCGGGCTTGGTGGCGGGTGCCTGTAGTCCCAGCTACTCGAGAGGCTGAGGCAGGAGAATGGCGTGAAACTGGGAGGCGGAGCTTGCAGTGAGCCGCGCCACTGCCCTCTAGCCTAGGCGACAGAGCAAGATTCCGTCTCAAAAAAAAAAAAAAATGAGCAAAAGATCTGAACAGACATTTCTCCAAAGAGATATAGAAATGGATAATAAGCAGATGAAAAGATACTCAACATCATTAGTCATCAGGGGAATGCAAGTCAATACTACAATGAGATACCATTTCATACTCACTAGAATTGCAATAATCAAAAACAGGAACAGTAACAGATGTTGGCTAGGACATGGATAAATTGGAAACTTCATGCATTGCAGGTGGGATGTAAAATAGTGCAGCCACTTTGGAAAACAGTCTAGCTGTTCCTCCAAAAGTTAAACATAGAGTTACTATATGATCCAGCAATTCCTTTACTAGATATATTCCCAATAGAATTGGACCTATATATGCATGCTAAAACTTGTACACACACATTCATAGTGATGTTATTCATAAAAGTCAAAAAGTGGAAACAATTCAAATGTCCATTAACTAATGAATGGATAAGCAAAATGTTGCAGATGTATTTAGCCATAAAAAGTAATGAAATATTGATACATACTACTGCGTGGATGAACCTTGGAAGCATTATGCTAAGTGAAAGAGACCAGACACAAAAGGCTACATATTGTGTAATTTCCTTAATATGAAATGTCCAGAATTGGCAAATCCATAGAGACAGAAAATGGTTGCCAGGGACTGGGGAAAGGGAAGGGAGGCATGGAGAGCTGCTAACAGGCCCCATATTTCTTTATGGGATGATGAAAGTGTTCTGGAATTACATACTGGGGATGGTTGCACAACCTTGTGAATATACTAAAAACCACTGCACCTTGAAAAGTTAAATTGTATGGTATATGAATTATAGTTCAAAAACTAATAATTTTGTTAGTATTTAAAATATATAAATAATTTTTAAAGGTTATGAGAAGCCACATATATGTGGTATTATGCTGAGAAAAAGATTAAGCTGAAAATTTATTTTTTATTTATTTATTTTTATTATTTATTTATTTTTTGAGACAGAGTCTGGCTCTGTCGCCTAGGCAGGGGTGTGGTGGCACAATCTCGGCCCACTGCAACCTCCGCCTCCCAGGTTCAGGCCATTCTCCTGCCTCAGCCTCCTGAGTACCTGGGATTACAGGTGCCTGCTATCATGCCCGGCTAATTTTTTTGTATTTTTAGTAGAGACGGGGTTTCACCATATTAGCCAGGATGGTCTCGATCTCCTGACCTCGTGATCTGCCTGCCTCGGCCTCCCAAAGTGCTGGGATTATAGGCGTGAGCCACTGCGCCCAGCCTAAGCTGAAAATTTCTTAGGAATTTGCTGGTGCACTTAAAATGTACAGGCCTTAAGAAAATATGTATTTGCTTTAAAGAAAATACATTTCTTGAATACTAGCAATACTACATTTCTTGGGTAATTAGCCTTCCTCCACCTCCCACCCCTCAAATTGCCTAAAATATTGACTTGATTTGAATGATACTTCCAGGAATCCTTGCCAGATTCTTTAGTAATTATTAGATTTACAGTATATCTATATGGTAATTTCATTTCTCCCATGCTTCTGTCCAAGTCAAAATGTAGAGATGAATCTTGAAATTTTACATTTTTATTTGGGAAGAAAGAATTGCAGTTTGAGGACCAGGTGGTCTTTGGTATGTCCAAAGAACAAAGAGAAGGTTGGAGGTTTATCAAAAGGAGAAGTGTCATGTAGTGCTCTTTGAGAAAGTTCACTGGAACTAGTGAGGTTCTGGGAAGCTGGCAAGTTCTAATTGGTGGGTAGCTGTGGTGGGCACAATTAGTCCTATATTTGCAGCAAGTTATCTCAGCAGCTATAAATAAAATTGGCCTCAGGTTTTAGCAGCCAGTTTCAGCAGCCAGACTTGCAGAGAATTCCATTCTTCAAGCAATGTTATGTGTCCTGAGTGCCTCCCCACCAACACACCCCAGCTTCTTGACTCTGTTTTAGTTGGGTATGACAAGAATGACTCAAATTTGTATGATCAGCTTTCACTCTTCTGTTTCATTTTGCTTTGATATCTTTTTTTCTGTCTTGCATTTTTTCCCTCAACATTTCATTATGAAAATTTTCAAACATGCAGCAAGGTTTAAAGAATTTTATGTTGAATGTTACTCCTGCTACCTAGATTCCACCATTAACCTTTTTCTATAGCTGCTTTATCATGTACTTATCCATTTACCTATCTCTCAATCCATCTATCAAGCCATCTTTTTTTTTAGAGACAGAGTCTCACTCTGTCACCCAGGTTGGAGTGCAGTGGCATGATCTCAGCTCACTGCAACCTCTGCCTCCTGGGTTCAAGCGATTCTCGTGCCTCAGCCTCCCAAATAGCTGGAATTACAGATGTGCACCACCATGCCCGGCTAGTTTTTGTATTTTTAGTAGCGATGGGGTTTCACCATCTTGACCAAGCTGGTCTCAAACTCCTGACCTCAAGTAATCCACCCGTCTTGGCCCTCCAAAGTCCTGAAATTACAGGCATGAGCTACGGCGCCCGGCCTAAGCTGTCTTATTTTATGTATTTTAAGCTAAATTACAGCTATTACATGTTCCCTGAAATAACAGCATGCGTATCAATTATATAGTTCAATATTTGTTTATAGTTCTTACTTTTGAGGTAAAATTTACAAAGCAGAAATCGCAGTGTATATTTGCTGAGTTTTCACAAATGCATACACTTGTGCGACTCAAACCCCTGCCAAGATACAGAACATTTATCATCACCCCAGAAAATTCTCTCATGTCCCTTTCCATTCAATCCCTAACCCCCATCCCCAAGAAGCGATCTCAGTTCTGATGGTTTTCTACCGCAAATTAGCTTTGCCTGTTTGAGAACTTCATATAAAGGAAACAGTGCATAATGTACACTCTATGTAAGGCTTCTTTCACTCAGCATAATTGGGATTCTTTTTTATTGCTGGATAGTACTTCATTGCGTAAGTATGCCACATTTTGCTTGTCCATTTTACTGATGGGTATCTGGTTTGTTTCTGATTTTTCAGTATTATGAATAAAGCTATGACAAAGAAAAGAAAGGTTTAATTTGAAGAATGAGACTCTCCTCTAAATTACCAGGTCCAGAGAGGCGTGGGAGTGAAACAGCAGTCACATCTCCTTTACCTTCTTGGGCTAAGTAATCATGTCTTGAAACTTGCTTGCTATTGCCATAAGTAGCTATAAATTAATCTAACAATGGCACTGTCTGGATACTATAACCCATACAATGTAGCCAATCACTAATCAACGTTATTTTTTTAAACCAGTGAGAATTTCTGACAGACAGCTTTGTATCAGCCCACTCCCTGCCCCACTTTTTTGCCTTTAAAGATCTGCTTGAAACAAAGGCCAAATGGAGCGCCTGTCCAAGGTTACATGAAGTCTGAGTGTTCTGGGCAGGCAGCCGTCCTCATTTTGGCTCAAGTAAACTTTTTAGAATTGTATTTTATGCCTCAATTCCTTTCTTTAGGTCGACAGCTACTATGAACATTCTTATACAAATCTTTTTGTAGACATATGTTTTCATTCCTCTTGAGTAAATATTTTTGAGTGGAATTGCTGGGTGATAAAAGGTACTTTTAATAAAAGTTAATTTTATGAAACTGCAAGACTTTTCTCCCAAAGTGTATCATTTTACACTCCCATCAGCAACGTGTGAATACTCTGGTTGCTCCACATTTTTGCTGACATTATGTGTTGTTGGTCTTTTTAATTTTACACATTCTGATGGGTATGTGGTGGCTTCTGCCTTGCATTTTAATTGACTGTTGCATACCTTTCTTCTGCACTTGATACTAAGCTTCCATGAAAATCAGGACAATCAATTGTACCCCCTCTAGTGCCTGTCACTGTTCTTTCAGTGTCGTAGTTGTGAAATAAATGTGAAATGAGGACAATAACTTAATGTTTTGACATCTAGTTTTGGGAATTTGATGTGAAAAAAATTGAAGCCATGAAAATATATATAGATAAATTTGACCACAAATGTCATTAAATAGTTATACTTTATTGGAATTAAGAATTATTTCTGGCCTGGCGTGGTGGCTCATGCTGGTAATCCCAGCATTTTGGGAGGCCAAAGTGAGAGGATCACTTGAGCTCAAGAAATTGAGTCCAGCCTGGGCAACATAGGGAGATCCCATCTTTACAAAAAATTTCAAACTTAGTTGGGTGTGGTGGCACAAGCCTATAGTACCAGGGAGGCTGAGGTGGGAGGATCACTTGTGCCAGAGAGATCAAGGCTATAGTGAGCCGTGATTGTGCTACTGCATTCCAGCCTGGGCAACAGAGCAAGACATATCTCAAAAAATATATATATATATTTCTTATACCAAGAACATATTTACACTGCCAGTTTTTCCTAGGTACAAATGATGCAAAATGTGCACCTGGCTCCAGAGACAGATGAAGATGATCTTTATTCCGGCTATAATGACTACAATCCAATCTATGATATCGAGGTAACAAAAGCTAGTTGTTTTTTACATTGGTCTTGGTTAACCAGCTGGTTTATGAAGACTGTGGATTTGAGAGTTCTACTTTATTATGCTTTAGATTAAATAAGCTGATTCAAAAACCTAGAAAAGTGCTATTACAGAAGACTCTACTGACTTCCACCAAAAATAATAATTGCAGCAGAAGGAAAGATCATGAGACAGGTTACAAAAATGAATTAAGGTGAATTATATATACTTGTATTCTTCAGCACTAGCTATCCAAATGTGTAAAAGACTTAGATCACCTGAAAGTATTTAAAATTAGGGTTTTAAGAAAAATTTTAAAGTTGAAATGTCTTGTTTTTTGGTTTTAATTTTTGTGAGTACATAGTAGGTGCATATATTTATGGGGAATATGGGATATTTTGATACAGGCATACAATGTGTAATAATCACATAAGGGTAAATAGGGTTTCTGTTACATCAAGCATTTATCCTTTGTGTTCCAAACAATCCGATTATATTCTTTTAGTTATTTTTAAATGTACAATTAAATTATTGACTATAGTCACCCCATTTTGCTATCAAATACTAGATCTTACGCTTTCTTTTTGTTTTTTTTTTTGTACCTATTAACCATTCTCACCCCCTCCCCTGCCACTACCCTTCCCAGCCTCTGGTAATCATCCTTCTATTCTTTATCTCCTTGAGTTCAGTTGTTTTAATTTTTAGATCCCAGAAATAAGTGAAAACATGCGATGTTTGTCTTTCTGTGCCTGGCTTATTTCACTTAATAGAATGGCCTCCAGTTCCATCCACATTATTGCAAATGACAGGATCTCATTCTTTTTTATGGCTAGTTTTCCATTGTATATATGTACATTTTCTTTATCCATTTGTCTGTTGACAGACACTTAGGTTGCTTCCAAATCTTGGCTATTGTGAATACTGCTGCAGCAAACATGGGAGTGCAGATATCTTTTTGATATACTGTGATAGAGTTTGTATATTTATCCCCACGCACATCTCATGTTGAATTGTAATACCCAGCATTGGAGGTGAGACCTGGTGGGAGGCGATAGGATCATGAGAGTGGATTTCTCATGAATGGTTTAGCATGATCTTCTTGGTGCCATCCTCACCCCATGTGATGTGACTGCTCCCATTTTGCCTTCTGTCATGAGTGAAAGCTCCCTGAGGCCTCCCCAGAAACTGAGCAGATACTGATATCATGCTTGTACAGCCTGCAGAACGATGAGCCAATCAAACCTCTTTTCTTTATAAATTACCCAATCTCAAGCATTCTCTGGTGCAAAAGTAACTGCAGTTTTTGCCATTTTAATTGCAAAACTGCAATTACTTTGGCGCCAACCTAATAGCAATGCAAGAACGGCCTGGTACATACTGATTTCTTTTCGTTTGAGTATATTCCTAGCAGTGGGATTGTTGGATCATATGATAGATCTATTTTTAGTTTTTTGAGGAACCTCTAAACTGTTCTCCATAGTAGTTGTACTAATTTACATTCTCACTAACAGTATATGAGGGTTCCCTTTTCTCCACATTCTCACCACCATTTGTTATTACCTGTCTTTTGGATAAAAGCCATTTTAACTGGAATGAGATGACATCTCGTTGTAGTTTTGATTTCCATTTCTCTGATGGTCAATAATGTTGAGCACTTTTTCATATACATGCTTGCCATTTGTATGTCTTCTTTTTAGAAATATCTATTCAGATCTTTTGCCCATTTTTAAATCAGATTATTAGATTTTTTCCTACAGAGTTGTTTGAGTTCCTTACATATTCTGGTTATTAATCCCTTGTCAGAGGGATAGTTTATAAATATTTTCTCCCATTCTGTGGGTTGTCTCTTCACTTCATTGTTTCCTTTGTCGTGCAGAAGCTTTTTAACTTGATGTGATCTCATTTGTCCATTTTTGCTTTGATTGCCTGTGCTTGTGGGGTATTACTCAATAAATCTTTGCCCAGTCCAGTGTCCTGGAGAGTTTCCCTAGTGTTTTCTTTTAGTAGTTTCATAGTTTGAGGTCTTAGATTTCTAAGTCCTTCATCCATTTTTATTTGATTTTTGCATATGGTGAGAGATAAGGGTCTAGTTTCATTCTTCTGCATGTGGATATTCAATTTTCTCAGCACCATTTATTGAAGAGAATGTCTTTTCCCTAATGTATGTTTCTGGCACCTTTGTCAAAAATGAGTTCACTGTAGATGTCTAGATTTGTTTCTGGGTTCTCTATTCTGTTCCATTAGTCTGTCTGTTTTTATGCCAGTATCATGCTGTTTTGGTTACTATAGCTCTATAGTGTAATTTGAAGTCAGGTAATGTAATTCTTCAGTTTTGTTCTTTTTGCTCAGGACAGCTTTGGCTATTCTGGGTCTTTTGTAGTTCTATATAGACTTTAGGATGTTTTCTTCTGTTTCTGTGAATAATGACATTGGTATTTTGATAGGTGTTGCACCGAATCTGTAGATTACTTTGGGTAGTATGGACATTTTAACAATATTGGTTTTTCCAATCTATGAACATGAAACATCTTTCCATTTTCTTATGTCCTCTTCAGTTTCTTGCACCAATGTTTTATAGGTTTCATTGTAGATATTTTCACTTCTTTGGTTAAGTTAATTTCTAGATATTTAATTTTATTCGTAGATATTCTAAATGGGATTACTTTCGTGATTTATTTTCCAGATTGTTCACTTTTGACATATAGAAATGCTACTGATTTTTGTAGGTTGATTTTGTATCCTGCAACCTTACTGAATTTATCAGTTCTAATAGTTTTTTGGTGGAGTCTTTATGTTTTTCCAAATATAAGATCATATCATCTATAAACTAGGGTAATTTGACTTTTTCCTTTCTGGTTTGGATGCCCTTTATTTCTTTCTCTTGCCTGATTGCACTAGCTAGGATTTCCAGTACTATGTTGAATAACAGTGGTGACAGTGGTCATCCTTGGCATGTTCCAGATCTTAAAGGAAAGGCTTTCAGTTTTTTTTCATTCAGTATATTAGTTGTGAGTCTGTTACATGACTTTTTTCACGTTGAGGTATGTTTCTTCTATACACAGTTTTTTTTTAGGGTTTTTATGAAGGGATGTTGAATTTTACCTAATGCTTTTTCAGCATCAGTTGAAATGATCATGTGGTTTTTGTTCTTTATTCTGTCGATATGATGTATTACATTGATTGATTTGCATAAGTTGAACCATCCTTGCATCCCTGGGCTAAATCCCACTTGGTGATGATGAATGATCTTTCTAATGTATTGTTGGATTTGGTTTGCTAGTGTTTTATTGAGGATTTTTGCATCAATGTTCATCAGGGATGTTGGTCTATAATTTTCTTTCTTTGATGCATCTTTGTCAGGTTTTGGTATCGGTAATACTGGCCTTATAGAATGAGTTTGGAAGTATTTCCTCTTTCTCTGTTTTTTGGAGTAATTTGAGTAGGATTTATATTAGTTCTTCTTTAAATGTCTGGTAAAATTCAGCAGTGAAGCCATCAGGTGCCGAGCTTTTCTTTGCTGGGAGACTTTTTATTGTGGCTTCAGTCTTGTTACTTCTTTTTTTTTTTTTTTTTTTTTTTTTTTTCAGATGGAGTCTCACTCTGTAGCCCAGGCTGGAGTGCAGTGGTGCAATCTCAGCTCACTGCAAGCTCTGCCTCCCAGGTTCACGCCATCCTCTTGCCTCAGCCTCCCGAGTAGCTGGGACCACAGGTGCCTGCCACCACGCCTGGCTAATTTTTTGTATTTTTTTTAGTAGAGACAGAGTTTCACCGTGTTAGCCAGGATGGTCTCGATCTCCTGACCTCATGATCAGCCCGCCTCGGCCTCCCAAAGTGCTGGGATTACAGGCGTGAGTCATTGAGCCTGGCCCAGTCTTGTTACTTTTTTTTTTTTTTTTTTTTTTTCAGTCTTGTTACTTCTTATTGGTCTGTTCAGGTTTTGGATTTCTTCATGGTTCAATCTTGGTAGGTTGTATATGTCTAGGAATTTATCTCTTTCTTCTAGGTTTTCAATTTATTGGTATATAGGTGCTCATAGTAGCTTCTAATGATCCTTCAAATTTCTGGTTTTGTTGTAGTTGTTGTTGTTTGAGACAGAGTCTCGCTCTGGTTGCCCAGGCTGGAGTGAAATGGTGCAATCTCAGCTCACTGCAACCTCTGCTTCCTGGGTTCAAGTGATTCTCCTGCCTCAGCCTCCCAAGTAGCTGGGATTACAGGCATGTGCCACCACGCCCGGCTAATGATGTATTTTTAGTAGAGATGAGGTTTTACCATGTTGGTTCGGCTGGTCTTGAACTGCTGACCTCAGAAGATCTGCCTGCCTAGGCCTCCCAAAGTGCTGGGATTACAGGTGTGAGCCACCGCATCCAGCCGATCCTTCACATTTCTATGGTATCAGTTGTAATGTCCCTTTTTTATCTCTGATTTTACTTATTTTGGTCTTCTCTCTTTCTTTGTAGTTAGTCTGGCTAACGGTTTGTCAATTTTATCTTTTCACAAAACCAACTTTTTGTTTTGTTGATCTTTTGTATTGTTGTCTTTGATTCATTTTCATTTATTCTGCTCTGATATTTATTATTTTCTTTGGGTTTGGTTTGCTTTGCTTTTCTAGTTCGAGATGCATCATTAGGTTATTTGAAGTTTTTCTTCTTTTTTGATGTAAACACTTATAACTATAAACTTCTCTCTTAATACTGTTTTCACTGTATCCCACAGCTTTTGGTGAAACCAGCCAGGCTTGTATCCTTCCCTTAAGTCAACCAGTTCCCCTGGGCCCTGGGTGGGTCCAGAGATGCTGTCTGGGAGCCAGGGCCTGGAGTCAGAATCCTTAGAAATTTGCTTGGTGCTCTATTCTTCTGCTGCTGCTGAGCTGGCACTGAACCGTAAGACAAAGTCCTTTCCACTCTTTCCACCCTTTTCCCCAGGCAGCAGATTCTCTCCTGTGTCTGTCACCACAACAGACCCGCAGAGAGTACTACCAGGGTATCGCCAATGTTTACTTAAGGCCCAAGGGCTATTCCTTCAGGTTTTGGTGAATTCTGCCAGGCCTGGGACTCACCCTTCAAGGCAGTGGGTGTCCCTCTGGCTCAGGGTAGGTCCAGAAATGCTACCCAAGAGCCAAGGCCTGGAATCAGGGACCCTAAGAACCCACTTGATGCTCTAACCCACTGTGGCTGAGCTGATACCTAAGTTGCAAGACAAAGTCCCCTTTACTCTCCCCTCTTCTCATCTCAAACAGAAGCAGTCTCTCTTTGTAGCCACCACAGCTGTGAATGTGCTGGGTCACACCTGAAACCAGTAGATCTCAGAGTCTCACCCAAGTCCCACTGTATGTACTACCTGGTTATTGCTGCTGATTATTCAGGACCCAAGGGCCCTTTATTCAGCAGTGACGAATCCTGCCATGGCTGGGTTCTTTCCTTCAAGGGAATTTAGTATAAATCAGGAAAACCATTGAAACCTCCTCATTCTCCCAATTATAAAATTAAGAAATGCTTATGGAAACAAAAACTAGTAATCCCATCACTCAAGAAATAACTACTGTCAACATTTTAAACATTTTTGTGCTTTGTCTTTCCTTCATGTATACATACACAATTTTCTTTTAGTATGTTTGGAATTGAACTAGTAATTACTTTTCTGTTTACTTTTTTACATTCAACTACATCATAAGCAGTGTCTCATGATACTAAATATTTGAATATTACTTTAATGACTACATAATATTGAAAATATATAGGTGATTAGAAGTATTTTCTCTGCCAGACGCGGGGACTCACACCTATAATCCCAGCATTTTGGGAGGCTGAGGTGGGCAGATCATCTGAGGTCCGGAGTTCAAGACCAGCCTGACCAACATGGTGAAGTTCTGTCTCTACTAAAATACAAAAATTAGCCAGCCGTGGTGGCGGGCACCTGTAATCTCAGCTGCTTGGAAGGCTGAGGCAGGAGAATAGCTTGAACCCAGCAGGTGGAGGTGGCAGTGAGCCAAGATCACGCCATTGCACAATGAGCCAAGATCACGCCATTGCACAACAGAGCAAGAGTCCCTCTCAAAAAAAATAAAAAAACCTAAAGAAGTATTTTCTCATGATAGGATATTTTTTCCTGTTTTCTGCTATTGTAGATAACATTGTAGTGAAAAAATTTATGCATAAATAATTTTCTATGTTTTGATCAAACACTACCTGGGATAGAGTCCCAGAAATGGAATTAATGGATCATGGATCATGAAGATTTTCTTTTTTCTTTTTTTTTTTTTTTTTTTGAGATGGAGTCTCGCTCTGTAGCCCAGGGTGGAGTGCATTGGCGCGACCTCTGCTCATTGTAAGCTCCGCCTCCCAGGTTCATGCCATTCTCCTGCCTCAGCCTCCTGAGTAGCTGGGACTACAGGCGCCCGCCACCACGCCTGGCTAATTTTTTGTATTTTTAGTAGAGATGAGGTTTCACCGTGTTAGCCAGGATGGTCTCGATCTCCTGACTTCATGATCCGCCCACCTCAGCCTCCCAAAGTTCTGGGATTACAGGCATGAGCCACCGCCCCGGCCTGAAGATTATTATTTTTAAAGCACCAGGGACACTTCCTACCTCCTCAGGTTGTTGCACTGTGGCTGCATAATTTAATGTGAAGTGAATACTCAGAATATCAGACCCAAAAATAAATTAGACAGTGAAGTAAAAATAATTTTTGGCTTATGCTTGGTTTTCTTTGATCTTAACTGTAATAATAACAAGTTCAATAAATAAATGAATTACTTGCAGCAGTGGCTTAAGATATTCATAGAAGATGCAATTTGTTAACAAAGTGGCAAAGAGTTCCAAAAGTTGTATAAGTTTGGTGTTTGTAATTGGAGAATTTGTTGACTGTCCTTTTTAGTTTGTCATTTAGTTAGGATTTACTGAGCTGATTAACCAAATTTTACTAATAATTTAGGAATCTTAAGGGAAATTTTTTTACCCAAAGATCTGCTAAAGTAGAAGTATAATAAATTATGTTGAAGGTTACCTTTGGATTTATACTTCATTCAAAAGTCTTTAGTTTCTATGGGTAACTGAGAATCGTGTAATTTTATGTAGTTGATATGGAAGGTTACAAGGATAATTTAGGCTGGGCACAGCGGCTTATGCCTGTAATCCCTTTAGGAGGCTCAGGGGTGGATCACTTGAGCTCAGTTTGAGACCAGCCTGGGTAACACGGCAAAATCCTGTCTCTAAAAAAATACAAAAATTAGCAGGTTGTGGTAGTGTGTGCCTGTAGTCCCAGCTCCTAGGGAGACTGAGGTGGGACAATCACCTGAGCCTGGGAAGTTGAGGCTGCGGTGAGCTGTGATCGCACCACTGTACTCCAGCTTGGAGGTTGGAGTGAAACCCTGTCTCAAAAAAAAAAAAAAAAAAGATAATTTAAAGTAAAAATTAAGAAGACTTGTATGCAATAAAACTGTGTTTTAAAAGCACTGTATTAGCATCCTGGTAATATAAACATTTTATTTTGATTATTTTCAAATTTTTAAAAAGTTAATTGATAGTGACTTTATTTTTTTTTGTATTGTTTATTTTTAAAATAATTGACAAGTGTGTATTTTTGTGGGAAGTAGATTGAAATAAATCAGAGGCAAGGATGAGAACTGCATTTAATGTGTCTGAAGGGTTAAAGCCGGAGTGTGTGTTAGAGAAGGGGAAGTAGGAAATACGGGATGGTTGGAAGATTGACTGTTGGTGAGACTGGGTGCTTTTGAGAGACTATAAAAATGGTATTTTGTTCAGGAAACACAGGAACCCTTATATCCTGCCCTTGATTACTGTTCTTTTCCTCAAATTTCCTGAAGGGGAATGTAAGTACATTTCAGGAATCAGCAAAGCAAAATAACATTTTATTTCTACTGAGATGTTGATTCCAAATGGCAGTGCAGGTTGGACTTGTTGAGCCCCCCCATTTGCTTAGATTAGCTCCAGTCTGCGTCTCAGACTTGACCTCTCCAGTGAGATGAAAAATCCTTTTCATTTGGGCAGATGGAAATGGCACCAAAGAGAGTGCCCCCTGCTTGTAGAAAATATGGCCTTTTCTATCCTGAGGTAGGGTGGGAGAAGAGGAGAAAGACAGGGGGATGGTGGGGAGAGAGAGAGAAAGAGAGATGTAAATCTCCAATTCCAAGCCACCAGGAAAAAAGAAACAGAAGAAAGGCCACATCCTTGTATACTTGATGTTTCAACCCGGCACTGTGATACCACTCATTAAAACTGTAGCCAATAAGATGTCCATAAAATTGACTAACATGACCGGTACTCCTCATTCTGGGAGAGGAAGGAGGTTTGCTATTCTGGGTAGTGTGAAGTGGGGAGATTTGAGGTAGGAGTCCTAGATGTCAACAGTTGGCAATAGATGAGTTATAGAGGCTCTTGAGTACCAAACAGCAGTTTAAACTTATTTTTTCCCCCAATTCTTACTCTGTGTTGAATGTTAAATTTGCGTTTTCATTTTAGGAATTGGAGAATGATGCAGCTTTTCAGCAAGCTGTGAGGACTAGTCATGGCAGAAGACCTCCAGTAAGTGAAAAAAATTTTTTTTAAATTGTGGTAAAAAATACATAACATGAAATTTACCAGATTAACCATTTTCACCTGTATATTCCTGTAGTGTTAAAGATTATAACCATCATTAAGTTTAGATGGTAGTGAAACAGATCTTCAGAAGTTTTTCATCTTGTATATATGAAAGTCTGTATCCATTAAACAAAAACTTCCCATTTTCTCCTACTTCCAAAGCTCCTGTAACTACCATTCTACTTTCTATTTCTATGAATTTGACTAATTTAGATACCTTACATAAGTGGAGTCTCAGAGTATTTGTCTTTTTGTGACTGGCTTATTCACTTAGTATAATGTCCTCAAGGTTCATCCATGTTGTAGCATGTGACAGAATCTCCTTCCTTTTTAAGTTTGAATAGTATTCCATTGTATGTTTATACCACATTTTGTTTATTCATTCATCTGTCAATGAACACTTGTTCATTTTTGTTATTCAGTTGTAGGAGTTCTCTATATATTCTGGATATTAATGTCTTATCAGATGTCTGATTTGCAAATATTTTCTTTCATTTTGTAGATTGCTTTTCACACTGATGTGTCCTTTGATACACCAAAGTTTTTTAGTTTGATGTAGTCCCAATTGTCCATCTTTACTTGTGTTGCTTGTGCTTTTGGTGTCATATTCAAGAAATAATTGCCAAGAACAATGTCATGAAGCTTTTCCCCTATGTTTTCTTCTAGCATTTTTTGTAGTTTTAGGTCTTACCTTTAGATGTTTAATCCATTTTGTGTTCATTTTTATATATGGTATAAGATAAAGGTCCAAATTCATTATTTTGCACATGGATATTTAGTTCTCCCAACACTATTTGCTGTACAGACCGTCCCTTCCCTGTTGAATGGTCTTGGTACCATTGTTGAAGATCATTTAACCATATATGTAAGGGTTTGTTTCTGGGCTTTCTATGCTGTTCTATTGGTCTATTTGTCTGCCTTTATGCCAGTAACCACACTGTTTTGATTAGTGTAGCTTTATAATATGTTTTAAAATCAGGAAATGTGAACCTTCCAACTTTGTTCTTTTTCACAGTTGTTTTAGCTACTTGGGGTCCCTTGATATTCCATATGAATTTTAGGATGAATCTCTATTTCTGTAAAAAAAAAAAATGTCATTTGGATAGTAAGGATTTGATAAGGATTGTATTGAATACACTGGGTGGTATGGACATCTTAACAATATTAAGTCTTTCAGTCTATGAACCTATGAACACAGGATGCCTTTCCATTTGTTTATGTCTTCTTTAATTCATCAATGTTTTGTAGTTTTCAGTGTATCTAGTAAGTGAATTTTAAAGTATTTGAGATCAAATGATTTCTTATGTTATTCAAACTAAATATTTTTATTAGGCATCAGAATATTGTTTACCTAAAAATTCATTGTTTTAAAAATATTTGCTTTTCTAATTTTTAAAGTGGCATAAATATTGATCCCTCAAAACATTGGGGCTTAATTTACAGATTACCCTTCCTTGTATTAATATTAATTAATACTCAATTAATTTTCTACGAGTACATGAATTGCTAGAGTAGTTTTTTTCAGTATTAGTATTAAGGTTTTTGTATGTGTCATACAAAGCATAGACATCTGCCTTTCACAGTGCATGAAATCTGCCAAGCTTTGTTTGTAGTTGAAAATAAACAAGGTTGACACTCAGTAGTGAAGTAGAGAAAGTTCTATCCCTAATGTTCTATGTCTAATATTCCTTTTTGGAATGCTGCTTCTCCCTACCTATCTAATACTATACAGCAGTGGCTCTCAGCGGGGGGCACTTGTGCCCCCCCACCAGGGACATTGAGCAATGCTTGGAGAGATATTTTCAGTTGTCACAACTTGAGTGGGTGCTACTGGCACCTAGTGGGTAGCAGCCAGAGATGCTGCTAACCATTCTACAATGCATAGGGCAGCCCCCGGTAATAAAGAGCTATCCAGCCGAAACTCCTTTGCTTTAGATGAAGTGTCCTTCTGCTGTTATCTTCCCTCACTTTGTCATGTTCTCCCGTCCTCCCTGTCCTACGTACTTATCTAGCAAAAATAAATCATTGTGAGTAGCTTGCCCATCTCATTTGGGGTAAATGCATTTAGTGTGGTTCCTTGCAATGAGTTTGGCTAAATCACTGCACAGGTAGAGGACACAGTCAGTCCTCCACAAGACCACTCCCACTTCTGACACCAACTGCAAGTTCATGGTTCCCAGAACCATCCTCAGGCTTGATAATTCTCTGGAAAGACTCAAAGAACTCACTGAAATCTCCTATACTTACAGTTTAATCATGGGAAAGATACAAATTAAAATCCACCAAGGGAAGAGATGCATAGAGCAGGGCCTAGGAGTGGTCCAAACAGAGAGCTTCTGATTGTCCTCTCCCTGTGGAGCAAGACATGGCAGTACCTTTTCCTAACCACAGTGTGACAGTACTTGAAGAGTATTGCCAACCAGGGAATCCTACTCTAGACTTTGGCATTCAGAGTTTTTACTGAGGCTTGATCACATACCACCCACCAGGCCAACCTTTAGTCTCTAGTCCCGGAGGTTCAGGCTAGTAACTCCAGAAGCTGATGTGTCCCAAAGCTCCCATTGTGAATCACATTGATAGACTGACCAGTGGCCAAAGCCAGGGCAAACAAAGACACTCCCGTCAGGCAGAGCATTTCAGGGGTGTAGAAATCATTTCCTAGGAGCCAACAACAGAGGCCAGACCTCTCTTTGAGTAAAGTTAATTCTTCACTACACATTCTAAAACCCATATTTTATTTATTTGTTTAATTCTTTTACAACCCATATTTTAATTTTGAAGTTACCTTCATTACGGGAAGAAAAACCATAGGCTCTGAGTCCTTGCACTAGGCTAGTGATTAGACTGTAAGCTTTTCAAAGAGGCAGATTATCTTATTCATCATTCTTTTGCTTGTCTACTTAAGTGTTCCATACATCTTTATTGACTAACTTAGTAAATCAGTGAACTTTGTCTTTAATTAAGTGATTTCAGGGATCACGTAACAGGTGATAATTTTGCCAGGTGGGCCTTCAAAAGATCTTTAGAAATGACTTTGGAGATTCTTATTTTATAGATGAGGAAACTGAAGCCTAGAAAAGCCAAGGTCTCACAGTTATCTGTAACTGGGATAGTGTGTGGGTCATTTGATCCTCTGTTGAATGATATTTTCATCACATCCTACTTGTTATATTACATGGGAAAAAGTTTTATACTTGTCATATGAAACATCTTACAGGTTCACTTAAGAGGACAAAATTCTAGGTTGCTCCTAAGGAGCTTACAGTCTTCAGAAGGCAAATTAAATGGACACACTTAGATATTACAAGGCATGAAGTAATAAATTATAATAAAAGAGTATAAATTGCTGTGGAATTTAAAAGAGAGGTTATTTACCACTAGTTGGGAAAGTCAGAAGAGATTGCTTAGAAGATAAATTAAGAGTTGATTATTACGGGATATGTAGAATTGAGATTGACCTTGAGATCAGGAGAAAAGGGCATTGCAGATAAGGGTACAAGATGAATGAGGGAAGAGAGTGTAGGAGCTGCCCAATGCTAACAACAAAACACAAAAATGAGATTTAGTCATTAGGCAGTAGTTAAAAAAATAATGGTCTTCCCCTCAGTTGGTTCTCATGGAAGAAGTTGCAGAGACCCATATCCTTCCTTTTCAGTTTTTTCTTAAGACCTGGAGCCAATCTTATCAAGCATGAGTTTAAGCCCTGAAACATGTATACAAATTAAAATACCTTCCAATGTCTAAAGTTCACCTAACAACTTTATATGTTATCACCTACAATTCAGACATTTGTTTTCCTACAGAATTAACATATATGTATGTTTTTTCCCATTTTTTTTAACCTCTAATTACATTTTCCTTATGATTTAGTTCAAAATATTTTCTAATTTCCATGGGTATTTCTTCTTTGACCTGTGGGTTATTTAGAAGTATATTTAATTTCCAAACAATACATTTTTCTAGTTATCTCTGTGTTACTGATTTCTAGTTTTATTCTTAGATAGGGAACATAATCTGTATGCTTTCAATTTTTTGAAATCTGTTAATGTCCCAAATGCATTCTTGAAGAATATATATGTTCCACGATGGGTACAGTGTAATATGTCAATTAGGTAAAGTGTGTTAATGGTTTTGTTTAGATGTTCAATATTTTTACTGATATTTTGTTTGCCTACTGCTTTTTTTTTTTCTTTCTTTCTGAGACCAAGTCTCACTCTTTTGCCCAGGCTGGAGTACAGTGGCATGACCTTGGCTCACTGCAACGTCCACCTCCTGGGTTCAAGCAATTCTCGGGCCTCAGCCTCCTGAGTAGCTGAGACTACAGGCGTGAGCCACCACACCTGGCTAATTTTTGTATTTTTAGTAAAGACGGAGTTTCACCATGTTAGTCAGGCTGGTCTTGAATTCCTGACCTCAGGTGATCCACCCACCTCAGTGTCCCAAAGTGCTGGGATTACAAGCATGAGCCACTGCGTCTGGCCTACTGGTTCTATTTTTAATGAGAAAGCGTGATCAATTCTTGTACTCTCGTTGTGGGTTTGTATTTTTTTTAGGTTTTTGCTTTATATATATGGAGCAAAGATATTTAGAATTGCTATATTTTCATAGTAAACTGAGCCTTATATTGTTATGAAGTATGCCTCTATCTCTAGTAATGCTTTTTGTCTGTTTGTAAGATATTAATATGTTGTTATAGCTATACAAGCTCTTTGTCTAGCATTTTTATTGTATGTCTTTCCTGTCTTTTTACTTCCAACTTTTCCGTATCAATTTATTTAAAATGTAATTCTTATTAGCAGCGTGTGATTGGTTTTTATTTTTTTAATAGTCTAACAATCTTATTATTTTAGTTAAGTATTTATTCCACTTACATTTAATGAAGTTACTGATTTCCTTTAAATTTGCTATCTTACTATTTGCTTTTTTTTTTTTTTCCTGGCTCTTGTATATTTCATTTTCTCTCCTTACTTGCCTTCTTTTTTGCTTGTTTTTTATTATTCCATTTTCTTTTTCTGTTATCTTGGTAGTTTACGTTCTCTGACTATTCTTTTAGTGTTTCCCTAAATATTATGATACTCATCTCTAACTTTTTAAAGTCTAGTATAAATTAACAGTTTTACTACTGCCTGGACAGTGCCAGGATTTTATATTATTTTTAGCTATTTTTCAGTTCTAGAATTTCCATGTATATTCCTTTTTTATAGTTTTTAGTTCATTTTCCGTTGCTATTACTAATCTTTTAATTTATTGATCATGTTAAGCATAGTTATGTTAAAGTCTATGTGTGATATTTGCATTATATGTACCCACTTCTGAGTTTCTTTCTATTCTTTTGTTTATCTTGGCTTTTGGTTAGGTAGTCTTGCCTCTTGTATGTCTGGTTGGTTTTAATTGAGAGACATTATAAATGAAAAATTTTAGAGATACTTTATGGCTCTATGTCTGCACTACTCAGTATGAGAGACACTAGCCACATGAAACTATTTACATTTACATTATTTAAAACTAAAATAAATAAATTCTTGTTGTACTACTTACATTTCATATGTTTAACAGCCTTGTGTGGCCAATGGCTGTCTTATCAGAAAGGGCAGATATAGAACTTTTACATCACTACAGAAAGTTTATTGGATAGCACAGTGCTAGAGGATCTTATCTTTCACTGGAGAGAATTTACTTTTACTTATGGTACTAGCAGCAGTAGGAATCCATGGTCACCTTAATCCAGTCGGGTTTGAGATGATTCTGAATTGGATGTCAGCCCTTATGAGGGCTAGTATACTATTATTTACCTTTTAGTCTTAGGGTGTAGCCTTTTGAGATCACAATCTGAAGCCTGGAGGATTACCGGGGCTGCGTTCTTGGCAGGCCCTCATCACCAGTGTTTATCCCTTCAGGCTGTGAGTCTCAAAAGCTGTGTCCAGTGTCTCAGACTTGTCTTTGGAATTAACAGATGCCTCTAGGAGGAAAGCAGGCCTAAATGTGGGCTCACCTCTCTAGCCTTCCCATCTCTTCGTTATTTTCAGACCTTGTAATTCTTCACTGTCTTGTTGGGTCTCTAATGTATTCACACTTAAAAAAAAATATTTTGACCCCATGTATATTTTTTAATAGTTCTTAATGAGAAGGTTTTTAAAAACAGTCCATCATAGCTGAAAGTAGAATTCCTCTGTGAGTGATATTTAATAAATATTTCTAACAGTTCTGCCTAACAACTAACATTTTTAGTATACTTTCATCGATGTGCTCCTATTTGATTCTAACTACAATTTTGTGATCCGTATACTTTGTATTCTTATTTAAAAGATGAGAAAACTGTAGGTTCAAAGAGATTAAATAAAGGTATCTGTTATAGGGATAGCTGAGATTCAAACCCAAGTTCTCAGACCCCAAATCTTGTGTCTATTGTTTGGCCTAGTGGCTAGCAGTAATAATTATGCAATAAAATGTTTAATTCGTGATGGTTGCAAGCATGAAAACAAATCTTTCTTATCGGCACCTCAGATCGTTCAAAAGTCCCCTTTCTCCTTTAAAATGAATTCCAGAATGAGTCTCCTTCTCACATAATTAAAATACCTGAGCTCCCTAATATTTAAGATAATTTAAAAGAAATCATTCTAAGTATTATATAAATATTTCTTTATTTATGAGTCTATATTTTCTATTTCTTTTCCAGTTTTCTATTATATAGCTCAGTCTGAATCCTGTTAACTATGTTCTTTTTCCTCCCCAAGATAACTGCTAAAATATCAAGCACGGCAGTTACTAGACCTATAGCTACTGGATATGGGGTAGGTTTTTGTAAGCTGAAAATATTAAGATGCTTTTTCTCATACAATAGTTCACTTTAGGCAGTTCTGAATAATTTTATTATATCTTAGGTCATAATCCAAATATATTTTCTATTTTGGATACTTACAAACATTATACAAGTCTAGTGTGATTAATAAATTTGAATATTGTCATTTTGATTTGTAAGTATTGGAAAATATTTTATTAACCTTTTTCCATTTGTAAACCCTGTGTTCGTTGACGTCCTTTCATTTTCTACATGATACAACCAAGTCTCGTGTATTCCATTCATATATTTTATGTGAAGTTAGATTTTACATAAATGTAATAGTGTATATAATTGGGAAACATTTACTAATTAACAAATATAAAATGTAAGAAAAGTGTTTCAGAAGTGTGTATTTGGGTCTTATATTAGAAGCCTTTGGAGGAAAGATATATCAAACTCTATAAAAGTTATAAACTTTTTAATCTTGTTCAAATTACCTGTAATTTGGATGTTTTAGCTTATATGAAATAACAGGAATGAGAAAAATGGAAGAATTAGGTGGAATAGCTTTTCTTAGTCAAAAAAATATCTTCAGAACCTAGAGGTCCAGGGCACTTGCCTTTATAATGTTCCTTTATATGAGTGAAGAAAGTAGCCTTGTACATAATATAAACGTGTGTCATATTAAACATGCTTTTATTAGTTAGCCTGAGTGTGTATTACTCATAAATTTGATTTTTGGTGGTGTTTCAGAAAAAGAGCAAACTTTTTCCATGAAGGGCTAGATATTTTAGGCTTTGCAGATCATATGTTCTCTGTTGCTACTATCCAACTCTGCATTTGTAAAGCAAAAGCAGCCACAGGCAATGTGCAAAGGAATGGGGCATGGCTATGTTCCAGTAAAACTTTATTTACAAAGACCATGGGTTGTAGTTTGCTGCTCCCTGTTTTATAGTTTTATGGTTTTACCCTATACGCCCAGGAGGTACAAGGAATAAATTATGTTTGTTTATTTGCCGATAGAATGAAGAAAACTTCTATAACTTGGTTTAAACATTTAAGGCAGATATTTTTAGGAATCTTTTTAACTTAACTTTTCTGTTTACTAGTCCAAGACATCTCTGGCATCATCAATAGGAAGACCAATGACAGGGGCTATTCAGGTATCTCTATTGGATGCATGTTCATTTTGTGCCTTTCTTGTGACTTGGAATTTACTACCAAAGTTTTTTTACTTTATTATATTATTTTAAAATGTTAAAGAAGATATTACTTATATAGTGACCCAGATTCTTTAAATTGTGGGCTAAAGTCTACACTGTTGTAAATCTTTGAAGGCGAAGTCTCTTTAGATTTATTTACTCAGGTATCAAATGAATTCCCATTGGGGTGTGGACATAGAACTGATAATTGCTTATATGATGTATTCTGGGGCCCATTTTTCCTGTTACCATTTACAACAATTTCTGTGGTTTCTCTCATAGGCATGTAAGAGACCAACCAAAAGTAAGAGAGTAGCTGGCTAATAAGCTGATTAATTTTTTTTAAAACTATAGCCCAATTACATCAAAGAATTGAAATTGTAAAGGTGAGAGAGGACATGATTGATACATGAGGAGGTAGAAGTAAGGAGTAAACGTATAGTGATTGAAAATCAGCATTTTTTTAAATAGGGCTATATTAAGGTGTGTGTAATGTGCAGAACTGTACATAGGAGATAGATCTTATTTAAGAATAAATGATTCCCATTCTCTTTAAAGGATGGAGTTACTAGACCCATGACAGCAGTGAGAGCAGCTGGTTTTACCAAAGCAGCTTTGAGAGGTTTGTTACACTGTCTCTACTAATAATCTTTTTTGGATCTTTTAATCTTTTATCATTTTGTGATATAAATATTACTGTCATTTTAAATAAAATCTAACAATGCCATTGATTATAAGATGCACTGATATTTTAGGTACCATTAAGAAAGGAAAAGGATGATGAAAACCTTCTACATATCTGTTGGGGTGGTAATTAAACCATGGTGTAATTTGTCAAAATGCATTGAAATAATATGTAAAAAGTTAAATGATAATTTAAAAATAAAATTATAACAAAAATTAATGTTTGGTATGCCAATAAGGAAAATTAAAAAGCCAATAGCAGGTTATAAGACATGTGACTGATAATTTAGAGTTGATAATAGAGATAGATCACTGTGGAAGAGAAAGTAAATGCTGAGAATATCTTATTTTTGTTTTTAAGTTTAACACACGTATTATTTACATAGCTTTATGTGTGTTAAAAATCTTACCAATTTCCCAGTATATGAAATGTTTATGTAGACACAATGTTATCTCCATTTAATAAATAGATAATTGAAACCATTTAATAAAGAGGTAAATGAAATAGCTTATGCGAGGTTTTATATTTTCATATATTCTTCGATTTTGCTGAGTTACAAATTGAATATTAACTCTTGAATTGTGTCTCAGGCTCTGCATTTGACCCCCTTAGTCAGTCAAGGGGCCCTGCTTCCCCTTTGGAAGCCAAGAAAAAAGATAGGTATGTAAGTCCTTATGTTGTTGTTTGTTGTTGTTGCTGCATATTTTAAATTTTTATTTTCCAAATACACAATTTTTTTTTTTGAGATGATATCTCACTCTGTTGCCCAGGCTGGAGTGCAGTGATGCGATCTTGGCTCACTGCAACCTTCATCTCCCAGGTTCAAGCGATTCTTCTGTCTTAGCCTCCTGAGTAGCTGGGATTACAGGTGCCTGCGACTACATCCAGATAATTTTTGTATTTTTGGTAGAGATGGGGTTTTGCCATGCTGGCTAGGCTGGTCTCGAACTCCCAATCTCAAATGATCTGCCGACCTCAGCCTCCCAAAGTGTTGGCATTACAGGCGTGAGCCACCACACCAGCTCACATAATTACATAATTATGTGACTTCCATAAGAATTACATAATTATGTGAATTCCATAAGAATTACATAATTCTTAATCTTTAAAAAGTTTGTGTCAGCAGAGTAGTAAACAAAAAATCATCCCTAGTTGCCAGAACTAACAAAATTAAGAATAGCCATATGTATTCTGTGCAATTTTATTGTGATATTATATGACTTGAAGATATGGTCTAATTTTTTATCAGGGCCAGTATTGAGTCTCCTGACAGCCAAATGGGGTTGTAAATGTTGTAAGATATGATTATCTTGAGAGGACATTTCAAGGGAAAAAATTAAGAGAACACATATGAAATTAATGTGTCATATTATTGAGAAATTTAATTTTTTATAGAACAAACTTAATTTAGTGCTAGTGGCTAGACAGTAGCCAAAAAGCTATGGTATACATTTAATTATATACATCTGCTGGTATCCAAGTACCTTGATGTATACATTTTACAAATAGTAATAAAAGCTAACATTAACTGAGTCCTTGCTGTGTGCCAGGCACTTTTCCAAGTACTTTCCCTATGAAAACAGAGCTATTATTCTCACTAGTTTATAAAGAGGGGAGCTGAAGCCCAGCTATCTTAACTTTCTAAGGCTAGTAAATGACAAGGCTTAGATTCAAACCCAGTTTTTCTAGTTCCAGAGCTTGGGCTCTGGAACTAGAACTGGAATTAGTCACTATACTGTTTTGCTTCTATAGAATATATGTTTTTAAATTGTAATTCTTTTTTTTTGTTTCTTTTTTTTATTTAAATTGTAATTCTTAAACCCAGTATTTAGGCTTTCGTGTAAATTACATAATTTCCATTTTTGACTAGCAAGGAACCTCTATAGAAAATCATGTTATTTTTTATCTTAATTAATGACAGCACATTAGCTAATAAAAGCATTTTTTATTTAAATATTATGTCATTCATGGTCCTTTTGGCTGCTAATAACAGAAAACATGTTTAAAAAAAAGTAAGGACACAGGCCGGGCGTGGTGGCTCATGCCTATAATCTCAGCCTTTTGGGAGGCCAAGGTGAGAGGATCACTTGAGCCCAGGAGTTCAAGACTAGCCTGGGCAACATAGCGAGACCCCGTCTCTACAAAAAAATTAAAAAATTAGCTGGGTATGGTGGCACACACCTGTAGCTCCAGCTACTCAGAAGGCTGAGGTGGGAGGATGGCTTGAGCCCAGGAGGTGGTAGCTGCAGTGAGCTGTAATCATACCACTGCACCACAGCCTGGGTGACAGAGCGAGACCCTGTCTCAAAGAAAGACTTAAAAAAAAAAAAAAGACATATACATAATTAACAAGAAAATTTATTATCTCACATAATAGGAAGTCTGGAGGAAGGGAAGTTCTGGGGATGGTTAATTTAACTGCTCAGTAACATCATCCCTGGTCCAGCTTCTCTTTGTTTCCCTTGGCTTTCCCCAAGCGCCTGCCGATCATTATGATGCCAAGAGAGTGTTGAGAGTTCAAAATCTCCATGTAACTGATATAGTCTAGAGGCAGAATGTTCCTAGTCTTAGGTCTCTTAAAAAGCCAAGAAGATCTTTCTAGCAGCCCTGTACCTGAAGCAGATATGCCTTCATTTCTCAGTGTGGAATGCATCAAATGCTCGTGGCTGAACCAAACACTTGGCAAAGAGAATGAGATTCTCTTGACTTGCTTAGATTCTGCATGCAAAGAAGAAGGGCGGGTGGCAGGCTCTGTGTGGGTAGGTAGCCAACAGTGCCTGAATATAGATTGCATTTTTTTTGCATTTGATAGGGACAGGGTAAGTTACTTTCAGTGTCTTCATAAAGTTCTCTTACAGATTTTTAAGTTTAAAATTCTATGTTGATATTTTGAATTTAATAATAAAATCTGTAAGCAACATTTAAGACATACATTCAAGTGTTTCAGACAACTAGAAAATAGAATTCTATACTTCATGTAACCTTCATAAAACTACCATCTATTATGCTTACTGCTCAGTTAGAATTTTACAGATCTTTATAAACTAATAAACTTTGTAGTCTTAGTCCCAGGTTTCCTCAAAGAATATAATTTTATAGAAAAAGTTATGCTGCTCAATTTATTTCTATATACTTTTATAAAATCCATTTGTAGAGAATTAAGAGAACTACTATCTATTCTGATATAGCAGTAGTAAAATTTTATTTAGGCATTGATGTGTATTCAGAGTATTGTTGTATTTTGCCAAAAGAAAGTGGTAGCAAAACAACATTACTGTTATTTTGAAAGGTAACTGATTTGGGAATACTTGATTTGCTATTAATAGAGCCAGGATTTTTAAACTTCTTCACCTCATTAGAAACTTTCTCTATGGCCAGGCATGGTGGTGCACGCCTATAGTGTCAACTACTCAGGAGGCTGAGGCAGAAAGATCGCTTAAGCCCAAGAGTTCAAGCCGTAGTGCATTATGATTGTGCCTGTAAATAGCCACTGCACTCTAGCCTGGGCAACATAGCAAGAACCTGTCGTTTATTTTTATTTTTTTTTATTTTTTTGAGGCAGAGTCTTGCTCTGTCACCCAGGCTGGAGTATGGAGTGCAGTGGCGCAATATCACTCACTGCAACCTCTGTCTCCCAGGTTCAAGCAATATTCTCCTGCCTCAGCCTCCCAAGTAGCTGGGATTATAGGTGCCTGCCCCAACACCTGGCTAATTTTTGTATTTTTAGTAGAGGCAGGGTTTCACCATGTTGGCCATGCTGGTCTCAAACTCCTGACCTCAAGTGATCTACCTGCCTCAGCCTCCCAAAGTGCTGGGATTACAGGCAGGAGCCACCACGCCTGGCCATGTTACCTACCTTGACTGTTGTTATTATTTTACTATTATGAATAATTACATGATGTAGTTGTTAAAAACAGTACTACATTTGCTCTTTAATACCATGTATACATTTGTCTTATCTATAACTATTCTTGAAGTTTAAATGCACATTGTTCAATGTTGAAAGTAAATTAGGCTGGGTGTTGTGGCTCACACCTGTAATCCCAGCACTTTGGGAGGCTGAGGAGGGAGGATCGCTTGAGGCCTGGAGTTTAAGACCAGCCTCCCTGGGCAAGATGAGGAGACTCTGTCACTACAAAAAACAAAAACAAAATTATTCATGTATGGTGGCATGCACCTGTAGTCCTAGCTACTTGAGAGGCTGAGGTGGGAGGAGATGACCTGAGCCCAGGAGTCAAGACTACAGGCTGCAGTGAGCTATGATTGTGCCACTGCACTCCGTCCTGGGCAACCAAGTAAGACCTTGTCTGTAAAATAAAATAAAATAAAATAAAATAAAATAAATTTTAGTATAGATTTTTAGAGGTTGAATGATTTAAATTGTACCTGCTTTTGTCTTTAATAGCCCAGAGGAAAAAATAAAGCAATTAGAGAAGGAAGTAAATGAGTTGGTAGAAGAAAGCTGTATTGCCAATAGTTGTGGAGACTTAAAATTGGTAAGTTCATAAACAAGATTCAAAATTATGAAGCATTTATAGATGTATGTCTGCTTTTATACATACACCGTATGTATAGACAAATATTTTTGTTTGCCGTTGACTGGTCTTAGGATAAGAAGCAATTATTTTGAGAACCAGGAATTGTAACTCAGTTTCATAAATTTGAATGTCAGAATAATTGGCTGGTTTTGTAATTTTTGACATTGGCCTTTTCAGTAGGGAAAAAAATTCTAATGTATTTGTATACTTAACTTGGCAGCCTGGTGGACTATTGGATTAGATAGCAATATGCTGCTGAAAGGTGTAGCTACCATGAGCCACACACAGTACTAAGGGCTGTTTTCTTCTTGAAGTCTCTCTACTATCAAATATTTTTTCCTAAGTAAACTAAAAAATTAGTTTGCTTTTTGGGAATCTAACTTGGCTTTTTAAATATCAATCTTTACTTTTAATTTGCTTTGTTCATGTTACTTTGATTGTCATATCATATAAATATAATTTCTGTGAGTTATTGGATTAATGAATACCATTAGAAAGAAATGTTCACTTTAAAAAGCTGCTTTTACTACTCATAGAACTGGGGCTTTTTTTGTCATTCTAAAAAACAAAAAGTCCCTTTCCAAGGGAAGTTTCTGGTAAGAGCACACAGGGGTGTCTTGAGGAATCTGAGGATAGAAAATGAATTCATCCAACCTTCATGTAGATATTTCTCAAATGCATAAAAGTTGATGAACACTCAAAGGAAGTTACAAGGTATAAATCTGATTTCAGGCCTTAGAAAAGGCAAAAGATGCAGGAAGAAAAGAGAGAGTCCTGGTGAGACAGCGAGAACAAGTTACAACTCCAGAAAATATCAATTTGGATTTAACTTACTCAGTAAGTATTGAAATATAACACAATTTTTAAATAAAATTTTGACTAGGGTTAATGGGTTCCAGAGTCTTTTTTCTTTTATTTTTAAAATCTTACTGGTCTTCAGGTGCTCACAATTAGATTAATAATAATCTTTAGTTCATAAAACACTCTTGTCTTTGTTTTGTGCAAAGAGCTCTTTTCTTTAGTTATTTAACTAGTTATTTTAGGCTGGGTGCAGTGACTCACGCCTGTAATCCTAACACCTTGGGAGGTCAAGGTGGGAGGATTACTGAGTGAGCTCAGAAGTTTGCGACCAGCCTGGGCAACATAGTGAGACCTCGTCTCTATTTATTAAAAAATATGTAGCCGGGTGCCGTGGCTCACGCCTGTAATCCCAGCACTTTGGGAGGCCGAGGCGGGCAGATCACAAGGTCAGGAAATCGAGACCATCCTGGCTAACATGGTGAAACCCCATCTCTACTAAAAATACAAAAAATTAGCCGGGTGTGGTGGCGGGCGCCTGTAGTCCCAGCTACTTGGGAGGCTGGAGCAGGAGAATGGCGTGAACCCGGGAGGCGGAGCTTGCGGCGAGCCAAGATCTTGCCACCACACTCCAGAGCCTGGGCGACAGAGCGAGACTCCGTCTCAAAAAAAAAATATATATATATATATTTTTTTTTTGATAACTTGGTAAGTACCTGCAAACCTACCATGCAATGGCTCTATTTCTTGAAGAGCACTAATTTTAATGCTCTATCAAGGTGGTTATTTTGATGAGATTGTAATGTAGACTTTTCGGTCAGTGATTTTCAAGAACTTTAGGCATATAAAATAATGTTCTATGAGGGTAGTGGGGAAAAAAAACTAATGCCTCTAATTTCTAGCAACATTTATTTAATTCTGAAAAGACACCTCCATAATGTTTGCACTTCTGTTTAAAAGGGTGTATTTTCAGTGGGTAAAGGTTTCATATGCTAAACACATAGGAAAAAAAGGGCGTTTGAAATTTTGAAGTGTTAGATGCTTACTGTTTATAGCTGATACTCTACGATTCCATGAAATCTTTCAGGGATAATTTATGATGATCATTTTTTACCTTTAGGAACATAATTTACTATAAATTAATTACTTAAATTGTAATTTAGTATATAGAGCTTACTATACAGATTCTTCTGATAGACTTTAAGGTTTAAGATATTTCCACGTTTAATTTATATTTAGTTCACGATCTTGCTTATTTCTTTGATCACCAGCAGCATTAATGATACACATTTATTCTTTGTAGGTCCTCCAGAGATTAATAGATGGCAAATACTACTAAATTAAATAGAATACATAGAAAATTAAGGTGAAATTTAGAGGACAGGTCTTCTTTTCTTAATGTTCATTTGTAATGCAAGATAATTCTTTTGTTTACTTAATTTCATAATTGGCTGAGTATCTTGATATAAGTAGCTAACTTTGTTATAGGATTTTAATCTCTAGAAAGATTATAGGTGAAAGGGGCCTAAAGTGGTCTTATGTGTCTTTTCTATAATATTTTCTTCCTTAGGTTCTTTTCAATTTGGCCAGTCAGTATTCAGTTAATGAAATGTATGCCGAAGCACTTAACACTTATCAAGTTATAGTCAAAAATAAGATGTTTAGCAATGCAGGTAAGTGTACATAATCAGTTTTTCCAATAGATGTAATTCTTTCGTAGTGTTAATTTATGTCTCTTCATTTTATGCTTCCTTAAAATGAAATGATCTATGCTCTAAACAAATCAGTATTTATGATAGGGGTATCCTGCTTAAACATACTATTTATATAAAAATCCTTACAGATGAAGAAATATAGTTAGTATGAGGTATATTGCCTAATAGTATCCTGTTATCACAAGTAGAATGAGCCATGACATCCTCATAGAATGTGCTTTTCCTTATATAAATTTATCCCCAAGAGATTATAGTTTATATTTAGCATTTATATTGTGTAATTTTTTGGTAGCAGTATTAATGTTTATCAGAATGTCGTTTCCTTTAATATTATTAAAATGTATGTGGCATTCTTGAGTCTAACTTTTAAATGTCTTTAAGTTCCATGTTTTCTTAGAAGAACGCACAATAATGTAAAGCACAATAATGTAAATCAGTTGTTTTCTAGCCATAGTTTCAGGAATCTGTCTTAAGTTCCATTTCTTCACAGGAGGTAAGTTTGAAAAGTATAACTGTTTTAAAGTTAGAATTTTAGATAATATCTGAGACTTCATAACTGAGAAATGCTTCAGAGAATATGAATTAAAAGTCATCTAAAATATCAAAGAGTGGAAAAATGAGAGTATTATACATTCATTAAATTTTTTTAAATTAGGAATATTGAAAATGAATATGGGAAATATCTATTTAAAGCAAAGAAATTATTCCAAAGCCATTAAATTCTACCGAATGGCATTAGACCAAGTTCCAAGTGTCAATAAGCAAATGAGGTAAGTTTATAACAATAGATAATAATTGTAAAATTTAAGTGTTTTTCTGAAACAAGATAACTCTTCTGACCTGTTTTCAGTGGGTTGAACATTTCAAAGTGTTTGTACATGAGATTTATACGTGTAGTATTTTGATCTGTTCCCTTCTTACTACTTGTACACATTTTTATAATGACAAGTTAAAGGTTAAAGCATTGTATATGATCATATGAAATAAAACTAAGTGACCAATAAAGGGGTTAACCCTGAAGGCCATTACTACCCTGATATAACTTAATGCGGACACAAAATCATAATAGCAGTCCTCCAGAACATATCAATACAAGGCTAGAAATTAAGCTCCCCTTACGTTCTTGCTGTAGCTTGAGAATGAAATAGAGAAAAGGATTACTTCTGAGTCTTAGAAGAGGGGGAAGCTGGGATATTTTCTATTATAATATTCAGGAGCAGAAACAGTAAGTTCTCTTATGGTCTAGTGATAACTGTGGGGACATAGGAAGTTTCCAAGATATTTACTGATCATAATTTCCCCTAGGCACAGTACAGTTTCTCTGTGAAAGTTAATTTATTTGCAATACCATCTTTTAAGATCATTCGTTTTTGAATTTTACATAATATCTCATTATCATTAGCAAATATTATCTAACTTACAGAACACAATGCCCTTGAAGTACTTTTAAGCCAGGTGAGACCAAGAATTTGAGCATTTTAGAAAAAAAATTGTATTGAGTAACATATATTAAGTGCTTCATAATCAATAATCAAGACAATGGGTGCTATAATAATTCAGTGGAAGAAATCATTATTGAGAACAAGAATGATCAAGAAAGGCTTTATGAAGGAGGCATACTTGATATTGACTCTTTAGGAGGAGAGAAGGGATAACATCTGAGAAAAAGGCAACACCTGAGACCAGTCAGGGAAATAATAGTCTTTATGATCTGATCAGAGAATTATGAATAAACTAATTGAGTTGAAATAGAGGGATTATATTGAGGAGTGTTTAGAAATAAGGTGGGATCACATCCATTAGAATGGCTCCAATCAAAGAAACAATAAGTTTTGGTGAGTATTTAGAGAAATTAGAAACCTCATTCACTGAGATGTCAAATGGTGCAGCTACTTCGGAAAACAGGCAGTTAGCTAAAAAAGTTAAAACACAAATTTACCATGTGACCAGCAATTCTGCTTTTAGGTATATACCCAAGAGAAATGAAAATATAGATCGTCACAAAGGCTTTTACACAAACATTCATAACAATTATTCATAATAGCCAAAAAGTAGAAACAAGACGAATGTCTACCAAGTAGGCAATGTATAAATAAAATATGGTATGTATTCATACTATGAAATGCTATTTGACAAAAAAAGGAATGAAGTACTGATACATGCTACAAAATGGAAGAATCTCAAAAAATTATGCCAAGTGAAAGAAGCAAGACAAAATATCACAAATTGTATGACTCCATTTATGTACAATGCCTAGAAGAGACAGAGAGACAGAAAATAGACTAATGGGCCGGGCACGGTGCCTCATGCCTGTAATCCCAGCACTTTGGGAGGCCGAGGCGGGCGAATCACCTGAAGTCAGGAGTTCCAGACCAGCCTGACCAGTATGGTGAAACCCCGTCTCTACTAAACATACAAAAATTAGCCCGGCGTGGTGGCATGTGCCTATAATCCCAGCTATTCAGGAGGCTGAGGTGGGAGAATTGCTTGAACCCAGGAGGCAGAGGTTCCAGTGAGCAGACATCATGCCACTGCATTCCAGCCTGAGCAACAGAGAGAGACCCTGTCTGAAAAAAAAAAAAAAAGACTAATGGTTACCTAGGGCTGGGAATAAGAATGGGGAATGACTGTTAATGAGCACAGGTTTTATTTTTAGGGTAATGGAAATGAATTAAAATAAGGATGTGGTTATAGTTCCACAACTATATAAATACAGCAATAATTATCGAATCATATACTTAAAATGAGTGAATTTTATGGTATTTATATAAAGCTTTTATCAATAAAGCTTTAACAAAACAAAAACGAAGTAAAGTGGGAGACGAAAAAAGAAAACTATTTGTGAATGGTTTGAATGCCATACTAAAGAGTTCAGAATTTTAAAGCTAATCCATGTCTTTTTCTTTTAGGATTAAAATAATGCAGAATATTGGAGTTACATTTATTCAGGCTGGTCAGTATTCAGATGCTATTAATTCATATGAGCACATAATGAGCATGGCACCAAATCTGAAGGCAGGCTACAACCTAACTATCTGTTATTTTGCTATTGGAGACCGAGAAAAAATGAAGAAGGCATTCCAAAAATTGATTACTGTTCCATTAGAAATTGATGAAGATAAATATATTTCACCAAGTGTGAGTATGAAAAAGACATTTCTGTAGCCACTTCCCACTTATCTGTGCTTTTCTGTTTTCAGAATGAGAAAGCCAGAATAGATGACTTCTTGGGTTTTTCCCAGGCCTGTATCAATGTGTTTTATTATTGATGTATTTCATTTTTTATTTAAATTGGGTTGAGAATGAGACTCTATTGAAATGGGGTAGAGATTATGGTTAAAACAGACTGCACAATTTTAGTAAAAAAATCATTAAAAATAAGATTCCATGTCATTCATTAAGCATAATATCTTTTTTTTTTTTTTTTTTTTGAGACAGAGAGCCTGCCTTCCAGGCTGGAGTGCAGTGGTGCAGTCTCAGCTCACTGCAATCTCTGCCTCCCAGGCTCTGGCAATTCTCATGCCTCAGCCTCCTGAGTAGCTGGGATTACAGGCATGCGCCACCATGCCCGGCTAAGTTTTTTATTTTTAGTAGAGAAGGGGTTTTGCCATGTTGCCCAGGCTGGTCTTGAACTCCTGGCCTCATGTGATCCACCTGCCTCCACTTTCCAAAGTGCTGGGATTACAGGTATGAGCCTGGCCAAGGGTAATATCTTGACCAAGAAACCTCCAAATCCTTATTTCACCTATTAAGAGCCATTGTGGAGCAGAGGGAACCTCAACTGTGTATAAATATCTCAAGAGCGAAGGCTGGGCGCAGTGGCTCACACCTGTAATTCCAGCACTTTGGGAGGCTGAGGTGGGCAGATTGCGAGGTCAGTAGTTTGAGACCAGCCTGACCAACAGGGCGAAATGCTGTCTCTACCGAAAATACAAAAATTAGCTGGGTATGGTGGTGGGCGCCTGTAATCCCAGCTACTTGGGAGGCTGAGGCAGGAGAATTGCTTGAACTTGGGAGGTGGAGGTTGCAGTGAGCCAAGATTGTGCCACTGCACTCCATCCTGGGTGACAGAGCAAGACTCTGTCTTGAAAAAAAAAAAGTGAAATAAATTCCTTATCCTTACTCATAGAGTGGAACATAATGCAGTTATCAAAAGTCATATTTTCAAACACCTAGAGAAATATTATATAATGTTAAGTGAAAACATACAGCTATGCACACTTATACATGAACATAAACTGGAAGAATTGACACCAATATAAAACAGTAGTTTCTGAGCTATGAGATTGTAAATGCTTTTGAAATATTTTCCAGATTTTTACAAATAAAATATTGGCATACTGTATATTAGTTTAAGGAAAATTGCCTCTATTTGTAGATAAAAATGGTACATTTTCAATTTCACAGAGTTGAACTTTTAATAGATTTTCTTAACAGATTATATTAGCTGGGCATGGTGGCGGGTGCCTGTAATCCCAGTTACTAGGGAGGCTGAGGCAGGAGAATCACTTGAACCCGGAAGGTGGAGGTTGCAGGAGCCGAGATCGCACTATTCACTCCAGCCTGGGTGACAAGAGCAAAACTCCATCTCAAAAAAAAAAAAAAAAAGATTATAAGAGTACTGTAGCATAGCAGAGTATAGGCTCTGAAGCCAGATGCCTTGGCTCTCCTACTCAGCTCTTACTCTCCCTGTGTCTCAGTTCTTTTATATATGTAATGGGATTAACTATTATAACCTATCTTACAGGGTTAAGGTGAGGATTATAGGTGAGGATTAAATGAGTTAATGCATGTGAAATGCTTAAAATAGTACCTGGCAGCTGGGCACAGTGGCTCACACCTGTAATCCCAGCACTTTGGGAGGCCGAGGTGGGAGGATTGCTTGAGCCTGAGAGTTCAAGATCAGCCTGCGCAACATGGCGAAACTCCATCTCTACAAAAAAATACGAAAATTAGCCAGGCTTGATGTTGCACACCTGTAGTCCCAGCTACTTGGGAGGCTGAGGTGGGAGGATCACCTGAGCCCGAGGAGGTCAAGGCTGCAGTGAGCCGTGATCACACCCCTGCACACTAGCTTGGGTGACAGAGTAAGACCTTGTCTCAAAAAAATAAAAAATTAGCCAGCCTGGTGGTGTGCACCTGTAGTCCCAGCTACTCTGGAGGCTGAGGTGGGAGGATCATCTAAGCCCGGGGAGGTCAAGGGTTTAGTGAGTTGTGATCACAACATTGCTCTCCAGCCTGGATGACAGAGTGAGACCTTGTCTCAAAAGTAAAATAACAAATAAAAAAAATATATATTAGCCAGGCATGGTGGCACATGTCTGTAGTCCCACCTACTCGAGAAGCTGAGTGGGAAGATGGCTTGAGCCCAGAAGTTGAGACTGCAGTGACCCATGATCATGCCACAGTGCTCCAGTCTGGGCAACAGAGCAAGACTCTGTCTCAAAACAAAACTAACCAAACAAAAAAAATGTATGTGAAAGATAGTTAAGTGCTGGGCAAATGTTAATTATTATATATTATTTTCATATTGAGAAAAAATAATATATGTTGTAAAATCATCTGTGTTTTTAATGGGGAGTAGAGATATGGATCATACTAAGTAATTGATGATTGAAGCATTTATATTTGAGTTTAGAATTAAAGTATTACATATTTGTACTAACAACCCCAGCTTCTGTGTACTTGGTCCTAATCTTTCCATCCTGATCCTTTTATCAGCTTCTTAGAATAGGTTAGTTCAATGGAGAATGTGATTGGTAATCAGAAATATGAAAAAGAAAGTTCTAATTTACATAAGGGAAAATAGAAGGATTAATTTACTCTCCCTTTTTTAAAACTAATTAGTAGGGAGGCTTATTGGAAATTCAAGTTCGTGGCTGGACATGATGGCTTATGCCTATAGTCCCAATACTTTGAAAGGCTGAGGTGAGCAAATTGCTTGAGCCAAGGAATTGAAGACCAGCCTGGGCAAAATGGTGAAACCTCATCTCTACAAAAAATACAAAAATTAGCCAGGCATCATGGCATGCCCCTGTAGTCCCAGCTACTTGGGAGGCTGAGGTGGGAGGATCACCTGAGCCCAGGGAGGTGGAGGCTGCAGTGAGCCATGATCATGCCACTGCACTGCAGCCTGGGCAATAGAGTGAGGCTGTATCTCAAAACAAAACAAAACAAAAATTAAGTTCTTGCTGTTTACTTCTGAATTATTCTTTTTTTCTTCCATTTTATTTTACCAGGATGATCCTCATACTAACTTAGTAACTGAAGCTATAAAAAATGATCACCTCAGGCAAATGGAACGTGAAAGGTAATATTTTAAACTTAATAACGTAGTTATTAATTACATTATTTAAAATATTTAATGTTTAGTATTAAGATACTTAATATTTGAAACTTAAAATAATTTAGTTTTAATTTTTATAAAAGGGTTGAATGTGCATTCTGTTTCTTACAGAACTTGTTATATTCAATATATTTCTTGAATAGTGCTATTATTTCACCATTTTTATACTTACTGGTTCTCTTTTCTCATTCAGAATAATCTCAGTGCTCATGCTAATCTCAATTACTCAATCTCAGTTATTCTGTCAGTTGTTTCCCTCTGCATTTGGTACATTATTGGAACTTTGTTTATCTTACCTTTATTTCAAAAATGACGTCTTTATGTTTTTTTATCCTGCCTCACAATTAAGGATCAGCTCTCAGAGACAAAATTCTATTTATTTCATTTCTTCCTTCCTCTAATATGGTACTACAACTTGTTTCTACTTACAACACTTCTGACACCAAATGTGTGGTTTTTCTCACACCAACAACCAATTATCCATCTCCCTGGACACCAAGGGCTTAGTCCCACAAGACTACTACCCTGTTCCTCACTACAGATGCCAGTTGTAAGCCTGTAAGCCTGGGCCTCCTGAACTCCTGACTGACCTGCTATGAATGGAAGGCTCCCACTACCCCCTCCTCAGGGTCAGTAGTTTTCTAGGAGAGCTCACAAAACTCAGGAAAATACTTTATTTGTACTTACCACGTTATTATAAAGGATACAACTCAGAGACAACCAAATGGAAGAGCTGCATAGGGCAGAATATGGGGGAAGTAGTGCAGAGCCTCTGTTGACTTTCTGGGTGCACCACCCTCCCAGCACCTCCGTGTGTTCATCAACCTGGAAACTCTCTGAACTGTGTCATTTAGGGTTTATATGTAGGTTTCATGATGTAGGCATGATTTTTATCATTGGCCATTGGTGATTGAACTCAGTCTGCAGCCTTTCTCCCTTCGCTGGAGATTGAGGGTGGAATTAAAAGTACAACTGGGGTGGTGTCAGAAAAGGCCAAGTGGGGAGCTAAGACTTTAACCCCTAAAGCCTGTTCCATTCCTCTGATGTCAGTGGATGACACGTGGGGAGCCTGGAATTCCACCCCTACCCAGCAGTACTGAAGCATCCCCCAACCCTTTCTCCTTGGGTAGTGTCAGAGGAGGCTTAGTGGAGCGTCAGGGCTTTAACTGTCACCCAGTTGTAACAAAGCCCTCCTATCATGATGTTAGTAGGACGGACTATTTGGGAAGCAAGAACTCCCACCCTGCCCAATAGATACAAGGACCCCTCTGCCTATTCTGGGTGTCAACGGAGGCCATGTGGCAGGGGCTGGATTTCCACCTTCACCTGGCAGTGGCAAGGTGGAGTGTCTCCTTCCTCTGCTGGAGTGGTATCCAGAAAGCCAGCTAAAACGATACTTAAAATCCAGGGTCTCATAATTCAGAAATGTCCAAGTGTTCATTAAGAATCATTGTTTGCTGGGCACGGTGGCTCACGCCTGTAGTCCCAGCACTTTGGGAGGCTGAGCCGGGTAGATAACCTGAGGTCAAAAGTTCGAGACCAGCCTGACCAATATGGTGAAACCTCATCTTTACTAAAAATACAAAAATTAGCCAGGCATGGTGGCATGTGCATGTAGTCCCAGCTACTCAAGAGGCTGGGACAGGAGAATTGCTTGAACCCAGGAGGCGGAGGTTGCAGTGAGTGCTAAGATAGTGCTACTGCACTCCAGGCTGGGTGACAGAGCAGGACTCCATCTCAAAAAATAAAATAAATAAATAAATAAAATAGTGTGAATAGCCCTATAAATCTTAAGGACATTGAATGATGCTTTTAAAACTCTGAAAAAAGAAACCTATCTCTAGGCCCAGATGGGTTTTACTGGAGAATTCTATTAAGAATTTATATCAGGGGCAGGAAGGGGCAGCCACTTGGGCAGGATGGCGGCGGCTACAGTGGGCAATGTGGTCAACTAGGTGATCCTGAGTGCCTTCCTGTTCCCGGTGACTGTGTCCTTGTGCCACATCCTGGTACTGTACGTGGGGCTCCTGCTGCTGCTGCACGCCTGGCGCTTGCCCCCTGCACCGCCCATCTCAGGCCCCGGGCCCAGTCTGCATTCGTCCCCTGGCCTGCTGCTGCCGCAGCACTTCTACCCGTACTGCGTGCTGCCACTCACCTTCGGCAAGTACTTCGCATCCCTGTCAGTGCACGTCAGCTTCTGGAAGGTGCCCATGTCCTATGCACACACCATTAAGGCCACCATGCCCATTTGGGTGGTCCTCCTGTCCCAGATCATTATAAAGAAGCAGAGCAACAAGGTGTACTTGTCACTCATCCCCATCATCAGCGGCGTCCTGATGGCCACGGTCACCAAGTTGTCTTTTGACATGTGGGGAGGCCGCCACGCTGTGCTTCTTGTTTCAGAACATTTTCTCCAAAAAGATCTTGAGAGATTTGCGGATCCACCATCTCCCGCTGCTCAACATCTTGGGCTGCCACGCTGTTTTTTTATGATCCCCACCTGGGTTCTGGTGGACCTCTCAGCTTTCCTGGTCAGCAGCGACTTGACTACGTCTCACAGTGGCCCTGGATGCTCCTGCTTCTGGCTGTCAGCGGCTTCTGTAACTTTGCCTAGAATGTCATTGCCTTCAGCATCCTCAACCTCGTCAGCTCTCTGAGCTATTCAGTTGTCAATGCCACCAAGAGAATCATGGTCATCACAGTGTCCCTGATCATGCTGCCCAACCCAGTCACCAGCACCAATGTCCTGGGCATAATGACTGCCATCCTCGGGGTCTTCCTCTACAAGACCAAGTAAGATGCAAACCAGCAAGTCAGGAAGCACCTCCTCCTGGCACCACAGTGGACCTGAGCAGCAAGGAACATCACCAGAGCCCACTGGAGAAGCCCCACCAATGGCCTCCTCTTCCCCCAGCACGGGGACTATCATGGCTGCAACAATATCTTAACAGACCACTTCCAGTACAGCTGGCAGAGCTACCCAAACTCTTAGTTTGAACCACTATGACTTGTAGAGTCCAGAGGACAGGACCAGACTGTTCTGCGACGGCTTCCCCTGCCCCCACAGCAGTTTCAGAAACTTCTGACATCCAGTGAATGTACAACCCAGCCGAGGGAATGGTGTGTAACTCTTCATCAGAAGCACCGGGGTTCCTGGCGCCCCATGAGCCACAGGAGGATGCGTTGCCTGCAGCACAGACGGCTGTGGGCTCTGGGCAAACCTAAACAGACACTGGTGTCTCATGCTCTTTCTTTCTGGAGACTGTCATCTGAGGGCCGGGTCCCTGCCGAGATCTTGGCCACGTTGTACCTTTCCATGTGGAATTATTCCCCAAACGGTGTATCTCAAAACACTTGTGTCTGCATTCCAGATAACATTCAGGACCCTGTCTGGAAAGCTGGGATCGCTGTGGCTGTAGACCATGGGCTGGCAGTGGGGGTGTCCAGGGCGGTGCTTGAGAACGTCAGACTGGCCATTTTAATTCCCCGGCTGAGATATGCATAGGACCAACAGGGTCACTGAGCAGACAAGGAGCCTGTGAGAATCATTCAAAAACATCCCCAGCCACAGAGATGGATCCCGTTTCCCAGTCATCCCCTTAATAGTTTGAAGTTCCTGGCAAAGGTTCCAAAGTGAAAAGCGATTGCAATTAGCATCCAATTCTTGCAGCCTTGCAGCCTGGTGCTCTGCCCTGCATGTCAGAGTTGGCATCCGGCTGGATCCAGAGGAAAGGGAAACTGCTCTCTCTCTCTCCTCTGCCTCCACTTCTCTTGGGGTAACAAAAAGGATCTTCGAGAAATCATGTTCAGTATTTCAAGCTCTATTTCTATGGCACTTATCTTTTGAGAGGAGTCTTCACCTCTTCAGTGATGACTTGGTAGGTTGTTTGGTAGGGAGATCTTGATTTTCTGAGGATGTTGCATTTTTCTAGGGAATATTTTGTAGTTGTGTGTGTGTTTAGCCTCGATCCCCATTACCCTATGCGTTAGGACTGGCTTATGGGTCAAAAACTGTTTTATTTCTAAATGTTTAAAAACAAAATTCCCACTGGTGATGCCTGTGTGACACATTTGGGTATTTAGTAGGAAACAATGCAGTGTTTCAAAGCTTCGAGAGAAGCTTCAAAATGGACACAATTGCTGAAAACAGAATGAATCATGAACATTATCTCAATGTTTTGCATAATAGACAAGACCACGGCGTTTTGGTTCCCTGACCTGTTTTGTGTTTATGTTAGGATCTGAATCATGTTCTGGGTAAGGAGAGGAGGAGCGAACACTGCACTAAGATTTGGTTTGCCAAATCAGATTCTTTGGTCAAGAGTCAGTTTAGGGCTGGGTGCGGTGGTTCAACCCTGTAATCCCAGCCCTTCGGGAGGCTGAGGCAGGTGCATCACTAGAGACCAGCCTGGCCAATGTGGTGAAATCTGTCTCTACTAAAAAGATGCAAAAATTAGCTGGGCATGGTGGCACATGCCTGTAGTCCTAGCTACTTGGGAGGCTGAGGCAGAAGAATCACTTGAACCCAGGAGGTGGAGGTTGCAGTGAGCCGAGATCATGCCACTACACTTCAGCCTGGCCAATAGAGTGAGACTCTGTCTCAAAAACAAACAAACAAACAGAAAAAAAACAAAAAACAAAAAACAAAGAACCAGTTTGGGTTTTGGCAGAAATCACATCAGGAATATTACACGACCCCAGTAGGTAACCCTGAGTGCTCAGGTCTGAGCTGAGGTCTCAGTCTTTTATGGCTTCATGAAAGGACTGTGCCCTCAGGGAGGGGACCATGGCTTGGCTTGTGGGGTCTTGGTGATGACTGCCATCTTTCTTCATCACCACACCCAGCTTCTTGCTGGCATTTGCGAGGAGACAGCAGCAGATAAGAGGTTCACCCTTTATCTCCCAGTGAGCAAGATGCTTCCCTGTTCAGAGAGGAAGTAACACTGCTTATGCTTGACTGCTGTTTTTTTTTTTTGTCTTTTGTTTGCTTTTCTTTTGATTGGAATTCTGTATTTAAGATGTTAAGTTGTGTCAGCTTACATATGGAACATTCCAGGAGAGGTGACTGGCCCCCCACCCTGCTTGGCAGTGGATTTCTGCATCACCAGCTTCAGAAGTGTCCCTGTTCGCTAGTCTGTTGTTTGCTTGCTTTGTAAATACTTTGGTCCCAAGCTGAGACAATTGCTGTGTAAAACGGGAAGAGTCAATCTTGAAGGGTATTATTTTTCAGAAGAATTTGCCGTGTGCCTTCACCGAAGGCAGTCAAGTCTGCAGTTGGATTTTTCTCACTAGGGAATGACAGGAAACGGGGATAATTTTGCACTGTGGATATATTACAGGAGTTGTCTATACGATTATAGTACCTGATTCTTTGGACATATCATTGAACTCCGAAATGAATTCAACCTCCAGGTTTAATGAAATCTCTGATGTTACTGGAAAAAAAAAAAAGGAATGAACATCAGTTCTACATTTCTTTCAGAACCTACTTTCCTTTATGAATGTAGAAGTACCCTACTACCAAAATCAGACAGTACCAAAAAAAAAAAGAAGAAAACTACAGATTAATATCATACGAATATATGAACATAGACTCAAAAGCAAATTGAAATATTAACAAAATTTAAAAAGAATTATGCATCTGGACCAAATGGGATTTGTCCCAGGAATGTGAAACTGGTTTAACATGTAAAAATCAATTAATATTATACAGGTGGCCAAGCGTGGTGGCTCTTGCCTGTAATCCTAGCACTTTGTGGTACCGAGGTGGGTGGATCACTTGATCCCAGGGGTTTGAGACCAGCCTGGGCAACATGGTGAAGCCCTGGCTCTACTAAAAATAACAAAAACTGAGGTGGAGGATCACCTGAACCTGGGGAGGTTGAGTCTGCAGTGAGCCGTGATCATGCCACTGCACACCAGCCTGGGTGACAGAGTGAGACCCCATCTCAAATAATAATAATAATTAATAATAATAATATATAGGATATCAGTGGAATGAAGGATGAAAACTACACAACCATCTCAGTAGAAACCAGGAAAATTTTTTCACAAAATTCAAAATGTTTTCAAGATTAAAAACAAAAAGTCCAACAAGAAACAAGTAGAAAGGAAGTTCCCCAATTTGATAAAGTACATCTGTGACAAACTCACGGCTAACATCATACTTAATGGAAAGAGACTAAATGCTAGCCTGGGCAACATGGCAAAACTCTGTCTCTACAAAAAAATACAAAAATTAGTCAGACATGGTGATATGCACTGTAGTCCCAGTTATTTGGGAGAATTGCTTGAGCCTGGGAGGTGGAGGTTGCAGTGAGCCAAAATTGTGCCACTGCACCCCAGCCTGGGAGACAGAGCATGACCCAGTCTCAAAAAAAAAAAAAAAAAAAAAAAAAAAGACTGAATGCTTTGCACCTAAGATCAGGAACAAGATAGGGATATCCGACTTTTACCAGTTTTTTGTTTTGTTTTGTTTTCTGAGATGGAATCTTGCTCTGTTGCCCAGGCTGGAGTGCAATGGCACAATCTCAGCTCACTGCAACCTCCGCCTCCTGGGTTCGAGCGATTCCCCTGCCTCAGCCTCCTGAGTAGCTGGGACTACAGGCGCCTGCCACCATGCCCGGCTAATTTTTTGTATTTTTAGTAGACATAAGGTTTCACCGTGTTGGCCAGGCTGGTCTTGAACTCCTGACCTCAGGTGATCCACCCACCTTGGCCTCCCAAATTGCTGGGATTACAGGCATGAGCCACCGCACCCGGCCCACTTTCACCAGTTCTGTTCATCATTGAACTGGAAGATTCTATCTTTGGCAGTTTGCAAAACAAATAAACTTAAAACTGGAGTTAAAGACATCCAGATTAGAAAGGAACAGTTTAAACCATCTTTTTTCAGATGACATGATCTTGTACATAGAAAATCCTAAGGAATCAACTTTAAAACTGTTAGAATAAATGAGGTTGTAGAGTAAAAAAAAATCAATATACAAAAATCAATAGTGTAGTGCAGAAATATATTAATATCTTCTCAGCCGTGTGGCTGAGATGAAGTGTAGTATTTGTATATCTGATGCTTCCGCTATCCAAGGACAATCTGTTAAATGGATTTTTGGAGCAGGGAGATTGAATAGGACCTTGCTCCATCTGCTGTATGCATTGACCTGGTAGTGCAGTAACTCCAGGAACTGTGCACCCCCTCAGGAAGAAAAGAAGAAATACACTATACACTACCCATGAATTATCCCAAAAATGAAATTAACATTTATAATTGCATAAAAATTATTAGGAATAAATTTAATGAAAGAAATGCAAAACCTAAACTCTGAAAACCATAAAACATGGGAAGAATATAAAGATACTAAATAAATTATGTCGTATTTTTATGGATAGGCACTTAATGTTATTAAAATGGCAGTGCTCCCCAAATTAATGTACAGATTCAGTGCCACCCTTGTCAAAATTCCAGCAACATTTTTACAGAAAGTGACAAATTGATCCTAAAACTCATATGGAAATGGAAGGGAACCAGAATGGCCCAAACAGTGTTGAAAAAGAAAAGCAAAGTTGGGACTCAAACTAGAAAGCAACATTGATGAAGACACTGTGAAGACAGAGGCATAAATGAATGGAATGGAATTGAGAGACAAGGAAAAAACTCTTACGTTTATAGCCAGTGGAGGTGCCAGGAAAATTTAAGAGAAGAAAGGAGAGTCTTTTCAACAAATTGTGCTGGGAAAAGTGGATATTCTCTTGCAAAAGAATGAAGTTGTACATCTCTTTCACACCATACACAAAAATTAACTAAAATGAACTATAGACCTAAATGTAAGAGCTAAAACTATAAAATTGTTAGAAAAAGAAGAGAAATATCATTGACTGTCGGTTAAGCAAAGGTTTTGTAGATATGACACCAAAAGCACAAGTGACATAAGAAAAAAATAGATAAATTGGACGTTATCAAAATTAAAAACTTATGTACTTCAGAGGACGCTATCCAGAGAGTGAAAAAATGACCTACTGAATGGGAGAAAATATTTGCAAATGATGTATCTGAGAGGGGACTTATTTCTAGACTATATAAGTAATGTCCAACTCAATAATAAAAAGGCCAATAGCCCAATTAAAAATGTGCAAAAGATATGAATAGATATTTCTTCAAAATAGATACACAGATGCCCAATACACACATGAAAAGATGCTGAACTTCAGTAATTGCTAGGGAAATGCAGCTGAAAACTGCAGTGAGATACTACTTCACACCTACTAGTATGCTATAATAAAAAAGAAAATAACAAGTATTGGTAAGAGTGTGGAGAAATTGGAACTCTTAAATGCTGATGGTAGGAGTATAAAATGGTGCTTTGTAAAACAGCATACAAGTGCCCCAAAAGGTTAAGCATAGACTTACCATATAACCCAGCAATTTTACGTCTAGATATTTACCCAAAAGTAATCAGAGTATATGTCCACATGACAACTTGTATACAGATTTTCTTAGTGATATTATTCATAATATCGAAAAATAGAAATAATCCAAATGTGCAACAATTAATGAAGGTATAAATAATATATGGTCTATCCATAATATGGGATGTGATTCAGCCATACAAAGGAATGAAGTACTGATACGTGCTGTTAGGTTGGTGCAAAAGTAATTGCGATTTTTCCCATTGAATGCAATTGCTTTTGCACCAACCAATACAATACAGATGAACCTTGAAAACATGATAAATGAAAGAAGCCAGTCACAAAAGACCACGTTTTATGATTCTGTTTATATGAAAGGTATAAATTAGGCAAATCTATAAAGATTTGCCAGGGAGTGTCTGCTAATGGATATTATGTTTCTTTTTGGGATGATGAAAATGTTTCAAAAGTGATTGTGGTGCTTGTTGCACAAATCTGTGACTATACCTAAACCATTGCATTGTAGACTTTATATTGGGTGAGCTGTATGGTATATGAGTTATCTCCCTATAAAGCTGTTTTTTAAAAATTCAGAAATATGTTTTTAAAATTACACGCCATGACCAAGTAGGATTAATTCGAAGGCTGCAAGGTTGCTTCATTATTTTTAAATCAATCAATGTAATTCACCATACTAACAAACTAAGGAAAAAATCACGATTCAGTAATGTTGAGAAAGCTGTCTCTTATTTCGTATGTTTTTGTGATGAATGAGTGTTGAATTTTGTCACATGCTTTTTCTGTAACAGTTGACATATAACATGGATATTACTCAGCAACAAAAAGGAATGAATATTGATATACGCAACAAATTGGATAGATCTGAAGGGAAGTATACTGTGCAAAAATAGCCAATTCTGGAAGATTATATATAACCTTATTCTTTATATATAACACTCTTAAAATGATAAAATTGTAGAACTGGAGATCAGATTAATGGTTGTTAGGAGAGATGAAGAAGGGGTGGGAGTTGGAGGAAAACAAAGGAATGGAAATATAGTGGGAATATTCTGTTTCTTGACTGTTATCAATGACAGTAATCTGGTTGTGATACTTGAAAGATGTTACTGTTGGAGGAAACTGGGTAAAGGGTACATGGAATCTCTTATGTTTTACAAATGCATGTGAATCTACAGTTGTCTCAAAATAAAGTTCAAAAGAAAGAATAACAAGATGAATGTTGAATGATTTGGAAAGATTATTTCTTTTCTTTTTTTTTTTTTTTTGAGACGGAGTCTCACTCTATCACCCAGGCTGGAGTGCAGTGGCCCGATCTCCGCTCACCGCAAGCTCCGCATCCCAGGTTCATGCCATTCTCCTGCCTCAGCCTCCTTAGTAGCTGGGACTACAGGCGCCTGCCGCCACACCTGGCTAATTTTTTGTATTTTTAGTAGAGACGGGGTTTCACCATGTTAGCCAGGATGGTCTCGATCTCCTGACCTTGTGATCCACCTGCCTTGGCCTCCCAAAGTGCTGGGATTACAGGCATGAGCCACTGCGCCCGTCCTGGAAAGATTATTTCTATATTAATACAGCATAGTATAAAGAACAAGTTATAGAATAGTATATACATTTTGAGTCCATTTTAAAAACCACTACTTATATATAAATTCAAGAAGAAATGACTAAGAGAACTTTTACCCACCACTATAAATTGGTATATCCACTTTGAAAAGCACTTGGAAATTTTCCAGTAACCTTGACGATAACACATTTTATATATGTACGTACGTGTACATATACATATACACACACGGATACAGATACACATATATGCACACAAAAGCAACAAATAGTAATTCAGTTTTACTCTTTACCACACACAATTTCTTCAGTGGTAATTTCACCCTTTACTTTCGTGTCTGCAGTGTAGGCTACGTAAGTTCCGCTGCAGGGCCTTGTGTTTCTCCAGTATCTCTTCAGTTTGTCAGAAGGCATCATAAAGCAGAAAAAGAAAAGAAATGAACACCGTTGACCCGGCAGGCAATCATGGCTTGCTAATTACGTTTCCTAGTCATGGTTTTAAACCTGAATCGTAAATAGATTTCTATGGTACCTGTCCATTGTTTAGTAGGCTTTTGTGGTATGTTAGTTTTGATAGATAATGTTTACACTTAAATTTTAGGAAATCCAAACTATTTTATACTGTATCTCTAAATACAACTTTTTGGTTTATTTGATATAGGAAAGCCATGGCAGAAAAATATATTATGACATCTGCAAAACTCATTGCTCCTGTAATTGAAACATCTTTTGCTGCAGGTTATGATTGGTAAGAGAGAAAGTCTATAATACTGCATAGATGTGGTTTTTTTCATAATTTATACTTTTAAATTTAAATTAATATTGTCATTAGAAAAGTGGATATGAATGTTGATTCATATTTATCAAGCAGATAATATTGTATGTTCAGATTAATATAGGCTATTATAAAAGTTATTAATAAGATACTTATTACTCATGTTATTTTGTAAATCAAGTAGTTATATAACACATTTCAGTCAACAATGGACCACATATATGACAGTGGTCTGGTAAGATAGGAAGCTGAAAAATTCCTATCACTAGTGACGTTGTAGCTGTCTCGAAATTGTAGCATGATGCATTATTCACTTGTTTGTGGTGATGCTGATATAAACAAACCTATGCTGCCAGTTGTATAAAAGTGTACAGTAATATCCTAGGCCTTCACATTCACTCAGAGTTTATTTTGTGACTCATCCAAAGCAACTTCCAGTCCTGGAAGCTCCATTCATGGTAAGCACCCTGCACAGGCATGACATTTTAAAAATCTTTTATACCATATTTTAATTGTACCTTTTCTATGTTTAGATAGATTTAGATATACAAATACTTACCATTGTGTTATATTTTCTTGTAGTATTCAATACAGTAACATGCTGTAGAGGTTTGTAGACTAGGAGCATTAGGCTATACCATATAGCCTAGGTGTGTTGTAGGCCATGCCATATAGGTTTGTGTAAGTACACCCTATGATATTTGCACAATGATGAAATTGCCTAATGACATAATTCTCAGAACATATCCCCATCATCAAGCGATGCCTTACTGTACAGTAAATACATAAACCAGTAACATAATTGTTTATTATCAAGTATTATGTACTGTACATAATTGTATGTGCTGTGCTTTCATAAGACTGACACAGTGCAGGTTTGTTTACACCAACATCACCACAAACACATGAGGTGTGATACAGCATTACAGCACCTAGGATGTCACTTGGCAATAGGAATTTTTTAGCACCATTATCTTATGGGACCACTGTTGTCTATGTGGTTGGTCCTGGACCAAAACTTTTTTTTGGTTTTTTTTTGTTGTTGTTGTTGTTTTGAGACAGAGTCTTGTTCTGCCTCCCAGGCTGGAGTGCAGTGGCGCAATCTCGGCTCACTGCAAGCTCCACCTCCTGGGTTCTCGCCATTCTCCTGCCTCAGCCTCCCAAGTAGCTGGGACTACAGGCGCCCGCCACCAAGCCCAGCTAATTTTTTTTTCAGTTTATGTAAAAATTTATTTGACCAAAATGTAGAAAAAGTGATACTATTACATATGATACAGTTGCAAGAATCTAAAGAAAAGTGTGGATTTTATTCCATTGCACAATTTGCTAGTGTGTTTCCTGGGTAGTGTGGTGCTGAATAAGTAGGAGTGGGTTGGTGGGGTGGGGTGGGTAAGGGATTCAGATAAGCCAGAAGCAGGGTGATTTTTAGTCGGAATTGTAAACTTTAGTTGGCCCCCACACGCTGCTGGGGAATGTGGAATGTTCCATCTCTGAGATGTTAACTGAGAAAAGAGAAGTCAAACAAAGCCGATACGTGCAGCCCTGTCTATAGAATCCTTCATTATCCAGTTTAATCAGGAGTTTCTTGGTCTTTTATTAACTTGGACCCAAAGAAGGAATTCAAGTCCTAGATAAGTAAATCTTCAATTTGCTATTCCCTGAAGGATGGAAATGAAGTTGGGCCAATTTTTCATCTCTGTTGCCAGAGAGGCCCTTTCTGCTAATACGTAAAAACTCTTTTGCTCAACTTAGTAATGACTTGTAGTCTTTTGGATATGGCTGACCTGAATTGGACTGAACTCCACCATATTCCTGCTGAGTGGGTCATTACTGGAATGAGACTTCAGAGAATGCAGACTGGAATGCTCTTCAGAGAACAACTTTATTTTTATTTTATTTTTTCTTGAGATTGAGTCTCACTCTGTCAACCAGGCTGGAGCGCAGTAGTGTGATCTCGGCTCACTGCAATCTCCACTTCCTGGGTTCAAGTGATCCTCCTGCCTCAGCCTCCCGAGTAGCTGAGACTACAGGCAGGCGTCACCATAATTTTTGTATTTTTAGTAGAGACAGGGTTTCGCCGTGTTGGCTGGGCTGGTCTCGAACTCCTGACCTCAAGTGATCTGTCCTGGCCTCCCAAAGTGTTGGGATTACAGGCGAAAGCCACCGTGAAGCCCAGCTAATTTTTTTGTATTTTTAGTAGAGACGGGGTTTCACCATGTTAGCCAGGATGGTCTCAATCTCCTGACCTCGTGATCCGCTCGCCTTGGCCTCCCAAAGCGCTGGGATTATGGTCGTGAGCCACTGCGCCTGGCCGGATCAAAACTTTTTTATGTAGCACATGATCGTTGTTCATTGGAATTGCCCTGGTTACTTGTTAAAAGTGCGGATAATCTGGCTCCCCACATCTTTCTCTGTAGATCTGAGTCAGGGTTCTGAGGTCTGGAGTGAGTATTTACATTTGTGTCAAGCCTCCCCAAGTGATTCTGATACCTACTATACTGTAACTCTTTACCAGTGGTATGACTGCATATTAAAATCAGGGGATTTTAAATAGTCCCAACACACAGGCTGCGTGGTAGACTAGTTGAATCAGAATTTCTGGGTGTTGGGACAGAGGGATCAGTATTTATAAAGCCGCCTAGGGGGTTCTGTGATATAAATCCCACATACAGCTCTATACTATGCAAATAGTTCTTGAATGCCACTGACTGAGGAGCTCATTAAAAGTAGAGATTCAGTTGGTCTTAAATGGGATAGAACATCTATATTTTTTTAATGCTCTCCAGGTAGTTGTCATGTGTAATGGAAATTACGCATAATTCAACTGTTCTACTGAAAAACAGAAGAGAAAACTTAGTTCTGCAATTATTTGCAATTTTTACTATGAATTCTTCTGGCATTCTTACTATATTTCTGTTAACTTCTTTGTATATGATTAAATTATTTTTTTTTCCCTTTTTTTTTTTTGAGATGGAGTCTCACTCTTGTCACCCAGGCTGGAGTGCAGTGGTGCAATCTCGGCTCACTACAAGCTCCACCTCCTGAGTCCACGCTATTCTCCTGCCTCAGCCTCCTAAGTAGCTGGGACTACAGGCGCACATTGCCACGCCCGGCCAATTTTTTGTATTTTTAGTTGAGATGGGGTTTCACCGTGTTAGCCAGGATGGTCTCGATCTCCTGACCTCGTGATCCACCTGCCTCGGCCTCCCAAAGTGCTGGGAGATTAAATTATTTTTAACCTTTTTTCTGGAATTGTTTATGTTTGTTAAATATAAACATACAAAAAATTATCCGAAATGGTAACTCAGCTCAACGATACATCACAAAACAAACAAACATTTAGCCATTGCATACCCTAATAAATAAAATTTAAAGAATAGAACATTGTTAGCACATTACAAAATGCCAATCCTAATCACTGGCTACCCAGCTCTGAAGAGTGACTGATGTCCCTGAAGAGTGACTTTGATGATGATAACTTCCTTGCTTTTCTTCATTCTTTAACCATCTAAGCAGGCATCCATAATTTAGTTTTTCCAGGTTTTAAAAGCATCATATAAATGGAATCATACCGTACATATTCTTTTGCATATGACTTCTTTTACTCTGTGTTTGTTAGTGTTGTCCATGTCCTCGCATGTAGCTGTGGTTTGTTCATTTTCATTGCTATCTAGTAGTTCATGGTATTAATATGTAAAAATGTATCCATTTCAATGTGACTGGGTGTTGTGATTTGCAGTTTGAACCTGTTGTAAATGCTCCTATCAATATTATGGTACAGTTGTGCACATCTCTTGGTGGGTGGTGCCGATATTTCTGTTAGATACATACCTATGAGTGAAATGGCTTGATCCTATGGTGTGTATATGTTCAGCTTTAATAGATACCGCTAAACAGTTTTCCAAAGTTCCTGTACTTGTTTACACCCCCACCAACAGTGCATGAAAATTCGAATAGCTTACAAATACTTGGTGTATTTTGTATTTTTTCATTTTAGCCAGCCATACTGTGGCATCTCATTGTAGTTTTAATTTGCATTTCACTCTCAGCAGATTTTATATGTTTATTTACCATATGAATATTATTTTTTGAGAAGTGCCCGTTCAAGACTTTTGCCCTTGTTTCTATTTCTTTGGTTAGTTCTTTTTGTGTCCTTTTAAGGCAACTTTTGCATACCCCAACTTCATGAAAATATTTTCCTATGTTTTCTTCTAGAGGTTTTACCTTTCACATTTAGATACAGGATCTATATGGAATTGATTTTTGTGTGTAGTGTGAAGTAAGGTCAAGATTTTTTTTTTCTTTTCTCTCTCTTTTCTTTTCTGTAGTAGGGCTATCCAGTTAACCCAGCATGATTTATGGAAAATAGTTTACTTTTTCCACTGCACTGTAATGTCACCTTTGACATATACCAAGTGACTATATATTGGTCTGTTTGTAGAATCTTTATTCAATCCCTTTGGTCCATTTATCTACTCTTGTCGTCAAACCACATTGCCTACATTTCTATAGTTTATAGTAACACTTGATATCTGGTAGTGCTATGATCTGAATATTTGTGTTCCCCCAAAATTCATATGTTGAAACCTAACCCCCAAGGTGGTAGTATTAGGAGGTCGTCCTTTTCAAGGTGATTAGGACATAAAGGTAGGACACTTTATTTTTATTTTTGTTTTTTGAGACGGAGTCTTACTCTGTCGCCAGGCTGGAGTGCAGTGGCGCGATCTCGGCTCACTGCAACCTCCACCTCCCGGGTTCAGGCAATTTCCCTGCCTCAGCCTCCTGAGTAGCTGGGACTACAGGCGCCTGCCACCACGCCTGGCTAATTTTTTGTGGTTTAGTAGAGATGGGGTTTCACCATGTTAGCCTGGCTCGGCCTCCCAAAGTGCTGGGATGATAGACGTGAGTCACCACATCCAGCTGGTAGGACACTTTTTGAATGGAATTAGTGCCCTTATAAAAAGAGACTCTGGAGAGCTAGCTAGCCCCTACTATTATGTGAGGACACAGCAAAAAGACAGCATTCTATGAAGCAGGAAGTGGTCACTCACCAGACAGCCAGCCTGCTGGCGCCTTGTTCTTGGACTTCTCAGTCTTCGTAACTGTGAAAAATAAATGTCTTTGTTTAGGCTACCTAGCTTATGGTTTGGTGTTTTTTTTGTTTTGTTTTGTTTTGTTTGACAGAGTCTTGCTCTGTCACCCAGGCTGGAGTGCAGTGGCGCAATCTCTGCTCACCGCAACCTCCACCTCCCTAGTTTCAAGAAATTCTCGTACCTCAGCCTCCCAAGTATCTGGGACTAAAGGCACACACCACCACACCTAGCAAAGTTTTGTATTTTTAGTAGAGACAGGATTTAGCCATACTGGCCAGCCTGGTCTCAAACTTCTGGCCTCAAGTGATCTGCCCACCTCAGCCTCCCAAACTACTGGGATTACAGGCGTGAGCCACCATGCCCGGCCGAGTTTATGGTATTTCATTATAGCAGCCTGCACAAACTAGAGCAGGCAGTATAAGTCCTCCAGCTTTGTTGTTGAGGATTACCTTGAGTATTCTTGGTCCTTGTCATTTCCACATATATTTTAAAACCAACTTGTCAATTTTCCCAAAACCTGCTGAGATAAAAAAAAAAAAAAAAAAAAAAAAAAAAAAAGACTTTTTTAAAAAAGTAAAAAATCCAAAGACTTTTTTTTTAGAACAGTTTTAGTTTCTTAGCATAATTGAACAGAATGTACAGAGTTTCCATATATTTTCCCCACTTCCTACCCAGAGCCTCCCTCACCAATATGCCATCCCAGTATGGTACATTTGTTACAATCAATGAACCAATATTCACATAGTATTACCATGTGAAGTCCATAGTTTATGTTAGGATTCTTTGTGTTTTAATTCTGGGGGTTTTGACAAATACATGATGTCCTGTACCCACCATTGTAGTATTGTATAGAATAGCTTCACTGCCCTAAAAATCTCCTGTGTTGTACCTATTCATCCCTCCCTCTCCCAAACCCTTAGCAACCACTGATCTTTTTACTGTCTCCATAGTTTTGGCTTTTCCAGAATATCACAGGGTTGGAATCATTTAGTATGTTGGCTTTGCTGATTGGCTTCTTTCATTTAGTGGTATCTCTTGAGTATCCCTTATCCACAATGCTTGGGACCAGAAGTGTTTTGGATTTTGAGGTTTCTTGGATTTTTGAATATTTCTGTTTACCAATTGAGCATCCCAAATCCAGAGTCTGTAATCCTCCAATGAGCATTTTCTTTGAGCATCATATTATGTCTGTGCTCAAAAAGTTTCAGATTCTGTTGTATGGATGTTTATTCATTCACCTATTGAAAGACATCTTGGTGGCTTCCACAGTTTGGCAATTTTGAATAAAACATCCATTGTGTAGGTTTTTGTGTGAACATACAGTTTCCCCTCTTTGGATAAATACCAAGGAGCGTGATTATTGGAAATTACAGTAAGTATATATTTGGTTTTGTGAGAAACTGCCAAACTCTTTCAAAGTTGCTGTACCATTTTGCATTCCCATTAGCAATAGATGAGAATTTCTGGGGTGCCACATCCTCACCAACATTTGGTAATGTCAGTGTTTCAATTTTGGCCTTTCTAATAAGCGTATGGTGGCGTCCCATTGTTGTTTTAATTTGCAATTCCCTAATGACATATGATGTCGAGCATCTTTTCATGTACTTATTAGCTATTTGTATACCTTATTTGGAGAAGTGTTTGTTCAGGTCCTTTAACATTTTTGAATTGGGTGGTTTGGTTTTTGTTTTGGAGTTTTAGGAGTTTTCTATACATTCTGGATATTAATCCATTATCAGATGCATGATTTGCAAATATTTTCTCCCATTCTGTGGATTACCTTTTTACTCTGTTGATATTTCTTTGAGGCAAAAACTTCTTAAATTTTCATGAGGTCCACTTTGTCTATTTTTTCTTTTGTTTCCTGTGACTTTGGTGTCACATCCAATAAATTGTCAAATCTAATGTCATGAAGCTTTTGCTTTGTGTTTTCTTCTAACAGTTTTTTTAGTTTTAGATTTTACAGGGAGGTCTTTGATTCATTTTGAGTTAATTTTTGTACATAGTGTTAGGTAAGGGTGCAACTTCATTACTTATGCATAGTTTTCCTGGCATTGTTTGTTAAAGACTGTCCTTTTCTCACTGAATAGCGTTGGCATCCTTGTCAAAAAGCATTTGACTGTATATGTGGTGGTTTGTTTTCGGGCTCACTACTCTATGCTATTGGTCTACATGTCTGTCTTCCTGCCAGTACCACACTGTTTTGATTACTGTAGCTTTGTAATTACTTTGAAATCAGAAAATGTGAGTCCTTCAGCTTTGCTTTTCTTTTTCAAGATTGTTTTGGCTATTTGGAGTCCCTTGAAATTGCGTATGAATTTCAGGATGGATTTTTCTGTATCTGGAAAAATAAGCCATGGACATTTTGGTAGAGATTGCATTGAATTCATAGATTGCTTTGAGTAGTATTGATATCTTAAATGTAGTAAGTCTTCTGGTCCATAAACATGGGACATGTTTCCATTTATTGATGTTTTTGTTTTGTTTTGTTTTGAGATGGAGTTTTGCTCTGTCGCCCAGGCTGGAGTGAAGTGTCGTGATCTCGGCTCACTGCAAGCTCCGCCTCCCGGGTTCACGCCATTCTCCTGCCTCAGCCTCCCAAGTAGCTGGGACTACGGGCACCCACCACCATGCCCAGCTAATTTTTTTTGTATTTTTAGTAGAGATGGGTTTCACTGTGTTAGCCAGGATGGTCTCAATCTCCTGACCTCGTGATCCTCCCACCTCAGCCTCCCAAAGTGCTGGGATTACAGGCGTGAGCCACCACACCCAGCCTCCATTTATTTATGTTTTAAAAAATTTCTCTCGGCAATGTTTTATAGTGTTCCATGTTCAAGTCTTTAACCTCCTTGGTTATCCTTATTCCTAAGTATTGTATTCTTTTTGGCACTGTTGTCGATGGAATTGTACTCTTAATATCCTTTCCAAGTTGTTTGTTTTTAGTGTATAGATAAATGGAAGTGAATTTTGTGTGTGGATTTTGTATCCTGCTACATTGCTTAATTTCCAGCAAGTTAGGCATTTCTTATTATCTTTTCCTTTTTTGATTTCTAGTTTAATTTTATTGTGGTAGAAGATATTCATTGAATAATTTCAACTCTGAAATTTGTTGCAGCTTGGTACGCAATCCAAATGGACTTGAAAAGAACATGTATTCTGCTGTTGTTGGGGATAACATCCTGTGTATGTCATGTCAAGTTTCTTAATGTTTTGTTCAGACCTCTTTTTTTTTCTTACATTTACCAGTTTGTTATAATAAAGGATTTTGCAAAGGATAGTGATGCAGGGATGCATAAGGTGAACTATGAGAGAAGGGGCATGGAGCTGCCATTTCCTCCCTGGGCGCCACCCTCTAGGAACCTACACGTGTTCAGCTATCCGGAAGCTCCCCGAACCCTGTCCTCTTGGGTAAAAGGAAGGCTAGTGACTTCAGCATTCCTTCCACCAGGGTTTTGGGTGAGACTCTCATGTGAGGGCCACAAACAGAAAGGCAGGGGAAGGTCAGAGGCCTGCACTTGAGGCCTAACATCCCCATTATACCAGAAGACTCTAATAAAGGCTATGGGAATTATGAGCAGGAACCATGGATGAAAACCTATATATATATCATAACACCACAGGCCACCCCCTGATTTTCAACCATGGATCCTTTATATAAATTCTCTCTCTCTCACACACAACACACACATTAATAATTAGTTCAGTCCATCATACTGTGTGAATGTCTTCCAGGAGGAGGCCACTCAGTTTTGCAGGTTTCCTTACACTTGCTCAGGCTGGAGTGCAGTGATATAAAATGATATATATTTATGGTATACAAAATGATGTTTTGATACATGTACACATTGTGGAATTGCTAAATCCTATGCATTACCACACATACTTGTTATTTTTTGTAGTGAAAACACTTAAAATCTACTCTTAGCAAATTTTAAGTATATAATATATTATTAACCATAATTCCCTTGATGTACAATAGATCTCTTCAACTTATTCCTTCGTCTAACTGAAATGTTGTGTTCTTTGACCAATGTCTTCCCAGTCCCACCACCCCCTATCTCTTCTGTTATTGAAGTAAGAGTCGTGACCCACTAAATTGATTTCAATAACTCAGTATGAAAAATGCCAGTCTTGATGCAGTGAGTTTGGTATCAACAAGAATTGGGTTCAAATTCTTAGTTGACACTCATTTTCTACCTTTGTGATCTCAGATCTTCCATTTTCCTATCTATAAAATAAAAATAATCCTTTTAGGGTTGTTGTGAGGGTTAAACGTATTAATGCTTGTAGAGCAATTAGCACTGCCCCTGTTATAGAGTAAACAGCAAATATTTTGTGCTTTTATAAAGAGATCTATTTAAGTTGGGACACAAAAAATTAAATATATTCTACAAGTTCTGTAGAATTTTTCTCACCCTGAGAGCATTTAATATGGAAAAATATGTGGAAACTGTCGTCTGTTACAAATTGTTATAATAGTTAATTCAAAAATGAGAATGTAGGTATCAGTCCAATTTTTACTTAAAATGATTAGACATTAAAATAGGCTAATGATAAATTGGATAAGAAAAGTAATTTAGAACTGAACACTTCAGTAACTGAAAACCTGTGTTGGAGCAAATCGAGTGCTTACCTTTACAGAGTACTAGGGACCCTTTAAAAAATCTTTGAAAAGCCACATTTAAGAAAACCAACAGCATCAATATACTAAAACAAAATCAAGTAAGGTTTTTTATGCTTTCCCTTATAGGTGCGTGGAAGTGGTGAAAGCTTCTCAATATGTAGAGCTAGCCAATGATCTGGAAATAAACAAAGCAGTTACATACTTGAGACAAAAAGACTATAACCAAGTAAGTTTTAAAAAAAATTTTAGATGGAATTCCATATCTTAATTGGTCAAAGCATTAAAAACAGGTAAACTCCTTTCTAGAATAATGTTATCTGTGATTATTCTGAAGTTGAATAATATTTTTATTTCTATTTTATGTTAATTTTCATTAAAATAGTTTTAAACTTTTATTAATTTTTGCCTGTTTGTCGTTTCTTTTTTTTTTTTTTTTTTTTTTTTTTTTTTTTTTTGAGATGGAGTCTCGCTCTGTTGCCTAGGCTAGAGTGCAGTGGCGTGATCTACACTCACTGCAAGCTCTGCCTCCCGGGTTCACACCATTCTTCTGCCTCAGCCTCCCGAGTAGCTGGGACTATAAGCACCCACCACCATGCCTGGATAATTTTTTGTATTTTTAATACAGATGGGGTTTCACCGTGTTAGCCAGGATGGTCTCGATCTCCTGACCTTGTGATCCGCCCGCCTCGGCCTCCCAAAGTGCTGGGATTACAGGTGTGAGCCACCGCGCCCAGCTGTTGTTTCTTAAAATGTAAATACTTTCTTTGTATAGCATGGTTGCTAAATTATAAACCATATTCTATTCCGGAGATTAACTTTCCCCTAGAGGTTTTCAAAGTGTTCCCCAAAGCATAAAGTTTTTAGGAACACTGATTGTGCTAGGGAGCATGGGAAGCCAGGAGTCTGCCATCCTCACCAGAGCAGCTTCCTTGTAGTCTGTTTTATGTGTTTGGTTTCCTCATTGACACTGCATTGGGATTGGAAGGGTCTCATGGCTGTATGGGGTTTTAGAACCCCGCAGATCTCTCACTGGCACTGCTGCTCTCTTGCTAGCTTGGGTGGGGGGTAGAGTGGGTGCTCCCCCTTCAGCAGTCTCTCAATTAGGACAGAGCTGACACACAATCAGGAGGCTTAGACAGGTGTAAGAAAGAGGGATAACCAAAGAGAGTAAACAGAATGACGTGATGTCCTAGTCTGTAACACCAGTGGTTAGTGTCATTATATGTCAGCAACTAGAAAACTCAGCTCTTCCCAGTTAGATCCAGAGAGCAAGGACCAGAGAAAGCTATAGCATCTTTCCCACATCCTCTCCCAAGCCTATGCTTTCAGTTTATCTTCCTATTTAGAGAACTTTTTGCTCTGGGAGACAACAGAAAGGACTAACAAAGGAAGTGGGGAGAACATTATCTACTAAAGAATATGAGAGTAGAAAAAAGCAACCCCAGTGTTCACGAAATAAATACATATAATTAATGTAGTACCATGGGGTGGTTCCATTGCATATGTTAATTTACTATGCTTAATTTTTTGAGCATTTACAAAACATTTGAAAAAGACTTTTCAAAGTATCTATCCTGTCATTTAATCATCACATCCTTGGTCATGAAAAATGCCACCAATGACTCTCCAACATTGTTGTAATGCTTTTTACATGGAAGTGACGTGAATCAAATTGGTTTTTATTATCTTGCTAAAGTGCTATATGGACAAGAATAATTTTGTGTGTGACATGTACTGTTATGGATGACAAAATGGAGAAAACCATGTCTGCTAGTTTTCCTTTGACATTTTATTTTTAAATGATCTTTTTAGAAAGGGTTAAGAGGCCGGGCGTGGTGGCTCACACCTGTAATCTCAGCACTTTGGGAGGCCGAGGCAGGTGGATCACCTGAGGTCAAGAGTTTTGAGACCAGCCTAACCAATATGGTGAAACCCTGTCTCTACTGAAAATACAAAAATTAGCCGGGCGTGGTGGCATGCGCCTGTAGTCCCAGCTACTCGGGAGGCTGAGACAGGAGAATTGCTTGAACCCAGGAGGCAGAAGTTGCAATGAGCTGAGATCCCACCACTGCACTCTGGCCTGAGTGACAGAGCGAGACTTCATCTCAAAAAAAAAAAAAAAAAAAAAAAGGTTAAGAATGCATTGCCATGGCTCATGTTTTAAAACTATGTTCATTAAGCAATAAACACTCTAATTTTTTAATGTTAAAACCTGTTGAACTCAGATCTTACTATCTGTGCTTTCCTAGCTCTTCTTGTTCAAAATATCTTCTGTTCCATTTGCATTTTCAAGTTTTTAATATCAATTGGTTTACTGATTTTTTTAAAATGCCATTTCTGCTTTCTTTTCATCATTGCTGCTTTCACTCTGTCTTTCTTTTGTTTGTATATTGTAAGTATTATGAGGTAGGTATAATACAATCTTAGTTTGAAAGAAATATTATTAAGTGAAAAAGGATTGGGTTGACGTATCTCATAATAATCATTTGATGGCAACTACTTTATTTACAATTCAAAGTGAAAAAGAAAAATTTATGCCTTCTGTGAGGATATAGTTCTGGAGTTAGCTCTAAATACTTTTTTTTTTTCCAAGAAAAAGATGCTGAAATCACAGAGTATGGGTCTTTTTGATAATGATGGTGTTTGTAGCCACTTTTGTAATAGAAAAAATAGACTCTGCCAAAAAGCCCAAAGTGGATGAAATGAAGCCATTGGCCTGGAGGCTCAGCGGAATGCTGAAGCCAGGAGCTAGATGGCATCAGCTGGGAAAGGAGACCAGGACAGACATAGATCCCTTTTCCTCATTGTTTTCAGGGAAACAAACAAGCTAACATTGTTTATTTTTATTTTTTGTTTTGCCATTTAGAATGAAATTTAATTTTGACTGAACTTTTATCAGTTCCATTTATAAATAAACTTACAATATTTTACTTTTAAAAACATATTTTATGTAGATTTATGGACATGTAGAGAACAGTTATGAAAACAGCCTATTTCAAAACAAAAACTTGAGCGAAAAAATACCCGAGTGTTCCTTTTATTAGAATAATTATGTAGCCTTTTTAGAATAGATCATAGTTTAGAAACGTATAATATGAAGTGTTATTACTTTGTCAAGTGATACCCATTTAGGATGTTTTAAGTTGTAAATACCTTTGCCAAGTTTTTTAAGTAATGGTTTTGGATTGCACTGCTTTTTGGATTCATAATAACCATTTTGGGAGAAAATAGATTTGATGTTAAATATAGCCTTAAAGTATTGTTATTAATGAGTTACAATGTATATATCAAAATTTAAAAATTTAACACATTTCCTTGACTATAATGTAAATGGCCGCTTCTAAAAGGAATGATACAAGGGACTATAACACTCCTTTTTTTAAAAAAAAATTGTTGTTATTGCTTGTTAGCATTCTTTTTGTATTGTTTTATGGATGTTGTAAACATTAGAGAATAGCTTTCTTTTCCTGTACACTTTGGAGAGTTTAATGGTTGTATGAGTTACACCTATTCAAGTGCCTTATATTTTAAAGTAATACACCATTTATTATGACACAGTCTAAAAGTGAAGATTAGACTATCTCAATTCTTATTTAAAGTGAAATGCAGCTTATAAAACCTAGAGATTCAAAACAGTGGTGGCTTTTATATTAATAGCTATGGAGGTTGTATAAAGCATCAATGAGGTAGTTTCTATAGGATAAGCAATATTAGCAGCAATCATTTTTGAGGTAAATTTAAGGAACTTGTGGCAATGTTATAAGATCTTTCCAAGAAAGTAAATGATAGAATCTTGAAAGTGAGGATATGATGTTTGGGTTTTTCTTTTCCAGTGTTTACTTTGTAAACTACTGACCTAGAAACTTCCATCAGTTTTCTTTGAAGTCATCAAAAACCCTTTAAAAGAATAATTTGCTTGGCAACTTTATTGTGCAAATAATAATAAATAAAAGAATAACAGTTTACTCATATTCTAACCAAAGTATCTGAAATTGAGTATTTTAAAATCTTCTGTCCTTCAAAAAAATTGAGTCAGTTTGCCTACTGGTATTTCATTTGAGGTCAAACACTGCACAGCCCACATCTCAGAATCTGTCAGAGATTTGCAACAACTGTAGCTGACAACCATTATAAAAGCTAACACAGTTACTTTTGCTTCTACATAACTGCTTTCTAGGAGCAGGAGGCACCAAGAGTCAAGCATCTTCTAATCAGTAAATATATTTTAAAAGAAGGAAGGAAGGAAAACCCAGTGCCTTTCTCTACCCTTGTTTTTTTCTTTCTAATATTCTGTAGCAATTTCTAGGTTGAATACTCATTCACCTTTCATGTAAAGTGTCTGACCGTTCCACACATCTTACTTGGTTAGGATTATCTCAGACCTGCCAGGTAGTTAAAAACATACTTTCATTTCTCATGATTTAAAAATGTAATTATATTTGGATCTACTTTAGATCACTTTTTGTAACACTCCCAGAATTATTTTCTGTTACTGGTTTTGAAAAATTCTGTGCCATTTTTCCTTCTTGGCCTTCTGAAACTCCAATTACATTTCTATTAGACCTTTTCATTATGCTCCCGTAAGTCTCTTGTGTTCTTTTCTAGGAACATTTTTTAGCCATCTATTTTGCCATGTTTCATTTAGTCTGAACATTTTCTGGGACCTTGGCCTTAAAGTCCTGTTTGCTTTGCTAGCTCTACAGTGCCTTCAAAAAATATTTTTAGTATTTTCTATAATCTTTCTAGTTGTTCTCTGTCAAAGAATGGTCTTCTATAGGCTAGTCAGTCATGGCCAGAAGCAGAAACCTAAGAATTATTTTGTAAAGATCAAATTTGATCACATCTCTTAGGCAAAACCTTTCAAGGCCTCACTGCCCACCCCATTATGCAGAATAAACACTCAGCTGCATCACATGACTCCCAAGGATCATTATTATTATCATCATATTTTTATTTTTTTAGAGAGAGTCTCACGCCTATGCCCAGTCTAGTCTCAAACTCCTGACCTCAAGCAATTCTCCTGCCGTGGCCTCCCAAAGTGCTGAGATTATAGGCATGAGCCACCATGCCCAGCCTTCCAAGGCTCATTATTTACTACTGACCTTTCTTCCAGTCACCAGGTCTCTCTTCAGCTGTATCTAATCTGCTGTTAGAACATCTATGTTTTCTTAATTATATTTTTAATTCCAGAATTTCCATTTTATTCTTTTTTATAAATTCTAATTCTCAAATGAAATTATCTTCTTGTAATCTGTTTTCTTGAACATCTTAATCCACCCCTTTTGTGCCCTTCCCTGGTCTTACCCTTCAGGAACACTGATCTTTTCCCCGACCATAAGCTTGAGTACTGTCATATTACAGTGGTAGTAACCTTCAGATATTCCATTTCTAGGCTGTAGAGATCTTAAAAGTGTTGGAAAAAAAGGACAGTAGAGTGAAAAGTGCAGCTGCAACCAATCTCTCAGCCCTGTATTATATGGTAAGTTTTTTTACTACTAAGAGTTAATCATATGCTATTTTTATATTGCTAAATTTCTGCCCAAGGATCATGCCTAGGGAGAGGTCCAAAGAATATTGGTGGAGAATGGTAAGTGGACTGAGGAGTATAGAGGATCTGATCCTGACAAGTGCCAGGCCAGGGGCTGAGTTGGCAGACATGAGTGAGAACACCATCTCTGAAGGAGAAGGGAGGAAGAAAAATTGTAGTGATAAGCATCGCATCATAGATTATGCAACATACAGCTGGAAGAGCTAGAGATGTATTTCAACTCCTTTGTGTTATTGGTAAAGAAAGTGACATCTTAGGTTAAAAGATTTATGTAAGGTTACAGAGTATCAACTCTAACAAGCATTTATTGAGCATCTCACTGGATGCCAGTCATGGGAATACCAAAAGTCTAAAAGCTCCCTAAAGGGGAGCGTTCTTGTCTTTGGAACAAAGGAGGTAGACTAGGAAGGAAGGTTTAAAGTAGAGAACAATAAACGAATGCAGATAATAAGTGCTTCAGAAATTCAGAGGAGGCAAATAACATTTTAATTTAGGACTTTCAGGAAAGATTTCATAGAGAGTTGGATCTTTCAGGTCAGAATATAGAAAGGGGCATTTGTAGGGAGAAGGGGACGAAACAGAAGTACAGAGGCAAGGAACTGCTGGGAGGGAAGTGTGTATAAGAGTCATTTCTTTTCACCAGAAAATACAGAATTTCTGGTAGGCTTTTTCTGAATATTGAAAATTGATTATAGGTAGGTGTGGTGCCTCAAGCCTATAATCCCAGCACTTTGGGAGGCTGAGGTGTGTGAATCACTTGAGCCCAGGAGTTTGAGACCAGCCTGGGCAACACAGTGCCTGTCTCTACAAAAAGTTCAAAAAATTAGCTGGGCATGATGGTGCATGCCTATAGTCCCAGCTACTCGGAAGGCTGAGGTGGGAGGATCACCTGAGCTGGGGAGGTCAAGGCTGTTGTGAGCCATTATCGTGCCATTGTACTCCTGTTTGGTGACAGATACCTTGTCTCCAAAAAAAAAAAAAAAAAAATTGTAGATTTTCATTTGCCACTTTGAGAACCCATACGATTTTAAGGGCTGGAAGTTAGAAACAACTGATCTGTGTGATTTTTCAGTATCCTTTTCAATTCTGTCATTCTATGATTCTTAGAGGAAATGATCCGAGATTTAATTCTGTCCTGCATGTAGAAGAAGCCTATAAGAGCTTTCCTTAGGAATAACTGTTCATGCTGAGGTTGCAGGGCCAAGGAAGGGCCCAGATGAAGGCATGGAACCCAGACCTCACCATCTACCAGGGTGGTAAACTATTATAAGGCTACCACAACTCCTTAACTCTGCCTTAGCCACTAACTCGAATTTCCAGCGTCTTGGGTTTTGCTTACGTTTTGCTCAGAATAATGGCGTGGGAATGGTCTTTAACAGATTTCCAAGAACTGCCCTTATTGTAAGAATATTGCATTATCCAACCCCTTGTTTAAATTTACTGTCCTGACCCAACTGAAATATGAAGCCTTCCTGACTCTCCTTGGCAGATAGTCTCACCTTCCTTTGTGCTCCTAGAATATTTTGTTTGTACTTACAGCATTGTATTTTAATGGTTTATATGTGATTCTTCTTCATTAGACCATCAGCTTCAGCTTTGTGTTGTGCACAGTGCCCTGTTGATGACAGGTGCTTATTAAACACTTCTTTACTAACAAATGAGAAAAAAAGTCATATTATTTTGTTAAACCAAGTTTCTAGTCCCTCTTAGAGCTTCTGATCTGTGCACCATTGAGAAGCACTGCTGTGCTGAATTGCTGTTGCTAGTGGAAAGGTATCATATCCCTCATATATGTAAAGATGAAGAAAGAGATCCAAACCCCTGGTTGAAGAATGACTCCAGTGCTTCAATCTACTGGTAGGAGAGTGGTACCAGTTAGTTGCATGTCTAGAGGAGGGTGCTGATTGGGGGAAAAGATGTTGTGTTTCTTTTTAAATATATTTAAACATTTTTTGTAATGATGGAAGCAAGTAGACAGAAGGTGTATTAGTCCGTTCTCACACTGCTATAAAGAAATAACCGAGACTGGGTAATTTATCAAGGAAAGAGGTTTAATTGACTCACATTTTTGTATGGCTAGGGAAACCTCAGGAAACTTATAATCATAGCAGAAGGTGAAGGAGAAGCAAGCACCTTCTTCACAAGGAGGCAGGAAAAGAGAGAGGGTGGGCCTTTGTACCCCCACCCCAGCCAGCCATTGGATGTGGCCTGCCTCCCAAAAAAGGGTCACCTCTAGGAAGGGGGACAAGGTGCCTCTGTCTTCCACCCAGTTTCCAGAGAGGGCTGCCTGCTGAGGCTGGTGGCCAGTAGCACCTCCAGCACCTCTGACGGGCAAGTCCATGGCGTGAAGCATGGTGTCTATCATGGCCATTAAATTTTGAATTTAGAAAATCACTAATGAATTTTTTGACCCAATTCGTCACCAAATCTTTATACCAAGTTTGACGACTGTGCAGGAGGAGACCAATAGAAAATTTAAAGAAGCAAAGAGAATTGTTAGATTTAATCAACCAAGCAGAGCTATTAGAGCATCTCATCAGCAATTTCTTATACTTGGTTCTGAAGAAAATGGTTGTAATCAAGAATGTTTTGAGGCCAAGTGATGAGTCTGCTATGTAGTTTTATATGATATGTAGTTGAAAATATATTGCTGGTATCCGGCATATAGTTGTATCTGTTTTCTCTTGCTGTGTAATGAACTGCCCCAAACCGTAGTGGCTTGAAATCACCAGGTATATGCTTACATTCTACCCAGTGAGCTGGGTTCACCTGGATGCTTCTTTTACTGGGCTTGCCTGGCCTTACTCATGCAGCTGACATCCTCTGAGGCATGACTGAGACTGGATGTTCCAAATTCCTACCTCATGCCTGTCACTTAGCTGAACTGTTGTCCAGGGCAACTCAGTCTTCCCTCAGAGCATCCCCAGCAGGGGATCCCAGCCTTCTCAGGTGGGACTGGGTTCCATGAGAGCAAACCCCAGTACACAGGTGAGTATTAGGTTCTTGTGCGCATTGAGTTTGTTATTATTTTGTTGAACAAAACAAACATGAGAGAGAATCATACCTGAATGAGTCGTACGTGAATCCTGGGAGGTGTGATCCACTGGAGTCATTATTGTAATAATCTACCACTGCCTGCACTGAGACCCCAGTTATTCATATCCCTCCCAAGACTCTGAGTCTCATTCCACCACAGCATCAGGCTCAAAGGCCAGGATCTACATCAGGTCTGGATAGAAATGGGGCTTTCTAGCTGGGTATGGTGGCTCATGCCTGTAATCCCAGCACTTTGGGAGGCTGAGGCAGGTGGATCACTTGAGGCCAGGAGTTCAAGCCTAGCCAACATGGTGAAACCTCGTCTCTACTAAACATGGTGAAACCCCGTCTCTACCAAAAATATAAAAAATTAGCCAGGCATGGTGGTGCATACCTGTAGTCCCAGCTACTCGGGAGGCTGAGGCATGAGAATTGCTTGAACTTGGGAGGGCAGAGGTTGCAGTGAGCCAAGATCGTGCCACTGCATTCCAGCCTGGGCGACAGAACGAGACTCCATCTCAAACAAACAAAAAAAAAAAAAGAAGAAATGGAGCTTTCTCAGGAACAATTTCTTCTTGATCCAAAGATTTCTTTATTTTTTTTTTTTATACTTTAAGTTTTAGGGTACATGTGTACAACGTGCAGGTTTGTTACATATGTATACATGTGCCATGTTGGTGTGCTGCACCTGTTAACTCTTCATTTAACATTAGGTATATGTCCTAATGCTATCCCTCCCCCCTCCCCCCACCCCACAACAGGCCCCGGTGTGTGATGTTCGCCTTCCTGTGTCCATGTGTTCTCATTGTTCAATTCCCACCTATGAGTGAGAACATGCAGTGTTTGGTTTTTTGTCCTGGCAATAGTTTGCTGAGAATGATGGTTTCCAGCTTCATCCATGTCCCTACAAAGGACATGAATTCATCATTTTTTATGGCTGCATAGTATTCCATGGTGTGTATGTGCCACATTTTCTTAATCCATTCTATCATTGTTGGACATTTGTTCCAAAGGATTATAAAACATGCTGCAAAAGACACATGCACACATATGTTTATTGTGGCACTATTCACAATAGCAAGGACTTGGATCCAAAAATTTCTGAATGAAAAGACATGGCACCTGTCCCATCATACATGCAACATACCATGGAGATATAAAGACAGGATAACTGTAAGACACTCATCCCCAAGGGGAGGGATGGAGGCACATCACAGTCACTATCCTTAATGATTCTGAAACCTAGCAAAGCAGGTGTGGCCAGTGCTCCCTAGTCTGAGAAAAACGAATATTCCTTGATTAGGGCCCAGCTCTGCTCCCTCGGAGTGGCCCCCTAATTCTTTGTCCTCTGTGGCTCTTGGCTCGGCCTTCTGAGAGCATCTTCCTTTTGTATAAGAAATAGCCTATGTTTCAGGAACAGAAAACCAAACACCGCATGTTCTCATTCATAAGTGAGAGTTGAACAATGAGAACACATGGACACAGGGAGGAGAGCATCATACACCGGGGCCTGTCGGGGAGTGGAAGGCAAGGGAAGGGAGAGCATTAGGACCAATACCTAATGCATACAGGGCTTAAAACCTAGATGACAGGTTGATAGGTCCAGCAAACCACCATGGGACGTGTATACCTATGTAACAAACCTGCACATTCTGCACATGTATCCCATGTTTGTTTTTAACCTAAAGTAAAAAATAAAAAAAAAAGGAAAGAAATAGCCTGTGTTTGCAGCTGATTAACTTTCTCAGCCTGTGTTCTGCCCTGAGACATTTGGGGCATAGAGGGCTTTTTTCATTTTGGACTATATCTGTCCCTTTAATCCAAACTAGCAACAGTCAGCACAACTCCCCTAAAAACTTGGAGGGTTTTCTCTAAATCTTGTTGGGCTTTCCCACATGTCTCAACAGCTGCATCCATAATTCTTTTCAGGACAGACCCCTTCCCACTAGGTGTGTAGGCTGCTATGGAACAGAGCCTTGAAGTGTCTTAGAAGCCCACTTCGCTACCTGGGAGAGAAGGTCTGCTAGGTATGACCTTAAATCTTTGTGAGATGTTTACAAAAGGTGTTACAGCCACACCTTTGAATTGTTCCCTAACCTGCCACCATCTGAGAATCTTGTGCCACCACAAGAAACTGGAGACATGAAGTAATTTTATTTTCTACCTTAGCAAGTCCTGGTTCTTCTATATTTTCTCTAAATTCTACCTGCAAACTAAACAGTTCTCTCCTTAGCTCATTTTTCTCTTCCTATACCTGATCAATCATACCCAGTTAAAATAAGTTCATTGGCCCTTCAGCATCCTACCTAGAAATCCCCTTGGCCACATGTTGCATATTTATGAGGTGCACTTCCTATCCTCCATCCCACTCTGTGGGTGCCACTTGTGTCAGTGCTTCATGGTGACAGTGTGGTTTGCACTTTATCCAGCCTCTGATGATTCCTTCTGCCTTTGCAGGCTCACTCATGCTTCACCATCTCTCCAGTCCCCAACACAGGCCCTCACAGCTTTTCTCAGTTTTGCCTGCTACGTAGTCCAAAAGACAATGTTACATGTTTTAGTTTTTAAGCAGCAGCACCTCACTTGTCGGTACCAATTTTTGTTTCAGAGTTCACATAAAAACTTGCACATGAATGTTCATGGCAGCATTATTCATAGTAACCATAAAGGTGCCTGGAAGCAACCCAAGTGTCCATCAACAATGAATGGATAAATGAAATGTGGTCTACCCATACAGCGGGACATTATTCAGCCTTTAAAAGGATTGCAGCACAGATGCATGCTAAAACATGGACGAACCTTAAAAATATTATGCTAAGTGAAAGAAGTCAGACACAAAAGACTGCATATTTTATGATTCTATTTATATTCAGTGTCCAGAATAGGCAAGGAGACAGAAAACAGATTAGTGGTTGCCAGGGGCTGGGGGAAGAGGAGGATGGGAAGTGACTATTGATGGGTACAGGGTTTCTTTTGAGGGTGGAAGTAGATATTGGCAATGGTTGCACAACTTTGTGAACCTACTAAATGCCACAGAATTCTACATTTTAAAGGGGTCAGGTTTATTATATATAAGTTATATCTAAACTTTTTAAAAAGTTTAACGAGGGACGGTCACTGTGAGTGTTATGGGAAAAGGGGCATGGGAATTTAATGTTATACAGTTGTGAAGGAGCCATGGCGGTGAAGGTGCAGAAGGGGAGCTGGAGATCTGAGGAGGAGTAACCATCAGTCAGTGAGTGGCCACACATATCTAGCTGCCACAGTAGAACCCAGAGGGCCTTCATGGGGAGTTCTGTGGGAAGCAGATGCCTCTGTGCAGCTGCCTCCTCTGGGGACCACAGCCAAACCCTATCTTGGAGCAGGGACAGCATAGTCAGGAAGAAGAGCTGCCCTTGGAGTGGAGTAAGTGAGGAGAAGCTGGTACCCATGGACACTTCTGTGTCAGACCTGCATCTGATGACAAGAAAAAGGCTTTCTGAGACTAAAGGCCACTGCTTCAGGTCTGCATTCCAGATGTCACACAAGTTCCTCTTTTGGCCAAGTCTAGACAAGAGGCTAATAGTGAAGGAGCTTCTTGGAAATGTAGTTCCTGGCTTAACCAAGCTGACCTGGCACAGATGGTCACAATATTTAAGAACAGAGAGGTTCCTGTAGCTCACGTGAATGATGGCAAGGCCCTGACCGAGCATTTGGCATGGAGACGGAAAAAAACAATGGATTGCTAGAAGTGCAGAGACCTAGTAGGTGACGCAGCCAGTGTGCTAGGGGCAAGAAGGGTAGTGCTTTTGTGACAGCTATTTCAGGGCTTCAAGTGGGAGGGGGAGTGCTGCAGCAAATGATGACATGCAATTTGGGCGTTGAGTATGGAACCACCTACATATAAATAGTGTTGTTATTCTAACCATGAGACTGTGGAGAAGTCAATCACAAGAAACTTGGGTGGTTCAGCCTGATAAGTAAAACTCTATGTAGAATCAGACTATCAAGACCAAGATATGTAAAATATTTTTGTTCATTACATTTATAATCTCAGAAAGTCTATTTATTATGTCTGTAATCTCAGAACAGTCAGAAAAGGTATTTCATGAAATTCAAATAATTTGTATATGTATTTTACTTAGGGAAAGGATTTTGCACAAGCCAGCAGCTATGCAGATATAGCTGTGAACTCTGATAGATATAATCCAGCAGCTCTTACTAATAAAGGGAATACAGTTTTTGCAAATGGTGATTATGAGAAGGCCGCTGAATTCTATAAAGAGGCTCTAAGAAATGATTCTTCTTGTACTGAAGCACTTTATAATATTGGTAAGTGAAACAAGGGGAAATTGCTTTTTAAATTATTTATTTGCTTTGTATTTGTTTTTGTTTTGTTTTGCTTAAAGAGCTCTAACACATTAGGAGGAGGAGTTGACTTCCTTCTAACGGAAAATTGAAGACTACTGCCTCTCAGATTATAGATTATTTTAAATGGAATTAATGATTCAGAAGCTATGCACATGCAAAATTTGGATCAGGCTTGCCATACTGCCCTCCAAAAAGGCTTTTCCATCACAGTGTATAATACTAATTTCCCAAATTTCTGCTAATACTGGATATTATCATTCTTTTTAACTTTTGCCAAGTTCATAGATGGGAAAAAATCCCATTTGCTTTCTTTTTAATTATGAACAATTTCAAACATGCACAAAAGTACACACAAGAAATAAGTACCCATGTACCTATCACCCCAGTTTGACACATTTTCACATTTTGCCATCTTTACTTCAGATTTTGTTTTTAATAAGCCAAATACTACAAGCCATGAAGTCTCACCACCATCACATTCTCTTCCCTGCCTTTCAGCGGTTGCCTGAAATGGGCATCATCACCCCTGGGCATGAATTTTCAGTATTGCAAACACATGTCCATGCAGTACTGGGTCTTGTCTCTTGGATTATTAATAACTTTTCTTCTGAAGTTTTCTTCTCCCTGCCTAGGTATTTTTTGCTTTCTTTGGTTTGCTTATTTTATTCTCTTTTCCATGTTATGGACTTTACTTAGATGTCTAATGATTTTGGGCTGTCTCCTGGTATTCAGGAGTTTGTGGCTAAAAACTGAGTGGAGTCTCTAAGTCCATGAGAGAGATTGATGGGTTGGCACTCTGCTATAGGGCATCTGTCTGGTCTGGTCTGTTTAGTTGGAGACCTGTCCATAAGTCAATTGGATCTTTCCTCCCAGAAAAGACTCTTTAATCTCCTGCCTGAAGGAGGAGGGAAGGCCTACTGCCAACCTTGAAGAATAGGGGAGGCAAGAAGGAATTAGCCATTTTAGGTGGAGTCTGGGAGAGCCTCATTGAGAATGTATGTTTCAAGTCATAGAAGGAAGGGAGGCTATGACCACTTGGGTATCTGGGAAGAGAGCATTGAAGAGAGGCACAAAGGTCTTCATGCAGGAGCTTGCTTCCTAGATATATCCTTATTTATTTGTTTTGTAACTATTAAATATTTCTCCTTTCCCAATTGCTTCTATTTTAACTTTGTTTCTAATTTCTTTTATCAGAGAATTGTTTTATTATTGATATAGTAAAATTTGTCTTTTTTTTTTTTTTTTTTTTGAGACTGAGTCTTGCTCTGTCGTCTAGGCTGGTGTGCAGTGGCATGATCTCAGCTCACTGCAACCTCCACCTTCCAGGTTCAAGTGATTCTCCTGCCGTAGCCTTCCAAGTAGCTGGAACCACAGGTGCGCTCCACTACGCCCGTCTAATTTTTTGCATTTTTAGTAGAGATGGGGTTTCACCATGTTGACCAGGCTGGTCTGGAACTCCTGACCTCAAGTGATCCACCTGCCTCAGCCTCCCAAAGTGATGGGATTACAGGCATGGGCCACCACGCCTGGCCAAATTTGTCTTTTTAAATAATTGTGGTTATTGCTTTATTCATTTGTTTATTGCTTTATGAAGCCCTTCTTAACTCAAGATTATAAATCATTTTTCTGTATTTTCTTTTCATACTCTTCTTATAGCTTTGTTTTTTCTGTTGAGTTTCAAAATTTTGAGTTCATTTTTTATGAAATAAGAATCTACATTTAAAAAAATTAATGGCCAGGTGTGGTGGCTCATGCCTGTAATCCCAGCACTTTGGGAGGGCCAAGGCAGGCGGATCATGAGGTCAGGAGATCGAGACCATCCTGGCTAACACAGTGAAACCCCGTCTCTACTAAAAATATAAAAAATTAGCCAGGCGTGATGGCGGGCGCCTGTAGTCCCAGCTACTCAGGAGGCTGAGGCAGGAGAATGGCATGAACCCAGGAGGCGGAGCTTGCAGTGAGCCGAGATTGTGCCACTGCACTCCAGCCTGGGCGACAGAGCGACTCCGTCTCAAAATAAATAAATAAATAAATAAATAAATAAATAAATAAATACAAATTAATGTATAGTCAGTTGTTCTGGCACCACTTATTACTAGCACTTTCCTCCCCACTGATTTTAAATGTCTTTAACTAAACTCTATAGTTGAGTGCATTTCTGAACTGTTTATTCTGTTCTATTGGTCTGTTTGTCTATTCCTGCCCCCTACCACACTTTTAAAATCACTGAAGCTTTGTAGCATCTTTTGGTGTCTGCCAGTGGAGAATCCCCACCCTAACATTATTCTTTAAAAAAATCCTCAGTTGGCCGGGTGTGGTGGCTCATACCTGTAATCCCAGTACTTTGGGAGGCTGAGGCAGGTGGATCGCTTGAGGCCAGGAGTTCCAGACCAGCCTGAGCAACATGGCAAAATCCCGTCTCTACTAAAAATACAAAAAATTAGCTGGGCGTGGTAGCACGTGCATATAATCCTAGCTACTTGAGAGGCTGAGGTGGGAGAATCACCTGAGCCTGGGAGGTCGAGGCTGCTGTGAGCCATGTTTGTGCCACTACACTCCAGTGTGGGCAGCAGGAGTGAGACCCTGTATCAAAAAACAAAAACCTGAGTTCATCTTCATTTTCTCTTCTGGATAAATATTTTCATATATTTTGAGATTTATTCTGTTATGTTAAATAAATTAATACCAATAATGATACTTATAGATTTTCTTTTTTTTCTTCTTTTTTTAAGGCCTTACCTATGAGAAACTAAATCGGCTAGATGAGGCTTTGGACTGTTTCCTGAAACTTCACGCAATCCTACGAAACAGTGCCGAAGTTCTTTACCAGATAGCAAATATGTATCTTATTTGAAAACCTTAGGGACAGTTATTAATTCTCTCAATTGGTGATTGAAGATCAATTATTAAATAAGTTTAACTAATGAAGTAATTGATGAGGATAATATTTGAAGTAAGTGATGAGGATAATCTGGCAGATTATTGTGTGATAAATATCATTTGAGTAATCCTATTTTAAGATGTAGTTTGCATCGAAAGAGGAATTAATGGTTAAAACTATTATTTATTAAATTTTGAAAATAACTGAAGTAATTAGGACATTTTCGGTACATATAAGCCATTCATTGAAAGTCAATTTGGTGCTTTAGAACGTTGTATTAATTCTGAAGCTTGTAGGGTATCATTGAAGCACTAACTTACTAAATAAAATACTGTTTATTACTGATTACTATTGATTGAATTTGGATAATTTTTCTTACTTTTTTAGCTGGCCTGTAGATATAATGAGGTCTCCAAAGACTGTTACCCTCTAAAATTATGTAATTCTTCATATGAACTCATTCATTCTGTTCATTTAATAGTCATTTATTGAATGTATACTATGTGTATCAGTATTATGTTTCAAACTCAGGGGAATGTAGAACTACAAAATGTTGCGCTAATATCAGTTTCTTCCACAACACTTAGCTTTCTTAATAAGCCCTGCTCTTGGTTAGAAAAGCAGAAATGTGTTAATGTTTTTAATGCTTTTCATGCTATTTGAAAAGCACTTTTAATTTCTCTCCTTATTTTGGTAAGCTTTGGCCACAACATTGGGAAGAGTTAAACATCTTAGGTAGATTTTCAACTTACTGTTATCTTGGTTTAAATTTTATACAAATATGTTTAGAAAATTTTATATGTTGTGAGGTGTACCATTAATAATTTTAAGTACTATCTGCTGTACTTTTGATAAAGAATTTTATTGAAAAATTTTAGTTTTAGGCCAGGCACAGTAGCTCACACCTGTAATCCCAGCACTTTGGGAGGCCAAGGCAGGCGGATCATTTGAAGTCAGGAGTTCGAGACCAGCCTGGCCATCATGGTGAAACCCCATCTCTACTAAAAATACAAAAATTAGCCGGGTGTTGTGGCAGGCACCTGTAATCCCAGTTACTCCCGAGGCTGAGGCAGGAGAATCACTTGAACCTGGGAGGCAGAGGTTGCAGTGAGCCAAGATAGTGCCACTGTACTCCAGCCTAGGTGCAGAGCTAGACTATCTCAAAAAAAAATTAGTTTTAGAGCAGATAGCATCATAGTTACTCCTGTTAGTCTTTTTGTTCTGTTTTGTTCATTTAATTTCTCTGAAACTGCCAGTGTCATTATCTTTTACCACCCAGTTCATGATCAGCTTGGATCCAGTCAAGCAACTGATGTATTTGAGACTGTTTGAGTACATTTTCTTTTTTTTTTTTCTTGTGGTATCACACTTGTCATCGTTAAAAACAGTAGATCTTCTGGTGTCACTCTTGTCACCATTGAAAACAATGCTTCTTTTTCAATAAACTTTGAATTGGAATATTTTCATTTCACTGAGATATCTAATATGTATAAAATAAATAGTAATTAATCAAAAAGTACTGATATGAATAAATTATTTGTATATACACCGAAGACTTAGTAGGTACTAAAAGGAAGCTACAAAAAAAAAAAAAAACAACACTGTCCTTGGGTTTATAATCTAATTAGGGAAAACTCACAGGAAAAACACATGGAAATAATTTCCTTAATATGCTGAACATGTTAAGAAAAAGAATAACTGGATGCAACATTCAGGACATTTTTATTAAGGACAATTTTTGGACAATACTTTGAATAATTCTACCAGAAATTTGGGAGTTGATCTTAGTGGATAGTAATGGAGGAAAAGGGAAAGCAGGCTATATACATAGGGAGCAAGAGTGTTACCTCCACAGTACTGCTGCATTCCATCTCCACCCCTGAGATATCCAGAGGAAACAGTATACAATAGCACATTACTGTAGGCTAAGAAATATTGTTACTGTAATGTTTTTTAAGTTTGCTTATTGCTTAATGAATTTAGAAAACATGTTTTCCTTAACTGACATTGCATAAGATATGAATTAATGGAAAATCCCAGTCAAGCTATTGAATGGCTAATGCAGGTGGTCAGTGTTATTCCAACCGATCCTCAAGTTTTATCTAAGCTAGGAGAATTATATGATCGTGAAGGAGATAAATCTCAAGCATTTCAATATTACTATGAGGTAGGTGTGTTATCTTAATTTCCTTCTGTGTTTTAGCATTTTATGAATTGTTATAAAGAAGGCAGCAAGGCTTTAAAATTTTAGAAGATCTTACCAGTTTTAAAATGATTTATTTAAAATAAAGCATTCTTGGAAAATGAAGTTAGTTTTTGTTTTGTTTTGTTTTGAGATAGAGTCTTGCTCTGTCGCCCAGGCTGCTGCACAGTGGTGCAGTCTCGGCTCACTGCAGCCTCCTCCTCCTGGGTTTAAGCAATTCTCTTGCCTCAGCCTTCCGAGTAGCTGGGATTACAGGCGCCTGCCACCACGTGCAGCTAATTTTTGTATTTTTAGTAGAGGGGTGTTTTGCCATCTTGGCCAGGCCAGTCTCGAACTCCTGACCTCAGGTGATCTGCCTGCCTCAGCCTCCCAAAGTGCTGGGATTACTACCACGCCAGGCCTGAAGTTAGTTTTTTACTTGTTTTAATGAAAAAATGAAATAGGGCTGGGCATGGTGGCTCACGTCTATAATCCCAGCACTTTGGGAGACCAGAGTGAGAGGATTGCTTAAGACCAAGAGATGAAGAACAGCCTAGGCAACATAACAAGACCCCATCTCTACAAATAATAATAAAAGGACAGTCCTGGTGGCCCATACCTTTAATCCCAGCACTTTGGGAGGCCAAGGAAGGCAGATTACTTGAGGCCAGGAGTATGTGACCAGCCTGGCCAACATGAGGAAACCCCCTCTCTACTAAAAACACAAAAATTAGCCAAATGTGGTTGTGGCATGCCTGTAATCCTAGCTACTTAGGAGACTAAGGCACGAGAATTGCCTGAACCTGGGAGGCAGAGGTTGTAGTGAGCCAAGATCGCATTTACTACACTCCAGGCTGGGTGACAGAGCGAGACTGTCTTAAAATAATAATAATTAATAATATTAATAATAAAAAGAAGTACCAGTTCATTTTTCTCTTGAGGCACGATTTGCATCTCTTTTTTATTCTTTTAAATATTTAAATTGGACTCAGCTCATATATTGTTATATCAAAAGTATAGATAATTGAAAAGTGTGTCAAGCAAAGCTTAGGTTTTCTAAATATTATATAGTTTCAGAATTTACAAAGTACTTAGGACAGTTCATACTCCTTTATTAAGAAATTCCATATTGGATAAATTTATTCAATAGGTAAAGTATTCAAGAAGTAAATTATATGTTGCCATTGAAGTTGTATTGTTACATTCCATATTTGTTTTACAGTCATATAGGTATTTTCCTTGTAATATTGAAGTCATTGAGTGGCTTGGAGCCTATTACATTGACACCCAATTTTGGGAAAAAGCTATTCAGTACTTTGAAAGAGCTTCTCTTATACAGTAAGTAATCATTAGGATTTTATGTTTAGTTAATGTCATGTCTTGAGTTTTTTTAATCCCTAGAATTAGTATCTGATAGACCTAGTAAATTCAAGAACAGATGTTGATGGACATTCATAAATTATTTTTGTTTGTTTGTTGTTTGTTTGAGACGGAGTTTCGCTCTTGTTGCCCAGGTTGAAGTGCAATGGCGTGATCTCGGCTCACTGCAACCTCCGCCTCCCAGGTTCAAGCGATTCTCCTGCCTCAGCCTCCCGAGTAGCTGGGATTACAGTCACGCACCACCATGCCTGGCTAATTTTTTGTATTTAAGTAAAGACAGGGTTACACCATGTTGGCCAGGCTGGTCTCGAACTCCTGACCTCAGGTGATCCACCTGCCTCAGCCTCCCAAAGTGCTGGGATTACAGGCATGAGCCACCGCGCCCAGCCAAATTATTTTTATTTTCTTATATTTTATTCCATTTTACTTGGTCTTTATTGTGATAAATATATTTCCCTTTGCATAGAATTTTTTAAATATCCTCTTTAAGATACTTTTCTTTATGTATTTTTCTTACACCTCAGCAAACAATTATTGTTCCTTTATCAATCAGAAAATGACTTATCTCAGTCCTAGGACAAAGTTTCATCTCTAAAAGAGTCTTAATACAAGACAGTTTTGTTGGTTTCAATTTATAATTAATATATATGAAAAATTAAAATGTTTTCAGTGTCTTTAAGTTCGTATCAGAATGTGTTATACATATCTGATTCAAAACAATTCAAAAATAATTGGAATACATCATCTTCTGCTTTGTATTTGGCCATATTGAATTTTAAGAACAAATGCCCCTTAGAATAATTTGAATGATAAAGAAATGCTTAATAAGTGAAATGATTTCTGTTTGGAATTTCTATTAGGCAATTCATTTTGTGATATTTATTTCACATAAATTTCTTTTGAGAATTATAAAATTAATTACCAAGGATGAGGAGATAGTTTTAGTTTAATTATATCTTTAAGATTAAAGCTATTTCAGTAATACACTGTAAGCTTTTTAATTACACTTAATACTACTCTAACATTAGCCATTAGCTCATGCAACACTCTTCCTTCTTTGAGGCTCAGTCCGCCACTGTTCCATTTTTAACTCCTATTTGTAAATGTCAGATGTTGATTAACAGTCAGTCCCTTACCTTACCTAGTCTAGCTTATATTCTTCCTTTTCTTTCCATCACTATTCTAGTCCCACAAGTTTTGACCTCCCTAACTCCATTGATCTTTACCCTCTCTGTAGTTCAGTCACCTGACTCATCTGATTGTGATTATCACTAACACATTTACACCAATAAAATCTTTTTTTTTTTTTTTTTGAGACAGAGGACGGAGTCTTGCTTTGTCGCCCAGGCTGGAGTGCAGTGGCGTGATCCCGGCTCACTGCAACCTCTGCTTCCCAGGTTTAAGCGATTCTCCTGCCTCAGCCTCCAGAGTAGCTGGGATTACAGGCACATGCCACTGCACCCGGCTAATTTTTGTTTTTGTTTTTGTTTTTGTTTTAGTAGAAACGGAGTTTCACCATGTTGGTGAGGCTGGTCTTGAACTCCTGACCTCAAGTGATCCATTCGCCTCAGCCTCCCAAAGTGCTGGGATTACAGGCGTGAGACACCACGCCCAGCCTACACCAATAAAATCTTAAGTTACAATGTCCAGCTGTCTGAACATAACCTCTTACCTTTCCAACTTCCATACTCCCTATTTTCCAGTGCATTTTTCTTTGGTGATATTGAGACCTCCCCTCTTGACCTTCCCCTTATCTTGCAGTCTCAGCCTCCTTCTGACTTTAATTCTGAGCTTATCCATACTAGATTGCTTAATTGGTCACATCTTTTCCCTTTCTTGCTAACATTCCTGTTTTTTTTTTTCTCTCTCTCTCTCGCTTTACTACCCCATTTATTCCAAGAGATTTCAGTTCTTAGGTTATTCCAGCCATTGATTCCATTCCTTTACACAGGCTGTGAAATACTGTCAAAGGTAAATTATGTAACCAGGTGAATTGATGCTACACAAATCTGTGTGATATGAGCACTGCTCATCAGTCTTAAGTATTTCTCTCCCTCCTGTTTCTCTGATCTCTTCAATTCCCCTATGTATTTTATGCCTCGGTTTCCCAGAATATAGAAGCCTTTTTTAGAAACCTTCCTAACATTTCTCTCTACTTTTCTATAAACTTACTTCCACTTGCACCTGCTGTTATCTCCTTCTCAGTGACAGAAACTTATTCAATATACATTCATTATATTACATCTCTTTTGAGCATTTGTTTTCTATACCATATATCTTAATTTTTCACATTTTCTCTTTTTTACATGCTAAGCTTTGATTTGTTCTGTAAGTTCTACCTCTACAATAAAAATGTAGGCTTTTTGAGAAGTGAGAGTATTAGTTCTTATGTCACATAGTTCTTTACATATTCTTTAAATATTCTTTACATGTCAACTTGGCATATAGTTGAATTAAATTAAATTTCTTTACCATAGAAACTCCTTGCCTTGCTGTATCTCTTAGATTTTTATGGTTTTTAATAATATGATGTTTTGGCAATTGGTTTAAGCATAAACTGTTGTTTTATTTTCTTTACATTCATAAATCATGTCTTAAAATATCAAGAAACCCTAGTTCTGACTGGTCCACTTAATGTAATTCCATTCTTCAGCAGCATTAGGTAATGTTCTTTAATATTGATTGTGATGATGGTTATTATAAGACACCATCAAGTGGACCAATATATGCATTATGGGAATTCCAAAAGGGGAAGAGAGAGGAAAAGGGAGGAGAGAGACTATTTGAAGAAATTATTGCCATACTTCCCAAATTTGAGGAAAGACATGAATCCAGAAGTCTGCACAGGCCAGTGAATTCTATGTAGGAAAAACACTAAAAGATCCACAATGAGACACATTATGATCAAACTGTCCAAAAACAAAGAGAGAATCTCGACAGCAACAAGAGAAAAGTGGCTTATCACATACAGGGACCCTCAGTAAGATTATTAGTAGATTTCTCACCAGAAACCTTGGAGGCCAGAAAGCAATGGAATGATGTAAAGTCCTGAAATTTAAAAGCAAACAAACAAACAAACAAAACACAAACTGTCAACCAAGGATTCTGTATCCTGGCCAAGCGTGATGGCTTATACCTGTAATCCCAGCACTTTGGAGGCCCAGGCAGGCAGATCACCTGAGGTCAGGAGTTCAAGACCAGCCTGTCCATCATGGCCAAGCTCTGTCTCTACTGAAAATACAAAAATTAGCTGGGTGTGGTGGCAGGTGCCTATAGTCCCAGCTACTCAGGAGGCTGAGGCATGAGAATCGCTTGAACCCGGGAGGCGGAGGTTGCAGTGAGCAGAGATCGCACCACTGCACTCCAGCCTGGGTGACAGAGCGAGACTCCATCTCAATAAGTAAATAAATAAATAAAATAAGTTTGTATTGTTCAAGTGAGATTGTTATAAGTTTCAGATGTTAATTATAATACCCAAGGTAATCATTAGGAAAATAACTAAGAAATCAAATAGTACACTATAAAAAAGTATTAGGAAAATAACTAAAAATCGAAATAGTACACTAAAAAAAATCAACAAAATACCAAAAAAGAGTAGTAATGGAAGAATTGAGGAAGAAAAAACATATAACACATGCAGAAAACAAATAGCAGAAGCAAATCCTTCTGTGTCAATAATCACATTAAATATAAATTTATTAAACTTTCCCATTAAAAGAAAAACTTAGCAGATTGAATAAGAAAATCAGGGTCTATTTATATACTGTCTACAAGAGATGCACTTTAGATACAAGGACACAAAAGAGGTTGAAAGCAAAAGGATTGAAAAAGATATTCCAAACAAATATTAATGGTAACCAGAAGAGAGTTGGGAGGCTTTATTATTGTCAGACAAAACAGGCTTTAAGTCACAAAAGGTTACAAGAGCCAAAGAATGATGCTATATATTGGTAAAAGGTTCGTTACTGCAAGAATGTACAACACTTAAAAACCCAACAGAGGAGCCCCAAAATATATGAAGCAAAAATTGATATAATTAAAGGGTGAAATAGACCTCATATTAGTTTGAGACTTAATACTTTTAAAAATGTGTGTTACCGTCTGTGAACCTCACACGGAAGATAAATAAGAAAATTAAGACTTAAGCAATGTATAAACCAGGTAGACCTAACAGTCATACACAAGACACTGAACCCAACAACAGGAGATTGTACATTCTTAAGTGTACATGGAACGTTCTCCAGGATAAACCATAGGTTAGGCCACAACTTAATAAATTGAAAAGATTGAACTCATACAAATTATCTTTTTCTGTCATAATGTAATGAAACTAGAAATTAATAACAGAAGGAAAACTGGAAAATTCACAAGTATGTGGAATTAAAGAACACACTCTTAACTAGTGGATCAAATATGAAATCACCAGGGAAGTTAGAAAGTAACTGAGACAAGTGAAAATGAAACACAATGTACTAAAACTTACAAGATGCTGCAAAAGCATCCCTAAGAGGGAAATTTATATCTGTAAGTACATTAAAGAAGAAGAAAGATCCCAAGTTAGTAACCTAACTAAACACCTTAAGGAATTAGAAAAGGAAGAGCACTTTAAACCCAAAGATAGCAGCAGGAAGGAAATAATAAAGGTTAGAGCAGAGATAAATAAAATAGAGAATAGAAAAGCTGTAGAGAAAATCAACAAAACCAAAAATTGATTCTTTGAAAAGCTCAACAAAATTGACAAATCTCTAGCTAGAAGGACTAACAAAAAAAAGAGGACTTAATTACTAAGATTAGAAATGCAAGTAGAGGCCTCACTACCAATTTTACGTAAATAAAAAGTTATAAGAAAACAACCTTGCCTCAACAAATTAGATAACCTAGATAAAATGGTCAAATTTGTAGAAACACAATCAACCAAACCCAACTCAAGAAGAAATAAAAATCTGCATAGACCTATAACCAGTAAGGAAATTAAATCAGTAATAAAAAATATTCCAAGAAAGAAAAGCCATGGGCTACATGGATTCACTGGTGAATTCTGCCAGACATTTCAAGAAAAATTCACACCATTTTTTTTCAAACTCTCCTAAATATTGAAGAGAAGGTAAACACTTCCTAACTCAGTCAGTGAGGCCAGCATTATCCTTATCCTAAAGGTAAACAAAGACACTACAAGAAAACTACAGACCAATATCTTTTGTGAATGTAAATGCAAAAATACTCAACAAAATACTAGCAAACCAAATTTAGCCACATATTAAAAGAAGTACATCATTCGCAAGTGGTATTTACTCCTAGAATGCAAAGATAGTTCAACATATGAAGATCAGTCAATTTAATACTTCACATTAATAGAATGAAGAAAAAACCCACGTGATCAGCTCAATTAATGCGGAAAAGGCGTATGACAAAATTCAACACCGCTTTGTGATAAAAATACTCCAATCAGGAATAGAAAGAACTTCCTTAACGTGTTAAAGTATTGTATGGAAACTCACAGCTAACAGGATACTGAATGGTGAAAGACCAAAAGCTTGCTTTCTTAAGATCAGAAACAAGGATGCCCACTTCCACTGCTTCTGATCAACATGGTACTGGAAGTTCTAGCCAGAGCAGGTAGGCAAGAAAAAGAAATAAAATGCATCTACATGGGAAGAGATGAAGTAAAAATTAACCCTGTTCACAGATGACATGATCTTATATGTAGAAATCCCTAAGGAATCCACATAAAAATCTTAGATATAATAAATGAATTCAGCAAAGTTGCAGGATATAAAATTAACCCACAAAACTAGTTGTATTTCTATGTATTTGCAATGAAAAATCCAAAAAGGAAATTGAGAAAAAAATTGCATTTGCAATGGTATCAAAAAGAATAAAATAATTAGCGATTAATTTAGCCATGAAGGCAAGAGAGTGTCCCTTTTCCCTTGAGTGGTCTTGGCACCTTTTGGCACCTTTGTTGGAAATCAATTTACCATATATATGAGGATTTATTTCTGGATTCTAGATTCTATTGTGTTGGTGTATATATCTGTCCTTCTGCAGCAGTACCACACTGTTTCGATTATTGTAGCATTAAAGCAAATTTTAAAATCAGGAAGCATGAGTTCTTCAACTTTTTTCTTTTTCAAATTGTTTTGGCTATTCATGGTTCCTTGAGATTCCACATGAATATTAGGGTGAATTTTCCTATTTTTGCAAAAACACCATTGGGATTTTGATAGGGATTGCATTGACGTTATAGATCACTTTGAGTAGTATTGTTTTCTTAAAAATATTAAGTCTTCCAATTCAAGCACACACATGCCTCTCCATCTATGTCTTCTTTAATTTATTTCAACAATGTTGTATAGTTTTCAGTGTATAGTAAGTATATACCCAAAGGAATTGAAAGCTGAGGCTCAAACAGATCAGATACTTACACATGTTTGTGTAAGTATCTGATCTGTTTGAGCCTCAGCTTTCAGTTTATGATAGTCAAAAGTAGCCTCAGCATTATTTATAGTAGCGAAAAGGTAGAAACAACCTAGGTGTCCATCAACAATGAATAAACAAAACATGGTACAGTAGTCCACCTTTATACAATGTTTTGCTGTCCACGGTTTCAGTTACCCTCAGTAAAGTACAATAAGACATTTTGAGAGAGACAGACCGCATCTACATAATTCTATTATAGTATATTGCTTTATTTTATTAGTTATTATTATTAACCTCTTACCATGCCTAAGGTATAAATTGAACTTTATCATAGGTATGTTTGTATAGGAAAAAAAATAGTATATATAGGGTTCAGTAGTATTTGTAGTTTCAGGTATCCACTGGTGATCTTGGAACATACTCACCACAGATAAGGGGGGACCACAGTATATAAATAAAATGGAATATTATTCCACTATACAAAGGAAGTTCTGTTACATGCTACAACATGGAAGGACTTTAAAAACATTAGCTAAGTGAAAGAAGCCAGACACAAAAGAACAAATACTCCACTTACATGAAGTGTCTAAAATGGGCAAATTTGTAGAGATAGAAAGTAGATCAGAAGTTATTGGGGATTGTGGGGAAGGGAATTAAGAGTTACTGTTTAATGGTTGCAGAGTGTTTCTGTTTGGTGTCATAAAATGTTTTGGAGATCGTGGTGATGGTTGCACAACATTGTGAATGTGATAAATGCCACTGAATTGTACACCCAAGAATGGTAAATTTTGGCAAATGTTATGTTGTATATATTTTATCATAATTTTAAAGAATTAATACACTAAAACCATTGTATTGTGTCCTTTAAGTAGGTAAATTGTATGGTATATGAAGACTATCTCAGTAATTCAGCTCTTAATAAAAGGATACATACTGCCAGGTGCAGTGGCTCATGCCTGTAATTCCAGCACTTTGGGAGGATGAGACAGGCGGATCGCTTGACCTCAAGAGTTTGAAACTAGCCTGGGCAACATGGCAAAACTCTCTTTAAAAAAAAATAAAAACTAGCCTGCCATGGCAGTGTGTGCCAGTGGTCCCAGCTACTTGGGAGGCTGAGCCCGGGAAGGGGAGGTTACAGTGAGCTGAGATCATGCCACTGCACTTCAATCTGGGTGACAGACTGGGACCCTGTCTGAAAAAAAAAAAAAGTTACATACTATATGATTGTATTCATTTAAAGTTCAAAAACAGGCTAGATTGACAGTATTAGAAGTCATTATACTTACCTTTATAGAGGAAGGAAGGTAATGTATTCAGAAACATAAATAATAATACCACATGGTAAATGCAACACTAAGTGATTCTAGGGTGTTAGGAGAGCATATGGAACAGTCTATCCATGTGGCATTAGCAGAGAGTAAAGAGGTTGGAATGCGCCTCTAAGCAGACATGGTGGTGTATACAAAAGCCAGAAGTCTAGCAAATGCAGGGGATACAGGGAAGTCCGTGCTCCTGTGTGAATTTGCTGTAACATGAAATGTTAAGCAAGGCACGGTGGGAGATGAGTTGGAGAAGCAGAAAAGATCTAGAAAGTAGATAAACTGGGTTAGAATCTTGGATTTAGCATGTAGGTGGAAGGGAGGTAACAGGTTTTAAGGAGGGAAGTAATGTGGTTAGATGTGTATTTTATTTAGATCACAGTGGGTGGCCGTGTAGGCAATGGATTTGAAGTTAAGTAACTTGCCCCAGTAGCAGGGCTGTGATTTAAAGCCAGATCTATCTGATTCCAGTAGGTAGGTTTGCCATCAAATCGAGTAGGAACTGAGGTTTTCTTTGAAGCCATCAGGCTTCTACTTAGAAAGGAGATTCAAAAAAATGAGGCGAGCATAAATTGTTCCCTAGGTGTTTCTTCCTTCATATCTTGCCATCCTGAGATATTTTTAATAGAAGTATTTAGAAATCCTGGTTTTGGTTATTTATTTTAGAAAAGAATTTGATTTCTTTTTAATGGACAAAAAGGGATTAGTAGAATTTTTTTTACTCTCTGTTTAGTCGAAGCCTGATTCTTCAAACACTAGATCAAAAATCGCTTCTCAGGTACTAAATTTGCAAGCAAGTGTAAGTATTATGATAAAAGATTATAGCAAAAGTAATGATCCTTTAAGTTTAAAGTAGAATGCAGTGGGTTTTAACCAAACAGGTTAAGTGGTTCTCATATGAATATCTAAATAAAGGTATGAACTAGAGGAACTTTGAAGAACACTTAAATTTATATGTCCTGATATAAATATGACAAGCAATACTGAGGGAAATTATATATCTGCTGTTCTCAATAATAAAAATTATCTAACAAAAGGTCAAAAAGTAATTGTAAAATAGTAGATACATAGCTTTATAAAACTGAGCATCACAGATTTTTTTATCTCTAATTTCATCTCATTTATTTATTTTATAGGCCTACACAAGTGAAATGGCAGCTGATGGTAGCTAGTTGTTTCAGAAGAAGTGGTAAATGCTTTAGTTTTATTCATTTTATAGATATTTTGCTTCTTTCCTTTTAGGTAATTATGCATATAAATGTGATCCAGTTGCATATCTGTTTATTAAAATACTAACTTTTTATAACTGTACATAATTCAAAGCATTGTATGAAAAACACAATAATTACTACATACAAAAAAGTTATGCTTACAAAATGGGTATTAATCATGTATTCCAATACTTGTCTTAAAAACAGATTTGTTATTTCTCAAAGTTAACATGTAATCATTTTCACAAGTTAGCCACAGAAAAAAATAGGCATACTGTATACATTATATTTCCATTTTCTACTCAGTTAATTCTAAATGTCCTGTGTGCTCGGCCAAATTTATGACACTTGAGAAGCCTGAGAAAAGCTCACACTGAGACAAGTGTGACTATATGTTTTTTATACCAAAGATCACTGGCTATCTTGGTTTGTGTTTTTGTTACTGCTTTTATTAAATTCTTGCTGATGACACATATCCTGAAGGATAGAGATGCTATTAGTTTTAGGCTAACTGTGAAGTGAATAATATGCATAAAATATCAAAGATCAAGCTGGGAGAGAAATGTGAACAAATTTATAATCCCTCTTGTAGAGCATAAAAATGACCCAGGAAAAGAAAGTATTCAATCTAAGGGAAGAGGGAAGCACAAGTTTTGAAAGTGTTGGCAGTTTGTTCTCACCCAGTTTCGGGGGAGGTTTCCTTCTTTATCTCTGTGAGCACCTTCAGAATGGCATCAGAAATGTTTTAATACATAACTCAGTGTATTCCTCAAATCATTTTAGGGGGGATCTGTAATTCCTATTGAATGTACAACATGACTATACTATATACATTCAATTTATATCAACATGAGTTCTCAATTGCCTATGTTCATTTCAACGTCAGTCATATAGAAAGTATATATATACATATGAACTATTCTAAATGATTTAAAGACATAGCCTGCTTCAGTTATGGAAGTACAGGATAGAAGCAGCAGCTAGCATTGAGAACTGGCTTTGGGTCAGATGCTTCCTGTCTCTATTTCATCCCTCTTGTAGAGAGAGGCCCAGAGAGATTTATAACTCATTTGCTAAGATTTTAGGAAAGATCTTTGACCCAAATTCGTTTTTCCTATTTTGGCTGCTACATGAAGCTAAATTATTTTGTTATAAAATAAATTGCTTTCTATAAACTTTCTAATGTTTAAAAAACTGTAAAGGCCGGACACAGTGGCTCACGCCTGTAATTCCAGCACTTTGGGAGGCTGAGGCTGGCAGATCACGAGGTCAAGAGATCGAGACCATCCTGGCCAACATGGTGAAACCCCATCTCTACTAATAATACAAAAATTAGCTGGGCTTGGTGGTGCACGCCTGTAGTCCCATCTACTCGGGAGGCTGAGGCAGGAGAATCACTTGAAGCCAGGAGGCGAAGGTTGGAGGTTGCAGTGAGCCGAGATTGCGCCACTGCACTCACTCCAGCCTGGTGACAGAACAAGACTCCATCTCAAAAAAAAAAAAACAAAAAAAACCACACATTTATTTATTTATTTATCCATTCATTCATTCATTCATTTTGAGACAGAGTTTTACTCTGTCACCCAGGCTGGCCTGCAGTGGCACTAATCACAGCTCACTGCAACTTCCACCTCCTGGGTTCAAGCGATTCTCCTGTATCAGCCTCCCCAGTAGCTGGGTTTATAGGTGTGTGCCACCATGGCCAGTTAATTTTTGTATTTTTAGTAGAGAAGGGGTTTCACCATGTTGCCCAGGCTGGTCTCAAACTCCTGGCCTCAAGTGGTCCACCCACCTCAGCCTCCCAAAATGCTGGGATTAAAGGAGTGAGCCACCACGCCCAGCCCAAAAAAACTATAAAAACATCTTAAATATTTTCCAACTAAATGAATGACATTGACATTACTGTAAGTATATAACTTAGATTATTTTTAAATTTGTCAGTTCATCTGGAATAATCTTTTTTAGAAAATTGAATGGATCTTAATTTTTGCCACTAAAATATTTAAAGTGAACCAGGCTCAGCAATGTGCGTCTATAGTCCCAGCTACTCTGGAGGCTAAGACACGAGGATTGTTTCAGCTCAGGAGTTTATAGGCTGTAGTACTTAATGGTTGTGCCTGTGAATAGCCACTGTACTCCAGCCTGGGCAACAGAGTGAGACCTCGTCTCTTTAAAAAAAAAAAAAAGGAAGAAGCTAAATTTCAGCTATCACCCATTTACTTCTGCTTTCAGCCTTATTTCAAATTTATTTTATCTATACATTTTCTTCTAAAAGTTATATTAAGTGGTATATAAAACATGAAACCTTTCTATTAAACCATTAAATAGCCAGTATATCAGTTAAAATTAATATTTTTCTGAATCCTGTTAGTTTCTATAATTTGCTAATATATTTTTCTCTTGTTTGTTTATAGGTAACTACCAAAAAGCATTAGATACTTACAAAGATACTCACAGAAAATTTCCAGAAAATGTCGAATGTAAGTGGCATTACATAATGTAACTTTGAAGTGATAAGTTCTCATATTTTATGTTCTAATATATAATTACCTTTGCTACAGTAATTGTATACGTAAATACCAACCTATAATTTGTGATACATATTTTAAATATTTTTATAGCATCAGAAAATTTGACTATGCAAGTACATATTTTTATGTAACTAATTGTTGATGGATTTAAATATACCACAGAATTTTCTTTAATACTAAAAAAATACATATTTCAGAGTTCTATAGAATTTTAAGAAAGCATTTTGGCCTATGGTTGATTTTTCAAAGTTTGTAAACCTGTGGTATTTTATAGGAAAGACATTTTTAACTGTCCATTTTAGTAAACAACTTCTAAAGGTTGAGAAAATAATTTTAGGGTTTATAAAAACTGAACATTAATAATCTTGCTGATACAATAGCAAATAATTTTTTTTTAGACAGAGTCTTGCTCTGTTGCCCAGGCTAGAGTGCAGTGGTGTGATCTCAGCTCACCACAACCTCCACCTCCTGAGTTCAAGTGATTCTCCTGCCTCAGCCTCCCTAGTAGCTGGGACTCTAGGCGCGCACCACCGTGCCTGGCTAATTTTTGTATTTTTAGTAGAGACGGGTTTTACTATGTTGGCCAGGCTGTTCTCAAACTCCTGACGTTGTGATCCGCCTACCTTGGCTTCCCAAAGTGCTGGGATTACAGGCGTGAGCCACTGCTCCTGGCGGCAAATAATTTTTAATGTTACTTCAATTTTAAAACATTATGTTAATATGCTGCGTACTCAGTTGTAAAGTTATCTTTGTAGAAGATATTCATTTATTTACTATCTTGTTGCACAGTGGATTGATGCAACTTACAGTAATAATGTGAAGTATTATGGCAGTAACAACAAAATCAAGAAAAACATAAAGTAAGCACAGTCATATGCCACATGTTCTCACTAAACTATAAATTTGTCCCTGAATAGCCTTGCAGCCAAAGGAAAGAGAAAAGTTACAAGCAGTTGTACAATTTTTACTGTTTTATGTGGAAATATAAAGCAATTTATTGGGAAGAAGAAGTATCTCTTCAACTCTTAATTCACTTCTGTTTAGACATTGAGAGATACAGTAGATAAAATCATTGAAAGACACAGTAGATACTTTCTTAAATAACATCCCTATAGCAAATAAAATAATATGCTGGAAACGACCATGTTAAAATTTGTTCTTCAAGGCTGGGCACAGTGGCTCACGCCTGTAATCCCAGCACTTTGGGAGGCTGAGGTGGGCAGATCACCTGAGGTCAGGAGTTGAAGACCAGCCTGGCCAATAGAGCGAGATTCTGTCTCAAAATAAATAAATAAATAAATAAATAAATAAATAAATTTGTTCTTCAATGACAATGAACACAAAAGAATGCATTACAATTTAGTAAAAACAAATCTTTTCTGAGCCAAGTTTTCTAATGGCCAAGGATTAGATGTACTACGTGTTTCTTCATTAATATATTTCTCCATTTGGCTTTCTAAAAAAGCTCAACAGCAGTTAGCTCAGTTATGGTCTTTGGTAGGAGTGTAGGAGCAGGGTGTTCTCCAATGCTGATTAGAAGTAGACTCATTAACTTAACAGCAGTAGTTTTCACAAATACCAGTCAGGAAATAGGCTACATGGGAATTAATTCTAGAATTTTTTTTTTTTTTTGAGATGGAGTTTTCTTCTTGTCTCCTAGGCTGGAGTGCGGTGGCGCCATCTTGGCTCACTGCAACCTCTGCCTCCTGGGTTGAAGAGATTCTCCTGCTTCAGTGTCCCTAGTAGTTGGGATTACAGGCACACGCCACCATGCCCAACTAATTTTTGTTTTTAGTAGAGACGGGGGCTCTACTAAAAACAAAATCACTCTTCAAGCGATTCTCTTGCTTCAGCCTCCCAAATTGCTAGGATTGCAGGTGTGAGCCACCATGCCCGGCCTAGAACTTTTTTAAAGTACAAATTTCTAGCCCTACCTAGAAAGATTTTCATTTAGATTTACAGTGGATGCAGGCGTCTGTTTTTTCCTATTTCTGTTTAAAGAACTTTCTATGTGATTCTTAATCTCAGTCACATTAGAGAACTAGTGCTTTAGAGATTAAATGAGAGATAGCAGTAATAACTTTTCTTGAAAGTGGAACAACCCAAAAGTCTGCTAGGCAAGAGTTTCTCGGCCTTGGCACCTTTGACATTTGGGATTGTGCAATTCCACATTGTGGGAGGCCATCCAGGGGATTATGGAATGTTTGGTAAAATCCCTGGCCTCTGTCCAATAGATTAGCTAGTAGCTCTCTCACCCCTAGATATGAAAACCAGAAATGTCTCTAGACATTGCCAGTGTCCCTTGGGGGTGCAAAATTGATGCCAGTTGAGAACTCTTGAAGTAACCATAGCACCTCTGCACCGGACCGGAAAAGCGAATGTCTTCAAGGAAGGCCAGGTTTTTTTCTTTAGAGTATGAGTCACTCTAAGAATCAAATGAATGATTGTCTATGCCATAGAGGGTGTCTAAGATAACTTTGGCCTATTTAATTTTCAAAACAAATGTAATCAATAGTCTACCTTAACTGTAGTTGTAGAAAAAACATTTACACCCATGGAATGTGCTGTTTTAAGAAGACTAGTTTTCTGGATAAAACTAGCAGGATAATTTAGTTTTAAAACATATTCTTCACCAAAAATTGACCTGCTTTACAGAGTTACAGATGATGTACTAAATTTCAGAGAACATCCACCAAAAATAATGATTTTTACTTTACATTAAGTGTTTCTGGCTGTGCGTGATGGCTCATGTCTGTAATCTCCACACTTTGGGACACCAAGGCCGGAGGATTGCTTGAGCCCAGGAATTCAAGAACAGCCTGGGAAACATGGCAAGACCTCAACTCTTCTAAATATGAAAAAAATATCAGGGCATGGTGGTGTGCATCTATAGTTCCACCTGCTCGGGAGGCTGAGATGGAAGGATCGCTTGAACCCAGGAGTTCCAAACTGCAGTGAGCTGTGATTGTGCCAGTGCACTCCAGCCTGGGCATCTCTAAATCTCTTAAAAAAAAAAAATTCCTAAGCCAATCTTTATTTGCAGAAAGTACAAATTACCTTCTTATTCTGAATTATTAATATAAATGTATATGCAAATGCAATTTTTATAGTAATGTGTGACATTTTAAGTTACTTTATACTATTAACTTTTACAATACTTTATGGTCTTTTTTTTTTTTTGAGACACAGTCTCACTCTGTCACCCAGGCTAGAGTGCAGTGGTGCGATCTCGGCTCACTGCAACCTCTGCTGTCCAGGTTCAAGTGATTCTCCTGCCTCAGCCTCCCAAGTAGCTGGGATTACAGGTGCCTGCCACCATGCCCAGCTAATTTTTGTAGTTTTAGTAGGGATGGGGTTTCACCATCTTGGCCAGGCTGGTCTTGAACTCCTGACCTCATGATCTGCCCGCCTCAGCCTCCCAAAGTGCTGGGATTACAGGCGTGAGCCACCGCGCCTGGTCTACTTTAATGGTCTTAAATTGCTGGTATATTTACAAATTATTGTGGAGTGGAGTGACTATTCTGTTCCAGACGTTGTTCTAGCACTGTGGATGTAGCAGAAAACAAAAGAGACCAAAATCCTTGATGTCGTGGAACTTGTTTCTAGTGGGAAAAGACAATAAACAAATAATGTCAGTAGTTATAAGTGCTATGAAGGCAAAACAGGTAAGGAGCTAGAGAATGTGGGAGGGGCTGGTATTTGAGACAGGGTTGTCATGGAACGGCTTTCTGTTAAATTAGCATTTGAGCAGAGACCTGAAAGAATAGACAGAAGCAAGCCATGACGATATGGAGGTCAATGTGGTTGAAGCACAGTGGACGATGTGATGGGGAGAGAGAGGCAGAGTGGGTGGGCCAGGACCTGTGGATCCTCACAGGCCTTAGGTCAGGGCTTCAAATTATATTTCTGGGGAGATGATGAGCCATTGGAGGATTTTGTGTGGAAGAATAATACAATTTGACATATGTTTTCAAAAGGTTCTAAAGTGTGATTAACTCAAGCTTCTGTACCTGAGGTCCAAATCAAAAGATTGTTTTGGCTGCTGTATGGAGAATAAGCTGGAGTGGGCAGTACCGAAATGCAAAATCACAGTATTCACTTGGACTAATGATTTAGCAGTGGAGGTGGGCAGGATGGATTCTGAATATGTATCAAAGGTATCAGTGCCAGCACTTGCTGGCCATTTAGATGTGAGACTTGAGGGAGAGAGTGTCAAGGGTAATTGCACAAATATAGCTCTGGGAGCTGGAAGGATGCCATCCACTGAGATGTAGGAAACTGGGGAAGAAGCAGCTTTTGGAGGGAAAAATCAAAACCTTTTTTTAGATATGTTGTGTTTGAGCTACCTTTTCGATGTCCAAGAGGATGTATTAAATAGGCACTTAGGGAGAAGTTGGGGGCCATCTTCATATAAATTTATTTCAGTATATTTAGCACATATTTTTGTGCTCTGTTATTATATATATTATCAGTAATACTTTTGAAAAAATGGAGTGTTCACTAGCTTTAAGACTTTCCTGTTTCTTTATCCATTCATTTGTTCCCCAGAACTTTTACCAACTATTTTTTATGTGCTGGGGATACAACAGATATATCAACTTGATTTCTGCCTCCTAGGACTCACAAATAGTTAACTGATATAGGTTAATAAATGAGATAACTGAAAAATGTGCAAAGTGCTGTCAAAATACAGAGGATCTCTTAACTCTGCCCAAACTAGGGGACGATTGACATAATTAGGTTTTACAGAGGAAGTAACATTTGAAGTGGCCTTGAAGGGTACGGAGGGTTTTACCAGGAAGGAAAGGCAGGAACAGGCACTGCAGGTAGACAGTAGCATTAGTAAGGGCAGAGTTAGAGGGATGCAGAGTCTATTTCAAAAGGTAGTCTATTGTGGAAAATGTAGCAGATTGAAGATGTGTTTTCTTATACTACAAACCAAAAAAAGACAGTTTATAAAAACTATAAATGCGGCTGGGTGCGGTGGCACACGCCTGTAATCCCAGCACTTTGGGAGGCCAAGACGGGCGAATCACGAGCCAGGAGTTCAAGACCAGCCTGACCAACATGAGGAAACCCTTGTCTCTACTAAAAATACAAAAAATTAGCTGGGCATAGTGGTGGGCACCTGTGATCCCAGCTACTCAGGAGGCTGAGGCAGGAGAATTGCTTGAACCCAGGAGGCAGAGGTTGCAGTGAGCTGATATTGCGCCAGTGCACTCCAGCCCAGGTGACAGAGCAAGACTCCATCTTAAAAAAAAAAAAAAATTATAAATGTACAAGAACAAAGAGATAATTAAATTTTAGGAATGTTTTCTGCTTAGCAGATTAGAAGAACTGCAGAGGTATGTAGGTAGTGGAGACGTCAGCAGAAGCAAAACAATTCTTGACATAGAACCCCAGGAAATCCCGGGAATTGGAGGCATCAGAAAATGGGAGGGGTGCTGGCTGCTTCTGAAAACAGGAGGGTTGGCTGCAAGTCTGGATGTGATACAGCTAGATTTTCAAATGCCCTACCTAAATCGTACAGCAGGAATTTAGGCAGAATGCAATGATGTTGTTGGTGGATGATGTCGGGAGATGTATTTGAAAGATATTTAATAGAGCCAAAATGATTAATTCTGGGACGAAGCTTCCAGAAGAAGGATCAGGCAGCAATATTTGCTGTTCTGCAGCCTCTGCTGGTGATACCCAGGCAAACAGGTTCTGGAGTAGACCTCCAGCAAACTCTAACAGACCTGCAGCTGAGGGGCTTGTCTGTTAGAAGGAAGACTAAAAAACAGAAAGGAATAGCATCAACATCAACAAAAAGGATACCCACAAAAAAAAAAGGCCTACCGACCAAAAAAAGTCCAGGACCAGACAGATTCACAGCCAAATTCTACCAGAGGTGCAAAGAGGAGCTGGTACCATTCCTTCTGAAACTATTCCAGTCAATAGAAAAAGAGGGAATACTCCCTAACTCATTTTATGAGGCCAGCATCATCCTGATACCAAAGCCACACAGAGACACAACAAAAAAAGAGAATTTTAGACCAATATCCCTGATGAACATCTATGTCTCTGGAAGGATGAGTAATGAGTAACTTTTATTTTTTGTTTTTTACCTTTGTATGTTTTACAAATTCTCTATAATGACCTGCATTGCAGTTGTATTGAAGGAAAATATTATTTTTAAATGAGATAATAAAAATATTTTAAAGTAATTTAGACCACAAATGGCAAAGGCCATTCTTACAAATGTAAAGACAAAATTATTGTGTTTTTTAGCATCTATTGCATGTTTTTAAAATGTTGCTAATTTTAGAAACACAAGCTTGAATGAAAAAGCAAATTCCAGGAGACTGTATACAGAACAATACCATTTTTATAAGACCCAATAGCAAGCAGAACTAAACAATATGTCATCTGGTGATATGTATAAAGTGATCGAAGATTTTGTTGTTGTTATTGTATACAAGACATGATTAACACAAAACTTTTTATTGTGATTATTTTGTATATATTTGATGTCAACTGTAAGACCAGCCACTGTAAAATACATCTTTTTTATCTTCCTAGTGCTTTGCACAGTGTGAATAATACTTAATTTAAAAATGAATTTACTGACAGTAATAACATTAGTAATGATTATTATATGTATAAACTGTCTACACTTTTTAGCCTAGTCTCTCTTATAGCTCTTTATATGTATTTATGAAACTGCTATAGAACATTAACAAATGTTACATTTGCCTTCTAAGTTCTCTGCCAGCAGTGTCCTGTGCCATGTTCCTTCTAGGTTCTGGCAGCGTGAGGACAGGACACATGGAGAGAGACCCTTTAAACCTCCTTCCAAGGAAGTCAGTTCTCCCTGGTCCAGAGATTGCAAAGTGTAATTATTTTTCAGGAGAAAAATACTATTTGTAAGCATCATTCCTACCTGTATCCCAAAAGACTGAGTTCACTGATTTATTGAGCTTTTAACAAATATACTGTGCCTATATTCTTTCCTAAATGTATATTTTACAATTTAGGTCTGCGTTTCTTAGTTCGTCTCTGCACAGATCTTGGATTAAAAGATGCTCAAGAATATGCCAGAAAACTGAAGAGGTTGGAAAAAATGAAAGAAATAAGGGAACAGGTATCTCATATGGGCCCCAAACTGCAGTCTGTTAATTTTTAGAATGTCAGCCTTCTATAGCTCAAATGTGTGATGTTAGGAGCTTCTATAAGAAAACAGAGTTGAAATTTTTTTCTGCTCTGACATAATAGGAGGAATAACTAAAACTCTAGTTTGAGGATAAAATTCTGGCAAAAGTGGATTCCCAGGGAGAGGAAGTGCAATAGATTTCATATTATCTTAGTGGATAGCTACTAACAGACAAATAATTATAATTTTCCACAACATGAAATAGCTTACAGGTTAATTTGAAGACATAATTTTAATTGGAAAGTCCTGTGGACCATGAGAGACAGTTACTTCTCTGCAACAATGGAATCTGTGAGTGTGTGCTTTAACAAGTTTTCTAGGTGATTTTTATTGTCGCCAAAGTTTGAGAAGCACTCAGGCTTTATGCTCCTTGAAGGGTTACCTTGATCAAATACCAACTCAGGATATAGAAGCTAATTTAAGAGGTGAAAAAGTAGACATAAAATATATCAGGCAGTGGATTTTCTTAAATTGTTTTAAAATGGAAAAAGATTTGTATAAACTTAAGAGAGGAACATAAACCAATTCAGGTTTATGTGGGTCAGGGTAATTTCTCTTGCTGATTCCCTAACTCCTGTTTTAAAATGTTAAAACTAGAAGTTTTATCTAAAATGATTTTTCAGAGAAACTAGTCCTCTTTCTGGAACTATTATGGAAAGGAAGACTGTTCTCTTTTTTGTGCTTGGGGGAATCCACATTTTTGGGTAAGAAGAAAACATTGTACATTGTACATTGTACATTCATTAGTGCCAGCAAGAAGCAATTGTGGCACTGGGTTGTTGGCCAGGCAAGACAGACTCACTCTCAGCCCTCCATTCCTGAACACTGTGAGCCCCATAATGGTGTGGACCAGCCCCTGGAAACTGTAAGCCATGTAGCAGTGCTGTTTTTTAAAAGATGTTTTGCTTTTCTGCTTCACTGAACATGAAAAACATTAGCAGACAAACAAAGAGGTCTGTCAAAGCAAGAGTGTATGTTTGGAATAGAGCAAAATGGGAAGAGCAGGGCTTGAGGAATGAATATTTTAAATATGAAAAAGGAAGAGAAAAACAGCCAAAACACCAAAAAGGTTGGAGAATAAAGGTAAACTATTAAGAAGAAAAAGAAAATAAAGAAATAATAGAGACTGGGCACGGTGGCTCACGCCTATAATCCCAGCACTTTGGGAGGCCAAGGTGGGCAGATCACGAGGTCAGGAGATCGAGACCATCCTGGCTAACACACTGAAACTCTGTCTCTACTAAAAATACAAAAAATTAGCCAGGCGTGGTGGAGGGCACCTGTAGTCCCAGCTACTTGGGAGGCTGAGGCAGGAGAATGGCATGAACCTGGGAGGCGGAGCTTGCAGTGAGCTGAGATCCTGCCACTGCACTCCAGCCTGGGCAACAGAGCGACACTCCGTCTCAAAAAAAAAAAAAGACAAAAATGCAGAATATTTTCATTGCTAGTCTAAAGATAAAAATATATTCAATTTTTAAATCAAATTTCTAAATTTTCAGACTATTCAAATACAGAAATGCTGTTTCAATATTTGCCAGTTTTCCCCCAAAGTAATCAGGAAACAATGCCAAGAAATGCTTTCTTTTGGCCAGATTGACAAAATAGCATGTGACATTCAAAATTAATATATCATTGGTACATATACCCAAATTTCCAGTTATTACCAAAATGCAATGAAAATAAATGTATAGTCAAGTTGAGCAGAAACCCTTTTGGTTATATTTCTTAAAAGGAGAGAGATCCAGTATTAAGATCCCATATTTAGCTTTAAAATTAACCAAACTAAAAAATGCAATTTTTAAAAAATTCTATATGTGTAATAATGGCTTTAAGAATGTCTTGTACAATTTATATATTATTGACAAAAGTCAACAAAACTACTGAACAGAATATATCCTTAGTACAAAACTGATGGTGATTTGCATGTTGATTACATTTTCTAGGTTAAGATCACCAGTCATTTCTTTAAGGCCATTGATTTCAGATACTCTCATGCATTGCCCTGTGTTAGCCTCTCTGTTGTTTCGCTCAGAAAACATTGATTATGATCTGCCGTGCATATGGAGGACACAGTGAGGGACAAGAGTTGGCCCTGGTGCCTGAGGCACTCTAGGCAGAGCTGTGGGACCGAGAGGGGAAGGTCTTTGCTCCGAGAGGAGGTACTCAGAGGCAGTTCCCAGACGGGCTTGTGTTTGGAGTGGGCATGATTGGACACTTGGAGTTTGGGGTGGAGAGAAAAAAATGTGGGCAGAGGTCTGAGGACAGGAAGTTAAGGCCACGTTTATGGGTCCTTTGGAATTGAAGCCACTAAGGAATGTTTTTAATTTTGTTTTCTCTTGAATTTACGGTCAGCCAGTCTTCTTAAGAACCCTTAACTACGTAACAAGTAACTGCTCCTTGTTCCATAGAACCGAAACCCAATTCTTAGGAAGTAAATGCGTAGTATGGTGGACAGAACCCCGTACTTTTTTCCTGACATGACCATTGGTCAACCGTGTGATCTGGAATGGATGTTTACCTTTCTGGACTTCATTCTTATCAGCTGTAAAATGAGGATAGCGTTCTAGCTTTGAACTTCTCAAACTATCTGTGGTGAAATTATTTTTTGCCAGTCTGTCACTGACATTACTAGAAAAATGATCCTGCACTTGGATGTCAGCAGGGTCCGACATCCAGCAACATTTTGATGCTGTGCAAGTTTGTAAGCACTTGCCCTCTGTTCATCTCATTGAGGACAGGTGGCAGTTTGTGGGCCATCAGTGGTTTCCAGACCCCACTCTGGGTGGCCCATCCTGGATAACCCATAGGACCCACCAGCTCATAATGGTTCTTCCAGTCCCCGGAAGAGTAGCATGCGAGTTTATGGTCACAGATTCATAATAAAGAGTAGGTTTAAAGGGAAAAAATGTTTATTTTCTCTCTTCCAGCATTTATTCACTTAATTTGTTCACTTATTTTATTTGTGGCTACTTTGCTCCTCTATTCTGTGCCTTCTCTCATTTTTTTTCCAGAGTGGGAATGACATAATATTTTTTCCAGGTTAGGAATCCCATCTTTTTTCCCTATTATGAAAACAATAAATGTTCTTTTAAAAATGCAGGAAAATTGCTTTTGTAAATAATTTTTAATCCAAACAAAAATATATAAAGAAAAAAGTGAAAATCACCTATCCCACCACTTAGACATCACTGTTATCATTCCCCTTTCCCAGGCATTTTTACAAATATATACAAACATATATCAACACATATATTTTTAAATGGGACTTTTTTTAAAACACAAATGAGATTTTTACAAAAAATACTGTTTTATAACCTCTCCCACCCACTTCGCAGAATAACATGGACCACTTCCCATGTCAGTAAATACAGATTTCCGTCACTTTGTGCTCCATATTTTGTTACATGGCTGTTTCCTGCACATCTTAGCGTTGAAGTGATAAGAATCATTTATGTCAATCATTGTTTAAATGCTTCCTCTCTTACCTACCATGAGGCCTTATCTCACATCCACTCCAAAGTGATAAGAATTTCTGTGAACTTTATGAAGTGTTAAAACTCTGGAAGGATGAGGGGAATAATTCTGAAAAGTGTGTCTCCTACTTGAGCCCTCATATACCATATGATGAGAATGTCGTCTTCACTATGTTTACAAGTGTTTACTGTGCTCCTAAAATGTACCCATGCCTGTGCTAGATCTGAGGTGGGTTGCATGTCAGATGAGTCTGTGTGAGACAGGACCCTCGGGCCCCTGAGAGTGTGGGCAGGAATTCCCTGCCCAGTGTCCCTGAGGAGCAGCAGTGCCCACAGCCCAGGGTGTTCCCCGTGGAGTTGGGGAGCTTAAGCTGCAGGCCCTCATTTGCATTGCCTCTAATAAATTTTTATTTTTGCATTCATTTCATTTTCACAGTTTTTTGTTTTTGTTTTCTTTTTTGTATTTTTTTTTTTTTTAGTAGAGGCAGGGTTTCACCATGTTGGTCAGGCTGGTCTTGAACTCCTGACCTTGTGATCCGCCCACCTCGGCCTCCCAAAGTGCTGGGATTACAGGTGTGAGCCACCGCGCCCAGCCCATTTTCACAGTTTTATATCCTCTTTCTCAGAAAGTTTCCCCCAAGCTGTATAAGCTTCTGGCCCCACACATTCTGGATCTGCCCCACTGTCACCATTCTTTATCCTTCCAGCCAAAGAACAGTGTGCTTTATCTATACTTGATCTTTATTTTCTCACTTCCCAGGTGCTCTTCAAATCAGTCTAACCTTGACTGCTTCCATTCACACAGCTAAAACTACCCTCACTAAGATTAGTCACTTACATAGCAGTCAATATGATGGACACTCTTAACTTTCCGTCTGCCTGACTTAGCAGCAGCTCTGTATATGTGGCGTTTGTGACACACCCCTCCTGGCTTCCTTCAGTTCCTTTGCACTGCACTGAGGCCACTTTACCTCCATCACACTCTTAAAGGGCAAGGTCAGCTGCTGGGCCAGCCCTGGAATACCCGGTGGGGCATCACAGAGTCTGTCCTGTTGCCTGGTGGGATTGCTGTCTGCAGCAGCTCTGTCTCTTGGGTGTTTACTTTGCATCTCCGAAGGAAGCACTTAGATCATGCCTGAAAACACTACTGAGCAGAGCTCTGTTGTGTGAATGGTATGAGAGATGTGCAGTTAACTGAGTCTTGACAGTTGAGATTTCTTTTTTTTTTTCTTACATAATAGGCACATTCTTAGAGAGTTCTTTGAACTTAGAACTTTATCAAACTAAGGTTTTGATAAATGTTTTGGTTTTACTTTTGAAGTTGCCTTCTCTGTAACTTCCACAAGAAATCCTTGCTACAGCTATTACAATGGTACAGCTATTACAATGGTTAGTACACAAGACTCCTTATGGTGGAGTTCACTGATTCTCAACTGCAAATAGGCATTCAGTTGGAAAAAAACACCACATTCTCTGTGCACAGGAGGATGATGAAGGAGAAAGACAAACCGGTAGAGTCGGACCCTGAGCATAATGAGAGCACATGGAGCCAGTCCCGACCAGGGGACACACAGGGGGTCTCCTGAGGAGATGAGGGAGGAGGAAATAGCTGAAAAGATGAGGGAGGGCAGGCAGACAGGGATTAGCGGACCCATCCATGCAGGGTCCATGCCAGCTGGCATATCCAAGGAGATGCTGTTTTCCTTTTATTCTCTAAGCAGGCAGGACAGTCAGTTCCAAAAGTGATGAGGACAAAAAGTGGTGTCTACGAGAAGTGAGATGGCCTGCATGGGGCACACGGGAGGATCTAAGTGAGCAGTGGGGAGCCCTGAGGCTTGCCTGGTTTTTGTACTGATGGAGCTGTTTCCCCAGCACAGTGTCCTGGGAGTAGGAGAGGAAAAAGGGAAGGCACTGAACCAACCGAGGCTTAGGTTTCTCTTGATGAGTGAAGCAGAAAGACAAGAAGGAGGCAAGGACCATAGTTCCAATGTGGCGTCATGGCACGTGGTAGGCCTTGATTCTAGGCTGGACAGAAAGTAGGAATTTAAAGAGTTTAAAAAGAGAAGAGTGATGAGAGCCAGAGGACTGGAAAATTCTAGATGAGTGCAGGGAACAGGTGTCAGGCAATAAAGAGTGTAGTGATTATGGAAGTGCTTACTTACCTTCGCATATCCTGTTCTGAACCTCTAGTCACTTAAACAGGATACAAGTTTTCACATGTGGTTTTAAAAACTGTCAAGCTATGTGGACATTTGTCTTGATGAATTTATTTTCAGCATTTTTTTTTTTTTTTGAGACGGAGTCCCTCTCTCTGTCGCCCAGGCTGGCATACAATGGTGTGATCTCGGCTCACTGCAACCCCCACCTCCCAGGTTCAAGCGATTCTTCTGCCTCAGCCTCCAGAGTAGCTGAGATTACAGGCGCCTGCCACCACACCCGGCTAATTTTTATATTTTTAGTAGAGACGGGGTTTTGCCATGTTGACCAGGCTGGTCTTGAACTCCTGACCTCAGGTAATCCACCCGCCTCGGCCTCCCAAAGTGCTAGGATTACAGGCGTGAGCCACCACACCGGGCCTATTTTCAGCATTTAGAGGTCTTTTTGGTATGCTGGAGATGATCCATCTGTGGTTGGATGAAAATCAAGTTTTGAAATAAAGTCAGATTATGGATGTTTAAATTCTTACTTTGCTACATCTTTTTAAGATTTTCTTTCATCTATGAAGGCAAGGAGAAAGTTGATATTTCAAGGGAAGTGCTTTTCCTTTTAATGGAAAAAAAATTGGATATGTTTATGAAACATTTGGAAGTCCTGAGTTTTAAGAGAGTATTTCATCTTACAGAAATGAGTTAATTATTGAAAAGAATTTCTTTCTTCCTAGCAAACCACAGACAATAACTTTATCCATGACCTGACAATTTATAAATATTTGGGAAGTTGTCAGGGTTAAGGAGTTAAATAATTTGTCTTTTGAATTAAATATGAAATTATGTTTATGTCTTATGTTTATATTATTAAAGATCTAAATAAAATATCCACCCATGTTAAGAAGTTTAATTCAATTATAAACATAAAAAGCCATCTGTCTCTGTTCACTAATCATCCTGTAGCTGTGTAAATGAACCATTATACATATGAAAATTTGATAGTGTGACTTGAGGCAGATTCAATGTTAATACAAAAATTCTAATACTTAGGCAAAACAGAACCATAAAATGTAGAAAGAAACCTAACAATGCCACAGTGTGGAGATACTTCTTAGGCTTTGAAGGCGAGTCTGTATCTAAGAAAGTAGACTGTTGGACAGATCTTAGGTCTTTTGTGAGGTTTTAATCATACTTTTATTTTATAAATTGAATTTCAAAACTCAGCTTACCTTTTTTTTTTTTTTTTTTTTTTTACCCTCAAATAGTTCAGGTCCAACCATTGTATATGAGGACTAATGGCAAGAAATGGCCCTTTTGTAGATTCTTATCCCCTCCTCACCCATCCCTCCCTTAAACTAAAGATCATGTTTAAGCCCTGAATGTTCACATCAAGAAAATACTGTTTAGTTTTGAGTTGTTTGTGTAAGCCAAGGTTACGCTGCACTTTTGAATTAAAGTGCTATACGAGTTTTCTCAAGAGCCTTAGAGGGGAAGGCTTGAACCCTCCACTTACAAAACAACTCAGGCTTTTTTTTTTTTTCTATAGAATCAACTCTCAGGTATGATGGGTTAGTCCTAAGGGTAATGTAGTAATGTTAATTTTAAAATCCACCTTTATCTATATTCAACTTTGAAGGAATAGCACTTATTCTTTTAAACTTGTCTTCTCTTTGCTCTAGCGCATAAAGTCAGGCAGAGATGGCAGTGGGGGCTCCCGTGGCAAAAGAGAAGGAAGTGCTAGCGGTGGTAAGTATTTTCTCTTTCCCTGAAAAACTTGGTTTCCACATTTCTAGTATGTGGGCTTCTGGAAACATCTTGCAATAATCTAAAGTGTTCTTATGTGTCTGTCGGTTTGTTCTATACACAGTGAAACTTCACATTAATTAATTTGGTAAGCAGTCAGTCTGATATGTAAATGAGTATTTGTAAATGCTAACAGATTTTCTTAAATAACCATGCTTGTTTTTGCTAGTTGATTAATAAACAAGTTTTTCATTTATTAATCTCTCAGGTTGGACAGATTATCATAGATGGGCGTACTTATGAGGTTTTGCTGTGTTACATTTTTAAAATTTCCATTTGAAGGAAGTGCCACGAGAAGGAGGATGGTCCTATGGAATGCTGACAGCCCTAAATCTTTAGTCTGACTTTTAGTGTAGAATTAGTGACAAGCTAGGAATTAGGAGACATAGTGTGAGTCCCAGTCTTGATCGTGACGATGTATATATGTCTTTGGACCAACCACATAAATGCTATAGGCTTTTGGTGATTTCTGAAGTTCTTTGCATCTCTAAAATTCTTTTACTCCTTGTGACATCATTACATAATAAGACATTTTATTGAGTTTTCCACCCCTTCTTCCCATCAACAATCTACCTTCTTTCTCTACTTCAGGCAGGCAGTGTAAGTTAAACTTAGTACAAATTTGGTGATTTTAAAGAAGCTAATTTTAAAAATAAATGTCGAATTGGGGTCTATAAATATACCTACATTCTCTCCTATCCATACTCAGCACTCTCATGCATATATGACCTAGCTCCATGTAACTATCCAGCTGCATTCTGTCATATCTGTTTGTGATGTAGGAGTCAGGACAAAGACAAATGTAGCTCTTAGTTAGGCAGGCCTTTCATCCATTCACAGTGTTTATTGGATGCATACTGTGTGCCAAACACTGTGCTAAGAGCCAAGGACATGGGAACAAATAAGACGTGGTCCCCATGCTCAAAGAAGTTAGAATCTAGTTGGAAAGACACACAGCTTCTAATGGTGCTGTGGATGCTGCCATGGTAGAGAAATGTACATGAGTTTTCAAACTTTCCTAGGGATAGAAACTGCAGTTGGGACAAAGACTCCTTGAATTCAGAGCTGTGCTTTGAAATTCAAGGAGTCTTCGTCCCAATTGCAGTCAAATTCAATTTATAACTTAGTAGGCAGTTACAGCCATCAGTGGCATCGGGTTCTAGCCAGGCCACTTGATTCCCCAAGAGTCAGTCCAGCGTCTCCAGCTAAACCTCATGGTGCTGGCCTGTTTATCTTCAGGAGCCATTACCCAGAGCTGGAGAAATCAGTAAAAGCAGCATTGAGCCCAAGCCTCAAGAGTACCAAAGGCAGTCTGTCACATCAAAGAGTAGCCACTTCCATCTCTTCAGCCACCATGGTCCTGATGGCTACTCCTGTCTCCTTGCTCTTCCCTAGCCCCAGATATCTCACACACTCCACTTTAATGGATCCGTGTGACTATCTGGGGTTGGATTTAGTCAGAGAGATCTGGCCCAGCAGTTCTTAAGCCAGAGGCAGCCATAAGCCCACAGCTCCTTACCCAAAACCCCTGGGGCCAGGTGTGTTGTGGAATTCAGAACCTTTTGGAGTTTAGAAAGCAAGATGTATTAGCCATGTATCACATACTACCCAAGGAGAGCACCTCAGACATATTAATTCAGTGAAACATGAATATTCACACTAAGGATAAATAAAGACTATGAATAGCCTCAAATCAAGTCAAGTTCTATACCCAAGAAGTTTATATATTGCCACCTGAAGAGTTGGCTTTCAGAGCTCTTTGGAATTTGGAATTGTAGATGGAGGGTCATGGATGTGTACCAAAAATGTTCTTAACAGCCAAGAAGTCCACAGACTAGGCATTGTGCAACAGTCAAAAGCAACTCTAGACAGCTCCCCAGACCAGCACAGTGCTGCTTGTTCATCCTTGCTCCTAGGAAGCAGGAAGTACGTGATATCAGCTCTCTTGGAAATAACTGTCCCTTTAAGGAGTAATTGTCTTGAGTAACCCCTAAGGAAGTATTAAGTATTAAAATTCTAGGGCCGGATTCACCATCCCCTAAGGATTCTGCATTTCTCTCTGAAAATCTTAAGTTCAGAATAACCAACCAGTTCCTTCTAAACATCAACAACCTTATGTTAAGTTCTCTGACCCTTCCCTGGTAATTCGTAAGTTTATAAAATCTCTCCCCTTAACTTAAGCCTTAGTTTCCCAGATGCCATCACTTTGAAAATCTGCCTCAGAAACATCAGTACCTCCTAATGGGATGTGATAGAACACCCGAAAAACTGCTGAATGGTGTGGTGCTTCCCCAGAGCCCAGGGGACAGTGTCTGGGGTCCCACCCCTGAGAAAGTAACCCCAGGAAGACTGACAGCTGCCTCTCGGAAACAGATTGATCAGTGTGCCTCAGGCCACCGCAGGTTCAGATCCTTTGACATGAAGAATTGCCCAGCCTCCCTGGTGACCTTTCCCATAGCCCTCTTTCAGTCATGCTGGCATTAGAGCACAGAGAGGGCTTCACTCGGCCAGGGACCTCCTCCACGGTCAGGGAAGAAGGGACTGACAATGAAGAGAGGTAGGGCCACCCCAGATCTGATACCTGTGTGCTATAAAAGAGAGGCCTTCCTCTTGAAGAGTTCCCTTCTGGTCCTGGCCTCCCACTGCTGCTTTTTCTTTTTTAATCTATTTTCCTTTCTTTCTTCCAGTCCATTTCAGTCCAACACAAATAGTCAGTTCTAGTGCACAAATAAGCTTTATTCTCACATGAGAGACTTTTGGCATACAAACTCTGTGCTCTCAAGGCATTTTACAAGCAGGGTTGCGTGTTACTAGGTTCTTCTGGCACAAATTTAAAGCACTCATCAGTCCCTTCCTAGGGTGCTTTCCCCCATCATTTGCCTTTTCGTTCCTTATTTTCTGACATCTCGAGTTATGCATCATCCCAGACTTTTTCATTTCATCCTGGAGCCCAGTTTGAATGCTGCTTTCTGTGGCTGAGCTGGTTCCACGCTGACACTTTTGCAGGAATCGTGTTTTCTGTCCGCCTTCTCCAGTTCTCAGCACAGGCCACACTCCAAGGCTGGCCCTGGCTGTGAAGTCGGAACAAACCCAGGCTGTGAGGCTTCTCTCCCTTTCTCCTTCCTTTTGATTTCAAAGTCTTAATAGTTAACAGTATTTATATTCTCTGCAGATAAACTGATGAGGGGAATAACTATATTCTGTCCATTGTTTTGGTTGAATTTTGTTAAAGGTTGAGAAATTGACAGAACACATCTGCTTCTCATGTGTAGCTGTCCTCAAGACACAAGAATTCCTTCTTAGATGGCATTTTCTATTTTTGCATGATAGTGGCATTTTGTGACTTATTTTGAGTATGGTGTTATTAAGCTTTCATTTTTAAAGTGCTTTTTGGTTTACCCTGTGTGATTTTTAATGGCTTTCTGCATTTTTTAGTTTGATTTTTATGTCTTGGATATAAACTTTTCCAATGAAAATGGATCAATTTTAGACTGAAAATAATTTTATAATGAAAATCAGGATAAGATTCAGTGAACAGAAATTCACTTTATGGTATCTTTTATAAAGCACATTGTAAACATATTTTATTTAAAAAAACTGAAGTTTTATATATATATATATATATATATTTTTTTTTTTTTTTTTTTTTGAGACAGAGTCTTGCTGGAGTGCAGTGGCGTGATCTCTGCTCACTGCAAGCTCCACCTCCCGGGTTCACACCATTCTCCTCCCTCAGCCTCCCAAGTAGCTGGGACTACAGGCACCCACCACCACGCCCGGCTAATTTTGGGTATTTTTAGTAGAGATGGGGTTTCACCATGTTAGCCGGGATGGTCTCGATCTCCTGACCTCGTGATCCACCCGCCTCAGCCTCCCAAAGTGCTGGGATTACAGGCTTGAGCCACCGCGCCTGGCCAGTTATATTTTAATATTCTAGTCCAAGTTTGAGCATGGCTAATTAACACCTTTCCACAGTTTTGCTGGGGCCTGATGGTGTCACAAGCAGAGAATGAACAAGTCATGCTCAGTGCCCACAAGGGAGGACGAGACAAGGAGTGTACGCTCTGAGGAGGTGCATAGGCCTAAATGTAGAGGACAGGCCGACACAAGTCAGCCAATTACAGAAGGAATTGCTGGACATCTATGTGGGGAGGGAGTCTTGAGAGGCCGGGGGGCGGGTGCTGTCACTTCTCTAAGGATCATGCCTGTCAGCCTCAGTCCCAACTTGCATGTCCCTTTACCCCATAAATCTAGACCACAGTTTTGCAGGATACCCGAGTATCCAGCCCACTTTGTATACGGTATGTATCACAAAGGAATCTTGATGAATAATAAGTATTAGAAGATAGTGAACAGCACCAGAGCACCAAAGTAGTCTCAGTGTTACAGTTCCAGAAAAAGTTTGCCTATGCCAGTATACCCAGCTGGTGTAACCTGCCAATGTGTCGTCTGTGTTCTGATACAGTAATTCTCAGTAATTTGGGGTGTGCAGACTTTTTCTGTAAAGGGCCAGGTAGTAAATAGTTTAGGCTTGCAGGCCAAGTCTCATCTACCGAGAATATTCCACTCTGCTGTTGTGTATTGAAAGCAGCTGTACACAGCGTGTAAGTGAATAAATGTGATAGTGTTCTATAAAACTTAATTCTTGGACACTGAAGTTAGAATGTTATATGAGTTTTATATGTCACAAAATATTATTATTGTTTGCTTTTCTTCCTAACCATTTTAAAATGTACAAATCATTAGCTTGCTGGATAGACAAAAATAGGGTGGGCCAGATTTGGCCCACACACTGTAGTTTGCTAATCCCTGCTCTAAGCCAAAGTCTCCATGAATACTTTTGGTAATGACAGGTGGGGCCTGGGAATTATCCTTTTGATCAAAGCACTGCTTGAAGCCATTTCATCCTGGTATACAGCTTGAACAGTAAAAGTCTGTATCAGTGAACTTCTCTTAAAACCACCTTAGTTGTTTACAACTCACCCACCTTACTAAGTCAACACACATCACAGAGCATATGATGAGATTTTGTATCTTCAACAGAACATGCTCCTTAACTCTCGCCCTTAGCCTGTTGCCCTGAGTTTTCAGTCCTTGTCATAATCCCATTCCTGGCATTCATTCAACATCCATGGACCACCTTCCTGAACTCATCACATCTTATGTGAACAAGTTACTTAAATCTCTTTGTCACAGTTTCCTCATCAGTAAAATGAGACTGAAAACAGTACCTTCCTGATAGGGTTGCTGAGGAGGAAATGGGCTCATGTGGAAAGCTCTTAGAGAAACTCCTGATAAGGGCAAGCATGTGCAAGGGTGAGCATGGCTACTGTGACTCCCGCCTGACAAAGGGAGTGCATGGGCAGGGCCTGGAATACCAGTGTCCACTGCACTGCCAGCGCCCATGTTCTCACCACTGCCAGTGTGTGACCTCTGAGTGTGAGAGCCTCAGTTTCTCCCTAACACAAGAGGGTCATGTTTATCCATGCAGTGTAACCAAGTGTACCCCTGTCTCACTGTTGAGTTGAATTTTGTTTTTTTAAACAAGAATTACTAGTGCTTATAAATAAAAATAAATGTTGGTTCTTGAAGTTACCAATTTGGAAAGCTGAATATTTACTTCAGTAATGCTGCTGTTAATCAAAACATTTGTGAAACTCCTTTTTTATAATTGCCTGCAGAGGCAAGTTACAAAAAGCACAGGAAATTGAATCCAAAACTTTTACAAAATACATATGCACATACATACATATATATGCATACACACATATATATGCATGCATATATCCTATCTGTAAAATATATACACATGTATTTTATATATACGTGTGTGCTCATACATACAAACACACATTTTATGAGTTTTTACCCTCTTTCCCTTCCTACCTTTCTGCTGTTTTATCTACAGATAAGCATTTTCTCACGTTTTCTAGCCATAATAAGTACTCAGTAAATACCAACATTCTTCCAGCTTCACCTCTCATATCCTCTTTATATGCTAGGTATTAAGTATTTAAGTTTGCCACATAACAAATATATAATGTTACCTCCTTTGTTCTCTTCACTGAGTCCCTCCAGAGTCTCCCTCTCCTCACTTGAGTATTGCCTATACAGTAGCTATCGGCGTTCATTTTTACAATTTTAATATATTCCTGTTAGGTTTTGTTGGGTAATAATGTAATGGGATCAATAGAAGTAGGGGGTGAGGGTTGAAATCAAACTGAGAATTGCAGCTGTAACAATGTAAGAATGAGCTGAAATTCTCAGAGTAAGGCTAGGTCCAAGCAATGGTCCTTGTAAAATTATCAGAGTATTATGTCATCTGAGCTGATAAGGTCATTACTTTCTTGGACTGTTGGTTGGGAAAGTACTTTGGATCCCTAGCTGTGGTGCGCTGCCTCTTAACTTTGGAAAGGGACAGGAGCAAAGGAAGATCAGCTTCCTGGTAATAAGAGGATAGGCCATTTGCAAGTCAGATTACAGAGCACCTAGAAGTAAATTGGTCAGTAAAGGCCTCCTAAAGGTCCCAAAGTTATTGTCTGATGCTCTTCAGTGTTTCTAGATATAAACAAATACTTCCTCATACTTAAGGAGTGAGAATAGATCTTAATTATTGCATCTTAATAGAGGCTAAATTGAATATCATCTTCTTAAAAATAGAAGAGAGAGACAGACCAAAAAGCTTTTACAAAGTGTCTAATGGATAATGAAATCAATTTATAGCTCACCAAAAGAGAGTTATTTAAGAAGAGATTTGAAAAAGTAAGAACCACTATATTCATAACACATTCAAAGGAATGGGCAGAATTTTTTAGAAAGTTTCATTTTAGATAGTACTTTCAAAAAATAAGAAACTAATAGGGGCAGTTGATAGACTTCCTAGCTTAAGGGAAGGGGAATGTTGAAAAATGATTATATACGTATTATAATTGGGCCTTGAAGACTACAGAGGGCCATTAGATTTTTCAACTAAGATAGTTTTGATAGCCTTAAAGAAAGCAGTCTCAGTGTACTGTTAGAGGTAAAAGTCAGATTCTAATGATTTAAGAAGTGAATGAGTTGCAGGGAGGTAGAGAAGAGGATATAAACTATTCTCTCACACATGGTGGTGAAATATACAGCCTCACCAATAACTAAAACAATGCATACTTGCCAAGACCAGCTCAGTTATGGAGACCCTAACCCAGCAGTGCTAGAGGAATTAAAGACACAGACACAGAAATAGGGTGCAGAGTGGGACCAGGGGGCTGACAGCCGTCAGAGCTGAGAGCCATGAACAGAGTCTGACCCACATATTATTGACAGTAAGCCAGTGCTAAGCATTGCTTCTATAGATTATAGATTAGCTAGAAGCATTCCTTATAGGAAACAAAGCATTTTTAGCAAGGAGCAGAGAAACAGGCCCTGGCTGATTATCTGCAGCAAAAGCATGTTGTTAAGGCACAGGCTGCTCGTGCTATTGTTTGTGGCTTGAGCAGTTTTCCGCTCCGGAGGGGCCAGGTTTTCCTTGCCCTGCTCCAGTAAACCAACAACTTCTAGCAGTGTGAACCAACAACTTCTAGCAGTGTGTGTGATAGCCATCACGAGCATGTCACATTGCTGCAGAAATCCTGTTTATGACCAGTTTCTTTAAGGCCTGTTTATGACAGGCTTAGGGCTTGCTACCAGCATGTCTCCCTTTTCGTTTTTGCAAAGCGATAAAGACAAAGGCAGCTTTGTCACGGTGGGCTACTTCTCGCAAGATTTGGGATCTGCATCGGCAGACTACACAAAGACAGACAACACAGATTAAAAGCACAATCATCATTGAAATCACAGAGCCTCCAAGTGTCTTGATCCACTTTAATGGGTTAATAGCTGCTAATCCATCTGCAGCTCCTTCAAGCACTTCAGTTCCTGGCATTAGCGTCAGATGTGCCTGAGAGGCTTGAAATACTTGTTTCTTCAGTTTTACAATATCTAAAGATAAATTTCCAGTATGACCCTTTAAATGTCTCCTAACTCTTTCCCACTCGTGCTCTGTTTCATTATACAGATGAGGAGTAATGCAAAAATCAGAAGTATTCCAATCACATTGTAACTGCATTCTGTATTTTAGACTAACTACTCAATCTCCTAGCCACATTACAGTTTGTCGGAGATCATTGATTTGATTAGCTAGTTTCTGGTCTATATTAGTTTGGGAATTCCACAGCAGAGTAGAATTTTTCTGCCAATTATTTACATAGTCTGCTGTTTGTACTGTGGAATGCAGAGCAACTCCAGCTACCACGGCAGTAGCTGTGACAGCAGTCAATCCCGTAATGATTAAAATTAAAGTGGCAATTAAACGCCGAGAGTGCCTCAAAATCTATCGAAGAATTTCAGTAATAATATGCGCAGAAGGAGAGGCTTCCCAAGGATGGGAAAGCTTTACAGGTATCCATACGCCTTCTCGGGCTCTTACTACTAAAATAGAATGATCAGTATTATACAAGGAAGAATTCACACAAGAAAACAATCTATATTCTTGACAAGTCATATGATGATTAGGGAGATCAAGTTTTAAATCACCCACTACAAACAGGAAAGGCGGACAGACACAACTATGTATCCAGACTGAACTGTTGTGAGCCAATTCTAACATGTAATTAGGATTATATTGGGTTGGCTTAGTATATTTTCCTTCCCAAATCTTTATCTTTTTCAGTGCCATTAATATTTTCCATAACTCCTTATGTTTAGCTCTTACATCAGGTCATATCATTTGGGGTTGAGGTACCACTATACCACCATATGCCCAAATAATAGGAACTCTTGCTGTACTTCTTATAGTGTCCACCATCTGATTATTTTGTTTATATGCAGGGTGACCATTAGCTACAGATTGAGAGGTGAGCCTCATAAATGCCCCTTTAGGGGACCAATCAATAATGACTCCATATGAATCATTACACAACACCTCTGCCTGCCTTGCGACACAATCTTCCCAAGCAAATACCTTCATTTTTGCTGACCATGTCCAATCCAGTTTACAGATAGGTTTTTGAGGGTGGTAAACTTCGGTTACAGGAGCATAATAATTGTGATAAATACTAAGACCAGAAAGCATATGTAATTGTGTCATGGAGATGTTACATTCAGGCACTATCGCCAGCCAGGATTGATGACTGGGAGCTAAACACCTATTGGCTTTTCCCAAACAAATAGGTAAATCCTCAAATCCCAACAAGATATTCATAATAGTTCCTTCCTCTTAGGGCTTAGACGGGCCTCTATCATCTATAGAACTAGGCATCTAAAAACTTTCGTTAGTGTATACCTCCACTGGGGGGTCTAACCATGTTTCTGGCTGTAGAAGTGGTGGAAAAGGAATATATGCCCAATAAGTATAATTGTCTTTTGTTTCAGCAGTCACTGGGGGAATACTCATGGCGATGGTGAGCACAGCCATCATAGCTACCATTAGATTACTCATTGTAACTGGTTGTCCTGCCTTCTTCAGATTTTCTTCCGCCATCTGTGTCAACTTCTTGATCTGGCCCCAGGGGGGTGGCTGTGCCCGACCAGTGTTGCTCGCCAGCACTTGTGTCTTCCTTATTGTCAGTCTCAACATGGCTGCAACCGGGGGGTCCTCGGGTTCCTCCCAAAATCTCTTCCTTGGCATCTGGCTGATGATAAGTTTTCAGGTATCTTGATGGTATCCAAATCAGCTGCTGGTTTTGGCCTGGAGAACACAAGCATAACCTCTACCCCATGTTATTATTTTACCTATTTCCCAACTCGTTGTTATCGAATCTCTCCACCAAACCAGTTGTTCCGCTTCTATCTTTGCAGCTGGTTTTGGTAGATGCCGTTCAGCTGCTGATAGCATCTGGCCTTTAGATAGGCTCAAAAAATTTAAAGTCAGTAATGCTAGATTCAGTTGCATGTGTGGAGTCCTATAATCACTGTCCCTGTTTCCCCCTTCTGCTTTTGCAATTGTCATTTTAGGGAGAGATTCATTCGTTCCACAATGGCTTGTCCTTGTGAATTATATGGGATGCCAGTAATGTGTTTAATATTCCATATAGAGAAAAATGTAGCTAGAGCTTGGCTAGTATAGCCTGGGACATTGTCCGTTTTAACAGAAGCTGGAATGCACATGACCGTGAAGCGTTGCAGAAGATGCCGTTTAATACAGGCAGAAGATTCTCCTGTTTGACAGGTAGCCCAAACAAAGTGAGAAAAATGTATCTACACATACATGCACATAAGCTAGTCTCCTAAACGAGGGAACATGGGTGGCACCCATTTGCCAAAGAGAATTAGGTTCCGATCCTCGAGGATTAACTTCTCCTGTAAAAGATGAGGAATGCACCATTTGACAAGTTGGGCATCGCTGGATAATAGCTTTAGCTTCTTTCCAGGTAATGCTGTATCTGCGTTTGAGACCAGAGGCATTAACATGGGTTAAATTGTGAAAGTGTCTAGCGTTAGATATTTCAGTAGCAGCTAGGCAATCAGCCATTTGATTCCTTGGAGTCAAAAGTCCTGGAAGAGTTGTATGAGCTCCAATATGAGTAATGTAAAAAGAGTGCATTCTGTTCCTAACTGTGGTTTGTAATTGGGTAAATAAAGTCATCAGTTGTTCATCTGTGTGGAATTGTAGCTGAGCATTTTCAACTAACTGTGTGGAATGAACCACATATGAAGAATCAGAAATTACATTGGCAGGCATCTCAAAAGCAGTCAGCACCTCAATTACAGCTACAAGCTCCGCTTTTTGAGCTGAAGTATAGGGCGTCTGGAAAACTTTACGTTTTGAATAAGAAGCTTTACCATTACTAGACCCATCTGTAAAAACATTTTCAGCACCTACAGCTGGTTTAGATTTAGTTATTCCAGGGAGAATCCAATTAGTTAATTTTAAAAGTTGAAATAATTTTGTTTTCGGAAAGTGATTATCAAGAACACCTACGAAATCAGCTAAATGGGTTTGCCAAGACTATTTATAAAGTCCTGTTGTGTTAGTGTTTTTGTAAGAGGGACAATAATTTTTCCAGGGTCATATGCATGCAATTTAACAGTTTGGGTTCTCCCATTTCCTACCAGAGTAGCAATTTGATCCAAATAAGGAATTAGAGTCTGTGAATTAGCATGTGGAAGAAAAAGCCATTCTACCAAGTCCTGCTCTTGGACAATAACACCAGTAGGTGAATGCTGTGTCGGAAAAATCAGCAAGTCTAAAGTCTTTGTTGGATCTATTCTATTTATTTGAGTTGTATGCACTTGCTTCTCAATCAGCTGTAAATCTGCCTCAGCTTCCTTTGTTAATTGACAAGGGCTAGTGAGACTAGGATCTCCTCTAAGGATAGAAAATAGATTACTCATGGCATAGGTAGGAATGCCTAGAGCAGGTTGTATCCAATTAATGTCCCCTGGTAATTTTTGAAAGTCATTCAGTGTTTTCAATTGATCCCTACTTATGGTTACTTTCTGTGGCACTACTGTAGTGACATTTACTAAGGTCCCCAAGTAGGAGTGAGGAGGAGCAGTCTGAATTTTGTCAGGACCTATAATTAAACCGGCTCGAGAAATCGAGTTTTGTAAGTGATCATAACATTGGAGTAATATTTCCCAAGTCGGGGCAGCACAAAGAATATCATCTATATAATGAATAATGTAACACTGTGAAAATTTTTTACAAGTAGGTTCAATTGCTTGTCCTATATAAGTGACAAATTGTTGGACTGCTTAACATGCCTTGTGGGAGCACTTCCCAGTGAAAACGCTTAGCAGGCTGCAGGTTGTTTACCACAGGAATTGTAAATGCAAACCGTTCACAGTCTTGCTCAGCTAAGGGGATAGTAAAGAAACAGTTTTTTAAATCTATGACTATTAAAGGCCAATTTTTAGGAATCATAGTAGGAGAAGGCAATCCTGGCTGCAGTGCCCTCATAAGTTGTATAACTGAATTAATGGCTCTAAGATCTGTCAACATTCTCCATTTACCTGATTTTTTCTTAATAACAAAGACTGGAGAATTCCAGGGAGAAAATGTTGGAGCTATGTGTCCTTTTTCTAATTGTTCAGTAACTAAGTCCTCTAAAGCCTCCAGTTTCTCTTTACTCAGCGGCCACTGCTCTATCCAAATTGGCTTACCTGTTAACCATTTTAAAGGTATAGGTTCTGGAGGCTTAACAATGACCGCCATCAAAAATGATCTAAACCCTGATGAGAATTCTGTCCTTCCGCTTGAAGCAGTTTCTTTAACCCTTGTAAATTTTTTCCTAATCCCATGCCAGGCACGTACCCCATCTCTTGTATCATATGCTGACTTTGAGGGCTATATAGTTGCTCAGGAATTAGAACTTGTGCTCCCCATTGCTGTAATAAATCTCTCCCCTATAAATTTATAGGTACAGAAGTTATAATTGACTGGATAGTCCCAGGTTGTCCATCGAGTCCTTCACAATGCAAAATATAACTGCTTTGATATACTTCAGGGGTTTTACCAACTCCAACTCTGTTAAATTGAGTGGGTTGAATTGGCCATGCGGATGGCCAGTGCTGTAGAGAAATGATGGAAATGTCCGCTCCTGTATCTACCAATCCTTTCATTCATTTTTTTCCTTGAATGGTTATTTCACAGGTAGGACATTTATCAGTAATTTGATTCACCCAATAAGCTGCTTTGCCTTGTTTATTTGTGCTTCCAAATCCTCCTGTTTGATTAATTTCACTTTTTCCCATTCCCACATACAGCACAGTCAGGAGCTGTGCTATACGCTCTCCTGGCTCTGCTTTCCAGGGAACAGAAGTAGATATAACAATTTGAATTTCCCCATTGTAATCTGAATCAGTGACTCCTGTATGTACTTGCACTCCTTTTAAATTTAAACTAGACCTACCTAGAAGTAATCCTACCGTCCCCACTGGCATCATCTGACTGGAGACAGCAACATTCTTTAACAGTCTCATTACAAAAGGAGAACCTGGTCCATATTGATTAATAGCTGGTTTAAATTCTTTGAGGAATTTAAAAGGAAAAGGCTCAAATGTAGCCATAATATTCCCCTGTTGATCAGGTGAGTATATTCTAACAGAGAACTGCCAAGCATCCATATCACCTTCTCATCTAGCTTGCTGGATTCCTGCCTAAATGGAACTGAGAGCGGTCGCTCGAGGCACTGCTGGAACAGTCACTGGGGCAGCTACTTTTTGCCCAGTGTCCTCTGGAAAAGAGAGATTTGGAGAGTCAGGCCACTCTTTTTCTTCAAAATAATGAGGGGGTATAGAGGGGTAGGGACAAACCTCTCCCTCCTTTGTCTCTTTAGCTGGCAAGCAAACCTGCTCTGTCATCTCTTCTGTTAGTTACTTCGTTACACTCTCCTTCTTCCTCTGATTCCTCCTCCTTGTCATCTATATAGAAAGGCTCCAAGGTGGAACAAACCACAATCCACACTGACCAGAGAGTTACAGGAATATCCTCAGCACCATCGTTGTATGCCTTTTTCAGTGTGCTGCCTACCTTTTCCCAGACCTCTACATTCATAGTTCCTCGGTCCTGAAACCAGGGGCAGTATTTCTCTACCACACTAAAAAGTTGCATAAGTCAGCTGGTGCTAACCTTCACTCCTTTTCTGAGGAGATGCCGAAGCAGACTCAAGCCTCGTGCCTGCTCGACCCTTGTCCCATTGTTACCCTGATGCTTCCGAGCTCCCCTTCTTACTCACCACAGGGATTGCTTAAGAGTACTCGGGTGTTCCCCAGCGTAGTTCCACGTTCTCCAACTGTCGCTTCGGGGCGACCCTTCGACCCGGGTTCAAGCCCCCATGTTGGGCACCGCTTGCCGAGACCAGCTCGGTCGTGGAGACCCTAACCCAGCAGCACTAGAGGAATTAAAGACACAGACACAGAAATAGAGTGCAGAGTGGGATCAGGGGGCTGACAGCCGTCAGAGCTGAGAGCCACAAACGGAATCTGACCCACATATTATTGACAGTAAGCCAGTGCTAAGCATTGCTTCTATAGATTATAGATTAGCTAGAAGCATTCCTTATGGGAAACAAAGCAATTTTAGCGAGGAGCAGAGAAACAGGCCCTGGCTGATTATCTGCAGCAAAAACACGTTGTTAAGACACAGGCTGCTCCTGCTATTGTTTATGGCTAGAGCAGTTTTCCGCTCCCGGGGGTGGGGGGGCCAGGTTTTCCTTGCCCTGCTCCAGTAAACCAACGACTTCTAGCAGTGTGTGTGATAGCCATCACGAGCATGCCACATTGCTGCAGAAATCCTTTTTATGGCCAGTTTCTTTAAGGCCTGTTTATGACAGGCTTAGGGCTTGCTACCAGCACAAACTAACCTATAAAATTAGCAATGAATTTTTTAAAAGGTAATTCCCAAGGGTAGCAAGGATGAGATGAGATGAGCACTGTTTATTAACTAAATTCTGCTGGGGGGAGTTCTAAGTGGCACACCCTGCTGGGAATGTTTGGAAATATTCATCAAGCCCTTTAAAATGCCCGTACCCAGCCGGGCATGGTGGCTCACGCCTGTAATCCCAGCACTTTGGGAGGCCAAGGCAGGCAGATCACTTGGATCACTTAAGGTCAAGAGTTCGAGACCAGCCTAGCCAACATGGTGAGACCCTGACTCTACTAAAAATACAGAAATTAACCGGGCATGGTGGCACACACTTGTAGTTCCAGCTACTCAGGAGACTGAAGCAGGAGAATTGTTTGAACCCGGGAGGCAGAGGTTGCAGTGAGCCGAGATTGCGCCACTGCGCTCTAGCCTGGGAGACAAAACAAGACTCCATCTCAAAAAATAAATAAATTAATTAAAATGCCCATAACCTTTGATAGGAACTTACTTTAAAGAAATAATTTTGTACACACATATTGATCACATTATTTATGGTAGAAACATTGGGAATAAACCAAATGTTCAACTGGAAATAATTCCAAGTTGAATTATGTTCTTCACAGTTGTGTCACCCTGGAGCAGTTATTACAGGCCCCTTCTTCCCCACTGTGGTGAGATCCCACATCGAGCTTCCTTGGCTGATCTTTAAGGGGGATGCTGTTGCCATTGGGAGCTCCATAGACTTGGATCACTTAACAGCTTTGAGAGATGATATAACTTCTAGAGACAATCTTATTTGCAGCTGGAGTGCAGTGAATAATAATCATCACACAATGTAGTTTCCTTTTTACTTTTCTCTAAGCAAAATAATGTTCATACAGAAATCAGTAAAATAAAAATGCAGGAAAGGCAAGTACTTTTATTGGATCTTTAAAATGTGTTATAGGTATGACATCATGGAAATTATTTATAGTGAATGCTTAAGGTAAAAGTCACCCACAGATTGTAAAGTTCCTGAAGGCAGTGGCTGCATCTCCTTTTGCCTCTGCTGGGTGTGAACAGCATAAGGTACTGAGCAGGAGCACAGTTAACACTCATCAGAATTTAAAATAGCATCGGTGGTGTTAAAGATAAAGAAATTGATACATTTTTTCTTATTTTCATTACTTATATAAATGTATTATGTACTCAGTTTCACAAAATCATTGTATTTAAATATGATAAAAATCTCTGCCGCAACCTGTTTAGAAAATTAGCAAAAATGAAGGACATTGCTTTTCATCTTCCCTGTACAGTTATTTTTTCTATCTTAAGTTTATTACTGCTATAAATTATTTTTATGCTCATAACCATATTCTTTCTAAATTAGTAAAGACTGTCTTTCCTTGGAAACAATTCATTTTTATTTGGAGAGAAATTTTCACCAAAGTTTATGTAGTTAGCCCCTTAACCTTACTTAATTTATTCTGTGAATAGAGCCTTTTATAAGACTCACTTTCTTGAACTCCTGGCCTCAAATTCTCCTCCTGCCTCAGCTTCCTGAGTAGCTGAGATTACAGGCTCAGGCCACCACACCCAGCTTAAAAGTCACTTTCTTACCAAAAAAAAAAAAAAAAAAAAAAAAAAACCTCATATTTAAAAACTACGTCACTCTAAAATGTTACAAATAGGTCATCTTCTTAGTATGCATTGCCTTGTAAAAACATTGGTCAAGTCGGGATGTAGTCGGCCACCAACTAGAAATGTGTTAAGATTTTTTTTGCAGACTTGCTTAATAAGGCAAGGAGGGGGTCAGGTTGTTCTGGGGCCAGCAGAAGGGTCTAAAATACAGGGTAGTGAAAAGAGATTAGAGATTGTGAGTTTCCTTTAAATGCTTAACTGTCATTATTAAGACAGCCACATTTTGTGGGGCGAGCCAAACTGCTGAGCTTGGAATAGCATATGCTTGGAATCTGAATATGAATAAGGCCCAGGTGCCACACTTTACACACAGATCCTTTGCTAAAGAGGCACTATTTGTCTAACAGGCAAGGACCAGGCTGGCAGTCAGGAAGGCTGGGTTTTGGTGCTGATCTTGTCACCAACTATGCACTCTTGAACAAGTCACTTCACTTCACTATCCTAAGCCTGTTTTCTCATCTGAAAAATAAAGGGGTTAGACTTAGCCTTTTAAATGACATTTTTGTATATTTCTACTGGCTATAAAATTATTACAAATATCTATGTCTGACGGTAAGATAGTCTAAATATTCAGGAAAACTCCAAGTATAGCTCTCCTAAAAATGATATGTTGCGTGTTAAAAAAAGAAAAAAAAGAAAAGAAGAAGGGGGAGGAAAAAATAAAATGAAAAAAACTTCAAAAATGCACGGCTGAGTTGGTAGCAAAGAAGGAAATTCTTTGGAGGCCAAAAAGATCTAGAAAGTTTAAATCCAATGTGCAGGAGCTGGCATTGCCTAGCTAATCCCTCATGATTGAGAACCTCAGATTATAGACACTCATGGGGACCAAGAGATAAGGCCTGGGGCCTCAAAAAGGCCAGAGCAGAGGTCGGATCAAAGAATCCCTGTCACAAAGCTAGGACTTCTCACTGGCAATACTCTGAGTAGGCCAAGTCGGAAAGAGGCCACTCTGGCCGGGCACGGTGGCTGAAGCCTGTAATCCCAGCACTTTGGGAGGCCGAGGCAGGCGCATCACCTGAGGTCAGGAGTTTGAGACCAGCCTGGCAAACAAGGTGAAACCCCGTCTCTACTAAAAATACAACAACAACAAAAAAATTAGCCGGGCGTGGTAGCGCATGCCTGTAATCCCAGCTACTCGAGAGGCTGAGGCAGAAGAATCGATTGAACCCGGGAGGTGGAGGTTGCAGTGAGACAAGATCACACCATCGCACTCCAGCTTGGGCAACAAGAGCGAAACTCCATCTCAAAAGAAAAGAGGCCACCCTACAGATGATGGATTTTCACCTTGGTTCTAATGTAGAAAACAAGAAGAGCTCTTTTGATAATTCCTAACCATAAGTAAGCCTTCACTCACATAGTTTTGGAGCTAGAATACATATTATATCTGTGTGTTCTGAAGAACACCAAGCTGAAAATTTGATTTAAAGTGGACTTCAGTTGGTGAGGCTACAAGGTGCCTACAAGAAATAAACTTAAATCCTCCTTGGAGGAATGCACTTTTAAGTTCCAAAGAATAAGAACCTACAGTTAAGAAAAAGTATGCATGCATGAGGAAATAAGTCACTAAGAGTAAGCAACAACAGAAACTATAGAGTCCAATCTTCAAAGACTACAAATATTGTAATTATTATTTATTTATATTAGAGATGGGGTCTTGCTGTATCACCCAGGCTGAGTGCAGTGGTGCTGTCATAGCTCATTGCAGCATTGGACTTCAGGGCTCAAGTGATCCTCCCATCTCATCCCCACAAGCAGCTGGGATAATAGGTGCATGCCACTCTGCCCAGCCAAGTTTTATTTTTTATATAAGCACTTTATTTTTATTTAATTAATTAATTTATTTATTTATTGAGACAGAATCTCACCCTGTAGCCCAGGCTGGAATGCAGTGGCACGATCTGGCTCACTGTAGCCTCTGCCTCCCAGGCTCAAGCAATTCTTCTGCCTCAGCCTCCTGAGTAGCTGGGATTACAGGTGTGCACCACCACGCCCGGCTAATTTTTGTATTTTTAGTAGAGACGGGGTTTCACCATGTTGCTCAGTCTGGCCCCGAGCTCCTGACCTCGTGATCTGCCTGCCTTGGCCTCCCAAAGTGCTGGGATTACAGGCGTGAGTCACCGTGCCCGGCCCCAGGTTTTATTTTTTAAAGGTTTGCTTTTTCCACAAAATTTGAATCTTTCAGGCTAGGAATTTGGATTTGGATTTCAGAAGGGTTTTGGGTGCCTGAGGGAGCTATCAGGGTTTTGTTGGTAATTTACATCTGTGTAAAAAGTGAAATAACGTTGTCGTATTTACTAATGAGGATGTGTTTCTGACATTCCACAGTATTCCTCAGTGAGCAGTTCTGTGAGGCATTTCCATCTTATCTCTGTAATGAGAACACCTACATTTTTGTGGAGACATTGGTTGTCATATCTTATGTACCCATGAGTCAAAGAACTGTGTATGCCCTTGCCCTTCGTTGACTGCAAACCCTAAGGCAAGAAGGCCTGTTTGGACCACTCCCTGCCAACTTTGTTTTATGTTTCTCACCCAAACTTTTCTTCTCACATACTCATTCATCTTTTAAAAGATTGCTATATAGTTATTGTGTATATATTTGGTGGCTTATCTTAAACCTTTTTGGAGACAGGTAGGATATACATTATTCAGAAAAAAAAAAGTAAAAGAAATATCCCTAGAGCAATGTTTTTCAAACTTTATTGACTTGAGCTCACTCAGGCAGTTTAAAAGACACCCGTATACATTTCTGCATGGAAAAAATTAACTTTTGTTTTAACAAAAAGAGAGGGACAAAATAATGTAAAATATACTAAAGTGTGTAGACATATTCAGTACACTAAAGAGCTTTATTTTCCCGTAACATCAGTGGTAGGGGAAATGGTAAGGTTTTGGATAAGAACCTTAGAGAAGACTTACTATTTTGGGTCAGTTGGCCAATCTTAAAATGTGGGGATTTTAAAGACCATCTTGTTCTGATTTATTCCCAGAGACATTATCAGTAAACTAAAAGACAAACTATATTCAAAAACGAAATGGTCAGTGTGTTTATCAGTGGACTACTCTCATTAAAAGTGAGGCTTACATAATAGAAAAAATATCACTCTAGGAATTCTAAGGGGAAGAAAGGAAAACTGTGGGGCTAGAGGAGTACTTTTAGAAAATATCACAGAAATTTCTGGTTAAAAAGTACTACTAACATTTCCTACTAATGTTAGTGTTCAGTTTTATCTGAAAATCCTCAGTGATACATATTACATTTTTTCCTAAGGCAGCCATTGCCTATTTGGGCAATTATAAGAGTCAGGGTGATCTCTTACTTTCTCTTAAGTTCTTCCATAAAATTGAAACCTATAAGTAAGCACACATTTGAAAGAATACATATACAGACTACTCTTAAGTGATGTTTTATCTATATTATAGATTCCCACAAGATATTTCTTTTAAATTTCAGAAAACAAGAATTATATCCCTAAGAAGCTGGCTTCCAAATTAAACAACCTGCTTGTTTCTTGGCAAATAAGTATGCTTTAAGATGCATAATGTAGTTTTATGTTTTCTCAACATATTAAACAAATGCATTTTTATTTTCGTGTTTTCAGATAGTGGCCAGAACTATAGTGCCAGTAGTAAAGGTGAACGACTAAGTGCCAGACTCAGAGCTTTACCTGGGACAAATGAACCTTATGAAAGTAGCAGTAACAAAGAAATAGGCAAGTACTCTCCACCCAGTTCCTCCAGGCATAGCAGGTCTGAAGAAGAATGGTGAGATGGCCAAAAGGTGTTGCTGGGAATTCTTAAGAATTTGATATTTACAGATAAAATTTAAAATGACTTGGGAGACCATTTCTGTTCACTCTGAGTTATTCATTTTGACTATGAGCCTGATTGGTTTCACATTTGTTTTGTTTGTTTACATAACTCTAACGTGACAATCTCTTCGAAACCTAGATGCCTCCTATGTGGACCCACTTGGCCCTCAAATAGAACGACCAAAAACTGCAGCCAAGAAAAGGATCGATGAGGATGATTTTGCTGATGAAGAATTAGGAGATGATTTGCTTCCAGAATAATATTCACTTTAATATTTATTAAAGGAAAGAAATTGCCTTATGAGATCATCCTCATGTTAAACCTTGGATTAAATATCTAACCTGTAATTATTTTTTTTCACTGTCAAAACTTAAGTAAGTGTATTCTATTCTGTATGTATGCATTTAAGTTGTTTTTTTCTTTTAAGGAATAAAAACAGGTAAAACTAATACTTTAGGCCAGTGACTTCCTTAGCTTTTTGAAAACATTGACACACAGGAAGAAATAAATTTCATAACACAACCTAGTACATATATGTGTATGTAGTCATAAAAATTTACCCTTATTATTGCAATACATGCTAATATTTTCTATAGTTTCATTCAAACAAAGTGCTAGTAGTGAAGCCACTACATTGATTTCATGGCTTGCAGATTGAAAAATGCTGTGTGGACATAGGCACAATTTCTATTCATACTTAAATTGCTTGGAGTTTGGAAATTCTTTGGAAGATTTGCCTTGTGGGGATTAGAAACACTATTAAAACAATTATGTTTTGGAAGCAGTATAAAGGGTAATGGGATTAAATACCAAACCATAACCCTAGTGCTCCTTTCCGAAGTTCCTTTCTACTTCAGCCCGGGGGTGTGCACCAATAGCACAGAGCAGTAACAACTCTAAGATGGCTTTTCCCATTTGTGACTTAGTGGGTTGGGGGCAGGACTGCCTGCATTTTTCTTTAACAATGTGTTTGGCTGGTCTAGAGTCTCCAGAGGAATTATAATGACGAGGATGTCAGAAGCAGTGGCTTATCTCTAACACTATACCAAAGAGAATGGACCCCTCAATCTTACTTACCATTGTCTCTGCAACGTGCATGCTACTGTTAGATGCGAGGGAGGAAAACCAAAACTAGACCACATTCCTTGCTCCCAAAGTAGGTTATGCTCTAATTGATGAGACAGCCAACAAATACAGTAAACATCCAGTATGTGCAGAGAATTCATTAAAATTTGGGGGATACAGTAGTGAAAAAGAACTATACCTTGCCCTCAAGAAGCTTAAATTCTGGTGGGGAGATGGAAAATATATTTTGTTTGTTTGTTTGGGTTTTTTTTGAGATGGAATCTCACTCTGTCGCCCAGGCTGGAGTGCAGTGGTGCAATGTTGGCTCACTGTAACGTCCACCTCCTGGTTTCAAGCAATGCTCCTGCCTCAGCCTCCTGAGTTGCTGGGATTACAGGCACGCACCACCACACCTGGCTAATTTTTGTATTTTTAGTCAGACGGGGTTTCACCATGTTGGCCAGGCTGGTCTCGAATTCTTGACCTCATGATCCACCCACCTTGGCCTCCCAGAGCTGGGATTACAGGCATGAGCCAGCGTGCCTGGCCAGAAAATATGTTTTTAAAGGACTCTAGATATTGTTAATTACAGTTAAGAGAACAAAATGGAGTAATGCAATAGGTAGTGATTATAGAGGAGGGACTCTAAGAGGTGGCCTTGGTAATAACACTAGAATGGTGAGAAGAAAGCAGTGTTCTGAGCAGAAGGAGCAGCAAGTGCCGCACACTGAAAAATGAATGATCTGGATGTGTCACAGGGTTATTGAGCTACAGTGATAGTGAGAGGGTTTGGGATCCAGCAGTGTGGGTGGTGTGCTACATGGGCAGGAAAGGGAAAGGAGATGAGATCCAAAAGGTAGGCAGGGTTCAGAGCATGTACAGCCTTATAAAGACAGTTTGGATCTTATTCTAGTTACTATAGAACACCTGCTAGAAGGTTTCATGCAAGGGGGGTGAGTGAAGTGCTTTCATTTAACCTTTAGAAACCAGTCATCACACTGGTCGCCATGAAGATGAAGTGGGCAAGTGGGATGGAAGGGAAGAGTGGAAACTACTAGCAGTAGCCTGGGTAAGAGATGAAAGCAATTGAGACAGGTTTTTAGCAATAGAAAATTGTGAGAAGTGGTCAGATTCAGCATATATTTGGAGGCAGAGCTGAGACTTACTAATGGATTGGATGTGGATTGTGAGGGAAAGAGAGGAAAAGATGATGCCAAAATTTGTGGCTAAGGAACGGAGTGGCTAGTGTTGTCTTTTTAGTAAGATAGATTTGGGGGGGAATAAGTAGATGTGTTTTACCCATGTTAAATTTGTCTCAAGCATTCAATTTGAGATGCGAAGAATGCAGTTAATCTTTAAAATCTGGAGGTCACAGAAGTGAGGGCTACAGGTAGAGATGTGGGATCCATCTATGTACACTTCGTACTTAAAACCATGAAACTGAATGAGATCAATTAGGTCTGAGAGTGAGGCTAGAGAAGAAGTATAAGCAATGTGCTTGTGAGTACCAGAGAAAAAGGATGGCTCAGCAGAAGAGACTGAGAAGAGCAACAAGTGATGTAGGAGGTTTCAGGATTCAAACTTCCAGTTCTGAGAAGGATGCAGTAGGTCATGGAAGCCCTCCGTAGCAGCTGGGAAAAAAAAACAAATCATTGCAAAAATCATGTCTTCAAAGTCTCTGGAGATCTGTGGAATCAATAAAACTAAAAATTGCAGAGAGGAAAGAGCCTTTTTTTTTTTTTTTTTTTTTTGAGACAGAGTCTTGCTCTGTCGCCCAGGCTGGAGTGCAGTGGCACAATCTCGGCTCACTGCAACCTCTGTCGCCCAGGCTGGAGTGCAGTGGCGTGATCTCGGCTCACTGCAACCTCTGCCTCCCAATTCTCTGGGTTCAAGCAATTCTCTGCCTCAGCCTCCCAAGTAGCTGGGATTACAGGTACCTGCCACCATGCCTGGCTAATATTTATATTTTTAGTAGAGACGGGGTTTCACCATCTTGGCCAGAGGGTGGACTTGAACTCCTGACCTCGTGATCTACCCGCCTCGGCCTCCCAAAGTGCTGGGATTACAGGCGTGAGCCACTGCGCCCAGCCCAAAAGAGCCATTTCTAAATGAACTGCTGATCCTGCCTGTTTTTCTGGAGACATTCACCAGTTCTAGGCATGGGCTAAGAACTGCACTTTCCTCAGGGAAAAGGCGTCATCTAGAGAAACTAACAGAGCTTTTAAGGTGGTCATTTGGGGTTGGCATGACAAACTGGAAACTTAGAGAAGCCCCAAATGTATGGCTGGCTTTCCACCATGGGGCATTTGCTGGAGTGCTGCTTCAGCTGGGGTAATGCTGGAGGCTAGGGAACTGGGATGGAGGTTTTAAGGGCTTAAATCTCCCATAGTTCTTAGGGGACGATGTCCTGCTAGGGGGAAAGGCTTTCCACAAGATATTTGCTATTTAGTCTACCCTCAAGATAATTGCTATTTTGGGGGCCGGGCATACTGGCTCACACCTGTAATCCCAGCACTTTGGGATGAGGCGGATGGATCACTTGAGGTCAGGGGTTTGAGACCAGCCTGGTCAATATGGCAAAAACCTGTCTCTACTAAAAATACAAAATTTAGCTGGGCATAGTGCTCGTTTGTAATTCCAGCTACTTGGGAGGCTGAGGCAGGAGAATCTCTTTAACACAGGAGGCAGGGGTTGCAGTGAGTCAAGACTGCGCCACTGCACTCCAGCCTGAGCAACAGAGCAAGACTCCGTCTTGAAGAAAAAAAAAAAAGATATTTGCTATTTTTTGAATCTGCATGGGGGCAGGAGGCTAACAATCTAAAGTCAAAACCTGGAGGGACCAACTTGACTCTTTTTCCATCTTTCTCAGCTGAGGAGACAAATCTAGGCTCCTAATCAAAAGCCTAGAAGGACAAACATGAATCAACGGTGGACTGACCCTTATACAAAAACTGCAGCCCAGGCTGGGTGAGGTGGCTCATGCCTGTAATCCCAGTGCTTCTGGAGGTTGAGGCAAGAGGATTGCTTGAGGCCAGGAGTTCAAGGCCAGCCTGGGCAACATAGTGAGACCCTGTCTCTACAAAAAATAAAAAAATTAGCCGGGGCATGGTGGCATGCACCTATAGTCCCCACTATTCGAGAGGCTGAGGCAGGAGGATCACTCGAGACCAGGACTTCAAGGTTACAGTGAGCTGTGATTGCACTCCAGCCTGGGCAACAGAAGGAGACCCTGCAACTCAACTCAATCCTTGACTGGATTGAAGTAATTAGTCCTGAATTCTCTCTGCCTAAGAGAGGAAAGAGGACCTTTCTATGGTAAGAATATCATTTGCAGTCTCTACGGTTCTTATATATACAATGCTTGGCATGTAATAAAATTACTGTGGCTGGGCGCAGTGGCTCATGCGTGTAATCCCAGGACTTTGGGAGGTCAAGGCGGGCAGATCACGAGGTCAGGAGATCAAGACCATCCTGACCAACATGGTGAAACCCCGTCTCTACTAAAAAATACAAAAAATTAGCCAGGCGTGATGGCAGGCACCGGTAGTCCCAGCTACTCGGGAGGCTGAGGCAGGAGAATGGCGTGAACCCAGGAGGTGGAGCTTGCAGTGAGCAGAGATCGCGCCACTGCACTCCAGCCTGGGCGACAGAGCGAGACTCTGTCTCAAGAAAAAAAAAATTACTAGAATGCAAGGAGTCAAGAAAATATGACCAGCAATCAAGAGAAAGTATAAATAGAAGCAGTCCTCTAGAAAATCCAGATAATGGATTTAACAAACAAGGACTTTGTGACTAGTGTGTTAAGTTAATAAAATGGATAAAAAGATGGAAAATTTCAATTGAATGTTGGAATCTGTGAAAAAGAGTCAAATAACTTAAAACTGAAAGACACAATATCTGAAATGAACTTACTTGGATGGATTGAACAATGTACCAGACACAGCAGATGTCAGGATTAGTGAGTAGGTCAATAGAAAAATATCCAAACTAAAGCAAAGAGAAATAAGACTGGCAAAATAAAGCAGCTGACAAGAGACACTTGGGACACAGTCAAGAGTTTAAATAATTATAATGGGAATCCCGGAAGGAGTGGAAGAGAGAATAGGGTAGAATTAACATTAGAAGAGATAATGTCTACAATCTCCCCAAATTGAAAAAGACATAAAGCCACAGATTTAGGAAGTTCAGTGAGCACCAAGGAGATACAAAGAAGACCACGCTGTGGTTACATTGTGCTCAAACTGCTAAAACCCACGACTTCCTTAAGATAAGCAGAATTACAAGGACACAGTACTTTCAGAGGAACATTAATAAGATTTATGGCTAACTTTTCAATAAAACTAAGGAACCAGAAGACAATAAAATGGTATCCTTAAGGTGCTGAAAAACAAATTAAAAGTCTGCCAACCTAGATTTATATTCCAGTGAATATATCCTATAAACTTTAAAGTTAAAGAGTTTTCAGGCCGGGCGCAGTGGCCCATGCCTGTAATCTCAGCACTTTGGGAGGCCGAGGAGGGTGGATCGCCTGAAGTCAGGAGTTCAAGACCAGCCTTGCCAACATGGTGAAACCCCGTCTCTACTAAAAAATACAAACATTAGCCAGGTGTGGTGGCAGGCACCTGTAATCCCAACTACTGAGGCAGGAGAATCACTTGAAGCTGGGAGGCGGAGGTTGCAGTGAGCTGAGACCGCACCACTGCACTGCAGCCTGGGCGACAGAGCAAGACTCCGTCTCAAAAAAAAAAAAAATTTTTCAGACAAATAAAATTTGAGAAAATTAATTACCAGAAGACTAGGTCCACAGAAAAAGTCCTACAGGCTAAAGGAAGATGATCCTAGAAAGAAGCATGAAATGACAGAAACTGATCACAAAGTTGAAAAATAATGAAAAGCACCAGAAAGGTATGGGGATATATAAAAGAAAGAATATTCACTATTTAAAACAACAATAATAATGCCTTGTGGAATTTTAAGATACATAGAAATAAAATAATGACAATACTAGTCCAAAGATTGGGACTGGGTATTAAATGAAGTTTCTTATATCATTCAGACAGTGCTAGACCATAATGAGGAGTATTTTGCAGAATGTACAATTAAAAGAGTAATGGTACAACTAATGAATATGGAAAGAATGATAAAATCAGCCAGGTGCAGTGGCTCATGCCTGTAATCCCAGCACATTGAGAGGCCGAGGCAGAAGGATTGCTTGAAGGCAGGAGTTTGAGACCAGCCTGGGCAACAAAGCAAGACACTGTCTCTACAAAAAATTAAAAAATAAGCCAGGCACAGTGGCAAGTGCCTATGGTCCCAGCTATTTAGGAGGCTGAGGTGGGAGGATCACTTGAGCCCAAGAGTTTGAGGCTACAGTGAGCTATGATGGCACCACTGTACTCCAGTCTGAGTGGCAGAGCGTGACACTATCTCTAAAAATAAATAGATAAATAATAACTAATAGATAAATAAATAAAATGAAAATCACCACTTTGCAACCACCACAAAATTAATCCAAGCAAGAATCATCACCGATTGCTAAAGCAAGTGAAGGAAAGTTTGATGAGAATAGCGTATTTACATAGCCCCAAAGTTTTCCCCCATGAATTACTTATTAATTATAAGAGGAAGAAAAATTTTATACTGGAGAAACCTGGTGCTACCTTAATCATGACCAAAGTGAACACAGCCAATAATGGGATGAATAAAATCCTTATGCCCCTGATGTGAGACACTGAAAAGATATGAGATTACGTAGCCAATATTCCTGCCAAAAAAACTAACCTGAACCGAATCATGAAGAAATACCATAAACTGAAGAACATTTGACAAAATAACTAGCCTCTACTTTTCAAAAATGTCAAGGCCATGAAAGACAAAAAAATGTCTGAGGAACTGTTCCAGATTAAGGAAGACTAAAGCAGGCTGGGTTCAGTGACTCACACCTGTAATCTCAGGATTTTGGGAGGCCAAGGCGGCTGGATCGCTTGAGGATAGGAGTTCAAGACCAGCCTGGCCAACATAGCGGGAACCCCCATCTCTACTAAAAATACAAAAAATTAGCTGGGCCTGGTGGTGCATGCCTGTAGTGCCAGCTTCTTGGGAGGCTGAAGAACGAGAATCAGTTTAATCCAGGAGGTGGAGATTGCAATGAGCCAAGATTGCACCACTGCACTCCAGCCTGGGCAACAGAGTGAGACTCTGTCAAAAAAACAAAAAAGGAAGGAAGGAAGGAGGGAGGGAGGGAGGGAAGGACGGAAGGAGGGAAGGAAGGAAGGAAGGAAGGAGAGAAGAGAGAAAGAGAGAAAGAAGGAAGGAAGGAAGGGGGGAGGGGAGGGAAGAGGAGGGGACGGAAGGGGAGAGAAGGGGAGGGGAGGGGAGAGGAAGGAAGACTAAAGAGACATGTCAACAAAATGTAATGCATGATCCTTGATGAGATCCTGGACTGGGGGAATTTTGCTTTAAGGGACATTAAAGAGACAGCTGGTGAAATGGGAATAGGAATGTACAGATGCTCCTCAACTTATGATGGGGCTGTGTCCTGATAAACCCATTGTTAAAAAACACCACACGTTGAAAATACATTTATTACTCTGTTATACCAGTCATAAAGATGAAAAATCATAGCTTGAACTATCATTAAATCCAGATGCTCCTCGACTTACCATAGGGTTATGTCCCAATAAGCCTATCACAAAGTCGAACAATCATAATTGAACAATCATAAGCTGGAGACCATCTACATTAGATAAGTATTTGTAAAATGTCTTAATTTTTAGAATTGCACTACGGTTACATAAGTGAATGTCTTTGTTCCTGAGAAATACACACTGAGGTGCTGTGGGACAAAGGGTCCTGATTTCTGCAACTCGATGGCTCAGTGGTCCAGAAGAAAGCACAGTGAAAAAGCAATGTGGAGAAATGTGAACAAATAGTGGAACTGAGTGAAGGGTATGTGGAGTTCCTTCATATTCTTCTTACAACTTTTCTATAAGTCTGAAATTATTTCAAAATAAAAGTTTTTTTTAAAGCTAATGTAGCTGGGTGTGGTGGTGTACACCTGTAGTCCTAGCTACTCAAGAAGCTGAGGCAGGATGATGGCTTGAGTCCAGGGGCTCCAGGTTATAGTGGGCTATGATAGCACCACTGCACTCCAGCCTTGGTGACAGAGCAAGACCCCGTGCCTAAAAATAATAAATAAAAATAAAAAAGCTAATGGAGGACAAAATGTAATGATGAAAAATACTTGATTAATGCAAAGAAAGGCAGGTAAAGGAGAAATAAAGGAATAAAGAGCAGATGAACAAAGAGAAAACAAGCAACAAGACAGGACTTAAACCTATTTATATTAGTAATTACGTTACATTAGTAATTATAAAAATGCAAACTCAATTACATTAATAATTAGTAAATGCTAGTTATGTTTAAAAATACAGCAAATGTAAATAGAATATTCCAGTTAAGTGACAAAGATTATCAGACTATTAAAAAACAAGACTCAACTATATGTTACTTACAAGAGACACATTTTAAATGCAGTCCTGCACCACATGACATCATTTCAGTCAAAAACAGACCACATATATGATGGTGGCCCCATACGATTATAATACCAAATTTTTACTGTACCTTTTCTATATTTAGATACACAAATACTTACTATTGTGTTACAATTGCCTACATTATGCAGTACAGTAACATGCTGTACAAGTTTGTAGCCTAGATGTGTTGTAGCCTAAACTACACCCCACAGAGCCGAGTTGTATAGTAGGCTATACTCAGTTTAAATACAACCTAGGGTGTTCACACAGCAACGAAATCACCTTACATTTCTCAGAATGCATCCCTGTTGGTAAAAGACATGTGACTGTCTAAAGGCACAGATAGGTTGAAAAAGAAAGGATAGAAAAAGAATGCTCATCAAGGCCGGACGTGGTGACTCACTCCTGTAATCCCAGCACTTTGGGAGGCCAAGGCCGGTGGATCGCCTGAGGTCAGGAGTTTGAGACCAGCCCAGTCAACATGGTGAAACCCTCCCTGTCTCTACTAAAAATTCAAAAATTAGCCCAGCATGGTGGCACGTGTCTATATTCCCAGTTACTCGAGAGGCTGAGGCAGGAGAATAGCTTTAACCCGGGAGGCAGGGGTTGCAGTGAGCCGAGATCACACCACTGCACTCCAGCCTGGGCAATGAGTTAAACTTCACCTCAAAAATAAAACAAAATAAAAATTCAGAACCTTTGCTGTAAAGGGGAGTCAAGTGGGACCTGGGGTCAAGAAAGGGTTTATCAAATGCATCAGGAAAGAAGGTGGGAGACATCAGACTGGGTGGGAGTAAGTCAGTGCATTTGCTGGTTGGAAGAAATGTAAAAGCTCTCATCTGTGGTCTGTGGAAGGTGTGAGGAACGAATTGGGCAGTAGAGACTTGAGGAAAGAGAATATGTAGATTAGTGATACTGGAAGAAGACCATAACTGCAGAGGTGTAATACGATACTTATGTTGAATGTTAATCTGAGATTTGTGGTCATAACTCAGAACTGAGTCTACTCAGCTCAGTTGTATGATTTTTAAGAGTTGGGATTCTAGGCAATTACAACAGAGAAAAAAGGAGAAAGGGATTAAGGGTGTTTGCAAGGGCGTGGCGACAGTGTCGAACTGTGAATCTAAACTAGACAAGAAAGGACATAAGGACTCAAGGGTGGAACGGTTAGTGAGAAGTGGGAGAAGGCTGGATGACGGCAGAAAACTGCAGGAGTGGGCGAAAACAGAAGGCACCTATGTCAAGGAATAGGATATTTGAAATCAGATGTTTGGCTGTATTGCAGTTATTGGTGATGACGAAACCTTGGATATGACCCTATGACTTGACAGTTGAGATGAGATGGGAAATAAAGACAATTGGGGCTAACGTAGTCACTTGGAAATCAGCATGTTAAATTGTCTCTGTGGAGGTTAAGGTGCCAGGAATGATCAGCAGGAATAGTGGTAGACCCAGGTGCTAAAATCAGTGAATCAAGGGAGTGACCAGCAAGGTGACAGCAATGAGAGCGCTATCAGTAGGAACATCCAAGCACAGTTTTTTTTTTTTTTTTTTTTTGAGACGAAGTCTAGCTCTGTTGCCCAGGCTGGAGTGCAGTGGTGCAATCTCGGCTCAATGCAACCTCCACCTCCCGGGTCCAAGCGATTCTTCTGCCTCAGCCTCCTGAGTAGCTGGGATTACAGGCATGCGCTACCACACCCGGCTTTTTGTATTTTTTTTTAGTAGAGACCCGGTTTCACCATGTTGGGCGGGCTGATCTCGAACTCCTGACCTCGTTATCCGCCCGCCTAAGCCTCCCAAAGTGCTGGGATTACAGGCGTGAGCCACCATGCCCGGCCTCAAGGACAGCTCTTTAAGGAAGAGAAAGAGGTTTGGGTAGATACGAACATCAGTAACCCAAGATTATTAGTATGGAAGGAGCCAACCACACACCGGCTTTTGGAGTTACGGTGCCTAAGGATGATTTAAAAGATTTTCCCCAACAGCTTGCCCCATGCTAAGCAGTCTTGCAGCTGTGCTGGTATTGGGTGTGCTGAGTAAACCAGGGGATGAGGGACTGGAGAGGCTTCAAATGAAGCTTGCGTGGCCACATTACAGATATGTTGGTTTTAAGGGAACACGATGAGCCTGCTTTTGAGTATGTTGTTCCCTTTTTTTCACTTGTATGTCTTAGGTTTGAACTTACTAACATGCTTATTTTGCATCTTCACAAATATGTTGAAATTTGAGGGGAACTCATAAACATTTGCACCTATTTATGACTCTCAACTGATTAGTCTCACAAATATCAAATTTGTTCTGCCAAATAGGTGAGCATTTTCAGTCATTTGTGATCTTTCACAAAATGAAAACTGCTGGAAAGTAAATATTTTCCTTCCCACTTCCAAGGTAATCCGGGGGGGTGGTGAGGAAGAGAGAAGCTGCCATGTTACCAGACAGTGGAAAATACTTTGTTGAATAACATACAGAACTAAGTCTGGTACCATGTCACCTCATATAGGAATGGATGCTGAAATGAGACAGACTGAGTATTTCTATGAAACCCTCATAATGATACTCTCTTAAAAGCCTCCCACGCTTCCTTTTTTCCAATAAAAAATAAGCAGTATTTGAGTACTGAAACCTTTATTCCCATTTTACTGGAAACAAAGAACATGAACAATTTACTAGTCAGAAAAAAAGTGTTTTATAACCCAAAACAAATATTTGCCAAGAGCTGTAAATTGCTTAAATCGCTTAAACTGGAGATTTCAGTGAGATTTTTAGCAGTAGATTACTAAGCTCCTTAGTTATAGAACATTCAATGCATAGGAAAGTGTTTTTCCTACAAAGCATAACTGAAATGTAGTTTAACTAATGGTTTACAATTCAGTCAAATACCAAAGCTGCAAACCATTTAGGGAGTCATCAATTACATATTTTGTACACTTTCAAAAAGCTTACAGCTGGGATGGGTTGTTTATTTTCAAAGCATGACTGCTTTAAAATGATCATATTCTTTAGCCTGCCACCTAGGAAGCATTAAGCATTTACTTGCAGAATGAACAAACGAGCACGTTGTCTTGTGTTATGAAGTATATAATATAGTTCGTTTTAGTTTCTTCATTCGCAGACTATCAGGCTCATTTCACGTGACTGCTTGCACTTAGAACTGAGTTATCACGGAGTAGGAACTCTCCAACATCGTCGTCATAGACCAAGAGATGCCCATGAACAGCCATGAAAGTGCCAGTCAGGGAAGTATTCAGTGCTTTGTTGTAGAGTTGTTGGATAGAGGCACAGGATCATTTCATGTTGTTGAGGAGAAAGGAGCAACAGCCTCCTCCCACCTTATTAAAAATAGAGATTTAAAAAAACCTCTAATTTCCTCGAAGTACAGAATCTCAAGAGGTAGCTCTAAGGAGAATCCCTCTGGGTTTGAGCGCATTCCTCTTCCAGGGGGCCTATTCTTGGACTGCTTTCCTTAATAGAGAAATCTCTCTGAGCCAAAATCGGCCTCCCCCAATTCCATCCTGTCGGCCCCACTTTTCTGCTTCGGAGACTTCCAAGCCAGTCCCCACTCCTCCTTCAGCCAGTCGGGCCCGCACCCGCGCCCGGCAGGGCCAGCCCTCTCCTCCTCCTGCGTGGCGCAGCACAGGCCCTGAGCGCGCGACCCCAGGCCCTGGGCGCCCCGCCGCATGCTCGCGGCTGGAAGCCCCAGTTTGCGTGGCCCTTCGGGTTATTCCGCTCAAGAGCCGCCGCGTCGCCCCATCTCGGCGCGAATCTGAAAGCGCTTTCGGGGGAGAAGATGTTGGGGGCACTGGTGAGTACACTGCACAAGTGACAAAATGTTTTCAGCTCCTGGAGGCGAAAGGTGCAGAGTCGCTCTGTGTCCGTGAGGCCGGGCGGCGACCTCGCTCAGTCGGCTTCTCGGTCCGAGTCCCCGGGTACGAGGAAAGACCACAGGGGGCTTCTCGCGGAAAAGCGGGCCGCGGACCCTGCGCGGGCTGGCTGGGGCGGGCGGATGACGAGGCGCAGGGGCAAGGGTGGGTCTGCGAGGCGGCGGGTCCGGGCGTCTTAGGCTCCGGGGCTCCCTCGCTGGCGGCGGAGCAGGGATGGCGCGCCCGGGGGTGAGGGTGCGGCGGGTCACAAGCACTCGCAGCCCGCGGCGCAGCAACCCGGCAGGCACACGCACACGTGCACGCGCGCCCCGCACCCGCCCCCCGTGCGGCCCCCGGCTCGGGGCGGCGGCGGCGGCGGGGGCCGGGGGCGCGCGGGCCGGCGCCGGGCTGGGCCCCGGGGACCCCGCGGGCGGCGGGCAGGCGGGGAGGGCGCTCTGGGGCCCGCCCGCGCGGCTCCCATCCTCCGGGCCGGCCTCTGGCTCCGCGGGGCGAGGGGAGGCGCCCGCCGGCTCCGGGCGCCGCGGGCGGGACACGGGCGCGGGGCGCAGGCGGGCTCCTCCGGCGCGTGCGGACGCTGAGCGTGGCCTGTCCCTCAGGTCTGGATGCTGGTAGCCGGCTTCCTGCTGGCGCTGCCGCCGAGCTGGGCCGCGGGCGCCCCGAGGGCGGGCAGGCGCCCCGCGCGGCCGCGGGGCTGCGCGGACCGGCCGGAGGAGCTACTGGAGCAGCTGTACGGGCGCCTGGCGGCCGGCGTGCTCAGTGCCTTCCACCACACGCTGCAGCTGGGGCCGCGTGAGCAGGCGCGCAACGCGAGCTGCCCGGCAGGGGGCAGGCCCGCCGACCGCCGCTTCCGGCCGCCCACCAACCTGCGCAGCGTGTCGCCCTGGGCCTACAGGTGAGCCGCGGGCGCGTCCTGGCGGGGCCCGGCAGGTGGGGAGGGCAGGGCTGGGCGGGGAGAGTGGGTGGGGCCGGGCCGAGGCCGGGCAGGCGGGGAGGGTGGGGCGGGGAAGGGGAGGTGGTTGGGGCGGGGCGACGCGGAGGGGGCGTGGCACGCGGGGCGAGGCGGAGCAGGTAGGGGTGGGGTGGTGCGGGGCGAGACAGGGTAGGGTACGGTAGGGTGGGGTGGGGTGCGAGGGGCGCTGCGATGAGGCGGGGTGGGGCGGGGCAGTTGGAGCACTGGGGGGCAATTCCTAAACTGCGAAGGCCCACCCCCACCACCTCCCTTGAAGGAGTCCTGCTTCCTCTCTTTACCCTCCAGTATTTCCTATGCAACACGTATCTCTTGAACACCTCATCTCCTCCAGGTTGGATGGGTCCGCAAGGCACTAGCTGGGGACCCTTCCGTGATGTGGACACAGTGATGTGGACCGTACTCTGCACAGGGGGCCCGGGGAGGTGCTGCTGGGGGGTGCGCGGTACTATCCACATATTTCCTGAGTGCCCCTGTGGTCCAGAGGCTGCTGGAGTGGAGCCCTGGGAAGCGCCCTCTGAGCCCCTCTAGTTTAATAGCCTAAGGAAGGAGTGGGGATAATTGGGAAAGAAACCACACCATCAGGCAGTGCATGAAGTGACATGAACAGTTTCGAGAGTATTTTGGTCTTGGAACAGAGGTCATTTCAGAAGAAAGGGACAGCCTGCAGAAGGGGAAGGCTGGAGAAGTTGGGGGCGTGTAGGCAGGGTGCCGCAGTGTCCTCAGCAGGCACCTGTGACCGTCTTCCCTCTAGCTGGAGCAGGAGGAGCTGCCCTAGGGGGCAAGGCCTCCCAGGGCCACAGAGGTCAAGAAAGGCTTCGTGAAAGAGCTGAGTCTTGATGGAGGAGAGCAAGTCGCCTACAAAGGCAGTGCTGAGGGAAGGGACAGCTGATAGCAAGCGGGAACAAAGCGCTTGGAAAATGGGGAGAGCCACAAGGCGAGCGGGGGCGGTGGGGGTGGGGGGGCGTAGGCGAGGTGTTTGCCTGTGGGGTGGGCATCGATGTAAGGCTGGAGACAGGTGCAGGAGCTGGATCCCCGCCTTGTCAGCAGTGCAGAGCTTCACCCTCACGCCTGGAATCCCAGCACTTTGGGAGGCCGAGGCAGGAGGATTTAAGTCCAGGAGTTCGAGACCAGCCTGGGAAACATAGCGAGATCCCATTTCTGCAAACAATTTTTAAGGATTAGCGAAGTGTGGTGGCACGTGCCTGTGGTCCCAGCTACTCCAGAGGCTTAAGTGGGAGGATAGATTGAGCCCGGGAGGTTCAGGCTGCAGTGAGCTGTGGTGGCGCCACTGCCTTCCAACCTGCGTGACAAAGCGAGACCCCGTCTCTAAAATAAAAATTAAAGAGAAAAAAAGTCTTGACACTTGAGATGGAGGAAGCCATACAGCCACTCTGGTTTAGGAGGGTGTCCCAATGGGGCATGGATTGGACAATGCTCTCCAGCACTTCCATCCAAAGGATCTAGGGCTTCACTCAGGCAGCGCGGTGGGAAGGGGAGACTAGGATCAGCGTGAAAGATGCTCATTAAAGAAGACAAGTGCTGTGGAGAGTCAGAGGAAATGTGATGATTTTGTCTAAAACGCATCTGGGCTTTCCTGGAGCCTCTCCCTGCCGGCTGCTGGGTAGGGAGATTTCCTTTTACTCAACAACACACAGGACCCCTATGCTGTCCTGGGAAGCCAAGTTTTAGGGCCTCCTGCCTCCTGGCTACTCTGCAGAGGACCAAGCTCACTGTGGCAGAGCCCCCTCAGAGCCCCTGCCCACGGGGAAGTTGGGTGGGACCCCTCCCGCCCTTCTCACTCCTGTCCTTCAGCTGGAGCCTGCAGGGCACACACATGGCGCCATTCATTCTGGTATCTTGGTGCTCTTGCTTTTCCTCTCTCTTCCTCCATTTCCAGGACCTGAAGGGATGGACTACGGCATTCTTCTTTCTCTAACCTCGTGTTATGCTTCTGATATACCAAATAGGATTAAAGCCACATAAGGAATCTCTCAGAACCAGAGATTAACTTCTCTGGACAGAAGCTGCTGGCCCTGCTTTCTATAGCAGATTCGAACTCTCAGGCAAACCCGTGGCTCCCCACAGGCTGGGCCAAGGGCCTAAGAGTAGTATATAGCCTCCCAAAGGCATGTCTCTCATGTTTCTGGCTTGGGTTGTTGATGGTATTTGAGCAAAATGAGAAAATACACTTAGGAACAAGTGTTGTGGGAGGAAATAATGAATTTAGTAACAAGCCTGTTGAGTTTTGCCTGCCTGAAAGGCGTACAGGTGACAATGACTGGTTGGAGCTCAGGAGACAGAGCAGGGCTGGAGGACACATGGAGAGTTAGCAGCACTGGCATTCTGTGTGTGGGAAGTTAAATTGAGTTGCCCTTGCTACAGATGACACCTATGTCGCCCCAGGCAGGATCTGGGAGCCGAGGGAGGTTATGGATGAGAATGACACACAGGGTTCGGGGATCGTGGTCTGGGCCACCCAGATCTGCCCACATGTGGAACCTCAGTGCTGGGTGGTCCCAGGAGCAGGAGTGGCAGCTGCAGCAGGGTGGCTGAAGGTGTCATGTGCATCATTTTTCATATTATTTAGCAACAGTGATGAGATCACTCCCCATGGGCAAACGGAGGTGGGTGGCTTATATTTGCTGAAGGAAGGACAGTCTTCAGGGGATGGCTGCTGGGCTGGGACTCCAGATTGCTGACTGCCAAAGCTGCTCCTGCATTTTCCTGCCAGGAGAGCCCTCTCTGCCCTCCTCCCTCCAATCACCTCTCACCATCTTTTGGGTTATTGGGAAGATTAGAAAAAGTGAGACCCAGCCAGGCCCAGTGGCTCACCTGTAAATCCCCGGCTACTCAGGAGGCGGAGGTGGGAGGATCACTTGAGCCCAGGAGTTTGAGACCAGCCTGGGCAACATAGTATGAGACTTATCACTACAAAAAAAACAGCCAGGTGTGGTCATGTTTGCCTGTGGTCCCAGCTACTTGGGAAGTTTGAGCCAGGGAGGCTGAGGCTGTAGTGAACTATGATTGTGCCTCTGCACTCCGGCCTGGGCAACAGAGTGAGAACTTGTCTCAAAAAAAAAAAAAAAAAAAAAAAAAGGAAAAGAAATAGTGAGCCAATGGAAGTGTGGAGCCTCTACTAAAAGATGTTGTGGAAGGACAGGTTTTTTCTTTTAGACAGAATCTCGCTCTGCCACCCAGCCTGGAGTGCAGTGACACAGACAGATCAATGCAGCCTTGACCTTCTAGGCTCAAGGGATCCTCCTACCTCAGCCTCCCATGTAGCTGAGACCACAGGTGCGCACCACCACATGCAGCTAGTTTTTTTGTTTTGTTTTTTAGAGATGGGGGCCTCACTTTGTTGCCCAGGTTCGTCTTGAAGTCCTGGGCTCCAGTGACCCTCCTGTCTCAGCCTCTCATAGTGCTGGGATTACAGGCGTAAGCCATGGTGCCAGGCCAGGGCTTGTTCCTTGGTGGAGTGTCTGAGGGTGGGGCCTGGGTAGAGGAGTGCCCACCTGCAGGCTGGGCACAGGGTCAGGTGGTATTTCTTTCTTTCTTTCTTTTGAGACAGGGTTTTGCTCTGTCACCCAGGCTGGAATGCAGTGGCATGATCTTGGCAGACTACAACCTCCATCTCCTGGGTTCAAGCAATTCTCCTGTCTCAGCTTCTGGAGTAGCTGGGATTACAGGTGCATGCCACCACGCCCAGCTAATTTTTGTATTTTTAGTAGAGACAGGGTTTCGCCATGTTGGCCAGGCTGGTCTCGAACTCCTGGCCTCAAGTGATCTGCCTGCCTTGGCTTCCTAAAGTGCTGGGATTACAGGCCCAAGCCACCACGCCCTAAAGGCACAGCAGTCAGAGAGAATGCTGAGAAAGACAGATAGGGAGATGGACTGAACGTCAGGAGTACTGATGGGCACAGCAAGGATCACTTTAGGTGGATAAGTTTTACAATAGGCATTTGGAAGGTGGCTTTCCATACGGATGGAATGGAGACCTGGGTCATTCAGTAAATGGTGTTGGGACAGCCTGGGCCTCACTCCTCTGTGAAAATGAATTCCAGATGAATCAAACATTTAAATGTAAAAAAACCACAAAAGCAGAGAAAAACACAAGCAATTATATTTATAATCTTGGAGTGGAGGAGGCCCTATTTAGCTGCTCACAGTCCCCAAAAGTCACAGAAGACAAGATTGAGAAATGAAGTTACATAATTACACACCATTTCTTCTTGGTAAAGTAAAATAAGAAAAATACAAGGGCAAACTGGGAAAAAATGTTTGCAACCCAAGTCACAAAGAGCTCATTCCTAAAGAGCTCCCACAAATCAGTAAGAAAAGGACCAGTGACGGCCGGGTGCGGTGGCTCACGCCTGTAATCCCAGCACTTTGGGAGGCCGAGGCAGGAGGATCATGAGGTCAGGAGATCGAGACCATCCTGGCTAACATGGTGAAACCCCATCTCTACTAAAAATACAAAAAAAAAAAAAAAAATTAGCCAGGAGTGGTGGTGGGCACCAGGAGGCAGAGCTTGCAGTGAGCTGAGATTGTACCACTGCACTCCAGCCTGGATGACAGAGCGAGACTCTGTCTCAAAAAAAAAAAAAAAAAAGAAAGAAAGAAAAGAAAAGGACCAGTGACATCATGGAAAGATGAGCAAAGATCGGGACTGTTCCCGGGGAAGGAAGGTCAAATGACTCAAACGCTTGACACAGAAAGCAACGCTAGCATCAGGCATCAGTGAAGTGCATGTGGAGACTATACTAAGAAGCCCTTTTTTTTTTTTTTTTTCCTGGCACCCAGCAGGCTACGTTGGCAAGGTTGTGAAGGAAAGGCATTCTCATCCAAGTACAGGGGTATGAATCAGCACAGCTTTTATGGAGGGCGATTTGGTGTTAAATATCAAGATTTTAAATTCACACACCCTTTAACTTAGCATTTCCCCTTCAGACACACTTGCCCACGTGCCAAATGATATGTGTACAAGGATATGTGTTCACTGCTGCAATGGCAAGAGATTGGAAGCTACCTAAACATCCACCAACAGGCACCGAGTTAGATATTATACACTATAAGGAAGAATGAGGCAGCTCTAAAAGTCATAAGTGGATCAATCACTCACCAATACAAAGCGGGGAAAGGGGTATATAGCATGCTGCCATTTCTACGTTAAAAGGGAAAATATGACGTAATATGTACATATGACACATTCTGTGTTCAGCGCCTACACATACACGCACACAGGCATCCTTAGAACGTGGGTTCTGTGTGCGTCTTATGAGGGTCTCTGGAGGCTGGAGTTGGGGAGGAGACCTACTTTTTACTCTTGTATCTGTTAAAGTTTTCTGCCATGTGCACATATTCCTTATTTCAAAGACATGTTAGTTTTTAAGTTGAGAGCAGAAAGGGAATTTCTCCAACCACGAGAAAAAAGCAGATACTGAGGAAATGAAGCTTCAGCACAAACAACAGCCTGGGACATACCAAGGGCATTGGTTGAAGGGCACCGTTTGCTCTTAAAGGCTCTGGGGCTTCCTGAAGAGGCACTGCAGACATCTGGATGGATTTTCAGAGTTCCTGCGACTCCATGGCTGGTTTGTGCTCCTGGTGAGGAGCCCAGACCTGGAAAGATGAAGGTATTGGCCCCAGGTGACAGACAGGAAATAGTAGAGCCAGGAGTCATCCTGGACCTCTCTGGTTCCGTCTAGCCCAAGTCCCACCCAGTGTGCTGTTAGAAAACAACATTCAGCTTCCAGAATACAAAAATATTTTTTCACTTACTTTGTGGCATAATGTTTGTTTCTCTTTAGCTTTAAAAACAAAAATGCCAAAAATAAAGTCAATTGGGTTGCTCAGCAAGTTTTTAAAAGTCAGATTGATATATTAAGAAATATGTTGTAAGAACACTGAGGTTTATTGAAGTTTAAGATATACGTCATTCATTTATGATGAAACCCCAAAGACAGGCTGGGCGCAGTGGCTCACACCTGTAATCCCAGCGCTTTGGGAGGCCGAGGTGGGTGGATCACCTGAGGTCAGGAGTTCAAGACCAGCCTGAGCAACATGGAGAAACCCCATCTCTACTAAAAAAAAAAAAAAAAAAAAATACGAAATTAGCCGGGCATGGTGGCACATGCCTGTAATCCCAGCTACTTGGGAGGCTGAGGCAGGAGAATCACTTGAACCTGGGAGGCGGAGGTTGCGGTGAGCTGAGATCGCGCCACTGCACTCCAGCCTGGGCAACAAAAGCAAAACTCTGTCTAAAAAAAAAAAAAAAAAAAAAAAAGAAACCCCAAAGATAAACACCTACCAGTACAGTACTCTGAATATTTTTTAACAGCTTATGTTTTCCAATTTTTGGTAGTCGTCTAAAGATAACTTTTCTCTAGGTTATGAATAATGTGCAATAATTTATTTTTAGGCCTTGTTACTTTCTTCTTTAACTCCTTTCCTCTGGACAATTTAAGAAACTACACCTAATTTATTTTACAGTAAACAACTCTATGGATAGCTGTAGTCGGGAGGTAAACAAAGAAAAGGACAAGGAGTGTCCTAGGCTATTTTCTGCTGCCATCACAGATACCACAGAGCGGGTAATTTATAAAGAGTACAAGTTGGCCAGGCGTGGTGGCTCACGCCTGTAATCCCAGCACTTTGGGAGGCTGAGGTGGGTGGATCATTTGAGGTCAGGAATTCAAGACCAGCCTGACCAACACGGAGAAACCCCAGCTCTACTACAAATACAAAATTAGCTGAGCGTGGTGGCACACACCTGTAATCCCAGCTACTCGGGAGGCTGAGGCAGGAGAATCACTTGAACTGGGGAGGTGGAGGTTGCAGTGAGCTGAGATCATGCCATTGCACTCCAGTCTGAGCAACAAGAGTGAAACTCTGTCTCAAAAAAAGAAAAAAAAAAGTACAAGTTGATTTGGCTCATGGCTCTGGAGGCTGGAAAGCCCAAGGGTCTGGTGCTGGCATCTGGTGAGAGTCGTCCCACGCTGGAAGGTGGAAGCAAGTGACAGAGAGGGAAGGGCGGAACTCATCCTTTTACCAGGAACCCCTCCAAGGATGGCAGAGCCCTCCTGACCCAGTCACCTCTTCAAGGCCCCGCCTCCCACACTGTTACCATGGCAACTGAGTTTTTAACACATGAGCTGTTGGAGGGACACAGACCATAGCAGAGAGTAAAGGAGAGTAGGGAGAACAGGGGACAGGAGGTCAAGTAACTTTCAAATAGACACCCTAGGTCACCAACGGCATTCGAAGAGGCCATGAGACCCTCCCCAGCAGCCCAGTGCAGGTACGGTTCAGGTACCCCGGCTGAAGGAAGCCGGTATTTTCCTGTGGAGAACCCAAGTACCAGAATTTCAGCAGATGACATTGGGGAAGAGGGGAAATCACAAGAAAATAAATTCCCTTCAGGGATTTCATTTGAAAAGCGCCACCTTGGGATACAGATGTGGGATACAGACTGGAAGTCACCTGAATGACCGCCTATAGGCAGCTAGTCAGATAAAATGCTATACAGCTGTGAAGACTGGCGGCTCTCAGTGTACCTAAGGATATCCCCTACTTACTAAATGTGCCCAAGTTCAGCTTCCAGTTACCTGTGGGCAGTTCAGCAATGGCCCATTCACTGCGACCTGTTTCCCATGTGGGCTGTCCATTAATTATTCCACTTGACCGATATTGAAACCCAGGGTCACATTCATTCATCAAATATTGTCTAGGGGCTGGTGGGCAGGCCCCCTGGAATACAGCCAGGAACCACAGACCCTGACACTCCTCCTGCAGTCACAAGGTACTGTTCGCATCACTTTCTCTCCATCAAATCTTTTTTAAAAAATTTATCTAAGGGGTTATAACATTAGAGAAAGATTAGGAGTATAATGTTAGAGAAAGTTATCCTCACTACAGCTATCCTTCTTGTTAAGACACCAGGCCGGGTGCAGTGGCTCATGCCTGTAATCCCAGCACTTTGGGAGGCCAAGGCGGGTGGATCATATGAGGTCAGGAGTTCAAGACCAGCCTGACCAACATGGTGAAACCCCCATCTCTACTAAAAATACAAAATTAGCCGGGTGTGGTGGCGCACACCTGTAATCCCAGCTACTCAGGAGGCTAAGGCCAAGAGAATCGCTTGAACCCGGAAGGCGGAGGTTGCGGTGAGCCGAGATCGCGCCGTTGCACTCCAGCCTGGGTGACAGAGCAAAACTACGTCTCAAAAACAAACTCCCATTTATCCTCTACCCCTTTAACAAATGCATGTCTCTCTTTTATGCACTTTCAAATGTGTGTGCCGACGCTAAAAAAAAAAAAAAACCCCACCCTGCAGGCTGAGACCCCTGTGGTACGCGCGTCCCCACTGTCTTGAGCACCGGCTGGCGAAGGTGTCTGCAGCGGCGTCTCTGGCCGACAGGGGGCAGCACGGCGCCAGCGTCCTCGCCCAGCGCACTGGCTGCCCGGGCCGGCCCACCGCGTGGTCTGTGGAATTTGGGGATGGGAGGTGCTTTTCTTTCTTCTCTTTCTTTCTCTTTTTTCTTTTTTCCTTTCTTTTCTTTCCTTCCTTCCTCCCTCCCTTCTTTCCTTCCTCTCTCCCTCCCTCCCTTCTTTCCTTCCTTCCTTCCTCCCTCCCTCCCTCTTTCTTTTTTATAACGTTTTTCCTTGGGTCCCTGCTTCCAAACTGTGGGTTATTTTCTAATGTCTTAAAGCAAACTAAGCCACGCCTTCACGGAGTCTCTGCACATAGTACATGAGCACAGGTGCAGTGTCCTTTCGCCGCCATCCTCTAATGACAACGCTTTGTTGAGAAAACGAGGGCGTTAGAGAAAGGAAGAGTGAAGGACAGAGGGCTCTGCTGCCTGGCTGGGAAGGTCTCAGTCACAGCCTGTGAGACGGCCGGCGGGACATTGTTCATCCTCATTCATTCTTGGAGAAAAAGAGAAACTCATTGTTTAAAGCAGCTTATTTAAGAAATGTTGGTATTTTCCCCCTAAAATGTTTGTATGCTTAAATGACCTTGAACTGGCCAAGGTACAGCACAGACCCCGCTACTCCCCCCTTGCCCCAGCTTCTTAAAATACAGCAGGCTCTACTGCACCTATCACTGTTTCACAGGGTAAAAATAAAAGCATTGTCAGGAGCATTGTTATGGGATTAAAGTCTCTCGTTCTGAAAATAGGTATGTTCGTTTTGCTTTGATAGTTATTTTCCCCTTACTGCCTGGGTTTTACTTTAGCATTCTTAGAGTAACCAGGGATGATGATAATATTTCATTCCATCAGCGCCTCTTGCAATGCTCCTCACCTGAATAAAATGCATGTGCCCTAATGCCAACAGAATGATTTGGGCAAATTCAGGAAGTTCCCCACATGCCATGAAGTGAAATTCCTCATGGTGTCTGTCTTCCAGAAGTGACACATGAAAAACTGGCAATGAGCACACTGCTCACTAAATAAGAGGCCAAAGAGAAAAGAATCTACCGGAAACTCTTCCGGAATTAAAGAGTCCAGGCTCATGTTGTGATAGTGATTATTCCTCATAACCAGTGTTGTGGCGACAACTGACTCACTGGCGGTCGGGTGGACTCCCCCCTTGGTGCGCACAGGCGCCTGCCCCAAGGACAGACACTTCAAAGATGGCTCTGAACCCAGATTCTGCAGCTTCCCCCGGGCGGAGAGTTAAGCCACCCCGTGGGCATGAGTCGTGTTTTTCCTTTGAAGAGATGTTTCCCAGCTGCAATGAATGTGTGGCATTTGCCATGACAAAATAAAACCCTTCAAGAAATGTGGGTTCTCATTCTCATTTCTTTTTCTCCCTTTCCCTCTGTAAAACTTTTTTTTCTGAATTATCTTCCAAATTCTTTTCCAAAACATTAGTCTTTCTCTCCTCTTCCCCTACCTCCCAGATGAACGAATTTCCCCAGAATAAATGGATTTCCTTGTTGTAGCCTCACTGTTTACCAAGTGCCTGGCTGGCTGCTAAATAGCCACAAACCGCACACCGCATCTGTTATTACCGTGAGGCTTAGGCAGCTTGGCTGTGGGGGGCAGTGCGGGCGGCTGGGCTAACCCAGGAGAGCTGGAAGACTTTGGACAAGTCCGCTACTCTGTTGGTGCCTCAGTTTCCTCACGAGTGAGAGGAGAGGGTGGGCAGGCTAAGCCTTCTTTTTCCTAATAGCCCTGAGCCAGCTCAGTTGGCAGAGGAGCCGGGTTCATTCTGGAGCCCTGACCTTGATGTTAAGTTCAGGATTGCACCAAAGTCAACCTCAGTACCCAGACAGGGCAGGACTGACCGCTAGTTCTCCTTGGCCTGGGGAAGCCAGTGGGGATCCGTGCCCTGGGCAGACCTCATTGCTATCCCAGGCTGATTTTTCCATGTCCTGTTTCATGAGAAATGCACGACTGATGTTTTCTTGTGGGGGCCAGAAAAGCATTTTTCAGAGCTTCTTGGCAGCACATATTGAAGATCTTTGGCTCCCTGGGGCCTTAGCTCATGGAAGGAGGGTGGAGCTGATGGGTCTGCTGGCCATGGCTTGGCAACAGGGAAGCTGTTTGTGGTCTCCAGTTACTCCCTGGCCAGCCACCAGAGCCCTACTATACCCGGCCCTGGCCCCACAGCCGTCCTGGCTGCACATAGTGCTTCCAATGTGGTGGTCCTGCCCCTTCCTTCCCCTGTGGTCTCAAAACCATTCCCCCTCCCAGCTGCTGGGCTTGCTCCAAAGGGAAAGTGAGAGATCGGAAGGCTAACACAAACCTGTCTTCGTGACTCATTACTTCTCTTAAACATAGAGACCAACTGGTCTATACCAGGGCTGTCTATTAGAATTATCTGGGGAGGTTTTAAAAAAGACCAGCCCCCCGCTCCACTCTAGAGCAATTGAATCAGAATCTCTGGGGGTGGGGGGGACACTGATTACTATTTTTTATAAGCTCATTTGTGTGCCTCCAGGGAAGCCATCCCATTGGCAACACTGATTGCTTACTGGGTTAATAATGACCTTATGTACTCATTAGAGGAAATGTAGAAGTCCTGGGCCGGTATGGTCATGAAATTCACACCCACTTGGGAAATGCAATCATCCAGTTGTTTGCCATCAGCTGCAAATCGATAGATAGATCCGAGCTTAGCCAATGGCTAGCTAGCCTTTAGGGATAGCGCTTACGTTGTTGACTGTGCAGCCAGAAATGGGTTTCTGCTGATTCATTTGAATCAGTGACTCCCCAGCTTAAATGAGTGAAACAGATCACTTGGACAGCTTGTTAGTGTGGAGAGCTTCCGACTCCTTGGATGTAGTGTTAAGTCTGAGAATTTGCATTAAAAATTTTTTTTAACTTAAAAGTTTTATTTTGAAATATAGATATATCTATACATCTTTTTTTGTTTTTATTTTTTTGAGACAGAGTTACACTCTGTCACCCAGACTGGAGTGCAGTGGCGTGATCATGGCTCACTGCAGCCTCGACCTCCCAGGCTCAAGGGATCCTCCCATCTCAGCCTAAGGAACTAGGACTACAGACACGCACCACGACGCCTGGCTCATTTTTATTCTTTTACGTATTTTTTGTAGAGATAGAGTCTCACTGTTGCCCAGGCTGGTCTCAAACTCCTGAGCTCAAGAGGCCTCCCAAAGTGCTGCGATTACAGGCATGAGCCACCGCGCCCGGCCAGAATCGACACTTTTAACAGGAGTCCCATATAGGCCTCATGCCGGTGGTCTGAAAACCACATTTTGGAAATCTTGTTTATGCCGCCTTCTTATCTCTTGCAAAGGTTAGTGTTTTTCACAGGACTCTCAGCTCTTGGAGAGGGATGCTACATGTCCCTCAGTGTCCCCAGAGGACGGCGGATGTCTTGGTATTACCATGGTTGTATAACGTCTTGAGATCTGCTGGCGTGAGTCTGCCCCCTCATTTCTTTTTCAAAATTGTCTTGAGTATTCTTGGCCCTTTTCTTCTCTCTCTATGAATTTTAGGATCAGCTTGCCAAGTTCTCAGAGAAATCTTTCTGGGATTTCGTTAGAATTGCACTGACTTTATAGATTAATTGGAATTTTCCAAGACCTTAGAGACTCAATGTATTGCCAGTGTCTTTTCTAAGCATAAAACATTGGTGAAAATGTCACATGATCAGTCCTGCCGTTAGGAAATTGTGGGAAGTGCTCATCAAATCCATCTCCTTCACTTTGCAAAGAACCAGGCAAGGTGGAGTTCTCTGCCCAAGGTTACTGGGTGGTGACTAAGTTGGGCTACAGTTTTAGGTCCCAGACTCTTAATGGCTGCATCCTCCCCTTTTAAGAGAGTCTGCTGGGTTGAACTCATTGACCTTCGGATCTGGCGAGCCACGCTACCGAGGCAGGCTGTCTCCACGGACACATTTCGGTGCTTGTGGGTTCTAGCCAAGATTGGAGAAGGCATTGCCCCCACTTTGTTCCTGGGATGGGGTCTTTCAACTGCTGTGAGATAAACAGTCATCCTGAGCCCCTGCTGCTCTGAAATCATTTCATGTTTTGCAAGGTGGGAGGGTGAGCCACATCAAGGCGCGTGTGCCAACCAGCGCCCCAGCTATCCTTGGGCATCAGTTAGAGGACACATCAGGTGGCCCGATCCTCCCTCGGAATGTGTTCATTGTTTTCAGAGCTCCGGAGCCGCTTCAAATTGTTTCCTACCGCGTCCGGCCCCAGGGGCAGGGCTCTTTTTCTGTCTCTGCTGTCACTTACATTCCTCTCCCAGCTCAGTTTCCATCACCTCTAATCATCCCTGGAGGACTCGTCCTTTGTTCCTGGATTAAGCCGGGCCACCTGTCACTCGCTCAAGCCAAGCTTCCCACGTGGCCAGGGACACTTCTGCGATCCCATCAGAGGGGAAAACTTGATGTGTTTCAAGAATGCCCTGGTGCCAAGCTTCTGCAGAGCAGCACGCAGAAAATGTGAAGACAAAAGAATGACTGCCCACAGGAGGCGCGGCACAGGGCAGAACTCTGCTCGGTTGCTTGTCCGTGTTTGGTAAGAGAAAAGGCTCCCGTTGCAGTTTCTTGCTGTTTCTTTTTGGTGGCAGCTTTCCTTAACCGAAAAGCACACCTAGCTGTTGATGTCCCCAGACTGCAGGCAGGAGGCTGGGGTGAGGGACTTCAGCTCTGAGTCTGTGCCAGCGAGGGCCCTAGGGCTTCTCTCATGACCTCTTTCCCAGGCCCCCGCTGGATCCTTCCAAAGGCACAGGCCTTGTCTTTCTGCTTCTCTGGGACTGCAGGCCTCAAGCCCCCGCGCCCTGGGCAGCAGGGCATGGTAGATGCGCGGCACCCCCCTTAGCGGCACCTTCCCATTGTGAGAGAACTGCCTGAAACCCGCCCCTGTTCATGCCTCTGATCTCCCATGGCCCACGCAGCCATGGGGGGAGGTGTCTTGTCAGAGGCCTTACTTAGCCCAGAGGCATCCCAGCGGCGGGGGCAATTTCAGTCCCAAGTCCAGTGCAGGGCTGCGCTGTATATTTTTAGGCGGATGAAACTCTGACCCTCACCGCATCCAAGTGACTGTCAGTTATCACCTACAAAACTACCGGGGGTGACGCCTGAGTGACAGTTGTTCATGAAGAACCCAAACGATGGTGAAATATGAGCAGTTACCTACATACCGAGGGCACGGAAAGACCAGTCCCAGGTGACGAGAACTCAGAGGGCCGGGCGATGCCCTCACGTCACTCACCCCACCCGTGAAGAGACTGAGTCCACAGAGGAATGCCTGACCCGCCCGCCCGCCTTTGGTTTTCCTGCGGCACATCCTCGGTACTGTTCTGACAGCCTTTCCAAAACCACATCTCACGTGTGTGCAGCTGCCCGGTGCCCTTCATGAGTTTCCAGGAGCAAGATCACATACAGACTAACTGCTGTGGTCTCCAGGGCTCCTGTGCACCTCTCGAATAGCTCACCATGACTCCAGCCTGCTGCATGCCGCGTGCGTGTGAGCACGCAACCTGTCCATGCTTACACACACGCCCACAGATGCCCACGCTCACACGCACCTGCCCACTTACACACACACGCCAACGCTCACACACATACGTGCCCGTGCTCACACACCCGCCCATGCTCACACACCCACACACACCTGCCCACGCTCACACCTGCCCCCACACACCTGCCCACACTCAGACACACTTACCCCCCACCCACACACCCGCCCATGCTCACACACCCACACATACCTGCCCATGCTCACACCTGCCCCCACACACCTGCCCACACTCAGACACACCTGCCCCCCACACACAGGCCCACGCTCACACACCTGCCCACTTACATGCCCACGCTCACACACACCTGCCCACTTACACGCCCACGCTCACACACACCTGCCCACTTACACACATGGCTACGCTCACACACACCTGCCTGTGCTCACACACCCGCCCATGCTCACACACCCACACACACCTGCCCACGCTCACCCCTGCCCACACACACCTGCCCACACTCAGACACACCTGCCCCCTCACCCACACACATGCCCACACTCACACACACCTGCCCGTGCTCACACACCCGCCCATGCTCACACACCAACACACACCTGCCCACGCTCACACCTGCCTCCACACACCTGCCCACGCTCAGACACACCTGCCCACTCACACACCCACACATGCCCATGCTCACACATGCCCACACAGACACCCGTGCTCACACACCTGGCCCACACACACCTGCCCATGCTGACACACAACTACCCATGCTCACACCTGCCCATGCTCGCACACCTGCCCACACTCATCCACACACCTATCCACACTTACGCACACCTGCCCATCACGCACGCCTGCCTACACTCACAGATGCCCACACCCACACCTGCCCACTCACCACACACGCCCATGCTTACACGCACCTGCCCAAACATGCCCACACACACCCCCACACCTGCCCACGCTCAGACACCTGCCCACACTCACACCTGCCCATACTCAGATGCCCACACTCACCCACACACACCTGCCCATACTCACACACATGCCCACGCTCACCCATCTGCCCACACACCTGCCCATGCTCACAGCTTCCCACACTCACACCTGACCACACCCACTTGCCTCGCTCACACACACCTGCCCACACACACCCACACACCTGCCATACACACATGCTCACACTCATGTTCACGGTCAAATTTCTGTATTGTCCCATAAATGATTTTCTCTATTTTCTAATACTTCATTTTGAAATAATTTCAAACTAACACAACTATTGTGAAATTAGGACGAGTTCCCATATACCATTTACCTGGGTTCCCCAAATGTCAGCATCATCACTCAGCAAAATGCTGAGATCGGAAAATGAACAGACACGACACTATTATCTGCCCCGCAGGCCTTCTTTAGGGGGTCCACAAATGCCCCTTTCTGCCCTAGGATCCAACCTCCAGCAGCCACTCGTTTTGTGGAATGTCCCCGAGTTTGGGTTGCATGTGTTTGATAAATGATTGTGCAGGTGGTGATACTGGGAGTGGAAGTGGCTGGCTTCATGTCACTGCGCCAGGACGGCAGGTGTGGGCCCAGCCAGGACACCCCCGGCTTGTGTTCCTCTACTCAAGGCGCTCGTGTAGGTTCCCTCCCTCTTGTTTTTCTCCTGGAACAACACGGGATATATCAAGTTTCCTACATTCCGTCCTTTGTTGGTCACGTCCTCATAGTGTCATTTCTCTCTATTTCTGGTAGCCTGGCTCCATCAGGTTCAAGTTCAGGTTTGACCCAGCCCCCTCAAGCCTCTGCCCTTCGTGGACTGAGGATGCACCCAGTCTCCACCATCAGCCTTCTCCCCGGGAAGTCGGTGTACTCTGCTCTCCTCTGCCTCTATTTGTTCTCCCTCCATGTGCCCCCGGAGACTATCATCTTATTTAACCACCATCTATCGGTGGACAACTTAAAACTCTGCCTTCAGCCAAGAGCTCCCTCTGCGGCTCCAGCCCATCTTCCCCCCAATAGTCTGAGGGATCTTTCTAAAATTCCATCTGAGGGACACTCTTTCTCGTTGTACTTCCTAGTGGTGACTGTCCCTTGACCCTATGCTTTGACATGAGACCTGTGGAAAAAAATTCTACAACTATTTGGTATGTTGGAGGGAAGCATGAATAAATGAAGTCAGATTGTGCTTTTTTGTTTTTGCTTCAGAGACAACTTGTTCATTTTGCAGGCGGTCCCCACTGCCCTCTCCGGTGCCTTCACCCTGGGCTCCCACCTCTGCGGCTCCACTGCCAGCAAGGCCACCTGGCCAAGCTCCTGATCCCTGCGCTGCCCCATCCTCTGGCCACCCCGACTGGAAGCCTTGGAGTCATTGCTGACTTTCTGTCCGACCTCATCCCCCACATTCAAACAGTGGACTAGTGCTTGGAAATGTCCCTCTGGGGTTCCGCAAGCACAAGAGGTGGCTGGGTGCAGTCCTGTGTCAGTCACCGGCTTCCTCTGATGGCAGCTTGGCCGGTGGCCTCGGGCTCTTCCTACACCAGACCACCTCCCTCCCAACCCCCCCCCCCCTCCCCCGGCAGACTCCCTCCTTAGGTCCTGGCACGGAGGTGGCACTGGATCCATTTCCAATGGCGAGAACACACCATTTCTAGACTCTTCACCTCCCAGGCGTGCTCTAGTCCCTCAGACACAAACGGAAGAAGAGGATCCTATGCCTTCCTGAGCCCCCGAACCTCACAGGCCACTGAGAGCTGGCACTTGGCACCAAATCTCCCTGATGGAGAAAGCTCTTGTCCTTCACTCCCGTGGGAGCCCTGCAGGCCTCTGGCTCCCGGCCCAGTCAGCACTGTCCGCCCCCAGCCCCTCTTTCTCTAGACCTGCCCCAAGCCTGTCCTTGAAACCCGCCCTACCTGCCCCCAGCCTAGGCCCCAGGTGGACGCTCCCCTCGGGGTCTGCAGAGCCTTGCCGGCGGGAAGCAGCGGCTCCGGGGCCCTAGGCAGACAGGGCGCCTCATTCTGTTCTGGTGGCACCTGTGGGCACCCGTGCAGGCGGCATAGATTTTATTTTTCTGCGCACATTAGCCCAGACTCTGGAAGTAGTTTTCCGGCCTGGCTCAGGGCTGGCTAGATGTGCCGTCATTTCAAATGTAAGGAAGCGCCGGGCAGATCTGTTGTCGGCGGGGGGCCTCGCACGCACGCGCCCGCAGGCGGAGGACAGGACAGTCCCCGAGGCCCTCCCCGGTGACTCTAACCAGGGATTTCAGCGCGCGGCGCGGGGCTGCCCCCAGGCGTGACCTCACCCGTGCTCTCTCCCTGCAGAATCTCCTACGACCCGGCGAGGTACCCCAGGTACCTGCCTGAAGCCTACTGCCTGTGCCGGGGCTGCCTGACCGGGCTGTTCGGCGAGGAGGACGTGCGCTTCCGCAGCGCCCCTGTCTACATGCCCACCGTCGTCCTGCGCCGCACCCCCGCCTGCGCCGGCGGCCGTTCCGTCTACACCGAGGCCTACGTCACCATCCCCGTGGGCTGCACCTGCGTCCCCGAGCCGGAGAAGGACGCAGACAGCATCAACTCCAGCATCGACAAACAGGGCGCCAAGCTCCTGCTGGGCCCCAACGACGCGCCCGCTGGCCCCTGAGGCCGGTCCTGCCCCGGGAGGTCTCCCCGGCCCGCATCCCGAGGCGCCCAAGCTGGAGCCGCCTGGAGGGCTCGGTCGGCGACCTCTGAAGAGAGTGCACCGAGCAAACCAAGTGCCGGAGCACCAGCGCCGCCTTTCCATGGAGACTCGTAAGCAGCTTCATCTGACACGGGCATCCCTGGCTTGCTTTTAGCTACAAGCAAGCAGCGTGGCTGGAAGCTGATGGGAAACGACCCGGCACGGGCATCCTGTGTGCGGCCCGCATGGAGGGTTTGGAAAAGTTCACGGAGGCTCCCTGAGGAGCCTCTCAGATCGGCTGCTGCGGGTGCAGGGCGTGACTCACCGCTGGGTGCTTGCCAAAGAGATAGGGACGCATATGCTTTTTAAAGCAATCTAAAAATAATAATAAGTATAGCGACTATATACCTACTTTTAAAATCAACTGTTTTGAATAGAGGCAGAGCTATTTTATATTATCAAATGAGAGCTACTCTGTTACATTTCTTAACATATAAACATCGTTTTTTACTTCTTCTGGTAGAATTTTTTAAAGCATAATTGGAATCCTTGGATAAATTTTGTAGCTGGTACACTCTGGCCTGGGTCTCTGAATTCAGCCTGTCACCGATGGCTGACTGATGAAATGGACACGTCTCATCTGACCCACTCTTCCTTCCACTGAAGGTCTTCACGGGCCTCCAGGTGGACCAAAGGGATGCACAGGCGGCTCGCATGCCCCAGGGCCAGCTAAGAGTTCCAAAGATCTCAGATTTGGTTTTAGTCATGAATACATAAACAGTCTCAAACTCGCACAATTTTTTCCCCCTTTTGAAAGCCACTGGGGCCAATTTGTGGTTAAGAGGTGGTGAGATAAGAAGTGGAACGTGACATCTTTGCCAGTTGTCAGAAGAATCCAAGCAGGTATTGGCTTAGTTGTAAGGGCTTTAGGATCAGGCTGAATATGAGGACAAAGTGGGCCACGTTAGCATCTGCAGAGATCAATCTGGAGGCTTCTGTTTCTGCATTCTGCCACGAGAGCTAGGTCCTTGATCTTTTCTTTAGATTGAAAGTCTGTCTCTGAACACAATTATTTGTAAAAGTTAGTAGTTCTTTTTTAAATCATTAAAAGAGGCTTGCTGAAGGATACACTGGCTGTGTGTATTTATCTCAATTCTGCTTGATGGGCCAGACTAATTGTTAGAGGAAATCATATGTTACCTAAGGTCTTCACTTTATCTTGAGGTTTAAATTCATCGAGATTTGATTTGGTCTTAGAAAGATCAACTAGTCAGGTAAGGTCAATGTCTTGGATCTTTTGTGACACCCCCAAGACCAGGAAATGTCCTTTATTCACATGCATTTCACTCCCAAATTTCAGCTACCACAGAAAGACCGACTGGCAGCCTTGGTCTGATCCAGATGAATGGGTCACTCAGAGACTTTCAGCTCCCACTAAAATGGACAGAAATTGTGCATGAAAAACACATCACTGAGCAAATCCACACTGTCCAAATAAAAAATTCAAAATGGAAAGCAGTAGCTATGAATAGCTCCACAGACTACACTTCCCCATTCAACCTCTGGGGGAAGAAAAGGGATCCTCTGGTGGTGGTAAGTCTAGAACACATTCCTGTCCAGGAACCAGAAGGTCCACAGCAACAACAACACAAATCCATACATTAAAAAGGACTGCCTTTTTTTTTTTTTTTTTTTTTGAGTCGGAGTCTCACTCTGTTGCCCAGGCTGGAGTGCAGTGGCGCGATCTCGGCTCACTGCAAGCTCCGCCTCCCGGGTTCATGCCATTCTGCTGCCTCAGCCTCCCGAGTAGCTGGGACTACAGGCGCCCGCCACCTCGCCCGGCTAGTTTTTTGTATTTTTAGTAGAGACGGGGTTTCACCGTGTTAGCCAGGATGGTCTCGATCTCCTGACCTCGTGATCCGCCCGCCTCGGCCTCCCAGAGTGCTGGGATTACAGGCGTGAGCCACCGCGCCTGGCCCAGAACTGCCTTTTAAAGCAGCAACTTAGGTGTGTTTTCCGTCATCGCTGCTGTTGTGTAACACTTTCCAGGTCACTCCTCAAATATAAACAGTGCAAGCGTTGGAGGAAGGGCACACAAGGAGAGGAAACTATCTGCATGGGGAAAATGTCATGATTTTATTCACTGCATTAATTATTAGTTTAACCTCAGCTTGCTAAAAGGTAGCACATTCCTAACAGAAGAAATGAGCTTTCCATTTGAAGATCGAGAAAGGCAGCCTGTGTTTTTTCTCTGTACCGTACATTCATCCGCTTAGTGACTATCTACTGGGCACCTGCCTGGTTCTAGTCACCCAGCTCCTGCAAGGCGGCAGTAAGCGAGACAGCCTCCCTCCTCCACTAAAATGATGAAATGGCAAAGCTGCTCAAGCGCCTCGCACCTGAGTGCCGCTCTATGAACCTGCTCCCTTCACCTCACTAAGCTTCATTTTCCTTCCGTGTGAAATGAGGTCACAGCGCCCACCCTGTGAGGATTCAACACTGTTGGTAAAGTGCCTGGCACAGTGCCTGGCACACATGAACACGTGTGGACAGGGACACATCATTGCACTGCAGTCATTCATAAGCCACATTGAAAATAAACATCAAGCTAAGCCTTCTGCATTTTAAACTTATCTTTTATACCAAAAAAAAGTCACTTGTTATGTCGCTTTAGGAGGCATCTGTCACTTACAAGTGACTTTTTTTTTTGTATGAAAGGTAAGTTTAAAATGAAATCGCTGGGCCGGGTGCAGTGGCTTATACCTGTAACCCCAGCACTTTGGGAGGCTGAGGTGGGTGGATCACCTGAGGTCAGGAGTTGGAGACCAGCCTGACCAACATGGTGAAACCCCATCTCTACCAAAAATACAAAAAAATTAGCTGGGCGTGGTGGCGCGCAACTGTAATCCCAGCTACTTGGGAGGCTGAGGCAGGAGAATCACTTGAACCCAGGAGGCAGAGGTTGCAGTGAGCCGAGATCATGCCATTGCACTCCAGCCTGGAAAACAAGAGTGAAACTCCATCTCAAAAAAAAAAAAAAAAAGGCTGGGCACGGTGGCTCACGCCTGTAATCCCAGCACTTTGGGAGGCCAAGGCGGGTGGATCACGAGGTCAGGAGTTTGAGACCAGCCTGGCCAAGATGGTCTCTACTAAAAATACAAAAACCCTGTCTCTACTAAAAATACAAAAATTAGCAGGCGCAGTGGTGGGCGCCTGTAATCCCAGCTACTCAGGAGGCTGAGTGAGACAGGAGAATCGCTTGAACCCAGGAGGCGGGGATTGCAGTGAGCTGAGATCGTGCCACTGCACTCCAGCCTGGGTGACAGAGCAAGACTCCATCTCAAATAATAATAATAATAACTGACAAGTAAAATAATAAACAAATAAAACAAAATCTAGAACTTTAACTGGGCAGCAGCATTTAAATACAGTATGTTGAAATTAGAGGTGGTGGCTAAGCTTGGGAAGGTACTGTTTCAATGAATAACAAGATCTTCTTGGGACAAAATTTTTTTCTCTTGCTAAAACTGAAGGGTTTTTTTTGGTGGGGGGGGGGGTGTTGCAGAGATGGGAGGTTGGTATTGTGTTTTATCAAACAAATAAGGAGGTTTACTGGCTAGATAAACTGTGCCAGCCAAAGTTCAGTGACATCTCCCTCCCTGCTCCCAGATCCACTTGGTTTATTTCACACATTTCCCTCCATGCCTTTCATTCCCAGGATTTGTGGAGGGGCAACACATGATATTGTACATTTCAGAGCTTCTTCCCCTCCTCCCAGAAAAGTGCATGTTTCCTTCACATGAATTCTACCTGGAGGATTCTGTGGCAACCTTTGGAATGGAGGTGCTTTGCTGGTTACTGAAGATCGTTTCCAACTGACAGTATTTCAATTATATACTTGTTCTACAAAAATGGAATCATTTGGGAACAGAAATCCAAAAACACTCTGCAAATACCAACAGTTCCACAGTCAGGGGCCAGTTATCTCATTATGTCTTACCGCATCTCTTCCAGCAGGGCAAAGGGGGGAAATGGTCATTTTTAGTAACTGGTGCCAGCTCTGATTTTAGGAAGGAATGAAAGGAGAAAGAGTACAGAACCCCCATCTGAAATGGGGTCTTAAAGTTCCCCCTGCCTTTCATCTCTTCTTGCTGTTCAGGCCCTCCTCACCCCAGACACGCATCTGAAGAGTTTCTGAGAAGTGCTGGAATTTTGTTAGCAAAACAGAAATTACTCTTCTACCCCTTCCCACTAATCAGGAGGGACTTAAAAAGACGTGGATTAAAACATTCCTTTTAACCTCTGCAGTGCTTTACTAAGGTACAGGAGGTGAGGGAGCCTTGGGGGTTCCAGACGGCATGACTGACCGTGGGTATCACCCAGCCCCGACGCCTCCCACCTCATTAACTGCCCAAAGGAATATACCAGACCTAGTGTGTTTTTTAAAATATAAGGCTGCAGAGGTATAGATGGCCTTTTATGAAACCTAGAAGTGGATCATATATGAACACAGGTTTGCTAAAATCAAAATCACACCAGGGTCCAAAGCCATGAAACACGTTGGCTGCTTATTAAACAAAAAATGCCTTCACCTCATTGCTTAAGCCTCCTAACTTACAATGTTTGTACATTTTTTGAGAGGAATCCAACTTTGTCCCTTCTCTCCCTCACCTCCTGTGAAAAAATAAGGTTTCTCTTTAACTAACCGCTGGATTCATAGGACAACTACAAGTCTGTCATTTCTAGACTACCACTCTCCCACAGGTCCTAAGTCAAACATGGCATTTCTGTACATAACTTGTTACTACAATGTAACAAATTACATACAGAGCAAACCACATATGGAAATAATAAGGTAGGGGTTATTTTTTAAAGAACACTTATTGAAAACTTAACAAAGGCCAGGTGCTTGTACACTGATAAAAATACCAATGTCTCATAAAAAGAGTGATTTTTTTTTCTTTTTTTTGAGATTGAGTTTTGCTTTTGTTGCCCAGGCTGGAGTGCAATGGCACAATCTCAGCTCACTGCAACCTCTGCCTCTGAGGTTCAAGTGATTCTCCTGCTCCAGCCTCCCGAGTAGCTGGGATTACAGGCGCCCAACACCATGCCCAACTAATTTTTGTGTTTTCAGTAGAGACAGGGTTTCACCACGTTGGCCAGGCTGGTCTTGAACTCCTGACCTCAGGTAATCCGCCCACCTCAGCCTCCCAGAGTGCTGGGATTACAGGTGTGAGCCACCACGCCGAAAAGAGTGATTTTTAAAGTAAATTAAAAGTTGTCCAGAAGTCGGGCAGCCGAGGGCTAAGAAACAGCAAGAAAGACCAGGCCTGTCCTCCAGGCTTCCCTGACCCAGGCCTCCTCTCTGGCTCGGTCAGGACAAACTGGGTTTTGCTCCAGTGGGTAATGAGCCCATGGTTCAATGACACAGGCTCATTCCTGGCTCTCCTCGCATCCCTGGTAGATGGGCAGTGGCCCTGCTCCACTCACAGCCAGAGGTTGGAAATGACACATCACTTCCTTTCACATTTTGGGATTTTGTTGTTCTTGTTTTTGAGACAGGGTCTGGCTCTGTCGTTCAGGCTGGAGTGCGGTGGCACATCACGGTTCACGGCAGCCTCGCCCTCTTGGGCTCAGGTGATCTTCCCACCTCAGCCTCCCAAGTGGCTGGGACTACAGGAGTGTGCCACCATGCCCAGCTAATTTTTTTTTTTTTTGTATTTTTGGTAGAGACAAAGTTTTACCATGTTGCCCAGGCTGGTCCCGAACTCCTGGACTCAAGTGATCCATGCTTGCCTTGGCCTCCCAAAGTGTTGGGATTACAGGCATGAACCACAGCACCCTGCCTCCTTTCACATTTTGTTGGCCAAAGCAAGTCTTATGAGGTGGGGAAGTATAATCCTTTCCTAGAAGGAGGACATTAATTTTTTGGAAAGTTTTTATTTCGAAATGATTGTAGATTCCCAGGAAATTGCAAAAATATACTGAGAGGTCTTATGCCCTACACCCAGTTTATCTAATGGTAACATCTTACATAATTATAGTGCAGTGTCACAATCAGAAAATGGACACTGGCTCAACCCACAGATCCCATTCCAAGTTCACCAGTTTCACGCGAGCTCATCTCTGTGTGTGTGTGGTTCTATGCAATGCTGCCACATGCAGATTCATGAAGCCACCACCACAGACAAGATAAAGAACAAGCTACCACCAAGGAGAACTCCCCTTTGTGGCCCGCCCATCCCCTTCGCCCCATCCTGATGCTCCCCCTGCACCCACGAATCTCTCCTCCCTGGGACTGTCATACCTAGAAACATCCAGTGTGTGACCTCTGCGGAGCGGCTTTTTCACTCAGCGTGATGCCCTCGAGACCCAGCCATGCTGTGTGTTCACTTCTGATTGTTGAGACATCCTCTGGGGTATGTACAGAGGAATATTTTCTGAACGGTGAGAATCTAGCACACTCGTCCCAGCTCCATTTTTTGGTCCTGGTGTTTGGTTTACAGATGGGTCTTTCATTTTCTCAGGCAGTTCAGAGGGAGGGTGCTGAGTCTGAGCCACGCAGGGAGGGCACCTGGGCACCTGTCATCCCTCGCAGCCCACCTAGAACCTGGAGGAGGAGGAGAGCTCTAAGAGGCATTCAGACGCTAGTTACTGGATTATTGCCTTTTTGCATGGAGGCAAGTCTGTCTCCTTGGAGGGCTGGGGTGGGACATGGGGGTGGGGTTCCTCACAAGCCCTAGGATGCTACCAGACTGCTCTGGCCCGAGGCAGAGGCCAAGGTCCTGTCTCATTCAGGAGCCCTTGGGCAAGCCACACAACTGTTCTTCTGTTTTTACACATGTTAAATGAGGAGAGAAGATCAGGCAGATTCTAAGGTTTCTTCCAACTCGAATTCCATGGATTCAGGTTGGCAGAAGACTGAGCTCTAGGGACGCCCTCCCTAAGGAAACAATAATGAAGATCGCACACTTTATTTTGAAAACCAGGCCAGGGACAGCTCCAGTTTGGGGGGAGGGGAAGAGATTATAACTTTTAAATCTACTACGAAAATACAAAAAGAGGAATGTGACAGGGTTCCTTCCTGTGTTATGTCACCGTCTGTAATCAGATCCCACAGTCCAGCCCAGAATCATAATTCACATAACAGCGAAACTCATTTGCCAAGTTCCGGGTGTGTCTTGGAACAAACGTGCACATCTTCACTCCAAGGAGTTCTGCTGCCTGTTCTTCCATGATGGCACCTGAAGAGAACAAAGCAAATGAATCCAGAGAGTGACAACCCAGCCGGAGCTCAGTGCGTCCTGAGCTGTGAGAGGGGCTCTAGGCGGACCACCGGTGGCAATTAGTTGACAATTCACAAGTGGGGGGAGGGAGCGAGTGTTCTTTACATTCCCTTTCACCTTCTCCAATATTTTTGCAATTTACCAACTTTTTTCCATGTCTTTTTTATTGAATGAATTATTTTCCTACCTCTGCAAAGCCGAGACACTTAGAAATTTAGAAGCAGATTATACACACACACACACACACACGTACTATATATATATACACACATATGGAAAGCAAAAATAATTACTAAAAACTACATTTCCCAACGTTGAGCCAAGAGCCTTTTTCAGTAATATCCAATCTTGCAAACACAGGTGCGAATGTATTGCCACTCCCTTTTGCCATCTGCTCCCAATTTCTCCCCGCCCTGGGCCCACAGCGCACAGCCAGCTCCCCTGCGACATCCCCACAGGAGGTGGCATCCACAGCCCTGATTCCTCTCCTCTCTTCCCCTCCACACTCAAATACAGCAAGCTCTCTCAACTTCATCTTCAAAGTATCTCTTTGACGCCCCTGCCCTGCCCTCCTTGCAGGCCACCGCCCTCCCTGGGGTGCAGCAACAGCCCGCGGTGCCCAGGTCCACGTGCCCCAAAACCTCGGTCAAGTTAAAGCGAACGTCTTACGTCTTCAGACAAGTTGCGTCCCGTCGCCTTGGGCTTCTGAAGAAAACCCCAATGCCCACGGTCCCCTGTTAGGCACTGGGGGCCTCCTGCCCCGACTCTGCCCTCCCGGGCCGCTGTGGCCGTGGCTCCTGACCCCTCAGGTCCCTGGGGCAAAGTGCAGATCCCTGGGTCTCTGTTACTCTTCTCAGAGTTAGTGCTTCCAGCCTTTAGTCTATTTTATTATTATTTTTTAAAAGTATCCCCTGAAACTAAAATGCACACTCCATGAGGCCAGAGCGCTGCCTGCTGGTGCACAGAGCACTGCAGAGAGCTCAAGGAAGCAACGGAGTGAATAAGCGTGCAGGCAACCACGGCATCTGTGCGAACAGAGCGCCCCTTCCCACACACGCAGCTCTGCAACACCAGAACAGCTTCCCGTGGCTCCACTCCTGGCCCAGCCCTGTTCCCAGCAGGGTGCCCAGGGGACAAGCGCGGCCCGGAGGGACTGGGGTATAGCGTCCACAACAGCACTCAAGGGTGTGGACACCACAGGTACCCAGAAATAAAGAGACGGGTCAGTTGGTAAGGTTTCAGTTCTCAGAATTTTTTTTTCTTTGAGACAATCTTGCTCCCTGCCCAGGCTGAAGTGCAGTGGCACCATCAGAGCTCACTGTAGTCTCGACCTTCAGAGATCAAGCAATCATCCCACTGAGAGGTGAAGCCAGCTGGACTTCCTGGGTCTAGTGGGGACTTGGAGAACTTTTCTGTCTAGCTAGAGGATTGTAAACACACCAATCAGCACTCTGTAAAATGGACCAATCAGCACTCTCTGAAAAATGGACCAATCAGCACTCTGTAGAATGGACCAATAAGCAGGACGTGGGCAGGGACAAACGAGGGAATAAAAGCTGGCCACCCCGCAGCCAGCAGTGCAACCAGGTGTTGTCCTCTTCCATGGTGTGGAAGGTTTGTTTTTTGCTCTTCATAATAAAGCTTGCTGTTGCTCACTCTTTGGGTCCACACCAACTTTAAGGTCTGTAACACATACCGCAAGGGTCTGCCGCTTCTTTCCTGAAGTCAGCGAGACCACGAACCCACCAGGAAGAAAAAACAATTCCGGAGGTGCCGCCTTTAAGAGCTGTAACACCACGAGGTCTGTGGCTTCATTCTTCAAGTCAGTGAGACCAAGAACCGATCAGAAGGAAGAAACTGCAGACACACCACCTCCATCTCCCAAATGGCGGGGAGGCCCATGCAACCACACCTGGCTAATGTTTAAAATTTTTGTAGAGATGGAGTCTTGCTGTGTTGCCCAGCCTGGTCTAGAACTCCTTGCCTCAAGTAATCCTCCCACCTTGAAGTTCTCAGATTTACTCTATTGAATTTTACCATATCTGCCTTAAGTGTATCAAACCCAGCTTGGTGGCACACACCTGTAAGTTCCAGCTACTTGGGAGGCTGAGGTGGGAGGACGGCTTAGCCCAATGGTTTGAGGTTACAGAGAGAAAAAAAGTATAACGATCTCGCCAGTAAGAAAACTCTTCTACATTAACCCAATCTAATGTCTACTCTGTAACCTCAGGCAATTCACTTAAACTCTATAGATTCCAAATTTCTCTTTGATAAAGGGTAGAGGCTGGATAAGATACCGATAGTATTGATGATGGTATGTAAAAGTAACAGCTGACATTCATCAAGTAGTCACCATGCACCAGACCCAGTGTTGGGTACTTTGTGTCACTTAATTCTTTAGGACCCTTAATGGCAGAGTATTATCAGTCCTAGTTTACAGATAAGGAATCCAGGGCACAAAGAGTTAAATAACTTGTTCACAAGTCACACAGGAAGTGGTGGACTCAGGATTTTTTCTTGACCCTGAAGACCTGAATAGCCACTGTCAGTGACTTTGATGAGATATGAAATGCAGCACCTACCTGTGCACAGCAGAATCTTGCCCCGCGTCAGGTACTTGACGGTTTCCGATGTTTTTCTGAGACATTCCTCCGAAAGATAGGGAGGATCTGCTATTACGATGTCAAAACTATGTGCAGCAATTCTTTCGGGTAAGTCCAATGGATTATTGTAATCATAGAAAATAAACTCCTCTCCATACATGGCAAATCTTTTGTCATATTCAAAGATGTATATCGAAAAGTTTTCTCTGCACAGCTCTCTGAGTTTCTGGTAAACACTAGGGGCACTCACACATGCGATTCTAGGAGACAAAATGAACACACCATGAAACATCCTTAACAGAGAGATTACGGTGTTAACAACTTCTTCACTAAACAATACATGGGTCCGAGTGCTCAGAGTTTCTTACAGGAAACAATAATGCAAACTAGTGTAATAGTTAATGTTGAGAAAAAACTTTATAGTGTCTCACTTTTAAGGAATCTGGTACTTAAAAGTCTGTAACTTATAATTTTTTTTCTTTTTTTTTGAGATGGAGTCTCACTCTGTTGCCAAGGCTGGAGGGAAGTGGCGTGATCTCGGCTCACTGCAACCTCTGCCTCCTGGGTTCAAGCTATTCTCCTGCTATTCCTCCCAAGTAGCTGGGATTACAGGCACGCGCCACTGCGCCTGGCTAATTTTTTTGTATTTTTAGTAGAAATGGGGTTTCATCATGTTGGCTAGGCTGGTCTTGAACTCCTGACCTCAGGTGATCAGCCTGCCTCGGCCTCCCAAAGTGCTGGGATTACAGGCATGAGCTACCGCGCCTGGCCTATAGCTTATAATTTTGAGGTATGAAAGGCTATAGTTTTTATAGTGAAAAATGTAAAATATCAGGAACACATTATGACAAAATTTAGATGTAGTTAGCCCAAAGCCTAAATTTACCTATTATTTTCATGCTAGGCCTTTGATATTTATTTTAAATACTTTTTGTCCCAACTAAATACTATAAAGTCATTTTGTAATATTCATGATCTTGAAAGATAAACCCAAATAACTCCCCAACTCACTCCAGTTTTCCATAAAGATACATTAAAATGTGCTCTCACTGCAGACAAGCTATTCTGAATTTCTGCTTTGCTTCTTTTTTGTATAAGGAAATTAAAGTATCTATCTCATTACAGCAGCCCAGTTTATGAATGGGTAGTGTTTTAAGAGTTAACTGTTAAAACCAACTGCCAAAAAGCTAGAAGTAACCTAAATACGGAATTATTGAGTTGACTGTGATACACTTTTTTTTTTTTTTTTTTTGAGACAGGGTCTCACTCTGTTGCCCAGGCTGGAGTGCAGTGGCATGACTTCGGCTCACTGAAACCTCTGCCTTCCGGGTTCAAGCGATTCTCCTGCCTCAGCCTCCTGAGTAGCTGGGATTACAGGCACCCGCCACCACGCCTGGCTAATTTTTGTAATTTTAGCAGAGACGGGGTTTCACCATCTTGGCCAGGCTGGTCTTGAACTCCTGACTTCATGATCCACCTGCCTTGGCCTCCCAAAGTACTGAGATTACAGGTGTGAGCCACCGTGCCTGGCCACTAATTATTTTTATAGAGACAGGGTTTTGCCACTTTACCCAGGCTGGTCTCAAACTCCAGAGCTCAACATCTGCCTGCCTTGACCTCCTAAAGGAGGCGTGAGCCACTGTGCCCAGCTGGTATGCCTATTACAATGGAAAGTTCTGTGGCCATTTAAAAAAGGCTGAAGCAGCCCTCTCTATGCTGATAAGGAATGATCTCTGAGATCTATTCAAGGAACAGAACAGTGTGAAGTATGCTTTCATGGGAGTGGGAATATATGCATATAGATGTACAGGTGACCTCTAGAAGGTGTCCAAGAGACAGTGACCATGACTGCCTCATGGGAGAGTGCCTGGGGGACCTGGATACAATAGAGAAGAGAGTGACCTTTTCTCACAATTCCTTTGTCACGTTTGGATTTTTATATGTGCATACACTGTCATTCAAAAAAGGACCTAATTTAAAAATTACGCTCAGCTTTAAAAATGTGTGACGCATTTCCAACAGAGACAGTGTTACCCGTCTTACTTAGGTACCCATGCCGGGCTAAGCAGGCTTCTCAGCCCAAAGACACTGCAACAGATAATAGAACCCGTGACATCGCATAATGTTTCTTTGGAAACATGTGTTTCCCTGCTGGCAGGACACAACTCTCCCTGCACAGCAGCTCTAGATCAGGGCGGTAGGAGGGGGAAAAGAAGCTGGAGTACAGTGGGATTATAGCCTCACTGTGCTGACAGAGAATGAACTGCAACCAAAGATTATATATGCACACTATGAAAACATCTTCCGATAAAAAAGGTGAAATAAAGATATTTTCAGACAACAAAATTGCCTCCAGCAGGCATTCCCTGAGAAATCCACCTGAAGGATGTACTTCAGGTAGGACAGTGGTCCAGGATGCAAGAAGGGATGGGAGCAGAAAGACCGGTGGGTCTGGTGGGGATGGTGGTGGTTACCAGGCAGCAGTGGGATCAGAGAACCTGTGTTGAAAGCCTAGCTTTGCCACTTCCCACTGGGTGACCTTCTGCAAGTGGCTGAACTTCTGGTCTCAGTGTCTGTCTTTAAACTAGAGCGTGTAAGAGGAACTATTGCACAGAGATACGAGGATAGAATGAGATGACCCTGACAACGCACTTACAACAGGAGAGGGCACACAGTAAGCACTCAATAAATGCGGTTCTCATTCATCTTTATTTTATTATTTATTTATTTATTTATTTATTTATTTATTTGAGACGGAGTCTCGCGCTCACGCTCAGGCTGGAGTGCGGTGGCGGGATCTTGGCTCACTACAAGCTCCGCCTCCCGGGTTCACGCCATTCTCCTGCCTCAGCCTCCCGAGTATCATCTTTAAATGATGACTTAGTTCCTATGAATACTGAAGTTGACTTTCAAAGGAGGTTAAAAGTTGCTTCCAAGGCCCTCATATTAGTGGCAAAAAAGAAAGTATATCTAAAAGCAGTGTCACTAAGAAAAACCTACTAAACCACTACATATAATCAAAAAAAGAAAAAGAACAGTTAAAAGAAAAATGGAAGATTTCCCACTAAAGATGGCAGATTGAACACATTCATTTACATTTGCTCCCTCATGAAAGCCCACTAAAAACAAGAGTGCAATTTCATGTTGTCTTATTTAGGAATACAAGAGCAAAAACCAAAGGGCATGTCAGCGGAGACTAAGGAAATCACACTGAGCAAGCGGAACAGCAGATGGGTGGGTAGTGGGGCTCGGCAGACCTGCAATGGCCGAATCCTACACTGGCAGTTGGAAAGCTGAGAAGCGCCCTGGTTCACGTGGTGGCATACCCGAGGGCTCAGGATGCGACAGAACCCGGTAACTCAAGAAGCAGAGGTGAAGGTGGGGCCAAAACTGGGAGGTTTTACTGAAAGGCCTATTTTAAGAAGCAATTCATTCTCAGGATTCTCTGCTATATCCCAAAGCCTGCCCCCCACCATGACTGTGGCAGAAAACTGGAGGAGTGTTGTCTGGATGGGGGGGATGCTTGGAAGGAAGATGCCAGGCACAGCGGTTGATGATGTACCATGTGGAAATTAGGAGGATTAAGTTAAACGCATTGGATGATGAAACTTCCAGGCTTTCAGTCACATGCCTCCAAGGATGATGCCCACTAGATGTATAACTTCCAGTCAGGAATTAGGAGAATCTTCCCTGGACCACTGACAAAACTACAAGAAAAGTCTTAGACACGGGGGTTCCCTAGGAGAACGGCTCATTCAGATGCTCCAACTGTAGAGATCAAAGCAGATGAGGCTCCCAGTTTTCGAGTGCCCCACCCTTCAATGTCCACAGACATTTAAGGAACATAGATTAGATAAATATATCATATGAAATTAACAAACAGAAAAAGCATTTTGGAGTAAATAGAGACTATGGAGGGAGAAGAGAACTTTAAAAAATTCTATAATATCCTCAAAAGGATGAACAAGACACAATAATAAAGAAATACTCAAAGACCAAAAAAAGAGCTGCAGACAATTCCAAGCATGGAAGCAGATATGGTAAACTCAGTAGAAAGTTTAGAAGATAAAGTGGAGGAATTCTCCCAGAAAGTAGACAATGAATAGAAAAAGAAGAAAATTAGAAGATCAGGTCCAATATTCAAAGAATAGAAGTTCCAAAAATAGGAACAGAAAAAAAAAGTGGGGAAAGAAATAATTTAAGATAATTTTCTTAAACTGAAGGACATGTGTGTTGAGGATGAATGGGCCCTCTAGGACCCAGGACAATAGATAAAAACTCCACAGCGAGGCACATTGAATACCGGGGATTAAGAGAAAATCCTAAGCTTGCTGTGGGCATGGTTAGAAAAAAGCAAGTTTCCTATAAGAAATCAGAATGATACTGGATTTGTCAGCAGCATGTATGGAAGTTTGGAGACAATGGAGCAACGCCTTCAAAACCTGGAATGTGCTGTCCAACAAAACCATCACAATCAAGAGGAAGGGTAGGAAAAAAGCATTTTCAAACACGAAAGGTTCTAAAAACTTCCCTCCTACGTGCCTTTTCTGTAGCAGCTATCGGAGGAGGTATGCCACCATGGTAAGGCTGTAAACTAAGGATCGGAGTACAGGAAATAGGGAATCTAGAACAAAAGACAGGTATAAGGACTCCAGCATGATGATGAAGGGCGATACCAAGAAAAGAGGTGTCGTAAAACCAGCGCAAGACCATGCACACTGGGACAGGTTGCAGAGCCCTGGGAATAGGGTTTTTTTAAAAAAGAAGTTGAAATATGTTTGAACTTACTGATAGGATATTTAGACAAGAGAGTTTGGGGGTTAATCAGGGATACGGATATAGAATACATTAAGCCTTTTAGAACCATTTGACTTTTTTTTTTTTTTTTTTTTTTGAGACAGAGTCTCACTCTGTCTCCCAGGCTGGAGTGCAGTGGTGTGATCTTGGCACACTGCAACCTCTGCCTCCCACGTTCAAGCAATTCTCCTGCCTCAGCCTCTTGAGTAGCTGGGATTACAGGATGCACCACCACGCCCAGCTAATTTTGTATTTCATAGAGAAAGGGTTTCACCATGTTGTCCAGGCTGGTCTCAAACTCCGAACCTCAGGTGATCCGCCCGCCTTGGCCTCCCAAAGTGCTGGGATTTCAAGCATGAGCCACCACGCCCAGTCACCATTTGACTATTTATATGCATGCAAGGTTCTGATAAAAATAAAAACCAGGCCAGGCACGGTGGCTCATGCCTGTAATCCCAGCACTTTGGGAGCCTGAGGCAGGTGGATCACAAGGTCAGGAGTTCGAGACCAGCCTGGTTAATATGGTGAAATCCCATCTCTACTAAAAATACAAAAATTAGGTGGGCATGGTGGTGTGTGCCTGTAGTCCCAGCTGCCTGGGAGGCTGAGGCAAGAGAATTGCTTGAATCTGGGAGGCGGAGGTTGCAGTTAGCCAAGATCGCACCACTCTGCACTCCAGCCTGGGCAACAGAGTGAGACTCCGTCTCAAAATAAATAAATACATACATACATATATACATATCAAATTAACAAAAAAGAAAATCTATATTCTTAAAACTTCAAAAAGGTAAGATATTCTCTTTTGAACTGAGCTCTATAACTATAAAGATAAGAAACAGGTTAGAAAATGTTAAAAGGAAGAGATAAGACATTCCACAATGAATAGGTTTCTGAGTGGGTCTCTAAACTCAGTGTTGAAGCTGGTCTTAATCTGTCATATGCTGCAAACCATGATCTACAATATTTACAGATTATAGTTCAGACTTCTTACAAACCATCTGTCATCCAGGAAAGACATTCAAAATATTACATTAGATGCCAAAAAGAGAAAATTTGAATCTCACCTGCCACCTTCTCCTACAGCTGCAATTGCCTCCTGTGCCAGCTGCAGAGCAGTTTCCTGACTATACCAAAACTGGCTCAGTTGCTGTAACCGAGAAATAGGTTGATAGCATTTTAGAACTGGCATAAGCTTTGTTCTTTTAATTTATATATAATCTATACCAGTGGACAGATATTTTGTTCTTTTAATTTATATATAATCTATACCAGTGGACAGATATTTTTAAAAAGTTTTTCTTTTGAAAATTAATTTTTCTTCGAAATTACTTTAAATTAATACAAGCCCCTAATGAATTAATGAAATCTAGGCACTGAGTATCAACGGCTATTACCACCACAAAAGGAGACAACCAATGTTTTTCCCGATAGAACATACCCCTACCTTTGTGTGAGTTTTGCCAAAAAAATAAAATAGACCTTGAATCTGATTAAGCTTCTAGGTTCAACCAGCAATGAAGAGAATTACAAACACAGAGGATGGAAGAATGAGTTCACTAACACCAGAGGATGCAATCAGCAAAATCCAGACTGTGCTCCTTGCCCACAGCCTCATCTTACCTTATGCATGTTTCCTCAATTACTTGTTTTTCCCTTGGGGGCAAGTTTGTTTTTCATCTTGCTCCTTCTGCTTCATGCTGATTGGTGATTTTTAAAAAATTTCTAGTGATCTTTATCTATTCATAGTTATAAATTAAGCAGGAGTTTAATGGAAGAAGTAGCATGGTTTTCCTCTGCAATCCTACAAACCTATTTCTCCAACAGGCCTCTCTTCCCTGAATGGCAGGCTCGGGGCAGCCAGTTGCATGGGGCATGCCAACTGGGGGGTTCTCTGCTTTAAAAATCTGCCCTGTGTGGAAACAACTCAAGTGCCCATCAACTAATGGATAGAAAAAATGTGGTACACCCCTACAATGAAATATTATTTGGCCATAAAAAGGAACAGGGTACTGATATATGCTACATGGATGAGTCTTGGAAACATTACACTGAACGAAAGAAATCAGACACCAAAGGCCACATACTGTGTAATTCTGTTTATATGAAATGTCCCGAGTAGCAAGTCTACAAAGACAGTAGATTAGTGGTTGCCAGGTGTTGGGAGGATTGAGGGATTAGGAGGTGACAGCTGAAAAACATATGGTTTCTTTTAGACGCAACGAAAATGTTCTAAAATTGACTGTGGTGATAGTTGTGTGTCCGGAATTGGTGGGTTCTTGGTCTCACTGACTTCAAGAATGAAGCTGTGGACCCTCACGATGAGTGTGACAGTTCTTAAAGATAGTGTGCCCAGAGTTCCTTCCTTCTGATGTTCAGACGTATTCAAAGTTTCTTCCTCCTGGGGGGGTCGTGGTCTCGCTGGCTTCAGGAGTGAAGCTGCAGACCTTCGCCAAGAGGATTACAACTCCTAAGATGGCACATCTGGAGTTGGTAGTTCCTCCCATCCGAAGTTGTTCTTTGCTCCCAGTGGGTTGGTAACTTCGCTGGTTTCAGGAGTGAAGCTGGAGACCTTCACGGTGAGTGTTACAGCTCATAAAGGCAACGCAGACCCAAACAGTGAGCAGCAGTAACATTTATTGTGAGGAGCAAAAGAACAAACCTTCCACAGCATGGAAGGCAACCCAAGAGGGTTGCCGCCGCTAAGCAGGGGCAGCCTGCTTTTATTCCCTTATCTGACCCCACCCACATCCTGCTGATTGGTCCATTTTACAGAGAGCTGATTGGTCTGTTTTACAGAGAGCTGATTGGCCCATTTTATAGAGAGCTGATTGGTCTGTTTTGACAGGGTGCTGATTGGTGCATTTACAAACCTTGAGCTAGACACAGAGTGCTGATTGGTGCATTTACAATCCTCTAGCTAGACGTAAAAGTTCTCCAAGTCCCCACCAGATTAGCTAGACACAGAGCACTGATTGGTGCATTTACAAACCTTGAACTAGGCACAGAGTGCTGATTGGTGAGTTTACAATCCTTTAGCTAGACACAAAAGTTCTCCAAGTCCCCACTAGATTTGCTAGACACAGAGCACTGATTGGTGTGTTTACAATCTTTTAGCTAGATACAGAGTGCTGATTGGTGCATTTACAATCCTCTAGCTAGACATAAAAATTTTCCAAGTCCCCACCTGACTCAGGAGCCCAGCTGGCTTCACCTAGTGGATCCAGCACTGGGGCCACAGGCAGAGCTGCCCACCAGTCCCATGCCATGTGCCAGTGCTTCTCAGCCCTTGGGCAGTTGATGCGACTGGGCCCCGCAGAGAAGGGGCGGCACCCGTCAGGGAGGCTCAGGCTGCGCGGGAGCCCATGGTGGGGGAGGAGGCTCGGGCATGGTGGGTTGTAGGTCCTGAGCCCTGCCCTGCGGGGAGACAGCTGAGGGCCGGCGAGAATTCAAGCACAGCGCAGGTGGGCCGGTAGTGCTGGGATCCGGCGCACCCTCTGCAGTTGCTGGCCTAGGTGCTAAGTCCCTCACTGCCTGGGGGCCAGCGGTGCCAGCCGGCTGCTCCGAGTGCGGGGCCTGCCAAGCCCGCACCCACCTGGAACTCGTGCTGGACTGCGAGTGCCACGCACAGCCCCAGTTTCCGCCCACGTCTCTCCCTCCACACCTCCCTGCAAGCGGAGGGAGCCGGCTTCGGCCTCGGCCACCTCAGAGAGGGGCTCCCACAGTGCAGCAGCAGGCTGAAGGGCTCCTCAACAGTGGCCAGAGTGGGCGCTGAGGCCGAGGAGGTGCCAAGAGCAAGCGAGGGCTACCAGCACACTGTCACCTCTCAGTTGGACCTATCTGTGAATTTACTAAAAACCACTGACTTGCCGGGTGTGGTGGCTCACGCCTGTAATCCCAGCACTTTGGGAGGCCAAGGCGGGAGGGTCCTGAGGCCAGGAGTTGGAGCCAGCCCAGTCAACATGGTGAGACCCTGCTTCTACTAAAAATACAAAATATTAGCCAGGTGTGGTAGCATGTGCCTGTAATCCCAGCTACTCGGGAGACTGAGGCAGGAGAATCGCTTGAACCTGGGAGGCGGAGGTTGCAGTAAGCCAAGATTGCACCATTGCACTCCAGCCTGGGCGACAGAGGGAGACTCAGTCTCAAAACAAAAAAACCATTGACTTCTACACTTTTAAAAGGTGAATTTATGGTATGTGAATTATATCTCAACAAAACTGAGATCTGCTTAAATAAGGAGAGCTTTACTCAGAGTATGGAGGACTTTTGTGTACTTCCTTCCTGAATGGAGCTGCCTTTTTCCTTCTTTCTATGCTATGGTGGAGCTCTGGAGTTATCTTAGATTCTATTCTGTGTCTCTTTCTGGCTTTCCTACCCAAATTAGGGCATCCCAAAGCAGATTCTCCAGTTTGTTTAGTGAAAAATCCTCAGAGATTCAGCCTGGAGGTGAGTACCTCGGATTCTATGTATGCCTTCTGGATATGATCAGAAGAAGGGGAAGAGACCAACTGGCCCAAAGATGCCAGCAGGCCATCCTTTAATTACTCAAGCAGAAATCGGCCCATGAGCCACTTTTACCACTTATGTTCACAGGTTCTGAGTTTGGAACCCAGAGTCTCTGTTTCTTTTCTGGAAGACAGACTCTCATCTTTGCTCCAGTTCCCAGAGAGGCTGGTAGTTTTCTCTGCTGTTCCATAGACCATCTTACACCCACTTTCTTTCTTTTTTCCAGAAATTTACTGAAATTTCTGTCAATAGCATCCTTTGTTTGTTTGTTGTTTTTTAACATTGTAATTACTTTTTTTTTTTTTTTTTTTGAGATGGAGTCTTGCTCTGTCGCCAGGCTGGAGTACAGTGGTGCAATCTCAGCTCACTGCAACCTCCATCTCCCGGATTCAAGCAGTTCTCCTGCCTCAGCCTCCCGAGTAGCTGGGATTACAGGTGCACACCACCACACCCAGCTAATTTTTGTATTTTTAGTAGAGATGGGGTCTCATCATGTTGGCCAAGATGGTCTCAATCTCTTGACTTCGTGATCTGCCTCCTCAGCCTCCCAAAGTGCTGGGATTACAGGGGTGAGCCACCGCGCCCAGCCTGTAATTACTTTTTAAAAACATCTTTACTCTTCATTCAATGAAAGAGAAAAGTGATCATTCATATGACCAGTCTACCATCTTGAGTCAGAAGGTAACAATCTTACTTAGTACACAAATTTTACCTCTTCAGACTTAACTTTGTAACCTAACATTGTAAGACATCATAGCTGAGTTTCTTAAATAAAACTAAGAAACTTACACTTGACCCTTCCAGAGTTTATTTCCCTTTTGATAGTGATTTAATTATTCCTGTTACAAACATGCTACAATGAGTATTCTAAATATTCCTTTTTGTATACATGTGCATATAAAAATCTCTGTGTAGAGATTTTTAGAAATGGAATTCGTGGTTGAAGGGCATATACAGTTAATATTTTGGTAGATATTGCCAAATTGCCCTCCAAAAAGGTTGGACCAATTAAAATGACTACTAACATTTTACTCTTAATTTGCATTTCCCTGTTGTACAGTTGAGTATCTTTTCCTATATTTAATTTTTATTTTTATTTTTATTTTGTCAATTGTTGCTAGCATTCCCTAATTTTCCACTGGGTTTACTGTTTTATTATTGATTTGTAGAAGATCTTTATACAGTCTTTGAGAAAAAAAAAATGACAGGTGTCAAATAGAACTAGCTTGCAACTAGGACCTAGGCCCAGATGTTCCCTACTTAACAGAAACTATTTCAAAGAACACCAACATCAGACTGAGTTATTCCTGTGATGGGGCAAGATAAAAATATGACCATTCTGTAATCACATCTGAGTACAGATAAAACAAGAACACTGTGCAAATCACAAAAATGACCATGAATGTCTCTTTCCCAGGTAACATGAGTGCCTGCTGATACTTTACCAATTACACCTTTAACTCCATTTGATTCCTCCCACCTCCTACATAATAATTATTCTGGCTTTCTGACAAAGTTGCTCCAACACCTAACGCAAGCCAAACTCACAGAATAATCTCCTCTTAGCTGCCTCTTACTGAGCTGTCCCACAGGCTGCCCATGGTCCTCAGCCTCTCTTGTTGCAACAAGTAACAGACCCCACTCTGTTTGCCTACAGGTGTGTTTCCTGGTATCTTTGGCTGGTGGGCATGGACATCTGGATATTAATCCTTTGCTCTCATGCATGAGACAAATATTTTCTCCTCGTCTTTCTCTTGTCTCTTAAACTTGTTTATGGTATCTTCTGTTATCAATACGTTTATTTTGTCAATGTTATCAATCTTCTCCTTTATGATTCTTAGTTTTGAGTTGTTTTTCTACCTTAGATCATAAAATATTATCCTATATTTTCTTTTAATACTTTTATTATTTACTTTTATTGAGACAGAGTCTCACTCTGTTGCCCAGCCTGGAGTGCAGTGGCGCAATCTCAGCTCACTACAACCTCCACCTCCGAAATTGAAGCGATTCTCCTGCCTCAGCCTCCCAAGTAGCTGGGATTACAGGTGTCCATTACTGGGCCTGGCTAATTTTTGTATTTTTAGTAGAGAGGAGGTTTCACCATGTTAACCAGGCTGCTCTCAAACTCCTGACCTCAAGTGATCTGCCTGCCTTGGCCTCCCAAAGTGCTGGGATTATAAGCGTGAGCCAACGTGCCTGGCTAATACTTTTATTATTTTTATGTTTAGCTTTTTAATCCACCTTGACTTTAATTTTGTGTGTGGATTATAAAGATTGAATTTTTTTTTCCAAATCTAGGATGCATCAGGACTCAATTTACATCTGTCACTTTCTCTCAGTGGGTTTCCTTGACTTCCCCTCCACCTCAAAAGTCTGGGGAGGTGTCTTGCATTTTGCTCCCCATTTTGCTCCAATCATCACTTTTGTCTTAGAATAGTTTGCTTGAGAGCAAGGGCAGTGTTTTATTTATTGTTACACTACACTTGACCTTGTGCTTTTTTTTTTTTTTTCTCGTATTTTTATTTTACTTTAAGTTCTGGGATACATGTGCAGAATGTGCAGGTTTGTTGCATAGGTATACATATGCCATGGTGGTTTGGGGCACTAATCAACCCATCATGTAGGTTTTAAGCCCCACATGCATGAGGTATTTGTCCTAATGCTCTCCCTTCCCTTGTCCCCCACCCCCTGACAGGCCCCACTGTGTGATGTTCCCCTCCCTATGTCCATGCCATGTGTTCTCATTGTTCAATTCCCACTTATGAGTGAGAACAAGCGGTGTTTGGTTTTCTGTTCCTGTGTTAGCTTGCTGAGAATGATGGCTTCCACCTTCATCCATATCCCTGCAAAGGACATGAACTCATCCTTTTTTATGGCTGCATAGTATTCCATGGTATATATGTGCCACATTGTCTTAATCCAGTCTGTCACTGATGGGCATTTGGGTTGGTTCCAAGTCTTTGCTACTGTAAACAGTGCTGCAATAAACATATGTGTGCATGTGTCTTTATAGCAGAATGACATAATCCTTTGGGTATATGCCTAGTAATGAGTCAAATGGTATTTCTCGTTCTAGAGCCTTGAGGAATCGCCACACTGTTTTCCACAATGGTTGAACTAATTTACACTCCCACCAACAGTGTAAAAGCATTCCTATTTCTCCACAGCTGTGCCAGCCTGTTGTTTCCTGACTTTTTAATAATCACCATTCTAACTGGAGTGAGATGGTATCTCGTTGTGGTTTTGATTTGCATTTCTCTAATGACCAGTGACGTTGAGCTTTTGTTCATATGTTTATCAGTCACATAAATGTCTTCTTTCCTTTCGAGAAGTGTCTGTTCACATCCTTTGCCCACTTTTTGATGGGGCTGTTTTTTTCTTGTAAATTTGTTTATGTTCCTTATAGATTCTGGATATTAGACCTTTGTCAGATGAGTAGATTGCAAAAATTTTCTCCCATTCTGTAGGCTGCTGTTCACTCTGACGATAGTTTCTTTTGCTCTGCAGAAGCTCTTTAGTTTAATTAGATCCCATTTGCCAATTTTGGCTTTTGTTGCCATTGCTTTTGGTGTTTTAGTCATGAAGTCTTTGCCCATGCCTATGTCCTGAATGGTATTGCCTAGGTTTTCCTCTAGGGTTTTTATGATTTGGGGGTTTTACATTTAAGTCTTTAATTCATCTTCAGTTAATTTTTTTATAAGGTGTAAGGAAGGGGCCCAGTTTCTCTTTTCTGCATATGGCTAGCCAGTTTTCCCAGCATCCTTTATTAAATAGGGAATCCTTTCCCCATTGCTTGTTTTTGTCAGGTTTGTCAAAGATCAGATGGTTGTAGATATGTGGTGTTATTTCTGAGATCTCTGTTCTGTTCCATTGGTCTATATATCTGTTTTGGCAACAGTGCCATGCTGTTTTGGTTACTAGCCTTGTAGTATAGTTTGAAGTCAGGTAGTGGATGCCTCCAGCTTTGTTCTTTTTGCTTAGGATTGTCTTGGCTATACGGGCTCTTTTTTCTTTCCATATGAAATTTAAAGTAGGTTTTTCTAATTCTGCAAAGAAAGTCAATGGTAGCTTGATGGGAATAGCATAGAATCTATAAATTACTTTGGGCAGTATGGCCATTTTCAAAATATTGATTCTTCCTATCCAAGGGCATGGAATTTTTTTCCATTTGTTTATGTTCTCTCTTATTTCCTTGAGCAGTAGTTTGTAGTTCTCCTTGAAGAGGGTCCTTCACGTCCCTTGTAAGTTGTATTCCTAGGTATTTTCTTCTCTTTGTAGCAACTGTGAATGGGAGTTCACTCATGATTTGGCTCTCTGCTTGTCTATTATTGGACCTTTTAAAAGGTTTATCTGGATGGTCTTACTAATATGGAATGGTTCTAAATCACTCAAAACAAGATGGCAGGCCAGGCACGGTGGCTTACGCCTGTAATCCCAGCACTTTGGGAGGCTGAAGTGGGTGGATCATGAGGTCAGGAGTTCAAGACCAGCTTGGTCAAGATGGTGAAACCCCATCTCTTCTAAAAATACAAAAATTAGCTGGGCATGGTGGCAGGAGCCTGTAATCCCAGCTACTTGGGAGGCTGAGGCAGAGAACTGCTTGAACCTGGGAGGCAGAGGTTGCAGTAAGCCGAGATTGTGCCACTGCACTCCAGCCTGGGTGACAGAGCGAGACTACATCTCGAAAAAAATAAAAATAAAAATAAAAATAAAACAAGATGGCATTCAAAATGACTATAACAATTAAAACAAGGTACAATTCAAAGTGGCACGTGGTATGAATGAAAACATTAATAACACATCTTTAAACCAATAAATATTTACTGAATATAATGAAAAAGAGAATTGCTTCAAATATTTCCCATCTGGATGTCTGCATGCTATTTATTGAATATTCACTCATAAGTCCACGTTTAAAATATTTCCAAAGACAAATATACATATATACATGTGGGTATATGTATTAATTCATATCTACATCTGTCTATCCATTATTTTTTTTTTTTAGACAGAGTCTCACTCTTGTCACCCAGGCTGGAGTGCAATGGCACAATGTCGGCTCACTGCAGCCTCCACTTCCCAGGTTCAAGTGATTCTCCTGCCTCAGCCTCCCAAGTAGCTGGGATTACAAGTCCATGCCACCACACCTGGCTATTTTTTGTATTTTTAGTAGAGACGGGGTTTCACCATGTTGGTCAGGCTGGTCTCGAACTCCTGACCTTGTGATCCACCTGCCTTGGCTTCCCAAAGTGCTGGGATTAGAGGCATGAGGCACCGTGCCTGGCCATGTCTATCCATTCTTATCTACAGGAAAAATGGCAGCTCTGACCTCTACCTCTGCAAAGGACATCTGGAAGAAAGCCCCTAGCATACAGAGAATGGAAGGGCTTTGAGTTCACTTGATTTCGGAGGTGGCAGACAGTATCTGCTATCATGCACCGTAAGTGGTAAGAGTTGTCTGCTGGTTTACTACTGAACTGCCCTTCTTCCTCACTCCAACACCATCAGGGCACAATGATAGATTTTGGCTCTCCTCATATCATTCCATAAAGATAAAGAGTCCCACTCCATTTTTTAAGATATCTGAAATACAACCTTATTCTGATTCTAAATGAAAAGGAATAAGAATGACAGTAACAAACAAGATTTCACCACTGAGCATTGTGATGTGATTGTAGCAGTCTTGTATTTGAAACTCAAGAAGGAATCAACTGCATTCCAAAACAGCTAAATATGCAAGTCTGAACAATTAAGGTATTTTTAAAATGGTGACATTTACTTTGAAGCCCATTCATCTCCAGCATCCCACAGATGAAGCACACGTTCCACTTACCTACATAATAAATGGGCACATTTGTTACCTACATAATAAATGTTGCACTGCTGATATCACAGGACAAATAAAACTAGACTTCTGATGCTAGGCTCCAGCTTCATTCTCACAGGTTATCACCCTCATCAGGGAGATGATGATCTCTGAACAACTTCTATTTAAATCGTGCTCATATTGCACTGTTGATGCTGAGTCCATGACAGCCTCTGATGGGGCAAGGGCAGGTATGGCAACAAACTCCAAGTTAGGGTCTCCAATAAGCTTCCTAGCAAGCCAGAGGAAGAGCTTTTCAAAGTTGCAGTAACTTTTGGCAGAAATGTCATAGTACTGAAGATTCTTCTTTTGGTGGAAGAGAACGGATTTTGCCTTCACTTTCCTGTCCTTTATACCCACTCAGTTGCCCTCAACACAATGGGGATGTTTTCACATAAACGTACCAGATCTCTGTGCCAGTTAGGCACATTCTTTTTTTTTTTTTTTTTTTTTGAGATGGAGTGTCTCTCTGTCACCCAGGCTGGAGTGCAATGGCACGATCTCAGCTCACTGCAGCCTCCACCTCCCGGGTTCAAGAGATTCTTCTGCCTCAGCCTCCCAAGTAGCTGGGATTACAGGCACATGCCACCATGCCTGGCTAATTTTTCTATTTTTGTAGAGACGGGGTTTCACCATGTTGGCCAGGCTGGTCTTAAACTCCTGACCTCAGGTGATCTGCCCACCTCGGCCTCCCAAAGTGCTGGGATTACAGGCGTGAGCCACCACAGGATCTCGGCACATTCTTGTAAGTAACTCTCGATATCACATCAAACATTATAATGGCATGCTGGGCTTGGATATAATAGCCATCTCTCACTCCACCAAATTTCTTCTGGCCAGCTGTATCCCATACAATGAATGGGTCCTCTGTTGGTGTGCAACACAAGGCAATGAACCTCAATACCCAAGGTAGCTATGTACGTCTCAAATTCACCAACTGACATTTCATAAATCTAGTTTTTCCAGTACCACCATCACCAACCAATACAAGTTTGAACTGGACTTGGGACTCTCCTTGGGCAGTCATCATGATGTTCCTTCCAGAATCGTCTTTGTGCCTGTCCAACTGAGGAGAACCCTGCCCTTAATATGTTACATGAACATGGCTTTAAAAGTCAAAAGCAGGCCGGGCGCAGTGGCTCACGCCTGTAATCCCAGCACTTTGGGAGGCCGAGGCGGGCGGACCATGAGGTCAGGAGATTGAGACCATCTGGCTAACATGGTGAAACCCCGTCTCTACTAAAAATACAAAGAAATTAGCCGGGCATGGTGGCGGGCGCCTGTAGTCCCAGCTACTCAGGAGGTGAGGCAGGAGAATGGCGTGAACCCAGGAGGCGGAGCTTGCAGTGAGGCGAGATCGCGCCACTGCACTCCAACCTGGGCGACAGAGCTAGACTCCGTCCAAAAAAAAAAAAAAAGTCAAAAGCACTACTAGGCTTATAAAGAAAAACAATAGTCTTCTATCCCATGACCCCCTGCCATTGAGCCTCACTCCTCAGAAGCAACCATTTTCAATTCTTGGCTCTTTCTCTGATCATTTATTGCCACATCTCTAAATACTACGTTTTAAATGCTATCCCTTGATAATCCACCTATATATACTATGGATTTATTATGATAGATGAGGATTTTTGCTCTCTCATACACATCATTTGCCTTTTCTTCACCCTCCTAATGTATAGTTGTTTTTTTTTGGTTTTTTTTTTTTTTTTTTTTTGAGACAGAGTCTCACTCTGTCACCCAGGCTGGCATGCAGTGGCATGATCTCGGCTCACTGCAACCTCTGCCTCCCAGGCTCAAATGATCCTCCCACCTCAGGCTCCCAAGTAGCTGGGACTACAGGCACGCGCCACCATACCTGGCTAATTTTTGTATTTTGAGTAGACATGGGATTTGCCATGTTGGCCAGGATGGTCTCAAACTCCTGACCTCAGGAGATCTACCCCGCTAGGCCTCTCAAAGTGGGTAGAATTACAGGCGTGAGCCATCGTGCCCAGCCCCAATGTAGTTTTAAAGCAAGTTTTGGTTAGTTAGAATTAAGTGTCAGTGTTCATTATTGAGCCAAGTGGTATACTATAATTGCTTTTCCTTTCAGTAGAATTCCTTTTTGTTTTTCCTAGAGTAAGTAAATGCATGACTGTTTCATTTGCTTGGTTAGTTTATATTTATCCCTAATTCTTCTAACATCCTCTATTGGCCTTTCAATACAATTTTCTACATATTGGATATCCTATCACTTTTGTATTTCCCCTGAAGATCTCTGTCCTGGAACACACCATCCTCCTACTACAATGTAGATTGGCTGCTCTCCAGACTTGCAGCACAACCATTACACTGGGACATTCTGTGTCACCATCATCCTGGGAATTCCCTCTCCTACTATATGCATCAGATTTCCTATTCCTTGGAGCTCATGTCTTCTTTCTTCTCACTTGCAGCAAACCCTCCTGCAGCTCTTGAGAAGTACACAAGAGGTCAATGTAATGAGACTTGTCATATCTAAAATGTTTTTATTTTATCCTCACACGAGTAATAGTTTAGCTGGGTATAGAATTCTAGGCTACAGTTGGGTGTGGTAGTATGTGTATAATCCCAGCTACTCAGGAAGCTGAGTTGAGGATTGCTTGAGCCCAGGAGTTTGAGACTAGCCTGGGCAACATAGTGAGACTCCATTTCAAAAAAAGAAAGAAAAGAAAAGGAAAAATAATTCTAGGGTGAACAAAATTTTCACTCAAAATATTGAATGTATCACTCTATTTTTAAAAGTTTCTAATAAAGCTATTGAGAAGTGCAATGTAACTCATAGTCCGAAGACTTTGTAGGAGACCGTTTTTCTTCTGGAAGGCTCTAGGATGTTCTTTGTCATCTGTATCCAGAATTTTCATAATCATCATAATCATGTATCTTAATGAGGGTCTTCAGTTCTGGGAAATTTCTAATATTCTTTAAAGCTTTCCTTCCCTCTTCATTTTTTGTTCTGTTTTTCTGGAATCTTATTTGTTGAATATTGAGCCTCCTGGATTTATCTGCTAGTTTTCCAATGTCTTCTTTCCTATTTGTACATATTTATGGGATACATGTGATATTTTGTTACATGCACAGAATGTGTAATGATCAAGTCAGGGTACTTAGGGTATCCATCACCTTGAGTATTTATCACCTGTTGGGAACATTTCAAGTCCTCTCTGCTAGCTATATTGCAATATACAATACACTAATTGTTAACTATAGTCACCCTACTGTGCTATAGAACATCAGATCTTATTCCTTCTATTTAGCTATATGGTTGTACTCATTTACCAATCTCTTTTCATCACCCCCACCCCACCTTCCCAGCCTCTGGTATCTATCATTCTATTCTCTATCTCCATGACATCAACATTTTTAGCCTTCGCATATAAGAACATGCAATATTTGTCTTTCTGTGCCTGGCTTATTTCACTTAACATAATGACCTCCCGTTCCATCCACTTTGCTGCAAATGACATAATTTCACTACTTTTTATGGCTAAACAGTATTCCATTGTGTATATACACCACATTTTCTTTATCCATTAATTTATTGACGGACAGGTTGATTCCTATCCTTGTTATTGTGAATAGTGCTGCAAGAAACATGAGGAGCAGGTACGTTTTTGATATACTAATTTCTTTTCCTTTGAATAAATGTTCAGTAGTGAGACTGCTAGGTCATATGGTAATTCTGGTTTTAGTTTTTTGAGAAATCACCATACTGTTTTCCACAGTAGCTATAGTAATTTACATTCCCACCAACGGTGTATAAGAGTTCCCTTTCCTCCACACCCTTACCAGTACCTGGTATTTTTAATCTTTTTAACAATAGCCATTCTGGGATAACATTACATCTCACTGTGGTTTTGATTTGCATAACTTTAATGATTAGTAATGTTGAGCTCTTCCTCATATACCAGTTGGCCATTTGTATGTCTTCTTTTGAGAAATGTCTATTCAGGTCCTTTGCCCATTTTAATGGGATTATTTGGTTTTGAAATTTTAGTTGAGTTTCTTATATATTCTAGATACGAGTCCCTTGTCAGATGAATAGTTTTCAAATATTTTACACATCTCAATGGGTTGCCTCTCCATTCTGCTGATTGTTTCCTTTGCTGTGTAGAAGCATTTAAATATCATAGAGTCCCATTTGTCTATTTTTGTTTCTTGTGCTTTTGAGGTCTTAGCCATGAAATCTTTGCCTAGACCAACGTTCTGAAGTGTGTCCCTTATGTTTTTGTCTAGAAGTTTTATAGTTTCAGGATATATGCTTACGTCTAATCCATCTTGAGTTGACTTTTGCATATGGTGAGAGATAGGGGTCCTGTTTCATTCTTCTGCATATGGATATCTAATATTTCTAGCACCATTTATTGAAGAGGTGTCCTTTCCCCTTGGCACCTTTGTCAAAAATCAGTTGGCTATAGATATGTGGATTAATTTCTGGGTTCTCTATTCTGTTCCATTGGTCTATGTGTCTGTTGTAATACCGATACCATGCTGTTTTGGTTACTACAGCCTTGTAACATCATTTGAACTCAGGTAGTGTGATGCCTCCACCCTTGTTCTATTCGCTCAGGATTGCTTTGGCCATTCAGGCTGTTTTTGGGTTCCACAGGAATTTCAGGACTTTTTTTTTTCTGTGAAAAATGACATTAGTATTGATAGGGATTGTACTGGATATATACATTGCTTTGGGTATAATCATTTTAACTACGATTATTCTTTCAATCCGTGAGCACGGGATGTCTTTCCATTTGTTGGTGTCTTCAATTTCTTTCCTCAGAGTTTTGTAGTCTTCCTTGTAGACACCTTTCACCTCCTTGGTTAAATTTATTACTAGGTATTTCTTTTTTTTGTAGCTATTGTAAACAGGATTGCCTTCTCGATTTCTTTCTCAGCTAGTTCATTACTGGTGTATGGAAATGCTACTGATTTTTGTATGTTGATTTTGTATCCTGCAATCTTATTGAATTTATAAGATCTAAAAGTTTTTTCCTGGAGTCTTTAGGTTTCTCTAGGTGTAAGATCATGTCATGTCATCTATAAAGAGGGACAATTTGACTTCCTCTTTTCCAATTTAGATGCTTTTTATTTCTTTTTGTTGCCCGATTGTCCTAGTTAGGACTTCCAGTACTATGTTAAATAGCAGTGGTGGAAGTGGGCATGCTTATCTTATTCCTGATCTTAGAGGAAAGACTTTCAGCTTTTCCCCATTCAGTATGATGTTAGCTGTGGGTTTATCATATATAGCCTTTATTATGATGAGGTATGTTCCTTTATGCCTAGTTTGTTGAGAGTTTTTATCATGAAGGGATGTTGAATTTTTTAAAATGCTTTTTCTGCAGCTATTGAGATGATCATATAACATTTGTCCTTCAGTCTGTTGATGTGGTGTATTATGTTTGTTGATTTGCAGGTGTTGAACCTTCCTTGAATCTCCAGGATAAATCCCACTTAATCATGGTGTAATTTTTTTTGATGTACTATTGGGTTCTATTTACTAGTATTTTGTTGAGGACTTTTGTGTCTATATTCATCTGGGATACTGGCCTGTAATTTTCTTTATTTCTTACATTATTGTCTGGTTTTGGTGTCAGGATAATGCTGGCCTCATAGAATGAATTAGGGAGAATTCTCTCCACTTCAAACTTCTGGAATAATTTAAAGATAATTGGTATTGATTATTCTTTTTAAGTTTGGTAGAATTCAGCAGTAAAGTCATCTGGTCCTGGACTTCAGTTGTAATGTCCCCTTTATTTCTGATTTTATTTATTTTTGTCTTTTGTTTTTTTTTCTTGGTTAGTCTAGCTAGTAGTTTACTGGTTTTCCCTATGTTTTCAAAAAGCCAACTTTTCATTGATCCATTGAATATTTTTTATTCTGCATTTTGTTTGGTTCTGTCTGCTCTTCATTATTTCTTTCCTTCTACTCATTTTGGGACTGGTTTGTTCTTGCTTTTCTAGTTTCTTAAGGTGCATTGTTAGATTATTTATTTGAAACCTTCCTACTTTCTAGATGTAGATTTTTATTGCTATAAACTTCACTCTTAGCACTGTTTTTGCTGTATTCCATAGATTTCGGTATGTTGTGTTTTGATTTTCCATTGTTTCAGGAAATTTTTGGACTTCCTCTTTAATTTCATCCCTGACCTAATGATCATTCAGGAGCATATTTAAATTCCCTGTATTTTTAGTTTCCAAAGTTTCTCCTGTTATTGATTTCTAGTTTTATTGTGTTATGACCTGAGAAGATATCTGACATTTCAATTTTTCAAAAATTGTTGAGACTTGTTTTCTGTCCAAACATAACCACATGGAACTGGAGAAGGTTCCATGTGATGATGAGAAGAATGCATATTCTGTAGCTGTTGGATGCTATGTTCTACAAACGTCTCTTAAGTCCATTGGTCTAAAGTGCAGTTTAAATACAATGTTTCTTTGTTAATTTTCTATGTAGATGATCTATCTAATGTTGGAGTATCCAGCTATTACTGTATTCGTGCCTATCTCTCCTTTTAGATGTAATAAGATCTGCTTTATACCTCAGATGCTCCAGTGTTGGGTCCATATATGTTTGGAATCATTGTTTACTCTAGCTGAATTGATCCCTTTATCATTATATGATAACCTTGTTTCTTTGTACTGTTTTTTTACTTAAAATCTGCTTTATCTGATATAAGCACAGCTAGTCCTGCTTGTTTTTGGCTTCCTTGTGCATGGAATATCTTTTTTTTTCCATCCCTTTACTTTCAGTCTGTATGTCTTTACAGGTGAGATGAGTTTCTTGTAGGCAGCATATAGGTGGATCAGGTTTTTTTTTCTTTAAATCTGTTCAGGCAGTCTCTATCTTCTAAGAGGAAAGTGTAATCCATTTACATTCAAGGTTGTTGTTGATATGTGAGGGCTTATTCCTATCATTCTATTAATTTATTTCTGGTTACCTTGTATATCCTTTGTTCCTTTCTTTCTCTCTTATTGTTTGTCATTATGGTTTGGTGGTTTTCTGTGTTTGCTTTACCAGTGGGTTTTATACTTTAGTGTATTTCCATGATGGTAGATTTCATCCTTTTGCTTCAATGCATAGGACTCCTTTAAGTATTTCTTGCAGGGCTGGTCTAGAGGTGATGAATTTCCTCAGCTTTTACTTGTCTGGGAGTCTTGATTTCTCCTTCATTTATGAAGAATAATTTTGCTGGGTATAGAATCTTTTGTTGGCAGTTTTTTTTTCTTTTTTTTTCTTTCAATATTTTGAATATATCACCCCATTCCCTCCTGGCATGTAAGATTTCTGCTGAGAATATGCTGTTAGTCTGATGAAGTTTCCCTTTTAAGTGACTAGTCACTTTTGTCTTGCTGTTTTTAGAATTCTCTCTTTGACTTTTGACTTCTGACAGTTTGACAATAATGTGGCATGAAGAATGCTTTTTTGAATTTAATCTGTTTGGGAATCTCTAAGCTTCCTGTATCTGGATGTGTTAATCTCTTGCTAGACTTGGGAAGTTTTCAGCTATTATTCCATGAAATAGGTTTTCGATCTCTTTTGTCTTCTCTTTGCCTTCTGGGACCCTGAAAAATTTTTAAAAGCCGGGCACAGTAGCTCCTGCCTGTAATCCCAGTACTTTGGGAGGCCAAGGCAGGCAGATCATTTCAAGGCCAGCCTGGCCAACATGGTAAAACCCTGTCTCTACCAAAAATACAAAAAAAAAAAAAAAAAAAAAAATCACTAGGTGTAGTGGCACATGCCTGTAGGCACAAGAATCGCTTGAACCAGGGAGGCAGAGGTTGCAGTGAGCCGAGATGGCACCACTGCACTCCAGCCTGGGTGACAGAGTGGGACTCCGCCTCGGAGAAAAAGAAAATTAAAAAAAAAAATTGGCCACTTATGGTTTTCCTTTACGTCATGTAGGGGAAGATGGAGCCAGGCTGAGCAGGCCTGTACTCAGGATTCCAGGTGGGAACAGCAGTAGCTGTGCTATTCTTAGGGAGGGTGGTGTGGCTTTCAGTGGCAGCAGCCATAAACAGGAGGTTGGGAAGTGCACACTTTGGCTCTAGTCATGGCTATAAGCAGGGTAGCTTTTCCTAGGGGAACTTTTAATTGTGCAGTGATCCTGCTACTACTGGCAGTGGGGTTGCTTTGCTGCCAATGGCTCACACTTCAGCCCTGGTGGCAGCAGACCACAGCAACCTCAGCTGAGTCTGGGGGAAGTCAATGGGGCTCCAGAGATGTGGAGATGCAGGGGCTGCTGGGTGTCATGGCAGGATGCAGTCTTGTGGGAGCTGGGCTTTCAAAATGGTGCCTTGTGTGGGACTTGGCATGTGCTCCCTATCTGGAGCAAAGCCATCACGTGGTCTCCAGGCAGTTCCCTATGTTTGCCTCAGGGCCTTCATGGGCCAAAAGGGCTCTTCTGTGGCTAGAACTGCAGAATCCTTGGTGGGAATATAAACTGCTAGAAGTCACTCACTTAGCCTTTCCCCACAATGGGGAGCCTCTCCAGGATCCTAATTGATCCCTGTCAAGCAGGCTGCCTCACTTCCTCTCCTTCCTCACCTTAGGTGTTTCCTGTCACTTCCCTGTTGAATTCCAGCATTCTCTCTAAGGTAGTCTATTTGAAGTGAGATTATTGGCTCAATATTTTGGTTCTTATTTGTGGAGGAGGCAAGTACCCAATACCTCTAGTCAGACATCATGGCTAAATCTTGTCTGTCAATTTTTATGCTTTCTATATTTCCTCAATTTTATAATCAAACCAAAGTTTCAAAATTAGAAAAGGTGTTAATTCTAAGCAGTGGGATTGGACTAGTTTTCATAATTAGAAAAAAAGTACATAGTATTTTAAAAATTAAGCAGAAGGAAAAAAGAAAAAGACAGACCACCTCAAGAATAATGCAGTACTTCAAATTTCCTATATTTGTTAGTTACAGAAGCATCAAGCTAGAAGGTAAACAGACATAAAGAAGGGAAACAGTGAGAAAGAGGCTTTAGAATAAGTGGAACATGTGGAATAAATGGAAATAAAAATGTTTATCACAGTTAGTTTCAAACAGGGTAAATAGGAAAAGTTTATATAACTCAGAGATCCAAACTAGACACAAAAATATTAAAGACTATCAAAAAATGATAAGCATACAGAAGCTTCCTTCCAGTTGCAAAGTGTTGAAGATACACCTATTATCAAGGGGTAGTCACAGACAAACTTCAAGCCTTTTCTGTTTCCCAACTATTTCCTTTAAAAAAAAAAATTATAGGTTCCAGGTCATGTTAGGAGTTTCCTTCAACTCATTTTTTTCTAATCCCTATTGTAATTCAGATGATAAAAATATAATTGAAATATACATTATACACCAGAAACTATTAGTATCTTCTTTAAATTTCCTTCTCATCAATTTTTCAATACATGTTTAAGTTCAGTTCCCCAATTTCCGGCAATGATAATATTTTCTCTTTCCACCAGGATTTCTGGGGTCCATAAAAACCGGTGGGGTGTATCTGTAGCCAAAAATGAAGCAGAAGTTTGTATTGGATGTAATAACGTATTATTGACAGAGGCAGACAAATGCCTAGGCAGATGGGGTGGGTCCCCAGTAAAACCCCGCCTCCAAGATGAAGACAGTTTAAAGCCTGAAAGCCAAGCTACAAGTTAAATCCTTGGACCAGATTGAGAACTTGTCTTCCTGTTTGCACACTTTCCTCTGATTGTTCTCCACCCTTTACCTATTTTACATATACTTACCCTTTCCTACTTGTTTTTTCTACACTGTTGTGCCCACCTTTGAGTGGTGCCTTCACCTTTACCTTTTTTGCATACTCACAAACCAACAGCACACACTCCCCATTCTGAGTCCATAAAGGGCCCCAGACCCAACCACATGGGGTAACCATCCCCTAAACCTGCATCCCGTCTCTGCTGAAAGCAGTTTTCATCACTCATTAACATTCTTCCCCACCCTCTTCACCCTCCAATGTCCCTCATATCCTCATTCTTCTTGGACGCAGTAGAAGAACTTGGGAACCGCCGAACGTGGGTACGAGCTATAACACAGCCAAGCTGGGGCACACCAGCGTGGCCGAGCAAGGCCCAGGAGGGGTGTTGCCAGCTGAGGGTCCCCGGCTTGCAAAGTGACCAAGAGGAGAAATCCTGCATCATTATCTCCTTATCTGAAAAACCCCATCTTCTGATCACCAACCAGCCTGATAGTCAGAATCAAGAACAGCTGTTCAAGAAAAGCTGTTACACTGTTCTAAAATGTTCACTGACTGCTTTCTGTCTTAGCTCCCCATAGAGAAGTTCAGATCCCAAATGACAGGTGACAGAGATTCCGGTTTTAGGTGAGACAGACAAACACTGGACTAATGCACAGAGTAGGTTCCACATCAATACTTCCTGATGGCTGTGAAATGCATTTACTTACCCAATTCTCTTCTATTATTCCAATGTTATATTTATCATCCTCGCCTGGCTCAATTTGTTGCTTTTGCTCAGCATAAAATTCCTGGAGAGCTGCTAAGGCATGGGCAGAAAGCTGGGGTGTCTCATCATCTTCCAAATCACTCATTTCACAAGTTGTTTATAACCTGCAGATCAAGAAATAAATGTTCTGTGCAGATTTTGTTTCCCCTTCCCAGCCAGTAATAATTTTTAAAAATTTTTATTTAACAGCAAGGATCCAAACTGAAGTGAGTTTTATACAAGTAAACCAAAAATAAAATTCTAAGCCCCCCAGCCAACTGAATAAATCCCTCTTCTGTGGCCAAGTAAACCTGAAAAACCAGGCCACGATGGGAAGGACATGTCTCATTATACTCTCCTTCCTTTGTAATTCAGACACAACTGACCAGTATAAACATTAAAACAGAGATCTTAAGAGTGACAAAACAGACTCTTTGTAGCAATAAGATATCAAATTCCAATCTGACTCTAGTATAGTACACACAACAGGTAACAGGCCCCGAAAGAAGTTGAAGTATTTTATCCCCAAATATATTTTTTGACATATTTTGAAATGGCCCTGCAAAGCTGTCTCCTGTGGAGAAAATCTACAAACTGCAGATAATCCCCTTCCCTTTCCAGGTCTTCTCCTGACCCAGGAGAAATTAATTAAGAGTCTGGCACCTTTTTCGGTCTGATAGAGGCATTTTAGCATCTATTCTCTCTGAAGCCTGCTGCCTGCAGGTTTCATCTACATAATAATAAGAACCTTGGTCTCCAGAACCCCTTATCTTAATCCAGACACTCCTTTCCATTGATTCCAAGATAATAACTTAACTCTTTCAACCAACTGCCAATCAAAACAATTTTTGAATCTACCTATGACCAGGAAGCCCTCCACTTCCAGTTGTCCTGCCTTTCTGGACCAAACCAATATATGCCTTACATGTACTGATTGATGTCTTATGTCTCCTTAAAATATATAAAGCCAATTTCTTCTGAATAATTTTATTTATATACATACAATAAACAAATTATGGCATATAAATCAAGTATCAGTATTTTGGCTAGCTTATATATCCTCAGTATGAAAAACAGATGGTCGACATAAGAGTAGATCATACTGCCCAAAGCAATCTACAGATTCAATACAATTCCTAACAAATTACAAACATCATTTTTCACAGAATTAAAAAAAATTCTAAAATTCATATGGAACTAAAAAAGAGAATGAATAGCCAAAGCAATCCTAAGCAAAAAGAACAAAGCTAGAAGCATCCCACTACCTGACTTCAAACTATACTACAAGGCTATAATAACCAAAACAGCATGGTACAGATAAAAAAACAGATACATAATCAATGGAATACAATAGAGAACCCAGAAATAAAGCCACACACGTACAATCAACTGGTCTTCGATCAAGTCAACAAAAATAAACAATGGGGAAAGGATATTCTATTCAATAAATGGTGCTGGGAAAACTAGCTAGCCATTTGCAGAAGAGTAAAACTGGACGCCTACCTCTCACCAGATAGAAACATTAACTCAAGATGTATTAAAGACTGAAATGTCACACCTGAAACTATAAAAACTCAAGGAGAAAACTTAAGAAAAAACTCTTTGGACATTGGCTTAGGCAAAGAATTTATGACAGACCTCAAAAGTAATTGCAACAAAATCAAAAATTGACCAATGGTAAAGCTCTGCACAGCAAAAGCAACAATCAACAAAGTAAACAGACAACCTACAGAATCAGAAAAAATATTTGCAAACTATGCATCCAACAAAGGAGTAATATGCAGAATCTATAAGAAACTTAAATCGGCCGGGCGCCGTGGCTCACGCCTGTAATCGCAGCACTTTGGGAGATGGAGGCGGGTGGATCATGAGGTCAGGAGATCGAGACCATCCTGGCTAACACAGTGAAACCCCGTCTCTACTAAAAAATACAAACAATTCGCCAGGCATGGTGGCGGGCATCTGTAGTCCCAGCTACCCGGGAGGCTGAGGCAGGAGAATGGCGTGAACCTGGGAGGCGGAGCTTGCAGTAAGCCGAGATGGCGCTACTGCACTCCAGCCTGGGTGACAGAGCAAGACTCCGTCTCAAAAACAAAAAACAAACAAAAAACGAAACAAAAAAAAAAAGAAACTGAATTAAATCAACAAGAAAAAAAAGGAATTGCATTAAAAAGTGGGCAAAGTACATGATTAATAGAAGGCATACAAGTGGCCAAGAAACATGAAAAAATGCTCAGCATCACTAATTATCAGAGAAGTGCAAATTAAAATCACAATGAGATGCCATCTCACACCAGTCGGAATGGCTATTATTAAAAAGTCAAAAAATAGGACGGGCACAGTGGCTCATGCCTGTAATCCCAGCACTTTGGGAGGCCAAGGCCAGTGGATCACGAGGTCAGGAGATTGAAACCATCCTAGCTAACACAGTCAAACCCTGTCTCTACTAAACATACAAAAAAATTAGCCGGGTGTGGTGGCGGGCACCTGTAGTCCCAGCTACTCGGGAGGCTGAGGCAGGAGAATGGCGCGAACCCGGGAGGCGGAGCTTGCAGTGAGCTGAGATTGCGCCACTGCACCCCAGCCTGGGGAACAGAGCGAGACTCTGTCTCAAAAAAAAAAAAAAAAAAAAAGTCAAAAAATAACAGATGTGGGCAAGGATATGAGAAAAGGGAATGCTTATACACTGCGGGTATGAATGTAAGTTAGCTAATCCTATGTAAAACAAAAAGACCCCTGTACTAGGCTGTTTATTGCAGGACTATTCACAATAGTAAAGCCATGGAATCAACCTAAGCGTCCTATCAAAGATGGGCTGGATAAAGAAAATGTGCTACATATACACCATGGAATAGTACACAGCCATAAAAAAGAGTGAAATCATGTCCTTTGCAGCAACATGGATGCAGCTAGAGGCTATTATCCTACGTGAATTAAAAGAGAAACAGAAAACCAAATACCACATGCTCTCACTTGTAGACGGGAGCTAAACAATGGGTACAGGTGGACATAAAGACAGAAATAATAGATACTAGGGACTCCAAGAGAGGAGCCGGGAAGAGTGGGGGAAGGATTGAAAAAAACTACCCTATCAGATATTATGTTCAATATTGGGTGATGGGTTCACTAGAAACCCAAACTCCAGTATCACCCAATATACCCTGCACATGTATGCCCTGAATCTAAAATTAAAAATAAAATATGTTTTAAAATTTAAAAATATACATACTCTAAAAAATTAAAAAGAATACACAGATAAAACATCAAAATAATGGACACACTTAATGCTGATGAGAAGGTAGTGATATTGGTATACTCTCTAATTTAGATAACAATTTAAATTGGCATAATCTTTTGGAAAAGAATCTGATAATTTGGACATAAATATTTCTATTTTTCTACACCAATTCTCATTCCTAAGCTTTCTACTCTGAAATAATCACAGATTCACAGGAATGTGCAAAAATAATGAAGGTCCATCCCATGTATCCTTCCACCTATTTTTCCACAATGGTAGTAACTTATATAACTACAGTGCATTGTCAAACCAGGAAATGAACAGTACAATCCACAGAGCTCGTGCAGTTCACCAGTTTTACACACATTTATTTGCAGGCGTATGCACATGTGTATAGTTTTATATAATGATATCACGTGTAGATTCATGAAAACACTTCCATGGATAAGAGACAGAATATTCCAGCACCAAAGAGATGAGTTGTACTACCTTTTTAAAGTCATTCCCATCCTCTCCCACCTCAATCTCCATTCTTAACCCCTGGAAAGCATTTGTTCTCCGTTTCAATAATTTTGTCACTTTAGATAAATGGAATCATACATTATATAACTTGAGATTGTCATTTTCACTCAGCATGGTTTAAAATTTACCCAGGTTGTTCTGTGTATCAATAGTTTATTCCTTTTTATTGCTGAGTAGTAATCCATAGTATGGCCACACTTAACCATTCACCCACTAAAACATTTGGGTTGTTTCCAATTTTAAGGTATTACAAATAGAGCTGTTGTGAACATTCCTGTAAAATGTATAGGAATTTTCATTTTCATTTCTCTGGATAAATGCTCAAGAGTATGATGTTGGATTTTATGGTTAGAGTGTGTTTATTTTGAGGACATCAAAAAATTTATTTCATGATGATACATTATAAGAGGGTTTCATCAAATGAAGAACTGAATCCCTGTACTATGAGGTTTACTGTGGCCAGAGAAGTCAGGATTCTCTTTGCAGTCATGTAGTTGTTTTTGAAATGCCTATTGAAGTGAAATGTGCAAATTTTAAAACATTTGTATTGAGATCTAATTCATATACCATACAATTCATCTATTTAAAGTGTATAATTCAGGTGGAATGTGGGAGGCTGAGACAGGAGGATCACTTGAGCCTAGGAGCAGCCTGGGCAATACAGTGAGACCTTGTCTCTACAAAAATGTTTTTAAAAATTAGCTGAGTGTGATGGCATGTGCCTGTAGACCCAGCTACATGGGAGGCTGTGGTGGGAGGATCACTTGAGTCTGGAGGCATAGGATGCAGTGAGCCAAGATCATACCACTGTATTTCAGCCTGGGTAACAGAACGAGAACCTTTATTTTTCGGGGTCTTCCAATCCATAAAACATGGCACATCTCTCCATTTATTTAGTTCATCTTTGATGTATTTCATCAGTCTTTTTTTTTTTTTTTTTTTTAATTTGAGGCAGAGTCTTGCTCTGTTGCCCAGGCTGGAGTGCAGTGGTGCATTCTTGGCTCACTGCAACCTCCACCTCCTGGGTTCAAGCGATTCTCCCTGCTTCAGCAGCATCCCCAGTAGCTGGGATTACAGGCACCTGCCACCACGCCCAGCTAAATTTTTTTGCATTTTTAGTAGAGATGGGGTTTCACATGTTGGCCAGGCTAGTTTCGAACTCCTAACCTCAAGTGATCCGCCCACCTCGGCCTCCCAAAGTGCTGGGATTACAGGCATGAACCATCGTGCCTGGCCAGGACTTCTAGTGAGCTGAATAGGAGTGATAAGAGCAGATATCCTACACTTGTCCCAGATTTTAAGTGGGAAAGCATTCAATCTTTCACCATTAAATATGATGCAGCCACAACCTTCTGGGCTCAAGTGATCTTTCCACCTCAGCCTCCCAAGCAGCTGGGACTACAGGCATGCGCCACCATGCCCGGCTAACATTTTTATTTTTTGTAGAGATGGGGTCCCACTCTGGTGCCCAGGCTGGTCTCAAACTCCTGAGCTCAAGTGTTCCTCCTGCCTCAGCCTCCGAAAGTGCTGGGATTACAGGTGTGAGTCACTACACCCAGGGTGTAGATGTTCTATGTTAAGATGAGGACATTCCCTTTATTAGTAGTTTGCCAAGTTTCATCATGAATGGGTGTTGAATTTTCAAATAACTTTTTGATATCAACTTATACGATCATGTGATTTTTCTTTAACCTCATGATATAAATTAAACTGATTATCTATTAAACCAGTCTCACATTCCTGGAATAGGTTCCACTTAACTGATTCTTCTTATGTATTGCTAAATCATATTTACTAATATTTTGCTGAGGATTTCGTCACCTATCTTCATGAGGTATATTTGTCTATTGTTTTCGGTCTTTGTATTGTCTTTGGTTTTGGTAACAAGGTAATATTGGTCTCATCAAATAAACTAGAAATGTCTCCTCTTCTATTTTCTGGAAAAGACTGTGTACAATCAGTGCTAACGCAATAAACATTTGGTAATTTTTTTCAGTGAAATCATGTGCTATGGATTCAATTGACACACCACCCCCCTCCCACCCTGCACCCCATTTATATGTTAAAGCCTTAACCCTCATTGTAATTATATCTGGAGATGCTAGGTTGGTGCAAAGGTAATTGCTGTTTCTGCCATTACTTTTAGCCACCCAGTCTACGGTATTTTGTTATAGCATCCCTAGCATTTAAGGCCCGAAATTTTTGTTTTTTTTTTTTGAAACAGAATTTTGCTATTGTCGCCCAGGCTGGAGTGCAATGGCTCGATCTCAGCTCACGGCAACCTCCGCCTCCTGGGTTCAAGCGATTTTCCAGCCTCAGCCTCCCAAATAGCTGGGATTACAGGTGCCTACCACCCACCCTGGCTAATTTTTGCATTTTTAGTAGAGATGGAGTTTCACCATGTTGGCCAGGCCAGTCTCAAACTCCTGACCTCTGGTGATCTGCCCGCCTAGGTCTCCCAAACTGCTGAGATTACAGGCATGAGCCACCATGCCTGGCCTGAAAATTTCTTGTATGAGAGGCCTTTAACTGCAAATTCAATTTAATACTTACACGGCTATTCACATTATCAGTTTCATATGGGGTGAGTTCTCGTAGTTTGTAGTTTCAACGAATTGGTCTGCTTCATCTAAGTTGTTAAAATTTATCTGGATAGAGATGTTTATAGCAGTCCTCAATTATTTCTAATGTCTTTAGGATCTGTACTGATATCCCCCATTTCATTCCTAATGTCAGTAATTTCTGTTTTCTCTTTTTTCTTACTAAAGGTTCATCAATTTTATTGATCTCTTTTAAAAAATAAGTTTTTGCATCATTGACTTTATTTTCAATTTCATTGATTTCTGCCTTTCATTTCCTTCCTTCTACTTGCTTTGCATTTGTTTTAAACTACCTTTTTGTTCTGGGAGTTTAGAACACTGTTTTGAGACCTTTCTTCTAATTTAAGTGTTCAGTGCTTTAAATTCCCTTTTAGCAACATCCCAGCAAATTTTTGTCCTTTTTCACCCATTTTCATTCAGTTCAGTGTACTTTTAAATTTCTCTCTGGCCCATATATTTAGAAGGACACTGTTTAATTTCCAAGTGTTTGGAGATTTTCCTATTAGGTTTTCTAGCATGTATAATTTCAACACTTTTTAAAAATGCTGAAGTTTGTGTAATAGCTATGGATATGGTCTATGTTGGTGAAATATTCCATGAATACTTGAAAACAATGTGTATTTTGATGTTGTTGGGTGAAGGTTATATAAATGTGAATAGATCCTTTTGGTTAATGGTGTTATTAAGTCCCCTGTATCCTTGCTGGTTTCCCATCTAGTAGTTCTATCGATTGCTGAGAGGGAATGGAAGTACCCAGCTGTAATTGTGGATTTGTCTGTTTCCTTTCAGTTCTATCAGTTTTTATTTCATGCTTCATGTAATTTAAATTGTTCTCGTTTGGTGCGTACATACTTAGAACTGTTGTTTGTTCTTGATGAATTCACTCTTTTTATCATTATGTAATTCTGTTGTTGTTCCTAGTGACTTCTTTACTCTTATAAGTCTACTTTACCTGCTATCAATAAAAGTGCTCATGCTTTTAAAAAAAAGCTTCTATGGCATATATTTTCCCCTTCCTTTCACTTTCAACACACACACACACACACACACACACACACACACACACCCTAATTTTGAAGTGAGTTTCTTGTGGGCAGCATATAGTTTTCGTCTAAAAAAAAAATCCTGGCCAGGCACAGTGGCTCACGCCTGTTATCCCAGCACTTTGAGAGGCTGAGGCGGGTGGATCACGAGGTCAGGAGTTTGAGACCAGCCTGGTCAACATAACGAAACCCCGTCTCTACTAAAAATACAAAAAACTAGCCGGGCATGGTGGAGGGCACCTGTAATCCCAGCTACTCGGGAGGCTGAGGCAGGAAAATCGCTTGAACCCGGGAGGCAGAGGTTACAGTGAGCGAGATCGTGCCACTGCACTCCAGCCCAGGCAACAGTGCAAGACTCCAACTCGAAAATAAAATAAAATAAAAATAAAAACTAAATCCTTACTGATAAGCTCCTTTATTGGTGCATCTGGACCTTTTACACTTAATGTTATTATTGATATATTGTGCTTAAGCCTATTTCATTATTTGCTTTCTGTTTCTTCCCTTGGGTTTTTTTTTTTTTTTTTTTTTTTTTGAGATAGAGTTTCACTCTTTCGCCCAGGCTGGAGTGCAGTGGTGCAATCTCAGCTCACTGCAACCTCCGCCTTCTAGTTTCACACGATTCCCCTGCCTCAGCCTCCCCAGTGGCTGCGATTACAAGCGCCGGCCACCACACCTGGCTATTTTTTGTATCTTTTAGTAGAGATGGGATTCACCATGTTGGCCAGGCTGGTCTCGAACTCCTGACCTCGTGATCCACCTGCCTTGGGCTCCCAAAGTGCTGGGATTACAGGCATGAGCCACTGCGTCTGGCCTCTTCTCTTGGTTTTAATTCTTGTTTCCTTTTCTAGCTTTCATATATGTTTCTTGAATTTTTTTTTTTTTAGAATTCTTTTATACCAAAAGACAAAATAGGAAAAACATTTCAACAGGCACTTTATAAAAGATGACATACAGATAATCAAACATCATATGACAAGGTATTCAACCTTGTCATGAGGGAATGCAAATTATAATCATAATGAGATACCACTATACACCTACCAGATTGACCGCAATTAAGAAGTCTAACATCAAGTAGGCATATATGAAAAGATGCTCAAAATAGAAATATGCAATAGAGGCTGGGCGTGGTGGCTCAAACCTGTAATCCCAGCACTTTGGGAGGCCAAGGTGGGCAGATCATGAGGTTAGGAGTTCAAGACCAGCCTGGCCAACATGGTGAAACCCCATCTCTACTAAAAATACAAAAAAATTAGCTGGGCATGTTGGCACTGCCTGTAATCTCAGCTATTTAGGAGGCTGAGGCAGGAGAATCACTTGAACCTGGGAGGAGGAGGTTGCAGTGGGCAGAGATCACAACACTGCACTCCAGCCTGGGTGACACAGTGAGACTCCATCTCAAAAAAAAAAAAAAAAAGAAAGAAAGAAAAGAAAAAGAAAAAAAGAAACATGTAATAGAAAAAATTAAACTCAACTGAAATGTCCAACCATTAGACAGTATATAATGTTGTATATTCCTACAGTATAAATATATTCACTACATAGCAGTGAAAACATTTTATGAATCTATTTCTTTCTCCATTGCTAGCTTACTAGCTGTGACTCTGTTATTTAAGAGGTTGCTTAAGAATTATGGTACATGGCTGGGTGCGGTGGCTCACGTCTGTAATCCCAGCACTTTGGGAGGCCAAGGCAGGTGGATCACCTGAAGTCAGGAGTTTGAGACTAGCCTGACCAATATGGTGAAATCCTGTCTCAACTAAAAATACAAAAATTAGCCAGGTGTGATGGCAGGCGCCTGTAGTCCCAGCTACTCAGGAGGCTGAGACAAGAGAATTGCTTGAACCTATGAGGCAGAGGTTGCAGCGAGCCAAGATCACACCACTGCACTCCAGCCTGGGCGACAGAGCAAGACTCCATCTCAAAAAAAACAAAAAAAGAAAAAGAAAAAAACAGAAGCTTAGAATAGTATACATAAATCCATTTCTCTTCTCCAAACCTTTGTGTTATTGTTGTCATACATTTTACTTTTACATTTGTTATAAATGCCACACTACATTGTTAAATTAAAAACTCATACATATATTTAACTCCTCATTCTGTTGTATAGATATTTCCAGATGGTGGGCCAGGCGCGGTGACTCACACCTGTAATCCCAGCACTTTGGGAGGCTGAGGTGGGCGGATCACGAGGTCAGGAGATCGAGACCATCCTGGCTAACACGGTGAAACCCCGTCTCCACTAAAAATACAAAAAATTAGCCGGGCGTTGTGGCAAGCACCTGTAGTCCCAGCTACTCGGGAGGCTGAGGCAGGAGAATGGCATGAACCCGGGAGGCGGAGCTTGCAGCGAGCCTAGATCTTGCCACTGCACTCCTGCCTGGGCGACAAAGCGAGATTCTGTCTCAAAAAAAAAAAAAAAAAAAAAAAAAAGATATTTCCAGCTGGTGTCATTTTCCTTCTGCTTGAATGACTTCGTTGAACATTCCTTGTAGTATAATTCTGCTGGTGATGCATTCTCTCAGCTTTTGTTTCTGATAATGTCTGTTTAACTGTGGGTATAGAATTTGAGGTTGACAAGTTTTCTTTTGGTATTTTAAAGATAGTCCTCCACTGTCTGTTCACTGCATTGTTTCCACACATAAAATCTGCTGTAATTCTTATTTTTCTTCATGTCTTTCTTTTCTAATGGTTTTTAAGGTTTTTCTCTTTATTACTGGTTTTGGGTATTTGATTATGATGTGCCTTGGTGTGGTTTTTTACACGTTTCTTGTATTTTGTGTTTATTGAGCTTCTTAAATTTGGAAAAACTCTGACCATTATTTCCCAAGTAATCTTCTGCTGCCCTTCCCTTTCAGGGACTCCAATTATACATATATTTAGTAGCTTCATATTGTACCACAACTCTCTGATGCTTTCTTCATTTTAAACTTCTTTCTCTTTGTATTTCATTTGTGATAGCTTCTATTTCTAGTGTTCAAGTTTACTAATCTTCTATTCTTCTATGTCTAATCTATTAATCCCATACAGTGTAATTTTCACCACAGACATTTCATCTCAGACCTATCTCCAAAAGTTACATGAGTCTTTATTTGCATATTTCCAGTTCACATGTTCAATTTTCCTCTAGCTTTTTGAAAGTACAGGATATAAATTTATTTTAGCATCCTTGTCCACTACTTCTAACATATATCTATTCTGGGTCAGTTTCAGTGGACTGATTTTCCCATTATGGATTGTATTTTCTTGCTTTTTCACATGTCTGATAGTTTTTTTATGGAATGCCAGACATTGTGGATTTTAACTTGTATCTGTATATTTCTGTATTCCTATGTAAGTATTCCTGAAACACAGGTTAATTACTTGGAAACAATTTGATCTTTTCAGGTCTCATTTTTAAGACTGTTAGATAAGAGCAGAGCAGCACTTAGTCTAGACTGATTACACCCCACTACGGAGGCAAAACCCTTTGAAGTACTCTATCCAATGCCCCATAAATTATGAGGTTTTCCAGTCCAGCTGGTAGAAAGACACTATTCTTGGTCTTGAATGAGTCAGGTATTGTTCCTTCAAATCTTTTCAGATGTTTATTTCCCTATCTTCCAGTAGTTTCTCAAGGAGGTCCCTCTGCAGATACCTGGAGTTCTTTCTCTATTCTCTCTGGTACTCAGCCTTCCACTCTAGCCATCTTGGCCTACCCAGATTCTCAGCTATTGTTAGGGTATTTTATGTGTGGCCCAAGACAATTCTTCTTCCAATGTGGCCCAGGGAAGCCAAAAGATTGGACACCTCAATCTTTTGAAGGGTCTACTGGAAGGCTTAGATGGTAAATAGTGTTTAATTTCAGCGAATTTCAGCTCTCTGATCAGCAGCAGCTACCCATTCTCACCCTCCAGCCCCCTGACAAGCAGCTATGCATGCATTCTTGTTTTAAATCTTAATTTATAAAGGTGACAGAGAGGACATGGAGAGATCAATGCCATTGAAAAGAAAGTTTAATGTTACAATTCTCCCCAGAAATGAGGGTCATGGCATGCCACAGGGGGCCACGTGAAACTCTGTCACAAGCAGAGACCACAAAGCAGAGAGAGGACCTGAGACTATGCCTTTATTGCTAAGTCAGTGGGATGGATCTAGGTGGGGATGTCCCCTGTTGGGCATAAAGCAAAAACAGACATTCTATGGTTGTCACTGGGAAGTCTGTGATATGAGTTTTGTGCACCCACGAGAGAGGGCTTAAAAGGATGATGTAAACAACTTTAGCCTTTAGTTTGTCCCTGTACTTAATATATGTCAAATAGGCAAACACAAAATCTAAGTAAACACAGAATAGTTCCAGGAGCAGCTTGGCTATGCACACATTCAGGAAACACCTTGCATAAAACTTACAGGAACCACCTGTCTTTCAAACATTGGAATAATCTGTTCTGACTCCCTTTGCTGCTTCTGATAAGAAAGCCAAAGATGCAGGTGGCAGCCATTGTTGCAAGCCCCTCTCCCTCTGGCTAAAGTGACCTCCAGCAGATTTAAAGGGCCAGCACCTTTCCCCCATGCTTCTACTTTTCTTTTATCCCTTCGGGAAGCCAGATATCTAAGGACTGAGACATTCAAACACAACTGCATATACAGGGGAATTTAGAAAGCCATTACACATTCCCAGGGAAAGGCATGGGCTCAGAAAATACCTGAGAAGATCTTAAGTTTACAACTCGTGCTGATCCCCAGCAAAAGACAGCCTACAAAATCAAAAAAACATAACAAAAACCCAGCAAAATCTGGTGAAGGGAGAACAATATGGCTTCCAGAGTTATCACATTATTACTCAAATGACTTATTTTTCAACATAAAAATTACAAGGCACACAAAGAAACAGGAAAGTACAGCCCATTCAAAGGAAAAAAAAAATAAAAGAGAAACCATCCCTGAGAAAGACTAGATGGTGGGCCTCATAGACAAAGACTTTAAAATAACTATCTTAAAGATTCTCAGATAACTAAAGAAAGGTGTAGAGAAAGTGAGGAAAATGACATATGAACAAAATGGAAATATAAATAGAGAGACAGAAAACATAAAAGGAGACTAAGTAGAAATTCTGGAGCTGAAAAATACAATAATGAAATGAAAAACTAACTAGAGGAATTAAAAGCAGTTTTGAGCAGGCAGAAGAGAATCAGCAAGCATGAATATAGGAAAATGAAATAAATACATACAATGGAATATGATTCCCTTGGAAAAGAAGGAAATTCTGATATATGCTACAATGTGGATAAACCTTCAGGACATTATGCTACGTGAAATAAGCCAGTCATTTAAAAAAATACTGCATAACTCCATTTATATGAAGTATCTAGAGTAGTCAAAATCAGAGAGGCAGAAAGTAGAATTGTGGTTGCTAGGGGCTGGGGGGAGGGGAGAATAGGGTTTAATGGGTGTACTGTTCAGTTTTATAAGATGAAAAGTGATGGATTATCTACTTTTAAGGTTTTTATACTTAGAACTAAAAATAATTTCAGTCAACACGGGGTTGTCTATAGAAGTCCCACCAAAGAATGGTACAAATGCTTGAAATGAATAGTTCTAGTTTACTGCAATAAGCATAAGCACAAAAACACATTTTCAGGAAAGCATACCAGAACCCAACAGGCCGGAAAATTTCCAAGTAAAAATTCCAAAGATTAGCTTGTGTGCATGCTGAACTGAGAAAACATGGCAAAATGATCTGCAAACAACTAAAAGGTTTCAATTTGGTATTTCAGAACTGTGAGTTCTTTTCATTCAGGAGAAAAATCAGGCAACTAGTAAAAGCCAATATTGCCTGGCAAAATCGAAGAGTACAAGTTCCTTAAAAAAGGCTGCACCACAATACTGCCTAGAACTGAAAGAAAAATAAAAGTGTGTTTGTGTGTGTATATGAGTGTGTCCATATACATATGCAGACACATACATACACACATATGCATATATATTTATCCTTGACATATAAATTTTTTTTTTTTTTTGAGACAGGGTTTCACTCTGCTGCCCAGGCTGGAGTGCAGTGGTGCGATTGTGGCTCCCTGCAGCCTCAAATTCCCCAGCTCAAGCAATTACCCCAGCTCAGCCTCCTGAGTAGCTGGGACTACAGATGCACACTACCATGTCCAGCTAATTTTTGTAGAGACGGGGGTCTCGTCATGTTGCCCAGGCTGGTCCTGAACTCCTCGATTCAAGTGATCTACCCACCTTGTTCTCCCAAAGTGCTAAGATTACAAACATGAGCCATTATGCCCAGCCAATTCCATTTTTATTAGTACTTTCCACAGCTGCGTCACTGAAGAAGGGCTTTTAAATAACAGCCTGTAACTTGTTAATCACTTAGAAATAAAACATGAAAACCAAAAAGGAACCAGTTGACTATAAATGCAAAACAAGGAATTCCAAAGAGCAATTTAATAAAATTGTCGCCTTTCATAGCTGTAAAAGGCAATTAAATTCCAATCTATATAAGAATTTGATCCCAAAATGAAAGTATAAAGAGTACCAAATCCATTCCTTTGATAATCATTTTCTACCCTGTAGAAAGCACTGTTCTTGGTGATGAGTCTCAAAGTCCTTATTCTCTTGGAGCTTACATTCTAGAGAGGAAAAGACAGACTAAAACAATACATATGAAATAAATGTTAGATGACAATAAGATTAATGGAGGAACACATGGAGAGCATAGGGGGCTGCAATTTTAGGAATCGTAGAAGTTTCCTACATTGTTAAAGTGAGTTCAAAAGTGCATCACTTCTTCTAATGAGGAAAACTGAAATCTGTTAGCAAGATAAACATCAAAGATTAAATGAAATGGCCGGGAGTGGTGGCTCACGCCTGTAATCCAAGCACTTTGGGAGATCGAGGCGGGCAGATCACCTTAGGTAAAGAATTCGGGATCAGCCTGGCCAACATGGTGAAACCCTGTCTCTACTAAAAATACAAAAATTACCCAGGTGTGGTGGCAGGCACCTATAGCGCCAGCTACTCAGGAGGCTGAGACAGGAGAATCGCTTGAACCCAGGAGATGGAGGTTGCAGTCAGCTGAGATCTCGCCATTGCACTCCAGCCTGAATGACAGGAGTGAGACTACATTTCAAAAAAAAAAAATTAAATTAAATGAACCTATTTTTAACTATTTTTTAAATCACTATTTTATCATATCTTTATTGTTTTTAAAATTTCTAAGGGGGTTTATGAGATTTTTCAAATCCAAAAGAGCTGGGAAGTACTGTGTTATATTATTATTATTTTTAAATTTTTTCTGGCTACTCTGGGCACACTGTCTATGGCTGGCCCTGCCCCACAAGTGGCAGTAAAAAAAATTTTTTTCTTTAGATTTTAAAACTTGTACCTATGGATTATATTGAAATTATATTATTATTAAGCTGACCTTGGACCTTATGTGGCTCAGACTCTAAATCAGCAGTTCTCACAGAATGAGGAGCCCTTTTGTCGCTAAGGGGAACATCTGGCAATGCCTAGAGACATTTTTGGTTGCCGTAAATGGGAAGGAGGGTGCTACTGGCATCAGGTGGGTAGAGGCTGCTGAACTTAAAATTCACAGGACAGCCCTCCACATTAAAGAAGTATCCCGCCCTACAAGCTGCAGTTGAGAAATTCTAGGTTAGGCAGACACATGGCGAACACCAACGGTAAGGTGGAGGCCCTCTATAGAGAAGCACCATTCACGCCATGGGATCAGAGTGGAGGGCCTGAGTGGGGAGAGGAGTGAAAGAGCAGGTGGAGCTTCAACTCGGCCTCAGGAAAAGGTAAGGATGAAGAGTGAAGACTTCAGAAAGATGGAACAGCATGAGCAAAGGGGCGGACACGTTAGCTTGCAGCATAAGCAGGGATTAGCTGGCTTCTCAGGGGCTGTGGTTAGTCTCTTTTTGGATAAAATTACTCAATTTCCATGTTATCAAATTTACTTAGGGCAAAACCACCATACTGTAATTTCAACATTCATTCTTGTGTGAAATTAGGTTAAGATAGTGTGATTCAGAGCAAAGAGCATTAACCTAGGAGCCATCCCAGACTCCAGTAAACCGCAGGAGAGCAAGGCTCCCTCTATGAATGGGTAAGGCCTAGATATTCTCCAAATACTTTTTATAAATTGCTGGATGATTCTCCCCTTAATCCAATTTACGTCCAGAAAAGGGCCAAAGGTTTTCATTCTGTTTTCATCTTTGAGTCCCCCTGCCTCAAACAGTTCCTTCCTTCTTGCTTTCCAGAATTCTATTTATCCTGTTTTTAAATTAACTTTAAAAAGGAGGTAATGCTTACAATGAAATGCAGGTCGTACGTGTGCAGTGCGACGTTGTGATGTACGCCCCATGTAACCACAACCCCTATAAGGAAGGCCTTCCTGTCTGACATGTGGCTCCCTCCCGGTAGGGACCCGCTATCGTCCCAGCACTTCTTCTGCACCTCCGAAGCTACTGCCCGTTTCGCAGTAAAGCCGCCCGCGTCCTAGTCTACTCCACCTCGCAGCACCCGCATCCTGCAAGGGACCTGCCTCAGAAGCCCCAGCGACAGGCGCCGCGGGTGCCCGCCCTCCAGGAGCGGACAGTCAGGCCTGGGCATTTCGCAAACTCCATCAGCGAACTTCTGAGGGCAAAGATGAAAAGGACAGCAGGCCGAGTCCTGTTTCTACTCGGAGGGAAGGGAGGCCTCCACGCGCTGCCGTAGCCTGGGGGTTAATTTCCCCGTCAGCACCAAGGCTGCCTAAGGCCCGGGCGCCAACGTGCGCGGCACAGGACGCGGCGCCTTCCGGCGACCGGGACGCGAGGCCCAACAGCGCCTAACACAGCAACCAGGATCCACTCTCAGGCCGGCGCCAGCTCCTTCCCTCAGGAATCCGCCAGCCACTGCTAATTAAACTCTTCCACCACTACCACCCTGGAAAAAAGGTGAGAAACAAACACACAAAAGGCACCTAACCCAGTCCAAAACGCCTCGGCGGCGCGCAGCCAACCCTACAGCTGCGCCCGAACCCGCCACTCACCAGCCGCGCGTGCGCAGTCGCCCAGACTCGCCGTGTGCAGTGGGAGTGGCTAGCCAGTCTCGCTAGCGCAGGCGCAGGCCCTCCCGCCCAGGCCCTTGCGCAAGGCAGGCCATCTCCCCGCAGCGTCTCAATCCCGCGTTTACAACACTGAGGGCCGTCTCCAGCCTGGAGTCGTTCCTTCGCTTGTCTCATCAGCCGCCCCCAAGAATGGTAGCAAAAAAACAACAACAACAAAAAAAATGAAGGCCCTGGCAGGGCGCGGTGGCTCACGCCTGTAATCCCAACACTTTGGGAGGCCGAGGCGGGCGGATCACCTGAGGTCAGGAGTTCGAGACCAGCCTTACCAACATGGTGAAACCTCGTCTCTACTAAAAAATACAAAAATTAGCTGGCCGTGGTCGCGTGCGCCTGTAATCCCAGCTACCCAGGAGGCTGAGGCAGGAGACTCGCTGGAACCCGGGAGGCAGAGGCTACAATGAGCCGAGATCGCACCACAGCTACTCCAGCCTGGGCGACAGAGCAAGGCAACATCTAAAAAAAAAAAAATTAAGATCCTAATTAAAGTTAAACCCACTATTTTGCACTGAGTCACGTAGATTTTCAAAGTCAAGGCTTCATTGGTCGATTGTCTGCTCAGTCTTTTTAAATCAAATCGTTGACTTTAAATGTTGACATCAAATTGAGGCTTTGGTAAAATTGACAGGATTGGCGGTAGCGGGGGGGAACCTTTAAAACTTGTTAGTCTTTCAGAGTCTTCAGTTTTGAATGAGTTGGTCAATATATGTATTTAGACATCAAGCGCCGTAAGTATGTATGATTTTTGTCAACAACACCTTAATTATCTTGCACATACAGGCACTGATTATTGAAAGGTTCCCTTACGTTTTAGCAGCTACCAAATTATAAGTGATACAAAGTATTTGTTTCCAATTCCCCAAGAAATCAATCTGTATTATGCTTCTACCCTCTCTTTCCTCCATTTTCTTTACCAATTTCATGATCTTGCTAAATTTTATATATTCTGCTGAGCAATGTGAAAATCCTTTCTGGTATAAGGTAAGGATATAAACTGTTCAGCTGGCAAATGATGCTATTCAGTAAGTAGTTAATGAAACAGGTTTATAACATTGGGTGTACTATAATTTCTATTTTAAGAACTGTTTCCAGTTTATAATAACCCATGCTACATTTTGACTTTGTTTTGAATTGATGACAAGTCTATTAACCAAATATTTCAAGATCAGGTGTATTCTGGAAAAGGAACAGGAAGAAAATATATTTAAAAAACTAAAAGAAATTTAACACAAACTGAGAAACAATAACCAACTTTTATGAGTGCATTTTTTATGGAGGTGGTGTTCAGTAAATAAGACTGCCCTAGCTTATAACTACTTTAACAGAAGTTTACATTCAGTCAAATTGAGTCTGAAACAGTAGATCATTTTCTTTCAAAGCTGACATTGCTTTAATAGCATGTAAGACATGTTATCTTCATGTATTTTACTATATACTATTTTTACTATGAAAGTGACCACAGATGTCAGAGTTTTTTGTACCTTCACTAGACCTGATTGCTCAGACAGCATGAGAGTAATACAGTAAGATTCATATTTTCCTGGTGAAACCTATGCACTGTAATTTAATGGTTTTTGCAAATCATAAACATGTAAAATATCAAAGGAGTACTTATTCTCATTAAAGGGGAAATTACTTGTCCAGTTAAATTGGATATGAAGGATGTCTTCAATTCAGGAATTATTCCTTTTGTGTATTCACCAGTGATTTTTGTTCGTCTTGCTTCTCTTCAGAAATGGTGTAAAAAAGAAAGTAAACCAGACTTGGGACCAGGTGCAGGGCTCACGCCAGTACTTTGGGAGGCCAAGGTGGGCAGATCACCTGAGGTCAGGAGTTTGAGACCAGCCTGGTCAACATGGCGGAACTCCATCTCTACTAAAAATACAAAAATTAGCCCGGTGTGGTGGCACACGCCTGTATTCCCAGCTACCTGGGAGGCTGAGGCAGGAGAATCGCTTACACCCGGGAGGTGGAGGTTGCAGTGAGTCAAGATCACGCCATTGCACTCCAGCCTGGGTGACAGAGGGAGCCTCTGTCTCAAAAAAACAAAACAAAACAAACCACACTAGACTCAGTTTTTCTTAAAACAACAACAAATTACCTGTAAGTACAAAAACAGATTCAGGTGTTTGTTTTTCTTCCATTGAGTGCTTTATCACAGAGTTATTCGAATTATCCTAAGCATGTTGCAAAGGACATTCCTTAGATTTCTAGTCCTGTAAGGTACTTTGAGAAAAGACTGTATAAAGTAAAATGAGGAAAATCTGATTAAACTCTTCTTCTGAGTTTCACCATAGGCATTAATGTATTAAAGCCTTCAACTTAATGCACTAAAGAAACCTGTTTTATTTATCAAAACTATTTAACAACAATTATTTTAAAAAATTACTAATTAAACTCACTTTGGGAATCACCGTTAGGATTTTTTTTTTTTTTTTTTTTTGAGACGGAGTCTCGCTCTGTCGCCCAGGCTGGAGTGCAGTGGCGCGATCTCGGCTCACTGCAAGCTCCGCCTCCCGGGTTCACGCCATTTTCCTGCCTCAGCCTCCCGAGTAGCTGGGACCACAGCTGCCCGCCACCACGCCCAGCTTTTTGTTTTTTTTTTTTGTATTTTTAGTAGAGACAGGGTTTCACCGTGTTAGCTAGGGTGGTCTCGATCTCCTGACCTCGTGATCCGCCCGCCTCAGCCTCCCAAAGTGCTGGGATTACAGGCGTCAGCCACCGCGCGCCCGGCCAGGATTTTTTCATTGTTGTAGAAATAATAGGTGCCTATTCAGCAGAAAATAAAATCCTTGTTGCTGTGGTTTGAATAGCTCCCTTGCAAAATTCAATTGTTGCCAATGTGCCAGTATGAAGAGGTGGGGCCTTTAAGAGGTGATTAGGCCAAGAGAGTTCCTCCCTAATGAATAAAATTAGGTCCCATTACAAAGGGGCTTGAAGGAGGGAGTTGATTCTCTCTCGCCACCATCTGGTGATGGCTTGCTTGCCTCTTCCACATGATGGAAGTCAAAGGGCAGCCTCCAGAAATGAAAGAAGTAAGTTTCTGTTCTTCAGTCTCAGGTATTCTAATAGCACAGAGTAAGATAGTTGAATTAAATAGAACAGACTAAGATAGTTAACATAAATAGATCCATTTTCTCATTTTTTAAAAAAAAGTACAGTAAATAATATGGTGAAGTCTACCCCAATATCCCTAGGGTGGTTGTGGTTAGGGCTATAACGTAGTATCAATATGAAGATATTACAGCATGTATTTAAAAGCAATTGACTATTAGGTATCAGACTTAGTGTTATGATACATTTGTCTAATGAAATGAAATCTGTTTTCAGAAATAATCTTTAAATACAATGGAATTTATTGAGCATCTACTATTATATTTCATCCATCACTTTTAAATTTTTTCTTTGGGAGGAACACTTATAAACTCATGATATGGATAACAGACCTGTGGAAATTAATGTAAGCCCTAAGCAGCTTAGTTAGACATTGAATCTAGGTCTGCCTCTACCCTGCAGTCTACCAGTTCAAGTAGCTTTACCAGGTCAGTCCTTAGAAATAACCATAACATCCAGGGCAGTGCAGTTATAAACAGGTGTACAAATAAGAAGTTCTACTACTCAATACATCTTGGGCTTTCTTAAAGGTGTATTTGAAGCCTAAGATTAGGCAGAAATGAACATTATCAAAACAAGAACAAAACTGCTCACTACTGTGGGAATAAAAATGTTTAGCAGATCCTATTTGCTTTTGTTCATTCATCATCTCTGGGAAACATCAATGACTTACCTCAGTTCACTCTCATGCTATATATTAAAAATAATTTACAGGGACACTCAGTAGGAGGTTGAATTATACGCCAGACTGAGACAGGATGCTGCTGGGGGTGCTGTATGGAATTTCCCAGCAAAAGATTCTTTCATTAGTTTCACCAAATATACCATTTCCACTTAGTTTTAAAAGAAAGTCAAACTGAACTGCCATTTGAGATTACATAGAATGCACAAGACTCAATCTGAGACCCTATGTTTAAAAAAACAAAACTGTTTTATAATCTAATCAGCCTGTCAAAGGCATCACTCATAAGCAACCGAATTGTATTTTTGGAGAGCACCATTAAAGATGTCTTTTAAAAAACAGTTATAGATGTGTATTTATTTGGGACCTTTGAAATCATCTGTGGGTCTCAAATGACAGATGATTAGCCTGTGTGTATGGCCCCACACTTGGTAATGAAAGAAACAAAAATTCAAAATACACTCTAATTGGTTTTCTTAAACAACTTTTCTTTATCCACCTTTGGAGTGGAATAAATCTCAATATAAGCTAAATAACAACATTACAAATCAAAGAATATTCAAAGCAAATTCAGGTTAAAAATGAACATTTTAAAGATGCATTTTCTTTAAAAATTAACTTTTCACTTCATATGTTTACAAGATTTAACACTGGGCAAAGGGTGGATCTATCTAGCACACAGTAATATGGTAATTCACCACTTTCCCTGAAAGGCCAAAAAGAATGACTTGCTAAAAGTATTTACTAAATATGCACCAAAGATAATGACTTAACTAGTAACTGTGAAACTGTTTCTAAGACTGTGGGCTGAGATAAATATTATAAAATATAGACAAAATTTTTATATTTCTAATACTGGATATTCTGTGAGTACCACGGGTTCTCCCAGAAGGTGATGCAAATCTTGATTTTTATCTGTACAGATGTCTTCATTTTTTTAAATTTAAAATTATTTTAGGACCGTGTAATGTCCCCAGTGTCAATCTTCCTATAATGGTAAACAAACTAGCACCATTTCAATGCATTTCATAAAAGAGTCTAGCTAAATACCCATGAACAAATCACACATGGTCAAAACAAAAATGTAATAAAAATATTTAGTGAAAAGACACATTTTAACTCCCATTTATGAATTTTAAAAATACAAATAAAATTTTATCAACCTGATATTCAGCCTATAACTGGCTCAATACATAGCCTTATTTCCTAAAATCATATTGCAGCATCTTCTGAAAAACTAAATGCAATTTTATACCTTCATTAGTTATGTTAATAGAGGTAAATATTTAAACAGTACACTCATCCCTGGGTCTTTAAATAAAACTGAAAAGTCTTAGTGTAAGTTTAAAATTTTAATATTTATAAATTTAAAAAATTTTACACGTGCTGAGTGGTAGCAGTGCTAACATTTTTGTGACCATTAAACCACAAACTCACTGCATAGAGCTTCTTTCTTTGTACAGATAATCAAATCACAATACCAACATTTGCAATTTGTAATAATTTTATGTGGTAAAAGACACCACACCAGGAAGCCTGGGCTCAGAAAACACTTGAGGTCAGATCCCTAGTAGGTACATAGTGCAGATGCAGTATATAATTTCAGGCTAGGAAAATTAGCTACTAGTATGTATCTGACAGTTCCTAATAGCTAAGAGGCCTAAGAATGCAGACGGGGAGAAAAAAAACCAAAACCAAAAAAAAAGACACCTCTCCAATTGCTGGGAGGGCCTGGGAATAGGTGAAGATCAAACCACAGTGGGAGAGGAGGGTAAAGATGTGAGCTTCAAGCGGGTAATGGGCAAGCCACACCTCCCAGTTCCTAGGAGGGAATCGCCACGGCCGACTTCAGCATTCTCGTCTTTACTAAGACTTACCCATAGAGAACTACAGCAGGAAACCGATTTCTTCATTCATTCTCTTTAAAAAGTATGAATGCCCAGTATTAAGCTTCTATTTTTATTTGAACCAAACATATTCTTTGGTTAACTATGTCATGGGTTCTCACTATAATCAACAAAGCATACTTCATATATTTTATATCTAAATGAAAATATGCTTAAAATTCAACTGGAACCATGGCATTTCACATCAATTTGAGCTCAGCAATATGCCTAATTTGGACATTTTAATTTTAGAAAACCAATTTTTAAAAATTCTTAAATGCAGTGTTTTCAGAACATAGTTACCAAGTCAGAGAATAACCACTTATATTTTAAAAAGATTAAAACATTATTATATCCTCAAATCAACAATGTTTTTTTGTGGGAAAGCTTACAGAAAATTATAATGTTAAACCTCATAGCCAAATCAGTTCCTTATTCTCTGGTTTTAGAAAACACAAACAAACCTTAAGAAGTACCGAGGTTCCTTCTGACTTAAAAGGTTAATGTTTTATTCAGGAACCAATAACAATAATTCCTCATCAAAGACAGCTAACTTAGTAAGGTCAATTGACAACCACCTCTAACAACAGAGGTGGCAAACAGATAAAAATTGTTTAACAGAGAAAAATATTATTTCAGGGTTCAGAATGATGTTGAATACTAGGAGACTCAAACTTGTAATCCTTGAAACTGACAGCTAGTTCCCTTCAATACTTTAGGGGTTCATAGAAGTATTAACAGAAATGGGAAACATGGTGATATTACAACTATAAAGACTTGACATTTTTGTTAAAAGAGAAAGTTCAAAGACAGTTAAGGGGAGTGTTAAATAATGCTGACTGGGGGGAAATGATATAGATACTTGCTTTTCAAATGAAAATCATGGACAAGTGGTAGTAACCATCCCATCTGAACAGAGTAATGTAATATAATTAGATACACAGTTTACAACGAAATAAGACTAAATTCTTAAAATTAGTTTGAAAAAAACCTGCAGTTTGTTTACATTAAAAGTCATACTTTACACCAGACAAAAACTCAATGCAGTGATGTTAACATGCTACTGTCTTCTAACAGAGATGGCCACCCTGAAAGACCCAAATAATGGTGCTGGAAAGGACACTGTCAAATACTGTCAGGTAGTTTTGCTACTGAGGCAGCCACTCATCCAGCACAAGGACTATAAAAGCAAATCAATCCTTTTAACAGAACAAGAACACAGTTACAGGTGCTACCACATTAACAGACTGTGAAAGTACAAAGTCTTTAGTGATTGTGCCTTGGGAAATAAATGGGTCAAGGAAAATAAAATGAGAAACAAACAAAGGATGTATGGAAAACTAGAGGTTAAAGGATACTATATGAACAACAGAAATTTTATAAAACAAAAATCTAAAAATGAAATACTTGACAGTGTCCCTTTGACATATATAAAAGAGGGCACAAATAATGTTTTTGTTTTAAAAAATATTTTAACAACAGTTTTAATAGAAAAAAAATCAACTGACTTGAATTAAGCCAGTGTTCTTGACACCCACTGGGCCAAGAGCATTAAAACAAAACAAGACCGGAGAAGTTAATAAACACAGCTAAAGACAAAATTGGACAAAATAAAACAAAAGAAAACACAAAGTGAATAAGCATCCAATCAGGCAAACATGGACACAACCACCCTGAAAAGGTCTAGCCGTTGCAACTCAGTGGCATCCCCATCACCTAAAAAATGGTAGTGGCTTCTCCCCACCCCAGTGAGCTAATATTCAACATTCTGCTGATCTTATAAGTATTATTTGGTCCAATCTGAAGAAGGTCTTTTTAAACTAAAACTAGTCTAATGAAATTACACCTCAGGAATATGGAGGTGAAATTTTCTATTTTTAGTATTGTAATAGGATCTGGGCAAATTTTGCAAATATGTTGCCATCTGGATAAAAGTTATTAAATATAGATGCCTTTTTACTTACCAAGGCATTCCTTTCCCACTCCTCTTTAGTTTTAATAACTTGATTATAGTTTTGTCATGGCGCGTGGACCTGTCCAGTCAATTGTGTGTTTCAGTGCCCTTTGGTAAAGAGACTGTACTTAGCACACACACAGATACACATAATTCACAACAGCTGAGAAAGCTTGAGGGATCTGGGAAACACAAAACACCAAGAACAATGCAAAACAAATAGATTACTGCTGCATATCACTTCAAGTTTTTTAAGGGGAAAAAAAAAACACCTAAAAATAAATGCATCAAAGTATTTTTTAAAATACAGAAACGTGTACTTCTGGATGACTGATATTAATTTCCTTCCTAGCAGTCTTTTCAAGATGTTTTTGCTTCCCCTTAATTGTGACTCAAAGCTAATCAAATTGAGAGAAATGTAAGTTATGGCCCAAGGCCCTGCATTCACATCTACCTAACATCACATGCACAGGTTGGATGTAATTCAGATGCTCCAGTTTTGTTAACTGTTAATAACACAGAATTATACAAAGTTTTGCACAGCATCACATGTAATGACACATATGCTATATGCAATCAGGTAGAAAAACCGTATTTGCAGAATGGTTTAATAGATAGGTGTCAGGAACATGGTGGAAGCAGAGTTTCATGAGTGCACCTGTGCCAGAGTCCTCTACCTGTCACTGTGCTGTGAAAGTACTGCAATGAGTGGAGTTTCATATGCCTGCTGTGTATAAATTAGCTTTCATTTCCACATTGTAAGCTGGCACACTGAATTAGGGGAGCCTGGCAGCTGTATAAAAATCCTGATTAAGAGATCAAACTAGAGGATCTAAAGTGAATTTTTAATCTCTGAAATTAAATTCACTGGCTCCCATGTCTGGATAAGAATTATTGCCCCTAATGCCCCAACGTGCAATAGTCTGTGTGAATCAGTGATTCACATCCTTTAAAATAATTATTGCTTAAGCAAGCCATTTAGAGTAGATATGGGCTATGTGGCTGGATAGAAACACACTCAAAAAGTTAGACTAGACGGAAACAAGCCTTTCATTTCACTGATAAACCTACATAAATACACGATCGAAAGGGGCAACAGGTTCATAGCAGCTAACACCCTAAACCAACTCTGAAGCATCAAGACGTGGTTTCTTACTAAAACAAATCAGCTGTTTTTGTATTTTCCTCTTAAAATTAAGGCAATGAAATGGCTACAGTTCCTAAGGTTATTTTTACGGAACAAAAATATACATGTATTTTCCTCCTCAAGTTCAGGCATCAGAGTATGATTAGTGACTTGTATTACACAAAACCTGCAGCACTGGGTTGATGTGAGAGAGAGAGAGAAAAGAAAGAGAGAGACAGAAAGCAAGAAAAGCAAGAAAGCAAGCAAGCAAGAAAGCAAGCTAAGAAAAAGCCAACAAACCCCTGGTGATGTTTCCCCTTCCTGCTGAATTATAAAACCCAATCATCAAAGGGAGGAAAAGCTAGAAAGCACAAAACCTCTTAAGAGTTTTCAATGTCTCTTTCATTGATTCAAAACTTTTGGGGTGACGAAAGGGAGAAGCTTATTAACATGAAGACTCCTGGGCCCAACAACCAGACATTCTGACTCTGAAGGTCTACAGTTGGGCCTAAGAATCTGCCTTTTCACCAGCTCCTCAAGTGATGCAGGCGATCTATGGAGATTTTGAGAAACACTGCCTAGCATATATCCATTTCATATTTAATGACAAAAATTCTAAACTTTGGCTAGCCACCTATGTTAAAAGGAAAAAAGGCACTGCATATGTATTTCGTGGTGCCCATATCTGTTTGCACATATATGGAATTTCATTTTGAAAATTTTAAATCACCATTCAGAATCTAAAAGACATATATATGACAGATTGTGGCTAACACTTAACAGCAGAAGCTGATGCCAAGTTGACCTCTCCTGTTTCACTGTATTACATACATATCAAAGTTTCAGGCTCTCCAAAATCCAAAATGGCCAAATGAACTGAGGAATAGGACAAGACTCAAGTCAACTTTCAGCAATTCAGTGCACTTTGCAGAAAGGATCTAAATTAAGCATAAAGTTCTGTTGTTTATTTTACACAAAGGAGACCACCAACATTTGCCATAAATTCTTCTAAACTCTTTAAGAAGGCCATCTTCTGCTTCCGATCCAGCGTAGGAGGAGTGCTGCTTGCAGTGAGCTTGTTGAAGGCATCTGCTAATCTCTGGTAAATAACTGGGTCTTGCTGACTTGATAGTAATGTTTCGACCAGTTCAGAATATTCAGCCTATTGAAGAGATAAAGTATACACAAGTATCCTCCTTAGAATATCATACAAGTAGATCTTATCAGTTACTGGACTGTGGGGTTCTAAAAGGCAGGGACACATTTTTAAGAGTTAACATTTAGAATAATTCAGCATTTAAGTACTACTGTTTGAAAACCTTTTACATGGATTAATTCATCTATCATTTACAACAATGCTTCGAGACAGGTACTGTTTCTATTCCCATTCCAGAGGTGAAGGTTTCGACACTCAGTGAGGTGAAGTGATATGGCCCAGATCAAGCAAGAGTCCACCAATCTAGCCCCAAGACCCATGTGATAATCAACTTTGTTGTGCTGCCTCTTCAAAGCACATTATTCCTATTTATGTTGCGTTTGACACATAATCTAAGTCTGCAATAGTTCCCCAGAGGTTAATAGAGATATCTGGTCCACCCAGTTCTGAGGACAGCAATGTGCACAAAGACAGGACAGGCAGGAGTCTTTTGGGAGGACGGGGCGGAGAAATATATTCCAGTGCCTTCTCCAAGTGGAGCAGGGCACTCTGAAAGCTCCAAACCAGCACTGTGCCCAGCAGCTCTTAGAGAAAGGGCAGGAAGAGGACTTTAGTAAATATAGGAATATGGGAAATTTTCTGTTTTTAATACTCTATTATAAAGCCTTATAAAGGAAAGTGGAAGAAGGTGTGGGCTTAAGGGAAATTCAACCAGGACAGAGGTAAGCTCTCAAAAAAAGCTGGCCTGGCCAAGCATAGTGGCTCAGGCCTTTAATGCCAGCACTTTGGGAGGCTGAGGAGGGATGACTGTTTGAGCCCGGGAATTTGAGACCAGCCTGAGCAACACAGTGAGATCCCACCTCTACAAAAAATTTAAAAATTAGGCAGTTGTGGTGGTGCACAGCTGTAGTCCCAGCTACTTGGGAGGCTGAGATGGGAGATCGCTTGAGCCCAAGAGGTTGAGGCTGCAGTGAGCCATGGTTGCTCCACTGCACTCCAGCCTGGGCAACAGAGTGAGATCCTGTCTCACTGCAACCTCTGTTTCCTGGGTTCAAGTGATCCTCCTACCTCAGCCTCCTAAGAGCCTGGGACTACAGGCATGCACCACCATCCCTGGCTAATTTTTGAATTTTTAGTAGGGACAGGGTTCTGCAATGTTGAGCAGGCTGGTCTCAAGCTCCCAGCCTCAATCAATCCACCCACCTTGGTCTCCCAAAGTGCAAAAATTACAAGCATGAGCCACTGCACCTGGCATGCTGTAATTTTTCATTGGCTTCTTGGGATATCATGATAGACCAAAATGGTGAAACCAAATGTTAATTACATTTGGAAAAGAAGGATAAGGTGCAGCATCCCAATCCCCAACCATGGAGCCAGAGTGGCTCCCCTAATTGCCTTATCAAAGGGACAGTCCTGTTCACAGGGGACCAAGTATAATCTCCTATCATTTCCCTACTCATGAGAAATGGTAGAGGTGGCAAGGCATGGTGGCTCACACCTGTAATCCTAGGCACTTTGGGAGGCCGAGGCGAGTGGATTGCTTAAGTTCAGGAGTTCGATACAAGCCTGGGCAACATGGTGAAACTCCGTCTCTACAAAAAATAAGCCAGGTGTGGTGGTGCACACCTGTAGTCCCAGCTACTTGGGGAGCTGAGGCGGGAGGATTGCTTGAGGCCAGGAGGCCGAGGCAGGAGTTAGCAGTAATTGCACCACTGCACTCCAGCCTGGGTAATAATAAAGTGAGACCCTGTCTCAGAAAAAAAAAAAAAGCGAGATAGTAGAGCCTCTGGGGCCAGGCAGCAAGTATCATACTGGCCATTCCTGAAACCTGCTCTTTCCTGCAGTGTGTAAATATGTTAAAAGAGAGGGAGAGAGAGAAATAAAGGAAGAGAAGGAAGGAAGGAAGAAAGGAAGGGAGGAAGAGACAAGAGGGTGGAAGGGAACGGGGGAGGAAAGGAGGGAGGGAGGGAGGGAGAAAGAAAGAAAGAGGAGGGAGGAAGGAAGGAAGAAAGGAAAGAAAAGAAAAATGAAAGAAAAAGATAGAAAAAAGAAAAGAAAAAGAGAGGAAGGAAGGAAGGAAGGAAGGAAGGAAGGAAGGAAGGATCAGACAAGACGACTACCTTGCTAGTAAGCAACAAGTAAGACAAATGACAGAGAAAGGGCACAGATTTGAGAGCAGGTACCACCTGCAGGAAGTGGCAGCCTAGGGCAGAGAGCAAGAAATGAAGCCCCAGGGCACCTTCAGCTTAGGGCACAGATGTTACGGGAAGTCTAGAGAAAGGAGGTCTTTAAATAGTATGGAAGACCTCCTCTAAACCCTTTTTTAAAGATGGAAATAAAACGCCAAAGCTTCTTGGCCATGCTGGGAGGTATATATATATATACGTGTGTGTGTATATATATATATATATATATGTACCTTACATATATATGTGTGTATATATATGCATGGGAGAGGAAAAGGGGAAACAGAGGCAGCAAACTGTTCAATACGGTCCTTTTCATAAATTTCACAGGCACCTATTCGATCAGAAGTGGGGAGACAGGTAAGCTAGCCTAACTCTTCTATTAACCCCATTATCAGTGATGCTTCAGAATCTTTAAAAGATCAACAAAATGAAATAATATACTGTTTTCTATAATATGCAATAAAATACTGTCTTCCATACTGTCTGAAGGCAGACTCTTCCTTGTCTGCCATCCTGTCTCCCTTACAAAAAACCATGAGTTCTTCACACACCCATTATGTATTCCTCATTCCTAGCACAGTTGTTTAAGGACAGGCTTTGGGGCAGTGACCATTGCAAAGGATGGTTCATAATGGTGGAGGACAAAAAATAAATGCTTTGAACTGACAAACAGCTGTCAGATAAACACAAACTGACATGTGAAAGCTAATAAAGAAGCTAAGAAATACTTCCTCACTGAAACAGAACTGAAGCACTGAGTCACAGATCCTATAAGGGGGGATTAATGACCCACCATCTATCTCAACAATCTCTTTGCAAAATAGAATGAGAAGAGTCCCCTGAAAAGAGGCATGTCCAGTACCTGGTGCAAACACACCAACGTGTAGAAAGCTTCGCCAGCCGCAGTGGTCATCTCTGTGTTGTGCTTTTGCAAAACCAGCATATCAAAAACCAGCTGAAATTACATAAGACTTCTAAATAAAAACATAGGATGATCATATATCCTCCAGTCCCTCCCCAGTCCAAAAAAGAAGAAGAGAGGGTTGGTTGTTATTCTATTTATTAAATCAATCTGAAATTTTCCTTAATGTTTTAAAAAAAATACCTTACAGATATTGCTACTTGCTGTGGTATCTGAATAATCAACAATATCAAATTCCCTCAATGTGTACCACATCAATTTCCAAGAACACAAAAAATAGAGGATGAGAATGTGTCCATGAAGAGCTGATCTCCAGAAAAAAACAGTGAACAGGAAGTCATGGTTTCCTTGCCCCCGAAAGAATGGAAGCATTTCCTCATTTGAATGCAGAATTATGTGCACCGACCACACTTTTGAAAGTAGCTGATTTTCTGACCTACCGCACAGACATCTTACCTTAAGAAAGTGCCGTGTTGCTAGAAAAAGTGGTGAGTCTGTTTCTTGTGCTTTTGCACACTGTTCAGCTAACGGTGTCAAGGCCTCCAGGCAAAGCTGGCAAACCTCCGAACTCATTCTGATCATGAAGGTCAAAGAACAAACTAGATTGGATATATTCGATTTATAAAAGATAAAAAAATTATAGCTAGTATTAAATGGATGAGTGTTTCTAGAAATGAATACAGATACACAAGTAGACTCATGGGCAATATCTTCACTGAGTTATATAAGGAAAGAAGATTTCCAGTGTTTTTCAGATTGCCTATAAGGTTTTTGGGTTTGAGCCTGGTGATGTATAGCTTGTTTCAGTTTACGATACATACAACTTATTAAAAAGTCATATTATTCTCTACAATCAGAGCTAAGACCAGAGACCCAGCTCAACATTACTAATGGGACCCTGATGAAGGGGTAACTTCTGGAACCAGGGACTGAATGCCTCAGAGATCTATGAAAGGAGGACAGGACGAGGCAAACTAACGAAAGAAACACAGAAATAGAGCAGTTACAGAGGTGACAGTTTTTTGTTTTTTTGTTTTTTTTTTTTTTTGAGATGGAGTTTCACTCTTGTTGCCCAGGCTGGAGTGCAATGGCGCAATCTCGGCTCACTGCCACCTCCGCCTCCCGGGTTCAAGCGATACTCCTGCCTCAGCCTCCCGAGTAGCTAGGATCACAGGCACCTGCCACCACGCCCAGCTAATTTTTTGTACTTTTATTAGAGACAGGGTTTCACTGTGTTGGCCAGGCTGGTCTCGAACTCCTGACCTCAGGTGATCCACCCGCCTCGGCCTCCCAAAGTGCTGGAATTACAGGTGTGAGCCACCGTGCCTGGCCCAGGGTTTTTTAAGAAATAAAATTGAACCATAAAAGAAAAATGAAAAATGTAAACTTAAAAAACTTTTCTTTAAAGGAAGATCTTTTTCCCCAAGTAACAAGTAACAGTGATGTTCATTTAAAGGATATGATGTCATTCCTAATTCTAGGGAGTACATCAGACTTTTAAACAGATCCTCAGGAAGCTGTGGTATTTTTTCAGGAAAAATCTCACAGATAAATGTGATTAATTTGTAGTACTGATTACAAAGGGTTGGAAACTGAAAAAGAAATATTCAATTATTTGGATGCTCATTAGTATCCAATTTCTATTTTCATCAATGCAATAAAATAAAGTAACTGACAAGCTTCTAAATATAATGATTTCTTTAAAACATGTACAAGATATAGAAAACATGAAGACCAAATTAAATGTAAAAACAGGTACAAATAAAGGGCATATTTTAGTAACTACTATGAAACAAAGTAACAGACAGTCAAAACAATTATCTTCTAGATAGTTAATAAAATCTAAGGTCAATTCCTGATATTCTGTGTTTACCCGGAAAAAGTAAACAAGGCAGCCAGATTTAAAATTATTAAATAACTTAGGAGTAAAACCTTTTTGTAAATGTATTTCCATTCAAGCATGCTGAAAAAATTCAAGAAGGTTAATACAAATTGTTAAGACTATGCACAGAGCAGAGTATTCGGTCTTTACACTTCCAAAAACATTTTTCCAGTTGTACTATCCTAGAGAACTGAGGTAAAAGTAAGTAATCTGGTTTAACCACACTTAAGAAAAATACACACTTAAATGTTTAATGGCTTATTTGTTTAAACAAACCCTAAATGCAAATCAATATGGAGAGTTGACTAAACTTCCTCATCCTGCTGGCTGGCTGCTGTGTGAATGCCATGGGTCATCAACATTGTTTCCAATAGTTAGAGACGCTCTCAAGGAGGGGGAAGCACACGGTTAGATCCTGCTATGCTGGCAATCAAACAGGACTCATTCTTCTCGTATGTACTCACCTTCTGGACACTTCTCAGCCTCTACTTTTTTTTTTTTTTTTTGAGACAGAGTCTCGCTCTGTCACCTAGGCTGCAGTGCAGTGGCACAATCTTGGCTCACTGCAAGCTCCGCCTCCCGGGTTCACGCCATTCTCCTGCCTCAGCCTCCTGAGTAGCTGGGACTACAGGCGCCCACCACCACACCCGGCTTTTTTTTTGTGTGTGTGTGTGTGTATTTTTAGTAGAGGCGGGGTTTCACCATGTTAGCCAGGATGGTCTCGATCTCCTGACTTCGTGATCCACCCACCTCGGCCTCCAAAAGTGCTGGGATTACAAGCGTGAGCCACTGCGCCCGGCCCAGCCTCTACTATCTTACTTCCTCCTACTCCTTGTCTTTATCTCGTGTGTGTGTGCACACGCATGCATGCATGCACATGTGCACATACACACACAAACTCCTCCTTTCCTTTCCACCCATGTCCTCATCCCCACCCTTATCCTGCTATGACAACTCATGACAAGAGACCTCCCTCTGTGGTACTTACGGATGGTAGAAAAAAGTTGCCTCACCGCCACCACACCCTCAATATTAACTGACAAAACCAAGGCATAATGTAGTCAGAATGTGCAAAAACTTTAAAACAGCATCAGTCTTGGAAGCATACCATCCCATTTTTACATGGTGCCCCTTGGAAAATGCCTTCCTTTGCTCAATCCCTTAACTTGAGAATGATGTTCAGAAAGTATCAGAGGAAAACACTGAAACTTTTAACTTACTTTATTCCCTTAGTGACAAATTATGAGGTAATCAAAACTGCTAACAGAATGTACTTTCTAAAAGGACAGGCTCCTTTCTGTAGCACTCCCTGACAAAACGAGTCACTAATGTATGGGTGCCTGCAGGACTTTGGGGCAGAAACAGAGACTAAGTAAGGGCCCATGTTACTGAGAAGCATGCACAAGTAACCGTTAATGAAAATACAAAAATTGTATCTTCATGTGCACTTAGCAGATACAACTACTAAATTAAATCACAGATATATTCTTGTCTAAAGTATCTTTGAACTTCAGTTACACATAGTGGTATGTTCACATTCAATTTCATTAATTACCTTCAAGAGATCCTGTGACATCAAGGGCAGAATTAGGTTTACTCCATACAACACAACATCCGCTGCTGACACAGATCTGTTTGCTGCTTGACCTGGCTCATGTCCTCTAAACACTTCATCTATTAAAATAAAAGGATGCAGGCTTATGGTGGTAACATCAATAAATCTTCCAAGTGTGTATTCTACCCTTATGAAAATAAACTCACCCCTAGAGGCTAAATAAATCAATGAGTGAATAATAAAGAATCTGACCTCGTCCTGCCTGGTCTCTGGTGAGGGGATGGAGGAGACAGCACATCCAGGGGTGAAAAAAAGATCTGAGACCCCAGCCCTGTGTCATCCTTTTGAGTTTTATTAGGGGATATGAGTACTTGATACAGAAGTATTGGGGAGGTTAAGAGCAGGGGACAGTCTAGAAATAAAACTAATGCTTAATCAATGTTTTGAAATATAAAATCTACTGGCATACTAGCCATAATGAGTTAAACAATTTCTATAGAAATATCCATTTGATTTCAAGTGTGTATAATATTTCTAAGCTTAAAAGGAATGCGAGAAATACAGAAATTAAAATGTTACATAAAAAAGAAAGTAGTTTAAAAAAGAACAACCAATATGACAAAGGGTTATCATTCTTAATACATATGAATTATATATATATATAAATTAATGAGAATACTAAGACCTAAACAGATAAATTAACATCTCTAAACAAACGTTTATCAAAGTCTGACTCTAAAGGAAAACAGTCCATTCCAACTATTAATCAAGCAATACAAATTTTAAAAAGATACTACTTCTGATTCATTACATTAAAAATAATTTGTAAAAATGATAACATTTCATTGCCAGTAAGGATGAAATGTGGTTAACCTCAAAAGCAATATATTAAGACCATTTTGAGAATTCTATCTATTAAGGATATAATCAGAAATTCAGACAGCCTTGTCCACAGAAATGATCACTGCATCACCATTTATAAGAGGAAAAAGGTAAACATTCCAGATGTCCAATATTAGGAAACAGGCTAAATTCCAAAATGTGGAATGCCACATAACCATTAAAAATATCATCACAGATTCTAATGACAAGGGAAAGGTTAACACTACATTAAACAAAACGACAGAATATAAAATTGAATTTAGTTCGCAGCTTGCCAGGAGTAAAAGCAAAATAAAAACAAACTTGTATTTAGAGCACGATCACAAAGAAAATTGGACAAAAATAACAAAAACAGAAATTCCTAAAATGCAATGTATAGTTGACTCTGGATGGTGTCCAAAAGTAAGCATGATTTTTCTGTCTCTATATTTACAATTTTTTTCTATTAAGGGCATATTTCTTATAACAACAAAAAGATCAAATGAGGGATATGTGTCTACTTAAAATCCACTTGTTAAGCCTAACGCTGAACTTCTCCCCTGGAATCTTTGTTCTGGTTGGAAGAATCTCCTGTGTTAAAGCAGGAGTCACCAAATGTTCCCTGCACATCATACTGGTAAGCCTGGATTCTACCCAAGGAACCCCAGCCTGCTCTGGAGCAGAAGGCTGGTACTAGAGCTTGACTCCCTGCTCCAGGTATCTGCCAAGAAGACACGTCTCTCAGAGCCGGCAAAGGCTGACCCATCATGGGCTCCAAGAGGGCTCAGTCTCTAACCATGTGCTCTGCTAAGGAGTCAAGAAAGCAGGTCGGATACCACGTTAAAGAATGTCAAGGCCAGGCGCAGTAATCCCAGCACTTCGGGAGGCTGAGGTGGGCAGATCCCCTGAGGCCAGGAGTTCGAGACCAGCCCGGCCAACATGGCAAAACCCCATCTCTACTAAAAATACAAAAAATTAGCCAGGCCTGGGCTGGGCACGGTGGCTCACTCCTGTAATCTCAGCACTCTGGGAGGGTGAGACAGGCGGATCACGAGGTCAGGAGTTTAAGACCAGCCTGGCCAACATAGTGAAACATAGTATCTGCTAAAAAAGGCGGGCACCTATAGTCCCAGGTACTTGGGAGGCTGAGGGAGGAAAATCACTTGAACCGAGGAGGCAGAGGTTGCAGTGAGCCAAGATGGCGCCACCGCAGTCCAGCCTGGGTGACAGAGCGAGACGCTGTCTCAAAAACAAACAAACAAATAAACAAACAAATTAGCCAGGCCTGGTGGCGGGTTCCTATAATCCCAGCTACTCGTAAGGCTGAGGTGGAGGCTGCTGTGAGCCAAGGTCGCGCCATTGCACTCCAGCCTGGGCAACAAAAGTAAAACTCTGTCTCACAAAAAAAAAAAAAAAAAAAAGTCAGATGCCAGTTTCCAGTTATGCTTTTATTATTTATTAATTATTATTAATATTTTTTGAGCTGGAGTTCCGCTCTTGTTGCCCAGGCTGGAGTGCAATGGCACAATCTCAGCTCACTGCAACCTCCTCTCTTCCCAGGTTCAAGCGATTCTCCTGCCTTAGCTTCCTGAGTAGCTGGGATTACAGGCATGCACCACCATGCCCGGCTAATTTTTTTGTATTTTTAGTAGAGACGGGGTTTCTCCATGTTGGCCTGGCTAGTCTCAAACTCTTGACCTTAGGTGATCCACCCGCCTCAGCCTCCCAAAGTGCTGGGATTACAGGCGTGAGCCACCACACCCGGCGCAGTTATGCTTTTAATATCTCACCTAGTCCATTAACTTTGTTTTACAATATTTAGAATATTTTATATTTTGTTTCAGCTATTATCTTTATTTTTAAATAAAATATTCTCTTCCTTTTTACCATCCATTTGCCTGATGTGCCAAAGATGTTTCCTTATAATTTTCTACTTTGCCTTCATTTTTGTTTCTTCTGAATTTCAACCCTACATACTCGTTTTATTCTTTTTACCCCTATTTTGTTTTGTCTAGCCTGAGCATTATAGCATCAATTTCTTTTCTTAACCTTATTATGACTTTAATCTTTTCGCTGCTTTTATTTTGAAAATCTCTCCTTCAAATGCTTAGCTTTATTGTTTGCTCTACAATTTGTTCTTAGAATGGCAGATGGGAGGAAGTGCAGCTGCACCATAAACCTGGGAGATTGTCTTCAAACACCTTAATAGCCCCCCTGCCCTTTCTTATTGACTGATTGACTGATTGATTGAAACAGAGTCTGGCTCTGTCACTCAGGCTGGAGTGCTGTAGCACAATCTCGGCTCACTGCAAGCTCCGCCTCCCTGGTTCACGCCATTCTCCTGCCTCAGCCTCCAGAGTAGCTGGGACTACAGGTGCCCACCACCACCATGCCTGGCTAATTTTTTATCCCCTGCCCTTTCAATGTAAATGATCTGAAACATTTCACCCTTAACCAAAGAAGACTCCCAGGTGAAAAAATATTCCAAAAATATTAATGGCTATCCCTTATTGTTGGTACAAGTCCTACTGGGTCCAGGGCAAGTCGTACAGAAATTATGTTACTCAAAGAAAAACTCAGGAAGGCTGTGCTGGGGGAGGATCCTCCATCTAGAGTCCAGTAAGGAAGCAGAGAGGCAGTTCTGATTTCCTAAAGGGGCCTTCAAGGTAGGAAGAAGATGGAAGATTCTAAAAACTGGCCACAGCTCCACAATCATTTCTCTAAATGTTTACTTCTATTATAATCCTTCCTTTTTTGATAGGATTATAGAATATTCTAGAAATGTGGACTGTCCCTTCTCCTTTCTCTTATTAACGCTGCCCAGCGCTGGGATCTACTGTAGTACTTAAGTAGGTAGGAAACACGATGGAATCACTATTTTAGGAAAATTATTCTGAAAATAAGACAAATCTGGTAGTATGTCAGAAACAACTAGGAAACTTAGTCAAAATATAGATTTCTAGAGTTAGTAGGTCTGCGATGGGGCCTGAGTGGGGGCATAGAATAAGAATCCAAGAAAATGATGATACTATTTCTAGAAATGAAAAAATTGAAACAATGAGCTGATTTATGATACACAGAGTAATCATGACAGTAAATCATCTAAACATATACATGTTTTAGCTCTGGGTCCTAACATTTAGTTACAGATTCCTCTGGGGACAAGATTCTTAACCTGGGTTCCTGACACACCTGGAAAATGTATAGAAGAGTTTCCAGGAGTCCATGAACCAACTAATACTGTATTAGTAAGAGGTTAAGAATGCTGGGCACAGTGGCTCACACCTGTAATCCCAGCACTCTGGGAGGTTAAGGTGGGAGAATAGTTTAAGCCTGAGGTTGAGGCTGCACAGAGCTGTGACCATGCGACTGCACTCTAGCCTGGATGACAGAGGGAGACCCTGCCTCTCAAACAACAACAAGGAAAGAAAGAAAAAGTTAAGAACTCCTGGATTAAGCAGAACTGACCTGAAGAAAGTTAGAAAACTTGGGTGAAAGGCTGGGCCTAAAAACAGACCAGAAAGAATTCACTGAGGAAAAGTGAATTTGTACAGTGCTTTTCAGACTATCTCACCTTGGTACCCCTAGTTAACTGCAAAAAAAATAAAGAGTAAACCTTCTACACTGTGAAGTTGATGGTACCTAGCTCAGGGCAGATATTGGAAAAACCGTTGCCCAAGAATTTAAAAAAAAAAAAAAAAGACATGGTCCAGTGAATAAGGAATACGAAAAAATTAAGGAAACAGAACAATCTCAAGGATTGGGATAAATAAGTCAAGTGGATATTATAGCACCCAACTTAGAAAGAGAATCTTACAAGGAAGAAGCCAAAAATGTCCACTACCACACGTGTCTGCACAACATATAATAGGAGAGGCTAGATATGATTCATTTTTCTGTCATGAAACAGGATCCATTTTGTTTGAAGTCAAGGTTGGCAGTGAGATAGGAGGGGAGTGAACTCTACAGCACTGAAAACTATACACATATATGAGGTTTAAATTACTGATCAGGTTCTTGCCTGTAACAGCAACTATCTTTTACCTACTGATTGTCAGACACAATGCTAGGCACCAAAGACACTTTACAGCTGATCCTTCAAACACACTGAAAGGTATTTATTATCATACCCATTTGACCAGCTAGTAAAGACACAGGTAGGCTAATCAACTCCCCTCACATCATACTGTAGGTGAGACACTAGGCTAGGTCTTCAAAGTGTGGGCTGTTAACTCCAGAGAGAGTGCTTCCTACACCAACAGGGCTTTCCAAGCCACACTCTGGAAAGTGCTAGGGTTTCTGGGGTGGCCACCGTGAGGAACATGGAGAAGTGATTAGTCAGGAAGTGTAACTCTGAAGAGACTGGCATCTGGAGTCACAGGCTGGGATTTGAATCCCAGTCCTGGCTAAGTATCTGTGGCCAAGTGACTTAAGCTCTCTGTGCTTCTGTTTCCTCATCTATAAAGTGAGAATAACAATGGGATTGACTTCATACCATTGTGAGAGGTAAGAACAGTGCATGGCATTTAGTAAGATCTCAATGAATGAGAGATACTATTTCTATTATTCTTACAAGAGGAAAGGCAAGCAGGAGGGCCACTGGTCCTCACCCTCACTTTGACCACAAAGATCTTCTTTCATTTATTCCATAAATTGAATTTCCTCATGAGATGTCTCTTACAGAAAACAATCCTTTGATTTAATAAAAAGGAGGATAACAACAAAGTTTAAAAACCATCACGTTACATTTTACCTGTATCACTGAAATCTATGAATTCTTTTGACAGCAGGTTAGTAAGAAGTTCCATAATGAGAAGCAGGTCTTGGTATTGCTCTTCTTCTGCTGTAACATCTATTCTTTGCCGCCCTAAATTATTCTTAGAATACACTTGCAACAAAGTAAGGCAGGCTTCATATAAGTTCATAGCTTTGGACTGAAAAAAAAAAAAATGCACAAATTATGCTACTTGGTACACTGACATTAAAAAAATTTTAAAATATAATCTATATAAATTAACTCCGAATTCCAACAGTAGCAATAATTCTTGCTTTAAACTACATTAAAACAATAATTTCTAGAAAGCATATATTAAGAGTATATTTTTTTTAATTTTACCCCTTTTCTAACAAAATTTTAGGACAAGAATTTATATTCAGGTGCAGCAAACCACCATGGCATACATATACCTATGTAACAAATCTGAACGTTCTGTATATGTATCCTGTTTCCTTTTAGAAGAAATTAAAAAAAAAATTTACATTCATTCAACATGACTTTCTCTAAATTATAAGTTCTTTTCAAAAATCTTTTTTAAAAATCTTTTGAAGGAATAAAAATATTATTTAAGATAATACTAATCAAATTTTAAGCAAAGATCTATTATTTTATTACAGCTTCAAAGAGTTTTAATCCTGAGGGGATAAAATTAGAAAGTGCTTACCTCTCCAAGATAGCATATCTGTTTATGTGCAACTTCAACAAAAACTTCTATAATGAGATTGACAGTCTCTGGGGTATTCTTGTAAACTTCCATCAATCCAATGCAATTGGTAAGGAAGTCCATTAAAAAATTAAACAGGATTGCTACGTTGTCAATCTGGGTAGCCTCAGCAATGCCACACAGGGCCTCTAGTGTGGCAGTGATTTCCTGCTTGACTTCCTCTTGCTGACACATCTGCTGGAAGTTTTCTTGGTTTATCACTCTTAAGAATCGCTGCTGAAGTGGCTGAAGAACCTATAAAAATAAACCAGGAATTTTCTTAAAGCTCAGTTCTCATGCTTTATTTCCTCTGCTTGGATACATATTCACTTTCCAAAACATTTCTAATTGTTGGAGGCAGGACAAGCACATAACAAAGAATATCTAAACCAGACTTTACACTCCCCATTTTGAGGGTCATCCTAACTTTCCGCTCATGTAAAGCCAGAACACCCAAAGCATGGGACATAACTGTCTCCCTGCCATTCAAAGAATTCTGCCATTTCCCTCCATCTCTTTCCAAGTAATGAGTCAAAAAGGAAAAAAAACTTTGTTTACAAAATCAGACAGTAAGCCACATTTGGCCCATGGGCTGCAGCTTGCCGACCTCTACAGAGTGAAGCCCAATTCAAAGTTCTTGTCTGTTTTTTTCCTTTTTCCTTTACCTAATTCCTCTTGGCACAGAACGTAACTTCAGATAATCAGTCCTGCCCTGTATATAAGAGTACTCATATTCAAGAGGACAGTATCTTAATTCGACTTTAAGTTGTCCATATGATAATACAATTGTTTAAAATAAAAATACTTAGTCAGTCTGGTTTCCCCTGGATTTGAAGTCACAAACAACTGCCTAATTCCATTACTGTGCCCCTTCTCAAACACTAAGGGCCCTCTAGACAAGGACTGCAGGCTGGCAACCTACACACACTGGCAACTCTTGGCCCTTGATTTAAAGCCTATTAAATAATGTGCCCATGGTTGTTGTTATGGGTCAAACTGTGTTCCTCAAAAACTCATATGTGGAAATCCAAACCCCAGGATATGAACTTATTTGATAATAGAGTTGGCCGGATGCAGTGGCTCACACCTGTAATCCCAACGTTTTGGAAGGCTGAGGTGGGCGGATCACTTGAGGTCAGGAGACCAGCCTGGCCAACATGGCAAAACCCCGTCTCTACTAAAAATACAAAAATTAGCCAGGCATGGTGGTGCGCACCTGTAATCCCACCTACTTAGGAGGCTGAGACAGGAGAGTCGCTTGACCCAGGAGGTGGAGGTTGCAGTGAGCCAAGATCACACCACTGCACTCCAGCCTGAGTGACAGAGCAAGACTCCGTCTCAAAAAAAAAGAAAATAGGGTTGTCATAGATGTAATTAGTTCAGATGAGGTCATACCGGAATAGGGTGGGCCCCTAGTTCAATATAACTGATATAGAAAGGGGAAGTGTGGATGCAGACACACACAGGGGGAGCATGTGAAGATGAAGGCAGGGATCAGGGTGATGCGTTTACAAATCAAGGAATGCCAAAGACTGCCAGCAAGCTACCAGAGGCTACAGATTTTCCCTCATAGCCTTCAGAAAGAACAAATCCCATGGACACCTTATAGCTTGGACTTCTAGCCTCCAGAAGTAGGAGAAAACAAATTTCTGTTGTGGTATTTTGTTAGAGCAGCCCTAGGAAATGAATATCATGGTTAATCTGCATCTTATTCAAGACAGGAGAATATTTCCCTGATCCCTAATGAAAATTTAATAAGCCAGTCCATGCTCTCGACTGAGTTGTGAAAAATGTGCCTAAAATGCAGAACACTTGATAATATTCAATGTCATCACACACAGGCAGGTACAGAAAAATTATAAGACAACATTTGTAAAATAAGAAGCTTCAACCCATTCATTAGGAGAAAAAATATCAGAAAAGCTATGACTGGGCCGGGCACAGTGGCTGGTCACATCTGTAATCCCAGCACTTTGGGAGGCCAAGGCGGGCAGATTGCTTGAGGCCAGGAGTTCGAGACCAGCCTGGCCAACATGGCAAAAGCCCGTCTCTACTAAAAAAAACAAAAATTAGCTGGGTATGGTGGCATGAGTCTGTAGTCCCAGCCACTTGGGAGGCTGAGGCAGGAGAATCGCTTGAACCTGGGAGGTAGAGGCTGCAATGAGCTGAGACTGCACCACTGTACTCCAGCCTGGGCAACAGAGTAAGACCCTATCTCAGAAAAAAAAAAAAAAGAAAGAAAGAAAGAAAGAAAAGCTATGACTGATACATTTATGTCTCCAGAGACTCTTACGGCAACGCATAGATAAAGGAACTACAGAGTTACACAAAAGGGTGCAATCAAAATAGACAGCACTGTTACCTCTGTCCAATACTGCTGTTTGGTTTCTGTGTCCATATGTGCAAAACCTCCTAAGACTAGAGCCTTCATCAATGTCCTCTGCACAGGACTTGACAAGAAATTAAGAGGTGGGCTTCGGCTTGCAAACTGCTTAGCTAAATTCCACCAGTTCTCACATTGAATTACTAAGTTTGCCCTACAGGTAGAAATAACAAAACATAAGATGTATTACTATGTATATACATACACACATACACATATACACACAAAGAAAACAAAAATAAAAAATAACTAGATTTAATTACTGTTAAAGCAAAGTACAGTAAACTTAGTATAGACTTTGAAGTCACAGGCTTACATTCAAATCCCACTAGTTGTCTGGTGATGTAAAATTTATTTAACCTCTATCAATCATCACTTCTCTATAATCTGCAAAATAGGAATAATAACAGTCTCCTGGGGCTGAGACTGATATAATGATTAAATGAGATACTACCTATGACATGCTTAGAAGAGTACATAGTAAATTATAAGAATTCAATAAACCAGACAATGACAATGGTAATAATAACAATGATACTCCTATACAGTAAGAACAACGAAAACATTTCTAGAATTGTTGTAGAAAGCACTAAAAATTTTACTTTCCAACATTAAATTTTAAATATCAGTATTTAATCTTTAAAATGGGGATGTCTAAAAATTCAAATGAGCATATTCCACATAAAAGTGTTTGCAACACGATAAATTACTAATGTGTTACTCATAGGGCTTTGATGCCAAATCCTGAAGGAGTCAATGTAATGCTCAATTATAAGATGGGAAAGCTCCATTTGCATTTGTAATAGTACTGTGACATAGTTTTTAAAACCCATTACTCCAAAAATGTAGGCTCTATCTGGAATTAGGACCGTGTAACCATTTGCCAGTTCAAAGGACTACACTAAGAAGTGAAAAAGAGTTTCTCACCCACACACATACACACACAGTCAGCCTCCAACAATGGGCTAACCTTTCTCTTCTTTCCACCAAAGTGACAAGGAGCTGCACAGTGTCATTTGCAAGGTCCTGCTCACTACTCCAGACTGAGAGGTTACTGATGACTTTTTGTAAGAGGTAGCCAATTATCCACTGAGAACCCTCTGTATCTGCTCCGAACGCTGTACTGAATGGCAGACTTATCTTAAGAGAGGAAACAAATTTTTTAAGGTAAGCAAGAAAGATCAACTCAAGAAAAAAAAAACAGAGAAAAATCGAACTGAAATTAGTATCTAATCTGAAGTAGTGCTTACTTCACATCAACTTTACACATGTACTCATTTCCACTGGTCAAAAAAAAAGACATCCTCAATCCACTCACATTTTCCAGTGTGATTTTCCCGTCAACTTCTATTATTCCCATAGTATTAAAAAATTAACATAGTATTAAACCAAATACAAAAAAGCATAATCTATTCCCAAATAATAATCTGTATCTTCAACAGCAGTTAAAATAAACGATATCAAGGGATGTGCTCAAAAACACATTAAAACAGCATTCCAGTCACATAATTCTCTTCCACACAGAAAATGTTAAACTGCTCTTAAACAGTTCTATTTTGATGAAAAACCACCAAGAAAAATGTTCCTGCTTCTATAACTGCTATCATCATAAATCCAAATGAAGTTTTAAGTTTTACATTCTGACCTGATCATACAGTTTTTCATCCACCAGGAGATAAGTCTTTGCCCAGCGTTTTAAAAACCAAACAATATCTTTGCCCATCTGGGGACTTAGTAGATGAGTGAGATCTGCTCTTATTGCTCGAGATTCAACTTCTGAAACTCTGAGAATGGCAGACAACAGCCTGTAGGTATAAAACAGAAGTCATTTATTCTTTTATTTATTTAGTTGCTGTCTAATCATATTTTTTTCCTTAAAAGTCCTTTTTTGTCTTTCAGTTCTCTGGATTTAGGTCAGGCTATACTTGAACATTTCATCTACAGAGTTTTAGACAACTGTCCCATATTATTTCTGATCTTTCACGAAGCAGGAGACAAGATAAGGAAAGGAAGAGTCAACACTAGAGATGTCCTTCTGCTGAAGTTGTAACCACATGTGTGAATATCAGCATTACTAGCTAAAGAGAATTTTCAGATTCAAAATTTTCAGATTTTCAGGAGAAATACATCAAATTAAATCTTCAGAGTACATGCCAAACTCTTTTAGCATGTACTACTTAGCATCACTACTTAAAACTACCCTGGTTAGTATAGTTTGTGTTTTTATATCATGGTCATGTTACAGTACAAGATCTGGGAATTATTTAGAAAGTTTTGAATATTGAGCCTTGTTTAAATCCAATATTTCCTAGTAAACTTGATTCTTCATGGTATTTTTAAATAAAACTCTTGCTAGAAAGATTACCTGTGTAAGTACACATATTGTCCTTTCCTACACTACATAATTCATATGGTCGTGTGGTGTCAATCACATAGCGTGACATGCAGACAAACAGAAATGTCTTTGTTGAGGAGGGCACATAATCAGAAGTGATATATATTTAACCTGACTTTAGCCAAAAGGCAAGGAAGCAAAGGAGGTAATGGAAAGACCCCATTACACACTAATGAATATCAGTGCTGAGAAAAGGATTCTAATCACTCAAATTCGGCTTATGCTCCTTTACTAGTGCTCTCAGGAAGCCTGAAATGATCTCATCATGAAATCATACACACGTGTTTCAGTTCTTTACCCCACTGGATGGCCCACTGTCACTGCCCTTATCTTCCTGCAGCCTCCCTGGGGTCACTGCCCTTCCTCTCTTCATCTAGCCATCTGCTTCCTCTTTCCCAGTCTTCATGGCAGCATCCTCTTCTCCTGAACTTCTTCTTTAAATCAGGAGGTTTTTAAGGTTCCACCCCAGAATCTCTTCTAATTTTTTTTCTTTTTTAGACAGAGTTGCTCTGTCACCCAGGCTGCAGTATGCCCAGACACAGTCACGGTCCACTGCAGCTTTAACTTTTTGGGTTCAAGTGATCCTCCTGCCTGAGTTTCCCAAGTAGCTGGGACTACAGGCACACACTACTACACCAGGCCGATTTAAAAAATTTTTGTAAAGACAGGGTTTCGTCATGTCACCCAGGCTGGTCTTGAACTCCTGAGCTCAAGCAATCCTCCCACCTTGGCCTCCCCAAGTGTTGGGATTACAGGCATAAACCACCATGCCCAACCTTCTTCACTGTCTGCACACTTCCTATACCACCAGTGCTCGTTTGAGTTTTTTAAAAAAATTTTTTAGGGGGTATATGAACAACAACAAAACAAACAAATAAAACCCCAACAATCTCCCAGTACAGTAATACATTTAAGTTGTAGATATGTCAAAATTCCTGGTAAGATTAAATCATTTTAAATATCTATTCCAGCCTAACAAAATTCAAAAGAAAATGGTTACATTAACACTTTAAATTTATGCACTGGAGTTTTATTATCACAATATTCTGATACCCACTATCACCCATTAAAAATATAAACAGATTTTCCTTATTTTTATTTCAATTTCATTTTCCCATAGAACATTATCCTAATATAATTTTTATGTTCCAGTATTTTGTTCATCATACTACATACTCTGATACAAATGTCTATATATTGAAAGATAACTTTTAAACATTTTCAATGACCATAAGACCATTAAGTGTTTAAAAATGTCTTCTGGATTATCATTATGATACTTAAAACTAGACAACTGAGCAAAACAATATAAATTTGAATAAATTATTAAACATGAATAAACACAAACATAAAATTGTATGCATCTCTTAATGTGATTAACTTAGTAGGGTTCTTTCCCCACTTAGTACACGTATCTTTGAATGAATATTACCTATTGCCAGATGAGCAAGTGGAGCATGATTTGATTCCTATTTTTCCTTTAATAGATATAAGTACTGAGAAAACTTCATATAAGTAGAACCTATTTTTAAAATCGCAGAGTACCCCAATTATTTGAATTTCTTCCAAGTTATACACCAAAAATCACAGAGATCTACCAACAAAAATTATTTTTAATCATCTCTTGGTTGATGTGATTAGGTCCTCTTGTTATTTAATGCAAAGGACTGAAACCTGCTAACTGTCCACTCACTAGTGACTCAGTCACTTAGTCAGTGCCACACTGTTTGCAACTGTCCCTCTCCTCTGTGGGGTTTTACACACCTGCCAATCCACATGTTCAGAGGTAGAAGTGAAAACTTTGGCCTTTCTTTTGTAAAGTGGAAGAAACATCAATGAAAGAACCACTCAGCCTGAGTCAGGCAGGTCCAGGGGAGGCACCCAGGGGCCTTTCTTCTACCTCAGAAATACCTCTCATAACCCAAGAACCTTTCTCCATCTTCACTCCCAAGACTACGTAGGAAAATGCTTCCTAACTTGCCTTGTCACCCTTTAAATTTATCACCCATGGAATAGTATCTCTAAAATATTTTGATCACTTCACTTCTCTGCTGTAAATCCTTGTCAGTATTTTTACTCCCACTTTATCAGCCCCACCCACAGCAACCTCCCTGCCTCTCCACCCTCATCCCCCCACCAAAGCTATCGCCCTGCCCTCCTGGGTCACACACCAGCCACACCTAAGTTCTTCTCACTTGAGCAGGGCTCTCTTACTGTCAGAGGCATCAAACCAGACTGACTCCATCTTGAGTGAGGGCTAGGAAAATGATGCTGGGACCTGACGGCTGCATTCCCAGAAAATCAGGCATTCCCTATTCTCTAGATGTTTACAGTTAAGGGAACAAATTAATAAGATTTACTAAACAGACCCAGACTTGGGAGTGTCCAGATATTCTGACATCTGGAGAACAAAGGCATTCCTAATTTTGCTTTAAAGATAGTAATATTGATTCTTGCAAAATACAGTAATTAAGAAAAGTAATCCTTTATCACAAACCCTTGTAGCAAAGCCCATCTCCCCATCTTTTTTATCATATATATACACTATATATACATACACTATATATATACACACAATATATATATACACACTATATACATACACTATATATATCTATATATATACACACATTATATATATATACACACACACATTATATATATATATACACACACACACATACACACAAGCATTGTGCCTATGGTGGACGTGTTCCTCCTATTTTCTTATTTCTTATTTTCAGGAACTTCCTGCTCTGTCTATGGAATAGCCATTCTTTTATTCCTTTACTTTCTTAATAAACTTGCTTTCACTTTACTCTATGGACTCGCCCTGAATTCTTTCTTGTGCAAGATCCAAGAACCCTCAGGGACCCCTTTCCTATAACATTGCTGCTTATGCTATTGTCACTGCCTAAAGTACTCTTGTTTCAAGAAGCCCCCTCTGGTTCTCCTCTGCCCGTAGATTAGGGGAACCAGGAGCTCCTATAACACCCTTACACACTTCTAACTGTATCCTCAGATGCTGGCACGCATAGGAGTTGAAATACAACTCATAAAAACACCAAAATATTTTTAAGTTGTTGATATTCCAAGATTAATACCCCATTCCTACTTCAATTCCTTAAAGCACTATATCTACAAATATATTTCAAACAGCACTCAGTTTCTCATATTTTCTAAGTCAATCCTAGATTACATTTGTATGTCATAAATCCAAAGTCAGCACAATAAATCAAACAGAGCTTTAACCTCTCACAACCTCCACTATAGGTCTGAGCCACCATCATCTTTCTCTTGGATTACTACAATTTGTCTCCTAACTGGTCTCCTGGCTTCCATCATTTACTCTCGGGTTTTTTTGCATTTTGTTTTTTTTTTTGAGACAGGGTCTTGCTGTGTCGCCCAGACTAGAGTGCAGTGGTGCAATCTCAGCTCACTGCAACCTCTGCCTCCGAGGTTCAAGCGATTATCATGCCTCAGCCTCCTGAGTAGCTGGGACTACAGGAGGCGAGCACCACCATGCCCGGCTAATTTTTTGTATTTAGTAGAGATGGGGTTTCAATATTGCCCAGTCTGGTCTTGAACTTCTGAGCTAAGGCAATCTGCCCACATTGGCCTCCCAAAGTGCTAGGATTACAGGTGTGAGCCACAGTGCCCAGCCTCCATCATTTACTCTTAATGCAGCAGAGTAAACTTCTTAACATTTAAGTTACTCTTCTGCTCAAAACCCTACAATGGCATGCTGCTTCATTCAGAACAAAAGCCAAAGATGTTACAAAGGCCTAAGACCTTCTCTGTTTTCCCTCTATTTTCCTAACTCCATCTCCTAAAAAATTCCACCTCATTCTGCTCAACCCACCACGGCATTCTTGCTGTTCTTGAACATGCCAAGCAGGCCCAGGGCCTTTGCATTCACTGTTTATTTTGCTTGGAATGCTCTCCCCCCAGACACCTTCATGGCCTCCCTTACCAACCTCACATCTCTGCTCCCAAGTCACCTTCTAGATAAAGCCAACACTCATCACACTAATGACAACTACAACAATCCCTACTGATACTCACTCTAGCTTTTTACCTGTCACATTTGCTGTCTTCTAACATACTGCATAATTTACTTATTTATTCTCTCTCCTTTATAAAGAGTTCTAAAAGAGAAGTGACTTCTATCTGTTTTGTTCAAATACCCGAAGGCTCCCTGTTACGTTGTCAGCAGTCAATAATTATTTCTCAAATGATACCTGTTTTAAGAAATGTGAGCTGCTTTTTTAGTGAAACAAGAAATGTTTCTACCATATAACATTAAATTTCATATTAATTCTTTGGATTAAAAACATGGTGACTTTTTTTTTTTTGGTCCCAATCCTCCATAGTCTGTGCTCTCAGATACCAAAATGTTTTGCTCCCACACTAACATCTGACAAAAATGGAAAAAGCACTTAAAATACAAGGAAAGCATTCCTGATGCTACTGCCCAAGCAAAAAATATAACAAAGAATATATAATATGACAGCACCCTGAAATGAACTGCTTTTTAAATTAACATTCACCACCAACCAAACCAGAGCAAAGCACTGATTTCCAGAGACACTAAATCTAATGACTAAGGTAATCCTAAAATGAATATATAACTTTTTCAATAAAGTATGATTTCATTTCAAACAAGAGAATGCAACAATAAAGGAAATAAATTCCCCAACATTTCCTTGGTTATCAGCTTAATATTTCAACTATTTTTTAAAAAGCCACATTTTCTATTGCATGTTTAAATGATATCCATATATTTTTGCATACTAAAAAGAATGAAGGGGACAGCATCCTGTTTGAGTTACTGGTTTTGCAGCTGACAAAAACCAATGTTAATATCATTACTGACATCTCTGCTTGCAACCTACATTTAAAATAAAGTTAAAGATACTGAAATTTCACATGTTGTTTTCAAATTCACTTTCAGGACCCTTTTTTTTTTTTTTTTTTTTTTTTTTTTTTTTGAGACAGAGTCTTGCTCTGTCGCCAGGCTGGAGTGCAGTGGTGCAATCTGAGCTCACTGCAACCTCTGCCTCCTGGGTTCAAGCGATTCTCCTGCTTCAGCCTCCCGAGTAGCTGGGACTACAGGCGTACACCACCACATCCAGCTAATTTTTGCAGGTTTAGTAGAGACAGGGTTTCACCATGTTGGCCAGGAGGGTCTCAATCTCTTGACCTCATGATCTGCCCGCCTCGGTCTCCCAAAGTGCTGGGATTGCAGGCGTGAGCCACTGCGCCTGGCCGGAACATTTTTAATACAGGCTTATCCCTCCTTAATTTCACCATTAAGAATTAACGAAAATTTTGCCATTAGTATTAGGAAGATTAAAGTGAATCACCTCATTTGAGGCACTCTCCTGTATTATAACAGGGCTCTTAAGTTTCACATTTAGAATACATATTTCCATTTTACGAGATACAAATTTTTATCTATCATTTTCCATGAGAAAGCCACCGAAACGTAGTTTTAGCTTTTATGAACGATACTTGTTGACGTTCATCTGGTTCCCTTCATTTAGGGCGCCTGCATGCATCAGTATTGCTCTCTGATGGACAGGCGTTATGTTCCTAACTACATTCAATGTCCCTTCCAAGTCTCATTGTATTCAGAATAATTTGACATTACTTTTCTTCAGTACTGGGTATAGCTGTCAACTCTCACTAGAGTGGCACTGCCTAAATATACTGAGTACTTGCCATCCTTGTGTATTTCAAGGCTTCTCCAAGTTTTCATTTTTTTCATGTATCAGATTTACAACGTGCCTATCACTCCAGTCATCTACCCATCAACTCAGAATTTATAAAACAGTATAAAAATTACAAGAGCACAGCTATAGAGTTTATATTACCTAATCACAGAATCTGTTCTGTTGTACCCTGGGATGGAAGAAGCCTTTTCTCCTGGAGATCCCAAAATTTGAAGTGTTGTATTAATGTCAACTTCAGATGAATGCTTAATGGAATATTCCATTATTTCTGGAGGTATTAGCGGAGTCTCTCCCTGAGTATCATCAGCTAAGAGGTAGCCTTCAGTTTAAAAAAAATTAAAAATGAACACTTAACAAATCTACATTTATCAAATTGTACTATAAATGTTTTCAGTTTGATTTATATACATCATATAAATTGATGTAAATTATAAATGTTAACCTGTTAATTTCAAGTTTATGCAAAAAAAACTTTCTATGTCTCAGATAAGTAACCCTCAAAACTACAGAAAAGGACAAATGTTTTATTCACCAATTTTGTAATTCATAGGGGCTTTTTAATCTACTACCTTAAATAATTTTCAGTACTGTATTCTGTAAAGTTAATAGAAATTTTGCTACTATCTATATTAGAAGTCAATATTAGGGAATTCATTTTCAAAAGTCAAGATTTTTTGCTTATTATTTAAAATATGGAAACACTAATAGTATGGTGGTCAAAAAAGAAGATCCTAAGAGTCAGACTGCCTAGATTTACATTCTGGCTCTAAAAATTAATAGCAGTGTGACAATGGGCTAGTTTCTTATACTCTCAAAGTCTCAGCTTCTTCATCTATTAGTTGGGGATAATGACGATGATGATGATAATAGTAATACTACCTAGCAATACTAATTCAGCGGGTAGAATGAGATCCATGAAACATTTGGTATGCAATAGGCACTGCATACATATTAGCCAGTATTTTTTAAAAATGCATCCATAGTTCTATGACAGAAAATGGCTGTATCCAAATTTTATCCAATATTATATATACACTATTGTTTTTCATATAGGAAGCTTCTTTTAAGGCTTAAATTGCTCAGTTGGCAATTACATTTTAAAAAGAAACCACCAACCAACCTGTAACTAAAATAAGCCAGTGAATATCTTCATAGAGATCATCAAGCATTTTGTTGTCAACAGTGCTTGAACCCGGTGAAGCAAGTAACTGTTGCTGATGTCGTTGTAACTGACCATGGAGTCTTGTTACTCTTTCTTCTAATAAACTAAAAGAGAAGAAAACAGTAGCTTCATAAAGTTCAATAAGCAAAGACATGGAACAACTTACAACTTCCATATATTAGACAACATGAATTGAATGTTAGCGTAAAAACACATATACAAAAACATTATAGTACACAACTGTTGTCATAGCACTATAGGAATTATGATTTATTTTTTATAACATAGAATTAAAACACTGCTTTACAAACAATCAAGGTTTACAACAGGCATTTGAAAACTGGTTATTCCAAGTTTTTACTGATATGGGTCAAATCATTTCTCATACCATGTTTTCCATAATCTCTCTGCCATCTATGCTGTAGTGCCTGGGCTCCAAATGTCTAAGCCAAGGAACGCAATCATGAGTATGTTTCTGTCCATTTGTTCCAGTGTGCTGGGACACGGGGTGGGGGTGTTTAAAGTCTTTAAACACTTTAAGTGCTCTCCAGGGAATTGTGAATAGAGAATATTTGCTCCATGGGGTTTCTTTGGACTGTGTGTACCTTGTCAGAAGAGGTATACAGTGTTCTGCAGCAATTCTTCCTAGCATTCCTACACTGGCCAGTTGATCAGAAAACTGGTCTCGATCATCCTCTTGAAGTTCACTTATTTCTTCCTCCTCACGAGAGGCCACACCATTGGCAGTCTATTGCAAGTAAAAGAAATAAACAATGAGGAACTGCATTGCCTATTCAACGTGCACTTCTGTGGCTCCATAACATAGCTTAGATAGCTAAGCACTGCATAGCAAAAGGAGAGGGGACACAGCCGACCTTTGAGCACAGCTATCTAGGAACTCCCTTCTAACAATGCTGACAGCCGTGGTAGTTATCAAAAGGGGGAAAACATACAAGAGCAAGAAGTACAGGAATCACTCCATGGTGATCAACACAACTAACTGCACACCCACAACCCACCTCCCATATGGGAGAATTGAACTTCTGTCACTGAAATAACCAGACATCCATGGCCCAAATTATTCATATCTCTTGACAGCTAGACAGAAAGAGGTGGGTAACTGAAAATTGAAAAGGAATATACATAGGCAACATCCCATTTTAATAAGAACTCAGAGAACAAGGCCACTTTTGCTCCCAGCAAATCTTCTGAGGGAACCCATCCTAAATTTCTGGCATTATATAATGTGTAACATGGTAAAATATAGCCTATGATGAAATAGACTGTTAATTACCATCTTGCTTAAAACTCACCAAATTTCTTGTGCCATCTGGAGCAGCTAGGTGGCACTGAATATAGGAATTGAAAACTTGAACTGCATGTTGGGTAAAAAAGCCTTTATGGAAATGTTTGTCATCTTGAACCAAAGTTAACCAGGACTCCAACAATTTATCATATGCTTCCATGTATACCATGTCATCTTTATCAAGCTAAAAGAAAAGAACACTCATAAAACAAATGTCCAGAGAACGACAATTGGCATAACAACAGTCATATAAATACATACAAATAGTTTAAATTTTTCCTTTAACAGAGCTTCCCAATTATTGATAAGTTTTTATTGAACTTTCTAAAATCTTTCTAAGTTCAAGTAAGTCTTAGGCAATCTGGAATTAAAGTTTATTTTTAAAACCAGCTGTTTAGTGTTTTGTGGAACATGCATTTTTCAAATAAAAATAATATTAACATTTTCTGTAGTCAAGAAGAGAATTGTTAAAATAAAAAAAAATGTATACACCCTACGCACTTTAAAATGGTTTTAGAGAAACTGAAGGATGAAAACAGACTGACTTAATCAGCAGGTTTAAGAATATGTGGGGAGAACTCCACCAGTGCTCCTTAACAAGAAATAACTCATAATAAAAAAGAACAGCAAATTCCATACAGTAGAAAAGCACTGTCTTCAAAAAAAATGTAATACGCGTTGACTCAACTCATAATTATTAGAGAAATACCAAAAGTGTCCCATACTTAGAGAAAAATCAGAAATTTAACAAGCACAAATACTTTGTGAATGTGGAAATAAATTTCTCCCTCTTCTTGGTTCTCCATCTTTTTGGTTCACTGCAGTTAGTTTTTCTTCTTACAAAGGAAACACATGTGGGAAACTTAGAAAAAGAGACAAGTAGATAAGATTAGGGAAAAGCCAGGCTTCTTCTTGCCCAAAGCTCTGACTGGCTAAATAGGCCTCTCTCCACAAGCATGGTACCGGATGTAACTAGACCTGTATGAGATCCACTAAGGAAACCCTGAGGCTGTATACGCTTCAAGATAGTCTCAGTGAAATTGTTTAGCTTGTAATCCTAATTGTCCTCTTTCCTATTCTTTCTTCTTCATTTAGCTACTATTACTGAATTAAAGTGTTACACCAAAACTACACCACTGAGAAAGAAGAGAAAAATTATCAGAGAAAAAGGTAGGATGACTATGCACACCACCAGGCTGTTTCACAGAGTTACTTGTGGTCCAAGATCTCCCTGAATGGAGCTAACATTTGGCTAAAAGGTCACTCTAGTTTAAAAATCTACAAAGGTCAGGAGGCAAGAATGAGCCTGGCATTTATATCGCAGAGAGAGCCGGTGGACCTGGAGCAGAGAGTGATGGGTCCTGACATAACATGGGGTGAGAATGGGGGCTGGGAGGCAAGAAACAGATCAAAGGCCTTGACAGGCTATGACAAGGACACTAGGTTTTCTTCTAATTGCAGCAAGAAGCCACTGCAATGCTTGAAACAGATAGAATGCTTTTTTCTTTTTTTTTTTTTTTTTGAGATGGAGTCTCGCTCTGTTACCCAGGCTGGAGTGCAGTGGTGTGATCTTGGCTCACTACAGCGTCCGCTTCCTGGGTTCAAGCGATTCTCCTGCCTCAGCCTCCTGAGTAGCTGGGACTACAAGTGTGCACCATCATGCCCAGCTAATGTTTGTATTTTTAGTAGAGACGGGGTTTTGCCATGTTGGCCAGGATGGTCTCGAACTCCTGGCCTCAAGGGATCCTCCTGCCTCAGTCTCCCAAAGTGCTGGGATTACAGGTGTAACCCACTGCACCTGGCCAGATATAATTCTTTAAAGGAAAATCAGACTGCTTACACTGCAAAGTATAATGGTGCCATGGACCAGGGGAGAGATGATGCCAAGCAGCCAAACTGGGTACAGATTTTGGAGAAAGGGCTGACACTGGAAAATGACCTGAGGCAAGACAGAAAACAAGGCAGTGGTGGGGGTGCACCTGGGTTTTTACCCTGACAGCTGGGAAGATTCCTACAATACAGAAGGATGGGGGTGTTGGACAGGGCAATGTGAGATGACGCATACAGGGTGATGAAGGCCTCTTGGCCTTTCTTCTTTTGGACATGTTAAATTTTAGATCCAAAATAGGAATCCAAGTGGGAATGTTCTATTAACATGTTTGATACATGTCTGAAGTTTAGGAAAGAGATCACGGCCGGAAATACAAATTAGGGCATCGTCAGCACACAGATACCTAAGTATTTATTTTTAAAGTTGAAAACCCAGAAGCATTCACTTAGAAGATGTTGATTAAGAATAAGGAGGAGCCGGGCATGGTGGCTCATGCCTGTAATCCCAATACTTTGGGAGGCTGAGGTAGGTGAATCACCTGAGGTCAGGGGTTCAAGACCAGCCTGGCCAACATGACAAAACCCCATCTCTACTAAAAACACAAAAATTAGCTGGGCATGGTGGCAGGAGCCTGTAATCCCAGCTACTTGGGAGGCTGAAGCAGGAGAATCACTTGAACCTGGGAGGCAGAGGGGAGACCCACACTTATATAAAAACTACAGTATGGCAGATCATTGAGGATGAAGGACTATTCAATAAATGTTGCAGAAAAACCTGTTATCCACATGGAGAAAAAAAATTTGCATCCCTACTTGACTAAATTCTAAGATGTTAAAGTCAGGAAAGGCAAATTTTAAAGAATTTAGAAGAAAACACAGGAAGGGTAGGCGTCTTTACATTGGAACCAAAATTACAAATCATTAAAAAAAAAACTTTCAACTACATTAAGATGAGGAACACTTGTTCATCAAACAATATGATGAAGTCAAAATGCAATGTGATATCCAGGACTAGGTCCTGGCACAGGAAGAGGACATTGGGGGAAAAACTGGTGAAATCCAATAAAGCCTTTAGTTTAGTTACTAATAATATGCCAAAGTTAATTTCTTAGTTCTGACAAATGTACCATGGCTACAAAAGATGATACTATTAAGAGAGAACTGGGTACAAGGCACATGGAAACTCTCTGTACTGTCTTTGCAAATTTTCTGTAAACCTAAAATTATTCCATATTTTAAATACAGAATTATTCCATATTTTAAATACAGAAAAAAAGTGAAAAAGCCATAAAAAAGAATAGATCTGTGTATTAGTTCATTATCTCACTGCTGTAAAGAATTACTTGAGACTGGGTAATTTATGAAGAAAAGAGGTTTAATTGACTCACAGTTCCGCAGGCTTAACAGGAAGGATGACTGGGAGGCCTCAGGAAACTTACAATCATGGTGGAAGGCGAAGGGGAAGCAAGCATGTCTTAGCATGGCAGAGCAGGAGGGAAACAGTGAGGAGATAACTGCCACACAATGTCACGAGAACAGCATGCGGGAAACCACCACCCCCATAATCCAATCACCCCCCACCAGGTCCCCGCCCCTGGCACGTGGGTATTACAAGATTACAATTCGACATGTGATTTGGGTGGGGACACAGAGCCAAACCATCTCAATCTGAAACCCATATAACCAACAAGAAACTAGTTCTAGAACATATATAGACTTTCTACAAATCAGTAAGGAAAAGACAAACATCCCATTAGGAAAATGGGCAAGGGACACAAACAAGCATTTCAAAAGAGGAATCACAGAACTACATATTTAAATATATGAAAAGATGCTCAATGTTACTGGTACTTGGGAAAGCAAATTAAGATCATATTTTATGCCTGCTAGTTTGGCAGTAAATGTTGGTGAGAACATGGATCATTGAGAACTCACATACACGTAATACACTGGTCCAATCACTTTCGGAAAAATTTGACACTACTATCTTCTAAAAGTGAACATTTACATACTCTCTGATCAAAAAATTCCACTCCTAGGTTTATACTTTAGGAGAGCTCTCAGTCAGGCATGGTGGCTCATGCCTGTAATCCCAGCACTTTGGAAGGCTGAAATAGGTGGATCACCTGAAATCAGGAGTTCAAGACTAGCCTGGCCAACATGGCGAAACTCCGTCTCTACTAAAAATACAAAAATTAGCCAGGCGTGGTGGAACATGCCTGTAGTTCCACCTACTCAGGAGACTGAGGCAGAAGAATCGCTTAAACCCGGGAGGCAGAAGTTGCTGTGAGCCAATATTACGCCACTGCACTTCAGCTTGGGTGACAGAGCAAGACGCTGTCTCAAAAAAAAAAAAAAAAAATCTATTGAACGCTAAGAGCCAGGCACTGGAATATGGAGATGAATAAGATACTTTCTTTCCATAGAAACATCTGTGGCCTGTTTATATACTTAACAAAGCATGTGCTTTACAGCCATCATTTGTTAAGTCTTAACAGTTTATCTTGCCAAAATAAACAGACTGGTAACATATCACAAGAGGAATTTAGGAATAGCATCCTCTGACTCACCCAGTCTCCAAAAAAAAAAAAAAAAAAGCAGGATATTTTCTAAGACCTATCTTGGTTGTTTTTTAGGTACATATCTAACACATGTTATCGTGGTTTAATTATTCATATACATAAAAGTATAACTAAAAAGTAAAAGTCTTATATGCCTTTCTATTATTAAAAAAAGTTTTCAATAATCCCTCCTATTAACACTCTGATATTAGAACAGAAGATCAGAGGTAGACTGCAAGAGCCTCAACTCATTGGATGGCAATTTACAGTAAGACTATGGACTTCTAAACAGCCTTCTGGTTTCTTTTGGAGATAATATAACTCATCGAGCAAAGTGTGAGAAATATGGTTGTTGACAATTGGCAACTAAATCTTTCAGTCTAATCACAGAAAACTGAAACCTAACCTAGCGCTTTTTCATAATACCCTGGCCCTGCTCCATGGCCACTCTGGCCAAAACCCAGCAGCCAAGGCAGCAGCACGTGCACAGAGATGACTAAGGAGACCAAGCTAGACACTATGTGCTCATGCCCTTGGTATTGTCAGGCCTGCTGCCAGAGAGGCTTTGGAGAGGGGCTTAGAGCTTACGAGACTACTTGACCCCACTTTACTCCATCTGGAAATGCAGGGTGGAGAAGGTAATCAAATTATGATATCAGCACTTATCTCTCAATGCCCATAATTACCTTGGAAGTATATAGAGCAATAAATTTGCAACCCTTTAGTCATAGAAAAAAATCTTTTACGTTTTGGTAATTATGTTGAATACATAATTCCAAAATAGTGGTTACTTTTATTTATGAAAATGCTGTCAAATGAAGCTTTGAAAAGAAAACTTTCAATATATGAAATCTGTCCCCTTTTTGACATCAAATTGAATTTCAGAGATTAAAATCTAACAACACTACACGATTCCAACTACACGACATTCTAGAAAAGGCAAAACTATGGAGACAGGCGAAAGATCAGTGGTTGCCAGAGGTTGTGAGGGGCAGGGAAGGATAAATAGGCAGAACACAGAGGATTTTCAGCACAGTGAAACTACTCTGTATGATACCTTAATGATGGACATCACACACTGGTCCAAACCCATAGAATGTACAATGCCAAGAGTGAACCCTATGTACACTATGGACTCTGGATGGCGATGATGTGTCAATGTCGTTTCATCAGCTGTAACAATGTACCACTCTCGTGTGGGATGTTGATGGGTGAGGGTGGGGAGGCTGCATGTTTGAGGGGGTTTGTATTTTCACCCAATTTTTGCTGTGGACTCAGAACTGCTCTAAAATATAAAAAGTCTTTATCTATATTTATATTTATCTATATAAATCTAATATCAGGTACTGTAAAAATATGAGCTAAATCTCATGCTAAGGTAGTTAGTTTGTTTTCCTGTGAACAGCAACTAATCATCATGACAACTCCAAATCCTTTCAATGAAATTGGAAAGCTTTTTCTGTTGATCATCAAGATTATCTTCATATGTAAACATAAATAACGTGTTAGATATGTGATTCACAGACAAAAAATGCAGTGAGATGAATATGGGCAATTCATTTTCACAGAAAATCTTATGTCTACAGAATATCCTTCAAAAAGTTCCTTTTATATTATTCTTTACAACAGTTTGGAAGTGAAAACAGCTTCAACTATCAGAGATTGTAGAAGCTGCAAAAAAGTGCCCAAAACACTGGCTGGGAAGTTCACCAGCAGCATCTGCTTATAGACTCACTTGGCAGAAATAAGTAATGTACCAAACACTTGCATGCAATAACAGGAGAAGGAAAAAACCACAGGTTAAAAAACAACAGAAAAAGGCTCCATCAATATACTATACTATTTCTTAATCTGCGTGGTTGATACATAATCGTTCATTTCATTATTCTTTATATTTTTATAACATAAAACTAGTACTTTATATGAATGAAACATTTCACAATAACTTTAAAATTTACAGGCATCAGCACAATCCCCACGTCTAACAACAAATCACAAATAATATTTGTGCTGCACAGTGTAAAACATTAAGAAGGACATATGAACGATTAAAGACTGAAAGAGCTATACTATTAGTTTATGCTGTTATTCATCTGCTATTGGTATGTAGATTCTTTCCTAGCGAAGTATCATTTAAGGCAAATATGGGAACAATATAGTGACACAAATGTCACAAAAAAAACTTCATGAACTCTCCACTTAAAAATGTAGGAATTTAGAAGTCTTTGAATGTCAAATGAAAAATAAATCCACGTCTAGTTATTTTTATTTTTTCTAGCTAGTTCTTAAAATACAGAATTAATTTAACTTCAGAATACCTATGCAGCTGACAGTATTCCTGGTTTCTGGAATCCCCCAAGAGAAATGGATTTAGTAGACAAGTATTGCAGCTGTTAGAAAAATCTTACAGACAGATCACTTAAATATGATATGGAACAATAGTTATAACAGTAAGTAAGCTTTATTCTAAATCCACTGCACTAAAGGTGCAAGAATTCTGTGAAACTTAACACTGGTTCTGCACTAGGATTGGTAAAGCAGATTTAAACAATCAGAGCTGACTCATACAAGTCATGAAATATTACATGGTTATCATCCAATTAGAATTAAAACATTAAAACAATTCTTAAAACACTTCTTTTAATACGAATCTGTATTTAAGGTAAAATAGTAACTAGTTTTCTTCCAAATATCCTGGTAGAGCTAAAACTATTGTTATTATTTCTAAAAAGTATACTTTTAATGTGCAAGCTTTAAAAAATACTCATGGATTTAATTCTATCTTTTAAGCAGAGGAAATGAATGTGCTTGATGGGTGGGGGGCGCTGGACAGCCAGCTTGCTCTCTCCAGTATCATCAGTTTATTCTTTTATAGCTACAAGAACCGTTTGGTGGGGATGTTGGCAAGGATCTTCAAACAATCCATCCTTTCATGGGTGAAGGTGCAAGGTAGACTACACAGTTACACTGTACGGACACAACCATCCAGAGAATAAGTATTGTTTTCCCTCTTATCACTGAGATATCCCAAAATTTATGCTCCCCACTTCTCAATCTGTAATTTGGCTTCAATTTATGGCTTCCTTTTTGTCACATAACCTCACTACAAAGTAATTACCCAACAAGCCAGAGAAATTAAATTCTGAATCAAGAATGCTGACCTCTAAATACACTCACTCACTTGACAAATTGCAAATTTATTTTATTGCATTACATTCTATAATCAACTTCCTAAAAACTTTATCAAGTACCTTTTTCTTTACTACCTTGTCCTGCTGGTCTTGAGATTAGGCTACAAATATACTAAAACTAGATGTAAGGTTCTTCCTTTATAAATTGTTATTTACCACGATTGCCCTTATACACAACACATACATCAAAATGCATATACAAAATACCTCAATGCTATGAAGGCTGCTCTGTTCCTGTAGCAACATACTGCACAGCTTCACCTACTTGGCTGAACTCAAAATGGTTAATTATAAAAGAAACCAAGAAACAAACTAGAGTATACAGTTCTAGTCATATTCTCCTTGAATTTCACTGAAACAATTCAAATGCATCTACTATTATAAATCTTTTATAAAACAGCTGTTGTATTAATATGAACAATTATTGATAGAATTTTAATCTTTTTTTGAGACAAAGCCTTGCTGTATTACCCAGGCTGGAGTGCAGTGGCATGATCTCAGCTCACTGCAACCTCTGCCTCCCGGGTTCAAGTAATTCTCCTGTCTCAGCCTCCTCAGTAGCTGGGATTACAGGAGTGTGCCACCATGCCTGGCTAATTTTTGTATTTTTAGTAGAGACGGAGCTTCGATGTGTTGGCCAGGCTGGTCTCCTCACCCGACCTCAGGTGATCTGCCTACCTCAGCTTCCCAAGGTACGGCCGTGAGCCACCAAGCCCAGCAGGATTTTAATCTTTAAGGCAATACTTTTTCATCTCCACATTCATTCTTACCTCTTCAGTTCAGCAATAGATAATAATTTGATTTCTGGGTATAATGAAAAAATTCTTATCTCCAAAAAGTCTCAAATAATATCAAGAAACTTCTGCAGCCACAGAGAAACTTGGCTGAATACCAGAATTGCTCTTTGTGAACACAGACTCTCAGTTAACTGCAAGTCAGAGTACTCATAAATATGTCTCTTCACTCACATGCTAAAGCCACCCAGCAAGGTGGCTTTATGACATGGGTTTCAAAAACACACACTGGTATCAAGAATGCTTCTTCCTATGAAGATGCTCTTCTTCCCTTGCTACACAACGTTACCACCATCAAAGACATGAATTGCTATTAAAAAAGATGATAATCTGTATATATTCCTAAACAAACACAGCTCTGAAAAAAGTATTCTCACAGTAAAACAAAGTCTTACATGTGGAACCTGTTTTCCTACTGGAAAAAGAAGCTTTCAATATTTCACAAAATTACAATTATAAAAATCATTTAAAAAATAATTTTAAAAAATTAGAATTATAATTAGTTTGCACCAAACAAAACTCAACAGTTGTTCTTATGTGGTAAGAGTGCACACAGGTTTTCAATAAAAGCTATTATTTTAAAGGCTCATTTTAAAAAATTATTCTACATGTTATTGCTTGTAATAAATTATTGTACACTATACACGTCCCCCTCCCCCTCCCCTTTGTTTTTTTGTTGAGATGGAGTTTCGTTCTTGTCACCCAGGCTGGAGTGCAGTGGTGTGATCTTGGGTCACTGCAACCTCCGCCTCTCGGGTTCAAGAGATCCTCCTGCTTCAGCCTCCCAAGTAGCTGGGATTACAGGCGCCCGCCACCATGCCCGGCTAATTTTTTATATTTTTAAGTAGAGAAGGGGTTTTGCCATGTTTGGCAGGCTGGTCTCGAACTCCTGACCTCAGGCAATCCGCCTGCCTCAGTCTCCCAAAGTACTGGGATTACAGGCGTGAGCCACTGAGCCCGGCCTATACAGGTACTTTTCATGCAGTTAATCCACGTCATAAAGCAGTAGAAGGAATTCATACCCTGACTTTACCAATAAGCTAACATGCTCCAAAAAAAAGTGAAGCAGCTTGCTTGAACTCTTGCTCTTCATGACTGCCTGGCCTGTAACTGTGCAGTCTCCCTCAAAAGTTCATCATCTTTTCATCCCATGTTAACTCCCAAACTCATATCTTTAATATGCCTCAATTTTTCAAATTTTACTTAAAAGATCATGTCTTGGCCAGGCGCGGTGGCTCACACCTGTAATCCTAGCACTTTGGGAGGCTGGGGTGGGTGGACTGCGAGGTCAGGAGTTTGAGACCAGCCTGGCCAACATGGTGAAACCCCGTCTCTACTAAAAATACAAAAATTAGCCGGGCGTGATGGCGCATGCCTGTAATCCCAGCTACTCGGGAGGCTGATGCAGAAGAATCGCTTGAACCTGTGAGGCAGAGGTTGCAGTGAGCCAAGACCGTGCCATCGCAGTCCAGCCTGGGCGACAGAGCGAGACTCCATCTCAAAAAAAAAAAGATCATGTCTTTATATACTTTTCCATCTCAGGACAACTACGTATTATGTACTATTACTACAATTACTGGGTGCCCAAGAAAACAAAAGATGAAATGGTTTCTGTCCCAGAGGTCCAATTTGGTTTGGCTGGATTTGTTCCTATATTTCTGGTATTAGCTGTATACTCCCCTGGTCCTCTACTCCCAGCATACAGAAGATACAACGGAAACCGCTTGAGGTTGAGATGACATTTAGGAGGTTTACTCTTAAGAAAGTCACCATGCCTGGGCCACCCCATTAGCCCTCAACTTCACCACACATCCCCAACCTGGTTTCTACGACTAATGCAAAACTTTAAACAGATCTTTTCCCTCTGTCCTTTTCAATAGGTGACCAATTATTTTAAAAAATAATTTTTAAATATCATAAACAGCTCAATTAAAAATTAATTAAAAGAGTAAAATAAATGAAAAGAAATAATACTTTTCTTGAATGAAACCTGTTAGGTTCATCTTCACTAGAGCACGCCTGCTGTGAAATAAGCACAACACACATCTGCTTCTCTGCAAATGCATGCAGGCTTTCTATATTCCAACACTCCTATGTCAAATCTTGAAGGAAAAATTGTCAAGATGTCAGTGTCCTCAAATAAATTCTGCACTTAAAATTTGCAAACCAAGGATGCCATATATCTTCCAGCAATTCTTTAAAACGTTTAGGAACACGCTTAACTCACAAACAGAACTAAAAGGAGCTTAGTTTCTAAATATAGGATCAACATGCTCTTTAATCCACCTGGTTTAGAAGAGAAAATAAACCAAGGTGGAGAGGGAAAGTGCAAGGAATTCATGTTAAATAAAACCTGACTAGTTCAGAATCTGTGATCATTTGAAAGAGGTTTGAGTAAACTGTAAATACTTAAAATGTTAAATACTTAAAATTACCCTGGATTTTTATGTTTAGAATGTAAAGTATCCCTCTGAAACATTCAACTGTACATATCATGCCTTTAAACTTCTATTTTTCTGTTACTACATTTTCTCTACCGTATAAACACTTGTCTGACCTGGTTCCTTTCCTCATCAAATCATGAAAGTGCCCGATTACATAAACATAATCATTCTCGAGTTCTCTATTCTCTGAACACCTCTGAAGGGATACGAAAAAACTCACATACACGTTGGCAGAATCTAACCAACACAACTTACAATTTAACATGAAATTCTAACAAAATATCTACATTCTTTTTCCTCTTACAGCCTTTCAGAAAGATTCACATTTTGACTCATAAAAAGAAAAATTAGTTTCAACAATTTAATCACTACTTTGTGGAATGAAATCAATTTTTTTCCATGATTAATACAGCTATTCAGAGTAACTGTTACAAAAGCAGCTGTGTCCTCAAGGGGTTTTAGTAGACGTCTAAATTTAAATATAAAATATGGAAAATACACATTTGGAAATTTGTACCAAAAAACATCTTCAGTATTGTTATTGGTCTTAATTTCAATGTAAATTAAATTCTACCAGGATACACTATTAAAGCATTATCATCCAAAAAATTAGAGAGCACAGTCTAACCAAAATAAGCAAGGTTTCAATGATTTGAACCAAATTATGTTTACATAATTGCCAAATAAGTCCAACGTAAAAAATTCTCAAAAAAAAAAAAAATTACACGTAATTACACCACACCACAGCAACACCCTGTAAACAATGTTTTTGCTGTTAGAAAGAGCCTTCGACATAATTTTTACATGAAAAATTGTGTTGAACAAACCACAGCTCATTTCATTCCATCTCTTATATTTGGGTACTAAATTATCTCAAAATTAAATGCTTAAGACCAGTAAATATCACCAACTAAAGCTATTTTAATCCACAAATTTTTAAAGGTCATGTTTCCCAAATAATTTGCACATCTAAACAAAACAGTCACTTTAACAATAGCCAGCACTCACTTAAAATAATTACTTGTCATGAGAAATGTTCCAAAGGCACCGCAAATTTCCTTGTGAAAACTGACACAATTTACTTTAGAATAGTCACTCACCACTTCTTCCAATGCAGCACTTCGCCCAAAAGAACAAGTGAGGTGTGTGAGGCAGTTAACAAAGGAGGAGAAAAGTTCACTTGGAATGGCAGTTAAAACATTTCGTGGGAACACGGTTATCAGGTTGCTGATAATGCTGGAGATCCCCACAGCTTCAGAATCTTCTATTTCAATTCTAAAACCAAGGAATGAGTATTATTAAGTGGCAGTAAAAGAAAAATTATTAATATAATAACTCATTTCCAAACAAGCAAATATCGTTACTGATTCATTTTAAAAGGTATGTCTCTGTTTATTAATTTCAAATTACCCATATGACTTTACTTCAAAATATAAGGGGGAAAAAATAACTAGTTTCTTTTTTTCTTCTACTGTTAAACACAAAACGTAGAGCTCCTTTTTCAGCTGCAAAGGGCAAGTATACCTACCCATTGATAGTATTCAGTAATCCCTCAATGAAGTGTGCTAGATAATCAACTTGTGATCCTTCATCTGGGAAGATGGGTCCATGAAGAGAAGCTAACTGGGCAAGGCACTGCAGAGAATCTTGTGCCATATCTGAATCTTCTCTGATTTTTCGATGTACCTGTTAGAAAGAATTACTAATCCATAAATATAAATTCTTCCTTTGTAAGGGTCACGTGTCTACCATGCCGAATGAGGTAAGACAAAAATTCACTGTAGCTGGTTATTTCTAGAAAATTAATTCCTGAATTAAACTAAATTGAAAATTGTCCCTCAGTCCACTTTACATTACAGGTCATTATTTTAAACATATCAATTGATTTTTAACTGAGGGCTACCTACATTTTGAAAATTGATCTGTCTCCAGCATGTTATGACAAAGAGAGAAACAGATGCCAGCCAGTCAGACATACTGCTTCTTCTAAAAACAGCAACAATGACAGTCATCTGTATTATGCTAACTATGCCTAGCTACAGCTTCTTGCTAAACTTAGCAGACAAGTTCAATAAAGAGTATATAGATGCTGCTTTAGTGGAAGTAAACAGTTGTGCACTTAGAAAAGCAATATACCATTGAATCCCTAGACATTCATGCATTCATTCAACCAAAATATAATGAGCACGTTCTTTTATTAATTCTCAGTTTGCTTACAATTTGTTTGAATCTCAGTTTAACCTACATCATTGCTATTAATAAATGCTAAAAGATTTTGAATACCAAATGTAAATTATACTTAAATCCATTTAAAGCTAACCTATATTTTACTTCAGTGATACAATACGGACATGAAACACCTGGTAGAGTGTTTTGTATGAAGGGAATGCTCTTGAAATACTGCTCCCTAGTTTTATAGTATTAATATTCTCAGATGTTAAAGGTTTCATTTCTGTAATCTGACATATTAGAGCCAAGGAAAATTTAGTGAAGGAATATGATCATTATTAATCTTAATCCATCCAACACTTACTGTTGGATGTACCATTTTGTACTTGCCGAAGTACTTAACTAGCCCTTTTCTTTCCCACACAAAGTTCTCTCTCTATTTTGTAAATGTTGTGTAACATCAAACTCATAGTTTTAGGCTATATTCACTTTGACTAGGCAAATTGTTTCTAAATTACTTCAGGTCAGAACATTTAAGTACTCACTGGTATGCTGGGCCACAATGAACACTTAATAAATCCTTGTTCACTGAGTCCCTTAATCCTTAATCTCTGAACTTCTCAAGGTTCTAGTAATGAAATTTAAAACACTAAGTAATCTCTAAACATTACAAAGTTAGTTGATTTACTGACATGCTTAAAATATGCTATACTCTTTGGACTAGAACAAACCACAGCCCATAAGCCAAATTTGGCCCCCGCCTGTTTTTGTATGGCTGTGAGCTAAGAATGGTTGTGTTTTTTTCTTTTTTCCATTTTTGTATGGTTGGGGGGAAACCAATAAAAATAATATTTTGTGACCTGTGGAAATTACACAGAATTCTTTTTTTTTCCCCCGAAACAGAGTTTCACTCTTGTTGCCCAGGCTGGAGTGCAATGGTGCAATCTCAGCTCATAGCAACCTCCGCCTCCCGGGTTCAAGCAATTCTCCTGCCTCAGTCTCCTGAGTAGCTGGGATTACAGGCACGTGCCACGGCGCCTGGCTAATTTTTGTATTTTTAGTAGAGACGGGGTTTCGCCATGTTGGCCAGGCTGGTCTCAAACTCCTGACCTCAGGTGATCCACCGGCCTTGGCCTCCCAAAGTGCTGGGATTACAGGCATGAGCCACCACGCCCGGCCAACATTCACATTTTAATGACCATCAATAAGCTTTACTGGAACACCGCCGTGCTTATTTATGTATCATCTATGGCTGCTTCTGTACTACAATGGCAGTGTTGAATATGAACATATGACCTGCAAAGCCTAAAGTGTTTACTATCTGGCCCTATACAAAAAATGTCTGCAAATCCTTGGTCTAAAATACAAATATTTTTCAAACTATATTCCAATGTATTTTAAGTTTTATATAGTAAATTCCAAGTACAATAGACAAATTCATATATGCACACTGTCTAGTTCATAAACTTCTGAACACAACTCACTCTTATAAGTTCTTTATCCGAAATCTGTAATTAAATTTTTGTCACGATGCCTTAGAATCTAATCAGCATTTAAGCATGATATCCAGGGATATATTCTGTCAACAGATAGAATGTAATCTGGGACAATAAGAATACATCTCACAATCTTGAATGTTCATTATGGTCTCGAAGCGAGCAATCAGAAGAAAGAATACCCTCAATGAAATAGCTAATGAAATAACTAAAAATAAAGTTAAAATAAATAAATAACTGTCTTTCGAGACGGTGTGTGCTGTTCAAGCTTAATTTATGTTACCTGAAATATAAACCACATAAAACTAATAATAAATGCTTAATTTTTATACAATATAAATTCTTGCCTTTCTTCCAATGTCATCATTACAAAAGAGTTCCTCCATATCTGAACATGTATTTCAATATAAACTGTATCATAAAACGGAAAGCTGAATCACCACCTGAATATGGAAAAGGGACAGAGGGATAAGGGAAAGCAAAGCCCAGCAGGACGCCCAGTGAGATGAATGGCAAGGATATGCATCAAGAAAAGGAAGACAAGGAAGGAGAAGCAAGTAAGGAAGATGACGAATTCTACTGGAACATGTTAAATCTGAGATGTCTGTTGGCCATCCAAATTAAAACATCCAGTAAGCACTGGGATTATAAGGCTCTGAAACTCTGGAGCAGGCTGTGCTGAATATAGATGTAGGAGTCATCTGGGAACCGGTGCCTGAAGTCCTACGTGTCAAAGAGAGAGCCACAGGAAAGTGTACAGAGTCAGCAAAGTTGAGAACTAAGATAGGAATGCCAATATTTATGTGATGAGCAAAGAAGGAAGAGACCATAAGCGAGATCAAGAAGACTCTGGTCAAAAAGGTAGGAAGAAAACACAATGAAAGTGGGTTTTTTTTCCAAGACCTTATAGAAGGAAAAAAAATCAAGAAGTTTGTAAACTTCTATAGGGCAGAATGCAACCCAAAGTATTCCAACATATTTAAAGTCTTATGATTAACATATTTAAAGTCTTGCTCTTATGCAACAGTATACTGATGCTTATCCAAATCTAGCACAAGTGATATCCAGTGGAAAAGTGCTTTAAAGTAGGCAATAAATTCATATAACTAAAACTAAATTTAACCAAAGTTAAATAAAAAGATTAGCCATTGTCATTTTTAAAACAAGTAACAAACTTGTTCATAAACTGCTTAAGTGAAAATAGCTACAAACACAAAAATTGTTCAAATAAAGCAAAAAAGGGTTAACTTTCAAATTCAAGTTATTTGCGTGTGGTTGTTCACAGCTGACAGGAGCAGCTGTCTGGTTTGTCTAGACAGCTGTTCAGATCTGGTAGAGTTGTTTCCAGTACTGCCAGCAAGTTTTTCACCTTTTCAAAAACTGCTGGAGTGGAATCTACTTTCAGTCAAGTGCATAATACAAAGACTTGGACTTGGATTCGTATCAAAACAATTCCTGTCAGATGAGGCAGGCAACGGAATTTTAAAATTTAGTTACAATTATCTCTTTGATCTTGATAGTGGTTTTAGCCATCATTTCTCTGATTTTAAAAAGAAACCACAAGGTGATTTAATGCTCAGTCTGAATATTTCTATAGAAAATATCCTTTATATATACCCATGGATAGATAACCTTGTTCTAGATATTTTAAAATACATACCACATAACTACTTTATTTTAAATGGTTCAATCAGAAAAAGGCAGTTGAAGGGCTCATCTATATTTTTACAACAAATGAAAAGAAACTAAAATTAACAATTGGGATTAAGCAAAATAGCTTTTTTACTTTTAATTGATTTTTACTTGGGCTTCTGTCCACGTCATTATATCTAATTAACTTGTATATTCCCCCTATAACTGCAAATTAGCATCCAACACATAAACACACACATATGAATTGTTTTTCCAGCTTTTGACCGTTTTATTGGGGATACACACTGGCCAATGTGGGAACATACTGCTTACATCTTGATATTTAGCCAATAATAAAGAGGACTGTCTAAAGTTATACATGAGATAAACTGCTATTCCATAATACCAACTTAACCAATGACTCATAAATATAATAAGTATAAAACCTACACTCTAGAATAGCAGTTCTCAAACTATGGCCCAGGGATCCCTGAAGCTTTTTAAAAGCCTGTCAGGTTGCCTGTGAGGAAAAAAACTATTTGCATAATAATATGAAGACAGTATCTGCGTTTCCCATTCTCACTGTCACACAGGTAAAAAGTGGAATTTCCCCGAGGCCACACGATGTGCGATACTGCAACTAACTGAAGGCAGAAGCAGGTAAGATAATCTGACTGTCTTCTATTAAGTCTGATATTATAGATTTACAAAAATGCAAAACAATGCTATTCTTCTCATTAAACTTGCTTCGTTTTCAAAAATATAGTTAATTAAAATGTTACTTATGTTAATATGTAATCGTTTCTTACTGTTACTTTTTAGCACATTATTTTGTAAAGTTTTGTTTGAATTTTTAACAGGACAAATATAACCTATATAAAGAAAAGCTCTTTGGAGTTCTCAATAAATTTTTAAGAGTATAGAGGGGTCCTGAAATTAAAAGTTTGAGAACTTCTGCTGCAGGATATTAAGCCCTTCATAACCATGTGACATTTTTATAAATTAGCAAGAACCTTTTAAAATAATTTCTGTTTAAGCAGCCATACTGATGAGAAGACAAGACTTTAGGGGAGAAAAGCAATCTGTTCTGTTTTACTTAAGAAACTCGCCAAGGCATTTCCTCTTTTCTATGGCTCTTGCTACCAGAGATGAAGACTAAAACTTACTGTGAAGAAAAGCTCCATAACTCTGCTGTCCAGAAGAGTCTCCCGCCAGGACTCTGTTGGCTTCAACAGCACATTTTGCGAGGATTCAAACATAGCTATATAATGTCTGCCCAGTTATTTGGTGTCAAGGTCAACAACAATAACATTCTTACTTTGTCTAAAGTATAAGTATATCCTAAATATAACAGGAGCCATCTAGAAAGAATTTGTAATGGTAACAGTTTAAGCCTCTTCACATATGCTACATAATTCATCCATGAAGCTAAGGAATAGAAGGCATTAAGTGCCTGGGGAAAAAAAGAATGTTACAGGAATGTAAGGTAATGCTTTCATTGTAATTATGTGTCATGCTGTAGGCATACAGAAACTTTGAGAACCAGAGAATTTAATGGTGGCAACAGAAGGAAATACACTTACTGCAAAGCATATGCCAAAATTCATGTAAAAAGAATCAATTTCTGCAAGTTTATCCCATCATTTCCCCCAATATCTTGCAACAATTAACACCACATATACAAAATGTGAGTTTCATATAGTCTACTTGGAAAAATAGCATTTTTCCAGAAGAAATATATTCACTGGAAAAGCAAAAGAACAAAAAGAGTAAACACATATAATATTAAAGAAAAAAAACTCCCACAGGTCACAGTATCTAAATATCAAGACAAAGAAATAATCTATTGACAAAAAACTTTATAGATGCTTATTTAAAATTCCCACAGACTAAAAAGCAATTTATATGGTGTTCAGGCATTCAATTTCAAACATGCTTCAAACAGAATACTGTTTTACCATAAACAAAGTAACCATCATATATTTGTAGGTTTTTATGAATACGATTCATTGATACTGCCACAGTAACTGAGGCTTTGAAGAAATGAGAAAACTCGGCCAGTCACGGTGGCTCACGCCTGTAATCTCCACATTTTGGGAGGCCAAGGCAGGCGGATCACCTGAGGTCAGGAGTTCGAGACCAGCCTGGCCAACATGGTGAAACCCATCTCTACTAAAAATACAAAAATTAGCTGGGCATGGTGGCAGGCACCTGTAATCCCAGCTATTTGGGAGGCTGAGGCGGGAGAGTCGCTTGAAAACACTCTCCCGCAGAGGTTGCAGTGAGCCGAGATCACACCATTGCACTCCAGCCTGGGTGGCAGGGAGAGGCTCTGTCTCAAAACAAACAAACAAACAAAAAACAGTGGTTATGCCCCTTCCATTGGTAATCAATTGCCCAGCTAAAATACTTCGACTATGCAACATTCACATCACTCAATGAGAAATCTTAATGATAATCACCCAGAGCTATCGTCTGAAAAAAGTAGATAGAAATTCAAATACTATATTTTGAGTAAAGTCTAAATCGTTATTTTTACAGAAAAATTATTATTCACAGGGAAAATTAAAGGCTGTAATAATGCTCTGGAAACTTTTTTTTAAGATAATTGCTTAACCCCTTTTAAAATAGCTAATATTATTCTGTCTCTGAAGAGCAAGGAGGGGCACTATGAGTTGTTTCAAGGAGAAAAATCACTGCTTGTTTCTGAAAAGTCACCCCCAAAATCTTCTGCAACTCTATTCGACTGATTAACAAAAGTGAAACTCAAATCTGGTTCATTTAAACTTCCCTTCTCTCTTCCTTTATCTGCCCCCTTGTGGAGGTACAGGGAAAGAGGTGAAGGCCAAAAAAGCCAAAAGAAAGAAGCCCGAATTTAAAAAGGGGGAAAAAATCAGCCCGTGAACCCTAAGAGCTAACAATATAGAGTGAGTTCATTTTCTTAAGAGGCACCGATCATGGTCTAAGGTCAATGTTGTGTTCTTCACCCAATACTACAATATACTGATTTATCTGACACCTAGGATTTGCTTCAAAATATTCTGGGGATGGCAGAGCACAGATGAAACAAGACTGGCTGTTTAAAGCTGGGTATTCTCTCCACTATTGTGTATCTTTGAAATTTTCCACAATAACGGGATGCCAAAGGCTATAGTATATGAAATAAATGTTCTGAGTAAGGCAATCAATTCTTTGTGTTTTGTGTGTGTGTGTACTTTTTGTTTGTTTGTTTGTTTTTAATGAGACAGGGTCTCACTATGTTGCCCAGGGAAGTCTTGAACTCCTGAGCTCAAGTGATCCTCCTGGCTCAGCCTCCCAAAGTGCAAGGATTATAGGCATGAGCCAGCACACCTGGCCAATTCTTCATACTTCATAAAAATTTAAATGTATTTCACTTACTGTTTTCCAGTTTTATTTCTCTTTATTTTCAATATGCCAAATCTAACAAATGAAATATAACTAGGAAAATAATGATTTTGTAATATTTCGTATGCTTATAAAAGGTGTCATGATTTTATTTTTAAATTATATAGGATATGAGACAAATAAATGGGTTCACATAACCATAATAAAATGGTTGGCCCCAAAGCTGACCATTTACCATTTTAGTAGCTAGCAGATGTGTGATCCCTCAGAGTAAGAAGGCAAATACTTCAGGTGCTATAACTGCAAGAGAATGAAAGCCCAAACCTCCCTTCAAGAGCTGCAGACAGTTCAAGTACAGAGGAAGAATACAGGTGGCAGAAGCAAAGGGAATCATATTTATAAATTTTGCTACTTCTGGATATATGAAAAACTCTATTCCAAGGAAATGAGGAGAGTCTCTCACATTCTAATTATGCCCTCCAGGTATAATACAGCAAGGGGGGCAACAGTGTGTTTTGGTAAGAGGGAGATGATAAGCTAAAGATTCAATAAATCTTACAAAAGTATCAGTAAGAAAATACAGGAAGAAATCTTACAAAAGGAAACTATTAAACCTAAACCAAAATTCTCATATAATTCTCTCCTCTATCTTTTTATAAATTATAAAAAGCATATACTCTATTAATACTTCTGGATATCAATTATTTACATTAAGGGAAAATGGATATGAGTTTTATTTAAAAAGGGTTTTTCCCAGATATAAAATGGAATTCATTGCAATGGCTCATGTAACATCAGATTCAAAATAACCCTGAAATCTGATTTTTTAAAATCTTGGTTTAGCCTCTCCTAATCATGGTCTGTTTTTCAGCACACTGTCCCTGATGCCCAATTCCATGGCCAATTTCCTTCAAGTGTTGGTAACCAGAATAGTTTTAAGATTATAATTCCTTACACGTGGCCACGAGCATGGGAGATTTATGAGTTAGTATGTAATATCTATCAGAAAATACCTTTCCCCATAATTATTACAAAACTCCATGTTACTTTTGTTTTCCAATTCCAAACCTGGAAAGGATTTTTATCTCTGGCATGATGTTTGCCTTCTAACAAGAATGCACACTTGTAATGCTCCATGCAAAGAGGCTACACTTACCTTCCACTGAAAAACTAATCTACAACACTGCAGACTTCACTACCTTCTATCAGCCAGCCTGGTTATACCACTAATAATACCACTATTATATACCATAATAAAAATGCACATGTACTATATTATACTTTTCATAGGACACAATTACAATCCTGTAACTACAAATCATATCCCACTCTACTAAAAAAAATTAATTATTCCCAAAAGCATTTAAATAAAAAACATGAAACAAAAAGAACAGTATAATAAACGTTTATATGGAACAGCATCATAATGTTTATACAGAACAAATGTTTAAAGACAATGTTATTTTGACAAGAAATATGTTTTAGTTATCAGACTGTACCATGAAACTGCTGAAGTTGCTGCCCCGAATAACAGACTATGCTGGCTTTTATATGGGAGAAAGGCTTACTATGCATTGTATAATGTTTAATATTACCTAAAATATTGTTATTATTCACGTACATGCATTACTTTTCAATTTGAAAAACAAAACTAGTGAAGAGCATATCACAATGTGGGCAGAATAATGATACACAAATCTGGACCATATCTTTACATTCAAAATAATATAAAGAATTAAGGTAATTCATTTTTAATCAGGTATTCTCAAATGACTATTTCTATCTGTATGTATAAGAAATAAAAAAAACCATTTCAACCCCAGATAATTCTTAATAATTCTTATAAGAAATCAAAAAAAATACCATTTCTACCCCAGATAATTCTTAAATTCTTAACTTAAAAAACAAACAGAACCAGTACCACCAGAATTCAGAAATCTAGCACTACTATTCTTAAAGCAATATTTTAAAAATAATTTCAAGGTTAAATAAAGCAAGATGTTCATTTAAAAATAATTTTAATAAAACAATAGTTTCCTTTTAAAACTTTCAAAAGTTTGGTTTATAGTCACCACTTTAGCATTTTATAATATCTGCACATTACATTGTTTTATCTTTTACAACAAATATGTCACCACGAAAGAACAGTTTGACAATGAACTGATTATTTACTAAACTGTCTTTTATTACATGCTAGTCAAATTTTATGAGACACACAAGTCACAAAAGATTGGAACTAAATAGCTATTACTTCACCGAAGTTCAAATAAGAGTGTAATTCAAGAATTTTCTTGGGCTATGGCTTTATATATTTTTCTAAAATAAATACTGAATGCATGCAATTTATATTTTTATCAGAATAATTCATTTGTAACCAAACAAAACACAATTCCATCAATAAGAAAGCCAAACAGAGCTGCTTTCAGTCTTTTGCTAACCCTTTATCTTAAAAAAAATCTATCATACACATCTAATCTTACTTTACCTTCCCATCCATGTTCTCACCAAATTAAAGAATCAGGACATTTAGTACAGTGATTTTTTTTTTTTTTTTTTTTTTTTGGTCTCTGTACCAAATACAAGTCCACTCCCTCTTAGCAAGGGTTCCGGCAAGGGATCCAATTCTGAAGTGCTAAAACCCAACCAATCTTCTAAGCTCATTGCCATCATAATCCCTTGGAAAATCAGTTCCAGCTACATGTAAATTCAACTGCACCACAGAAGAGTGAAGAATCAACTCTCCATTCCCTGCCCCCTCTCCCACAACAATCCTATCTAGCTCTAAAATTCTCCACTTAGGAAAGCTCACCAACTTCTGTGAAATCAAAGGCATATATAAACATGCCACCTGCCCTATTCTGTAACTGCATGGCCAGAGACAAACATATACCAGGCCAAGAGCCAGAAGGACAGCTTAATCGCACCCTGTACTGACTGTCACTGGATAATCCTACTAAATCTTCTGTCTCAAGTTCTCATACAACAAACAGCATTGTCATTAAATACGTACATCTTAACATGTAGTGGGGAAAACATCATCTCTGGAAATACACAGGTCCGTAATTATGCAATTAAGTTTATCCACTAACACTTTCAGTAAGGGTATCGTTTTGTGATTGTGAATGACACTCAAAAAAATAATTAAATAAGGCATACAGTAGCTACACATTATCTTCAAGCAAATATGGACAATCTGAAAATTTCCTTTGCCTATTCTTATAATTACTTTACAATATAGAAAGATCTTGTAGCAACAATGGGCATTTCACATAAGTAATAAATGCTTTACTCCCTTCATCTTTCCATACTATTTTTTACCCTACTTCATCAGTAAAACAAAGTTTCAGGAGCTACAGCAAGACCATTTTCTTTCTTAAATATTTAATCCCTTTCATTATTAAATTTTCTAACAACAAAAACTGCTACTTCTCCTGGCACAGCACAGAACCAACAACCCCAGTCTTATAGACAACACAGTCCAAGCAACCACAAATCCTTTGAAATACATGAGTGACCTTACCTGAATGTTTTCCCAAGCCTTGCCTCCAAATAGTAAAGGTTGGCTTTACTGGAAATCCAATTTAGGTGAAAGCTTCTGTATCCCATTACTTACTCTATAATCCAGTTAGCTTTCTCCAAGAGATTAAGTTAAAAAAAAAAAGTTTACCAAAACCAAATCAGATCCACAAAAATAGAATACCAATAAAAGGCAGTGTAACCAAACTAAAAAAAGAAGTATCACTGAAGCCAACATACCACACATACCTGCCAAACATTCTTGTTACAAAATGATATTGTCATTTATGATTAGCATTGCCAAAACCCTTAAGCATTTATGAACACCAGGTGAACTACTAGCCGAACTATATTTATAGTGAACAAACATCCGAAAACTGAGCTAATACTTCTGAACGGGCTTCTTTCAATAATTAAATAATAAATATATAATAATAAATATTTGCTGAGCATCTGTGCTAGGGCTCAACAATGCAGTGAGCAAAAGCATGGCCCATGCTTTCACGGAGCTTCGCGCAGTAGGTAAACAGACACTACTGTTGTCCCTCAATATCCGGAGGGGGACTGGTTCCAGGACCTCCCATGGTTACCAAAATCCACAGATGCTCTGATATAAATCCAGAGTCTCTGATATAAAATGGCATCATATTTGCATGTAACTTATAAACATCCCATATACTTTAAATCACCTCTAGATTAATTATAATACCCAATACCATGTAAGTGCTATGTACATTGTTGCACTGTTTTTAAAATTTGTATTTTTTTAATTGTTGTATTGTTATTTTTTAGTTATAATATTTTTGATCCTCAGTTGAATCCAAGGATGTGGAACCCACAAACCTGGAGGGCTAACCGTACTTAAATAATCTAAGGAATGAAAAATTACAGCTGAGAAGGGAGCCAAATGGGGAAAAAATCATATACAACATGCATAGGGAGAAAATAGCAAAAGAAAGCCAACCTGGTCTAGGCTGAAGTACAATTAGGTGATCAGGCAAAGAGAGAGGACCCAGGCAGAGAAGCAGTGTGTGCAAGGAACAAGGTAGAAGGAAAGCTGGCCTGTGAGTGCAGCTCTACCAGAAGAGCTATGAGAGGGAGGTGGTGATGAGACCGCCCCGGACCCCAGCGCCCACTATCAAATGGGGATGATGGTATGATGGAGGATCACAGGACCAGGACACTTTCTTTGCACAACAGTGATCTAAAACAGAATGAGAAGCAAGTGAATTTTGTCTCCAGAGTCTCAGAGTAACATGGGGCTACAAAGTGCAGAGGAATTCGCTCTCTGGGCCACAGAGTGATTTTTAACATCTACCAAATCACAGAAACTGTGGACTTTGCACCACTGGGTCTGGGTAGGTGGATACTTTCATAAATCACCTGCTGCACATAGAAAAGCTACATATAATAATCCTTAACAAATATAATGGTTTGCAGATAATACAATTATGTATATAATTCATTAGCATTAATAAGCAAGTTCAGCAAGATTACAGGATACAAGATCAACATACAAAAATCATTTGTATTTTTCTCTATATAGTGTGAAAATGAAATTTAAAAAACAATTTACAATTGAATAATAAAAAAATACTCACAAGCCTGGACAACACAGCGAAACTCAACCCCTACAAAAATCAGCCAGGCATCATGATGCGTGCCTATAGTCCCAGTTACTCAAGAGGCTGAAGTTGAGAGGATAGCTTGAGCCCAAGAAGTCGAGGCTGCCAAGAGCCATGATTACACCCCTGCACTCCAGCCTGGGCAACAGGGCGAGACCCAGTCTCAAAAAAAAAATGTACTTAGAATAAATTTAATAATCTTTTGCTCTGGAAACTATAAAACAGTGTTGAAAGAAATAAAAAAAAAAAACCTTTAATAAATAAATCCAGGCCAAGCCCAGTGGCTCATGCCTGTAATCCCAGCACTTTTGGATGCCAAAGCGGGAGGATCACTTGAGCCCAGGAGAGTTTGAGGACAGCCTGGGCAACATAGTGGGATCCTGCCCTACAAAAAAATTTAAAAATTAGCCAGGTGTGGTGATGTGTACCTGTGGTTCTAGCTACTTGGGAGGCTGAGGCAGGAGGACCACTTGAACTCAGAGGTCAAGGCTGCAGTGAGCCATGATCATGCCACTATACCTTAGCCTGGGTGACAGAGCAAGACCCTATCTCTATAAATAATAATTTTTAAAAATCAGAAAACTTAACTTAGTTTTTTGTTTGTTTCTGTTTTAAGAGACAAGGTCTTCCTCTGTTGCCCAGGCTGGGGTGCAGTGGTGCAATCATAGTTCAAGGTAACTTTGAACTCCTAAGCTCAAGCCATACTCCTGCCTTGGCCTCCCAAAGTGCTGAGATTCAGGTGTTAGCCACCATGTGCTGCCTCTACTTTCTTTTTAAAGGGTACAATGCCAGGTACAAATAGACAATAGTTGGAGGAAATACTGATTATTCAAAAAAAGAGAGGACAGAAGAAAATACTTCACAAGGGCTTTACATATATGTGCTTTAAAATTCCATCACTCTCCTTGCAATTCTATCAGTTTAAAAAAATAATGATAAAATAAAATTCCCTCATGCTGACTTCTACCACTGTGTTCCTCCATTTTGAAAGAAACCTAGACAAAGCTGGTCAAATCAGCACTTAATAGCTAAGAAGTATGGATCATCAAGGCAGGCAGTTCACACTACCACAGGGCTGCCTACCTCAACCACGCCCTGGGCTATCTCAACATCTATGTCATTGGCCTAACACCACAATATCACATTTTCTTTCTGAAATCCTGACTTCTCCCCTCAAGCAATAAACAGGTTCATCTAAGCTTAAAGCATAAAACAACATTTCCTTGGCACAAACCCCCATTCCCTTGAGCTGTCAGTTGATGCTCTTCGAAATATCTATATAGTTCAGTTGACCCTTGAATAACACAGGTTTGAACTGCACAGGTCCACTTGTACTTTCACTAGAAGTTACACCAAGTGTGCCTTCCTTTCCTTACCTCCCCTTCACCTCCTCCACTTCTGTCTCTACTATCACTGAGACAGCAAGACCAACCCCTCCTCTTCCTCCTCCTCCTGAGCCTACTCAACTAGAAGACGAAGATGAAGACATTTATGATTGATCCACTTATACTTAATGAACACTAAATATCATTTATCTTCCTTATAATTGTCTTAACAACATTTTCTTTTCTCTAACTTACTTTAAGAATATATTATAGTACATATAAAACATAAAATAAGTACCAACTGACCGTTTATGTTATCAGTAAGTCTTCCAGGCAACAGTAAGCTATTAGTAAAACGTTCTGGGGAGTAAAAAGTTATACTGGAATTTTTGACCGCATGGGGGTTGGTGTCTCTAACCCTCACATTGTTCAAGGGTCAATTGTACTTCACTCTATACTTCATCAATTACTAATTACTACCTGATCACTGAGATACGGCTTTTGCCCCTGTCATTCACATAAACAGACTTCCATATGACCAACTATGTTCTAACTGATATTCGGTGTAGATCAAAAACAATCTACATCTTACCTATCGGTAACAGACGATGTTGACTACCTGATTCCTTGAAACATCATCTATCTTTGCTTTCCAAACACTCCTTGCCTTGTTCTCCCATCCACTTGTCTTAATTGGCTTTCTTATTTTCTTTTGCTTCTTCCTGCTTTTTCACTACTGATGCACCTAAAGGTCCTGACATGGATCCTCTGCTCCTTCTTGGACCACCTCTCCTATTTCCTTAACTTCAATGGCCCCACTCTCCCACAACTTTATCTCCACCCCTAATCTCCCTCTATAATTCTACTAATGGTGCAGTTGACCTGTGTGAAGTGGGTTTCTACACCGTGACATGATGGGTATTTTTAAAGGCTTCATTAAGACATAATTCACACACTACGCAATTTACCCACTGAGTGTACAGCTCAATGGTTTTAGCATATTCACAGATGTGTGCAACCACGACCATGATCTAATCTGAGAACATTTCCATGGTACCAGAAAGACCCCATATGCTTTAGCAGTCACCTCCTACTTTGTTCCAATCACTCCAGTTCTAGGTAACCACTAACCTTTCTGTCTCTATAGATTTGCCCATCCTGGACATTTCATAAATATGTTATCATATAATTTGTGGTCTTTTGTGAATGGCTTTTTTCACTCAGTATGTTTTCAAAGTTTACACATGTTGTAGCATGTATCAGTAATTCATGTCTTTTTATGACAGGTAATATTCCCATTATATGGGTATACCACATTTTATTTATCCATTCATCAGCTGATGGACATTTGGGTTGTTTCTACTCATATAGTATTATGAATAGCCTATTCATATAGTACTGCTCTGAACATTCATGTACAAGTTTTTGTGTGGATGACTATTGATACTTTGGGCCCAATAATTGCTTGTGTGGGGCTGTCCCGTGCTTTGTAGGATGTTTAGGATGTTTAGCAGCATCCGTAGCCTCAACCCAATAGATGGCAGTAGCATTTCCCGAGTTGTGACAATCCAAATTGTCTCAAGACACCACCAAATGTCCCAAGTATACAAAATTGTTCCTAGTTGAGAATCAATGTTAAAGAGTTATGATTTGTTTTCTTTCTTCTCCTTTTTTTTTCTTTTTTAGAGACAGAGTCTCACTCTATCCCTCAGGCTAGAGGTAGAGTGCAATGGCGTAATCTCAGCTCACTGCCACCTCTGACCGCCGGGTTCAAGCACTTCTCCTGCCTCAGCCTCCCAAATAATTGGGTCTACAGGTGTGTGCCACCATGCCTGGCTAATTTTTTGTAAGAGATGGGGTGTATTGGTCCATTCTCAGGCTGTTGATAAACACATACCCGAGATTGAGCAATTTACAAAAGAAAGAGATTTAATTGGACTTACAGTTCCACGTGGCTGGGGACACACGGAACAATCATGGCAGAAGGCAAGGAAGAGCAAGTCCCGTCTTACATGGATGGCAGCAGGCAAAGAGAGAATGAGGAAGATGCAAAAGTGGAAACCCCTGATAAAACCATCAGATCTTGTGAGACTTATTCACTACCACGAGAACAGTATGGAGGAAACTGCCCCCATGACTTTATCTCCCACGGGGTCCCTCCCACAACACATGGGAATTATGGGAGTACAATTCAAGATGAGATTTGGGTGGGGACACAGAGTCAAACCACATCATGAGGTTTTGCCATGTTGCCCAGGCTAGTCTCAAACTCCTGAGCTCAAGCCATCCACCGGCCTTGGCCTCCCAAAGTACTGGGATTAAAAGCGTGAGCCACTGCGCCCAGCCAAGTTATGATTTCATTAATGAAACTTTGCATGAGCGTAAATCTTGACCTAAGAACACTGTAATACAAGCTATTAACTATGATAGCATTAATGCCCTTAAATATTAATATCTAAATATTTACTCTGCATTATTTTGTCAGTATCTCTCTATGCACATCCTACAGCCACTGCTCAGTCAGCTTCAGCTGGTTTTCCCAATATTTTACAGTCACAATTAATACAGTACTTTCTATAAGAAATTACATTTTGGGGCTGGGCGCAGTGGCTCACGCCTGTAATCCCAGCACTTTGGGAGGCTGAGATGGGTGGATCACGAGGTCAGGAGATCAAGACCATCCTGGCTAACAGGGTGAAACCCTGTTTCTACTAAAAATACAAAAAAATTAGCCAGGCGTGGTGGCGGGCACCTGTGGTCCCAGCTACTCAGGAGGCTGAGGCAGGAGAATGGCGTGAACCTGGGAGGTGGAGATTGTAGTGAGCCGAGATCATGCCACTGCACTCCAGCGTGGGCAACACAGCAAGACTCCATCTCAAAAAAAAAAAAAAAAAAAAGAAAGAAATTACATTTTGGTCTTGTTCTGTTGCCCAGGCTGGAGTGCAGTGGTGTGATGATAGATCACTGCAACTTCAAACTCCTGGCCTCAAGCAATCTTCCCACCTCGGCCTCCCAAAGAGAAATGAAACCCTAAGCCCACACAAAAATTATAAATGAATGCTCACAGCAGCATTGTTAATAATAATCAAAAAGTGGAAACAACCCAACTGTCCATCAACTGATAAATGGATTAAAAAAGTGGTATATCCATACAATATTATGGCAATGAAAAGGAATGAAGAACTGATGGATGCTGCATGCTACAAAATGGATGAATCTTGAAAACATTATGCTAAGTGAAAGAAGCAAGGATGGGTGCAGTGGATGACACCTGTAATCCCAGCACTTTGGGAGGTCGAGGCAGGCAGATCACTTGAGGACAGGAATTCGAGACCAGCCTGGGCAACATGGCGAAACTCCATCTCTACTAAAAAATACAAAACTAGCAGGGCGTAGTGGTGTGTGCCTATAGTCCCAGCTACTCAGGAGGCTGAGGCAGGAGAATCGCCTGCACCCAGAAGGCAGAGGTTGCAGTGAGCCGAGATCGCGCCACGGCACTCCACCTTGGGAAACAGAGTGAAACTCCGTCTCAAAAAGAAGCCAGTCACAAAGGACCACATATTATATGATTCCATTTATACGCTATGTCTAGAATAGGTAAATGCATAGACAGAAAGTGGTTGCTACGGACTGGGGAAGGTGGAAATGGAGACTAACTGCTAATTGACACAGGGCTTGTGTTTGGGATGATGAAAATGTTCTAAAACTACTGACAATTATTGCTGTACAACTCTATGAATATATTAAAAAACACTGAATTATACATTCTAAATGGGTATATAGTATAGTGTGTGAATTACATCTCAATAAAACTATTATTGAGACTGGGCATGGTGGCTCATGCCTGTAATGCCAGCACTTTGGGAGGCTGAAGGAGGAGAATCACTTGAAGCCAGGAGTTCGAGGCCAGCCTAGCCAACACAGCAAGACTCCATCTCCACAAAAATTAAAATAAAAAAATTAGTCAGGGCCAGGTATGGTGGCTCATGCCTGTAATCCCAACACTTTGGCAGGCCAAGGTGGGTGGATCAACCTGAGGTCAGGAGTTCAAGACCAGCCTGGACAACATGATAAAACCTGTCTCTACTAAAAATATAAAAATAAGCTGGGTGTGGTGGTGCACACCTATAATCCCAGCTACTTGGATGGCTGAGGCATGAGAATCGCTTGAACCCAGGAGGCAGAGGTTGCAGTGAACCAAGATAGTGTCACTGCACTCCAGCCTAGGCAACAGAGCAAGATTCTTTCTCAAAAATAAATAAATAAATAAAAATAAAATTATCTCAATATAAAATATAGATACAAAAAAGAAAGCAGATTAGAAAAAATTAATAAATGGGGGATTGTTACTGATAATTTAACACAGCCTCATTTAACATACCATTCTAAATTATCAAAATATTTAACACTAAATACACAAATTTTCCATGATTTATTATTTGTCTATCCTAAGAGACAAATCACCTTTTATTTTATTTTATTTTATTTTTATTTTGAGACAGGGTCTCTTCTGTCGCCCAGGGTGAGTGCAGTGGCATGATCATGGCTCACTGTAGCTTCAACCTTCCAGGCTCAAGCAATCCTCCTACCTCAGCCTCCCGAACAGCTGGGACTACAGGCACACACCACACACCTAGCTAATATTTGTATTTTTTTGTAGAGATAGGGTTGTGCTATGCTGCCCATGCTGGTCTCGAACTCCTAGACTCAAGCAATCCTCCCATGTCAACCTCCCAAAGTTCTGGGATTACAAGAGTGAGCCACCGCACCCAGCAGATAAACCATCTTTTAAAAGGCATCAATTCAACACTTTTAAACTAAGTTAAATTTGATTATTTAGACCCTCTCCATGGTACAAGGCTGCATAATTATTCCATTCTTTTCCTTACTGATTGAATGGTAGATCTCCAGGTAATTTCCAAAATTAGAAATTAGTCAGAATTGAGTTCCTTGAAATTGATTTCCCTAATGAGTGCTAAATCTGTAGCTTAGTTTAATCTCACTGCCAAGTTCTTTCTCCCACACTTAAAGCTAATCCACTCAAAGAATACTTAGCTGTAGTGCAGTCAGCCAACAAATGGCACTATATGAAAAGGTCACACAAGAACTCACTCATAAGCCATGAAGCAAAATATCCTCAAGTCAAAAACCAAGATATACTTTCTTTAAACAAGGAATTATTTCCTTTGGCAACACTGCAGTATTGCTTATCATTTTCAGATGACAGATTTTCCAAAGCTTTATCTAAGTACTTTATAAAATATTTTATGTGTGTGTATCTTTTAGACAAGCTTTGTTTCCAAACTCCCAGAGAACTATTTCTTTTTATAAAATAGTCACTCTCTACCAACTGTATTTTCCCTTAAAACAGACACTTTAAAATATATGCAGTGTAACTTTTGTTGATTTTTCCCTACATATATAATTAATATTTTGATAGCTCCATATGGACTGCTAATTTTAAAATATGTCTCAAGGTTTTTCAATATCTTTTCTTTCCCCACTGAAAACACTGGAGCAAGAAGCTGAATCCAATCTCTCTCCCCAACTGCAAGATCCTGTTGTGGTGGTCCCCACATCTATCACCATTGGCTCCCCTGAATAAAGCCTGCCTTACCAACTTTATTTAAAAAAACAAACAAACAAAAAACCTAGAACAAAAATATTGAAACACTGAAAGGGGAAATTTTTTAAAAAGCAAACCTAAGCAAGTAGCCACCTCTTGACAACCAAAAAGAATTAAGTTAATATATTAAAGATAAAAAGTTGGTTATTGGGAGAAAGATGATTACAGAATAAGAATAAAAGGAAACAGTGACTGACCTTACTGTAAGCTTTGCCCCATAATGCAGCAGCTCAGTGACTGCTTTTGGGAAAGAAACCTGGAGAGCTCACGAGTCAGACTCACTTTACCTGACAGAGCCCTTCACAGTTAATATTCTACTACGTGAATAGACTAAGTTTAAATGGAAGAAGGAGTTATACCCCACCACACTCCTTTAAATGTCATAATTTTACCAGCCACAAATAATTAGCGAGTTTCTGTATATGTAAATGTAGCTCCTCTTGGCTCTTGTTACAATAAAAATGAGTCCCATACTAGATCTCTGATCTGATTTCACATCTATTTCCTGTCTGCTTATCATCAGTCTTTTTCTCCTGAACAGACTCTCAGATTAAAAACATCTAGAACAGGTCGCATTAAATTTCCTATACCACACAGAGGCGTATTAGTTCAACAAAGAAGAGTATAAAAGACAGTTAGTTATATAATGAACTATTTAATTCACGGAGGCTATTAAGAGCTCAATAAATAGTAACTAACTCCTGAGTGTTTTAAATGTATTGTTTCATTTAATTCACACAACAATCCATACCCCCATTTTACATTTGGAAAAGCTGAGACTCAGAGAGGTTCAGGTGATTTGCCTAAGATGAGCAGAGCCTTGAATCCAGATCTATTGGACTTTACACAACAAATGGGTAGTCACTGTATATTACTATCAACGGGCAGCAGATGTCCCAGCATAGTAAATGAGACAGCAGTTCCTTAAAGTTTATGAAATACAAATTTCTCTACTTTAAGTAACTAATTTAAAAAGCAGATATATGCATTGATAATACAACCCACTTAAACTTTTGAATAATTTCCTAAAAACAAAATTCTCATTTTTTTATACTGGTAAAGGCCCTTGAAGAGTAAACATATTACTAACTTATTACCTATACTTGAACAACATCACCATCCATAAAGATTAAATTAGAGCACTCCAAACTAGCTTTAAGTCAGTCAAAAAAATCAAACATAATTACTTGTCCAAGGAAAAAATGATTCGGTTTCTTAAAAGGTAATTTCTACCTGTTTCCTTTTCCTTCCCAAAGAATAATGCTAATCCTGAATTAGCAACAGCTCCGTCATCCACCACGTTTCTATGTATTCAAACTTCTTCTACAAAGGAGTAAATACTTTTAAATCTTCTAGTATTATCCTAGTATCCACTGTCTTTTGGCATTATAAAGAAATTAAATTCTATTTCTTAAAAAAAATCTTATTTTCTTTCAATATGTTTTATGAAAGCTGCAGAGGTGAAAGACTCCGAGCTGTAATTAAGTCACCTATGAAAATTACCACAGATAAACTATTCATTTGTTAAAAGGATATAATTTGGAGGAAGAAAGTTCCAGCTCAAGACTTGATTGGCGAGTGCAAGGTAACGCTGAAATACTGAAGACATCTGAGCATTGAGGTTTTCCCGCCTGCTGAACTCCTGCAGAACTTCAACAGTTAACATGAAGATCTGACGAAGGTCTTCTTCCTATAGTCAATAAATCACAAATATTTTATATGAAAAATTTATTCAAAATGTATCCCCTTTTAGAATCATGAAACAAAACAAACACCTTAAAATTTCCAATGGAAAACACCATTTCCTTAAGAACGTGTTCCATTTTTAGGCCTCTACTTGTAATTTACATCGCAGTATGCTTTCAAGTGACGCCAGATGGAATACTTTTACTTGAATATAAATGCTACTTCCATAGAGAAGAGAGTCTTTGACAACTACTGCGGAGCCAGAGGAGTCAGTTGCTATAGTGCAGAGCCCTAGGATTTAAGCCAATGCCTTCACATAACTTTACTCCAGAGCCAAACAATACATACAAGACAAAGAGCCCGCACCATCTGCAATAACATTTGAAATACACGGCCTTCTGGCATTCTTCCAGACCTATTTTTAAGGCCAGCAGAGTCCCTTCAATTGAATTAGTTATATCTAAACACAATAAGAAATAAATAATAAACTAAAGATCTTTATAGAAGTATTGTTTTTAAGACTAGAATTAAACAAGTAATTTTAAACCATCAACTACATTCACCAAACCTATCATTTTACTATATCCTTTGAAATCACAAAACAAATCCTGAAGTACAGGCTACCATTCAACTACATAAAATAAATATTCTCATGTCATTAGGAATAGATTGAGTAAAAAGTGAATGATCCAATAATTAAAACTCAAGAACAAAACTACCAATACCTGAAAAACTCTTTTGCAGTTACCATGGAATTCCATGCTCAATCCAATGTTGCTAGTTTTACTTGAACTTGAAAATTCACTCAATAGCGCAGTCAGAATAGAACAGGCCAGAGTTTGCTGTAATTATTTGATAAGAAATAATTGTGAGGCATTACTGTTTCAACGCTTTGTTTCAATGCATTTGTTCAAACATAATAGAACATTTTCTCCCTAACTTTAGATCTTCCACTGTATCTTTAGATCTTATAACAACTAGTCAGAAAATCAGATATGACAAAATAAATATTAGCTCTCCTTTCTAAGTGGTCTGGTCAGTGTTAATAGTACTTCCTCAAATGCAGTTATACAAATCCATCTAAGACTTGAACTCAGGACACACTGTTCCTACTCAATAGTGGAATTCAAATGATATTTAAAAATAATAAATGTTGAAGGTATTATTTTGTTTAATTCGCAGAACAACCTATATCCTCATTTTACATTTGAGAGAAGTGACCTGGAGTACTTATCTAAGGCCAGCTGAGATTTCAACCCATGTTTGACCCCGTTCTGTTTGTAAAATGCATTCCCAAATAGATGAAAAGTGAAACAGATTTTATAGTGTCCAAAATATTATAGCCAGGTAATACCCAAAAGTTTTTTAAATAGAAAAATGAAGATTTTTCTTCTCATTGGTTCTATCCAACAGGCTCCTAATATCAACTCATTGATTTTATTCCCAGACTAAAACAGTCAAGGTACAAAGGATGGAAAGAGGATACAAATTATTTTGGCAACTTTCCAGGAGTTAAACAGAAATATGCACACTACCTCTGAACAACCGAAAGATTAAAGTCAAGATGATACTATTTATGCAAGCTTATCCAACAGCTGAACACTGTCATACCCACCCACCAACTGCAACATCTCTGTTCAGAAATGCTTCTGATGTCAGTACCTTGACCTTACAGATACTTATCTTGGCAAATCTTAGCAAATAACTTAATGATATTAAATTCCTAAAAACTGGCAGGAAATATCTGTTGAAGGTGAGAGGTGACTGATGGTTCCATGAGTGACTAATAGACTATCTGTCCATTTTGTATATGTCTGAAATTTTTCTTTAAAAAATGTAAACATAGGCCGGACACAGTGGCTCATGCCTGTAATCCCAACACTTTGGGAGGCCGAGGCAGGCAATCACCTGAGGTCAGGAGTTCGAGACCAGCCTGGCCAACATGGTGAAACCCTGTCTCTACTAAAAATACAAAAAAATCAGCTAGGCATGATGGCAGGCACCTGTAGTCTCAGCTACTTGGGACACCAAGGCAGGAGAACGCTTGAACCTGGGAGCCGAAGGCTGCAATGAGCCGAGATCGCGCCACTACACTCCAGCCTGGGCAACAGAGTAAGACTAAGTCTCAAAGAAAAAAGAGTAAACATAAAGTTAAATTCCTATTTGCCTCTTAATCTCAACTAAAACAAGCGTGACTATATAGCTAATATTTATGAAAGGCACAAAACCCCATATGTTAAAGAAGTTTCTCAGACTTTTCCACACCTGGAAGTAAATGCAAATTCTCTAGCGAATCTAGGGGTATGATCAAAGATGCCTTCTGCAACAATAAAAGTTCTCTGAATGTTACTGGTTTGGCATAAACACACACATTTTGTAATTTTACTTCAAAATATACATGACTTAATATAAAAATGTCCCTTCCTCCCAAAATCTTCAAGAAACCCATTTAACTGCCTTTGTATGGCCCCAGGCACTTGGAGACAAAGAAGCCAGGCACTAAGGCCTCTCACAGAAAAAAACAGTTGATCACATATTTCTGTCATTTTACTGTTTAAAGCGATCTCAAAATTCAGGAAGTACAATCCCTTCATTTTTTTAGTTAACAAAATTGTTAATTTTCAAAAATTTTCTTTTAAAATGATTAATGATTATAGTGCCAGCAATTAACATTAGACAGATACATTTAAATAACATGAGGATCAACTATAAACATGATTTTTAAACACAGCTAGGCTTTGGTGGGGAAAGTAGATGTTAAATCAAATTAATGAGATTCAGAGAAAAAATTTAATTCACAATGATCTAATGATGAATCCCAAGATCCTAGGATCCTGAAAACAATTTTTCATTGACACTTAGCTTTTCACTTATCCTTTCTAAGACTCTAGTCAATAAAACATTATAAACACATCTAAATGTTTGAGAAAACTTGTCTTACTAAAAAAGGAAATTAATTTCTGAATCTCAGATGAGATAACCTATTAAAAACAGAATTGACACATAACATAAAAACCTGCAAGCTGAAAGAACCTAGAAGCACTCATTAAACAAATTCTTACTCTTACAAATGAATAATCTATACTAGTTTTTCACAAGTAATTTACAGCTTTCCACAGATTGTGTCTTACTGCATTCACCACAAAATGGCTTATTTTAAAACTATCACCATATTCAAGTTTTCAGGAACATCTCTCTAATTAATGATCACAGCCATACGTACTCACAAAAGCTTTACTTTTTCACATGAAACAAACATTTCCCAAGATAACATGTGGTTTACGGTCAAGATGAGAAACAAATGAGTGAAGGAGAGGGGCAGGGCAACGACAGGTGAAAGCCCTGCTAAAGCTACTCCTGCAACTACAAACTTCATCAGACAAAACAAGGAGCCCTAGTGGCATGGAACTGCTTTTTAGTTACGGCAATGAATATATCCCTCCAAAACAGCAAACTTCCACACTAATGAAGTACAAATTCACCCATAAAAACAAGTACATTCTTAATCGATGAGAATTTAGAACAAAATGCACTTATAGACTTAGCCCCCTGAACACGTAAGAATCTTTCGTTTTTAAATAATTTTTTCATCCTACAAAAATATACTTCTATCTTAGAAAAACTAGAAATCGTAGAAAAGCACAACGAAAATAAAATTGTCTACAATCCTACCATCCAGGAGTTATTACTGTAACATTTATAGCTTTCCAATTTTTTGATGCACAGATATAAATTTTTATATATCATTGATATAAACCCAAATATAGTTTTACATTCTACTTTTCCACTTTATACCTATGAAATAAAAAGAAAAAAATTTAAAAACAAATGTGTTCTATTTAAATATACCACTTAAAGACTTAAGAAATACATAAAAATAAATTATTGTACAGCATTGTTAGAGGTATTGCAAGAAATCAAATATTCTGGCTTTAACTGTACCTACGATTATCAGCTTCCAAAGAACTAAAATTCAATAGGATATTTTCATCATTAAAATATACCAAATAGTATAAGCTCTCCTTAATTTGGAAATCCTGTAGGAATATGAGATTACCATCATAAATATTAATCATACTACACTAGTCTGGCTCAAAGGTGCCAAATGAATAGAGACTCCTGGGGAATGATGAATAATTAAACATTGATTATACATTAAGAGAGCAAAGTACTTCAACACATATCAACAAAGTATTTCTCCCTATTCATAGGGGAATTAAACATATCACTAAATGTCTAGGACTCACTTCTAAATATGTTTGCTCATTTTCAATATTTAATTATGGATTAAATCCCCTTAAAATGAAGTTACTCTCACATTGTGGGTTGTAATGAAGATAGCTAGGGAAGCAAGCCAAAAATAAAACTCCCAAGGGAGAACAGAGGACAGCTTCTTCCCAGGAAAGAGAGAGGAAAGAAAAAAAATTAAAGCATCAAATCTGCCTAAAGGAGATCACCAGCTTCAGCTTTTCTTACCCTTAAAGAATGTTCTTATCTGCCTCCTTCAGACTGTTAGGTCTCAATGGGCATTCCGAGTGCACTACCCCCTAACTCACCCTCTACTGACCAGTATCTTCAAGTGCTGCCTCTCTGGCCTTTGTCAAAGTCAGAGCTAGATATTTTTCCATATCAGAGACAGTGGCTCTGATACTTAAGACAGCCGGAAACAAAAGCTGTAGTAATTAATGTCAGTGAATTCGGATCAAAGTTGACTAACTAACTAATTGATAAAAGACTGCCATACTAAAATACACAGGAATTTGCCCAGTATAAAATACAAATCTTAAGACTTCTAAGAGGTTAATACAACAATACTTCACTTATCTAAGATCATGAAGAATTAAGTTAATATGTTAATTTTGTAAATGCAGCAAGCAAACATTTTTAATGAAACGTCCTATAAATTTTTCTTAAGGAATTATTTCTATGGCAATTATATGATATTATACTTAAGTGACTACTTGGAAGCTACTAAAACATAAGGGGCCTTCCACCCGTTGGCAACGTGGTGCCAGATCCCAATGCTTGTTGATTTATGTCTGCTTCATAGCTTTTCTCAATCATCCTTTGTTGTTGTCTATCATTCACTGCTGCTGGCAATTTGACTGCCACTAACAGGTAGTTCTAAATGGATCATTTTCATTTGCTCACAGGTTAGAAACCAAATAAAATTTATTAAAATTACATCTAAAATAAATGATAAATAAAAACATTCTGCAGGACTCTTTCAGGAGTCCAATACAAGAATCCTGTTGTTTGAATCAGTTAGAAAATCTGGGCTCTAACAGTCCAAGATTTCCTTCTTCAAATAACTGTGGTCAAAGCCCTTCATGTACCTTGACCTCAGCTTTCTCATCTACAGTAAGGGCTACCACCCTCTGCCATACCTAATTTGCATAATTGTCCTAAGGCTCAAATTGCATAATGCTTAAAAATACCATGTAATTACACCAGGTTACAAGAAGGTAAAGTAGCAGCTGTATTTTTTATCATTATCATAGAAAATGACAACCACCTATTTCAGCTTTATTCTATTCCTTGATGATGATCTACATTCTGCAAAATTAAAATTACTAAATGTGTTACACCACTTAAAAAACAGAGCTATAACTGAAGCTGTATCACTAAAGCAATATAGTAAATGTTCAGTAAATGCTGTTTGGATTAATGAATCAGTGTTTACTTCTATGCCCAGCACTATGTTAACATAACAGAAGTTGGAAAATAAATGATGTGTTCCCTATTTTTTGGTTGTTTATAAATTTCTACAAGACAATTTTAATATGTCAAACAAGTAGAAGACAATGCAATGAGGTGTCAAAGTTATAAAAAAAAGTCTAATTGTCTTCTTTCATTGAAGTACTGAAAATTCACAAGTTAATTCACTGGCTAACAATTTAAGTAACTCTTATCTTCACATTGAAAGTCTTAGACCAGCATTCTCATTTATTTCTAGCAAAAGCCATTAATTTCAAGCTAGTGAAAAAATGCCCTTCAGAGATAGCTTGCCTTACTCACCAGCTTACTGTCACAAGCCCAAGATACTCAAACACTAACTCCAGCTGACAAAATAAAATACTCTTGTTCAGAGAGAGGATTGTCTCTTATAATAGCCTGGCTCTTACCCCAGGAGCTTTATTACCAAGAATAAACTTTATGAAAGGTTGCCATACATAAAGCAGACTTCCAGCTGCTCTTCTATGCAAACATCAATGAGACTTATGATAAGAGAGATTAACTTGGCTATCACATCCAGGGGCTGCCGTAGACAAGTGAATTTCTCACCCACTTCTCTCTAGTATGGCAAAGAGGAAGAAAGGAGACTTAAATGCTAAATTAAACAGCTTTAAAGTGATTTAACGTATGCCTACTGCTTTCAAAGGAAATAAGACAAATATGAATTATATGTTTAAATACAGATTAAAATTTTAGCTTAAAATAAAAAATTTTGCTACTTTCCTAGGAAGGCAAGTTTCCATATCCCTCCCAAATTAGTACTGACAGCAGGTCTGACACTACTGCAAACTGAGATGAAATAACCACGTAACCTTTATAATTATGGAAGGAAAACATCATAACTGCCCACAAGCTTGAAATAACATTATTTAATAATCATACAGGCATAAATTAACTAAGAATACATCATTTTTTACACAAATTAGATATAATCTTTCCATAAAACTATCTGTAGAGAACCAAGTCTTTAAGATACTTCTGAAAGCCTTTAAAGAAAGCCTAATGTGTTGGTTACCTATATTTTTTAAAAATACACACAAATTGGCAGAATGTGGTGGCTCACACCTGTAATCCCAGCACTTTGGGAGGCTGAAGTGGGCAGATCACTTGAGGTCAGGAGTTCGAAACCAGCCTGGCCAACATGGCAAAACCCCATCTCTACTAAAAATATAAAAATTAGCCGGGCATAGTGGCATGCGCCTGTAGTCCCAGCTACTCGGGTGGCTGAGGCATGAGAATCGCTTAAACCCAGGAGGCGGAGGTTGTAGTGAGCTGAGTTCATGCCAATGCACTCCAGCCTGGGCGACAGAGCAAGACTCTGTCTCAACAAAAACCACACACAAATGATTAGTTTCACTCATAGCATAAACATTTTCTTCTGCTTTTCCATACTTAAAATATTGTTTGAGAGAAAAACACATGATTTATTATAGTTCACTTCCCGAGATTCTATGAAGAAAGCAGTGAGAGACTACTAGGGAGACGGCACAAATACTTGCTGAATAGAAGTGAATATTATCACATTTATTTTACATATTAGTGAACTAATGCCTAGAGAAGTTAATTTAAGTTAGGTTGGCAATAAATGGCAGAGCTGGGATTTAAACCCAAGTGTGAATCCAAAATCAGTGTTCTATTATACTACACTGCCCCTAAACCTGTATAAATGCAAACATGAGACTAGTACAGGGAAATGGACCATCAAAAATCAATTCTTGGCTGGACGTGGTGGCTCACACCTATAAGGCTGAAACAGGAGGATCACCTTGAGGTCAGGAGCTCAAGATAACCTGGGCAACATAGTGAGACCCCATCTTTACAAAAAAATTTTAAAATTAGCCAGGTACAGTGGCACGTACCAACAGTCCCAGCTACTCAGGAAGCTGAGGTGGGAGGATCACTTGAGCCCAGGTGATCGAGGCAGCAGTGAGTTATGAACATGTCACTGCACTTCAGCCCAGGCGATAGAGCGAGGCCCTGTTTCTAAAACAACAAAACAAACAAATGAAACCAATATGCTTCAAAAGCGAAGGGGGAAAAGCCAGACTACATACAGTTTCTGGCCAATGAAGGTTGATGGAAATGTCCTTCTAGAAGAGGTGTGAGGGGAAAATTAGTTATCTAATTTAATGGTTCATGAAGTCAACCCTTTCTTCATCTACAGAAAACCTTTAGTTAATTTTTTCTACTTTTCAAATCTCTCTTAAAAGTCACCTTTATAAAGAAAGTTTATAGCCAATACTAAATCAATGTTCTGATCAGTTATCATTCTCCTTTCTTACAGAGGTTTTAATCATCTTGTTCACTGTCATTTATATCTGAGACTATGAAAACATTAAGTAAATTCTTGAACCACTTACAAATTCTTAACAGTCCAAGAAGAAGAGAGGATGATATAAGAAAATGTCTGAACTTCATTTTTTAGGCCTTCCTATTGAGCTAGTTTCAAGCTACTGGGCAAGGACAAATAGGGACAGTGTATGCATTTAACCTGCCATATAGAGAATATTTTTCACATTTAATGTTTTTAATGTAGTCACCAAAATAAATTTCATCCTGCAATCCTGAAATTAAATTCTACTTCCCACTGAAGTATACTGATTTCCTACTATTACAGTAGTTCTCAGCCCTGGTATTAAAAATTTGACTTTAGGCCAGGCATGGTTGGCTCACACCTATAATCTTTGGGAGGCCAAGGTGGGCAGATTGCTTGAGCCTGGAAGTTTGAGACCAGCTTGGGCAACATAGCAAAACCCTGTCTCTACAACAATACAAAAAATTAGCTCAGTGTGGTGGCATGCACCTGTAGTCCCAGCTACTCAGGAGGCTAAGGTAGAAGAATCACCTGAGCATGGGGAGGTCAAGGCTGCAGTAGGCCAAGACTACACCATTGCCCTCCAGCCGAGGCAACAGAGCAAGACCCGGTCTCACAAAAAAAAAAAAAAAAAAAGAAAGAAAGAAAGAAAGAAAGACAGAAATTTGACTTTAAAAAAAACTTTGGAGTCTTTCATGAGAATATTACATTTATCCACTATTCTCAAAGTGTACACACTATGAAGAGAGCAAAATCTTCTCTAACTGAACAGCTATATCTGTTCCAATCATTCTCAGAAGATCAGTTATTTCAGTGGCTCCAAAAAAATCCAATTGCCAGGTTGCAGTGGGACTAGTTTTTGTGCTGGGTCAAATTACCCAAGGGGAAAGGAAGCAGAGAACTCAGTTCCCAAGTATGTGCTCATTCCTGAGAGAGGCAAGGGACTCTTGACCCTTCGCCTGCGCCGTCCCAGTGCCAACAAGCTACTTGTAGGGGGTGAGGGCAGGCCGCATAAATTCTACCCCAATACCAAAATCCTGGCTGGAATGATCACCAAACTAACAAGGGAAAGGCATTAGTCATAAATAGATAGATCTCAGAGTTACTAGTAATGTTCCTCAAGTTTAAATCCTGTCTGTCACAAGGAGCTGGACTCCTTTACTGCACACTGTCAAAATGAAACAAGATGTTCTTAAGTGAAATCTAAAATATGAAGTGCAACTTGATTCAGGGCATTGGGGGCAAGGATAATATTTCCAAGTAGCAGCCTCAGTTGCAAACCTTTTCTCTGCTATTTTTATCTAAGTATATCCACCACTTCTTTTTCCCCAGGCTATCGATGATGACCAACATTGGATAATGCACATGGCCATTAGTTTGGAAGCAAATTCGAACAAATTCATAGAAATGACAAGATTACCATTATACAACTCGTGTAGACACTGCTGAAGCATCAGCATCTCATGAACAAATCTTATAATATTTGGTAATATTATATTTGGTATATTTGAATATTATGGTATATTTGATTATAATATTTTATAACATTTAAATAATGATTATGAATATTTATGGCAACATGGAAAATACAGAATCAAATGAGAAAGCAAGGTACACCACATCTATATTATATACATATATTAAAAAAGACTAGAAGAAAACCTGAACAAATGAAAATTGCTTGACTGAGAGCCTTTTCACTTTTTTTATGTAGATATCCATTATTCTTGCTATAATGCTATTTGTGTAACAGAAAATATAAATTGTTAATATTTATAAATACAAATAGCACACTTAACCACAGTGGGATTACCACTACTTATCAACTGGCTGACTTCATGGAAAATGCTTTTGCGGTCAATTGATTTATCTAAAGCTCATGACATGCTGATCAGAAATGGAGACTATATCTACTACCACAATTTATATTACTCTAAGTAAAAATAGCTTCCCATGGCCAGCCGTGGTGGCTCACATCTGTAATCCCAGCATTTTGGAAGGCTGAGGCAAGAGATCACTTGAGCCCAGGAGTTCGAGACCAGCCTAGGCAACATAGTGAAACCTCATCGCTACAAAAAAACTTTAAAAATTAGCCAGGAGTGGTGGCTTGTGCCGATAGTCCCAGCTACTCAGGAGAGACTAAGGTGGGAAGACTGAGCCCATGAGGTCGGGGCTGCAGTGAGCTGTAATCATATCACTGCACTCCACAGACTGTGCAACAGAGCAAGTGAGACCCTGTCTCAAAAAAAAAAAAAAAATAGCTTCCTACCCAGGTACAGTAGCCTGTACCTTAATCCCAGCTACTCGAGAGGCTGAGGTGGGAGGTGGGAGGATTGGCTGAGCCCAGGAGACTGAGGCTGAAGTGAGCTATGCACCACTGCATTACACCCTGTCTCTTAAATTTAAAAAAAGTAGCTCCCCATAATTTTCACCTCAAAAATTTAATATGAACCCTTCTTTCAAGAAATATTCCCACTTCATAAAATCAAAATGACTTATAGAATGTAAAGATTCAAACATATATACTTTCAAATTTATTAGTTTTATACAAAAATTAAATTTCACAATACTAAGATTAAGTAAAGGGGCCATAAAATTAAATTATCGGTCTTTAGAATGACACTATCCAATACGTTTGTCACTAACTATGTGTGGCTATTTGAATTTAAATTAAAATTTAAAAAATTAGAAAATTCAGTTCTTCAGTCACCCTAGCCACATTTCACATCACCAACTGCCACAAGTGGCCAGTGTAGTGGCTACATATTGGGGAGCACAGACATAGAACACTTCTTTCAACACAGTAAGTTCTACTGGACAGCACTACTCTTGAAATTTGCCACAAAAATGGCATAAAACTTAATATCACACAATCAAAAATCAAGATGTAAATAAAAATGTTCTGTATCTTGACTATGGTAGGAGTTTACTGGTATACACAACAGTCACAACTTAACGAGGTGTGCATTTTAGACAGACATAGTAATGCATGTAAATTACTTCTCAATAAAGTTAAGGAAAAAAAAGAACAAACACAAGACCATTGATGAATTTCTAAGGAAAACAAAAAACACGTAGGGTATATATAGTAAGTTCCAAAGTCCTGATCAGCTTGCTTACAGATTCCGTGGGTCTAGACTCCTGAGGTATCAGTCTGCGGTCCTAAGCAGAGTGGAGGCAGATGGCTGGGAGAGTGAGTTGAGCGCATAGCTGTGTGCGGTGAAAAGTGATGGACAGGAAGGCAGAAGAGAAGAGATCCAAGATATTGTGGAAAGCAAGGGACAATGTATGTGGCCCTCCTAAAATACACCACAGCATCTCAACCTCAAAGCATCAACTACATCGTTAAAATCACATCCATTAACTGAGGGGCCACTGAAGACAAAAGGAATTAACAAACAGTTATAAGGTACATAGCCTCACATAGATATCTTTAAAATGATTAAATAAATTGTAAAGGTAATAAGCTACCCAAAATACTTAAAGATGTAATAATATCCGAGACTCAGAATGGCCAAGTATTACCAATCTCAATTCTATATGAGTTAAATATCATTCAGGTGATAAAAGTTGATAGGTTAAACAAAGAATCACAGCTAATCATTAATAGCAACCGCAACTCCTCCTGCCTCAGACAGAGTGATTACAACCAAACAGCCACTCTCCAGGCACAACTCCAGCTCTCTAAAAGGTGGACAGGAGAGTGGAGAGGGTGGGAGAACCATGCTTCCCAAACTAATTCAGCCAAGAACAATAACCCCTAATTTGTTCAGTTGACAGTAACTCCTGAAGTCCCATGGCCTATTAGGACAGCAACTTTTAATTATTTTCATGTCAGATATTTTCTACTTTATTCAAACACTTCTGTATTCACTAGTAGCTGTCAAAGGTTTATTAGAAATGGCAAAACAAAGTTCAATAGAAACGGCTAACAATATTATGGCATATTAACTTATAATATTTTATAACAATTAAAATAATGATTATGAATATTTATGGCAACATGGAAAATACAGAATCAAACGAAAAAGCAAAGTACACTGCATTTATATTATGTACATATATATTTAAAAAGACTAGGCCAGGCGCAGTGGCTCACACCTGTAATACCAGCACTTCGGGAGGCAGAAGCAGGCGGATCACCTGAGGTCGGGAGTTTGAGACGAGCCTGACCAACATGAAGAAACCCTGTCTCTACTAAAAATACAAAATTAGCCAGGTGTGGTGGCACATGCCTGTAATCCCAGCTACTTGGGAGGCTGAGGCAAGAGAATTGCTTGAACCCGGAAGGCAGAGGTTGCGGTGAGCCAAGATCATGCCATTGCACTCCAGCCTGGGCAACAAGAGCAAAACTCTTGTCACAAGGGAAAAAAAAAAAAAAAGACTAGAAGAAAACCTGAACAAATGAAAATTGCTTGACTGATAGCTTTTTCACTATTTTTATGTAGATATCCATTACTCTTGCTATAATGCTATTTGTGTAACAGAAAATATAAATTGTTAATATTTATAAATACAAATAGCACACTTACCACAGTGGGATTGCCACTACTAATCAACTGGCTGACTTCATGAAAAATGCTTTTGCAGTCAATTGATTTATCTAATGATCCTCTTTTTACAATTACTGCTACTGCTAGTAGAATCTGTTCCCGAACATACTTTTGAAGGCTGTAAAACATAAAAATCATTGTGAAAAATTTACCTAAATCTAATACAAGAATACTCCCAAACTTCTCTCTATGCCTGAAGCTACTAATAACATTGCTTACATGTGAGAGTAGAAGAGCCAAAGGGTTATGTACAGACTCCAAAGCCAGGAGGCCTGGGTTCAAACCCAGGCTCCATTGTGGACGGGCTGTATGACCCTGGGCAAGACAGTTAGCATTCAGGGCCTTGGTTTTCAATCTGTAAAATGAGAATAACACTACTAGTGTTATTATAAGGGTTAAATGTTCCTAGAACTGTGCCCAGTACATACTAAGCACTATACAAGTGTTATTTGCTCCAGGAAGTGTTCAACAGATGTAAGTCAGCTCCCTGTTAAATATTTGTAGGGAAAAAAATCACTAAGATTAAGATTCCACTAGTCTGGAGATAAATTCTGATCTAACCTACGTCTACAACTACTAATCTAATCCTAAATCCCATTTCCCTTTAATGTGAAAAGGCAACATACTAGCTATCCGAGATACATCATTATGGAAACATAAAATTGTAAAACACACACACACAAACATTCAAAATGTTCATATCTAGGTTCTGTTCCTCCATGTGATGACAGAAGCACCCATCCCAAGTGGAGGCATTTTACCAAGCCCATTTGACCACAAGGGCACAGAAACTTAATTGACTTTTCACAATCTTTTCTGAAAGATAAGGATCAGAAAACATAATCCCAAACTTTATAATCTAGCCTCTGGAATCCCACAAAGATACAACCACCAAGTGCCCCTGGAATAAACCCAAACCCCTTAACATGGCTTATAAGCAGTGGGAACCATTCTAGCTTTCCTGGGACAGCCTCAATTCACCTGTTGCCCCAAATAATTATTAGTCGTTCTTTATTTCACTCTCAAAAGTGTCCCAGTTTGGAGACCCACCTATAGCCACCAGTGGCTGCTCCTCTCCTTGACTTCTGCCCTTCCACACACACGCACAACTGCAGACATATTGACCTTTCAGTTCCTCACTCCACACTCTTTTGACTTCCAGGCCTCTGAACTTCTATTCCCTCTCCCAAGATTATGACGTCACTTTCTCCAGAAAGTTATTACTAAGGGCTCCCACGGCACCCTCACATGACAGGACATATCTGTTACTACTGGTTCACTAGCTCCCAGATCAGCCACCCACTCTATGCACACTAGCATATGCAAAGCACACTACCTGCTGCATAACATGCATTTATTAGATATTTATACAGATGAATAAATATGTCTCCCTATCGTCAAGACTGAAGTGAAAAAACATTCCTTCAAAACATACACTTGAACCATTTATCTTTCACTCATTAAGCAAATAAATGCAGAGATCCTACTATGCATAAGAATATTAGTTGGCCAAAGGGAATTTCTGTACTTTTAGGGGGACAGAATAGTTTCATAGGCACTGACTACTACTAGAAAATGTACATAAAGCTGAAGACTATGACTACAAATGTACACAAACATAGTTTTAAATATCTCTACTGGCAAGAATTAAAATTATTATTAGAATAAATAATAGCTACCATTTATTGAATGCTTACTATATGCAAGAATTTATATGAACTGGTTTCACAAATATTAACACATCTAATCCCCATGATACTACTACTATTATTCACTCCATTTAAAAATCAAATCAGAAGGCCGGGCGCAGTGGCTCACGCCTGTAATCCCAGCACTTTGGGAGGCCAAGGCAGGCGGATTACGAGGTCAGGAGATAGAGACCATCCTGGCTAACACGGTGAAACCCCGTCTCTACTAAAAAAAAAAAAAATTAGCCAGGCGTGGTGGCAGGCACCTGTAGTCCCAACTACTCGGGAGGCTGAGGCAGGAGAATGGCATGAACCCGGGAGGCGGAGCTTGCAGTGAGCTGAGACTGCGCCACTGCACTCCAGCCTGGGCAACAGAGCGAGACTCCATCTCAAAAACAAACAAAAAAATCAAATCAGAAAATTAATGCACAAAGAAGTAATCTGCCCAATGCTGCAGAGTTAAGTGGCAGAAGTAGGGTGCAAATCCCTTTCTTGACCACTATGCTACACTTGCCTCTTTCATAAAGGACATTGTGCATTTCACTGTATACAAATTTTATTTCAATTAAGAGGAAAAAATAAAAAAGAAAAAATTCTGTGCATGTAATGGGAAGTACACATTATTTATGTAATAGTCTACTACATAGCCTATAGTATTCTACCTATGCAGTATGCCAAAAACGTTTAACTTGAATCTAATCCACACTGTAGGGCATTCTACAAGATACAAATATCTGTGTCATGAAAGGCAAAAAAGAGCACACAATTATTCTAGATTAAAAGAGACATGACTAAATACACTGTACAATCTCTGGCTCACCTAGATTAAAAAAAAACCTACTGTACCTAAATAAAGCAAATATTAATAGATCTGAAGTGACAGACTGCAATACCAAAAAAAAAGTATAAAGGAAAAAGGATGTAAATATTATTCAGACAATTGGGAAACTCAGAATATGGAATCAGAATTGTTAGATCATATAAATATGCCAATTATATCAAGAGTATTGAGATTATGCTTTCAGAAGAGACACGTTCAAGAACTTTAAGGCTAAAGTATCATGATGTCTGTGGCACTCTCGAATAGTTAAGGGTAAAAAATGTACATATACATAAGAGAGAAATTAAATGTGACAAAATGTTAACTGAGCCTCTACTGGAAAAAGGGTGTGTTTACCACCACATTCTGGCCTGGGCAACACAGCAAGACTCTCTCTCTTAAAAAAAATGTTTGAGATAAAAAATATGTATGTAAGCCAGGTGTGGTGGCTCATGCCTGTAATCTTAGCACTTAGGGAGGTCAAGGAGGGCGGATCATGAGGTCATGAGTTCGAGACCAGCCTGGCCAAAATGGTGAAACCCCGTCTCTACTAAAAATGCAAAAAATTAGCTGGGCATGGTGGCGCATGCTTGTAATCCCAGCTACTCCAGAGGCTGAGGCAGTAGAATCGCTGGAACACAGGAGGCAGAGGTTGCAGTGAGCCAAGATTGCGCCATTGCACTCTAGCCTGGGTGACAGAGCAAGACTTCGTCTCAAGAAAAAACAAAAAAAGAAAAAATTAAAATATATATATATATGTGTGTGTGTATATATATATATATATATATATATATGTGAGCTATTTCAATGTGGAACCCTACAATCAACTCTACAATCAAACTAATTACTTTAGCTTCTAAATTATCAAAATGATTTTAAAATGAGATTAATTTGGGCCAGGTACGGTGGTTCATTCCTGCAATCCCAGCCCTTTGGGGTACTGAGGCAGGAGGACTGTTTGAGCTCAGGAGTTAGAGACCAGCCTGGGCAACACAGCAAGACCCTGTCTCAATTTAAAAAACTGAAAAGGAGGCTGGGCACGGTGGCTCACACCTGTAATCCCAGCACTTTGGGAGGCCGAGATGGGAAGATCATGAGGTCAAGAGATCAAGACCATCCTGGCCAACATGCTGAAACCATCTCTACTAAAAATACAAAAATTAGGCCAGGCACGGTGGCTCATATCTGTAATCCCAGCACTTTGGTAGGCTGAAGCAGGCGGATCACGAGGTCAGGAAATGGAGACCATCCTGGCTAACACAGTGAAACCCCGTCTCTACTAAAAATACAAAAAATTAGCCAGGCGTGGTGGTGGGCACCTGTAGTCCCAGCTACTCGGGAGGCTGAGGCAGGAGAATGGCGTAAACCCAGCAGGTGGAGCTTTCAGTGAGCGGAGATCACGCCACTGCACTCCAGCCTGGATGACAGACCGAGACTCCGTCTCAAAAAACAAACCAAAAAAAATACAAAAATTAGCTGGGTGTGGTGGCACGCACCTCTAGTCCCAGCTACTCGGGAGGCTGGGGCAGGAGAATCGCATGAACCCAGGAGGCGGATGTTGCAGTGAGCAGAGATCACGCCACTGCACTCCAGCCTAGCAACAGAGCAAGGCTCTGTCTCAAAAAAAATTAAAAAAAAAAAAAGAACAAATAAAAAGGAAAAAAAAAGAATGCGATTATTTTGGATAATATAAGAGCCAGACACATATACATAATGAAAATTTGCTACACATTTAAGTCTACCAAGGTCTCCAGAGTTCAGTGGTTCTCAGGTTGGGGAATGGCGACAAGGGGGAGAAAAGGCTATGACAACTAAACAGCTCCACAAAAAAGAACCGCTCTAGTTGACCTGAAGCTCCCCTGCTGGCCCTGACTCCATAAGGTAGTCTGGTCCAGATGATGACAGCTGCAGCAGCCAAAGCTTTTACTCCCCACCAGGCACTGTGCTCAGAACAATCTCATCTAATCCTGACACCAACCATATGAGATGGGTACCAAGTCCCTGATCTACAGGTAAAACAGAATATTAAAGAGACTTTATGTTAGTTTCCCAAGGTCACATAAATAGACTGCTCTTCAGAAAACGCTAACATTTTAGGCCTAGAGGCCAAAAACAATTTTTTTAACCTTCCCACATATAAACTTCTATAAACACAGAGGCCCTAAGGCTTATTTTCTTTTATTACATAAATATAAATAAATATGAAGGTTTTCTCAACTTGTGTTCAACAACAAGCACACTATCATAATTGATTTCAAAATATTTTCGTAGGGTAAAGAAAAATACCAAAACAAATATCATTTTAGAATTCAACAAAACACGTATCTCTTCCATGGTTGCAATTGATAATATAAATTTTGATGTGTCTGAATTACATTGTGTGCAAAACAACAAACAAAATAACAAGCACTTGCTGACATTGTCAAGACCTCTACTCACCTGTACTTACCTTTCTTTATGTACAGAGGGGTCAAAAGACAAACAGTCCTGTCAGGTCTAGCAAATATGGTCAAATAAAAACAACAAAAGAGCAAACTAGTATCACATCCAAATGGACCCACCAAACAAAAACCAATCAATCAATCCAGCATGACAGAGAAAAGAAAGGTTTCAAACCAGGGACAAGACTTCCTTATTCTATGAAAACCAGAAAAAAATTAGCCATGTCCTCCTCACAAACATGTATATCCACTTATCTACAGGACACATTATCCACTAAACCTGCAACACTAATAGGCTACAGAACCTTTGCCTTTGTTCTCTCCTGTATTTTTTTTTTTTGTATGTAAGGCAGTTAGCAGTTAACAAAGTGCTAAAGTCATGTCAGTATTATTAAATATTATTAACTCAGACTGCCAGGGTACAGTCAACAGAAACAAATGCATGACAGTATGCTCTAAAATTAAAATTTTATGTGTATGTTTATTGCCATTAATCACCATTCCTAAGCACACACATTTCTGATTACATAACAAAATTTTTTCTTTAATGACTTTGGAAATGAACATCTAAAGTATTCAATTGCACAAACAGTAAACATACAAGTGCATTGTCTATTCTTAAAAGAATACATGGTCTTTGGGGAACTTAACAAAAAAAGGTAAATAGTAAATCAAAAGTTATGTAGCTGATAGTTTTCCTCTTTTTTTTTTTTTTTTGAGATGGAGTCCCACTCTGCCACCTAGGCTGGAGTGCAGTGGCTCGATCTTGGCTCACCACAACCTCTGCCTCCCAGGTTTGAGTAATTCTCCTGATTCAGCCTCCCAAGTAGCTGGGACTACAGGCATGCACTACCACGCCCGACTAATTTTTGTATTTTTAGTAGAGATGGGGTTTCACCATGTTGGCCAGGCTGGTCTTGAACCCTTGACCTCAAGTGAGCCACCCACCTCAGCCTCCCAAAGTGCTGGAATTATAGGCATGAGCCACCACATCAGGCCTCATATATTTTTTTTAATCATTCAAGAAATAAATGTACATAATTTTGTAAAATGTTTAAGCAATACAGATATGTATAAAAAGAAAATTTACTTTCACCTCATTCCTCAAAACTCATCCTATTTTCAATGGAAGCTACTTAAAGATTTTGGAACTTCTTAATAGAACCTTGCACATTTCTCTCTTTTTTTTTTTTTTTTTTTTTTTTTTTGAGAAGGAGTCTTGCTCTGTCACCAGGCTGGAGTGCAGTGATGCAATGATCTCGGCTCACTGCAACCTCTGCCTCCCAGGTTAAAGCAATTCTCTTGCCTCAGACTCCCGAGTAGCTGGGACTAGAGGCGTGTGCCACCACACCCAGCTAATTTTTGTATTTTTAGTAGAGATGGCGTTTCCGCATATTGGCCAGGATCGTCTTGATCTCTTGACCTCATGATCTGCCTGGCTTGGCCTCCCAAAGTGCTGGGATTACAGGTGTGAGTCACCACACCCAGCCCTCTATGCACATTTCTATGTACACATATATGTAACATTTGATTTGTTAGTGGTACTTAGCTTCTTCCCTCTCCCCTGTTTTAGGATACTCACCTGTGTTATATCAATACTTACCATTTTTCACCTCTACTAAGCATCAAAAGAACAAGTAAATATAAAGGTTCTTCATCTAATCTAAGGTCAACTTTTATTTATAACTAAGTTCTTCACAACTCAACAACAACAACAAAAAACTAATATCCAACACAACCTTTTCAAAGAAACAAAACATAGTACCAAAAGCTTAAATAAAAGGTATTATTTCATTAAGCACCAAAACTACCTACAATCACGTGTATACAAGTGTTTAAAATATGAGCCCCACACAAAACTTAACCTTAAACATCTAGAGCTTTTTAAATTTTTTTTCTTTTTTTGTACTTAGTAGAGATGGGGTCTCACTATGTTGCCCAGACTGATCTCAAACTCCTGGGCTCAAGGAGATCCTCCCTCTCAGCCTCCCAAAGTGGAGATTATAGGTGTGAGCCACTATACCCACCCAAAAGTTTTTAAAATGCAAACAAAAAAAGCTCTAAAAAGATACACATAAGCTCAGCAAAAGTATTTCAGCAGTCCCCCTCCATGTACTTACTTGGGCCTTTGTAAGACATAGGTTAAAAGGAATGTTCGCAGAGACTCGATGCTACCTTTTTCCAAGAGAATCCACTCTCGGACAACTGCTTCCATTATGGCTGTGGCAGCTTGAAAGAGGACATAGTCCACTTTACTAGTTTCTGAGGAGAAAATTAAAAACTTTATTTAAACAATAATTCATTTTACCTTGCACATTTTGCATTTATTAATTTTAAAACAGAACTTTTCAGACAAGGAATAAGATGGTTACCTGTTCTTTTTTTTATCCAGTGACCTTGCTCTAGCACCACAAAGAGGTTAGTTCCTCTCAGAAGACACCTCAGGCAGGTGGCAGCTAATCACCGATCACAATTTTCACAAACTTTCCTCACCTCTCTTCAACTGTTACTTCCAAAGCATGAAGAACTAAAAAATAACACAGCTTTAAAAAAAATAAAAATAAAAATATAAAGCAATCAGAAAATTTCCTAAGATTCTCACCCTGTGCAAAACAGAACTTTGTATCTGAAAAACATTTTAATAAACTAGTCATTGAACATTACTACCTGTGATGAGCCATGCTGTTAAAATATTTCATTTTTAAGTATTAAGCTTTCAGCAGGATGACCCATCTCCAATAGCAAGTTCAGAAATAAAAACAATCATGTTTAGGTTTTCTTTCTCAAAATATAAAAAACAATATAAGTCACATTTACACAAGGTGAGAAGTGCTTGTGAATTTTCTGATTGCAGTACTGATCAAACTGAGTAAAATCCCAAAGCTACACTTAGAAAGACCCAGCCTTAGCTAGCAAGTTATAGTATCTGATCTAAAATCTAAATCAGGGGAGAAAAAATAGAAAATTAACACACTTTAAAAATGTTTTATATTAATTTTCTATTTTTTCCTTTATTCACCAATACCACTACAATCAGTTTCCCAAACAGCATTATCAACAGGGAGAAACAGTTGAAATGAAGTCAAGAAAAAGCAGAAATTTTCTGAGGCTCTAAAAAATAACCATCATGTGAAATCCATGAAAAGCTCATGATTAGACTCCAGATTATTTGCCAAGATCACTGGACATGCATATCTGAAAGCCATGAGAAATTATCTCTAGGCATAGACTGGCACCTTCAAGAATATATCAGAAGAGCATGAAGATATATACAGTCAAGCACACCATTTTCTCTCCTATTCAAGCTCAGGTCATTTAAAAATCTTACAAGTGTTCTTGACACATTTAGCTATAAAAATGTATGAGAAAAGGTGTACCCTATATAAATTCCTATCGTATTAGACTACTACACAGGAGTTTTGATCATACCAAAACCACTAAGAGAAACCAATTTGAACCTTTTTTTAAAGTTTTGATTATTCTATGCTATCTTAACATGAACTCTAATTGAGATGATAATCAGAATTGATACAAATTTAGAAACTTTAAAATATAATAAATAATTAAAATAAAGGAATAGCTTCTAAAAATGTGAACCTATTAGAAAAGATGTGTTTAAAACTCTAGGAGTTAAAAAAAAAGGGGGACCCAGTTCCATCTATTTAGATCACTTAAAGAGAAATATGGTACTGTCTCATAAAGGTAATTCAAATAATCTCTCATTATAAACCTCTTCTTAAAGAAAATGATGTTTGTTTGCCTATCTTCATTTTCTACTGCAATAGTAAAAATTTTAAGGACAAGAAACCGGAAATCCTTAACCATGGATTTCAACAATGAAGCAAAATCTAAGGTACTCTAAGAATTTTAGTTATAGAACTCTGAAGACCATCTAAATCAATTCCTCCATTTTACAGGAGCTGAAGGATGCCCCAAGAGATAGAGAGGAAACTGAGGTCACATGGCTGGTAAATGTTCCTTGAGCAATACTAATCTACCCTGAAACACACATGCCACTGAAGATAGAGCGAATAAGCACTTTCATTGTTAATGATCACTGAAACATTCCTAACTATTTGTTTTTACATCCAAGCCTTTTTCTGCCCTTTGGAGGTGGGTGGGTGTTGGATGTGAGGGGGCAGTTATAGAAGATGAATATTCAAAATTTTCAAGACACAAAAGTTTCTTAATTCTTTTTCTTAGACCTCTGCATGGTATTAAATGATGATCTCTAAATGACTACTCCCATAAGAAGCTGACTCTAAGAATGGAGGAATAAAAAAAAAAAAAGCCAAATTCCTAATTTAAAAGAAGAAATTTTCCTAAACTAATAAATTACCCTTTCTCATAAAAACCATTATTAGCTGTCATAAATTTAACTTATACATAGTAGAAATATGCAAGAGATGCTAGAAGGTACTCTCGAAGCCTACCAGTATGAAATTAGAACTTCACAAATACATATGAGCTTTACTTTCGCTCTCTGTTACAAAGATGCCTGAAACTACAGGGTTTTCATGAAGAACTCACAATTCATCTAGCATTTTTTTTTTTTTTTTGAGATGGAGTTTTGCTCTTGTTACTGAGACTAGAATGCAATGGCGCAATCTCGGCTCACCACAACCTCTGCCTCCCGGGTTCAAGTGATTCTCCTGCCTCAGCCTCCCGAGTAGCTGGGAATACAGGCATGTGCCACCACACCGGCTAATTTTGTATTTTTAGTAGAGACAGGGTTTTTCCATGTTGGTCAGGTTGGTCTCAAACTCCCAACCTCAAGTGATCCACCCACCTCAGCCTCCCAAAGTGCTGGGATTACAGGTGTGAGCCACCACACCCAGCCTCATCTAGAATTTCTAAACTACTTCTGGGAAGATCTGCCACTGACTAGGACACTGTCCAGAGAATAAATTATTTTAGGTCACTTTAGCAAAATGCTTTCATCTGCTACCACAGTAACTTTCTTTAATAATAATTATGTAAATAAAATTCATTTGAATTTTGTCAGCCATCTGAAACTAAACAGAAACATGAAGACAAAAGTTAAAGTTAATAATACAGGAAAAGCACTACATTCTGACCAAAAAGTTTTTTTAAAAAAGAAAAAACCCCGGTAGTGAAGCCACAGATATACAGCTACTACAATCAACTCTCTGGCCTTAAGTATTTCTGTCCAAAGCACAGGCAATATAAGCTCCAAGTCTACTCTTTGACTCAGTGATACCTATGCCCACCAACTAATGACAAAAAGTCTCAGATGGAAGATGATTTATTAATTCCCAGTGACTGACAGCACTACTAAGGAAACAATTTTCCAGAGGTGTAAAAGTTTACTAGTTTAACTGACTTTTTGGTGGTTTATTATTTTGTTTTGTTTTGGCACTTGTGAGATCAGAAGTGAAAGAAATCCATTTCTCCCTGAGAAAGAGTAAAAGAATGCCACAAAGTTAGCTCCAGAAGAAGTAAGCCAATCCCTCACAGTTCTTGATTATTTCTTTAACAAGAACAGAACTCACTTGTTTTTTTAAAGGAACATTTGATCCTAAAAAATTTAAATTACTAAGTGCCAAAGACTTCTGAAGTGAAGAAGTCTAAAAGTGCTCTTCTGACAAAATGCACAAGCATGCCACATGCATGCACAGATACACCACACACACACACAGAAAAGAGCAAAGAAAATAAAAACTAGAATGAAAACAAAAGGATAAGAAGAGAAAGAAATGAGGAAAAATGAGCAACATATAAAACTCAAGTTAGAAGTGAGAAGGAAGAATTTTAAGAGGCCAGAAAAGGGAAGCATCAAAGAAAGTCTCCCCTTTAGTAGAATATATTACCCAGACCTTCTATAAAAATGACACATAATCCCTAAACAAGAATGTGAAAATTCTGAACTGCGATTGACTGCCACTTGTATGAGAAGTCTTCTTAGAGGAATTTACCCTTCTGTGCTGGTGGCAACTGAATAAGGAGTGAAAAGATTTTCTGTGAAGTTTAGATGTAAACATTAATGTAACACAGGGCTTTGCAGTACATTAATGATTATGCTTGTAATACATGCACTCCACCTTTTAAATAGTCAGTGTCTCAAAACCCAAACTCATTTTAAAAGCATGGCCAGAACTAGCAATACTACTCTTTAGAAAATTTTATCAGGAAAACAAAAGTATTCCAAAACAAGCTCAATCATAACAAAGCAACAATACTTCATAAAATATACATATTCTAAAAAGGAAAGAATGGTATAAACAAATACACTCTAATAAAATACTTGTAAGTTAGATCAACTATTTCCCAACTAGTGTACAATGACACTGAATTCCAATAGAAAGTCAGATGAAACACTGATGGAATCCTAGTCAATGTCGTTAAGGCATATGCCATGAAAACCAGACTCAAATTATTTTAGGTTAATAGTTTAACACAACGGTTTTCTAAATCTATTAATGCTGAACAATTTCAAGGCAGTAAGGATGAATTAATGCTTCCTTAAACTCTTTATGCCGTTTAGTTTTGCTTCCTTTAACATTGAGTTAAATATCCTCCACAGGTATATGTTAAATCTTCTTAGTGCCAGAAACGAATCCACACAACTATAAAAGCTGACCACTGAAATAAGTAAATTAATTAAAATGGCTTCAGTGAGAATTTAAAAGGTAGTTGTTGAACCTGTTCCTCTGCTAAGACCTAACTCCTAAATGAGACAGAGCCACCTTCACCACTGCTGCTAGTTCCTTGCAAACACAGAACACAGCATTTTTAAAGCCGATTACATTTTTTAAAAGCTGTTTAAAATCAAGTATATGGCCATGACATTTACCTCACTGTTCACAAAGTGCTTTTACATAATGAAAAGTAATTACATTTTCACCTCACGAAACAATTTAAGATAGCAAATCCATTAAGGCAAATGGTATCGTTATTGCCATAAGGCAGATGAAAAAGAGGCCCAGGGAGGTGAACTGACTTCCTCAAGGTGCACCAGTGGCACCTAGATGTCATAGTTGCTACATCAGCACTCTTTCCACTACAATCGAACAACTCTCTTCCATAAGTCCTTATATGTAAAGCACCTTTAACACATAACTTTAATTGTAGTTTATTTCAATCTGGAAACCAGCCTATTGGTAGCTATAGATAAGCCTTACTAAAAGCACAAGAATAAAAGTCAGATGTTCTAGTTCCTAATACTCAACTAACCAATTTTATGGTCACAGATGACTCAAGTAGCCTACTAGAGCCTTACAAAAGATGGCTCCCACTAAAAAAATCAGCCAGCAGTAATCAGCTTATAAAATAACAATAACCAATGAAGTCTCTCTTACTATTATTGAAAAATATCTAAGGGACAGATGGCACATCATATATAACTCTTAGAAAATGCCATCTTTGGATAAGAGTTATATTTCTTGTGATTCTTTTAGAAGAAATCTTTTCTGTACATGTCAGACATAAGATACTCATAAAACATATTTGACAAAAGTAAAAATCAGTGCTTTATTTTAGGATACATACAGTGATACCCTACGCAGAAATGACTGATATTCATTAAGCAAGCTGAGTACAAACTAAATGGTTAAAAAAAAAAAAAACTATGGAAAACAACTAAAAGAAAATGTAGAAATCTCCAAAAACAATCTCAATTTTAAAACTAAGACTGGGCTAAAAGATACTATAGTACATACCCTGTAATAAATGACATTTGAAAACTGAAAAAATACTAAATTTTTCTCTTTACTATTAACAGCCTTCATGTTATGGTCAATAATAAAACAAATTATGAACACTATATCTAGGGGGGAAAAATCCAAAGTAAAAACAAAGTTTCCCGTCTGGCTTTACAGAATATCTTTAAAGCTACTCCAGTAGAATGATTATTAATTTAAATAATTGTAACTACACAAACCAGGTTTTTAAAAAGGAATTTAAAATAGCTAATGTTTAAGACAGCAAACCCAGATCTGATTATGCCAAAATATTTTATATTTTTTAAGTGAATACTTACCCAAAATATGCTTGCAAACTGCAAATGGTGATTTTGATTTCCTAAATGATAAGAATATGTGCTCTGCATGCTGGCGTTGTTCATTATTGACCATGGAAGGTGGTGCCTTGAGAGTTAAAGACAAGAACAGATACACTTATCTAATGACAAAGCTTAAATAATATCAATATTTTTACCCACAAGAACAGAAAATGCCTTCACTTTTGGGGGGCAAGAGGAACAAATTCTTGCTTAACTTTTTAAGGAATTATAGTATAAAACTTGATAATAAATGTTTAAAACATGGTTTCAGAAAAAAGGAAAAAATTCCTGGCAAGGTTTGGGTCAGAATCCTTTAAAGGTTTTTAAAAAACCTGCATTTTAGAAAAACAGATACTTATCTAACATTTTTTGGGGGATTTAACAATTAGTTGACTTATTATCACCTTTTATTCCAAAATATACCACTTGGACTAACTTGACCTAGTTCAAATAACTTCAAAATTCTTCAATACTGGGGATATTGAATCCAAGTTACTAAAAATCAGTTTCCAAAAGCAATCCTTTAAGACACAGGATCAAATATTATTTCACCTCAAGTTTTCTAAAATCACTATCAAACCAGAAAAATTTGGGAACAGTTAAAGTTTGGAATTTATGAAATGTATTTCTGAATAATAAATTAATCACTCAAAAAAATCTAGACTTCTCTCTTAACAAAAACAATTTCTAAAGTCTGACCAAGTTTTTAAATACCATTTTGGTGTTAACAATCGTTCTTCTAAAGATAATAATCTTCTGAGCCAGATCTACCTAAAACGTACATTCCTGTTACATGGTTTAGTTAACTTTTAACCTATTAAGACTTACAAATACTTAATTTGGGAAAGGGGGCTGGAGGTAGATGGCAGGAAAATAAACCTTTATTATTCAAACCATTGAATAAAGAGGGCAACTCATAATTTCAATTATATTAAATAATCTAGATGATGAAAAATGTTACAATCAATTATATTAGATCAACACTCATTATAAATTATATCAATTATGCAACATTAGTCACTAATTTCAGTCAAAATAATAAAAAAAAAAGTTATTCACCCAGGAAAAATTAACTACTGTGAATCTCTGGCTTCAGAGAATTCTTATAATTAGCTAAAGCCAGTTCAGACTACTATTCCTAATCATATAGCACCCTCTACAGTTCTCTAAATAAAAATGAAAATATTTCCATTAAAGAACTGTGTTGGCTGGTCCCAGTCGCTCATGCCTGTAATCCTAGCACTTTGGGAGGCCAAGGCGGGAGGATAATTTGAGATCAGGAATTTGAGACCAGCCAGGCAACATGGTGAAACCCAGTCTCTACTAAAAATATGAAAATATTAGCCGGGTGTGGTGGTGCACACCTCCCAGCTACTCAGAGGCAGAAGCATGAGAATCGCTTGAACCCGGGAGGCAGAGGTTGCAGTGAGCTGATATGGCGCCACTGCACTCTAGCCTGGGTGAAGGAGTCTCAAAAAAAAAAAAAAAAAAGAATTGTGTTAAATTCTTTAACACTTCTTTAAAAAGAATTTTGAGTGTGGTGGCTCACACCTGTAATTCCAGCACTTTGGAAGGCCGAAGAGTACAGGTCACCTGGGGTCAGGAGTTCGAGACCAGCCTGGCCAACATGGTGAAACCCCCGTCTCTACTAAAAATACAAAAAAATTAGCCAGGCATGGTGGTGCACACCTGTAAATCCCAGCTACTTAGGAGGGTGAAGCACGAGAATCACTTGAACCCAGGCAGCAGAGGTTGCAGTGAGCTGAGATCCCGCTGCTGCACACCAGCCTGGACAACAAAGCCAGACTCCATCTCAATTAAAAAAAAAAAAATTTACTAATAAAACTGTGAGGGCTGGGTGCGGTGGCTCATGCCCGTAATCCCAACACTTTGGGAGATCAAGGCGGGTAGATCACCTGCCTGGCCAACATGGTGAAACCCCATCTCTACTAAAAATACAAAAATGAGTCGGGCTCAGTGGCAGGAGCCTGTAATCCCAGCTACTAGGGAGGCTGAGGCAAGAAAATCGCTTGAACGCAGGAGGCAGAGGTTGCAGTGAGTCAAGATCGCGCCACTGCACTAGAGCCTAGGTGACAGAGTAAGACTCTGCCTCAAAAAAAAAAAAAACTGAACAGCAAACTATATTCTAGAAGTATTTTTGTCTTTCCATTTTCAAATTATTTTGTTTGCTTTTTGTGTTTTTTGTCTGTTTTGGAGACAGCCTCACTCTGTTGCCCAGACTGGAGTACAGTAGCATGATCACAGCTCACTGCAGCCTCAACCTCCAGGGCTCAAGTAATCCTCCTGCCTCAGTCTCCTCAGTAGCTGGGACTACAGGCATGCGCCAAGCCCAGCTAATTTTTGTATTTTTTGTAGAGATGGGGTCTCACTATGCTGCCCAGGCTGGCCTCCAACTCCTGTACCTCAGTGATCTGCCTGCCTTGGCCTCCCAAAGTGCTAGGATTATGAGTGTAAGCCATCGTGCCCGGCCAATTTTCAAATTTTTTTATTCCCACCACCTTTTCTAGTTCAACAAGATGAGTTTGTGGGGTTTTTGTTTTATTGCTTTGTTTTGTTTTCCTGAGACGGAATCTCACTCTGTTGCCCATGCTGGAATGCAGGGGCATGATCTCAGCTCACTGCAACCTCCGCCTCGGCCTCCCAAAGTGCTGGGATCACAGGCATGAGCCACCGTGCCCAGTCTTTTTTGTTTTGTTTTTTAAAACAGAGTGTCACTCTGTCGTCCAGGCTGGAGTGCAGTGGCATGATCATAGTTCACTGTAACCTCAAACTCTTGGGCTCAAGGGATCCTCCCGCCTTTGCCTCTTCCGTAACTGGGACTACAGGGGCATGCCACCACACAGGGCTAATTTTAAAATTTTTGTAGAGGGTAGACACCATGGCTCATGCCTGTAATCCCAGCACTCTGGATTACAAAATCCCAAAGTCTGCTGACATTACTGACTCTCTGTATGGCATAGAGTAAACGATACTACCCATGTTATACTGCTACAAATACGAATCTATGAGTTCCTCAAGCAATTTCTGGATCATACATTCTTTCTTATCATCCTTGAAAAGCACAACATATCCATAATTGTGCAAATTAATATGCTAGTTATTCTACAAACAAAAATTGTCTAAAGTTAATCCAAAAGACATCCTCATATCCACATATACTTAATCTACTAGAAAGAACAGGTCTGAATATATTAATATAATGAAGATGATATTCTATTTATGTCAGATTTTAGAAATAGTAAAGTATAATCTAAAAGTTGATTTATATTAACCACCTGGTTAAATATTATCATACAAACAATAAAATTATCAAGTCAATATATTAAATGGCAGGATGGTAGTCACTTTAGTTTTTCTACAACCAGAATTTTAAATTCCTTCTTGAAATCTACTTGGCAATGGTTTCCAAATGGCAAGCTATCTGCACCAGACAGTCCGGGAAACCTTTTAAAACTGGCAAATAGATTTCCAACCCCAAAAGATTCAACAGGCTGGGAGTCAAAACCAAAAATACACATTTTTCCCTCAAAGTTCCCCAAGTGGTACTGACCCATAAAACTCCCCACTGTCAAACTCCTTACCCTTCAACAATCTTAAGTTACCCTTCAAAAATCTGCTTCCGTCTCTGCTTCCTTCATCAACCTTCACTCACCTTTCCCCAGTTGTCCAAGCACAACTAACATCTCTATTTCATCTCACATAACACGTTGCTTGTCCATCTCTATTACCCAACTTAGCATAATGGACTACAAACCTTTATTTGCTGCCCCCTACCCTTCCTTTTATTATTTCTCTGACACCAGTGACTTTATTTCTCTCTAAATTCCTAGGGCCTACCACATACAAAAGAGAGAGGCATTTAATAGCAACTAACATTTATTGAGCATTTAGGATACGAGGCATTATTTTAGATAGATACATACACAAGAAAGAAAGAAGAAAGACAGGAAGGAGGAGGGAAGTTGGAAGGTAATCTCACTAATCCTAACAACTCTATGGGAGGAAATATTATTATCCTCATTTTACAGATGAGGAAACTGAGGTATGTAAAGAATAAGTAATTTGCCCAACGTCACACTATCAGTAAGAAGCAGAGCTGAAAATTAAACCCAGGTAGTATGACTCCAGGGTCTTAACTCTTAACAGAAACTACACTTACATAGCTCAAATTTATGTAAGACTCATCATTCTTAAGGCTGTCTGGTAGAAAAGAAAAAAATCTTCCCTAAAAGTTTTCCTCCAGGACCCAATACAGACATTAAAGTGTTCTGCATAGCCTGTGAAGCTTCAGTAAACAAAGAGTAATAAAGGGGCTTTTTGAATTCCCTGTTTACGTTCTCATCATTGCCACTACAGTAAAAGCTTAAAAAGGCTTCACACTTCAGAGATGGAATCCCATAAATCAGAAGGATTGGAAGCAATAGGAGGTGGTAGTAGAGACCCGTGACCATTCCAAGGATCTTCAAAAAAAAAAAAAAACAAGGATGGGAAAAAACTGAGATTTGTTTCCAGAGTTGGAGCTCACAAATTCCTAACTCAATAGACTGGGGTTTCTAGCCCCAACCCTCAGCATGACCCTCCAAGCCCAGCTCAGTTGCCTTCAGTTCACAAAATCTGGAGAACACGATCACTGTTCTAGGGGCATCCAAAATTAGAACTCTAAAGATTACTTACTAATGAATAGATTAACTGACATATTTCAAGGAGAGACAGAGAGACACCAAAATATCTAAATGGTTTCTATTCAAAGAGTATTTTTCAGGGCTGACTATATGCCAAGCACCATGCCAGAAACTAGGGATACTAAAGGAAGGGAAAAAGCCCTGTCCTTATGGAATTCTATTAGGAAACACAGGCACTAAACAGTCACATAAATAATTCATGAGTCTATAATTTCTGCCTGCACTGACTCATTTTGGCTTCTTCCTCTATCGTGTTACTAATCCTTTCCTCAAAACAGTCAGGAATCCCAATTGTCAAATCCTACAAATCCCACAGCACCTTTCTTTTTTTGAGACAGAGTCACTCTGTTACCCAGGCTGGAGTGCAGTGGCACAATCTCGGTTCACTGCAACCTCCGCCTCCCAGGTTCAAGCAATTCTCATGCCTCAGCTCGTCTAGTAGCTGGGACTACAGGCACGCACCACCATGCCCAGCTAATTTTCTACAGGACCTTTAGATTCTTCTTTTCCCTGGGCAGCAATAATTGTAAAATTGTAACTTTTTTACTACTATTAACAACAACATCTACTACTTATTTGCCAGGCAGAAGGCTAAATACTTTACATGCATTATCTCATTTAATCCCCAAAACATCTCTGTAGGAATTATTTCCCCTCTTTTACATCTGGAGAAAACAGGATTCAGAAATTGTTGCATGCCCAAGATGACAAAGTTAGTAAGTATCATAACCAGAATTTGACCTTAGGTCTGCATGACATTAAAGCCCATGCTTTGAACCTCCTTAAGTATTACTGCTGGCGACACACAGTTGGGTAGACTAACATCTCTCAGATACCTAGTAGAGAAATCTGAATAATATTCTTGGCTTACTATACATATCATTTATAGGACCATTAAAAAACACGAAAATGTGAGAATATTAAAGTCAAACTGAAAATCTGGCATTACTGGTAGATATGAAATAAGCTACAAAACTAGAAAAGAACACATGTTCAACTCATATCATAGAGCTCATTTAAGGATTTCTTAGGTTTAATTTCTTGTTTATCTTTGACAGAGACAGACGGTGCTATGATTCAAATCTGTTCGCCAAAACCCATGTTAAAATTTAATTGCCATTGTAACAGTATTGGGAGATGGGGCCACGATTAGGTGATTAGGTCATGAGGGTTTGGCCCTTATTAATAGACTAATGCCAACTAACTCAAGAGTGGGGTCCTGATAAAAGGTTAAATTAGGCCCTATTTCTCTTTCTCTCTCTCTTTCTTGCTCATGGCTCACTTGTCCTTCTGCAACAGGATAACACGGCTAGAAGGCCCTCATCAGATGCCGGCACCATGCTCTTGGACTTCCCAGCTCCAGAACCATGAACCAAATCAACTTCTGTTCTTGGCTGGGTGCGGTGGCTCACGCCTGTAATCCTAGCACTTTGGGAGGCCGAGGCGGGTGATCACCTGAGGTCAGGAGTTCGAGACCAGCCTGACCAACATGGTGAAATCCCATCTCTACTAAAAATACAAAAATTAGCCGGGCATGATGGCAGGTGCCTATAATCCCAGCTACTCAGGAGGCTGAGGCAGGAGAATTGCTTGAAACCCAGGAGGTGGAGGTAGCAGTGAGCCAAGATCGCAGCACAGCACTCCAGCCTGGGGGACAAAGTGAGACTCCGTCTCAAAAAAAAAATTCTGTTCTTTATAAATTACCCAGTTTGTAGTATTCTGTTATTGCAGCAGAAAATTGACTAAGACAGATGGTTTAATAGTCTAATTAGAAAACGATAGATGTACCAACCAAAAACATAAATACTGGTAGTCTTTGACTCATTCACTAAAAATTTTAAGTTAGTGATAAAAATTTGCTCAACTTTCAGTTTTCCCTCCATAATCTTTCCTTACTTTTTGGAGGTTACCAGTGATCCTATCTAAATTTAAATCCATTAACACAAAATGAAACATTTTGTTAAATTAAATTTGCCATAACAATATTTCATAATATTCCACAAAGAGTACTATAAATTTCAGGTTTTGGGCCTTTCTAGCAAAACAAATTTGAGAGTCACTGCCCTAATCCCTGTCTCCCTAGCAAAGCTACCCTTTCAAATTTGAAAGATGTCCTTTCAAAAAGAGTCTTCTAGTATAAGCTCCTTTACATATCTTCCGTTTTAAAGTCTCTTTTCCTCCCAATGTTCTTCCTCTATCACCTTCTCCAATTTCTTGCAAAATATTCCCTCCTCCATAACTGCCTCTTAAATCTATGTCCTCCTCTCTCACATAAAGCCTCGGTTCCTTCTTTGTCTTTCCTTTCCTTCTTATCTTAAAAGTTGTCCTTAGCAGTGGTCCCTTCTGTTTACAAACAGGCCTGCCCTATCTCAAAAACCCCTTTACACAATCTCAGGGCTACAGAACCAGAAAGACCTGGTTTCTAATCCCATTTCTGTAGCACACTAGTTGGGAAACCTGCAAAATGCTGCTAATGAATTCATCTCATAATTGATAGGAGAACTGCACTAGCATACAGGTCTCCCAAAATTAATCTATAACAAGTAATACGATTCCAATTAAAATCCCAATAGGGTTTATATGACAAGATAATCCTAACTCATGTAAGGGTAAAGGCACAAAAGGGTCAAATTAATTTAAAAAAAAGAGGCTAGGCGAGGTGGCTCACGCCTGTAATCCCAGCACTTTGGGAGGCCGAGGCAGGTGGATCACCTGAGATCAGGAGTTTGAGACCAGCCTGACCAACATAGTGAAACCCCATCTCTACTAAATACAAAAAAAAAAAAAAAAAAAAAATAGCTGGGTGGTGGCACATGCCTGTAAACCCAGCTACTTGGGAGGCTGAGACAGGAGAATCACTTGAATCCGGAAGGCAGAGGTTGCAGTGAGCCAAGATTGCGCCATTGCACTCTAGCCTGGACAATGAAAGCAAAACTCCATCTCGGAAAAAAAAAAAAAAAAAAAAGAATAAGAAGGGGGTAATACCCAACTAAATCTAAACACGTATGAAGACATAATAGTAATTTTGAAAAACGGTATTAGAGCAGAAAAAACAATGGAATGGGGAAAATTCCCAGCAACAAACCTATGACATATGACAAATCAATGAGAAAAAAAATAGACTGTATAGTCTGTTTAAATAGTGCTGGAACAACTGGCAATTTCTAAGGAAAAACATAAAAGTAGACAGTTACTCATATTGTACATAATAATAAATTCCAGGTGAACTTAAGATTTAAAAATGAAAAGCAAAACTTTAATAGGAAGAAAACATAGGAAAGTATGATGTCAAAGTAGGGAAGAATTTCTTAATAAAAAGCAAAAATTCTTTTTAAAAATTAGTAAATTGAACTATATTAAAATCATAACCTCCTAAATTTAAAGGCACCATTAAGTAAAGTGAAAGACTAGTCACAGATGAGAATGTGTCCAGAACTTATTCTTTCTGGTGGGTTCCTGGTCCTCAGGGTGAGTGTTCCAGCTCTTAAAGGTGGTGCGAACCCAAAGAGTGAGCAGCAGCAAGATATATTGTGAAGAAAGAAAGAACAAAACTTCCACATCGTGTAAGGGGACCCAAGCAGGTTGCCGCTGCTGGCTGGGGTGGCCAGCTTTTATTCCCTTATTTGTCCATGCCCACATCCTGCTGATTGGTCCATTTTACAGAGTGCTGATTGGTGCATATATAATCCTTTAGCTAGACACAGAGTGCTGATTGGTGCGTTTTTACAGAGTGCTGATTGGTGCATTTACAATCCTTTAGCTAGACACAGAAAAGATCCCCAAGTGCCCCCACTCGACCCAGGAAGTCCAGCTGGCTTCCCCTCTCAAGAAGGCAATAATTGCACTGGACATAATTAACAAAGGATTAATATCCAGAACATAACAACATTCACAAAAGTAAGTAAAAGACAATTTATAGCAGAAACTGACAACTATGCCTTCACTCTTCTCTCCTTCCTTAGTAACAAGACCCTAATTTTATTTGCTCAGCAGCAATGCACCCACCCACCTAAAATGACATTTCCTGGACCCATTTCTAGCTAGGAGGATCTATGGGATTAAGTCTGGCCAATAAGATATTAGCAAAGTTTCAGGTGGGATTCCCTAAAGGGAGATGACTCAGCTAGAAACACTCTTCTTTCCTGTTCCCCAGAAGTAGACATGATAGCTGTAGTTCTACTAATCATCTGGGACCATGAGAAGACTTAAAAGATTGAAGATATCCTCTAAGAATAGTAAAACAGAAAAACAGAAGAATTGTAAGCCCCTGATGACATCCTACAGCCACTAAACCATTCATATACATATATATCTATCTATCTCCATACTTTTTATGTGAGAAAAACTAAACCTATCTTTTTAAAAAACACTGTAATTTTAGTTTTTTGTTACATGCTGCCAAACCTAATCCAAACAAATATGCAACAGAAATGTTGCCAATGAACAATAGGCTAGACAATCCAGAGTAGAAAGTAAAAATGGATATTAAACATGACAACACACTCAACCTCACTAGTAACACATGGAAATGCAAATTAAAACAAGGAACTATCATTTCTGACTCATTGGCTAGATAAAAATTAAGTGCAAAAACAAGTGTTTGGGGATGGGCATGGTGGCTCATGCCAGCACTTTGGGAGGCCAAGGCAGGTAGATGGCTTGAGGTCAGGAGCTCAAGACCAGCCTGGGTAACATGGCAAATCTCTGTCTCTACTAAAAATACAAAAATTAGCCAGTCGTGGTAGCACGCACCTGCAGTCCCAGCTACTCAAGAAGCTAAGTTGGGAGAATCACTTGAAGCCAAGATTGCATCATGGCACTCCAGCCTGGGTGACAGAGCCAGATGCCACCTCAAAAAAAAACTAACAAGTGTTTGGGGAAGTTTGGGGTATCATTATAAACTGCTAATGGTAATATAAAATGGAACAATCACTTAGAATTGAGACTTATCTAGAAAAAGTTGATAGTCCCAACCAGCAAGGTATGCACAAGTCCACTTCTACCACCTTCTAGACATTTATTCCCCAGAGAACTTCTCCCCTTTCCCACATACATACAAAGGCCACAAAGATGTTCCTACAACATTATAATAGAAAAAAAAAGAAGAAGTAACAATTTAAATTTCCACCAACAGAGAATACATTGCAGTATAGTCATACATTGGTTTATAAAGCCAGTAAAAATTGAACTACAGCTATATTTACCAACCTAGATAAACCCTGAAAATTATTCTGAATGAAAATGGCAAATGACAAGACATGTACAATACACCATTTATATAAAATTTTTAAAACTCAATAGTATGTTATTTACATTTGCGGGAAGAGTATAAAAGCACGGAAGGAAGGATAAGCAACTGTGAAGCCATGATGGCCTCTGTGGAAAATGAGGTCGACGAGGCAGGGAACAGTGTCTACAGGACTCAAAGGGGGCTTCAATTATATCTGTGATATCTTAATATTTTTAAAAGATTGTAGGCAAAACATCTATATGAACATTTGCTAATCTAGGAGGTAGGCATATGAATGTAATTTATATTACTGTATGCATTTTTCTGTCCATTTAAAACCTTGCATTTCTTTAAATAAGTGGGCCTTCTATTCTCGATAGTACAGCTGACCTTAAACAACTCTTCTGCTAAAACAAGACAAAAATGGTGGACAAAATTTCTTAAAAATTTTAAGTGCATCACTGAGCTTACAAGAAATTAAGGAATCATCAAAAGCTAAAACAGAAGCGAACGCAGGGATCCAAAGATGAATGCAAGCACTCATGTGTTTACCCTGGAGACATGTGCCAACCTCTAGTGACCCTGAACTTCCATTTTGACAGCTGCCTAGCATAAAGAAGACAGGAGATTAAAGCCAGGGCCCATCTCAGGTAGGGATCTAACAAGATATCCCTCCACATAAAGCTGGGATCCTCAGCGCAAGGGTAAACTATTTAAAAAACAAACAAAACAAACCGGAAGGAGGGGGACCAGGGAAGAGAAAAAGAAGGGAGAAGGGAGGGAAGGATTAACTTGCCGGTCTGGACCTTAACAATAGATGGAAGAGCGTAAATTACTTCAGACAATGAATACCCACAAGCAGGCCTATGACAGGTCTCTTGCCCATCACAACAGGACCCATGTTGTCCAAAAAACTTGAAGCCAATAAAATTAAAGTAGTCCTGTGTTGTCTATGTACCTAGGCACTTGGAGGAATCCAGGCTTCAGAGTTTTTCATAAACATTTCCAAGAGTTAACATATAAATTTCACTAAACACACGAGGAAATAAGCCACTACAAGTTTACAGAACAATAAATTAAAGAATCAGACAAACGAAACTCACAAATATTGGAAATGTTAGAAACAGAATATAAAATATTTAAAAGAACCAAAAATGTAAAAAGGAGACTTCACCAAAATTAAAAACTTCTGTACATCAAATGACATTATCAAAAGAATGAAAAGGCAATCCACAGAATGGGAGAAAATACTATAAATCATTTACTTATCTGATAGAAGATTAATATCTGTAATCTATAAAGAACTCCTACAACTCAATGACAAAAAACCAAATAACCTGATTAAAAAATACAAAAAGGACGTTAACAGACATTTCTCCAAAGAAGATACATAAATAGCCAAGAAGCACATGAAAAGATGTCCAACATACCAAATCATTAGGAAAATACAAATCAAAACTGCAAGACATCACCTCACATCCATGAGAACAGACATATTAGAAAATAACAAGTGTTGATGAGGATGTGGAGAAACTGGAACCTTTGTACACTGCTGGTGGAAATGTAGAAATGGTACAGCCAAACAAAAAAAGGAACAGCCACAGACGGGCGCGGTGGCTCATGCCTGTAATCCCAGCACTTTGGGAGGCAAAGGCAGGTGGATCACGAGGTCAGGAGTTCAAGACCAGCCTGGCCAAGATGGTGAAACCCCGTCTCTACTAAAAATACAAAAATTAGCCGGGCGTGGTGGCACATGCCTGTAATCCCAGCTACTCGGGAAGCTGAGGCAGGAGAATTGCTTGAACCCAGTAGGTAGTGGTTGCGGTGAGCCTAGATCGCGCCATTGCACTCCAGCCTGGGCGACAAGAGCGAGACTCCGTCTCAAAAAAAAAAGAAAAGAAAAAAAAAGGAACAGCCACTAGGGAAGATAGTATGGCAGTTCCTCAAAAAATCAAAGATAAAACTATCATATAAGCCGGTAATTCTACTTCCAGCTATATATCCAAAAGAACTGAAAGCAATGCTTTAATAGACTGTACCAATGTTCACTAAAGAATGAATGGATAAACAAAACATTGTATATTCACACAATGGAATATTCTTCAGAAATAAAAAGGAATGAAGCGGTAGGGGGCAGTGGCTCACACCTGAAATCCCAGCACTTTGGGAGGCTGAGGTGGGTGGATTGCTTGAGTTCCGGGGTTCCAGACCAGCCTGGGAAACATGGTGAAACCCCATCTCTACGAACACATACAAAAGTTAGCCAGGCCTGGTGGCTTGCACCTGTAGTCCCACCTACTGGGCAGGCTGAAGTGGGAGGATCACTTGAGCCTGGGAGGTCAAGGCTGCAATAAGACATGATTGCACCACTGCACTTCAGCCTGGGTAATAGAGCAAGACCCTGCCTCCAAAAAAAAAAAAAAAGGAATGAAGTACTAAGATATATTACAACAAGGATGAACTTTGAAAACATTATGCCAAGTAAGATAACCCAGACACAAAAGGACAAATACTGTATGATCTCACTTATATAAGGTAGTTAAAATAGTCAAATTCATAGAAAGTGGAATCATGGTTACCAGGGATTAGAGGCAGGAGGAAATGGGAAGTTGCTATTTAATGGGTATATAGTTCCAGTTTGGAAAAGTTCTGGAGATAGTGATAAATTTTGGTGATAGTTACACAACAATATGAATGGCAAATTTTATGTTGAATTTTACAATAATTTTTTTTTTTTGAAACAGAGTCTCGCTCTGTCGCCCAGGCTGGAGTGCAGTGGCAAAATTTCGGCTCACTGCAAGCGCCACCTCCCGGGTTCATGCCATTCTCCTGCCTCAGCTTCCCAAGCAGCTGGGACTACAGGCACCCGCCACCATGCCCAGCTAATTTTTTTGGTATTTTTAGTAGAGACGGGGTTTCACTGTGTTAGCCAGGATGGCCTCGATCTCCTGACCTCATGATCCCCCCGCCTCAGCCTCCCAAAGTGCTGGAATTACAGGCATGAGCCACCACATCCAGCCAATAATTTTTTTTAAAAGCAAGATATCACAAGAAAACTTTTATGAGCAATATAATAAAAGAAATATAAATATCAATAGACTTACTATGTTTGGTTTGGATGGTAATTACAGGAGTACACACAATCACATATCATCATCAAACTGGACACCTAAGATTTGTGAATTTTCTTGTGTTAATATACTTCAATAAAATATACATTAAAAACTCACTAAACAGATCAAAGAACAGATTAGATACATCGGGGAAAAAATTAGGGGTTGGGCACAGTAGCTCACACCTGTAAGCCCAGCACTTTGGGAGGCTGAGGAGGGTGGATTACCTGAGGTCAGGAGTTTGAGACCAGTCTGGCCAACAGGGTGAAACCCCGTCTCTACTAAAAATACAAAAAAATTAACTGGGCATGGTAGTGTATGCCCGTAGTCCTCGCTACTTGGGAGGCTGAGACAGGAGAATCGCTTGAACCTGGAAGGTAGAGGTTGCAGTGAGCCAAGATCACACCACTGCACTCCAGCCTGGGCGACAGAGTAAGACTCGGTCTCAAAAAAAAAAAAAAAAAAGAAAGAAAGAAAAGAAAATTGGGAAAAACTGAAGACAGATATGGGAAATTATTACAAACATAGGAAGGCACAAACATGAAGCATGATAGTCCCTTCACATTACTATAAAGGAATACTTGAGACTGGGTAATTTATAAAGAAAAGAGGCTTATTTGGCTCATGTTTCTGCAAGCCATACACACGGTACCAACATCTGCTCAGCTTCTGGTGAGACCAAGAGCTTTCAATCACGGCAGAGGGCAAAGGGAGAGCCAGCATATCATATGGCAAGAAAGAAAGCAAGTGGGGGGAGGTGCCACATTCTTTTAAACCAGATCTCCGGTGAACTCAGAGGGAGGCACCATGCCATTCATGAGGGATCCACCTCATGACCCAAACACCTCCTACTAGGCCCACCTCCAACATCAGAAGTCATTTCAATATGAGATTTGGAGAGGACAAAACATCCAAACCACATCATAAAGAGTCTAGGAGAATTGGCCAGGCGCAGTGGCTCATGCTTGTAATCCTAGCCCTTTGGGAGGCCGAGGTGGGTGGGTCACCTGGGGTCAGGAGTTTGGGACCAGCCTGGCCAACATGGCAAAATCCCATCTCTACTAAAAATACAAAAATTAGCCAGGTGTGGTGGTGGGCACCTATAATCCAACTACTCCAGAGTCTGAGGCAAGAGAATCGCTTGAACCAGTAGGGCAGAGGTTGCAGTGAGCCGAGATGGAGCCACTGCACTCCAGCCTGGGCAAAAGAGCAAAACTCAGTCTCAAAAAAAAAAAAAAGGCAGGGAGTGTAAGAGAATAAAGGGACCATCCATTCTCTGCTGTACTCAGAGCCCCGAGAGGCTGACCTCTAGACACCACATGACTCAGGCTTCCTCACTCTGTCCCAGTGCTTCCTTTTTCCCACCAAAAGCCACAGCTCCCTAAGGCTGCTCTCCCCTACAACTACAGCTCTCTCCAATTCTCCACTATCCCGCCCTGCCCTTGCAGGCCCTGAGAATGGCTTTACCATCCTTTGCGGTTCCCTTACATCTTACCCCTCCCCAAGCCTCTGTCAATAGTTATCTTCGTTAACTCTCTTCAATTACACCTTTGAGTGTTTCTTGGCAGGCCTTGCCTGACACAGCATGGAGCTTCAATGGGTGAGGAGAAAGAAAGGAAAGATGTAGACTCAAAGCTAAAGAAAAGAAGCATTCCAAAATTGATGAGAAACACTAAAAATCAGAAAACCCAATGAATCCCAAACTAAATGAAAAGGAGGAAAAATCGTATTACTGATATCACAGTGAAACTGAAGAATTCAAAGAGAAGACCTTAAAAGCAGTCAAAGAAAAAAGATATTTGTAAGGCATAACAGACTAAACTGTATTTCTTAGAGCAATAAGTTAAGTCAGACAAGAGAGACCAGAATAACATTTTCAGGGTATTGAAAGAAAATAACTATTAACCTAGAAATGTCTATCTAGAAAAATGATCTTTCAGGGATTAGAGTATAATGAAAGCATGTTCCTACAAATAAAAACCAAGAGAGTTTACCACCAAAGTACTCTTCCCTAAAAAAATTCTAAAGAAAATACTTCAAGTAAAGTGAATCCAAATTAATGATCTTGAATGCAAAAGACTATGGAGTAAACGTATTGTATTGGGTTTTTTTGTTTGTTTTTGAGACAGAGTTTTGCTCTTGTTGCCCAGGATGGAGTGCAATGGCGTGATCTCCACTCACCGCAACCTCCGCCTCCTGGGTTCAAGCGATTCTCCTGCCTCAGCCTCCCGAGTAGCTGGGATTACAGGCATGCGCCACCACACACAGCTAATTTTGTATTTTAGTAGAGATGGGGTTTCTCCATGTTGGCCAGGCTGGTCTTGAACTCCCAACCTCAGGTGATCCGCATGCCTCAGCCTCCTGAAGTGCTGCGATTACAGGCATGAGCCACCACACCCGGCCAAACATATTGTTAAATACGTTCACTAAGGCCAGGTGAGGTGGCTCACACCTGTAATCCTGGCACTTTGGGAGGCGGAGGCAGGAGGATCGCTTAAGCCCAGGAGTTCAAGACTGCCCTGGGCAACAAGGCAGTCTCAAAAATTGATTTGTCTCTCAAATAAATAAATAGCTGGGCATGATGGCCTCCACCTGTAGTCTTAGCTATTCAGGAGGCTGAAGCAGGATTACTTGAGCTCAGGAGGCAAAGGGTGCAGTGAGACAAGATCACACTACTGCACTCCAGCCTGGGCAAGAGGGTGAGACCCTGTCTCTTAAAAATAAATACAATATAATCCAATCCGATCCGATCCGATCCGATCCAATCCAATCCAATCCAATCTATCACCCAGGGTATACTGCAGTAGTACAATCTCGGCTCACTGCAGCATCAACCTCCCAGGCTCAAGCAGTCCTTCCACCTCAGCCTCCGGAGTAGCTGGGACCACAGGCACATGACACCACACCTGGCTAAATTTTTTTGTATTTTTATAGAGATGGGATTTTTGCCATGTTACCCAGGCTGGTCTCAAAATCCTGGGCTCAAGTGATTCTCCTGCCTCAGCCTCCCAAAATTCTGGGATTAGAGGCATGAGCAACTGCACGTGGCCAAGTATTGTATTTTTAAAATGATTCTACCTGGGAGGTTAAGGCAGGAGGATCACTTGAGCCCAAACGTTTGAAGCTGCAGTGAACTTTAATTAAGCCACTGTGCTTCAGTCTGGGTGACACAGCAAGACCCTGTCTCTTAACACAAAAACAAGTAAAGATTAGTTTGAGAAAATGAAAAAAGACAATTAAAACTCTGGACAGCAATAGCGCATTAAGTAAAAAGAGAGGTTTTTTTGGTTTGTTTTTTTGTTTGTTTGTTTGTTTTTTGAGACGGAGTTTCCCTCTTGTTGCCCAGGCTGGAATGCAATGGTGCAATCTCGGCTCACTGCAACCTCCACCTCCCGGGTTCAAGCCTCAGCCTCCCAGGTAGCTGGGATTACAGGCATGCGCCACCACGCTGGCTAATTTTGTATTTTAGTAGAGATGGGGTTTCTCCGTATTGGTCAGGCTGGTCTCGAACTCCCAACCTCAGGTGATCCGCCTGCCTTGGCCTCCCAAAGTGCTGAGATTGCAGGTATGAGCCACCGTGCCCAGCCAGGAGAGAGGTATTTTTAAGCTAGTCTTTGTATTACTCTGGCTGGGACAGAATATACATATTATCTTTGGACTAAATTGAATATGCATGTTAAAATGTTTACTGTGGTCAATAAGATATTAAAACTAAGAACATAGTTTATGACAACAAACTATGGAATGAGAAACAAAAGATTATCAAACCCTAAAAGAAGGCAAGAAAGAAAAAAATCACATGCACACACAGTAAGATAACAAATAAGTTATAATTTATCAGTAATGACAAGAAAATGTAATAAACTAAATGCTCTACATAAAAAACTAAGATGGACAGACTGGATAAAAAAGAAAATCCAAAATTATGCTGTTTATAAGAAATGCATATAAAACTCAAGGGCATGGAAAGGTTGAAAGCACAAAGATGGAAAAAGTCCTCATGCAATGGCTCATGCCTGTAATCCCAACACTTTGGGAGGCCAAGGCAGGAAGATCACATGAGGTCAGGAGCTCAAGACCAGCCTGGTTAATGAAGCAAGCCTTTGTCTCTACAAAACAATTTTTAAAATAACAATGAAAAAATAAAATAAGTTTACAAAAGTAGAAAAAAATTCTAATCAAAATAAAGTTAATGAAATTGATGTAGCTATCAGAGAAAAACAGAATTTAGGGCAAAATATTACTAAAAGATGCTGGGCCATCTCATAATTATAAAAGGTTTAACTACAATGGCATGCAATACAATTTATACGTACAAAACAAAACAGAACTACCAACAAATACACTAGAGTGGAAGATTAACATGTAACTCTCAGTAACTGTTAGCTTAGGAGACAGAAGTATCTAATGAATTTGATTTAATAGCATAAATACATTGCACCTTTAAGTGAATATCACATTCTTTTCAAACACATACTGAACAAAAACTGACAACACACTAGACTGTAAGGCATATCCAAACAAATTTTAAATAACTGGTATGTATGTGACATATTACCTGACCAAGAGCAATTAAGTAAGAAATTGATTTAACATAACAATAACAAAAACTAGAAAAATTCAAGGATGAAAAAAAATCATAATGGAAATCAGAAAATGTATAAGCCAGGCTGGGCGCGTGGCTCACACCTGTAATCCCAGCACTTTGGGAGGCTGAGGCGGGTGGATCACTTGAGGTTGAGAGTTCAAGACCAGCCTGGCCAATATGGTAAAACCCTGTCTCTACTAAAAATATAAAAAATTAGTTGTAGTGGTGACTCATGCCTGTAATCCCAGTTACTCGGGAGGCTGAGGCAGGAGAATCCCTTGAACCCAAGATGCGGTGGGTTCAAGACTGCAGAGGTCACGCTACTGCACACCAGCCTGGGCAACAGAACAAGACTCTGTCTCAAAACAAAACAAAATAAAACTATAGTTTACAATAAACAAAAAAGCCAAAAGTTCTTTATTTGGAATAACTAATAAAATTGGAGAGGAAAAACACAAATATATAAACAAGCAAGAATTAAAAGAGAAAGCAACTACAGATGCCTTGGAAAATAAAAAGACATTAAAAGGATAGCAAACAGGGCTGGGCGTGTTAGCTCATGCCTGTAATCCCAGCACTTTGGGAGGCCAAGGCGGGCGTATCACCTGAGGTCAGGAGTTCGAGACCAGCCTGACCAAAATGGAGAAACCCTGTCTCTACTAAGAATACAAAATTAGCCAGGTGTGGTGGTGCATGCCTGTAATCCTAGCTACTCGTGAGGCTGAGGCAGAATTGCTTGAACCTGGGAGGCGGAGGTTGCAGTGAGCCAAGATTGCACCATTGCACTCCAGCCTGGGCAACAAGAGCGAAACTCCGTCTCAAAAAAAAAATAAATAAATAAAAGGATAGCAAACAAATTTATTGTGATAAATACAGCAATTCCAATCCTATACAGATTTCTTCAAGAGACTACAAAACAGGAAACACTCCTTACGCCATTTTAAGAGCCTAGCATATCATCATAAATATGCCAATAGCAAAACCAGATGAGGACAGTGGAGGAAAAGAAATTTATACATCAATCCTACTCATGAACACAGAAGAAGAAATCTTAAGATACTTCACATAAGGGAGGTGATGGATATGTTAATTAACTTGACTTAATCATTCCACGTTGTATATATATATTAAAACATTACAACATTACACTATACCCCACAAACGTATGCAATTATGTCAATTAAAAATATTAATAAAAAGATATTTCATAAACCAAATCCAACAATGGATGTTAAAAATAATAATGACGATAATAATATACACTGTGACCAAGTTAGGTATCCCAGAAATGCAAAACAGAGTTAAGATTAGAAAATAAACAAGGTTGAGCACTGTGGCTCATGCCTGTAATCCCAGCACTTTGGGAGGCTGAGGCTGGTGGATCGCTTGAAGTCAGGAGTTTGAGACCAGCCTGGCCAACATGGTGAAACCTCATCTCTACTCAAAATAAAAAAATTTCAATTAGCCTGGCGTGGTGGTGCACACCTGTAGTCCCAGCTACTTGGGAGGCAGAGGCAGGTGAATCACTCGAATTCGGGAGGTGGAGGTTGCAGTGAGCCAACATCATACCACGGCACTCCAGCCTGGGCGACAGTCAGACTCTGTCTCAAAAAAGGAAAGGAAAAGAAAAAAAAAAGAGGTCGGGCTCAGTGGCTCACGCCTATCTGTAATTCCGGCACTTTGGGAGGCTGAGACAGGTGAATCACTTGAGGTCAGGAGATCAAGACCAGTCTGGCCAACATGGCAAAACCCTGTCTCTACGAAAAATAGAAAAATTAGCCAGGCATGGTAGTGTACGCCTGTAATCCCAGCTACTCGGGAGGCTGAGGCAGGAGAATGGCTTGAACCTGGGAGGCAGAGGTTGCAGTGAGCCAAGATTGTGCCATTGCATGCCAGCCTGGGCGACAAGAGCAAAACTCCATCTCAAAAAAAAAAAAAAAAAAGACTAAAATAATAAGAAAATGAATGATGAAATGATATGGAAGAGAGAGGCAATAACTAAATAAATCAACCCTATTACATTACCCTCAATTTTTTTTACTACATTGCCCCAAGTATATGGCATGATCTTTTGAGAAGATATAAAAGAAACCTGGTGGGGGTTTTGTTTTGTTTGGGGCAGGGTCTGTTCTGTCACCTAGGCTGGATGGAGTGCAGTGTTGTAATCATACCTCACTGCAACTTTGACCTCCCAGACTCAATGGATGCTCCCACTTCAGCCTCCTGAGTAGATGAGACTACAGGTGCAGGCCTCCACACATGGATAATTTTTTATTTTTTATTTTTTGTAGAGACAGAGTTTCGCCATGTTGCCCACTCTAGTCTCAAACTCCTGGGCTCAAGTGATCTGCTTGCCTCGGCCTCTCAAAGTGCTGCGATTACAAGCATGAGCCACTGCACCCAGTCTGGTGGTCTTTTTTGAAAGGTTTCATTGAATACTGTTGAGAATTAGAAATTTTTCATTTCCCAATCATAATGACAAAGAGAAGAAAACTGACAAAAGACATTTCACATTCACAATTATGAGATAAGTCAGAGGATGAAGGCAAAAAGACACTTTTTTTTTTTTTTGAGACAGTTTCGCTCTTGTTGCCCAAGCTGGAGTGCAATGGTGCAATCTCGGCTCACTGCAACCTCCACCTCCCGGGTTCAAGTGATTCTCCTGCCTCAGCCTCCCAAGTACCTGGGGTCACAGGCGTGTGCCACCATGCCCAGTTCCCAGTTAATTTTTTTGTCATTTTTAGTAGAGACGAGATTTCACCATGTTGGTCAGGCTGGTCTCGAACTCCTGACCTCAAGTGATCCACCCACCTTGGCCTCCCAAAGTGCTGGGATTACAGGCGTGAGCCACTGCACCCGGCAAAAAGACACTCTTTTTGTGTTCTTCAATGCGGTAGCCACTAGACATGAGACTGTTTAAGTTTAAGTTAATTAAAAATTTAGCTCCTCAGATATACTAGGGATATTTCAAGTGCCATGTGCGCATGGCTAGTAATTATCACATTGCAAAACACAAATACAGAATATTCCTATTACTGCAGAAAGTTTCTACAGACTGAACTGCTCTAGATGCTGTCAATCATGGTAAAATGGATCACGTAAGTGTCATCTCAGACCTTGAGTCTTCAGATGATGATGTTATATCAGTGGTTCTTAATTTAGGTAATTTTGTCCCCCAAGGGACATCTGGCAGTGTATGGAAACATTTCTGGTTGCCACAACTGGGGAGCACTAATGGCAACTAGTGGATAGAGGGTAGGGACACTGCTAAACATCCTACAATGCACGAACCAGCCCTCAGCAACAAAAAGTATCCACCCGAAATGCTAATAATGGCAAGTTTGAGAAATCCTGCCCTAAATGAATTTTCTCCAACTCAACAATCAATGAACGAACATACTTCCAAGGAAAAAAATATGGTAATCTCATTGACAGTCATTACACGAGAATTACATCATTACCCAATATTCTGTGACAAGAATCCAAAACAATCTGTTTTGCTGAAACGACATGTGATATCATTCTTTCATCTTCTTTGATTTGTGTGTAAAAAATTTGCTTGATACAGTTCGTAAGTGGGCAAATGCTAAAGGTAGGTGTATATATAAAGTTAATGAAAAACTGTTTTGATGACTCTAATTGCCATTTATAAATCTAAAAATGAAAATGATTTATAACTACAAAGCAAAGAATATTCATCTTCTCTTCACCAATATTGTGTGCCACCAATGTTGTCAAAAGCATTGTGCTTTGCTGATGCTAGAGCAAGAAAAAGAACCAGAAGTAATAAGAAGACAGAAACCTGTTAAGGATGCATTTAATATCTAAAATCAGTATTGCATTTTGACAGTGGGAATGCAACAACCAGAAATAATGAGCTAGAACCTATAAGAATTATTTGAAATGTTAAATCAGGAGCTGGGCACGGTGGCTTATGCCCGTCATCCCAGCACTTTGGAGAGGCTGAGGTGGGAGGATCGCTTGAGCCCAAGGGTTCAAGACCAGCCTGTGCAACACAGACAAACCTTGTCTCTACAAAAAATGCAAAAATTAGCCAGGCATGGTGGCCCATGCTTATAGTCCCAGCTACCTGGGAGGCTGAGGTGGGAGGATTGCTTGAGCCCAGGAGGTGGAGGTTGCAGTGAGCTGCTATTGTGCTGCTGTACTCCAGCCTGGGCAACACAGCAAGACTCTGTCTAAAAAAAAAAAAGAAATAAAGAAATTGAAATCAGTATTTACAAATCAGAAGAAATACGCAAAGAGCATGGCCAGGCAAGGTGGCTCATGCTTGTAATCCCAGCGCTTAGGGAGGCTGAGGCAGGCAGATCGCTTGAGCTCAGGAGTTCAAGACCAGCCTGGATAACATGGTGAAACCCTGTCTCTACTAAAATACAAAAATTAGCTGGGTATGGTTGGTGTCTGTCTGTACCCCCAGCTACTCAGAGGGCTGAGGCTGGAGGACTGCTTGAGCCTGGGAGGCAGAGGATGGCGTGAGCCGAGATTGCGCAACTGCACTCCAGCCTGGGCAACAGAATGAGACCCTGCCTCAAAAAAAAAAAAAAAAAAAAAGGAGCAGGCTGTGAGCATTGGCTCATGCCTGTAATCTCAGCACTTTGGGAAGCCAAGGTGGGCCAGTCACCTGAGGTCAGGAGTTTGAGACCAGCCTGACCGGACCAACATAGAGAAACCCCGTCTCTACTAAAAATACAAAATTAGCCAGGCATGGTATGGTGGTGCACGCCTGTAATCCCAGCTACTTGGGAGGGTGAGGCAGGAGAGTTGCTTGAATCCGAGAGGTGGAGGTTGCTGTAAGCCAAGATCAAGCCATTGCACTCCAGCCTGGGCAACAAGAGCAAAACTCCATCTCAATTTAAAAAAAAAAAAAAAAAAAAAAAAAAAAGAACAAACGGCCACACTCTAGACTTGTGGTGTCTAACACAGTAGCCACTACCACAGTGGCTCCCTTACATTAACCATGTTACAAGAGCTCAAGACGAATGTGGTAAGTGGCTACCACATTGGAGAGAGCAGATAAAGAACACTTCCATCAGCACAGAAAGTTCTATCAGCTAGTGTTACTCTAGAAGAAATCTAATTAACTCAACATGTATTTATCAAGTGCTTACTATAAGGTTATCTTGATTTGATGCCATGTTATTTGATACATTAAAGTACAAAATAGCAGCTAACATTTACAGAGCACTTACTATACCCCAGGCACTATACTAAACACTTTTCTTTCAATGTATGTTAAATCATTTTATCTTTGCACTAACTCCCTGAGGTAGTGGTTATTATTTCTCTATTTTTTTAAAAAAGATGGGCTCTTGGGCCAGCCGTGGTGGCTCACGTCTGTAATCCTAGCACTTTGGGAGGCTGAGGCAGGCGGACTGCCTGAGCTCAGGAGTTCAAGACCAGCCTGGGCAACATAGTGAAACCCTGTCTCTACTAAAATACAAAAAAATAGCCAGGCGTGGCAGCGTATGCCTGTAGTCCCAGCTACTCGGGAGGCTGAGGCAGGAGAATTGCTTGAACCCGGGAGGTGAAGGTTGCAGTGAGCCGACATCGCACCACAGCACTCCAGCCTGGGTGACAGAGCAAGACTCCATCTCCAAAAAAAAAAAAAAAGATAGGGTCTTGCTATGTTGCCCAGGCTTGAACTTCTGGACTCAAGCAATTCTGCCTTATCCACCCAGGGAAGTGGAGCTACAGACAGGATGTTTCACACTGCTGCCAGTCGAACATCAAAACCACAAATCTGACAAGTTTTTTTTTGTTTTGTTTTGTTTTTTTTTTTCGAGATGGAGTTTTGCTCTTTTAGGCTGGAGTGCAGTGGCATGATCTCGGCTCACTCCAAGTGCAGTACAGTGGTGCAATCTCACTGCAAGTGCAGTGGCACGATCTTGGCTCACTGCAACCTTCACCTCCTGGGTTCAAGCGATTCTCCTGTCTCAGCCTCCTGAGTAGCTGGGATTACACACATGCACCACCATGCCTGGCTAATTTTTTGTATTTTTAGTAGACATGGGGTTTCACCATGTTGGCCAGGTTGGTCTCAAACTCCTGACTTCAGGTGATCCACCCGCTTCAGCCTCCCAAAGTGCTGGGATTACAGGTGTGAGCCACCATGCCCAGCCAAATTTTATACTGTGTGAATTCAAGCTAATTATTATAGCAAACAAAACCTTAAGATAACCCAGCCTCTATTTCCCTAGTCTCATTTCACACTACTCCCTTCCTCGTTTATTCATCCTTTTTCATTCAACAAATATTACTGAGCAACAAGGTGCCAAGCCCTGTACTAGACACACATAATCAAGGAAAAGCAAACAGGGTCCCTGAACAAATATACATTAGAGTCCAGCAAGAGAGACCAACGTTCATTAATCAATCACATAAATAAGGTGTTATAAAAGAACTACCAATAACTTGAGACCACCCTGGGCAATACAGCAAGATTTCGTCTCTACAAAAACATTGTAACATAGCCAGGTGTGGTGGCGTGCACCTGTGGTCCCACCTACTCGGGAGGCTAAAGGGGGAGGATCGCTTCAGCCCAGGAGTTTGAGGCTGCAGTGAGTCATGATCACACCACTGCATTCCAGCTGGGTTTTAGAGTAACTCCAAAAAGTAAAAAATAAAAAAAAAAAAATAAAAGAACTACACTGTTATAAAAGGACAGGTGAATCTCACCTTTCAGGCAGGCTAAGGAAGGCTTCCCTGAGAAACTGACTACTGAGAGAACTGAAGGATGAAGTGACAGGGAAGAAAAGCATTCCAGACAGAAGGACTAGTATATGAGAGGCCCTGTGACAGGACACAGGACACAAGTGGGAAGGGTTGCAAAAAAGCTAGTGTGGCTGATGAAGAGAAAAAGCGACTGGAAAAGAGTCAACAGAAGCTGGAAAGGCAGTAACTTATCCAAAGCCTCACAAGGTGCAAACATTTTTAAAGAAAAATGCTTTATATTTCACAACACTTAATGGCACTTTTCCCCTGCTTTTTGTGAACAAGAGGCCTTACATTTTCATTTTCACTGGGCCCTGCAAATTATGTAGGTAGCCCTGGCTGGACAACAAAGACAGTGGACAGAAACAGTCTTATGGCTCGGATACAAGGCAGAGGCCACCCACTCACTATACTGACCCTTCAGACCCACTAAGAAAGACAAAAAAGATGAGGATATGGAATGAAACACGGTCTCCATGGCCAAGCACGGTGGCTCATGCCTGTAATCCCAGCACTTTGGGAGGCCGAGGTGGGAGGATCACGAGGTCAGGAGTTCGAGACCAGTCTAGCCAACATGGTGAAACTCCCTCACATGGTGAAACCCCGTCTCTACTAAAAATACAAAAATTAGCCGGGCATGGTGGCACGTGCCTGTAATCCCAGGAACACAGGAGGCCAAGTCAGGAGAATTGCTTGAACCTGGGAGGCGGAGGTTGCGGAGGTTGCAATGAGCCTAAACGTGCATTGCGCCACTGCACTCCTGGCTGACAGGGTGAGACTCTGTCTCAAAAAAAAAAAAAAAGAAAGAAACATGGCCTCCTAAATTAGAACCTCCGTAGGTAAGGCAAAGGAAACTGCAGTTTTTTGTTTTGTTTTGTTTTTGAAACAGAGTTCGCTCTTGTTGCCCAGGCTGGAGTGCAATGGCATGATCTTGGCTCACTGCATTCTCCGCCTCCCGGGTTCAAGTGATTCTCCTGCCTCAGCCTCCCGAGTAGCTGGGAATACAGGCATGCGCCACCACACCAGCTAATTTTGTATTTTTAGTAGAGACAGGGTTTCTCCATGTTGGTCAGGCTGGTCTCGAACTCCCAACCTCAGGTGATCTGCCCGCCTCAGCCTCCCAAAGTGCTGGGATTACAGGTGTAAGCCACGGTGTCCAGCCAGAAATCTGCAGTTTTAATAATCACCCTAAGATTGGTTATGCATGTTCTAAACTCTGAAAAACCCTTCTCTAAAATATTGTCAAATTACAATGGACCTAATTTTTCCCATAATTACAAACAGAGAAAGAGTGAATCCCTATCTCTTTTTCAGAATAAAGTTTATTAGTTTTCTATTAGCTCTTTCTCACTCAAAAGACATTTTTCCTTTTATTTATTCACAAGGTTATATTATACTTAGCAGTGATTAAACAAATCTGTGGAAATGGAATGCCCTGCATTTGCATTTATAAGTCTATAAATGCAAAACCACAAACCTAGTCTTAGTCTGAACCATGATACAGCTTTGAACATTCTTCAACATAAAAATAATTGCAGGACATTCAAGGAAGTAGATTTTAAAAGTAGATTTTTTTTTTGGCCGGGTGTGGTGGCTCACGTCTATAATCCCAGCACTTTGGGAGGCCAAGGCAGGTGGATCACCTGAGGGTCAGGAGTTCAAGACCAGCCTGGCCAACATGGTAAAACCCCGTCTCTACTAAAAATACAAAAAATTAGCCAGGCATCATGGCAGGCACCTGTAAATCCCAGCTACTGGGGAGGCTAAGGCAGGAGAATCACTTGAACCCAGGAGGTGTAGGTTGCAGTGAGCCGAGATGGCGCCATTGCACTCCAGCCTGGGCAACAAGAGTGAAACTTCATCTCAAAGAAAAAAAAAAAAAAAGGTAGATTTTTTTAAAACACATGCAACATTCAGGCTGGGTGTGGTATCTCACGCCTGTAATCCCAGCATTCTGGAAGGCCGAGGCGAGCGGATCACCTGAGGTCAGGAGTTTGAGAACAGCCTGGTCAACATGGTAAAATACTGTCTCTACTAAAAACACCAAAATTAGCCAGGCATGGTGGCGTGCACCTGTAGTCCCAGCTACTCTAGAGGCTGAAGCAGGATAATTGCTTGAACCCGGGAGGCAGGGGTGGCAGGGAGCCGAGATTGCGCCACTGCACTCCAGCCTAGGCAACAGAGTGAGACTCCATCTCAAAGAAAAGAAAATAGAAATGCATGCAACATTCAAATTTACTAAAACGGAGTATTAATTTATGGTCTAAATTTTTATATTGTAAAAAATTCAAACTATATTAAAACTATATTAAGCACTCCTCCCATGTGCAATCTCATTCCCTATGCAGCCATTCTTAGAAGTTTAGTATAGGCCAGGCACAGTGGCTCACAGCTGTAATCCTAGCACTTTGGGAGGCTGAAGCTGGCAGATCACCTGTGATCAGAAGTTCAAAACCAGCCTGGCCAACAAGGTGAAACCCTGTCCCTACTACAAACACAAAAATTAGCTGGGTGTGGTGGTGCATGCCTGTAATCCTAGCTACTCGGGAGGCTGAGGAAGGAGAATCACTTGAACCTGAGAGGCAGAAGTTGCAGTGAGCCGAGATCGCACCATTGCACTCCAGCCTGGGTGACAGAGCAAGACTCTGTCTCAAAAAAAAAAAAAGAAGTTTAGTATAAGCCTTCCATTTCCGTTTCTATGCATATACAAATATATACAGAACTTTTTCTAGAAAACAGAAATGGGATCATATATTCTATTCTGCAATTTTTCGTCTTATTTTGAGTATCTTTCCATGTTCATTCAGATCTTCCCATTTAAAAAAAAAGCTATCACATTTTAGATATACCATATTTTTTAAGAGTTCCATAAAATTCCATTATAAAGAATACCAGTATATTAAATCAATTTGGTGTAACTGGACATTTACGTTGTTTCAATCTTCACTACAGCAAAGTACACTACAGTAAACATTCTTTGTGTATAAGCAAGTATTTCCATAAACTGAATAAATGGCCAGAAGTGAAATAGCTGGGGGTCAGCTATATATTGAAGGCTCTTGTATCGAAAACTTGTAGCATACTTCCCTATACCTTTACAATGTGAAATAACATTTTATTCTTAGTTCTGTTTCTAGACTATTCTAACTTTCTATTCTTTTCCTATGCCAATGCTATGTTTCAATTACTTTAGCTTCTGAATACATTGTAATAGTTGCTACATCAAGTCCCCAAACCCTTCACAGACTTCCAGATATATTTTCTAATCAATTAATTTTTCTCCCACCTCAGAAAAGGGTGAGGAGGAAAGAGAGATTTTGATTGACATTATATTCAATTTAGAGATGAATGAGGGAGAAATTGCCACCTTAACCGGATTGACCTTTCAGACCAAGGAGCATAGCCTTCATTTAATTCAGCTCTTTTATATTCTGCAAATAAGCTGTATCATGTTCTTCACAAAAATGGTGCATGTTTCTTATCAGTGCCCTATAATTTATTTCTACAGTTTTTCTTTCTAACAGAATGGGATCTTTTTTCCAATTTTAAGCTGATCACTGCTGATATAAAGGAAATCTTGCAACCCATTTATTTTTCTTACATCTGGTCATCTTTCCAAAGAACTAATGGTTCCAACAGTCTTAGTTATTTTGCTTAAACTTTTTTTCCGAAATGTCATATCACCTGCAAATAATCATTTTTTGGCCTTTCTTTCCAATATCTGCACTTATTCCCATTTTTTGTATTACTGTATCAGTTAGACCCTCCAGAAGGTATTAAATAACAGTTATATTAGGACTCCCGTTTTACTTCTGAGGATATCATCATTTAATACATGGTTTCAGATAACTATTTGTTATCATATTGAGAATTCCCTTCAATTCCTAGTTTATCCAATTGTTTTAATCATAAAATGCTGTTAAATTTTAACAACTGCCTTTTAGGCATCTATGGATGATTTCAAATGCCTTTTTGCATTTCTTCTCTGGATCACTGGCTATGTTCCAATTAGTGTGACACAAGTCCAACTGCAAATACACATTTAATTGAACTGAATTTGAAACATAAATTTCCTATTAATTAGCTTTTTTGAGAAAAAGAATGCTGTGCCAGTTTTCTAATATCTAGTGCCACCGCAGGTACTACAAGACAGGGCTGAAATAAACAAAAATGCATACTTACTATAATGCATCTTTCAAATAAGAAAAGTAGGTTCAATTAATTAAAATTTTCATTTTTATGACGTGTACTGTGGTTACAAAAAAATAAAGGCAGTGTACCTTACACATTGAAGGTCTCAGGAAATATCTACTACATAAATGCTCAAATATTCCTCAAACTCACTGTATTTCCCCAAACTATATTCTCTCAGACTATATTCCCCAAAATATATATCTCCACCTGGGATATTGCTTATCAAACTAGAAAACTCTAATCTATTTTTCATGATTCAGCTTAAGGGTTACCTATTCCAAGAAGCCCTTTCTCAGTCCCTATCTCAGCCTGAGATAGATGTTTGTACCTACTTCTATTATAACTTTACCAACCAACATTTGCTAATATTTTTGCCTTTCTCCACTCCTTGAAAAGAAGGTGCTTCTTCTGTCTCCTCAGCATACACAGCATAGTGTCTAACATGCTGTGTTTCTATATACTGAAGAAATGTTCTAAAACAAATCAATGGCCAGAAATTGGATTCCAGATCCAAACTAGCTACATGACAACAGGCAAATCATTTGCCATCTCTGAATATCAGGTTTTCATATTTATTTATTTATTTATTCTATTTTTTTGAGACAGAGTCCCGCTCTACAGCCCAGGCTGGAGTGCAATGGCACAATCTCTGCAACCTCTGCCTCCTGGGGTCAAGTGATTCTCCTGCCTCAGCCTCCCAAGTAGCTGGGATTACGTTATAGGTATGCACCACCTCGCCCAGATAATTTTTGTATTTTTAGTAGAGTCATGGTTTCGCCATGTTGGCCAGGCTGGTCTCGAACTCCTGACCTCAGGTGATCCACCTACTTTGGCCTCCCAAAGTGCTAGGATTACAGGTGTGAGCCACCATGCCTGGCCAGGTTTTCTCATTTATAAGGTTTAGGAATATCTCATCCTATTTACTTCACAGGACTGATATGAGAATGAAGACAAAAATTTTTCTATAGGACTACAGATGTGCAAGTATTTTAGAAGATATTAACCAGATTCCACTATAATAAAATCTATGAAAACCAGTCATGAATCTCGTTTATTAAAGTTGGATTTACACTCACTAAATCCATCCTGGTTTAAAAACAAATGTATGGGCCGGGTGCGGTGGCTCACGCCTGTTAATCCCAGCACTTTGGGAGACCAAGGTGGGAGGATAACCTGAGGTCAGGAGTTCAAGACTAGCCTGGCCAACGTGTTGAAACCTCATCTCTACTAAAAATACAAAAATTACCCAGGCGTGGTGCCAGGTACCTGCAGTCTCAACTACTTGGGAGGCTGAGGCAGGACAATCACTTGAACCTGGGAGGCAGAGGTTACAGTGAGCTGAGATTGTGCCATTGCACTCCAGCCTGGGCAAGAGTAAGACTGTCTCAAAAGAAAAAGGAAAAAAAAAACCTATGAAAATTACTTTTCTATAATGTATCAGTTAATATGTGTGCTCTGCACTATCTTATATTATTGCTACACACAATCACTAAGGACAATCCAAAACAACCTAATGAAGACAGGGCAACAAAACCAAGCAAATTCAAGACAATAAATAAAGCGCTCTTTGGACTGCAAATGAATGTGGCATCAATACTATAAGAACACTAAACTTTTCAATAATGTTGTCTCTAAAATCAAAACACCTCCTACATTTTAGTATACAAGAGGATGTGCATAGGTCATACACAATTACCATACCATATCATGTAAGAAACTCACCTGGGCACAGTAGCTTACGCCTATAATTCCAGCACTTTAGGAGGCCAAGGCAAGAGTATCACTTGAGCTCAAGACCAGCCTGGGCAACACAGTGAGATCCTCTCTACAAAAAAATATTTTTAAAAAATTACCCATTCAAGGCTGCAGTGAGCCATGATCATGCCACTACACTCCAGCTGGGACAACAGAGACCCTGTCTCAAAAGAAAGGGAGGGGATCGGGGGGACTTAAGTATCAATGCACGGTTGATGTCCATGGGTGGAGGCGGTTCCTGGAACTAACCTCTCATGGACACCGAGGGACAACTGTACTACTTTATCTGGCAGCTTATCCAATAATCTAAATTGATTGAATATAGATGTACCATATTTAGACATTTTCCATCAAGTAATAAAATGTAACATTTATAGTATATGTTGACTAAGAACCAACATGGTTGAGTAAAAAAAGTAAAAAAAAAAAAAAAAGAGTAAAGGTTTTGAAAGGGGAGTCTGGTGATCTCAGCCTGGATCAGTTATATCATGAATTTGCTCTGTGACCTACCTTGGGCAAGTCACTTCTACCTCTTTGAACCTCAGTTTCCCCATCTGTAGCATAGAAGGGAGAATGCTTAGACTTGATTCTTATTTTTCAGTTTCTAGTCTCTCAGAGACGGTGATAAAAGCTCTAGACCCTATTACTAAAAATGTACATTTACACCAAAAAATTTGTTACAATTTCCTTTTGATATTCATCCTAGACTCCCTAAGACTTCTGTACCAAAAGATCTAAGATTCTTCTATGTTCTAAAATTCTATGCTGATTTCCATAAAACAACTATATGAGTTACCTAATGAAAAATTAAGCAAAAATAATTATGAAATACATCACTATTTGCATTTTGAATCTCAAAGCATATTAACAGTTAAAATACAGCAATTTTCCATAAGATATATTCAGACCCACAGATGGATAAATGCTAAGATCACTCTGTTTAAAATATGTAGCTTAATGCTTAATAATTGACGGAGCATTAACAACCTTAATTAGCCAAAGATGAATTAATTTACCTCCTTTCTGGTCCCAGTATCCTACAGCTTAAGAACCACAGACTGGTAACAGACAAACCAGAGTTTGAGTCTCTACCCCTTGCTATGTAAATTTGTGTAGATTACTTAGCATCTACATGTTGGAGTTTCCTTAGCCTGTAAAATGAAAACGAAAGTAACACGCCAGGTGCAGTGGCTCACGCCTGTAATCCAAGCACTTTGGGAGGCCGAGGCAGGTGGATCACGAGGTCAGGAGTTCGAGACCAGCCTGGCCAACATGGTGAAACCCTGTCTCTATTAAAAATACAAAATTAGCTGGGTGTGGTGGTACATACCTGTAGTCCCAGCTACTCGGGAGGCTGAGGCAGGAGAATCGCTTGAACCCGGGAGGCGGAGGTGGCAGTGAGCCAAGATCGTGCCACTGCACTCCAGCCTGGGCAACAGAGTGAGACTTGGTCAAAAAAAAAAGAAGATGAAAGTAATAATACCTACCTCACAGAGTTACTGGAGATAAAAAGTAATATATGTAAAGGGCTTGGCACAGCGCCTCCAACATAGTATGTACTCAATAAATGGTAGCTATTAATAATTTGGAATATAGCTTTCATATTAAGAAATAATACAATAACTACTCTACACATCTTTGGTACAAATTTCTGAATACTTAAGTGGAAATTTCCAAAAAGTCATTTCCTTTTTTTTTTTTTGAGATGAAGTCTCACTCTGTCGCCCAGACTGGAGTGCAGCAGCACGATCTCGGCTCACTCCAACCTCTGCCTCCTGGTTCAAGCGATTCTCCTGTCTTCGCCTCCAGAGTAGCTGAGATTAAAGGTGCCAGCCATCACGCCCGGCTAATTTTTATATTTTTAGTAGAGATGGGGCTTCACCGTGTTGGCCAGCCTGGTCTTGGGCTCCTAATCTTTAGTGATCCGCCCACCTCGGCCTCCCAAAGTGCTGGGATTACAGGAATGAGCCACCGCACCCGGCTGTAATTTCCTGTTTTTAATAACATGACACTTTTTTCAATACTACTCTCCTCTGAAAAGATAAAAAGCATTTAGACAAATTATTTATACAACATATGACAGATGGGGTAGAGTGGAAAGACACACAGCTTTAGAGCCAGACAGAACTGAGTTCAAGACCTAATTCAGCCATTTAGTAATCGTGTAACCCGGGCCACTTACAGTTTCTCAACCTTGTAAAGCAAAGCTGTTGCAAGAATTAATAAAATATGTAAAGTATGTAAAGCATCAAGCCCAATATCTAGCACTCAATAAACGGTACTTACTACTATTCTTCTCACCTACTCCTTATAGGGGATAAAAGCAGCTTTGCCAGGGAAGAGGGAAGATATTGGAAAACACAAATACTAGTTTATATTAAGCCAGTGACGAAGGACACTGATTTTACCTGATCAGTGTAAGAACTACAGCCGTGTTTTGGGTGGCATACTCCTTCCAGAATCCAATGAAAACGGAGCCCCTAGCTCCTAGGAAAATTTCAGGAATTTTACAAAACGCTCTATGTCAGGGATTTTTAAGAATCTTTTATTAAGGGGAATACTAGCTAGTTACTTCTGCTTAATTTGCAAAAGTGTGAAAACCTTCACTAGTCTGTTTTGTGACAAAACGTACATTAAGTTAATATTCATAATGAAGCAAGTAAATCCTGCTTTTATTAGACTTCTCGATTTCTAAAGAAACAAAAATATCTGGTGTAAAATATTAGAACTACAAACTACGCTAGAATTAGTTCGAATATTCTCAAATGTGATGCTCAAACACCCTAACACCAAACCAAAAGGAAAAAAGTCCAAAAAGGTAACAAAGCTGGCTGTATCCAATTCTTAGAAAGTCTGAATCAATCCAGGTATCAAATGAACCTCTAACTTCCCAAAACATCTACAAACACCGAAGTCATAATTTGCAAAAACAAAGCTGAGCCAGCAAATAGAAACACTGTTTACTAACTGAACGTAGTTTATCCTTACTTCTCCTCCTTGCATGTAATACTTTTATCCTTTGACTCGGCCTTCTCAAATTCCCTTAGTAAACAATCTCATCAAACTGCTTATTGTAGTGTAAGCATGAAGTCAAAGAGTAGCATAGACTCAGTTCTCCAAATCGCGGGAGCTTTAAGGAGCTTAGCACTAGACCAAGTTTTGCCCCAATGACCTTGGTCTCAACGATTCCCCTCCCTCCCTCCAGCCGGCCCGGCCCTTCCACGTGCTGCCGGCTGCAATTACTCCAGAGGTGGCTGCATGTCAGGGAAGCGCTAGAGGATGCGAATGCACAGGAAACAAGGGTTGCTAACAGCACCCAGGCTGTGCCATCCAATCCCTCCCGACACCAACTCCCCAAGAGCGCTCACACAGCCCTACAAATTTCCCCTACCGAAGCCCTGCGGGGATAACCCCAACTCCTTCCCGGCGCCTTGCTCTGCGACCCAGTCTGTGGGGCAGGGTGTAAGGTGAAGAAATTCTCTTTGCTACACCACTATATTCCCACGCCCGACTGGGGTGCTGGGCAGCCAGGGGAAGGGGACAGCTCCTGGAAGGAGGGGACGACGGCAGGAGGAAAGTAGGCTGAAGAATCCTGCGCCACGCCACCGCCACCTCCTCCTCCACTTCCAGGCTCCCTGCAGGCCCTTGCCAGTCGCCAGCCCAGCGAGCAGCAAGGCCTGGAGTGGCAGGGCCGACCGGGGGCCCGCGAATCCCGGGGTCTGAGGGGCGCGGCGTCCTCACCATCAGAACTTTAGCCGCGTTCTCCAGCTGAGCGATCACTTCTGGGGGCCCCAGCGCCGCCGCCATCATGGTCTCTCTTCAATGACGCGCCATGCGCTGCATTCTGGGAGCGGGCGCCGCGGCCGGCCAATCGCCGCCGCGACCCCGGAGCCTCACGCGCTCCCAGGGCCGTCGCAGCCGCTGTCGACACCGGCGTCGCGGCCTCGGCGGGTCTGGCCGGGCTGCCGGGTTCCGGGTGGCTGGGAGGGGACTAGTGTGAGCCCGGCCGCCGCGCTGGGGCGGGGGCGGCCGCAGCCGGCACCGGGCGAGGCCGAGGCGGTCTGCCCAGACTGCTGCAGCCGCGCGCCCCGCTAAGCTCCCAGCCCCGCGCATGCGTGGTGTCCGGCGCCCCGGCCTCGCGGTGCCCCCGGCCCTCTCCCCACTACCCTAGTACAGCCCGCCCGGGGACCCGCAGATCCACGACGCCAGTTCGCTCCCTCCGTTCTCAGCCCTGCACACCGCCTCCCCTGGCTCCTCCTTGCCCTTCCACGCTCCAGCGCCGTGCAGGATTTCCTAAACTTGGAATCGCTCTTCCCGCTTTCCCCTCCTCAGAGCGCACCTCCTTTCAAAGTATCTCTGTCTCCTGCTTCTCTGTTCCTTCTTGCCATGGGAGAACATTCCAGGATAGAACGCTTCGTTTTCTTTCTTTCTTTTTTTTTTTTTTTGGAGACAGGGTCTCACTCTATCGCCCAGGATGGAGTGCAATGGCCCTATTTCGGCTCACTGCAACCTCCGTCTCCCGGGTTCAAGCGATTCCCCTGCCTCAGCCTCCTGAGTATCTGGGATTACAGGCGCCCGCCACCACGCCCGGCTAATTTTTGTACTTTTAGTAGAGACGAAGTTTCACCATGTTGGCCAGGCTGGTCTCGAACTCCTGACCTCAGGTGATCCGCCCGCCTCGGTCTCCCAAAGTTCTGGGATTACAGGCGTGAGCCACCGCCCCCGGCCGAACGCTTCGTTTTCATAATGGAGGGCTTTGGCCTTCTGCAGGACAATCATCCAAATGTATCTGGGCAGCGGGTCGCTAGGAGACCCTAGGAGGAAAACCCGTCTTTGGCTCTTGCCGTTTTCACTCTTTAAGGGCTGGCTCACATAGGAGAGGGAGAAAGCAGGGACAGGAAAGCCTGACCTTGACTACCTGGCTTCTCAAATGCAGTAAGATGAGCTTTGTCGGCCAGGCGCTGTGGCTCATGCCTGTAATCCCAGCACTTTGGGAGGCCAAGGCAGGCCTCATTTTAGCTCAGGAGTTCGAGACCAGCCTGGGCAACATCGTGAGACCCTGTCTCTACCAAAAAAAAAAAAAAAAAAAGCCCGGTGTGGTGTCTTGCGCCTGTGGTCCGAGCTTCTCGGGAGGCTGAAGCGGAAGGATTGCCCAGGAGGTCGAGAGTGCAGTGGGGCGAGATCACACCACGGCACTCCAGCCTGGGTGAGAGGCTGATCCTGTCTCAGGAAAAAAAAAAAAAAGGACAAAAATCAGCATTGTCGTGTTTGTGGAATCCGTGTTGAAAGGCATATTAGAGTATCAAGTAATTAACCTTCCCTCCGGTGCTCCAGTTGCCTCTAGGACATTCCACGCAAGTGGTCCTGACAGCTGTTTCAGTATTCAAACCAGTGCTGTTAGGTTGTTCGGATCAGGGGTTTGTTTCGTTTTGAGCTGACATCTACGGTCTACATTCCTATAACTTCTTTTTGGTGCTTATTCAGCCTTCTGAAACAACACAGACAGTCAAATTCGTTTCAGTATTTTTAAGTTTATTTTTTGTTGAAATCTTCCTGTTTCTTATTCCTAGTTATAAGAAAGCCATACTGTTGAGGTTTTATGTCACTGCAACAGAATGTCTGTGTGTGTGTGTGTGTGTGTGTGTGTGTGTGTGTGTGTGTGTGTGTGTGTTATGGAGTCTCTCTCTGTCACCCAGGCTGGAGTGCCATGGTGCCATCTCAGCTCACTGCAACCTCTGCCTCCTGGGTTCAAACGATTCTCGTGCTTCAGCCTCCAGAGTAGCTGGGATTACAGGTGTGCACCACTACACCTGGCTAATTTTTGTATTTTTAGCAGAGACGGGGTTTCACCATGTTAGCCAGGCTGGTCTTGAACTCCTGACCTTAGGCGATCCGCTGCCTCAGCCTCCCAAAATGCTGGGATTACAGGCATGAGCCACTGTGCCCGGCCACACGGAACTGCATTATTAGCTCCGTTGGAAAATATGTTGTTTCTTGTACTTGAAGTCTCTGCAACTTGAAGTAGAGAAAATGAATTAACAAGGTTTGTATTGCTTGAGAAACTAAGTAAGTTTTATTTTATTACTGAAGTTTAAAGTGAGCCAAAATGCAGTTAATGGTCCTTTTTAGTAACTAAGTGTTTATCATAGGGCCTGACATATAGTAGGCACTCAGTAAATATTTGACCAAGTATAGCAATCTACAAGAAAATTACAAAATGATTCTAGTTGCTGCAAAGAGTAATTACCAAAGATCAATGATATTGTGCAAATATGTAGATAAACAGTTTGTGACAGTAAATGTTTGAGGCTTATAATGCTTCAGATTGGGCCTTGGGTTCCAAAGTATTTATTTTGTGCAATTACATTAGAACTTTGCAACTACACGTGTTTTAAGAAAGAGGGCCAGGTGCAGTGGCTTACGTGTGTAATCCCAGCACTTTGGGAGGCCCAGGTGGGCGGATCACCTGAGATCAGGAGTTTGAGACCAGCTTGACCAACATGGAGAAACCCCATGTCTACTAAAAAAAAAAAAAAAAATACAAAATTAGCCAGGTGTGGTGGCACATGCCTGTAATCCCAGCTACTCGGGAAGCTGAGGCAGGAGAATCACTTGAACCCAGGAGGCGGAGGTTGCGGAGAGCCAAGATCGCGCCACTGCACTCCAGCCTGGGCAACAAGAGTGAAACTCCATCTCAAAAAAAAAGAGAAGGCCAGGCGCAGTGGCTCATGCCTGTAATCCCAACACTTTGGGAGGCCAAGGCAGGCAGATCACTTGAGGGCAGGCATTCAAGACCAGCCTGGCCAACATGGTGAAACCCTGTCTCCACTAAAAATTAGCCAGGCGAGGTGGCACAGGACTGTAATCTCAGCTACTCAGGAGGCTGAGGCAGGGGAATCGCTTGAACCTGGGAGCCAGAGGTTGCAGTGAGCTGAGATTGTGCCACTGCACTGCAGCCTGGGCAACAGAGAGAGACTCCATCTCAAAAAAAAAAAAAGAAAGAAAAGAAAGAAGTGTTGGATGCGGTGGCTCTCGCCTGTAATCCCAGCACTTTGTGAGGCTAAGGCAGGAGGATTGCTTGAGCCCAGGAGTTCAAGACCAGCCTGGGCAACATAGCGAGACCCCATCTCTACAAAACAATAAAAATTAAAAAATTTGCCAAGTGTGGTGGTGCATGCCTATGGTCCCAGTGACTCAGGAGGCTGAGGTGGGAGGATCACTTGAGCCAGGGAGATAGAGGCTGTAGTGAGCTGTGATTGTGCCACTACACTCCAGCCCGGACCACAAAGTGAGACCCTGCCTCTAAACACAAACAAACAAAAAATAGGCCAGGTGCAGTGGCTCGTGCCTGTAATCCCAGAACTTCCGGAGGCCAAGGCAGGTGGATCACTTGAGGTCAGGAGTTCAAGACCAGCCTGGCCAATGCGGTAAAACTCCATCTCTATTAAGTACAAAATTTAGCCAGGCATGGTGGTGCGTGCCTGTAATCCCAGCTACTCAGGAGGCTGAGGCAGGAGAATCGCTTGAACCCGGGAGGCGGAGGTTGTAGTGAGCTGAGATTGCACCACTGCACTCCAGCCTGGGTGACGGAGTGAGACTACATCTCAAAAAAAAAAAAAAAAGGCCAGGCACAGTGGCTCACGCCTGTAATCCCAGCACTTTGGGAGGCCGAGGCGGGTGGATCACCTGAGTTTGGGAGTTCAAGACCATCCTGGCTAACACGGTGAAACCCCGTCTCTACTAAAAAATTAGCCAGGCGTGGTGGCGGGCGCCTGTAGTCCCAGCTACTCGGGAGGCTGAGACAGGAGAATCACTTGAACCCAGAAGGCAGAGGTTGCAGTGAACCGAGATCGCACCACTGTACTCCAGCCTGGGCGACAGAGACTCCATCTCAAAAAATAAATAAATAAATGAAAATAAAAATAAAAGGGAAGGGATATATTTTTATCAAATGTGAGGATTAATTTGCTTCCTTTCAAATTAACAGTATTTTGAATTTTGAGACTTTATGAAGTGAGGTATAGACATCTCACATAATGAAGCCATGAATTTCAGGGCAGAGCTGAAATTGTAGGATCTCAATGTTGGAAAACACCCTAGAATTTGCCTATCAGTTAACTTTCCTCCAATGCCTGACTCTTGTTATTCCTTGATTTATTATTCAATAACAACACTCTCCTGGGGCAGAGGTGGAGAGGGTAATTGCAGCCTTGTCATACGCTTTTTTTTTTTTTTTTTTTTTTGAGACGGAATCTCCCTCTGTTGCCAGGCTGGAGTGCAGTGGCGCAATCTTGGCTCACTGCAACCTCTGCCTCCCAGGGTCAAGTGATTCTCCTGTCTCAGTCTCCCAAGTAGCTGGGACTACAGGTGCATACCACCGCGTTTGGCTAATTTTTGTTTATTTATTTATTTATTTTTTGATACGGAGTCTCACTCTGCCACCCAGGCTGGAGTGCAGTGGTGTGGTCTCGGCTCACTGCAACCTCCGCCACCCGGGTTCAAGCGATTCCCCTGCCTCCGCCTCCTGAGTAGCTGGGACTACAGGCGCGCACCACCACACCTGGCTAATTTTTTGTATTTTACTAGAGATGGAGTTTCACCATGTTGGCCAGGATGATCTTGATCTCCTGACCTCGTGATCTGTCCACTTCGCCCTCCCAAAGTGCTGGGATTACAGGTGTGAGCCACCGCGCCCTGGCCATATGCTCTTTTGCTTGTTTGTTTGTTTGTTTGTTTGTTGAGATGGAGTTTCGCTCTTGTTGCCCAGGCTGGAGTAAAATGGTGTGATCTTGGCTCACTGCAACCTCTGTCTCCCGGGTTCAAGCGATTCTCCTGTCTCAGCCTCCCAAGTAGCTGGGATTACAGGCGCCCACCACCATGCCTGGCTAATTTTTGTATTTTTAGTAGAGACCGGGTTTCATCATATTGATCAGGCTGGTCTTGAACTCCTGACCTCAGGTGATCCGCCTGCCTCAGCCTCCCAAAGTGCTGGGATTACAGGCATGAGCCACCGCGCCCAGCCCATATGTTCTTTTTTTTAAATAAAGATGGGGTCTCGCTATGTTGCCAACACTGATCTTGAACTCCTGGCCTCAAGCAATCCTCCTGCTTTGGCCTTCTAAAGTGAAGATTACAGGCATGAGCCACCACACCTGGCCCATGTGCTCTTTAGATCCTA